>NC_000010.11:69120368-70370368 GCF_000001405.40 Homo sapiens
GTCCACTGACAGGAAAAAGGATATTTTGTGGTCTCTTCACAAAATGGAATACTACTATAAGCAATGAAATGGAACAAACTGCTGATGCATACAACAACATAAATAAGTATCAAAACCATTTTGCTTAGGGAATGAAACAAGACACAAAAGAACACTTGTGGTATGATTCCATTATTATTTTGCTATAGAACACACAAAGCTAATCAATATCAAAAAAAAATCAGAACAGTGGTTGCGTCTAGGAGATGGGATTGATTGTGAGAGGATGTGAGAAAGTTTTCTGGGGTTGATGGCAGTCATCTATATCTTGATGAAGGTGTGGGTTAAACAAATGTATGCTTTTTTTTTAAGAGTCAGGGCCTGGCTCTGTAGCCCAAACTGGAGTGCAGTCGCACCAGTGTGGTTCACTATAGCCTGGAACTCCTGGACTCAAGCAATTCTCCCGCTTCAGCCTCCTGAGCGGCTGTGACTACAGGCATGCCCCACCACCTGGATAATTTTTAAATTTTTTCTAGAGACTAGGGTCTTGCTCCACCATCCAGGCTGGAGTGCAGCGACACGACCATTGCAGCCTTGAACTCCTGGCCTCACGCAATCCTCCTGTGTTGGCTTCACAAAGTGCTGAGATTATAGACATGAGCCACGGCGCCCTGTGACACCATGCACAATCAAAATGTATGCAATTGTCAAAACTGATCAAACTGCACACTTAAGACTAACATATGTCACTGTATGTACATTATATCTCATTTTAAAAAGAAAAGAGGAATAGTGAGATAAAACATTAAGTATTGGTACATTTAAGAAAAAACTGTATATTGTGAAAAAATGTTTGGCTTTTATAATTGTAATTTTTTAAAAAAAGAATATTTACCATGATTACAGCTGCACTCGCTAAAGTTTTTAAGCAAAATCTATTCTATGTGCTCTGGGAGGTTAAAAGAAAAAAGTGTTTCTATACTTCACTGGCATGCTTTAAATTGTATTTTATTTTTAAATTAAATTAATTTATTATTTATTTTTTGAGACAGGGTCTCGCTCTGTTGCTCAGGCTGGAGTGCAGTGGTGCAATCTCTGCTCACTGCAAACTCTGCCTCCCTGGCTCAAGCTATCCTCCCACCTCAGCCTCCTGAGCAGCTGGTCCAATAGGCACATGCCACCACTCCCAGCTAATTTTTGTTCTTTTGCAAGAGACAAGGTCTCACCATGTTGCTCAGGCTGGTCTCAAACTCCTGGGCTGAAGTGATCCACCTACCTCAGCCTCCCAAAGTGTTGGGATTACAGGTGTGAGCCATTGCGCCCGGCCTAAATTGTATTTTCTTTCTTTATCCTTTTTGTGTATTTGTATTTTATTCTCTTCCCTTAACTTTGCCAGTGAACTCTGCAAACAGCTGCTCCCTGACACTCTCACAGTTATTAATGTGAATTTTTAGTCTTTGTGAATTTGAACAAATGACTATTTTTCTCTTAACTGGTTTCTGATTGATAAAAGCTCAGATTATCTTATCATCTAATACTTTCTGACCTAAACTCGGTACTTTTGTTGATGAAAGTCAATCCCTGTAAGTTAGTCACATTTTCCTCACACACCCCACCTTTTTTTTTTTTTTTTTTTTGGCAGAGGGCAAATATAGAGATGCCACAGTTCTCAGCTGGTGAAACACTGTACTGCTCACAATCTAGCTCTAACATTCTGGCTTGCTGAATAGATTGATAGGTAGGCAGACAGACAAATAACTAGCTCAACAATTCTGTTGCTTCTTGTATTTATTATGATAGCACAATTATTGATTGGGTTTTGATCAGTAGAATAAATAATTAGTACAAATTGGTTTCTAGTGTGACTTTCTTTGCCACCTCTTATTTATACCTGGCTTCGCTAGTATTTCTTTGCCTGTGTGGCATTTTCATCTATTCTCTTTGTTATGTTGATATTTAAGTCCCAGAAAAGAGTGGGTAGGAACCAGAGTAGCTCTCAAGGTGACAGGCAAATCTTCTAAGTGAAAAAAACCATTTTTCACTTTTATTAATTAAAGATTTGCATTGTTTTTGCTGCTTTCTTTTCACAGTTCAAACAGACAACAATATCAGTGTTACTATAGTTATTTATTTTTTTTGAGATGGAGTCTCGCTCTGTCACCAGGCTGGAGTGCAGTGGCGCAATCTTGGCTCACTGCAATCTCTGCCTCCTAGGTTTAAGTGATCCTCCTGCCTCAGCCTACCGAGTAGCTAGGATTACAGACGTGCACCACCATGCCCCGCTGATTTTTGTATTTTTAGTAGAGACGGGGTTTCGCCATGTTGGCCAGGCTGGTCTCAAACTTCTGACCTCAAGTGATCCGTCCGCCTCGGCCTCTCAAAGTGCTGGAATTATAGACTGTGAGCCACCATGCCTGGCCCAAATATGTGCATTTAAAGCTACAAATTTTCCTTTTACACAGTGTCACTGCATTCCACAAATTTGATATGTTGTATTATTATCTTTTATTTCAAATTATTTTATTTTTATTATTTTTTATTTTTGAGACAGAGTCTTGCTCTGTCGCCCAGGCTGGAGTGCAGTGGCTCCATCTCGGGCACTGCAACCTCCGCTTCCCGGATTCAAGAGATACTCGTGTCTGACCTCAGGTGATCCACCTGCCTTGGCCTCCCAAAGTGTTGGGATTACAAGTGTGAGCCTCCGTGCCCGGCCTCAACTTATTTTTAAATTTCCATTGATCTCTTCTTTGACCTAGAGATTTGGAATTATGTTGCTTAATTTCCAATATTTCCGGAATTTTCTGGCTTGTTTGGGTTGATTTCTAATTTTAATTCTATTGCGGTTAGAGATGATACTCTGATTTCAATCCTCTTAAATTTGAGGCTCACACTGAGGATTAAGTATAAAAAAATTTTTTTTGATACCTGTTTCATGGACTCGCCTCACAAACTTCTGTTTTAAGGTGGGGTAATTATAGTGCGTTCAGGGATGGATTTTTCTTCTGCTTTGGTTATGCATAGAGTGCACTGTGGCCCTTCAACACTATACTCTGAAATCCCACACAGTATTTTCCTCATCTGGAGGTCCTATAGGCTTACACTAGGGAGGAGGATCCAGTTCAGGCCAGCGTAGTCTTCAGCTGCGCCGTGGGACTTTCGGGGGAGCGCCTTTGCCCTCTCAGAACGGCTGGGCGGAACGGTGGGTTTGTGAGCCCTCCAGGCTCAGGGTGGGTCGCTCAGGGGCCATCTGGGGACTTTGGGAAGCAATGAAAGTTGTACCCTAGGATTTTTTTCTACTGGTCTTCTCTTCAGAGGCGAGAAAGCCAAGTTAAGAAAACCCAGACTCAGAAGGAGGTGGAGCGGGACTGCGTTCAGGCAAGGTGGCAGAACGCCTCGCCGTGGACGAAGAGAGCACATCTCTTCTTGCGAGGCCTAAGGAAGTAGGGCTCCCACTCGCCTCGGCAACCCAAGGACCCAGCCAAGGAGAGAGCCTCCAGATGAATCCTTCCTCTCCTCCTTCCTTCCCAGCCGCTCAAACTTTCACAAAGAGGAACTGGGTGCGGTAAAGAGGCCGGACACGGAACCGCTCGTCCGGTGACCGAAGAGACGGCGAGGAGGAGCCCGCGAACCCGCCTCTGTTCAGGCCCCGCCCACTCGACGTAATTTGCCCGCCCCTCTCCACCCTCCGAAGGGTGGAGCCTGAGGCCCCGCCTCCAAGCGGCCTCTCCCCGGAGTGCCTGGCGGCCAGCAGGGCGGGGCAGGAGGCTGGGAGAGGGACGGGTGCGGGGGTGGGGGAGAGGAAGGGAGCGGTCACGTGTGAGGGGCGGCCCGAGGTCACGTGACGGAGCGCCGGAGCGGAGGGAGCCGGGGCTGGGAGTTCTCCTGAGGGAAGAGGAGTGGAGTAGGGGGGACGCGGCGGCGGCGTTGACAATGGTGAGTGCGCGGCGGCCAGCGCGCTCGCCTCCCGCCCTCGTCCCGGAGCGCGCGGCGGGCCGGCCAACCGCGGGCCGGGCGTCGCCGGAGGAGGGGACGGGGGAGCAGGGCGGGGAGCGGGGTTAGGCCTGTCGGGCCACCCCTGGGTCTGGGAAAAGCTGGCGGCGCCACCTCTTCCCGGTCTCGGCGAGGCCCGAGCACCTACGGGCGGCGGCGTGCTCTCCTGGCCATGTCGGAGCCTCTGCCCGCGTTCTTCGACTGCTTGTTGGGGCTCTGGCTGGGGACTCGGACCCCGCCTCTGCGGGGGCTGGTCGCCGCCTCCCCTTCCTAGGTAGCCAGTCCCTGTTCTCCTCCCGGGCAGCCTCTCTTCCATCCAGGTGGGGCGACCCGGGAGCCCCCCACCTCCGGACTCTTCGGGGGACTTGGGCACTCAGTGTGTCACGAACTTGATAAACTCTGATATTTTAAAACCTGACTATGGTGACATTCTTTGATTTCATGACCCCAGTTCAGGCTTTCTGTTGACACTTGTAAAATGGGAGAGAAAAATAAAAGGACGTTGGAATGGGGGATATCTTTAACTCCAGAGACACCCGTTTGGTGCCCGCCGTTTTAAGCATTGGCTCTCATTTCCGTCCGCAAGCTATTTCGCTGAACTTAACGCTCTGGGTTGTTGAAACGGCCTATGAGGCAGAGGAGGGAGGGGAATCAGTGCTCTCACCACAGTCCGCGGAAGCACTAGCCTGGGCATTGTGGTATTTAGCTGGGTGTCGGCAGTCTCTAGGTTAGATCTCATTTTACCCATTTTCTGGTAGTAGTCGTCAGTTCTCTTCATTTAGCGCCTACTGTATGCTCTCCTAATACTACCTGCTCTTCCCAAAGCTCACTGATTCAATAGACTGCTTGAGACTTTTGGCTTAAAAGGCCGAGCCAGGTATATTTTTAAAAAGCTACTTTGAATAAATAACTTTTAATTTCAGTAATGATGTTGCTTTCAAAACAAAACAAAACAAAATCCAGACATTCATGTTCATTCTTAGAGCTTTTTTTCTTTCATTCAACAAATAATTGCTCAGGTGTGCCTAGGGGACCCCAGTAAAATGGAAACAGCGCCTACCTGCTCTCGTAGCTTACAATGTAGGGAGAGATAAACATTTATTTGTGTAAATTATTTGTTTAACGTGGAAATTAGAATTGTGACAGATACTAAGAAGGAAGTATTGGGGGACCTTGCCTAGTCAGTGTTAGGGCAGGCTTCTTTAATTGAATATCATTTGAAAAGAAAACTTAAAAGGTCCTCCTATTTTTTGCTTACATTTGTAATTATTACTTTTAATACGCTTTTTTGAATTATGTTCAAGAGCAGTTTATATTTTCAAGTTACCCAAACAGAAACTAAATTGTAAAACTTTAAAACACTGAAATGGTCACAGATGTAATATATGTATGAAAATTTGCTGTTTCATTGCTTGTGTATGGGCTAAGTGAATGAATTTTGAGAGTCAGCCTTCCACCTCAGAAATGCAATGAGTTGCATTTCTTTACATCCACTGGACTTAGTGAAATTCCTTCAGTGGGGACTAAAAAGTTGCCTTTTTATGTATCTACCATGTATTTTTGCTAATTGGTAATGCTCAATATTGGGTTCAGAAATTATATGAAAAATCCTAAATTAACCTAAAGTCAGTGATAGGAGGTTTAGGCCAAGATTAGAAAACTATAAAAACAATTGCTAGCATGTTTTTATAGTCATATATATTGCAGTCCAGTTATTTAAAAGCTCAAGAGTTTTAACTTGCATATTAATAGTTAATCCTGAAAATCGCAATATTCCAAATGCGCCCTTGAAGATATCTTTACCAAAAGAAGTGAGTAGTATTTTTGCACTTAAAAGATCTCACGGGGTGCGGTGGCTCACACCTGTAATCCCAACAATTTGGGAGGCCGAGGTGGGCGGATCACCTTGAAGTCGGGAGTTTGAGACCAGCCTGGCCAACATGGCGAAACCCCGTCTTCACTAAAAATACAAAAACAAAAAAAAATTGGCCAAGTGTGGTGGCGCATTGCTGTAGTCCCACCTACTCGGGAGGCGGAAGTTGCCTGACCAACATGGTGAAACTCCGTCTCAACTAAAAATAAAAAAATTAGGTGTGGCGCACACCTGTAATCCCAGCTACTCAGGAGGCTGAGGCAGGAGAATCAATTGAACCCGGGAGGCAGAGGTTGCAGTGAGCCGAGATCGCGCTGCTGTACTCCAGCCTGGCGACAGAGTGAGACTCCGTCTCAAAAAAAAAAAAAAAAAAAAAAATCTCAAAACTGAATTGCTGTCTGCATCATATCCTAACCCTCAACAAATTTTATTCTCTTTCCTTCTAGTCTTTACCAGCTTGACAGTTGTGTATTTTACTTCCTCTTTAACATATCAGAAGTATTAGAATTTTATTTAGAATAATTAGAAAAAGAATTTAATTTCATTACCCTTTATTTCAAATGACAGAAGTTGCACATCTTAGAAAAAACTTTGAAAGAGAGACTTTGGGTAGAGATCTTTCTCTTTCAGTTCTTTCTAAAAGACAAGCTTTTTTCCTCAGTTATTTTTTTCTTTTTGTTCTCTACCTGTAAAATGTAAGATATCCACAATTTTCTGGAGGTGTTTTTTAGTAAGACTAGTTCTTTTATTATTATTATTATTTTTTGAGACGGAGTCTCGCTCTGTCGCCCAGGCTGGAGTGCAGTGGCGCGATCTTGGCTCACTGCAACTTCCGCCTCCTGAGTAGCTGGGACTACAGGAATGCGCCACCACACCCGGCCAATTTTTTTTTTTTTTTTTTTTTTTTGTATTTTTAGTGGAGACGGGGTTTCGCCATGTTGGCCAGACTGGTCTCAAACTCCTGACCTCAAGTGATCCGCCCGCCTTGTCCTCCCAAAGTGTTGGGATTACAGGTGTGAGCCACTGTGCCTGGCTGACTAGTTCATTTTCGATATGCCCTAATGTAAAAAAACTGAATGTTGGTCGGGCGTGGTGCACTTTGGGAGGCCGAGGCGGGCGGATCACGAGGTCAGGAGATCAAGAGCATCCTGGCTAACACGGTGAAACCCCGTCTCCACTAAAAATACGAAAAATTAGCCAGGCGCGGTGGCGGGCACCTGTAGTCCCAGCTACTCGGGAGGCTGAGGCAGGAGAATGGCATGAACCCGGGAGGCGGAGCTTGCAGTGAGCCGAGCTAGCGCCACTGCACTCCGGCCTGGGCGAAAGAGCGAGACTCCATCTCAAAAAAAAAAAAAACCTGAATGTTAACCCAATGCCATATTGTCATGGAATAACTGGTTAAAGTGCAGTAATTTATTACTCAACCTATTACTTTTTTGCATATGCTATACTAGGCTTTTTAAAAATGCCATTTGATTGCTTCCAATTTTAGTGTTTTGATTGTATTTAAAAATATCTTTTTTTTTTTTTTTTTTTTTTTTGAGACAAGCTCTTGCTCTGCCGCCCAGTCAGTGGCTTACTGCAGCCTCGACCTCCTGGGTTCAGCCTCCCAAGTAGCTGGGACTGCAGGCACACACCACTATGCTGGGCTAATTTTTTAAATTTTTGTAGATATGGGGGTCTAGCTGTATTGACGAAGCTGGTCTTGAACTTCTGGGCTCAAGTGATCCTCCTGCTTCAGCTTCCCAAAGTGCTAGGATTACAGGTGTGAGCCACTGTGTTCTGCTACTTTTTTTAAAATTATGAAATATTTCTTGCATCCAGAAAATAATAGAGGATAGCACGTAGTTTTTCACATATTTTTAATGGTTAGGAATTTAAATATTTAAGGAATGGTGTCAAAACACTGTTTATCATTATGGTGTTAATTGTGAAATTTTATAAAATGAACTTGGTTTATACCATTTTAATTGGTGGCAATTTTAGTTCTATCAAAATTTTATTTAACTTTGGGATTTGATTTTTTTTTTTTTTTTTTTGAGGCAGAATCTCACTCTGTCGCCCAGGCTGGAGTGCAGTGGCAAGATCTCGGCTCACTGCAACTTCTGCCTCCTGGGTTCAAGCGATTCTGCTGCCTCAGCCTCCCGCATAGCTGGGACTACAAGTGCATGCCACCACGTCTGGCAAATTTGTTCTGTTTTTGTAGAGATGGGGTTTCACCGTGTTAGTCAGGATGGTCTCGATCTCCTGACCTTGTGATCCTCCTGCTTCGGCCTCCCAAACTGCTGGGATTACACGCGTGAGCCACCGCGCCTGGCGATTTGATCTTTTAATGTCAGCTTTCAAATCCCAAGTGGAACTCTGTGTGTTTAGGTATATGCATGTGGAAAAAAGTTATAATATTTCCTTTTCTCTGTAAAACAATTTTTATAGTTTTCAAATCTCATTTTTCTTTTAAGTAGCTCTGGGAAGTGTCAGGAGGAATGAGAAAATTAATTTTAAGGCCAAGCAAGGTGGCTCACGCCTGTAATCCCAGCATTTTGGGAGGCTGAGGCGGGTGGATCACTTGAGCCCAGGAGTTTGCGCCTGGCCTGGGCAATGTGGCAGAAACCCTGTCTCTACAAAAAATATAAAAACGAGCCAGGTGTTGTGGCTCACGCCTGTAGTCCCAGCTACTTGGGAGGCTTGAGGTGGGAGGCTTGCTTGAGCCCATGAGGCAGAAGTTGCAGTCAGCTGAGATCATACCACTGCACTCCAGCCTGGGTGACAGAGTGAGACTCTGTCTCAAAAAAAAAAAAAAAAAAAAAAAAGAATTAATTTTAATTTTTCTATCTCTGTTTTATAACTCAAATGAGTTATAAATGTGGATGTCATAAGGAAGGAGAGCTCATTCTTATTGCTCTCTCTGCCAATTAGCATTATCCTTCAATATAACTGATTTTGTTTTCCATCTAAAATAGACTGCTACTTGAAGATGTTGTCTTCTACCCTTTCATGATTGCTCCTCCCACACAACCCCTGTACCCTGCTAGCTCAGCACATATTCGATTAGTAAATGTGAGCTGCATGATTTTAAGCTGCTATACATTCTCATTTCTGTAGCCCTTAGAGGAAATGTACTACAGTATTTCAGAATTTACCATTTTGAGTTTAAGACTTGGAGTACGAAAGCCACCTAGGAATGGACAGTGTGTGTGACCTATCACTGATGATTTTCATTCTCTTTTTTCTAAATTAGTTCAGAATAGTTTTCTGATTAAAATTAGTTTTCTGGTTAAAATTCGAGTTTGTTATTTGTAATTTTGCCAGAAAAGATTAAAACGTGTCAAAAAGAAAAAAAAATTTTTTTTTTTTTTAAACAGAGTCTCACTCTGTCCCGAGGGCTGGAGTGCAGTGGCGCGATCTCGGCTCACTGCAACCTCCACCTCCTGGGTGCAAGTGATTCTCCTGCCTCAGGTGCATACCACTACGCCCAGTTAATTTTTTGTATGTTTAGTAGAGACGGGGTTTCACCGTGTTAGCCAGGCTGGTCTCGAACTCCTGACCTTGTGATTCGCCCACCTTGGCCTCCCAAAGTGCTGGGATTACAGGTGTGAGCTACCGCGCCTGGCCCAAAAAGAAAATTTGCTACATATGTCAAAAGTACTAATCTGGTAATTCTTTTAGTTGGTTGCTTAAAATTATAATCCCTTTTGTTAATACAGGATTTAGGAAAACATCTCATTTGAGTATAGCATCACCTTGTGCCCTACATAGCCACAAAGCAAGCTAACAGAAAGCAAACTAATGACTCTCCTAAGTGAGGACAGAACTGAGGTTTAATATAAATTCCATTGATATAGTTTGCTACTATACCAATGCTAATTTGCTCAGAAAGGCTAATATTATTGACTATTCCAGATTTCAGTTAATTTCTCTTGTATATTTGTTTATTTTCTGTTATTAAAATGGTATGTGTTTGTTCAAAATTAACATTCAATAGGTATTTTAATGCCTTCTGCTAAATGCCATACGCTGCCTTAGATGAGCCTCATGGAGTTTACAGTTCAGTAGGAGAGTCAGGTACTAAGTAAGCCTTGTGAAACCTAAATTTGGAGAATCCAGTTTTGATTAGGAAGTCAAGGAAGGTCTCATGGAGAGGGAGTCAAACTGAAACTCAAAGGGTGAATTAGGTTAAGAATACTTTGCTTGGCTCTAAGACAAGAAGGACACTAGCAAATTGGAACTGTTGAAGAAAGAGCTCTGAACGTTGGAGGCTGAGTAGTTGGAGAGATGACTAGTGTCAGATATATGTAGACCACATTAGAGAATACATTGTGTGTGTGTCTGTTTTTAAAATCACAACTGAAGTAAAATAACTATGAAAAAGTACACGAATAGGTGTATAGCTTGATGAATTTTCACCAAGTGAAATACCTCTGTATCAAATGCTCAGTTATAAAAAAAACAGCCAGAACATTACTAGCAGCCAGAAGCTCCCTTTGTGCTTTCTTTCAGTCACTGCCTGACCTGTAACACCATAATGTACCTTACATGTTTTTTGCTTACTATGTGAGTGGAGTTATACGTACGTTTTGTGTATTCCTTTTGTGTCTGGCCTCTTTCACTCAACATTATGTGTATGAGATTCATTCTTGTGTGTAGTTGTATCTCCTCTAATTCTATTGCTGTTTGGTGTTCCCATTTGTATGAATATATACTAAATTGCATATATCCATTCTCTTGTTGATTGATACTTGGATTGTTTCTATTTGGGGCTATTATGAATAACACTTGTGAACATTTTTTTTCTGGAGACAAATTCTTGCTCTGTTGCCCGGGCTAGAGCGCAGTGGTGCGATCTTGGCTCACTGCAACCTCTGCCTTCTGGGTCCAGGTGATTCTCCTGCCTCAGCCTCCCGAGTAGCTGGGACTGCAGGCATGCACCACCATGCCCGACTAATTTTTGTATTAAAGACGGGGCTTCACCATGTTGGCCAGGCTTGTCCCGAACTGCTGACCTCAAGTGATCTGCCTGCCTTGGTCTCTGAAAGTGCTGGGATTACAAGTGTGAGCCAGCGCGCCCAGCCAGATATGTTTTTTAAAGATCATTCAGAGCCAGGTGCAGTGGCTCACGCCCATAATCCCAACACTTTGGGAGGCCGAGGCAGGAGGATTGCTTGAGCCCAGGAGTTTGAGACCAGCCTGGGCAACAGAGTGAGACCCTGTCTCTACAAAAATTTTTTTAAAAAAGATCATTCTGGGCCGGGCGCGGTGGCTCATGCCTGTAATCCCAGCACTTTGGGAGGCCAAGGCGAGTGGATCACGAGGTCAGGAGATCGAGACCGTCCTGGCTAACATAGTGAAACCCTGTCTCTACTAAAAATACAAAAATTAGCTGGGTGTGGTTGCAGATGGCTGTAGTTCCAGCTACTTGGGAGGCTGAGGCAGGAGAATGGTGTGAACCCGGGAGGCGGAGCTTGTAGTGAGCCAAGATTGCACCACTGCCCTTCAGCCTGGGCAACAGAGCAAGACTCTGTCTCAAAAAAAAAATCATTCTGGTTGTTATGTAGGACAGAATATGAAGGGATGTAGGATGACATGATAGGAGACTGTTCTCTGTGTAAACTTAAAAAGATTAGAAGACTAAATTTCATTGTGGCTAAAATAATCCATAACTATATCCAGTATCAAAATTGCTAATGGATTCTGTATTATTACCAACTGATGTGTTTTGGCATTGATAAGCAATTGATCTTTGTCCCTTATATTTGTCATATTCAGGATTTATAGAACAAGGCTTGTAGATTTTCTTTGGAAAAATTCACAGAAATTTTATTTTCCTTCATTATAGCCAGTTTTACTACAAGGGCTTTCACAGTGTAACATATCCTGTTCAGACCAAATATAGCAGTAGATTTTACAGTAAGTAGTGCATTATAGTAGTACATTTGGATTTGTGTGAGTACTTTGAATTGTGTAAATTCTGCTATAATAAAAGAACCTCATAAATAAAAGTATAAATAAAGGTAATTTTTCAAGCCTAGCTGTTAAGAATTAACTTCTTAGATTTCTGACATATGTTAATATTTGATTATAGTGGTTTTGTATGGAAATGATTGAAATTATAGCATGCTGAAATTTGTTTAGGGTTTTTTTTTTGGTCTTTTTGGTGGTTAAAAACACATAACATGAAATCTACCCTCTTAACATTGTACTTAAGTTGTTCAGTTTTGATGTAGTTTTTTTTTTTTTCTTTCTTTCTTTTTTGAGACGGAGTTTTGCTCTTGTTGCCTAGGCTGGAGTGCAATGGCGCGATCTTGGCTCACTGCAACTTCTGCCTCCTGGATTCAAGTGATTCCCCTGTCTCAGCCTCCCGAGTAGCTGGTATCACAGGCGCATGCCACCACGCCCGGCTAATTTTTGTGTTTTTAGTAGAGACAGGGTTTCATCATATTGGTCAGGCTGGTCTTGAACTCCTGACCTCAGGTGATCCGCCCACCTCAGCCTCCCAAAGTGCTGGGTTTACAGGCGTGAGACACCATGCCCGGCCTTTGATGTAGCATTTGATATATGTTTTTATCATTTCCTTATGAACTCACAGATTTGCAGTCTATTTAACCGTAGTTCATAGGTAATTAAATTCAAATTATAAAATGTAGTGACTGACTAAACATGATAATTATGACCATTTTCATTTTATTTCAGAGTTTTCTTGGAGGCTTTTTTGGTCCAATTTGTGAGATCGATATTGTTCTTAATGATGGGGAAACCAGGAAAATGGCAGAAATGAAAACTGAAGATGGCAAAGTAGAAAAACACTATCTCTTCTATGACGGAGAATCCGTTTCAGGAAAGGTAAATCTTCTGTTTGACAAAACTATCTAATTGTAAGATATCAGAATTAGTTATCAAAGTGGTCTGTGCTGTTTCTTAAATTTGAATAATTTTATGAGGGAGAGAGATTTTTTTTTCCCTAAAGTTCAGCTAAAATATTTGATTGATTAGAAGATAATCTTTCCTGCAAAGGAAAGATTCTTACCCTGGAAGGCTTTCAAGGGAAGAGCCTCTAAATTTCATGCAAAATTTTCTGTTTAAGTCTCCTGTGTGGTTCATGAAAAAAAAAATATTTTTTTTTTCTGTTTGTGATTATGTGCTTCTGTCTGGTTTCAGACAGTTTCTTCAGATCGGAGCTGTAATTCACCCAAAGTTTGTTTTTCCTTTAACATTAAGTTAGAGATTGAGAGTAATTCTCTGGTATAACTTTCTAAAGGTTTTTTTACATTCTTTGTAACTTACCTCTCTGTACTGCTACTATTGTGTCTGTTGATCTTATTTCTAGGTACTCTGTAGAGGACTTGAGTACTTTTGGGATGTGTCTATGCATGGTCAGATATGTTTATGACGCCTTCTATAAGGTTTCACTTTTTTCCCCTTTTCTTTATCCGGTAATGTATACGGTTTTTTGTTTTGGGTTTTTTGGGTTTTTTGTTTTGTTTTGTTTCGTTTTTTAAATAGGGTCTCACTCTGTTGCTCAAGCTGGAGTGCAGTGGTGTGATCATGGCTTACTGCATGCGGCCTTGTACTCCTGGACTCAGGTGATTCTCCCACCTCATCCTCTCTGGTAGCTGGGACTACAGGCACACACCACCACTTCAGCTAATTTTTTAATTTTTTTGTAGAGATGGGGTTTGTCCATGTTGCCCAGGCTAGTCTTGAACTTCTGGGCTCAAGCAACCCACCCACGTAGGCCTACAAAAGTGCTGGGATTACAGGTTTGAGCCACCACACCTGACTGATTATTCTTATATTTTAGGGAGTATGATCAATACTTATTAGTGGTCAGTGATAGTGGAGAATGGTAATATCATAGACAAAAGCAAACCACAAAACATTTGAAATAATTTAAAAATAGAAAATACTAGGATTTTTCTCCCCTGCTTGTTCAGTTAATATATTCATGTGGTAGACAGTTTTGGAAATATATATAATCTCTTCATATAGAAATAATTCACTGTTAAAATTTGGATGTGCTTCCTCTAATCTCCGCATTAATTGATATTTATGTATATGTAATATATTCAGCATACTTTTTCCTCTATTGTTTGATATTTAAGCAGTTTCTGTTTTTCAGATGGCTTTCTTCATATCTTTGGTAATATGGACATCGGTATACGTAAATTTTTCTCTAAATTTCTGTAGGACGAGATTATTTCCTTAGAATAGATTGCTGAAAGTGAGCTGCTAGGCCAAAATTCGTGAAATATCTGAAGGATCTTAATACACATTAATCTGGAAAATGTATTTGCATTAAATTACATGTCCACCTGTGGGTCTTTTTCACCCAAGGCAGCATTGAATATGATCACTTTGTAATCTTTGCTATTTTGGTAGGCAGAAACAATCTTATTATTTTAATTTGCATTTCTTTGGTTACTAGATAAATTGAACTTAGATTTACCAGCCATGTGAGGTTATTTTTTTTTTTTGTACTGCATTGTCTCTTCTGGTCCTTTGCCAGATTACCTACTGGGGTCTTAGTGTTGAATCCGAAGTGAATTTTTTGGTTTTCAACTTTACTTCCCTTTTATTCTTCCTTTTAAAAGATGAAAAAAGAAAAAGGCCAAGTGCAGTGGCTCACACCTTTAATCCCATCACTTTAGGAGGCCGAGGAGGGAGGATCACTTGAGCCCAGGAATTCAAGACCAGCTTGGGCAACATGGGGAGACCCTGTATCTATTTAAAAAAAAAAAATGGAGAAAAAGGCCTAAAGAAGAGCAGACAATCATCAAAAGGATGGAGCATGTCAAATGAAAGAAGAGTAAAAGTAGTAGTGTTTGGCCTATTGAAATGACTTGTTAATGGGCTGGGGGCATAGGAATACCAATCTAGCTTTCTTTCTAGGGAGAGACTGAACCTAGCATCTCAGGTATTTCTTTTACAGATATGACATGTAAATATCTCTCCTACTAATTTGTAAGCTCCTTAAGTTCAGGGGATCAGAGTGTGCTTCTGTAGTCTCCATAAAATACATGATAGTGTTGATTATATAATAGGCTTTCACTAAATATTTATTTGGTTTATTTACTGTTTTTAAGTCTTGTAGAGAATATCTTCAGTCTAGTTTAAAGTAATCTTATGTCACCTGGACCAGTTGAAGTTCATGGCTGATGTTTATGGGATAAAGGAAAAGGGGGGTGTTTAAAGTAAAAGTAAAGCTACTCCAGTGTGTTCTTTAAAAAGAATAGTTGGTGTTCAAATTACATTTTGATCCTGGGTGTGGTGGCTCATGCCTGTAATCCCAGCTCTTTGGGAGGCTGAGGAGGGAGGATTGTTTGAGCCCAAGAGTTCAAGACCAGATTGGGCAATGTAGCAAGATCCTGTCTCTAACACTAAGTAAATAATTTTTTTAAAAATTACATTTTGGCATTGCTGGAAACCATACGTAGACCTGATCAACTATGGATAGCATGTTTTAAAATGATAAGATCTCTTATAGGTAAGTATTTTCAGTTCAAAAGTTACTATATCTTGAATCTGATTGTTTATTGGTTTGAGATTTTTTTCATTTTTAATGTTTTTATTGAAAAAACACGTGTAGAAAACCATATACAACAAAAATAAATTATTATAAGGCATATTTTCTTATTATCACCATCCAAGTCAAGAAGTAGTACTTTGCCAGCTACCCCATGTGTCCTGTCTCCATCACACTCCCATCCCCTCAAAAGTAACCAGTGTACTGACTTTTATAGTAGTACTTTCTTGTGTTTGTTTAGTCTTGCTCATTTAAGAAAAATTTGGTACGGTTTTTAAATCTCTCTTAATCTCAGGTTCCCTCTTCATACCTTTCTTTAACTTGCAATATCTGTTGAAGAACACTTGGTCATTTGAATTGTAGAGTTCTCTGTGTTTGTGTATTCCTGGTACAGTTATTGCCTATCAGTTGGCAGCTAGGTCCAGAGGCTTGAATCAAACTCAAGTTTGATTCTTCTGGCAAGAATATAGGTGGTGGTGTGTTTTTCCATTGCAGGTGCAAAATGTCTGGTTTTCTTTCTCTGTCATTTTTCTTTTCTTTTCTTTTTTTTTTTTTGAGACAGAGTCTTGCTCTGTCCCCCAGGCTGGAGTGCAGTGGCGTGATCTTGGCTCCTGCAACTTCCCGCTTCCTGGGTCCAAGTGATTCTCCTGCCTCAGCCTCCTGAGTAGCTGGGATTACAGGCACGCGCCACGACATCCGGCTAATTTTCGTATTTTTATTTTTAACAGAGACGGGATTTCACCATGTTGGGTCAGGCTGGTCTCGAACTTCTGACCTCGTGATCCGCCCAGCTCAGCCTCCCAAAGTGCTGGATTACAGGCGTGAGCTACCATGGCTGGCCTTTTTTCTTTTTTGCAACTGTTGATACTCAGTACCTAGATTGATTTAACTCATTGGGAGTTGCAGAATGGTGATACTTTAAATTCTGTCATTTTGTTTTTACTTATGAAATGGAATACATTTACAAAGAGACGTTATCTATATCTTGTGACCTAGTGGTACAGCTCATATAGAAAAAAGAATGCTTGACCTTTTTCCTTTTTTGGCCTGTTTTGTTATTTATTTATTTATTTATTTATTTTGAGATGGAGTCTCGCTCTGTTGCCCAGGCTGGAGTGCGATGGCGTGATCTCGGCTCACTGCAGCCTCCACCTCCCGGATTCAAGTGATTCTCCTGCCTCAGCCTCCCGAGTAGCTGGGATTACAGGCACGTGCCACCATGCCCAGCTAATTTTTGTATTTTTAGTAGAGATGGCGTTTCACCATGTTGGTCAGGCTGGTCTCGAACTCCTAACCTTGTGATCCGCCCGCCTCAGCCTCCCAAAGTGCTGGGATTACAGGCGTGAGCCACCGTGCCTGGCCTTTGGCGTGTTTTAAAAAATAATAACTTGGTTCCTTATCTTCCAAAGGTGTAAACTACTAGTTTTATTTCTCAATAACTTATATAAACTCATGATTTAAACATACTTGATGTTTATAAATATTGCCCTATTGAAGCTCTAGTTGTATAATCCTCTGTAACAAATTACCACAAACTTAGCAACCTAAAATAACAAATTTATGTCTTAGGATTTTTGTGATTTAGAAGTCCAGGTGGAGGTTAGCTGGGTCCTATGCTCAGGGACTTACCAGGTTAAAATCAATCCAAGGTTGCAGTCTCGTCTGAAGTTCAGGATTTTCTTCCAGGCTCACTGGTTTTTGGCAGAAATTTCCTTGTTGTGCTATGACTGATACCCTTGTTTCTTGTGCAGTAGGCTGTCTGTTCCTATAGGTTGCCCTCAGATCCTTGCTGAGTGGCCCCTTTCTCTCAGTTTGCGTTGTCTTCAAGGCCAGGAGGAGACCATCACTCTGACATTCATCTTCTTTTAAAGAGCTTACCTGGTTTGATCAATTCCAGTTAGGATAACCTCCCTTTTGATTAACTAAAAAAATCAACTGATTAGTAACCTGATCACAGGAGTGGTATCCTATCATATTCACTGGACTCACCCACACTCAAGAGGATTATACACATGTGTACACCATGGGATAGTAATATTGAGGGCTATCTTAGAATTCTGCCTACCACATTTGTATTGACTCTTATGAAAGGACATGGGGGCCCTAGGATTTTTCTTTTTTTAAGCTGTATTGAGATATATATATATATATATATTCGCCATAAAAATTCACCCATTTTAAGTGTGCTTAAAATTTTTAGTAAATTTAGAGTTGTACAACTATCACCACTAATTCCAGAACATTTTCATTACTCCAGAAATTTTTAAAAATGCTGTACCATTAGCAGTCATTCTCCATTTCCCCTCCTTCCAGTCTCTGACAACCCCTGATCTCTGTTTCTATGAATTTGCCTATTCTGGACATTTCATATAAATGGAATTATACAATGTGTGGTCTTTTCCTATTTTGTTTCTTTCACTTAGTATAATGTATTTGAGATTCATCAATATTGTAGCATTTGTTATTAGTATATCATTGTTTTTTATTGATGAATAGTATTCCATTTTATGGCTATACCACATTCTTGTTTATGCATTCACCAGTTGGTGGGTATTTGGGATGTTTCTACTTTTTTGCTGTTGTGACTAATGCTGATGTGAACATTTGTGTAGCAGTTTTGTGTGGACCTATATTTTCCTTTCTCTTGAGCATGTACCTGGGAGTGGAATTGCTGCCTTATGTTAAATATGTTTAAGTTTTTAATAAACTGCCAAAGACCTTAGGAGTTTTTGGTGGCTTTCTTGCTAACTGGTATGACAAGATGTTTAAGGGTCTTTTGTGTTTCTGCTTCATACCTGCACTCAGCCGTATCTTTCAAGGCCATAGTTGCATGCAAAGATTGCTCATTGCTACAGTGTTGGACATTATTTCTAGGCTGCTCAGTGGATAGATGGGGAGAGTTTTTAAATATAGATTTAATAAATTTATTTTTATTTGTGTATATTGTTTAAGATAAAATACTTCAGGAATCATATTGTCATTTCCAATTCAATTTGAAAATTAGAAGTTTTTACTTAACCTCTTATGTTACATGTATATCTCCTTTCTTCTGCATCAAGAATACTGATTTTCAGAGTCAAAGGAAGATGTAATTAGCATATCCCATAATTTACTCAATATCTTTACCCCACATTATATACATAATAGTCTCAGAATAACAATACTAACATTACCACTATCAATATGATTATGAAGTTAGTTAAAAAAAATTTAGCATTTGCTATTTGTTTTACTCACATTTCTTAAATGTACCATAGTAAGTACATTGTCAGAGTGTATAGTAATTATATACTTTATGTGCTTCCTTTCGCCCTCACTTAGTCTTGGTTTTATAAATAACTGTTCATATAGTGTGCACCACCAGTCCTTATATCTTTGTCTCTTTATTTGTTTCATTGTCTGAAGCTTATTCTCTAGTTACTAGAGTCTAATAGATTCCTCAGGAAATGCTCATGGGAACAATAAGGCCTAAGTTTTTGCATATTGGTAATGGCTTTTTTGTGTCCTTTACACTTAAAAGTTAGTTTTTCTGAATAATCTTGGCTTACATTTTTTTGAGTTATTTTATTTATTTTCTATTTATTTATTATTTTTGAGATGGAGTCTTGCTCTGTCACCCAGGCTGGAGTGCGGTGGCATAATCTCGGCTCACTGCAACCTCTGCCTCCTAGGTTCAAGCGATTCTCCTGCCTCAGCCTCCCAAGTAGCTGGGACTACAGGTGCCCACCACCATGTCTGGCTAGTTTTTAAATTTTTAGTAGAGATGGGGTTTCACCATATTGGCCAGGCTGGTCTCAAACTCCTGACCTTGTGATCCGCCTGCCTTGGCCTCCCAAAGTGCTGGGATTACAGATATGATCCATCGTGCCCGGCCTTCTTGAGTGTTTTAAATCTATTATTACTGCATTGTCTTCTGGCATAGGGTATTGTTAACAGTTTTTTCATTTGAGGAAAGTTTTCTTGAATTACAGCCATTATTAATTAGTATTTATTCCATTCCTTTGCTTTGGTTTTCTTCTTGATATCAGTATTTTTGAGTCTTGTTTGAGTGTGGTTTTTTGCTCTTGTATTCCTTCTGCTTATCCTTTATTTCTAAAATGATTTTTACTTCTATTTCTAATTCTTTTCTGATTTTTCTCACCCTAGCTTAAGATTTTCTTTCATGTATTGTATCATTTTCTTAATATCGTATAGCCTGTTTTGAAATAAATTACAGTTTTGATCTATCTTGTCTGTAGAAATGCCATTCTGTTCCTTCTCTTTTTTTCTTAAAATAACTTTGTATGGGATTTGACCTTGATATATTTATGTTGCTAATTTTTATGTGAAATTAGTTTTCCCCAATGTTTTTTTTTTTTGAGATAAGATCTTGCTCTGTTGCCCAGGCTGGAATGCAGTGGCATGACTATGGCTCACTGCAGCCTTGACCTCCAAGGCCCAAGCGATCCTCCTACCTCAGCCTTCCGAGTAGCTGGGACCACAGGCATGTGCCACTGTGCCTAGCTAATTAAAAAATATATATTTTTTGTAGAGACAGGGTCTTGCTATGTTGCTCAGGCTGGTCTCAAACTCCTGAGCTCAAGTGATCCTCCCATCCTGGCCTCCCAAAGTGCTGAGATGTGAGCCACTGCACCCGACCTTCTCCTGAACTTTTTGTCTTTTCGTGATAGAGTCTCACTCTGTCACCCATGTTGGAGTGCAGTGGCACGATTTCAGCTCACTGCAACCTCCGTCTCCCAGGCTAAAGCGATCTTCCCATCTCTGCCTCCTGAGCAGCTAGGACCACAGGGCACACTACCACGCCCAATTATTATTATTATTATTTTTGGTATTTTGGGGTAGATACGGGGTTTCACCGTGTTGCCCAGGCTGGTTTCGAGCTCCTGAGCTCAGGCGATCCACCTGTCTCAGCCTCCCAAAGTGCTGGGATTACAGGTGTGAACCACTGTGCCTGGCCCTTCCTGAACTTTTGATGGTTTGGTTTAGGATAGTTTTTCTAACCACCTATCCTAGACAGCAGGCCTGACTGGTCAGTTTTGAGTGTTCTAATATTATTGGATTGTGCAAAACTCCTTCCAGCGTTAGCTCTTATTCTCAGATTGACACCATGCTTTCCAGTGAATATATATGAGTAATTTGGGAGTTCTTAGGTCCATCAGACACTCCATTGCATTCTTTGATTCCTCCTGCACAACCCTAGTATCATGCAGGTTTTGTGGCTATTAACCTGGTTTGTCCCTACGCATTATGTTTTGGGATTGTGGGAATACTTTATCTTTTTCTGTGGTAAATTGGATCCTTAGATTTTTTTGGTTTTGCTGTCTAGTTGGTCCATCTGTTTTTATGTGACGATCTGGGGAGATTCAAAGACTATGTTGCCATCTTCCCAGAAATTGATCTGAGATTCTAAAAGGCCATGTGTAACCATTCTGGCAGTTTAGCAATATGTATCAAAATCTTCAAAAGTGGATATCATTTATAGTAGCCAGAATAGTCTGGATTATTACTATGTAAGAGACAACCCCAAAACTCAGTGACTTAAAAACAACAGTGGCAGTGGCTTCTTTCTTGCCCAGGCAACATGTTCCTTGTGAGTTAGCTGAGGGCCTTATTCTGTGCCATGCTCAGTGATGGAGCAGCCAGGAACATCACACTCATCATGGCTGAGGGAGAGAAATCTCTGCAGAGTCTTTCACAAGCCATTAAAATGCCCCATCCTAGAAGTAACAAAGAGCATTTCTGATCAAATTTATTGTCTCTAGAAACAGTCTTGTTCGTACCTCACCCAGCCACAAGAGGGTAGGGAATACAATCATACCATGCACTCAGAATGTATGCAGCTGGAAATATTTGAGCAGTGCCTGTATTGATTAATATTATTTTGATCCACAGATTCTTCTGATCAGATTTTATCCTAAAATAATCAACTTTGTTCATTTCACTGTTTATAATATTCAAAAATTGAAAGCCACTTAAATGTCCAGACATTAAAAAACCTAATTATGGTAATAACCATTAAGTGCTTAGGGCCATTATTAATGTGATTATATTGATCTGTATTCATTCACATGAAAAGAGGTTTGCTATAATAACAATATTTACTGAGTACTCACCATGACCCAGGTATTCCTTCTGAAGTTCTTCATAATGATACAATGATTCCTCTTTTTTTTTTGAGATGCAGTCTTGCTCTGTTGCCAGCCTGGAGTGCCGTGGCGCGATCTTGGCTCACTGCAACCTCTGCCTCCCGGGTTCAAGTGATTCTCCTGCCTCAGCCTCCCGAGTAGCTGGGATTACAGGCGCATGCCACCACGCCCGGCTAATTTTTTGTATTTTTAGTAGAGACGGGGTTTCACCATGTTGGCCAGGATGGTCTCAATCTCTTGACCTCATGATCTGCCTGCCTCAGCCTCCCAAAGTGCTGGGATTATAGGCGTGAGCCACCATACCAGGCCTTTTTTTTTTTTTTTTTTTTTGAGGTGGGGTCTCACTGTGTTGCCCAGGCTGAGTGTAGTGTCATGATTACGGCTCACTGCAGCCTCATCCCCCTGGGGGCCCAAGTAATCCTCCTACCTCAGCCTCCCAAGTAGCTGGGACCGCAGACATATGAACCACCCTGCCTGGCTAATTAAAAAAATTTTTTTTTTTTATAGATAGGGTCTTGTTGTGTTGCCCAGTCTGGTCTCAAACTCCTGGACTCAAGTGATTCCCCAACCTTGACCTCCCAAAGTGCTGGGATTATAGGCATGAGCCACTGTGCCTGGCCAAGGATTATTTGAAAGATTATCTTGTGTTCAGTAAAATTAGGATAACTAAAGAAAATGAAAAAAGTGGTATAGATTTGTAATAACCTCAGAAAGACTATCTTGACAACGAGCTTGAGGCTTTTAAAGCTAAGAAAGACATTTTAAACCTCATATTTAGAATAAGATGAATAAGAAAATAATATGCTCATTTGGCACACTTATTTTAATATAACAAATGCAAAAGAAAGCTTTCCCCCCACTATTCAAAAAAAAAAAAAAGATTTAAATTGGGAAAGGTAGGATCATTAAAAATTAAAACAGAATGAAAGCTTTGTTATGGTTAAGAAGATTAAAAATAAACTAACTAGTTTTCAAACATCCTGGTGACCATACCAGACAAATGCTATGCGATAATACTGAAAGAATTTTGCAGAACTGGTCACCAAATCTCTGCTAGGAGTCCTTTAGTAATTGTGGAAAATGAGAGAGGTTCTAGAATATAAGAAAAGCCCTTATTTATAAAATGGGGTAGAAAGTTTGTTTCAGGTAAACTTAATATTGGTTCCTGACATATCTTTAGATTATTAAATAGGTGATCAGTGAACATGCTGAAAAGAAAGCTTAAAGGAAAAAGAGGAGGAAACAACGGGTTGTTTACGACCAAGCATGTGTCACTAAGAACAAATCTTGCCACACCAATCTAGGGTTTGTGAAATGTCCTGGTGTAATAAAAAGATCACTGGGCTAGCACTGGAAGATCTAGCCTTAACTTTACCGCTGTCTTGGTAGGTAACTCTGGACAGTCATTTAATTTCCTGGATCTCACCTATAAGTTTAGGAGGTTAGACTGCCTCATTGGTTTCCAAACTTGGCTTTGCACTGTAGGATGCTCTGCATGAAAATCTTTCATATATTAGATATTATGTTGGATCTTGGAGGTCTGACATCTCGCCCACAGCAAGAATAAATTCCTTTTTAATATTCCTGACGTGAGTTTCTGTATGCCTACTTTTCAGAGTGTGGGGATTCTGCTGTTCTGTTAACAGTATCCACTCTGCTTTTTAGAGATACGCAAAATAAATCTAATCCTTTTCTAAGTAAGAGTTCTCTCTAAGCATTTTCCACATCACTGTCTTGTTTATCCTGTCTTCTCTAAGCTAAATATGCTATTTCCTTTAGTTATTGTTCAAGAACCCTGGGTTTTGAGTCTTTATCACCCAGATTGCTTTCTTTTAGTTTTCAAATTAAATTTAATTTTTTTGAGACAGGGTCTTGCTGTGTCACCCAGGCTGGAGTGTAGTGATGTGGTCATGGCTCATTGTAGCCTTGACCTCTCAAGCTCAGGCGATCCTCTCACCTCAGCCTCCCAAGTAGCTCAGACAACAGGCACACACCACCATGCTCAGCTAATATTTTACTATTTTTGTAGAGTTGGGGTCTCCCCATGTTTCCCAGGCTAATCTCAAACTTCTGGGCTCAAGTGATCCTCCTGCCTCTGCCTTCCAAAGTGCTGGAATGACAGGTGTGAGGCACTGTGTCCAGCCTCAGATTCTTACATAACTATATAGAAAACTGGTTTGCATTATCTGTATCCAGCAGTTCTACTCCTAGATACATACTCAAGAGCTCTTTTAAGAGCAATTCTAGATTTTCAGAAAAATTGAGCAGAAAGTAGAGTTCTGTGTACTCCCTTCTTCCTCACCCCAGCCCCACATGGATTCACTGTTACTAATCTTGCATTAGAGTGATACATTTGTTAAAATTGTTGAACCATTATTACCACATTATTATTAACTAAAGTCCATAGTTTACATTAGGGTTTACTCTGTTGTACATTTTCTGGGTTTTGATAAATGCATAATGTCATGTATCCATCATTGTGATATCATATAGAATAGTTTAACCACCCTAAAAATTCCCTGTGTTTCATTCACCTAGTCATGCCGCTCTGGCACCTGCGCTACCACCACCATCCACACAGTCTTCGGCAACTACTCATCTTTTTACTGTCTATAATTTTGTCTTTTCTAGAATGTCATGTAGTTGGAATCATATAGAATGTAGCCTTTTTAGATTGGTTTATTTCATTTAGCAATATTCTTTTAAGGTTTCTCCATATATCTTTGTGACTTGATTGCTCATTTATTTTTAGTGCCAAATCATATTCCATTGTATGGATGTACCAATGTTTGTTTATCCGTTTACCTACTATCTTGGTTGGTTCCAAGTTTTGCTCATTTTTCTATCTAGTTGACTCTTTTTCTCTTATTGATGTGTAGGATTTTTTGTATGTTCTTGATAAAGGTGTTTTATATATCTAGATATGGAGTCCTTTGTCTATGTATGTATCATAAATATCTTCTCCTAATTTCTGGCTTGACTTTGTAGTCTCTTAATGGTGTCTTATGATAAACAGTTCTTAATTTTAATACACTAGATACATAATGTTTCCTTTTTGTTTATGCTTTTCATATCTAGTTTAAAAAATCTTTGCCTACCCCTTGGGCACAAAGATATTCTCCTGTTTTTTTTCCTCCTATAAATGTTATTTAATTAAATTAATTAATTAATTTATTTTTGAGACAGAGTTTCGCTCTTGTTGCCCAGGCTGGAGTGCAGTGGCGCCATCTTGGCTCACTGAAACCTCCGCGTCCCGGGTTCAAGCTTTTCTCCTGCCTCAGCCTCCTGAGTAGCTGGATTACAGGCACCCACGACCACACCTGACTAATTTTTATATTTTTAGTAGAAACTGGGTTTCACCATATTGGCCAGGCTGGTCACGAACTCATGACCTCAGGTGATCCACACACCTTGGCTTCCCAAAGTGCAGGGATTACAGGTGTGAGCCACCACACCCGGCCTAAATTTTATTTTTATACTTCACATTTAGATCCTTGTTTTGCTTGGAATTGGTTTTCAGTTTGTCTGTGGTGGTAACATAGGAGTCAAGTTTATTTTTCTTCTTCTGTATGGATACTAATGAACCCAGGATGTATACTGAAAAAGCCATCCTTTTCCACTGCACTGTCATACCACCTTTGTCATAAATCAGTCTGTGGTGTGACACAGGAGTCAAATGTATTTTTCTTCTGTATGGATAGCTAATGAACCCAGGATGTATATTGAAGAAGCCATCCTTTCTCCTGCTGCACTGTAATATACCACCTTTGTCATAAATCAGAGGTTGTGTGAACCTGTTCAGAATTTTATTCTGTTCTGTTGGCCTATTTGTGGCATGTACTTTTTTCTTTTCTTTTTTTTTTTTAAATAGCCTAATTGAGTTATAATTCACATGCCATAAAATTCACCTATTAGAGTGTATAGTGATTTTTACTATATTTGCAGAGTTGAGCCACCATTATCAAAATGTAATTCCAGAACATTTTCACCACCCCAAAAAGAAATCCCATATTATTAGCAGTCACTACATGAGAACCACTAATTTACAAATCTTCTTTCTTTCTTGCTGAATTTATTGATTCTGGACATTTCATATAAATGGCATATACTGTGTGGCCTTTTGTGTCTGGCTCCTTTTACCTAGCATAATGTTTTCAAGGTTCATCGTGTTGTAGTATGTACCCATACTTCATTCCTTTTTATTTTTATTCAATCACTTATTCATTCATTCATTCATTCGAGATGGAGTCTCGCTCTGTCACCCACGCTGGAGTACAGTGGTGTGATACGGGCTCACTGCAACCTCTGCCTCCTGGGTTCAAGCAATTCTCTTGCCTCAGCCTTCCGAGTAGCTGGGATTACAGGTGCCTGCCACCGCGCCCAGCTAATTTTTAGTACAGACGGGGTTTCACCATGTTGGCCAGGCTGGTCTCAAACTTCTGACCTTATGATCTGCCCACCTCGGTTTCCCAAAGTGCTGGAATTATAGGCGTGAGCCACCGTGCCTGGTCAACACTTAATTCTTTTTTAAAAAAATTGTGGTCAAATATATATTACATAAAATTTGCCATTTTAACAGTTTTAAAGTATATAATTCAGTGGAATTAATTCCATTGATAATGTTTTGCAAGCATAGCTACTATATTTCCAAAATTTTTTCATCACCTCAAATAGAAACTTTGTACCCATTAAGCGGTAACTCCCCATCTTCCAGCCCCTGGTAACCTCTAATCTACTGTCCGTTTCTATGAATTTGCCTATTTTAGATATTTTGTATAAGTGGTCATATAATATTTGTCCTTTTGTGCCTGACTTATTTCATTTAGCATGTTTTCAGGGTTCATCCATGTTATTGCATGTATGAGAACATCATTCTTCTTTTGTTTGTTTTTGGTGCCAGATAATATTCTAATATATCCGTGTGGTATAAGGATATACCACATTTTGTTTATTCATCAGTTGAGGACATTTGGGTTGGTACTATTTGACCATTATGAATAATACTGCTGTGAACATTCATGTACAGGTTTTTGTGTGAACATATGTTTTAACTTCTGTTGGATCTTAGCAGTAGAATTGCTGGGTCATATGTTAACTTCCTGTTTAATTTTTAGAAGAACCGCCAAATTTTTCCAAAGCAGCTGCACCCTTTCAGATTGCCTCCAGCAATATATAAGGGTTTTGGTTTTTCCATGTTCTTGGCAACACTTACTAATATGTCTATTTTTTATTATAGGTATTTTAGTGGGTATAAAGTGGTATCTCATTTTGATTTTCAGTTCCCCAGTGAGTAATAATATTGAACATCTTTTCATGTGCTTATTGCCATATGTCTGTGTTTCTTGGAGAAAACTCTATTCAAAATTTGACTATTTTTTTAATTGGGTTATTTTTCTTTTTATGGTTGAGTTGTAAGAGTTCTTTATATATTCTGGTTACAAGTCCAGATATGTGTTTTGCAAATATTTTCTCCCATTCTGAGTTCTCTTTCCACTTTCTTGGTGTCTTTTGCAGTGCAAAAGTTTTACATTTTGATGAGGTCCAATTTATCAATTTTTTTTTCTTTTGTTGCTTGTGCTTTTGGCATTATTTCTGAGAAATCATTGCCTAATCCAAAGGTCATGAAGATTTGCACCCATGTTTTCTTCTAAGAGTTTTTTAATTGTAGCTTTTACATGTAGGTGTTTTATCCAAATGAGTTAATATTTGTGATGGCGTGAGGCAGCAGTCCAACTTTATTCTTTTGCATGTCAGTATCCAGTTGTTTCAGCACTATTTGCTGAAAAGAATATTCCTTCCCCATTGAATTGTTTTGGCACCTCTGTGGCATTTTATTTTTTATTTTTTATTTTTATTTTTTGACAGAGTCCTGCTCTGTCGCCAGGCTGGAGTGCAGTGGCACAATCTCGGCTCACTGCAACCTCCACCTTCTGGGCTCAAGTGATCCTCCCACCTCACCTTCCTGAGTAGCTTGGACCACAGGCATGTGCCACCATGCCCACCTAATTTTTATATTTTTTTGTAGAGACAGGATTTCGCCATTGTGCCCCAGCTGATCTCGAACTACTGGACTCGAGATTAGCATGCCTCGGCCTCCCACAGTGCTGGGATTACAGGCATGAGCCACCGTGCCCAGCCCCTGTATTGTGTTTTCATATGAAAACTTTGTCAAACTCTTTAGGTATTGCTGAGAATTTTTTTTTTATAAATATGAAATAGCTACTGTCACAACAGGCAGAGAATAAAAGAACCTCTTATTGTATCTATTTAAGGTAAAGAGATATTTAGTAATTAAGATAGTTGGTAATTATTTCAAAGTGAGATATTATTTTAGAAGTCAATTTTCACTGTTCTCTACTTTCATTTGTAAGACATTTTTATTTCTTTTTTAGAAATTGAATCTGTGGCAAGTAAAATGGCTTGAGGTGGTACTACTATTGACAAGCCACTTAGAGTGAACTCTGGATCTATTCCCTGTTGCAAAAGTCAACACAGGGGTTGACTTTTGTTTAGTCCAAGATTATAGTAGTTTATAGTTTAGTTCTTTAAGCAAGGAATATTTTTGTGGCATCTTTCATCAATATGCATATGGACTATGACAGCAGTTGCAAACTAATCTTGGATTTCCACTGGCAGCAGTTGGAAACTAATTTTGGATAATCACAATATCCAGCAACAATAATATACAGATAATTTGGTGTCTGATTTTAAAATGAGTGTATAAATGGTGTGTGGTACATTGATAGTATATGTTTGTCTTAAACAGTGTAGAATAATGTAACTCCTTAAATAAATTCTGAAGATAGCATTATTCGAGACATCTCTAGAATATTGTATACTGAGGCATGAGCTTTGAGACTCATTTGTTGGAGCAGAGAGTATTTTTTTTTTTTTTTTTTTGAGACGGAGTCTCACTCTGTTGCCTACGCTGGAGTGCAGTGGCACGATCTCAGCTCACTGCAAGCTCTGCCTCCCAGGTTCACTCCATTCTCCTGCCTCAGCCTCCCGAGTAGCTGGGACTACAGGTGCCCGCCACCACGCCCAGCTAATTGTTTTGTATTTTTAGTAGAGATGGGGTTTCACCGTGTTAGCCAGGATGGTCTCCATCTCCTGACCTCTTGATCTGCCTGCCTCAGCCTCCCAAAGTGCTGGGATTACCAGTGTGAGCCACCGCGCCCAGCCAAGAGTATGTTTTGTATGTAGATCTGTTTTTTTTTACGTTCATTTTAAACCTATGTAGTCTCAAGTATCTGCACACAAATTATTCATTAATAGCAAAGGGGAGAATAATAACTTTAAATTAGAGAAACTTGGTAGATTAACCAAGTGACCAAAATTAACATCAATCAGTATTGGGACAAACTGGCATTGTATGCTTCCTAATATGATGCATTGAAATAGATACAACTACACTTTTGTGGTCTTTTTTCCAAAAGTGTGTAAGCTGAGTCTAACTGTGATGAAACATCAGACACACCAAATTGAGGTACAGTCTATAAACTGTCCTGTATTTTTAAATAAGTCAGGGTCAAGAAAGATGATGATTGAGGAATGTTCTAGATTAAAAAGGATACTAAAGAGATATGTAATCCTGGACTGGAGAGGAAAAGACTATAAAGTACATTATTGGAACACATTTAAAATTTTTTTTTAAGACAGTGTCTCCTGTCGCCCAGCATGGAGTGCAGTGGTGTGATAATGGCTCACTGTAGCCACAAACTACTGAGCTCAAGTGATCCTCACACCTCAGCCTCCCAAAGTGCCAGGAGTACAGGTCTGAGCCACTGTGCCTGTCCCTATTGGAACAATTGATAGAATTTGAATATAGACCATGGAATGTTAACTTTCTTGGTGTTTTTTGTTTTTTTTTTTTTTTTTTTTTTTTTTTTTTGAGATGGAGTCTTCGTCTGTCACCCAGGCTGGAGTGCAGTGGCATGATCTCAGCTCACTGCAGCCTCTGCCTCCCAGGTTGAAGTGATTCTCTAGCCTCAGCTTCCTGAGTAGCTGGAACAGGCGCGTGCCATCACGCCCTACTAATTTTTGTATTTTTAGTAGAAATAGGGTTTCACCATGTGGGCCAGGCTGGTCTCTTAACTCCTGACCTCAAGTGATCCACCTGCCTTGGCCTCCCAAAGTGCTGGGATTACAGGCGTGAGCTACTGCACCTGGCCCTCATTTATTTTATTTTATTTTTATTTATTTTTTATTTGAGACTGAGTCTTACTCTGTCATCCAGGCTGGAGTGCAGTGGCTCTCTGCAAACTGTGCCTCCCGGGTTCTAGTGATACTCCCACCTCAGCCTCCCAATTTGCTGGGACTAGAGGCATGCACCATCACACCTGGCTAATTTTTGTATTTTTTTGTAGAAAACGGGGTTTCACCATGTTGGTCAGGCTGGTCTCGAACTCCTGACCTGAAGCGGTCCGCTCACCTCAGCCTCCCAAAGTGCTGGGATTACAGGCGTGGGCCACTGCGCCCGGCCCAACTTTCCTGATTTTGATAATTGCACTGTGATTATGTAAGAGAATGCGAATTTTCTTTTCTTTTTTGAGATGGAGTGTCCCTCAGGCTGGAGTGCAGTAGCACGATCTCGGCTCACTGCAAGCTCCACCTCCTGGGTTTCACACCATTCTCCTGCCTCGGCCTCCTGAGTAGCTGGGACTACAGGCGCCTGCCACCACACCCGGCTAATTTTTTGTATTTTTAGTAGAGACGGGGTTTCACCATGTTACCCAGGATGGTCTAGATCTCCTGACCTCATGATCTGCCTGCCCTGGCCTCCCAAAGTGCTGGGATTACAGGCGTGAGCCACCGCGCCCGGCAGAGAATGTCTGTTTTCTTAGGAAATACATATGAAATGTTTAGGGGTAATGGAGCATCATGTCTCCAACTTACTCTTTGTTGTGGAAAAAAGTATATATATGCATGCCCATATATATGTAGAGAGATGATGATAAAGCAGATGGGGCAGAATATAAAACTTGTGCTGAATCTGGGTAAAGGTTATGTGAGATTTCCTTGTGCTATTCTTGCAAGTTTTTTGCAAGTTTTTGAATTATAATAAGAAGTTAGAAAAGTATAACTGAATTGGTATTAAGACTCTTGACATAGGTTGGGCGTGGTGGCACACACCTGTAATCCCAGCACTTTGGGAGGCCGAGGCAGGCAGATCAAGAGGTCAGGAGATGGAGACCATTCTGGCTAACATGGTGAAACCCCGTCTCTACTAAAAATACAAAAAATTATCCGGGCATGGTGGCGGGCACTTGTAGTCCCAGCTACTCGGGAGGCTGAGTCAGGAGAACGGTGTGAACCCAGGAGGCAGAGCTTGCAGTGAGCTGAGATCAGGCCACTGCACTCCAGCCTGGGCAACAGAGTGAGACTCCATGTCAAAAAAAAAAAAAAAAAAACACACACACACACACAATTAGCCGGGTGTGTGGTGGCAGTTGCCTGTAATCCCAGCTACTCAGGAGGCTGAGGCAGGAGAATCACTTGAACTGGGGAGGCAGAGGTTGCAGTGAGCCGAGACCACACCAATGCATTCCAGCCTGGGCTACAGGGCGAGACTCCGTCTCAAAAAAAAAAAAAAAAAAAAAAATTCTTGACCCAGCTCACCAGCATAGTTAGTTTACTTTTCTGTGCTTCCTTGCAGAATAGCTTTTAAACCAAAATGCTTAATTATGCCTTCAAATTCTGGGATTCTTCATATTGCAGAAGAGCCTACAATAAGGCTTAAAAGCAACTGTGTTTTAACATCAGTGGGAGATCAAGGAAAATTTCAGAGTTTGCAGTTTGGTAGGAAGACTGAAAAACTTTGCATTTGTACTTTAATAGTGTGGTTTCATGATGGTTTTTGAAGAACTGTAAGTTTTAAAAATATCAGACAAAGCCATGTTCAAATAAAATCATTCTTAAAAACTGCTGCCATATAGGTATTTTCAAAAATATAATTTTTTTCTATATGCTTTGTTGGTAGAGATTATAGTTCAAATTACTGCATGGCTTTTGAAATAGCTGGGATTATGCTTGTTTTATTATTTGTGGTTCAAATATAAAATTTTTAATGTTAAGCCTGTTTAAGTACTACTTTTCTTTCTTAAATATTTTTCTGACTTTAATAGTATTTTTTGCCTTTTTTTTTAAAGAGGCCTGGGCAACATAGTAAGACCCTGTATAAAAAAAATTAGCCAGGCATGGTGGCATGTGCCTGTAATTTCAGCTATTTGGGAGGCTGAGGTGGGAGAATCACTTGAGCCTGGCAGATTGAGGCTGCAGTGAGTCATGATGGTGCCACTGCGCTCCAGCCTGGGTGACACAGCAAGACCCTGTCTACAAAAAACAAAACAAAAACTTAAAAACCAGAGAAGGAAACAATTACCCATAATCAATAATCATTCATTTCAGAAGTAACTGCTGTTAAGAGTATTCTCTTTCTGTAGTTTCAAAAAATATAATCGGCATATACTTGTATACAATTTAACCATGCTTTATTCACGTAACACATCATGCATATCTACCCACATCATTAAAAATTCTTTATCATTATTGTTTTTAAACTTTTAATAATATTCCATCATATGGTGTATCACAATTTACTTTTTTCTGAGTTATTTTGAAGGCAAGTAACTAACTTATATTGGTTATAAGATAGGGAAGATACAGAAGATGAATATTTTAATCTATGCAGTTTACAAACAGAAGTAATTGGACCTCTTTTTCTTGTTCCTTGATTTCTGTTATCTTTTGAGAAACATTATTTGTAAGAAAAGCTTTTAAAAGTTACATTACCAGCATTTGTTATAGTAAAAAACGGCGGGGCACAGTGGCTCATGCCTGTAATCCCAGCACTTTGGGAGGCCGAGGCGGGTGGATCACGAGGTCAGGAGATCAAGACCATCCTGGCTAACATGGTGAAACCCCGTCTGTACTAAAAATACAAAAAAATTAGCCGGGCATGGTGGCGGGCGCCTGTAGTCCCAGCCACCCAGGAGGCTGAGGCAGGAGAATGGCATGAACCTGGAAGGCAGAGCTTGCAGTGAGCCAAGATCGTGCCACTGCACTCCAGCCTGGGCGACAGAGCGAGGCTCTGTCTCAAAAAAAAAAAAAGAAACCTGGAAGTATGCTTTTTTGTATGAAAAAGGATCCTACCTAATTCTTAAATGTTAAGTTGTTTTTTTTTTTTTCGGTTGGCGGGTACAGGGGGAGATAGAGTCTTGCTCTGTTGCCCAGGCTGGAGTGCAGTGGTTCACTGCAACCTCCGCCCCCCGGGTTCAAGTGATTCTCTTGCCTTAGCCTCCCAAGTAGCTGGGATTACAGGCATGTGCCACCACGTCCAGCTAATTTTCGTATTTTTAGTAGAGACGAGGTTTCACCATGTTGGCCAGGCTGGTCTGGAACTCCTCATCTCAAGTAATCCACTGTCCTCGGCCTCCCAAAGTGCTAAGATTACAGGCATGAGCCACTGTGCCCTGCCTTTTTTTTGTCTGAGACAAGGTCTTGCCCTGTTGTCCAGGCTGGAGTGCAGTGGTGTAATCTTAGCTCATTGCACCTTCGACCTCCTAGGGTCAAAGGCTCCTCCTGCCACAGTCTCCCTAGTAGCTGGGACTACAGGCACACACGCCCCAATACCCAGCTAATTTTTTTTTTTTTTTTTAGTAGAGACGGAGCCTTGCTATATTGTCCAAGCTCGTCTTGAACTCCTGACCTTAATTAAGCAGCCTTCCTGCCTCTGCCTCCCAAAGTGCTGAAATTATAGGCATGAGCCACCACGCCTAGCTTGGAATTTTATTTCTAACATACATAGTTCACAGATATCTTTCTCAAATTAAAAAGTTATAAATTTGGCTGGGTATGGTCACTTGAGGCAGGAGGATTGCTTGAGGCCAGGTGTTCGAGACCAGCCTGGGCAATATATTGAGACTCCACCTGATTCTCTGCTTTCTCTTTCCTTTTTCTGATTTCTCTGTTCTTTGAGGGTAAGATGATATTCTCAGACTACATACATCTTTCAATAGTAGCCAGCACAGGGCTGGGTACATTCAGTGAACAAGTGAATAAATGAATATACAAAATACAATCAGAATCTTAGAGAAGGGGAACCCGGTAGGATTGTAAACACATGCAGAGAAACACCCATCATAGGAGCAGGCTGGCTTCAAGTCTAGACCCTGGTCATCTCACAGTGAACTAATGGTACTTGAACGGAGCCCTGACTCCCATGCCAAGCAATGTGAAGTTGTATCCTTGACTGTCTCAGGTAATACTTAGAGAAGAAGAGTGTTATCAAGAAAGACAATTGAGAAACAACCTATATGACCATACAGGGGATTCAGCAGGTAAATGGTGGTGTAGCCAAACAATAGAATTCTTTGTAGATCTGGCTGGGCGTGATGACTCATGCCTGTAATCCCAGCACTTTGGGAGGCCGAGGTGGGTGGATCACCTGAGGTCAGGAGTTTGAGACCAGCCTGAGCAACATAATGAAACCCCATCTCCACCAAAAATACAAAATTAGCTGGGCGTGGTGGCACATGCCTGTAATCCCAGCTACTTGGGAGGCTGAGGCAGGAGAATTGCTTGAACTTGGGAGATGGAGGTTGAAGTGAGCCAAGATCTTGCCACTGCACTCTAGCCTGGGCAACAAGAGCGAAACTCCGTCTAAAACAAAAAAAAGGAATTCTATATAGATCTTAAAGATGAGTTTGTGGCCAGTACAGTGGCTCATGCCTGTAAGCCCAGCACTTTGGGAGTCCAATGTGGCAGAACTGCTTGAGGCCAGGAGTTTGAGACCAGCTTGGGCAATATAGTGAGACCTCATCTCTACAAAAAAAATTTTTTTAATTAGCTTGGTGTAGTTATGCATCCCTATAGTCCCAGCTATTTGGAGGCTGAGGCAGGAGGATCACTTAACCCTAGGGGTTCAAAGCTGTAGTGAGCAATAATCATGCACTGTACTCCAGCCTGGGTGACAGAGTGAGACTCTGTCTCTTAAAATATGTGTGTGTGTGCGCGCACGCGCACGTGCGTGCACATATATATATTTTTTTTTTAAGATTTCCACTTGGCAGATATATGAGTTTAGGGATTTTGAGATTATATATTTTACTCCAAAAGTATGTAAGATAATGGCCAGGTGCAGTAGCTCATGCCTGTACTTCTAGCACTTTGGGAGGCTGAGGGAGGAGGATCATTTGAGCCCAAGAGGTTGAGGCTGCAGTAAGCTATGATTGTGCCACTGCACTCCAGCCTAAGCAACAGAGTCCTTTCTGGAAAAAAAAAAAAGTATGTAAGATAAATCATACTTGAATTTAAATCTTTAGGCATTCTGTTTTTATGGTGGGTAGCAGACTTAGGACAAAAGGCACTGCTTTTAAGGTTAGGAATTATAATAATATATTGGTTACAGAAAACTGAAAGTGATACCTCAATTACAATAAGTATGAAGCTATGATTTGACCGACAAATTTCTGAGCATTGTCCATAATATAGTCCTAGTTGTGTGGATGTTAGTCTTGCTTGATTTAAATGTCCTGGAATTGCATCTGTTTTTAGGTCAGTTCTTGAAATTAGTAATTACCTCACATTAAAATGCTTTTATTAGTCATAGAATTAACTGTTTGACCAGAAAACAAATATGGATAGTTGAAGGCTGTTCCTTTCTTTGAGTCTTTTTATAGTTCTCCACCTATTAAGGATTCCTTCTTAACAAAGCAGACTTTATGTTGATGTAAATAAGAGGTTCACCCATGATTGTGTATAACTAAATTACACCTTCTCTGGTGCTATAACATCATCCTGATTTAGGTATGTGGTGGTGTCTCAAACTTCATAAATGAATACCTGAAATATTTATATATTGCATTCATCTGAAAGGAAGCTACTAGTAGGCCCACTCATAGGATTGTTAACATCTCTTATAATTTCATGTTTTGGCAGGTAAACCTAGCCTTTAAGCAACCTGGAAAGAGGCTAGAACACCAAGGAATTAGAATTGAATTTGTAGGTCAAATTGGTGAGTTTTAAAATAGTATTATTTCTTTTTCTTTGATAACTGAATTTGAAGAGGGTTGGATTTTGCACCAAAATAATTGAATTAGAGCTTAGCTTTGTAGAAGGAAGGAATTGATTTTGCATAATAAAAGAGAGGATTTACTTTATAACTATATTAAATTGTGTTTCTTTGACTTGTATGAAATGATATTTGATATATCATTTCATGATATATATGAAACTACCAGCCTTGAAAACTAATTCAAGTAAATTAGTTGACCTACTGAAATTTTCATCTGCCTGCATTTTTCACCATCCTTCTTATAATTAGCAGCCTCACCTTCATTCTTCATTTTCTAATTACCCATGCCATTTGTCTTCCTGATCTAGTGTGTGCCTGTAGCCAGACTCACTTGTGTCAACACACAATTCCATGTGAGAAGGAAAGGTGTAGTTTCTTCTTGACTTAGATCAACTTATGTACATTTCCATACATGATTCCAGATGAATGCTTGATTTAGTAGGGAGTTAAACTATATAAATCTTTCTATACTGAAGATTCAGAAGAGAAAAGAAAATATGTCTTTATAATACTGTCTACATAACTAGGCTTAAAATCTAGCTTTCTAAGTTTCAGTGTACATTTTTAAAGTATCAGAATTGGAATGGGTAGATATTTATATATCTGTTCTGACTGAGAGTGTACTTACATGTCTATTCTGACTGAGAGGCAAGTTGTAGTAATTGATAGTTGGTTTTAGTCTTTTTGTGTTTTGTAATTTTATGAAGGTAATATATTTGCCTAACTAAAGCAAAATAGAATTTTTGCCTTGTCTAGGGGAAGTTCAAATAATTGCTGGTAATGTGTCAAATGGCTTCATATTGGGAGAGCCCCAACTACATCAAAGGAATGAACTCATTTTTAAAGAAATTTTCATTGTGCTATGCCACTTGAAATCTTTTATGCCTACATGAAGTATAATTATAAAAAGGATAATGGAATTCAGAGCATAGGTCTAGTTTATTAGAGACAAACTCAATAATTCTTTTGGTAAAAATCGTTTGTGTTTGAAGTAGATGTCTGGGTTTTATTGAAATGGCTATTAAATAATTGGTCTTTTTGCCTTTTAAAATTTCTCAGAACTTTTCAATGACAAGAGTAATACTCATGAATTTGTAAACCTAGTGAAAGAACTAGCCTTACCTGGAGAACTGACTCAGAGCAGAAGTTATGATTTTGAATTTATGCAAGTTGAAAAGCCATATGAATCTTACATCGGTGCCAATGTCCGCTTGAGGTATGAATGTGTATTATAAACTGTAAACAGAATCAAAACCAGAAAGTAATGACTACTGTTGATATCTTATTTGAACCTCTAATTATAATTCTGTATTGGAAGATTTAAGATTTTTAAAAATTCTGTCACATACTTTGGCTAATGCTGATTTGAGGTAATAGAGCGTTCTAACATTATAGAGTTAGACAACATTGTTATGAGACATTTCAGTTATACACTTCCCTGGTATGAATTGTCCCTTACGTACTTCATTTGTCATGTAAACTGAATGACCTTCTAAATCCACTAGTTTCCCAGAAAATCTCCTTTAGTATATGGTTCAGAAGTAATCTGGAGTACCAGAGAGGCTCTGATACATCTAAAATGACACAAATAGTGGATGGCAGAAAAGGAGTACGAACCTAGTTTTCTAAACTCTCAATTCAGTGTCCTTTCCCTTCACTAAGTCTGTATGCAGGAAGCCAGGGATGCCTCAGAGTCCAGGGCATTTCAGGATATTAATCTGAATGCATCAGGTCCGAGATCTTGCTTTCTCTGTTTAACTTGGCATTATCTATCTGGAACTGGGTTTGACAACCCAAATTTCAAATAGCAGTTCCTTAAAGAAGTGATCTGGAGAGGTTTCTTCAAGTAGGCTTGATGACAGCCCTCCAAACTCATCTGTAAAGTATTTACACTATTCTTAAAATTGAACTTTGTATTTTTTTTCATGTTGGGGGCATTAAAGAAAATTGGAACTCCTTCGTGAAGTAATGAAGTAAGTTGATCCCAAAGGAGTTCCAGCAAGGAGGAGAAGCCTGAGTTGCAGTTAATGTTTGCTGATTTAAAACATGAAAATTTATCACAGGTGATTTAACTCATCGACTCTCTTTTAACTTTGTAGGTATTTTCTTAAAGTGACAATAGTGAGAAGACTGACAGATTTGGTAAAAGAGTATGATCTTATTGTTCACCAGCTTGCCACCTATCCTGATGTTAACAACTCTATTAAGATGGAAGTGGGCATTGAAGATTGTCTACATATAGAATTTGAATATAATAAATCAAAGTAAGTATCATTCACAGATAAGTTGTTCAGAGAAAATTCAAAAATTAACTTTTCAGGTGTTTGTCAGTTGGTCAAAGTAAGGATAGAATTGACATTAATCTGATGTTAACAAATCAACAGGATCTCTGAGCTAAAAGAAATTTTAGGAGTTTGGTCTGGTTTCCACTCAGTAAAGGTGTCTTTTATGTTCTATTCCTGATAAATCTCTGCTTGGCCACTTTGTGTAGAGGATGTCACCATCTCAGAAGGCAGCCAGTCCTTCTGAGGATACAATTTATCTTACTGGCTTGATATTACCTCATCCTAGCCATCTCTTTTCACATATTTTCACCTTTACCACTTAATCACTGTTAATGTCTCCTTGTATATCATTTCTTGGGGGGAGGGGGAAGGTATATATGTTTATATATGTTGTATTTTTACAAAACTGGCTCATATTTTGCTTGTGTTTAATGCCTTTTTAAATTTTATTATGGGAAATTTCAAGCATATACTAAAATATTTGAACAGTATACTGAATAATATAATGAATCCTCATGTACCCATTGCCCAGCTCCAACAGTTATCAACACACAATCCAGTTTATCTGTATTCAGCTCTCATACTCCCCATAGGTTATATTGAAGCAAATTCCAGACATTTAATTTAACCCATAAAATTATGTATCATTTTATCAATTAAATTATATATGTGGAATTTGCTTCGATACAATCTGTGGGAAGCTGTATCAATATCATTTTATACATGGACTAAGATGTTCTCAGAAACATTACTTACATGAACAAAAGATTGCCATTTAAATGCCCACTGGTATTATAACAGTTAAATAAATTATGGTCCAGCCATACTGTGGAATGCTAAAGAAGGGTTAAAAAGATTGAGGCCGGGTGCGGTGGCTCACACCTGTAATCCCAGCACTTTGGGAGGCCAAGGTGGGCAGAGTTTGATCACCTGAGGTCAGGAGTTTGAGACCAGCATGGTCAACATGGAGAAACTCCGTCTCCACTGAAAATACAAAAATTAGATGGGTGTGGCGGTGCATGCCTGTAATCCCAGCTACTTGGGAGGCTGAGGGAGGAGAATTGCTTGAACCTGGGAGGTAAAGGTTGCAGTGTGCTGAGATCACGCCACTGCAGTCCAGCCTGGGTGACAGAGGGAGACTCCATCTCAAAAAAAAAAACAAAAAAAAAAGATTGAGACATATGTATTTAGTTCTCCAGAAGCGTGTCCATGATATATTAAGTGAAAAATTTAGCCATAAAAACAGCATGCATAGTACTGTTTCATTTCTGTAAAATACTCATGTATTTGGATATGAATAGAAAAGAGTCTGCAATGATATTCTGTTGTTAACAGTGGTTATCTGTAAAGGATGAAATTATGTATTGACTTTACATATCTCTTATTTAAATGTTATATGACAAGCTTGTTTTCTGTGTCTATTCAGAAAAAAGTTTTAAAAAGTTATATATCATTCTAAATATAACTACAATACTCTTATATCTAAAAATATTAGTAATTCCTTAATATCTTCATACACCCAGACAGTATTCACATTTCCCTAATTGGCTCACAGATATCTTTCTTTTTTCACATACTTTGTTCAAATCAATATTTAAACTAGGGCCACACATTGCATTTGGTTGTTTGAGCCTTAAATTTTTTAATTTATAGGTTTCCCTTCTATTTTTTTTATTAAAGTTTGTTTGTTGAAGAAATGGATGTGCCCTGTATTATCCCTTTCATACCCCAGTCTTTTGTTACATTATTTTTATTGGTTGTCACTCCCAGGTTTATATCACTGAATATGTAATACATATGGACTTCAGAATCTTAAAATTATATTGTTGATGAAATTATCAAATAGTTTAGGACCTGAAACCACTGAAGCTTCCCTTCAGACTGACATAATTTTTACACACACACACACACACACACACACACACACACACACACAGTTTTTTGTTTGTTTGAGTCTCACTTTGTCGCCCAGGCTGGAGTGCAATGGCGTGATCTCGGCTCACTGCAACCTCTGCCTCCTGGGTTCAAGGGATTCTCCTGCCTCAGCCTCCTGAGTAGCTGGGATTACAGGTGCCTGCCACTATGCCTGGCTAATTTTTGTATTTTTAGTGGAGACGGGGTTTCACCATGTTGGTCAGGCTGGTCTCAAACTCCTGACCTCATGATCCACCCGCCTTGGCCTCCCAAAGTGCTGGGATTATAGGCATGAGCCACCGCGCCCAACATATTTTTTTTTTTTTGGAGTCGGAATCTCTGTCGTCCCGTCTGGAGTGCAGTGGCATGATCTCGGCTCACTGCAACCTCTACCTCCTGAGTTCAAGCAATTCTCCTGCCTCAGCCTCCTGAGTAGCTGGGATGACAGGCATGTGCCACCACGCCCGGCTAATTTTTGTAGTTTTAGTAGAGATGGGGTTTCACCATGTTGGCTAGGCTGGTCTTGAACTCCTGACCTCAGGTGATCTGCCCGCCTTGGTCTCCCAAAGTGCTGGGATTACAGGCGTGCCCGGCCTGACATAATTTATATTAACCAACTCTTGAGATACAATTTTGAGAGCCAAACCTGGGAGGATGCTAAAAAGTCCTCTGGATATTATAGGGATTCCTAAGTTTATTACCACATCATTACAAGGTACGTGGGAGCGACCTTTGGTTATTAGCTATCACAACAGCAGACTCAACCTATGTAGGTAGGTTTCTTTTACTTTGTCTTTGTGGGCAGATGATTTATGTTAGCTGCACTCTTGTAGAACTTGAGTAATAATGACACTAAACTCTTGTGTCTTTTAATGTTGAAAATATCTTCATACACCAAATATTTCAAGTATTTTTTGTGTGTGTTTGTTTTGAGAAAGAGTCTGGCTCTGTCACCCAGGCTGGAGTGCAGTGGCACAATCATGAGTCACTGCAGCCTCAATCTCCCAGGCTCAAATTATCATCTCACCTCAGCCTCCTGAGTAGCTAGGATCACAGGCATGTGCCACTAATTTTGCACCACCCAGCTAATTTTTAGAAGAGATTACATCCCCCTATGTTGCCTAGGCTGGTCTTAGACTCCTGGGTTCAAGCAATCCTGTCGCCTTGGGCCTCCCAAAGTACTGGGATTATAGGTGTGAGCCACTGAGCCCAGCCAGAACAGTTAACCAGGGTAATTATTCCCTCTGAGGTAGTCAAGTAAAAGTTTGATTCCTTATTTGCATAGTGAAATGATGAATACTTTTTTGAAAAAAAGAACACTAAACAATATGAATAATCAAAATGGTTGTTGTTGGTTTTTGTTTTTGGTGAGCCAAAGTTTTATTTATTCATTTGAAGTATTCTCTGATGACATCCTGGCCTGAGACTCCTTGCCATAGTTCTTAATTACTGCACAACTGCAAACAACCACTTTACGGGGTTTCCCCCATCTGTCAGTTTTATAGAGGCTTACCCATTCCCCAGTTTCTTCTTGTCATCAACCGGGGTTCAGCACAAAGGGCCTCCACCAACTTAACATACATGGGCTCATCACAATTAGATGCAAGCACACAAAGATGAGCTTGGTGCCTGTCTAAGGCTTTGGCAGCTTTGTGAATTCCACATGCTAGGCCATCATGGATGAGGGTGGTCTTCAGCACCTCTTGTAAAGCAGTAGTAACGTCCCTTATACCTCCAGCAGCAATGCCTTCCTCAGCCATGGTGGTGAGTGAAACTGAATCTTGAATACACCCAGGCCGCCACCTCCATGCAACTCAGCAGCGGCAAGGAAAGAGCTCAAAATAGTACTTTTTTTTTTTTTTTTTTGAGATGGAGTCTTGCTGTCACCCAAGCTGGAGTGCAGTGGTGTGATTTGCCTCACTGCAGCCTTCACCTGCTGGGTTCAGGCAGTCCTCCCGCTTCAGCCTCCCAAGTAGCAGGGATCACAAGCATGTGCCACCATGCCCAGCTAATTTTTGTATTTTTAGTAGAGACAGTTTCGCCATGTTGGCCAGGATGGTCTTGAACTCCTGACCTCAAGTGATCCGCCCACCCCGGCCTTCCAGAGTGCTAGGATTACAGGCAAGAGCCACTGTGCCCAGCCTCAAAATGGCTTAAGTAATTATACTAAAGATGTCTATCAAAGTCTTTTAGGACATAGTTCACTGTTTTTGCTTGTTTTTAAACTGATATTTAGTGAGATATGTTCTTCCCCAATAGGTATCATTTAAAGGATGTGATTGTTGGAAAAATTTACTTCTTATTAGTAAGAATAAAAATACAACATATGGAGTTACAGCTGATCAAAAAAGAGATCACAGGAATTGGTAAGTTGAAAAGAGTATGTAAATTAAAATTCTTTGTTTTAGTTGACATTTTTAAAATCTTAAAATATTGTTTAAACATAATTTGATATCCACATTGAGTACTAATTTTGCTAGTTAATATTGCTGGCAGTAAGTTATTTAATGTTTTTTTAAATTACTTTTTGATTGTCCAGAATTTATTTTTTATAAAAAATTAATTTTTGAATAGGTAATAAATTCACATGGTTCAAAAATAAAATGTAAAAGAGTATACAGTAAAAAGTATCTTATTTCTGTACTCTAGCTACTCATAGGTAATATGTTTATTATAAGTTTAAAAATCCTCAGTGGAGCAGGTCAAAACTCCTGTGCTGATCAGTAGTGGGATTGTGCCTGTGAATAGCCACTGCACTTCAGCTTGGACAACAGAGTGAGACCATTCCAAAAAAAAGAAAAACAAAAACCAAAACTTTCCAATTAGTTATTATGTATACAAGCAAGTACCTATGTATAAGACACACCCCTTTTTACTTAAATGGTGGTGTATAATGCATACTTCGCTTTGCCACTTAGTAGTGCATCTTAGAGAACTTTCCATAACAATGTGTAGAATACTTTATCTTTTTAATAGTTTTCCATTTTATTGATATACTAAAATTGAACCAGTCTGCTGTTTGTGGACATACTGGTTGTTTCCGGTCTTTTGCTATTACAGATAATGTCATTTTGCACGTGTGCAAGATAAAATCTTAGAAGTGGAATTCATGGGTTAAACAGCATATTTGTTTATAATTCTTCTGCCCTTTTTGTGGCGAACAGGGTCTCACTATGTTGCCCAGGCTAGTCTCGAACTCCTGGGCTCAAGCTATCCTCCCACCTCTGCCTCCCAAAGTGTTATGATTACAGGCATAAGCCATTGCACCTGGCCATTTACAATTTTGATGCATGTTATCAGTAAGTCCTCTTTAGGGATTATCCCAGTTTGCATTGCTATCAGCAGTGAATGTAGGAGAGTGCCTCTTTTCCCCCATATTCTCATGAGCACAATGCTGTAAAAACTTTTAGCTCATTTGATGGGTAAGGGGGAGATACTACTACAGTGTAGTTCTGGGATTTTTCTTATGGATTCTTTTTCCCCCACTGCTTTATTGAGGTATAATTGGCAAATAAAAATTGTATATATTCAAGATGTATGATGGAATGTTTACATTATGAAATGATTACCACAGTCAAGCTAATTAATATATTCCATTATAGTTTTAATTTTCAGTTTTCTTTTTTTTTTTTTTTTTGAGACGGAGTCTCGCTCTGTGGCCCAGGCGGGAGTGCAGTGGCGCAATCTCGGCTCACTGCAAGCTCCGCCTCCAGGGTTCACGCCATTCTCCTGCCTCAGCCTCCCGAGTAGCTGGGACTACAGGCGCCCACCATCACGCCCGGCTAATTTTTTTTGTATTTTTAGTAGAGACGGGGTTTCACCGTGTTAGCCAGGATGGTCTCGATCTCCTGACCTCGTGATCCGCCCGCCTCAGCCTCCCAAAGTGCTGGGATTACAAGCGTGAGCCACCGCGCCCGGCCTAATTTTCAGTTTTCTTATTGAGGATGAACATCTCTTCATATGAATAAAAACAATTTTTATTTTCTGTAAGCCATTCATATTCTTTGCCCCATTATCTATTCTTTTTCTTACTTATGTGTAGAAACTATATATTAGAGAAATCAATCCCCCTCCACCTTTTTTTTTTTTGAGACAGGGTCTCACACTGTCACCCAGGCTGGAGTGCAATGGTACAATTATAGCTCACTGCAGCCTTGAACTCCTGGACTTGAGCAATCCTCCAACCTCAGCGTTGTGGGTAGCTGGGGCCACAGGCACATGCCACCACACCCAGCTAATTTTTTATTTTTTTGTAGAGACAGGGTGTCACTACGTTGCCCAGGCTGGTTTCAAACTCCTGGACTCAGCGATCCTCCTGCCTCAGCATCCCAAATTGCTGGGTTTACAGGTGTGAGCCACTGTGCCCTGAATTCCTTTTTCTAATATTAAGGGTAGCAAAAATTTCCCTCGTTTGTCTTGTTTGTGGTGGTTCATGCCATGTAGAAGTTATTGATGTTTATGTAGTCAGATTTATCAGTTTTTCATTTTATGGCCTCTGGGTTTTATGCCATGGTTAGAAAGGTCTTTTTCACACTGAAGTTCTAAAAATAATTTTCTGTGCTTGATTCTACTGAAGTAATACATTGTGGTTTAGGGATTTTGTTTCATTTTTAAAATATTAATTCATTTGAAATGTGTTGTGATGTAAGAGGTGAGGTATGTATCACCTTTACTTTTTTCCAGATGGCTGACCAGTTGTCCTGATATCTTTTATTGTTTCATCCCTGCTTTTTGATTTTAATATATAAATATATAAACTTACTTTCTCCTCTAATATTGTTGGGTGTTTTTTTTTTTTTGGAGACGGCGTCTCCCTCTGTTTCCAGGCTGGAGTGCAGTGGCGTGATCTCGGCTCACTGCAACCTCTGCCTCCAGGGTTCAAGCAATTCTCCTGCCTCAGCCTCCTGAGTAGCTGGGATTATAGGCACACGCCAACATGCCTGGCTAATTTTTGTATTTTTAGTAGAGACGGGGTTTCACCGTGTTGCCTAGGCTGGTCTCGAACTCCTGAGCTCAGGCAGTCTGCCTGCCTTGGCCTCTCAAAGTGCTGGGATTACAGGCGTGAGCCACTGTGCCTGGCCTCATCGTCGGGTTTTTTGCTGAAAGTAATTCTAGGCAACACTTTATAAGAATTTATAGTCAGTATTCATAATTTAAAACATCTGTGATTTCTTTTATTATTATTATTTTATTTTTAAATAAAATTCTCACCCAAGGCATGATCTCAAGGCAAGAGGTCCTGAGAACATGTACCCCCATATGTGATTTCTTAATCTCCATGTTTCTACTTGCTAGTAAATTTAAGTGATTTTAAAATCACTTCAAATTCTCCTTTGTTGTTTCAAACAACTTCAAATTCTCCTTTGTTGTTTAAAATGTGGCCAGGTGCGGTCGCTCACCTGTAATCCCACTACTTTGGGAGGCTGAAGCGGGCAGATCACTTGAACCCAAGGAATTCAAGACCAGCCTGGGCATCATGGTGAAACCCCATCTCTATCCCAAAAAATACAAAACTTAGCCAGGCATGATAGTGCACGCCTGTAGTCCCAACTACTCTGGAGGCTTAGGTGGGAAGATTGCTTGAGTTCAGGAGTTTGAGACCAGCCTGGGCAATATATTGAGAACCCATCTCTACAAAAATTGAAAATAAAAAAACAGGCATGGTGGTGCACACGTGTAATCTCAGCTACTTGGGAGGCTGAGGCAGAAGGATTGCTTAAGCCCAGGAGGTTGAGGCTGCGGCAAGCCATGATTGGACCACTGCACTCTAGCTTGGGTGATGGAGCGAGACACCGTCTCTAAAAAAAAATAATGTAGTGGAAAAATAAGAAGGCATAAGGCTAGTAATTATATTCTGGAATATTTAAATTAATGTTATTTACATTATTGCACTAGGACCCAGTACCACAACAGAAACAGAAACAATCGCCAAATATGAAATAATGGATGGTGCACCAGTAAAAGGTAACACACTTTTCAGTTACTTCTTTTGTATAGTGCAAACATCAGTGTTCATGGCAGTTTTGTTTGTATTTATTTAGTGTGAAAGTATCTTTGAATTCTTAAACCATTCTTACAATGATAGCTTTTAAGGTCATCTTTGTACAGCTGCAAAGAAGACTGTAATTATATTTCCTAGTCTGAAATAAGGTTTAATTTTTCAGTTTCAATTTAGGATTTACTAGAGACAGTTATATGTATCTATTCTCTAGTTTTGAATTTGTAATATTTTCATTGTCTTCTATTATACAATAGTTCGTCTTTGTAAATGTTTTTTCTCCTGACCACAAAATGGAGTATGGCTGAGCATTAATTCCTGTAGGTTTTTGGAGTCATTATAGCTCTCAAGAAAATAAGCAGTTCCATTACTAGATTAATCTTCAGTATCTGAGACAATGAAGCCAGTATTTATCATTTTAAAATTTATGTCTGGGTTTTCTTCACTATTTGTGCTTACATCACAAAGCCAGTACCATTTATTAAGTGCCAAGTGTAGATGAGGCAATGTAATCTTAGGTGCTCTAAAACTCTTTGAGCTAGGTGGTTGTGTCCCTTATGATGCATGTATGTGTACTCTTGTGTTATGCAACATTACTTTGTAAAATTCCAGCAGCCACCAGTTTTTATGTAAAATTATGAGTTTTATATCTTTCAGCAAATTGGTGTGCATGAGAAAATTATTATGTAAAAAATATTCAGGCCGGGTGTGGTGGCTCATGCCTGTAATCCCAACATTTTGGGAGGCTGAGGTGGGCAGATCACTTGAGGTCAGGAGTTCAAGACCAGCCTGGCCAATATGGTGAAACCCCGTCTCTACTGAAAATATAAAAATTAGCTGGGTATGGTGGTGCACGTCTGTCATCCCAGCTACTTGGGAAGCTGAGGCAGGAGAATCGCTTGAACCTGGGAGGCGGAGGTTGCAGTGAGCTGAGATCATGCCACTGCACTCCAGCCTGGGAGACAGAGTGAAACTCCGTCTCAAAAAAAAAAAAAAATTCAGGGGCCGGGCGTGGTGGCTCACGCCTGTAATCCCACCATTTTGGGAGGCCAAAGTGGGTGGATTGCTTGAGCCCAGGAGTTTGAGACCAGTCTGGGCAACATGGCAAAACCCCCATTTCTATAAAAAATACAAAAATTAGCCAGGCATGGTGGCATGCACCTATGATCCCAGCTACCTGGGAGGTGGGAAGCTCACTTGAGCCCAGGAGGCAAGGTTGCATTGAGCCAAGATGGCACTACTGCATTCCAGCCTGAATGACAGAGGGAGATCCTGCCTCAAAAAAAAGAAAAAGAAAAAGAAAAAAAAAAGCCAGGCGCGGTGGCTCACGCCTGTAATCCCAGCACTTTGGGAGGCCAAGGTGGGTGGATCACCTGAGGTCAGGAGTTCGAGACTGGTCAGCCTGGCCAACATGGTGAAACCCAGTCTCTACTAAAAATACAAAAAAAATTTGCAGGGCATGGTGGCAGGTGCCTGTAATCCCAGCTACTCGGGAGGCTGAGGCAGGAGAATTGGATGAACCCAGGAGGTGGAGGTTGCACTGACCCGAGATCGCACCATTGCACTCCGGCCTGGGCGACAGACCAAGACTCCATCTCAAAAAAAAAAAAAAAAAAAAAAAGAATATGCAAAGAATTACCCTTAGGAAAATAGAAGCAATGAGAATCTGAATAACAGTCTTTTTGGTAATAAAAGAATGTCATCATTCTGTCCGTTTTTAGCTTTGAATATATGAGTAACAAGTATTCAATAATTTATACACATGATTAGAAATTATGGTAAACTTCATGAAAGAAGATAACAAAACAACTTATAGAGCACTTATCTGTTGGCACTGTTTGAGTTTTTTAGGTATATTAACCCATATAGTCCTTACACATTCCTTGTGAATACTATTGTTATTCCCCATTTCACAGATGAAGAACTTAAACAATGAGTAAGTGATTTTTCCAAGGTCACACAACCAGTAAGTGGTTGAGATCTGAAGCCAGGTATTCTGACTCTAGAACAGTAGTTCTCGTCTAGGGGCAACTTCACCTCACAATGAATGTTTGGTGTTGTCTGGAGATATTTTTGGCTGTTACATTTGGAGAGTACTACTGGTATCTAGTGGGTAGAGGCCAGGGTTGCTGCTAAACATCCTACAAAGGATAGGACCCTCCCCACAACAAAGAATTATTCAGCCCAAAATATCAGTACTACTGAGGATGAACCCTGGTCTTTGTTATTTTGCATCTCATGAGGATGTGAAGCATTAGTGTCAACTCTATAGTGCTTAGTCCTACCTGTTATGTGACTATATTTAATCATCTTTAGAATTAAGTAGAAATTCCTTTTCTTTCAGGTGAATCAATTCCAATAAGGCTATTTTTAGCAGGATATGACCCAACTCCAACAATGAGAGATGTGAACAAAAAATTTTCAGTAAGGTACTTTTTGAATTTAGTGCTTGTTGATGAGGAAGACCGGAGGTACTTCAAACAGCAGGTATGGTGCCACTTGGGCTGGTATTATGTTCTGCGGCAGATCTAAAAATACCTCGAAAGCACTCTTCTAAGCTTCACTGTACTGAGCGAGTGGGAGTTTCTAAATAAATAAAAACACTGTGGGTATGATAGATAAAGAAGTAGAGGAGAATAGAATCCTATGATAGATCCCTCCCCAATCATTCTGCAGTACTCCAGAATGAGCTATAATTTTTCAGGGCTTTTAGTTTTCTCTTACAAGTTCTTTTGTTTTTGTTTTTTAATAAAAACAATACCTGCTGCTTATTTAGAAAAAAATAAGGCAATAAAGAACAAAGAATGAAGTAAAGGTCAGCAGAATTTCCACCACCATTGCAACTAATGTGTGTATGTGTGTTTACATCATATTATGGATATTGCTTTTTTTTTTTTCTTACTGTTTTTAATTTTTTGTAGAGACAGAGTCTCACTGTGTTGCCCGGGCTGGTCTTGAACTCTTGGGCTTAAGCAATCCTCCTGCCTTGGCCTCCCAAAGTGCTGGAATTATAGGCATGAGCCACCGTGCCCAGCTGTATTCTTTAATTTGCATTTTTACTCAGTAGTGTCTTGAATATCTTTCTCTTAACAAATATACATTATTATTATTATTATTATTACTATTTTTATTTTTTAAGATGGGGATCTTCCAAGCAATCCTCCAGTCACAGCCTCTTGAGTAGCTGGGAGGTACAGGCACGTACCACTGTGCCCTGCTGATTTATCCCTTTTAAACAATTCTGTCATAATGTCCATGAGATGACTGAATTCTAATAATTTTTTTATTTGAGACAGAGTCTCGCTACAGGTTAATTTTTGTATTTTCTTTTTTGTAGAGACAGGGTTTTGCCATGTTGGCCAGGCTGGTTTCAAACTCCTGGCCTAAAGTGATCTGCCTGCCTTGGCCTCCCAAAGTGCTGGGATTACAGGCGTGAGCCACCATGCCCAGCCTCTAATCCTTTTTTTTTAAGTTTTTTTTTTGAGACAGAGTCTCGCTCTGTTGCCCAGGCTGGAGTGCAGTGGTGCGATCTCAGCTCACTGCAACCTTCACCTCCCGGGTTCAAGCAGTTCTTCCGCCTCAGCCTCCCGAGTAGCTGGGATTATAGGTATGCACCACCACACCCGGCTAATTTTTCTATTTTTAGTAGAGACTGGGTTTCACCATGTTGACCAGGCTGGTCTCGAACTCCTGACCTCAGGTGATCCGCCTGCCTCAGCCTCCCAAAATGCTGGGATTACAGGAATGAGCCACCGCGCCCAACCGCCTCTAATTCTTTGTTTAATATAAAGTGTTCATTACAAACTTGTTCTCATTTGAAAATCAATTAAAAGCTTTTGGTGAATTTTGAATGAAGATAGTAATTAGAATGGTCTTTTGTATTCTGAATCAGATTAATAAACATGTAGTTAAATGTCAGTTGAGTGTTCAAAGCTAAGTTAGAAATTACCCTGTCCTAAGTACTGTGAAAAATACAAAAACTACCTTTTATAAACATGATCTGTCCTCCATGTTCTCACATTGTAGATATCTGGGAAAAAGAAAAATAATATAAACTAACAGAATACTTAAATAATAGCTTGACAGTAATTTAGAAGAGACAAAACCTATTCCAGTATTGCCATCCTAATGTTGTATAATTAAACATACATGATTTATAACTTTGAAATAAATTACATGATTTTTACAATTTCAAAATCAATTGCATATCATGGCACTATTGGAGGTAAGTCTGTTATTTCCCATGTGCACTCATTTGGATGTTTAAATTCTGATATGTTGGGGAAAAAAAAAAGCCTATAATGACTTCATGAAGCAAATAATTTTAGGAATTTAGAAGAGGGAAGTTCTCAGGATGGATTGGTTAGGGTAAGAGTTAGGTAGAGAAATCGAGATTTGAAGACTGGGGAAGATGTAGGGCGAGTTTATTTGGATTGCATTGGAGGCAGAGAGTAACTCCATTTGGCCGATGGGGGAAAATGGTCAAGGGAGGGAAGAGAATAATGTTGGTAAATTGGATAAAGGTTATAGAGGGGCATGAATACCTGTTTGGAGATTTATCCTGGAGGCACTGAGAACTACTAAAGAGCAATCCAAGCAATGTGCTGGAGGATTAACCTGCTAGTGATAATAAAGGATTAGATAGAAAGGGCTCTGCCTCTCTTGCCTCTGAGGAAGCTGTTTTAATATCTAAGTGACAAGAACTTGAATTTGGATGAGGGCAATGAACAATTAAAGGATGGATTTGGGGAATTCTTTAAAGTAACAATAGGACTTCTTGACAGATTGGATTGGTGGTGGTGGAATGCATGGGTGCTGGTGATAGGAGCACTAGAGGTAGAAGGGGCAGTCAAGATTAGAGCTGGAAGAAAGTGGAAAAGAAGTTGGAAAAGAGGAGGGCTTTTGTAGGGAAGAATTTAATTTTATTATGGTTAAAATTGAAGTGGCAATCAATAGAGATAAGGCATCATATCAAACATTAATTTGTTAATATCTTGCATTTGTTTACTAGGAGATAATTTTATGGAGAAAAGCTCCTGAAAAACTGAGGAAACAGAGAACAAACTTTCACCAGCGATTTGAATCTCCAGAATCACAGGCATCTGCCGAACAGCCTGAAATGTGAACTGAACAGGAGAAAAAAAGAAAAGCAAAAAACTCCTGTAACCCTTGAGATTAAGTTCAGCAGGTTAAAGATGGTTGCAGCTGGAGGGGGCGGAAAAAGGCCAAAACTCCATATATGTTAGTCTTCCTTTATCTTACAGCGCAGCATTTATTTTATGATATAATGAAATGTTCGTTCATGTATATACATTTTTAAAAGTGCTTTCTTTGAAACACTGGAACTTTGTTAAGCTGCCTTTTTTTTTTTAACTTCCTACTTTGATGATAAGCACTCAGATATATATCAGCGTAAACATGAAAAATTTTCATGTGAGTAGGCTGGTATTTGTAATTTTGCTTTCTTTCTGCATAATGTTGATTATAAATCCTCTCTTTTCAGGCTAATGATTACCTCTTATTCTCTACATGCAAAAAATTAAATATTTTGTGTTCAAATAAAATTAGAAAACCTGAGTGGCCTCTTGTGTCCTGCAGAGATTTAAAACATGGCATCTCAATATTTTTGAGAACTACATTTGTTTTTAACATATGTGTTTGAGAAAAGCATATGGAGTGTTTCACCGCAGGCACTTCTGAGTACCATTCCATGGCTTCCAGAATTTTATCCTCTTTGAGGTCTTCTGTGCTATGAATATTAGATTTCTTTCCCCAAGGGATTATGTGGCAGGTCATTATGGCCTTCTTTTTTTTGGCCATATTAAGTAACAGTTTTGCTATATTCCAGTAGTACCGTTGTGTGTTTTCTGCAATGTGGAGTTGACTTAGCTTGGCATTTTAGATTTGTTAAAACTATTTTTTCCATAAATACTTTGAAACATATTTATATATTTCAATTTAAGGAATCTTTTTGCCATGTGTATGCAAATATTATTTTCTTCATACATTCATTTTCTTTTCAGGGGAAAATTTTGGGATGGGGGACTCAGGAGGACCTGTGAAGCATGTAGTTATCTAGATCTGGGTAATTTCATGTTTATTAAACTCGAACTTTGGCTAGTTAAACTCATATTGAAACTTCATCTAGTCTCTTAATTTTTTAACACTAAATTCAAGTCATTTGTTTTAAGTCTCTAAAAAAGAAGATTGCAGTCATCCATTCATATGCATGGGGTCTGATCGCAAATACACTAAATGTGGAGTGTAGGAACCAAAATGAAACCTGCTGTATGGAAACTACTTTCACTTATGGTTCATTGGTTTTTGTACCAATATTTTTTATGCACTTCAGTGCAAGTCTTGTCAGTTAACCTTACTTTATGAGTAAGCTAAATAACCCAAATTACATTTCTTTAAACCTGTTTTACTACTATGGCACTTTGATAAAATGGTCAGGAACCAACTTTACTGGCAAAAGGGTCCATGTACCACCATGTGCTGGAGCATCTGTTCTACATGTGGATATCTATGAATGGTAATGTTTTCCTTCATGTAAGTGCCTATTCAGAGTTTCAGAATTTTAAAATGCCAAATATTTTCATGGTCATTTGCATGTAGTAAGCCAGAAAATATTCAAAGAGATTTTGAAAACCAATTGTATTTAACCAGCCTCAAATTGTGCAACCATGATGTATAATAAAGAATTTGAAACAGAAACTGAGCTTGCTGTTTGCATGATTAAAATAGCTCTGTTCTCAAATCTCTTCTCATTGTTAGATTTATTGTCGAGGATAGGATTGTTCAATAGTTTAGGAAGCTGTAACTGTGATAATGAATTTTTATAAATATTACTGGTTTCAATTTTAAATAGATATATAATGCTTTTAATAGGCTGGCTTAAAACTGTCATATACAGGATGCCTATCCGTTTTGCTCAAGACTTTTTGTAGCATAACCAATTTGAAAAAAATTCAAATTTAATATTTGGTGATTTCAGTCAAAAGTCAGCCAGCTAATTAGAAGTCATAAACTGAAAAAGAAATTTGTGTCTTTAATGAAGAGTTACAATGTCTAATCCATTGGTTCTCAACCCTGGCTGCATATCAGAATCACCTTAGAAGCTTTTAAAATAACCAGGCCCGGGTCCTACTCTGACCAATAAAATAAGAATCTCAGAGACTGGGCCATAAGCATTAAAAACAAAACAACCTCAAAAAAATACCTGTCATCTCAGCCACTTCAGGAGTCTGAGGCGGAAGGATCACCTGGAATTCGAGACCAGCCTGGCCAACAAAAATGAGACCCTATCTCTACAAAAAAATTAACAATGAGCTGGGCATGGTGGCATGCACCTGTATTTCCAGCTATTTAGGAAGCTGAGACAGGAAGATCCCTTTGAGAGGTGAAGCCAGCTGGACTTCTGAGTTGCGTGGGGACTTGGAGAACTTTTCTGTCTTACAAGGGGATTGTAGAATGCACCAATCAACACTCTAGCTAGGATTGTAAAACGCACTCTGGCTAGCTGGAGGTTTGTAAAATGTACCAATCAGTGCTTGTGAAAACGCACCAATCAGGCTGGGCACAGTGGCTCACGCCTGTAATCCCAGCACTTTGGGAGGCTGAGGCGGGCAGATCACCTGAGTTCCAGGAGTTCGAGACCAGCCTGACCAACGTGGAGAAACTCCATCTCTACCAAAAATGCATTAGTCGGGCGTGGTGGCACATGCCTGTAATCCCAGCTACTAGGGAGGCTGAGGCAGAATTGCTTGAACCCGGGAGGCAGAGGTTGCAGTGAGCCGAGATCACACCAATGCACTCCAGCCTGGCTAGAAGTTTGTAAAATGGACCAACCAGTGTTCTGTAGAATGGACCAATCAGCAGGACGTGGGCGGGGACAAATAAGAGAATAAAAGCTGGCCACCCCCCAGCCAGCAGCGGCAACCGGCTCGGGTCCCCCTCCATACTGTGGAAGCTCTGTTCTTTCACTCTTCACGATACATCTTGCTGCTGCTCACTCTGGGCCTGTGCCACATTTAAGAGCTGTAACACTCAAGGCGAAGGTCCACGGCTCCGTTAAGTCAGCGAGACCGCAAACCCACTGGAAGGAACCAACTCTGGACACACCTTGAGTACACGAATTTGAAATTACACTGAGGTGATCATGCCACTGCACTGTAGCTTGGGTGACAGAGACACCATGTCTCAAAAATCTACCCAGAGTTGGGAACCACTGATCTAAACCATTAAAATTTTTATTTCTGTCACTAATGAAGAATTTTCTCATTGTTTTGATATTGCTGGGGAAGAAAAACTTTTACCCTCTTAGGATGAGTTCTTGGGGGCCTGCAAATTAAATAAACAAGAGACGTGGCCAGGTGCCTAACTCTTTTGAGAGGCCAGGGTGGAAAGATCGCTTGAGCCCAGGAGTTTGAGACCAGCTTGGGCAACATAAACGGGACCCCAATCTCTACGGAAAAAAAAAAAAAAAACATAGGGGAAGTGGTGGGGCATGAGTACTTACGGGAAAACAAATGACTTAGAAGATATGAAATGAGCTCTTATGAAAATAGATGGAAGATAAAATTTTGTTACAATGTCTGTTCACGTGTGGTACCCATTTATTGTCTCAGGATAAAAGTCAGTCTTTCCTGGTTGCTCCCGGGAAGGGGATTTTTTAGCTCTTTTGAGAGCCCAGGCTTTTAGACAGCTAAGGGATTTCAAAAACAAGTGATTATAAAATTAAAGATGCTCTCATTTAGAAAAAAAATACAGGTCTAAAATATAACACAGTTATGGATTAGAACTGTTATGCAGCTCAGTATTAGAATAAAGCAAAGGTTTTCCAGGAGTGGTATTATGCCCCGGAAAGAAAGCAAGACAGAGCAGGACCACATGGGTACCATCTGTACAAGTTCTACAAATGTGTCTGACAGGTGCCCCATCCCTTCCAGCTCTAACATTTCATGACTCTAACACTAAATCTTTTTTTTTTTTTTTTTTTTAATTTTGAGATGGAGTCTTGCTCTGTCGCCCAGGCTGGAATGCAGTGGTGCAATCTCGGCTTACTGCAACCTCTGCCTCCTGGGTTCAAAGGATTCTCCTACCTCAGCCTCCCGAGTAGGTGGGACTACAGGCACGTGCCACCATGCCTGGCTAATTTTTTGTATTTTTGGTAGAGATGGGGTTTCACTTTATTAGCCAGGATGGTCTCGATCACCTGACCTCACTGAGAGGTGAAGCCAGCTGGACTTCTGGGTCGGGTGGGGACTTGGAGAACTTTTCTGTCTTACAAGAGGATTGTAAAATGCACCAATCAGCACTCTGTAGCTAGGATTGTAAAACGCACCAATTGGCACTCTAGCTAGCTAGAGGTTTGTAAAATGCACCAATCAGCTCTCTGTGGCTAGCTAGAGATTTGTAAAATGGACCAATCAGTGCTCTGTAAAATGGACCAATCAGCACTCTGTAAAATGGGCCAATCAGCAGGACATGGGTGGGGGACAAATAAGGGAATAACAGCTGGCTGCCACCCCCCAACCCCAGCCCCCAGCCAGCAGCAGCAACCCGCTTGGGTCCCCTTCCATGCTGTGGAAGCTTTGTTCTTTCGCTCTTCACGATAATAAATCTTGCTGCTGCTCACTCTTTGGGTCCATGCCACCTTTGAGAGCTGTAACACTCACTGCAAAGGTCCACAGCTTCATTCTTGAAATCAGCAAGACCACGAACCCACTGGAAGGAACAAACTCTGGACACATCGTGGTCCACCTGTCTTGGCCTCCCAAAGTGCTGGGATTACAGGCGTGAGCCACCGTGCCCGGCCAAGAGTAAATCTTAAAAGTTCACTTAGGATAAGCAACAGTTTAGCGTCTAGATCATGATAACCTTAATGTCAGAAAAATACTAGAAACTTCAACTTACAAAATTTGGTAGACAAGGTATGAGAGAGTAATCTACAGGATGTGCTTTTGTGAAACCTACACCAGATTTTGTTAATAGCAAAAGCAGGCCGGGCGCGGTGGCTCACGCCTGTAATCCCAGCACTTTGGGAGGCCGAGGCGGGTGGATCATGAGGTCAGGAGATCGAGACCATCCTGGCTAACACGGTGAAACCCCGTCTCTACTAAAAATACAAAAAAAATTAGCCGGACGTGGTGGCGGGCGCCTGTAGTCCCAGCTACTCGGGAGGCTGAGGCAGGAGAATGGCATGAACCCAGGGGGCAGAGCTTGCAGTGAGCCGAGATTGCGCCACTGCACTCCCGCCTGGTGACAGAGCAAGACTCCGTCTCAAAAAAAAAAACAAAAAACAAAAAACAAAAAACAGCAAAAGCAAAGGCGAAGAAGAAATTAACTTGTATTATTTCTGCCACCTAGGTTATCTTCTCCCACTTCCTTTCCCCTTCTATTTATTTCCGTATTCATGCATGGATTTAGCATATTTACAGACTATCAGTTAGTGCTTGCTATGGTTTGAATGTGTCCCCTAAATTTTTTGTGTTGGAACTTAATCATCAAATTCATATATTGATTGGAGGTGAGGCCTTTGGGAAGTAATTAGGATTAGATAAAAGTTCTCAGTGTGGGTCCCCCATGATGTGACTGGTGGCTTCGTAAGAAAAGAGAAACCTGAGTTGACACACAGGTCTTGCTCTCTGGCCATGTGATGCCTTCTACCAGGTTATGTCAAGAGGGCCATCACCAGATGCCAGCCTCTTGATCTTGGACTTCCTAGCCTCCAGAACTAAAAGAAATAAATTCATTTTCTTTACAAATTACTCAGTCTGTGGTGTTCTGTTATAGCAATGCAAAATGGAGTAAGTGTTATCTTGGCCCTATCCTGAAGGAACTTTAATCCAGAGCAGTGGTTCTCAAAAGTGTGGTCTCAGACCAGCAGAGTTGCATCATCTGAAATGTTTTAGAAATGTAAACTCTCAGATCCCACTCCAGATCTACTGAATCAGAAACTTCAGGGATGGGGCCCAACAATCTTGTTGCACTCTAACGTTTAAGAACCACTGACCCAGAGACACAATTACGATAGTTTTCATTCTATGATAGAGCCTCTACTGGGACCTGTGATATGTAAGAGAAGCACCCAGTGTGTTCAGAGGTGCAGAGGTAAGAAACGATGATATAACTGGTGTATAGTTCCAGCATGAATAGAATGGTAGATGTGGGGAGTAGAAATAAAGCTGGAAGAGGCATATAGGGCCAACCAATTTAGGACAGAACCTGGATGCCATACGATGGAATATGGGCTTTATCTGAACATTTATTCAGAATCACCAAAGGACTCTAAGCAGGAGTAACTTACCAGATTTGTGTTTTCAAAAGATCATTATGGTGCTACGGCAAAGTATAGGAGGATACCAGTTACATAGTTACTGCATTAATCCATTCAACAAGCAAAATAAAACATTTATAGAGGCTCTAATATGTGTTAGGTGCTGATTACACTTACTGCTATAAATATGACATAACCAGTATAGATATGACATCTTTTTTTGTAAAAGCAAAAATTTTATATTGAATTTTCCCATTTCAATGTTTATAGTAGAACTTAATGAATGGCTGAAAGGGAAAGCCTGTATGTGCTATCATAAAATTCAGATTGCATTTTCTACCTGCAAGGAGGTGCAAACAAAATTACAGTTAAAATAGTTTTGAGGATTTTTTTTTTCTGTAAAACTATACTAGGGTTGGGCTAGATCTGTAAGACTAGTAACTGCCAGGTGCTGTGGCATGCACCTGTAGTTCCAGTTACTCAGGAGGCTGACACAGGATTGCTTGAGCCCAGGAGTTCACGATCACCCTTCCAAAGAAAAAAAAAGACTCGTACAAATGTTGATTCTGGCCTAATATGCTGCTCCTGTCCAAAAAGCCCACCTATTTGCTTTGAAATCAGAAAGACTGGCTGGGCACGGTGGCTCACACCTGTAATCCCAGCACTTTGGGAGGCCGAGGCAGCTGGATCACTTGAGGCCAGGAGTTCTGAGACCAGCCTGGCCAACATGGTGAAACTAAAGAGAATACAAAAATTAGCCAGGTATTGTGGTGCAAGCCTGTAGTCCCAGCTACTCGGGAGGCTGAGGCATGAGAATTGCTTGAGCCTGGGAGGTGGACGTTGCAGTGAGTTATGATTGCACCACTGCACTTCAGCCTGGGCAACAGAGTGAGACTGTCTCAAAAAAAAGAAAAAAAAAAGATTTAGATTTGTATCTGACTCTACCACTTACTGGGGCAAGTTAGTTAACCTGGTGACAATAATACCTCTAAATTGTTGTCAAGCATATTAAAAGATTAAAAGGAACAACATAGTGCTTGCCTCAGTTACGTATTAAACGTTTGGTTTATCCTTCATTCTCCTAGTTTCCAAATCTGACGAGACATCATTGTTTATTAACATTTTCTAGCATATTTAGTCACTCACTACATTATCTAAGGAGTCTTGTAAAACCTCTCATTCCACATACATGGTCTCCATCATAACTCAGACACAGGAATCTACCACCTTCAGCTAGAACTGTTGATAAAGTTGTAATTTTCCTCCCTGCATATTTGTGTTTATCCTAGTCTATCCTAGGTACTTCCTAATGAATGATTTCTCTTCTCAAAAATATAATCACTATTTGTAAGCCATAGAATTAGGTCTGCGTTAACTCTGTTACTTAAATTTTTTTCAGTATGTCTTTTCCTTAGTTAAGCCTCTGCTTACATCGTTTCCACTGACTAGAATTTACTTACCGCTTCTCTATGTTTTACTTTTAAGTCTGGCAGAAATCTCCTTACCACTCTCAAATTGCTCCTTTCTTTGAACTGCCATTAGTCTATTAGAGTAATAAGTGCATTATTTAACGTGTACTGTTCTTACCACCAAAACCAGATCAGAACCTTTGAAAGCAAAGGACTGTCTCCTTGTATCCCTGATGTTTAAAAATTATTTTGTGAATCAAAGGCACGTGGCAAATTGTTACTGGAATCCTATTAGACATACAGTATTGTATATTACATAACACGTTCCTTCAAGTTGTAAGATCTTAATGATGTAAGTATAAAGAGATGTGGATGGAGATGCTAAACTTGTGAATTTTTTTTTTTTTTAGACGGAGTCTCACTCTGTTGCCCAGGCTGGAGAGCAGTGGCCCGATCTCGGCTCACTGCAACCTCTGGCACCCAGGTTCAAACGATTCTCCTGCCTCCGCCTCCCTAGTAATTGGGATTACAGGTGTGCACCACCACGCCCGGCTGATTCTTGTATTTTTAGTAGAGAGGGGATTTCACCATGTTTGCCAGGCTGGTCTCGAACTCCTGACCTCAGATGATCCACCGGCCTCGCCCTCCCTAAGTGCTGCGATTACAGGCGTGAACCACCACGCCCGGGTTAAACTTGTGAATTTAACATGTTGCAGCCTCACATGAGAACACGGTATTCAACAAATGCAATGGAACGAAACTATGGCTGGGGTACAGAGCACGTATTTTTGCCATGTGGTCACAACTATGTGGTCATAGCTGCTAGGATGATGTACGCAAACTGCTCACATTAAAGCAAAAGTACTTACGTAATACAAGGGGTTTAATAGTGCAACAATATTTCTTAGCAACATTTCTGAGGGGCATATCAAGTTATTATCGCTAACGTTATCATATCAGGAAATGACGGTTAACAATGCAAGAAACTTTTGGGAAATGCTATTTAGTGTTTGAGTCCGCAAGACATACTCGTACCCTGAGCATTCGCAGTTGCTGCTCCACCACCCATTCTCTCACTGCTCACCCACGTGCTTCTGGACACTTGCTTACCAAAGTACTAGTTTGCATCACGTGACACGACTAGCAGGCCCCCTCCGCTCATGTATGACATCCCAAAGATGCCTGATTATTTTCCCTTCTTTAGGGAAAGGTGGTCCCAATCACCAACAAAACAGAGAAAGAGAACGAGAATTATCTCTAGTGGTTTTGCCTGCTAATCTTCTTTTTCCCTGAAAGAACACCCTCACGGCACGGCGTTTTCCTTAACGGTCAGGCGTTTTCCCGGGCAGCTTACCTGCTCGGCCTGGGTCTTTCTGGACAGCAGGCGCTGGAGGTGCGCGTCACTGTCCGCCGCCGTGTCCGCGGCTGCGCCAGACAGTGTAGAACCTGCGGCCTCGATGTCCTTCTCCCGTGCCCTATTGTGGGCTCGGCTCCCGGCGGGGCGCCAGGCTGGCCACCGGGCAGCCATCTGCTCTGCCCTTCGTCCCCACTTTGGGCCCTTTCCCGGGGTTCTGGGGCAAGTTTCTGTCCTTGCCACCGCCTCCTCCTCTGCCTCCGGTGGCTCCAAAATACCAAACACGTCCTTGTTCGTGCCCCTGACTGTGAAACCTCAGGGCCCCAGCGCCGACGGCGACGTCGGGGCCGAGCTAACCCGGCCTCTGGACAAGAGTGAGTGCGGGAACTACTGAGGGCGGCAGAGGGTGGTGTCTGCTGGGCCGAGGCTGGTTGGGAGGAAGCTACATCCCCTTCCCCTGGGGATCCGAGGTCCCATCGAGTGTTGTCATCGTGCCTCTCAGTGTCTGCCTCCTTCGCTGGTGTGTGAGCCCCTCAAACGGCTTAGGACTGTATCTGATTAATTCTTAACGCCTCGTCCCAGAAGCGGCCTTTTCCCTTTTACTGCCCTGCTCTCTGAATGGTTTAGACACTCATGTGTTGGGAAGATTTGACTTTTTTGAGTTGTTAGGTGGACGCCCGCTCTTTCTTGCATTCTTTGTTTCTCTCCCACCCCCGAATGGGATGTGGCAGTGAAAAGCCAGCGGAGACTCCTTTTAGGATTCTTTATCATTGAGGAGGCGCCGACTCATACCACGCTGTTAGGCTGTGTGGTGGTTGCCAAGAGGAACCAGACTCAGATCCAGATCCCCTCTTAAGAAACGTAACGGTATCGTGGGGGAGGACACGTGTATGGAAAGTGAACTGTAATACAAGGTAGAACATGACAAGGTCTAGAACAAGGTAGGGTGTCCCCGGCTCCAGAGAGAAAAGAAGAGGTAGCATCAGTTAGTGGCAGCGGGCTTTGCTCAGCAAAACTTAAGTTTGGATGGATTCGTTGACAGAGAGGCATGTGAATGTTTTCAAGGTGAGTTTCGGGATGATTAGGGAGGTAAGGGAGTTTCCTCTGACCATATGAAACTGGGAGATTGAGGAAATGCTATCCAGAATTGTCTCCAGGAATAGGAGGAGAAATGTCTCACTTCAACAAGCGACATTGGTGCCTCCTATTGTAAATCTAAAATATAGACTACAATATGTTTTTCAGAGCAGAAGTACAGTACTTTCACTAAACATGTGATGGAACTCACAGTATATGTTATTCTTTGACATATTCTTCCAGTGTTAAGCAAGGCCTTTCACTTTACTTGGTGCTGGGAGACTGTCTTTATTTTCTGCTGTTATAACATAATACCTGAGACTGAGTAATTTATAAACAATAGAGGTGTATTTGACTCATGGTTCTGAGCCGGGATCTGATGAGGGCCTTTGGCTGCATCATCACATGGTGGAAGGTGGAAAGGCAAATGAGCCTGTGAGACAGAGAAAGGGGGCTGAACTTATCCTTTTTTCCTGTGATAACTGACTCCTGTGATAATGGCATTAATCCACTCACAAAGGCAAACTCCTCATGTCCTAATCACCTCTTAAAGGTTCCACCTCTCAACTGTTAAAATAGCAATTAAATTTCAATATGAGTCTTGGAGAAGACATTCAAACCATAGCAGAGAATGTGTTATTTTAATAATGTAATTATACTATTATTTATTTTTAAATTATAAAAATACATAAAATTTACTCTTTTAAGCTTTTTTTTAGTTTTTTTTTCTTTACTTTTTTTTTTTTAGAGACAGGGTCTTGCTCTGTTACCCAAGCTGGAGTATAGTGGTATGATCATAGCTCACTGTAACCTCCAACTCCCAGACTCAAGCAATCCTCCTGGCTCAGCCTTCTAAGTAGCTAGGAATACAGGCGTGCATCACCATGCCTGGATAATTTTTTAATTTTTTGTAGAGATGGGGTCTTGCTATGTTGCCCAGGCTGGTCTCAAACTTCTGGGCTCCAGGGATCCTCCTGCCATGGCCTCCCAAAGCCCTGAGATTACAGACCTGAGCCACTGCACCCAGCCAGTCTTAATTGTTTTTAAGCACATAGTTCACTAGCGTTAAGTATATTGACATTGTCGCGAAATAGATGAGAACTTTTTCATCTTGCAGAGTTGAAACTCAAACAATAGTTTACCCATTAAAGAACAATTTTCCATTATTTTATATTATTTGAAGGCATAAGGTAATTTGGATGAGATAATTTGCCTTATTGTATTCAAATATTGATAAATTCTTATTTTCTGCAGCTATTCCAATTCACCTGAAAATGTAAATGTCTTTGCTGCTTCCTGTAAGAAGATAGAATAAAGACATGGGTTTGTCAGCACTAGATTTTCTTCTGGTGGAGAATCCTTAGATACTTCATTGGGTCTGTGTGCCAGGTGATTTTTCATCTCCTTTGACTGGGATTGGTCCAGATGTTGAATTTACTAGAATGATTTTTCAGCATGGCAGGAGGGGCTACAGAAGATGGTGCATTACTACACTCTGATATAGCCATGTGGTTAAGGTGTCAGATTTCCACTTAGCTTAGCAATCAGGACAAGAAGCTGTCACTTCTCAATCTCTTTTGCCTACTCATAACCCAAAAAGTTGAGGTACTTAAAGGCTTTGTCCTGCGTCACCTTGCTGCCTTATTCTGTGCTGTCTATGGGGTGTCTCATTCTCTCTCTCCCCTCACTAATTCAGTATTCCTCTCAGATCTTTGTCTCTACCCTGGACCTCTCTCCTTCACCCTGGACCTATATATCTCGCTGCCTACCAGGTGTCTCCACTTGTCTTTCTTACACACACCTCACCTTAGCATGTCAAGACAACTTACCTTCCCCTCAGCCTGCTCCTGCAGGTGCTCAGGTCAAAACCTGGTAGTCTTTGTTCTTCCATCCCTCACCCCTACATCTAACAATCAGAGAAAGCCCAGTTAATGAGTCTTGTTGATTCTACCTCATAAATGTTGGATTCATTCATTTCCCTCATTCTCCACTGCAACCAGCTTAGTCTAAATTGCCAGCTTCCATCTTTTGACTGGACTGCACATATAGCCCCTTATGTGTCTCCTCATATGCCTTTGATCCCTTCATTCTATTCTCTACCTGCAGTCAGAATGTTCTTTTAAAAAGACTAGGCTGGGCGCAGTGTCTCGTGCCTGCAATCCCAGCACTTTGGGAGGCCCAGGAGGGTGGATCGCTTGAGCCCAGGAGCTCAAGACGAGCTTGGGCAACATGGCAAAACTCCATCTCTACAAAAAATACAGAAATTAGCCAGGCATGATGGTGTGTGCCTGTAGTTCCAGCTACTTGGGAGGCTGAGGTGGGAGGGTTGCTTGAGCTTGGGTAGTAGTAGAGGTTGCAGTGAGCCGAGATTGCACCACCACACTCCAGCCTGGGTGACAAGAGTGAGACCCTGTCTCAAATAAAAAAAGAAAGATACAATTTTAATTTACATACTAGAAAGCTCACCCTTTAAAAGTGTATAATTCACTGGGTTTTAGTGTATTTGCAGGATTGTACAATCATCACCATAATTTCATTTTAGAACATTTTTATCACCCTAAAAAGAAACCTGATATCTGTTAGCAAGTCACTCTCTAGTTCCCCAGTCCCCAGTGTCTTTTTTTTTTTTTTAGCTCCAGATAACCACTAATCCACATTCTGTCTGTTGATTTGCCTGTTTTGTGTATTTCATATTTATAGTGTCATATAGTATTGGTCTTTTGTAACTGGTTTCTTTTACTTAGCATAATGAGAAATTTCACATTTTGGAAGCATTTTAATTTGAGTAAAGCAGCATGAATCTTATATAACACCGTAGTATTAGTCACAGAAAATAGGTTAATTCTAAATAAATGTGATCTGTCTTTAGTTTGTATCGAGTTTATAGGTCAGCAGAATTTTCCCAAGCAATGATGGCATGTGCCTTTTTCCAATCTTTTATTTGTCATTGGTTTTTCTACCCTTGATACCAAGAAACTGTTGGCCAGGTGCAGTGGCTCACGCCTGTAATCCCAGCACTTTGGGAGGCTGAGGCTGGCAGATCACCTGAGGTCAGGAGTTCGAGACCGGCCTGACCAACATGGAGAAACCCTGTCTCTACTAAAAATACAAAATTAGTCGGGCATGGTGCATGGTGATGCATGCCTGTAATCCCAGCTACTTGGGAGGCTGAGGCAGGAGAATCTCTTGAGCCCGAAAGGCGGAGGTTGCAGTGAGCTGAGATCGCGCCATTGCCCTCCAGCCTGGGCAACAAGAGTGAAACACTGTCTCCAAGAAAAAAAGAAACTGTTGTTCCTACCCGGCACAAAGTAACAGAGACCCAGAAATCTGCCTGTGATCTGAAATATAAATACACACACACACACACACACACACACACACACACACTGTGTGTGTATGTGTATCTCATATTTAATTGTGGGCAGATCTAGTGATTCTGAAATTTCCTCATTCTGTCAAACAGTTTTATTAGTGGAATGCTTTGTTCAGGCTTGATTTCTTCAATGAGTGTTGTGTGTGTTGGACTGTGTGAAAATGTGGTTGGCACATTTGTGAAAGGTAAAAATACAGGTCACTTGGCCTTTCTGAATTTCATGGGTAAAGGCTGTGTCCTCATTGTGGCTTCTCCTCCTAGAAATACATAGTGTGTGACTGAGTCAGTAAAATGTTTATTGAATAATGCTGTAGTATTTTAACATATACAACCATAATACAATCTCAGCTTGATTAGTTTAAAATACTTTTACCTCTAAGATTATTGATTCATAGTGGCATGTTATCTCCCAATAGCATAGACATTTCTCTGCCGTCACCCTTGACAGTCATCTAACCCTTGCTTGAGTAATTCCATTGGCAAGGAGCTCTCACTTTTCACTGTTCTAATTGTTAGGAAGTTCTTGTATAAATTCCACTGAAATCTGCTCCCACTGACTTTAGTTATGCCATCTAGCACAAAACAAGTGTAATCTTTTATCCCTGAAATCATCATCCTCAAACTTAACATCAGCGTGGCTTCCTTAAGCATGAGGATCTGGTCCTTGCTATATTGGTTGTCTTTCTGGATGTGTTTTAGCTGCTCACTGTTTGGATGTGCAGAATCGTTATAAGTGAATGACAGTGTGGCTCTCTACCTATAAGTGGCCTGGTGAAGGCTTGAGGCTGCCTCTCATCCCAGAGTGCATTGCTCATTCCTCTATGGTATAACAGGGTGCTGCATTATTTGACTCGATCATTTTTCTCTTTTTTTTTTTTTTTGAGACGGAGACTCGCTCTGTCTCCTAGGCTGGAGTGCAGTGGGCCCATCTCGGCTCACTGCAAGCTCCGCCTCCCGGGTTCATGCCATTCTCCTGCCTCAGCCTCCTGGGTAGCTGGGACTACAGGCGCCCAATAACAGGCCCAGCTAATTTTTGTATTTTTAGTAGAGACGGGGTTTCACCATGTTAGCCAGGATGGTCTCTATCTCCTGACCTCGTGATCCGCCCACCTCAGCCTCCCAAAGTGCTGGGATTACAGGCGTGAGCCACCGTGCCCGGCCAACTCGATCATTTTTCTTAACACTCCCATCGCATATGAATTCATAAAGAAGGATCGACTAAAACCTTCTAGTTCTTGCAACACTCATTAGACTGCTGCCTTTAGTGTTATTGCTTCAAGTTTCTTTTGCTTTTTTTCAGCATTTATCTAAGATAAGGAAACGTTAAATTTTGACATCTCTCTTCTAGATGAAGTAAAGAAGGTCTTAGACAAATTTTACAAGAGGAAAGAAATTCAGAAACTGGGTGCTGATTATGGACTTGATGGTAAGGCCCAAAACATCTTCATAGAGGTATTTTATTACCTCTTACGGTACAGCTTGGTCAGGACTGTACGACCCCTCATGTGACCTGGCTGTTGTAGTCTGGAGACACGTCCCTGCTCTTTGCTTCTGGCTGAGTGGGAGACTGGCGAGGCTCACCTGGTGAGCCATACTGCACGGCAGAGGAGCTGCAGCTGCGGCCTTCCTTCATGCTGTGCTAGGACTTCAGTTTTAGCCCAGATCATAATAAACCAGCTGTACTGCCAAAAAAAAAAAAAAAAAAAGAAAAAAAAAGACTCTTTGATGAGTTTGGTGTGGTGTGTCTGTGTGCTTTTTAAAATGAGAACTACACCTTACATCTTTTCATTTTGTGTTTCTACAGCTCGTCTCTTCCACCAAGCTTTCATAAGCTTTAGAAATTATATTATGCAGTCTCATTCCCTGGATGTGGACATTCACATTGTTTTGAATGATATTTGCTTCGGTGCAGGCAAGTGTTTAGAGACTTTTTAAAATCCTATTGAACATACCTTCTATTTCTTCTCATACTTCATGCTCATTTCTCTAGAAGGGCTTATTTGGTTTAGAGTGGGTCTGGTAACATCCTCTGTAAATAATTCAGTGCTTTCACAGGATGACTTCTAGGTTGTTTGCTTTTATATTGGGTCCCTGAGCTGGTTATTACATCACCCATATGTCTTAGACTGGAGGAAGACTGGGGCCCAGTGAAATAAGCTCTCACACAAGTTGGAATTAGTGCATAGCAGATTCCATCTGTTTTTGCCACTGGCTTCCTTCTCCCTCATATCAGGACAAAGTTCTTGCTATAAAAGAAAAAAAAAAAGTCAAAATATCATAGTTTCATTCCCACAGGCAGTTTGGCTTTGGTTATGTATTTGACTCTTAGACCTGTACCTTGTGCCCAGCACTGAGGATACAACGCAGAATGGGACATGCCCCAGCCTCCTCTCAGAGCCACTAAGATGTGGAGAATTCTTGCTGAGGAACAAACACATGTTTTTGCCTGTCTGTGGTTTTCGAAGTTTAAAAAATGTTTGCGCCTTCATCTCTGTAATGTACATGTCTAGGTTCTTTATTTTTAATTTAACTTTTGCCAATGCTAATCTTTGCCTGTTTGTACTAAAGGAGTAGGACGTGGTGGTTGCTAGCCAATTTCCTGAAAATATAAATTAAAAGGAAAAAGTAAGACAAAACAGGATCCCAGAAAAGGATAAGGCCTGTAACCTCAGGACTTTTCTACTTTTTTTTTTCTTTTCTTCCTTTTTTTTTTTTTTTTTTTTTTTTTGTGACACGGTCTCACTCTGTCACCCAGGCTCTGGAGTGCAGTGGCTCAGTCTCAGCTCAGTGTGTAGCCTCAACCTCCTGGGCTCAAGCCATCCTTCCAGGTCAGCTTTCCAAAGTGGTGGGATTGTTGACGTGAGCTACTGTGCCCAGAGAGGACTTTTCTTTTTACCCTGGCAGTGCCCCCGCAACTTAGCTTGTTAAGAAAAAAGATTTCACTAAATTTAGTTACGAATTTTATGTAGATTGCACATGTTAATACAGTGTTTTATTTTCCAGCTCATGCGGATGATTTATTCCCATTTTTCTTGAGACATGCCAAACAAATATTTCCTGTGTTGGACTGTAAGGATGATCTACGTAAAATCAGTGACTTAAGAATACCACCTAACTGGTTAGTTTCTCCATTTGTGGATTTGAAATTTTCAGTTTCTAATCTTGGATGATTCGTGGTCATTATTTTTTTTTATTGTATTCTAGATAACAAATTATAAGGAGTCTGGATTAGGTTGTTTTCCTAAAATAAAAAGAGGCAGTTAACTCTTTTAGGCAATTCACTGGTATCTTACCTTGATCCGGATTGAGTGTGGTTTTAGGTTTTATTAGGGCAGATCTAGAATAGCCCTGACTTAAGGATGTTGTCCTTAAGTGTAAGCTATGGCCTTCCTGGTGTTTTAGCTGAGCGCCTGGGTGTTAATGAGTTCTTTCCACCATGGCTGGAACTGCAACATCACCTAGCACTTGAGACGTCTTTGAGACTTTCCACTGAAACCCTTGGTAGGCTGCTCATTCCTAGACCCTGCCGATTCTTACCTTGTACATGGTTAGCCCAGCCCTTGGCCAGGAATTCGCAGGGAACCCCCACACAGACTTCTGGGCTCTCCTTCTATGCACCCTTCTCTTCCACAGTCTATTCTTCACATTTTAGCTGCTGAAGCAGCTCTGAACTTAATCTCTGCTGCTCGCTTCAGTGGGACTGTCATATTCTGCTTGGGTTCCACCTCCCTATGCCTTGCTGGGGTGCAGTACGGCTCATCCCAAGTGTTCTTTTCTTTCAAGGATTGCAGTCCTGCACTGCCTTGTGGCCCATGTCCCCACACATTTATTGCATGTATTTTGCCCCACTTTGTACTTGATTTTTTTTGTTTGTTTTTGAGAGAGAGTCTCACTCTGTCACCCAGGCTGGAGTGCAGTGGTGCGTTCTCGGCTCACTGCAACCTGCACCTCACAGGTTCAAGTGATTCTCCTGCCTCAGCCTCCTGAGTAGCTGGGATTACAGGCGTGTGCTACCACACCTGGTTAATTTTTGTATTTTTAATAGATACGGGGGCTCACCATGTTGGCCAGGCTGGTCTCGAGCTCCTGACCTCAAGTGATCCTCCTGCCTTGACCTCCCAAAGTGCTGGGATTACAGGCGTGAGCCACCATGCCTCGCCTGTACTTGTTTTTAGTGGGAGGGCAAGTCTAGTGCCAGTTATTCCACTATGGCCAGAGGTAGAAGACTCTGTTATTATATTTGTGTATGTTGGAATTCAGGGGCCTGGGAATGTTTGCCTTTAGAGTTATGTGTTTAGAGCTGTGGGAATGATGTGAACATAGTATGGAACTGATAGCAGCTTAAATTTATTTTTAGTAACCGCTGAGAAAAAGAGATTTGTACAATGGGAAAAATTTCCAAGACATTAATTTGCATTTGGGTTTTTCTGTCCTCTAGTTAGTAAATGCTATTCTTGGAAACCAGTCATTATTTTAATGTGGATATGAAACCCATTGTTTAGTTTTTCAAAGACTTGATCTTGTGAACATTAAGAGGATATTTCATTTGGAATTTGTTTCATTTGCTGTCTTTGCCAGGATGGATTTTGAGGTTAATGGATTAAGCTGTTTACCTACTCATGTTTTAGGTACCCAGATGCTAGAGCCATGCAGCGGAAGATAATATTTCATTCAGGCCCCACAAACAGTGGAAAGACTTATCACGCAATCCAGAAATACTTCTCAGCAAAGTCTGGAGTGTATTGTGGCCCTCTAAAATTACTGGCACATGAGATCTTCGAAAAGAGTAATGCTGCTGTCAGTATATTACCAAATATTTGCTCATTTTTTTCTTAATTTTCTTTTTTGGTGGGAGTGGGAAAAGATGTTTGTAGTAATTTACTGTTAACAAGAAATTACCATATTTCATTGTGTCTAAGAGGCTGTCAATTGTAAGATGTACCATTATTTTATATACAGTTAAGAAAGAAAAAGATGCTACCAACTGACTCTGACATGCTATCAATTCTTTTTTTTTTTTTTTTTTGAGATGGAGTCTCGCTTTGTCACCCAGGCTGGAGTGCAGTGGTGCGATCTTGGCTCACTGCAAGCTCCGCCTCTCGGGTTCATGCCATTCTCTTGCCTCAGCCTCCCCAGTAGCTGGGACTACAGGCGCCCACCACCACGCCTGGCTAATTTTTTGTATTTTTAGTAGAGACGGGGTTTCACCATGTTAGCCAGGATGGTCTCAATCTCCTGACCTCGTGATCTGCCCGTCTCGGCCTCCCAAAGTGCTGGGATTACAGGCGTGAGCCACCGCACCCAGCTCTATCAATTCTTAAGATGCATCTTGATTTCAGAGATACAAAAACATGAAAACATGTGCCAGTACAGTGAATGAAATACAATATTGAAGAACATTTTACATATGTAGAGAAATGCAGAAAGTAACATACAAATAAGCTTGAACCTATTACACCACCTCATCATATCTTTACATTTTATCATACTTGCTTCACTTACTTTTTTAAGAAATAAAATATTGTTGCTACTCTCAAAACTCTGTAGTCCTTTGCCCCATCAGAGTTAAGCACTACTCTATGATATTTAATTTACCTTTTATAGATTAGACCTCTGATGCTATCAGCTAGAGCTAATGATAAAGACTGAAGCTACCTTTTCAAAACTGAAAGGACTGAAGCCCTGTAGTCTGAGGCATCATTTTCACTAAATGGGCTACATTTTGGTTCATTGTTTTATTATGACTTTATAATGTGAGTTTAACCAGTTTTGGTAGGTAATTTGCATTCTCTTTTTTTTTTTCTGAACAGTTTGAGCAATTTACATACATAATACCTCTTTATCTGTAAATACTTGAGAATATGTTTCCTCAGAACAGACTTTTACGTAACCACAGGATATTTGTCTGAAGCAGGACATTTAATATTGATAGATTACTCTTACTTAATACACAATCTATATTCAAATTTTATCAATTGTCCAATTACACCCCATCCTCCACCCCTCCAGGGTTCTTTTCAGGGTCTTACACTGTATTTAGTTGTCATATCTCTAGTTTCCATTAATCTTGGACAGTTCCTCAGTCTTCCTTTGTCTTTCATAACCTGTACATTTTGGAAGACTATAGGTCAGTTGTGTTGTGAACTGTCTCTCAGTTTGGATGTGTCTGGTGTTTCCCCATGATTAGATTCAGGCTATTATGATGACCAGCCATCCCAGTTTGCCTGGACTTCTCCAGATTTAGCACCAAGAGTCCTCCATTCTGGGGAACCCATTAGTCCTAGACAAACCAGAATGGTTGATCACCCTGATACAGCATTAATGTTGGTCCCTCTCAGGGAATTATAATAGGAGGTCTTTACATTCTTAAATTGTATTTATAATGTTCTTCTTGAATATAGAAACAACTCATTTTAATGAAGTCAAATAGTTCAGAGATGTACAAAGTTAAAATGTGAAACTGCTGCAGTGTCTCATGCTTTTGTTACCTGAGGATTTAGCTGATTTGAGATGTTTCCAGGTTTACCCAAGTTGTGTAAGAGAGTGGCTCTTATTTTACTTTATTTTTTATAAAAGGGAAAAAAGCATTGGGAATTTTTTTTTTTTTTTTTTTGAGACAGTCTTGCTCTGTCTCCAGGCTGGAGTGCAGTGGCATGATCTCGGCTCACTGAACCTCCATCTCTCAGTTCAAGTGATTCCCCTGCCTCAGCCTCCCGAGTAGCTGGGACCACAGGTGTGCAACACCACTCCCAGCTACTTTTTCTGTTTTTGGTAGAGATGGGATTTCATCATGTTGGCCAGGATGGTCTCTATCTCTTGACCTTGTGATCTGCCCACCTCAGCCTCCCAAAGTGCTGGGATTACAGGCATGAGCCACCGTGTCTGGCCGTGGGAACATTATGTTTTAACTGTGAAACAAACTAATTTGGTGGTAGTGGAGAGAACACCCTGTTAAATATCCAAAACGTATTTTTGCATTATTTTCAATAATTCTAGTTTTTTTTCTGTCTTTCTAGGGTGTGCCATGTGACTTGGTGACAGGTGAAGAGCGTGTGACAGTTCAGCCAAATGGGAAACAGGCTTCACATGTTTCTTGTACAGTTGAGATGTGCAGTGTTACAACTCCTTGTATGTATATGCTGTTTAAGAAACTATGGTTTGGTATTTTTAATTTTTTTTTTTTTTCAAGACAGAGTCTTGCTCTGTTGTCCAGGCTGGAATGCAATGGTACTATCTCGGCTCACTGCGACCTCTGCCTCCCCAGTTCAAGCGATTCTCCTGCCTCAGCCTCCCAAGTAGCCGGGATTACAGGTGCCCGCCACCACACCCGGCTAATTTTTGTATTTTTACTAGAGACGGGGTTTCTCCATGTTGGTCAGGCTGGTCTCAAACTCCCGACCTCAGGTGATCTGCCCACCTCGGCCTCCCAAAGTACTGGGATTACAGGCGTGAGCCACTGCGCCTGACCATGGTATTTTTAATTTTAAAATACACTTGAACATGTGAAATACGATTTTTTTGTGTGAAGAAAAAATTTTAAAATCTAGAAAAAGAAGAGAATAAGTATGACAAACGTGCGATCCTGCCACCACTGACAAATGCCTGCACCTGAAGTTCTTTCCCTTTTTCTCTTAAAAGAGCTGAAATGTTAATAAGCATAATTGAAATTTCCTTTGTACCACTCTCCAGTTTAATTCCTCTCTCCTCTTTTGTTCTAACTGGTAACAGATATTTGGTGTGTATAGTTTTCCTGTCTCTTTTCAGGATATATATTATATCACTGATACGTATTACCAGTATTCTAGATTGTTGTGTTTTAAAACATTTATGTGATTATTGTATTATTATTGTTCTACCACTTGCTTGTTTACTCCACAAATGTGTTTAGATCTATCTAGTCTTATTGAAGTATCTATAGCTACATATTTGTAGTTATTTCATTTAAACTGTTTTATAGTATTCCATCTTAGAACTGAAATTATTTGTTCCCCATTTGTTAAAGGATATTTAGGTTGTTTAAAGTTTTTTCCTGTTATGTACACTGCCACAATGAGCTTCTATTTAAAGTTGTTTTGTTTTGTTTTTGAGTCAGGGGCTCACTGTGTCACCCAGGCTGAAGTGCAATGGCGCAGTCATGGCTTACTGCAGCCTCGACCTCCTGGGCTCAAGCAATCCTTCTGCCTTAGCCTCCTGAGTAGCTACAACTACAGGTGTGAGCCACCACACCCAGCTAATTTTTTATTAATAAATTTTTTGTGGAGATGGGTTCTTGCTGTGTTGCCCGGACTGGTCTCTAATTCCTGGCCTTGTGTGGTCCTCCCACCTAGGTCTCCCAAAGCAGTGGGATTACAGGTATAACCCACCGCACCTGGCCTTAACATTTAAGTGAAAATTAACTTTTTCCTTATTATGTAAGCAATCATATCTTCATTATTGAAAATATAAAAATGTAAGCAAGCAAACAGAAGAAAACAAATGTACATAATTTCCCAGTCCCACCTATCCGGAATCAATAGGTGTTAATTAACCCTATATATTTTCCAGACTTTGTTAATATTTGTGTTCATGTTGTGTATGCATATAGTTATATGTGCATGGTGGGTGTGTATATTAAACAAATAGGAAGGTACTTTACTATTTGGTAGCTTGCTTTTTTTCATTTTAATAATCAACTTTGTGAGAAGAATAGTTTTTAAAAAATCAATACATTATAAAGTAATATATTGTACAGTTGCACAGAAGTTTATAAATCAGAATTTCTTCTCTATGTCTTCTCTTCTAGTCTTGTTTGTACATATCCAGATCACGAAGTAGTTTTTTTTTTTTTTTTTTTGAGACAGGGTCTCACTCCTGTCGTTCAGGTGGGAGTGCAGTGGCACGATGACAGCTTATTGCAGTCGTGACCTCCTGGGCTCAAACAATCCTCCTGCCTCACTTTTAAATTTTTCTTTTGTAGAGAAGAGGTCTCACTTTGTTGCCCAGGCTGGCCTCGAACTCCCGGGCTCAAGCAGTCCGCCTCGCCTCGGCCTCCCAAAGTGCTGGGATTACAGGCATGAGCCACCATGTCCAGCCTCAATAAGTAATTTTTAATCTGATGATTGTTCAATATAAAATTAGCTTTCTTTACTTTCCTAAGTGTCATTGTATTTTTAAATGTTCTCTTTTCAATTCTGTAGTATTTGGGGAAGAAAGTAAAATATAATATATGAATTACAGGGAATAGAATAAGGTATTTGGAAGCATTTTAGCTTTAGAAAATGAGATGAGACACTACTTTTTGCCATAGCGATGGATTTAAAACCCCTAAGGATGAGCATGACTGAGGCCCAAGGAATTATTCCTTCCACTTCACTTTCTGCTCCTGAGAGCTGCCTGGTTTCCTGTGGTAGAGATGCTTCATTAGTAAATGAAGGGCTGTCACCTCCTTGTTCTGGAACTTGCCTTCTTCTTTTACTTCTGTCCAGATGTGATAGTTCTCATCAGAGAAATTCTCCAGGCTGTCTCTTAGATTGCAAAAAAACAGGACAAGTGGAACTGCTCAGTGTGGGAGGCAGTGTGGTAGAGTATGTAAGAGTATGGACTTGGAGCTGGATGTGGTGACTTGTGCCTGTTAATTCTGGCTACTTAAGAGATTGAGATGGGAGGATTGCTTGAGGCCAGGAGTTCGAGACCAGCCTGAGTAACATAGCAAGACCCTCATCTCTAAAGAAAAAAAAACCTTTTTTTTTTTTGAGCTGGAGTCTTGCTGTGTTGCCCAGGCTCGAGTGCAGTAGTGCAATCTTGGCTCACTGCAGGCTCCGCCTCCCGGGATCAAATGATTCTCCTGCCTCAGCCTCCAGAGTAGCTGGGACTACAGGCGCACGCCACCATGCCCGGCTAATTTTTGTATCTTTAGTGGAGACGGGGTTTCACCATATTGGCCAGGATGGTCTCGATCTCCTGACATTGTGATCCACCCGCCTCGACCTCCCAAGAAAATGTTTTTAAAATTAGCTGGTCATGGTGCTGCGTGCCTGTAGTCCCAGCTGCTTGGAAGCTGAGGCAGGAGGATTGCTTGAGCCTAGGAGTTTGAAGTTACAGTGAGCTATGATTGTGCCACTGGACTCAGGCTGTATGACAGTGAGACACTGTTAGGAAGATCACTTTCAACCCAGGAGTTCAAGGCCATCCTGAACAACAGTGAGACCCTGTATCTAAATTAAAAAGAAAAAAAAAAGAGTATAGACTTTGGAGCTAGATGGCCTGGGTTTGAATTTCATCTCTGCATTTAACTGTATAACTTAAGGCAAGTAACTTAATTTCTCTGGGCCTCTGACTTTTTCTGTCAAATGGAGATAGTGATAATACTTAACCTCATAGATTTGTTGTGAGGATTAAAGAGGAGGTACTTAAGAGGAGGTAAAACACTTAGAACAAACCTGCTGGAAAAGAGGAACCCAGTAAGTGATGGTGGTAGTGGTGATGGTGATGCTTGAATTTTGGTGTTGGAATTTGTTTATAATACTATTTAAGTAGATGGTATTGCTCATGTTAACTTTTTTATTTTAAGATGAAGTGGCTGTAATTGATGAAATTCAAATGATTAGAGATCCAGCCAGAGGATGGGCCTGGACCAGAGCACTTCTAGGTTGGTGGTCGTAATGCTATAAAACCCGTGCTTTATGACATCTGCGCTGAGATGCATTTTTATCTGCTTGCCATTGCCAACCAAATAGAGTCACCTAGAACCTTTCTTTTTGACACAAAAAAGTAAACTAAGTATGAGTTTTTATTTTCTAAATATTATTTTAATAATGGGAAATCTATTTTTTCCTGTGCTAAAACTAGCATAACCATGTAATTAAAGTTAAAATGTTCAAATCTCATATTTACACAACTACAATTTATGTTTTGGTGTGTTTCATGCTAGTCTTTTCTTTTTTGTATGTGCATATGGTGTTTTGAGAACATTAGTTTTGTATCTTGCTGTTTTTCATGTGACATTTTTCATTATGTATTAATATGATCGCATATCTCTATTGAAGGGCAATACTGTAATTTGCTCCATAGAGTTGAACCTTTTTTTCCCTATTACTAATAACGCTGCAGTAAAAATCTTTGTGGCCAAAGCTTTTTATTTTTTGAGACAGGGTCTTGCTCTGATGCCCAGGTTGGAGTGTGATGGCGCAGTTGTGGCTCACTGCAGCCTTGACCTCCTGGGCTCAAGCAGTCCTCCCATCTCAGTCTCCCGAGCAGCTGGGACCACAGCTGTTTGCCAACATGCCCCCTGGTTAACTTTTTAAATTTTTTGTAAAGACAGAGTCTCCCTATGTTGCCCAGGCTGGTCTTGAACTCCTGGGTTCAAGCACTCTTCCCACCTCAGCCTCCCCAAATGCTGGGATTACAGGCATGAGCCACTACACCCAGCTTATTTTTTATCTTTTTAATTATTTCTTTAGGATAGGCTCCTGTAAGTGGAGTTCTTGAGGTCCATAGACATGAATGAACATTTCTACTGCTTGATGTTGGAGTGAATTTTTGATCATGTTTTAGGGCAGATGTTTTCAAATTTAAAAACAAATAGCTGAACTTGGCTGGGTGCGGTGGCTCACGCCTGTAATCCCAGCACTTTGGGAGGCCGAGGCTGGCCGATTGCTTGAGGCAAGGAATTCAAGACCAGCTTGGCCAACATGGCGAAACCCTGTCTCTACTAAAAATATAAAAATTAGCCAGGCGTGGTGGCGCATGCCTGTAACCCAGCTACTCCAGAGGCTGAGGCACAAGAATCACTTGAGCCTGGAAAGGAGATATTGCAGTGAACCACAGTGAACCGAGGTCATGCCACTGCACTCCAGCCTGGGCGACAGAGCAAGACTCTGTCTCATGGAAAAAAAAAAAAAGGCTGAACTCTTTTTTTAAACAAAGAGTATACATTGAAGCCTGTTATGTAAAATACATGGAAGTGGATCTGCTCGGGGATAAGGAGCTTGGAGTTTCTTCTGCCCTCCAACCCCCAACCTCTGAGGTACCTCAGCGATTCCATGGAGCCTAATTTGAAAAACACAAGTATAGGGTCTGTGTTCAGTACTTAGCATCCAAATGCCAGCTTCTAATCCTGGCTCATTTCACTCTGATAGAGTTGAAACTTTGGCCAAAGCAATTTAAAAGGCCTGAGATTAATAAAAATTGGATAATCTTTGCCCATTAGAAGTTGGTGATTATTTCAAGGTTTGCATCAGAGATAATATTTTTGAAAATACTTGGTAAGGTTGTAAAGCAATATGTAAGCCAACGTAAAGTACTTTGGCTATGTAAAATGTTGTATATTTAATTATAAATCTTTAAAATTAAGAAACCCAGTTTTGCATTGACAGGACTGTGTGCTGAAGAGGTTCATTTGTGTGGAGAACCTGCTGCTATTGACCTGGTGATGGAGCTTATGTACACAACGGGGGAGGAAGTGGAGGTATTCGATTAGATGCTTTGTTCTCCAGGTGGCATATCAAATAGTCCAGAGTACCTAGGCAGTGGCTTCAGAGGCCCTAGATAATGCCAGCGTCAGAACTTAACTAAAAAGAAAGCTTCATTTTCTTGTGATCAACTAGACCATATATATTTGATTGAACCTCATGATCTGAAGTTCTGACAGAGTGGTCATCACACCCTAAGTCTTCCAAGAGTACAGGAAATTCTTCACTTCTTGACAAAACCTTGTGGGGCTTGAGTAGATCTCTTCGAATTAAATAAATCAGTACTCTTAGAAGTTGGAGACCCAGCAAGTTTGTCGTTTTCAAAGTGTTGTATGTCAGATATTGGGGCCTTTGATACACATCTAATTGCCAGACACAGTTTATATTCCTTTTTGAAATTCTTAGAGTTGGAAGTAACTGGTTTCCTTTTAATCCTGCTTCTCTTTTTCTTTACCAGAGTTCTATAGTAAAATGAATTATTATTATTATTATTATTTTTTGAGACAAGGTCTCACTCTGTTACCCAGGCTGGAGTGCTGTGGTGCAATCACAACTCACTGCAGTCTCAGCCTCCTGGACTCAAGTGATCCTCCCACTTCAGCCTCCCAAATAGCTGGGACTACAGGTGTTTGCCACCATGCCCATCTAATTTTTTATTTTTTGAGCAGAGGGCATCTCACTGTGTTACCAAGGCTGGTCTCGAACTCCAGTGCTCAAGCAATTCTCCCACCTTGGCCTCCCAAAGTGCTGGGATTATAAGCATAAGCCAAGGAAATAGTTTTGAATTAGCCTGTTATTTTAGTTTTGTGCTCAGTTTTCAAGGAGAGATAGTGGAATATAGTGGAAGAAATTTTGGAGTCCATTCTGTGTTTTGCCATTCTTAGCTTTGCATTCTTTAGACAAGTCACAGAAGGTTAGACTTGCAAAATGTGCCTCAGACATTAATTTTTTATTGGGCTCAGTTTTACTATTTTATAAAATGGAAATAGCAGTTAATAACCTTTCTGAACTTAACACATTGCCGTGAAAATGAAATATATGAGAAAAAGCTTTGAAAACAGGTGAAACACTCTGTTTCATCTTATTAATTTAGAGATGCCAATGAGAAGTGATGGTAACACTTATAATATCAAAATAAATGTTTTTCTGTGTTTTCTTTTGAAAAACATTGGTACTTATCAGTTTTTAGCTACTCTTAACTGCATTACAATCTTTTCACTTAATTACTAGTCACAAGAAGTTGAGTTGGGTGTGTCATTTTGCCATTTCATGTCTTTATTGTAGGTTCGAGACTATAAGAGGCTTACCCCCATTTCTGTGCTGGACCATGCACTAGAATCTTTAGATAACCTTCGGCCTGGGGACTGCATTGTCTGTTTTAGCAAGAATGATATTTATTCTGTGAGTCGGCAGATTGAAATTCGGGGATTAGAATCAGCTGTTATATATGGCAGTCTCCCACCTGGTAATTATTGACTTTCCTCGTGACAAGATATGAAATCTCCTATCTTTGCAATTTATGTTGAGATATATATAAAAAAATGGTAAACAATATTGAATTAAGCTGCTTGATGTATTGGTAATTTGTTAAACGTCATATAAAATAAATAATTTTCTATTTCATCTTAGTGGAAATAGAAGTATTTTAATTATAGTTCTTGTTAGTTGCTGCTATTATTAGACTGTATCTTAAATGTTGAGTTTATTATTTTCTTACAGAAATGTCATTGAAATCTGGTCTTGACCATGTCCTTTTAAGTTGTAGTCCTGAAATCTGTGTCCTCAGGAATAAGGCTAGTGTGGTGGGGGATTGTGTTGCTATATGACGGAGTATTTGAAGGAATGGATGTAAAGGATAAGTGGCTCTTTGAGGATATAAAGAAATAAAGTTTGAAACAGTAAAGGTTTTATCATTAAAAATGGGAAGAACAGGAGGTGAGGGTTTCCAAGATGTACTTAGCTTGATGTAATAAAAGACTGAGAACACTGATTTAACATAAATTGTTCTTGTTTTAGGGACCAAACTTGCTCAAGCAAAAAAGTTTAATGATCCCAATGACCCATGCAAAATCTTGGTTGCTACAGATGCAATTGGCATGGGACTTAATTTGTAAGTAATTTGTTTTTAATAAGATGAATATTTGGTGAGTTAAATGGTGGTTTTTTTGTTTTTCAGTTTTCTAATTGGCATTAATGACCAAACGCTATGATTTGGGAGAATAAATATTATAGGCTAGATTTGAGGTTTGTCTTGCCTACACCTATTGAGGGAAATAAAAAGAAAATATTAAATAGTGCCAGGACTTTTCTTAGGGACAGGGTCTTGCTCTTTTACCCACGCTGGAGTGCAGTGATCAAATTGTAGCTCAGTGCAGTCTTGAACTCCTGGGCCCAAGTGATCCTCCTGCCTCAGCCTCCAGAGTAGCTGGGACCACAGGTGCACACCACAAAGCCTGGTTATTTTCTTTTTTTTTGGGTAGTGACAAGGTCTTACCCTGTTGCCCAAGCTAGTCTCTAACTCCTGGCCTCCAGTGATCTTCCCACCTCAGCCTCCCAAAGTGCTAGGATTACAGGCATGAGCCACTACACTCGGCCCACACTAGGACGTTTGAATGCTGCCCACCACTACTGCTAACCTATTGTACTACGTCACTTTACTTTCAGTTTCTCAGTCAGGTGTCCGAGTGCCTATTATGCACATGGGGCTAGTTATTATCTCTAAATGATAACAATGTTAAGCCTAAATATTATTTATTTATGTATTTATTTATTTCTGAGACAGAGTCTCACTCTGTGCCCCACGCCGGAGTACAGTGGTGTGATCATGGCTCACCGCAGCTTCAAACTCCTGGGCTCAAGCGGTCTTTGTGCCTCAGCCCCCCGAGTACTAGAGCAACAGGCACACACCACTGAACCTAGCTGATGTTTTTAATTTTTTGTAGAGACTTGGGTCTTGCTATGTTGCCCAGGCTGGTTTTGAACTCCTGGCCTCAAAACAATCCTCCTGCCTCAGCCTCCCAAAGTGCTGGGATTATGGGTGTGAGCCACTGTGCCAGACTTTCCTTAATTTTGTAAGTGGCAGTCAAGGTTGCAAGAGGACCTAAGCTAGTATTGGAGTGAGCATTATGCAATGACCCAAGTATTGGAGGGTTTTTCATACAGTCTGCAGGATCACTTTTATTTCTGTTTCAGGAGCATAAGGAGAATTATTTTTTACTCCCTTATAAAGCCCAGTATCAATGAAAAGGGAGAGAGAGAACTAGAACCAATCACAACCTCTCAAGCCCTGCAGATTGCTGGCAGAGCTGGCAGATTCAGCTCACGGTTTAAAGAAGGAGAGGTTACAACAATGAATCATGAAGATCTCAGTTTATTAAAGGAAATTTTGAAGAGGCCTGTGGATCCTATAAGGGTAAGAGGTAACATGTTAACTACTGCTTCTCTGTGGAGGAGAGTCATTCTTTCCCTCACCCACCATCCAGACTCTCACCTCAGACACATTTCTGGATACAGACATAAGTGAAAGAAAATTTTGTGCCATGAAAACTGCATTAAAAAAAGCCCTACTTTATTGCTTTGGAGAGCCACAGAGTTCTTTGATCAGAGAATGGTATGCAAGTGAAGGTCCAGATTGACAAAGTTTAGTGAGCCTGATTTGCCTTTACTTCCTTCCGGAATCTAGCAGCGGGAAGGAACAGGGAGAAAAGCAGTTTCTTCAGCTGAGCACACAGAGCTACATTAGTGGACTGAAAAATGACCAGAAGCCTGAATATAGACGAAACCTTGTATTGCTTGGGGCAAAAACAGCCCTAAGCAATACAACTTCATCCAGTGAGGAGAAGGTTAAATTTTGGTTAATATTAGTTAATGAGTTAGAATTGTACATATTTGAAACAAACTTTCTAGTAATAGTCAAAATTTAAAGTTCCCTGGAAAATTCACTTACATGGCTTATCTCATTTGTGACACTAGATGAAGGGGAGTATAGACATGAGATCATACAGGGAGAAGCATGCAGGGAGAGAAGCTTCCAGGGGAAGGCTGTGCTGGAATCATTTCTGTAACTTCTCAGCAGTACAGTTAGGTTCGTGGTTGGCTCCTGTGACCTCCCTGCTTCCCTCCTGGGCACCTCATGTCTTGGACTCTTCTTCCCTCCCTTATGACTAATTTCTCTTGCCTCTTTTCTTCTGTCTTTTTCATTCACTTTCTCTCTCTGTTTCATACTTCATTCCTTATACTTTCCTGTGGCCATGTCCTAACGGTGTAATGTGTAGCTAAAGAGAACTCACTTCCAGTTTAAAAATGTTCTCATGTCTTTCTAGATGTATATATCTATGTTAGTTTTATTGCCTTGGTTAAAGTGACTGGGTTTTTCTTATTCATTTTAATTCAATGAGGAGAAATGAGACATGGAAAATGGTTTTACCCTGGAAAACAGGTTTTTCTTTCCTTTTTTTTTTTTTTTGAGATAGTGTTTCACTCTGTTACTCAGGCTTCAGTGCTGTGGCATGATCACGGCTCACGGTAACCCCAATCTCCTGAGCTCAGGAGAGCCTTGCACCTCAGCCTCTTGAGCAGCTGGGACTTCAGGTGCTCACCACCATGCTTGGCTGATTTTTTAAAAATTTTTTGTAGAGATGGGAATCTCCTTTTGTTGCCCAGGCTGATCTTGAACTACTGTCCTCAAGTAATCCTCCCACCTTGGCCTCCCAAAGTGTTGGGATTACAGGCATGAGCCACTGCACCTGGCCGTAAAATCTTTTTTTTTTTTTTAGACGGAGTCTTGCTCTGTCGCCAGGCTGGAGTGCAGTGGCGCGATCTCGGCTCACTGCAAGCTCTGCCTGCTGGGTTCAAGTGATTCTCATGCCTCAGCCTCCCGAGTAGCTGGGATTACAGGCACGCAGCACCACACCCAGCTAATTTTTGCATTTTTAGTAGAGACGGGGTTTCACCATGTTGGGCAGGATGGTCTCAATCTCCTGACCTCGTGATCCGCCCACCTTGGCCTCCCAAAGTGCTGGGATTACAGGCATGAGCCACCACACCCAGCCCATAAAATCATTTTTTGTACACTGCCAGATCATCATAGGTTTTAGAAATATAACTAAAATGTAAGCAAAAGACTAATTTCTCAGTGGCCATAATCTGTCATTTTTACTAAATCATCAACTTTTCTAATTGGTAATAAATGGTAAAATGATATTTTTTCTCTTTTACTCAAATTCTTGGCATTTACTTCATATGGTGAGAGCTTAGCCTGAATGGGACTTTATCGTGCAATAACTTAAGAAAATTTGTCCTTTTTGAAAAAAAAAAAATCAGCTTATGATTGTTTTTTCTTTTACTAAAAGGCAGCTGGTCTTCATCCAACTGCTGAGCAGATTGAAATGTTTGCCTACCATCTCCCTGATGCAACACTGTCCAATCTCATTGTAAGTGGAAACTCCCTTTCACATCTCCCCTAAAAATGTTGATATGTCAGGTGATTACTGGTTAACCTCATGAGCATGAATGGATAGTCTGCCTTTGAGAAGTTGCTATTTATAAAATTTATTTTACAAGTGAAAATTTTTTCTCAAAATCTTTTGGGACTTTAGCCCTGAGGAATTTCCTCTCAGTATTTCAGGTGGGGAAGGATATGAGGGAGTGATTAAAGCAAGCCTTTATGGAAGTTTGTTCTGGATTAAAGAGATTGTCTTTTATAGACTTGAGTATGTTATTCATTGTTCATTTTAATTCACTTAGGCAGTCCAGTAATTTCTGTCTTTTTTTCCCCAAGGATATTTTTGTAGACTTTTCACAAGTTGATGGGCAGTATTTTGTCTGCAATATGGATGATTTTAAATTTTCTGCAGAGTTGATCCAGCATATTCCACTAAGTCTGCGAGTGAGGTATGTTTTCTGCACAGCTCCTATCAACAAGAAGCAGCCTTTTGTGTGTTCTTCACTGTTACAGGTAAGCCTTTATCTTTAAGCTATTTTGAGTTCCTTCTGGTTGATGCAGGTTCCCCAAACAGTACTTTGTTATTCAAAATAAAATAATTACAAGAGTATTCAGTAATATGAGAGACTTTGTAAAAACTTAAATAGGGGTTAATAGTAGCAACAGTGTTCAGTTTTCTTAAGTGTAAAGCACTGAGCCAGGGGTTACTGTCTTGTATGAGCACCATGCCAGGGTTCTAGCCTCTTTTAACTCATTTGGGTAGGGATGCAAATCTCTGACTTCTGAGAAGCACAGGATTCCTGGGGGCCAGGAAGGACAGTGGACTATGGAGAACCATAAATCTCTACCAAGGCCGGGTGCAGTGGCTCACGCCTGTAATCCCAGCACTTTGGGAGGCCGAGGCGGGTGGATCACTTGAGGTCAGGAATTCGAGACCAGCCTGGCCAAGCTGGTGAAACCCTGTCTCTACTAAAAATACAAAAATTATCCGGGCATGGTGGTGGGCACCTGTAATCCCAGCTACTCGGGAGGCTGAGGCAGGAGAATCACTTAAACCAAGGAGGCAGAGGTTGCAGTGAGCCAAGATCGCACCATTGCACTCCAGCCTGGGTGACAGAGCGAGACTCTGTCTCAAAAAAAAAAAAAACAAAACTCTACCAAGGTTTATCATAACAATACTTTTATTTAATTTAATTTTATTTATTTTATATTTGAGGCAGGGTCTTGCTCTGTTGCCCAGGCTGGAGTGCAATGGTGCAATCACAGCTCACTGCAACCTCAACCTCCCTGGCTCAAGTGATCCTGCCACCTCAGCCTCCCAAGTAGCTGGGACTACAGGCATGTGCCACCATGCCCAGCTAATTTTTGCATTTTTTGTAGAGACAGATCTCTCTATGTTACCCAGGCTGGTCTCGAGCTCCTGGAGGCAAGTGATCATCCCACCTCAGCCTCCCAAAGTGCTGGGATTACAGGCATGAGCCACCTAGTCCAGCCTAATATTTTAATTATTAAAAATGTTTTTGAAAGGATCCAAATGTCCAACAAGAGGGAAAAGGTTAACTACATTATGGCATATCCACTTGATTGGATATTAGGAAGACATTGCAATGATAATTATGATTATAATGAAGAAATCTACATAAGTGGTTACACTATAACAGTAAGTGAGGGAAGCGGTTCAGAACTGTATGTACCTTATAAACATAACATGTTCTCTCACCTCCCGCCCTATTTCCTCTGCTTTGCATGCTCTCCCCACCCCACTAAACCCAAAGGCCTCCTCTTCTCTGAATCTTGTCCTGACTCACTGAGGTTCACTGCCATTTCCTCTGTAGGCCTGAGCATTCTACATATGAGCTATATTCTAATCAAATCTAGCTCTAAACTTATTTTTTAAATAACATAAATAGTCCAGTGCTGTGGCTCATGCCTGTAATCCCAGCACTTTGGGAGGCAGGAAGGATTGCTTAAGCCTAGGAGTTCGAGAACATCTCCAGCAACATAGCAAGACTCTGCCCTTTAAAAAAAAAATTACATAAATAATACATACATTCTCTTTATACAAAATGAGAACATTACAGATAGCTTAAATGTGGCTCCCTCCCCAATCTTAGTCCTCTGAAATAACTACTTGTGTAAGTTTGTGTGTATCTTTGCAGACTGTTTTTCATTGCGTTTGCCTATGTGCATGTTCATGTGGAAACACTAGATTTGTTGTGAGGGTGCATTTCCCCATAAAAAATTATCTTTTTTTTTTTTTTGAGACAGAGTCTCACTCTGTCGCTGAGGCTGGAGTACAGTTGTGTCATCTCAGCTCACTGCAACCTCTGCCTCCTGGGTTCAAGCGATTCTCGTGCCTCAGCCTCCTGAGTATCTGGGATTACAGGCATGTGCCATGCCTGGCTAATTTTTGTATATTTTGTAGAGGCAGGGTTTCGCCATGTTCCCCAGGCTGGTCACGAACTCCTGAGCTCAAGCAGTCCACCTGCCTCAGCCTCCCAAAGTGCTAGGATTACAGGCATGAGCCATTGTGCCCAGCCCTATCAACGTTATCTTAATGAATTACTCACAACTTGCCTTTTCTTTTTCTCTTAATAATATGTGTTAGAGATCTTCCATGTCCAGATGTTTACCTAGAAAATATGTTTCTTAGAGCTGGCATTTGTGAAAAACTTAGCTAGCATAAGGTTGAAGTTTATGGAACAGTCTTGAACTGCTGTAAACTGACCTGAGTGGAACTCAGTCCCATGGCCTTGGCACCATTCACACCATCCTTTAAACAGCTATTCTAGTGAATAGAAGCTCTTTACTAAGGTGTAGGGAGTCTCTGGAACATGCAGGTCAACAGTTGCTTGTTTTCTTAAGATAAGGTCTCACTATGTTGCCCAGGCTGCAGTGCAGTGGCACAATCATAGCTCACTGTAACCCCAAACTCCTGGGCTCAGGCGATCCTTCCACCTCAGCCTCCTGAGTAGCTAGGACTACAGGTGTGCGCCATGATGCGTGGTGTGTTTTCTTTTTGAGATGAAGTCTCACTCTGTTGCCCAAGCTGGAGTGCAGTGGTATGAGCTTGGCTCACTGCAACCTCCGCCTCCCAGGTTCAGGCGATTCTCCTGTCTCAGCCTCCCGAGTAGCTGGGATTACAGGTGCCCGCCACCATGCCTGGCTAATTTTTTGTATTTTTAGTAGAGATGGGGTTTCACCATGTTGGCCAGGCTGGTCTCAAACTCCTGACCTCAAGTGATCCACCCGCCTTGGCCTCCCAAAGTGCAGGGATTACAGGCATGAGCCACCACACCCGGCCGCTCCGTGTGTTTTCTGTTTAAAAATTAGAATATGAAATCTAGAGGCTTTTCCTTTTTTCCTGATCTTTGTCATTACTGAACTATGAAAGAGCTCAATCACATTAATGACTTAGGATGCCCCTTAGGACTGTGATTTGGAAGCTGTGCTCCATGGAGCTCCTTTAGGGCCAGCTGCTGGATGGATGGATGGATGGATGGATGGATGGGCGGGCATCTCTCCCTGCTCTCTCTGCATAGCTCCTTACTTAGCTCTTTTATGTATTGGGCTTCCACTAGTTGTTTGTGGCCAAAAAAAATAGAGCCACTGCCTTTATAAGATAACTTGAGAACTCATGCTTGGCCTGTCCTGCCTAGCAGGTAGTGTGGTCACATTTCTACCCTTTATGGCTATCCTACTTGGCATTTATTAAACTTAGCAGAGTGGACCAGACTGAATTTAACAAAATTGTGGCATTATTTAACTACAATTGATCTAAAACTGCTCTTCCTCTCTGAAGTATTAACCTTGCTTAGGTTAAGCATTTAGAGATAATTTCCCCTAATCAGGAAATGAATCATTTGAAATCAGCTTGAATCTTGAAGCTGAAGATTTTATTTAAACTCTTGCTTGAGGGGTCTTACTGTGTGGTTGTATGTCTATCTTCTGTAGTACAGGTGATGTATAATATTGCCTAATTCTGGGATGCAACATGGTTTTGAAAGCACATTCCCCAGCAGTGTCTTGTGGTTCAAGACAGGGCTGTGATGTCTCACGTTACCAGTGAGGAAGCTGAAGCAAAGAGTGTTGACTTGGCCAAAGCCACACAGCTCGCAGGAGGCAGATCCAAGATTGACTTCTGACCAGCCTTGCACCAGGCCACCTCAGAGGGTTTCTATATAATAAGGGAGGACAGCCAGGTGCGGTGGCTCACGCCTGTAATCCCAGCACTTTGGGAGGCCGAGGCGGGTGGATCACAAGGTCGGGAGTTTGAGACCAGCCTGACCAACATGATGAAACCCCGTCTGCACTAAAAATACAAAAATTAGCTGGGTGTTGTGGCGGGCGCCTGTAATCCCAGCTACTCAGGAGGTTGAGGCAGGAGAATCACTTGAACCCAGGAGGCGGAGGTTGCAGTGAGCCAAGATCGTGCCATTGCACTCCAGCCTGGGTAACAGAGCGAGACTCCGTCTCAAAAAAATAAAAAATAAGGGAGGACATTAACAAGATAGAGAAACTTAAGCTCGTATTTGAGGTTATAGGACTATTACATATGAGATAGAAATAGGAGTCTTCAGGTACTGTCTGTCCATAGCTTTAGAACATCACATATTCCTAAATAAGAGTTAACAGACTTAGGCCCTGGAAAGTTAGTCCTTCTACAGCTTCTTTTTTTTTTTAACTGCTCCTTGTGGAGCAGGGATACCCTATAGGTAGTGTGCCCAGAGTAGCCCTTGAACTTCTGCTGCACATATTATTACCCTGGTTTTAGAAAAAGAAGGAAATCATCTTTTTTTGTTTTTTCTTTCTCCAAATGGTCTCACTGCTGGAGTGCAGTGGCACGATCATGGCGCACTGCAGCCTTGACCTCCCTGGGCTCAGTAATCCTCCACCTCAGCTTCCTGAGGAGTAGATGGAATCACAGGCACACACCACCATGCCCAGCTAATTCTTTGTGTTTTTTGTATGGATGGGGTTTCTCCATGTTGCCCCAGCTGGTCTCGAACTCCTGGGCTCAAGTGATCTACCCGCTTCAGACTCCCAGAGTGCTGGGATTATAGACGTGAGCCACTGTACCTGGCCTTATAAAGTATTAAATGTTCTTTAAAATGTAGAAGAGTATAAAGGAGAAAAGAAACCACCTGTCTATTGAAATACAACCACAATGTTTTGTTTTGCTTTCTTTTTTTTCTCTTTCTAATTATAGACTTAAGGGAATTCTGACACTTCTCTGAAACCCTTTTCCTCTTTCTCTCTCAGTTTGCCAGGCAGTATAGCAGGAATGAGCCCCTGACCTTTGCATGGTTACGCCGATACATCAAATGGCCTTTACTTCCACCTAAGAATATTAAAGACCTCATGGATCTTGAAGCTGTCCACGATGTCTTGGATCTTTACTTGTGGCTAAGGTACCAACATTTTTCCTTTATGTGCTCTCATTTTTCTAGTAGGACAAATTAAAGGTTTTATGAATTTGTTTTTCTATTTCAAATTATGGACATATTTGCAAGATGCTCTATATTATGTCTATTGTCCATAAAGGCAATTCAACTGATGGAATGGTTTCCCATTCCAAAAATGACTTGAGTTCTTGCAATTCTAGTTAAGATGGCTAGGTGAGAAGGAAGGTCCACTGGACTCCTGCTGGTCAAAGGATGGTCCTTGGACCAAAAGCATTGGTATCACCTGGGAGCTTGTTAGAACTAAGGAGTATCAGGCCCATGCCTGACTTGATCAGATTCTGCATTTTAACAAGATCCCTGGGTGATTCACTTGTACATTATCATTTGAGAAGTCCTGTTCTAGGCCAGTGATTCTCAAAGGAGGGGCATGTCCCTCTCCAGGAGTATATCAGAGTCTATTGAGGTATAGTGCTGACCCACCCTCAGGATGACATATTCCTCCGATATGTGGGGGCAGAAATCAAGGTTGAGCAAAGGCACTGAAGAGAGTTTGCAAAAAGAACATTTAGAATTTATCAATGTCATGATGTAGGTGTGCCATTGAGAGTTGTCCAGTGACTGCGATAAGAGCTGTTGCTATAATGCTAATGTGTCTTTTTCCCAGCTACCGATTTATGGATATGTTTCCAGATGCCAGCCTTATTCGAGATCTCCAGAAAGAACTAGATGGTATTATCCAAGATGGTGTGCACAATATCACTAAATTGATTAAAATGTCTGAGACGCATAAGCTGTTGAATTTGGAGGGCTTTCCATCAGGGAGCCAGTCACGATTGTCAGGAACCTTAAAGAGCCAAGCTAGAAGGACACGCGGCACCAAAGCTCTAGGGAGTAAAGCTACTGAGCCACCCAGCCCCGATGCAGGAGAGCTGTCCCTTGCTTCCAGATTGGTGCAGCAAGGACTCCTCACTCCAGACATGCTGAAACAGCTAGAAAAAGAGTGGATGACACAACAAACTGAACACAACAAAGAAAAAACAGAGTCTGGGACTCATCCAAAAGGGACGAGAAGAAAGAAGAAGGAACCTGATTCGGACTAGTTTTCTGTTCCTGTTTTTTTTTTTTTATTTAATTTTGCAAATAAAAATTTATTTTGAATCCTTTTTCCTCATATGCATTTACTCCCTCCTCTAGTATTGTGGCTATCTGGTACTGGGGGATTTTTGGTGTGTGTGTGTGTTTGTGTGTGTGTTTGTTTGTTTTTTCTTTTTTTGCACAGAAAAATCTCTCTTGATGACTAAACTTGTTTTTTTTTTTTTCAACATTTAGAAAATACTAGGATATCATGGAGGTTTAATTTAAGTCTTTATATAATGGCCATTTGTAGAATAGTACTAAGACAGTGCACTATAAGGAACTCTGCATGGGAATAAAATCACTTTGGTGAATTGTTTGACCAGTTTCCTATGCCATGCTGAGGATGTCATGGATGCAGTTCTTTGACAAACATTGCTGTCTGTTGTACCCATATACCAGAGGCTATTTAGGTGCTGGAAATATGCAGTAAGCAAGACTGACAATCTTCTACCCTCATGGATCTCATATTTGGTAGGAGAGACAGGAACAGGTTAACAAATAAATCCTGTCAGATCGGTGAGGGCAGAGATTGTAGTCTATTTCACTACTGCATCCACAGTATCTGGAATATAGCAGAAGCAAAATCATTCTTTGTGAGATGAATGGGTGTAATTTTAGAGATGAATGCTAGAAAGAATAAGGAAAGAGTGATGCTGAGTGGCAGGGAAGGGCTGTTTTAGGTAGGGTGGTCTTCCCTTGTCCAAAGGCCAGCCTACACTTGTTCAACGAAGTTTTCAACCCTGTTCAGAAACCTAGCTAAAAGGGGTTTAAAGATGGAAGCTTTGGAGTTAGACAGATGTGGTTCCTTTTCATATCACAGCTTAGCAGCCTTGCCATCTCTGGGCTTGATCTCACATCTGAAGAAAATGGTCAGTATGCTCACTTAGAGTTGTTTGGGAGGTTAAGTGTGATCACGTGCCATTTAGCACAGGGCCTGGCACACAGGAAGCATTTTATTATATAAATGAACCTGAAGGTTTGGGTCCAGTCTGGGCTGTGAATTGAGCTCTCAGATTATTCTGACAACTGAACTAATTTCTTGAGCAACTATTGAATTGGGGCTGACCTCCTGGTAGGGATTAAATATGATTTGACTCAAATTGGGTGAGGGAACGTAGCCAGATCTGCAACCTCTCTCTGCTTTTTTCTTTGGTGGTTCAGAGGTAACATTTAACTGAGATGACAATCTTCATTCTGACCTTTGCCTTCATGGGAGTAAAGGCTGAGTGGGTGGCACTGACTCTATTTCCTCCTTGCTTATGGATAAACTAGTGAAATGCCTGGAAGGGCTTATCTCTTGATATTCTGCAGTGGGGCAACTGCAGCTTCTAGAATTTGCTTACCCCTGTAACTTACACCATAGCAGACATAATCATTCTTGTCCAGATGGTTACAAGAAATACCTATGAACTGAACCAAATAGTGGATTTGGTCCCATCGTATGTAAGTGATGGGGTGCATCACTTAGAATGCTGTTAACTCTCCCATTTTCTCCAGTTTGGGGGCCAGAGTTGTTAAGTCAGAGAAAGGACTTAGGCAAGACACTTAAAAACTAAGGCAAGTGAAAAGTCCTGAATATGTTAAATAAAGAAGTGGCTGGGTGCAGTGGCTCATACCTGTAATCCCAGCACTTTGAGAGACCAAGGCAGGAAGATTGCTTGAGGCCAGGAGTTTGAGACCAGCTTGGGCAACACAGTGAGACCCCATCTCTACAAAAAATTTAAAAAATTAGCCGGATATGGTGGCATTCACCAGTAGTACAGCTCCTTGGGAGGCTCTGGTGGAAGGATCACTTGAGCCCAGCGTGTTGAAGCTGCAGTGAGCAGTGATCATGCCACTGCATTCCAGCTTGGACAACAGAGCGAGACCCTGTCTCTAAATAAGTAAATAAATAAAGCCTCAAATAAGAGAGGTGGGGGTGGGAGGTCCTGTAAAGGAAGGGCTGCTTGAACATTCAGCTAACGAGCATTTATAGTGATAGTTTGCCCTTTCACGTCTCCTTCCTTTGGAGGGAAAGGAGGGAACTGTGGTTAGAAGAAGAGACAGACTAAAGAAAAGATGGCAGCATGTGAAGCAAAACAGGAAAAATAGAATTGGAGTGGCCCTGGAGAATTATCTTCAGTGTACCTAAAATTGTCACCAAGAAAGCAGCCTAGTCTTCCTTCTCTGCAACAAGCTTGTCATGTCACTTATCTTTCTTTGTGGGCTTCAGGGCCAGCTAAATTCCAGGCATTCATTTCCATTTCACTATGGTCATGTCACTCTTTGTGAGAGACAGCTCTTTCCTGTCCTTGCAGTCTTCTCACGGATTGTGAAGTACTCACCTGAGAGCCCTCCGTGGATTATTATGGATTCCACTGAACTTAAACATGGGATGTGGACTAAGGCTTAGAGACTAATCTCAACCTATCACTATACAGACCTGATAATTTAATAAAATGTGATTAGAAAATGACTGGGAATAATATCCAGTGACTTGTAATGTTTTGTATGTTACATATATGGAAGAGTGTAAATCTGCAAAATGAAACTCTTGAAAAGTGACTGTAAATCACAAATATATAAAACTATCATCACAAATTAGAGTCTCTTATGACTCAAAACTGGGAGTCTGTAATTATGATGCAGTCATTCTGTGTGTGTCTAACTCAAACCTATTAGGATGTAATGAAAAGTAGAGATTTGCTATGGGACAGGCAAATGGATAAGGGAGTCATGCTGAGATTTCCCTCCCCTGTTTCACAGCTTTAAAATACATAAACCTGGCTGGGTGCAGTGGCTCACGCCTGTAATCCCAACATTTTGGGAGGCTGAGACGGACAGATCGCTTGAGCTCAGAAGTTCAAGACCAGCCTGTGCAACATGGCAAAACCCTGTCTCTACAAAAAAAGCAAAAATTAGCCCGGCATGTTGATGTGCGCCTGTAGTCCCAGCTACCTGAGAGGCTGAGGTGGGAGGATCACTTGAGCCCAGGAGGCGGAGGTTGCAGTGAGCTGAGATGGCACCACTGCACTCCAGCCTGGGTGACAGTACCAGACCCTGTCTCAAAAAAATAGATAAACCTCCACCTATAGTATCTCTAGATAAAGTAATTTTTAAGTTTTCTTCTGTTTCTTACGTTATTCTAATTCCTTTTTTTTTTCCCAGCTTGGTTTGATTTCTACCTTTATTGTTGGAAACTTGTCTCATGTGTCTAGCGATCCTTGCCTGTGTCTATGTTTAAAAGTGAAGAAATAAGCTAATGGAGAGCTCTGTTTATAGGCCTAATGTCTTTTCAGTTTTTATGCAGGTTGATTGGATGATAAGCTGGCTTTTTAAATGATTCCCTAAATGTCAGTATCTGTAAGGTTTATTTTACTTTATTTTATTTTTTGAGTCAGAGTCTCATTCTGTTGCCCAGGCTGGAGTGCTGTGGCATGAACTCTGGTCATACAACCTCTGCCACCCAAGGCCAGGTGCAGTGGCTCACGCCTGTAATCCCAGCACTTTGGGAGGCCAGTGGGGTGGGAGGGAGTGAATCATGAGGTCAGGAGTTCTAGACCAGCCTGGCCAATATGGTGAAACCCAGTCTCTACTAAAAATATAAAAATTAGCTGGGCATGGTGGCGCGTGCCTGTAGTCCCAGCTGCTCAGGAGGCTGAGGCAGGAGAATCCCTTGAACCCAGGAGGCGGAGGTTGCAGTGAGCCGAGATTGTGCCACTGCACTCCAGCCTGGGCGACAGAGTGAGACTCCATCTCAAAAAACAAACAAATATACAAATAAACAGAAAACAACCTCTGCTTCCCAAGTTCAAGCAATTCTCCTGCCTCAGCCTCCTGAGTAGCTGGGATTACAGGCGTGCACCACCACACCCAGCTAATTTTTGTATTTTTAATAGAGACTGGGTCTCACCATGTTGGCCAGGCTGGTCTCGAACTCCTGACCTCAGGTGATCCCAAAGTGCTAGCATGAGCCAACATGCCAGGCAGTATCTGTAAGGTTTTTTGTTTGTTTGTTTTTGAGATGGAGTTTTGCTCTTGTTGCCCATGCTAGAGTGCAATGGTGTGATCTCAGCTCACTGCAACCTCCGCCTCCTGGGTTCAAGCAATTCTCCTGCCTCAGCCTCCAGAGTAGCTGGGACTACAGGTGCACACCACCACAGCCAGCTAATTTTTGTATTTTTATTAGAGATGAGGTTTCGCCACGTTAGCCAGGCTGGTCTCAAACTTCTGACCTCAGGAGGTCCACCCAGCTTGGCCTCCCAAAGTGCTGGGATTACAGGCGTGAGCCACCACGCCTGGCCTGTAAGGTTTTTTAAACATAAACTTAAAAAAAAAAAGTTAGGATAGTTTTAGATTTGCAGAAAAATTGCAAAGATAATACAAAGAATTCCCATATACCCAACACATTTCCCCTATTAACATCTTACATTTCCCCCATTAACATCTTACATTAGTATGGTACGTTTGTTATAATTAATGAACCAAGACTGATACATTATTATTAACTAAAGGCCACAGGTTTTTAGATCTCCTTAGTTTTTACCCAGTGGCCTTCTTCTCTTTTGGATCCCATCCAAGACACCACATGACATTTAGTCGTCTCCTTAAGCTCCTCTTGGCTGTGACAGTTTCTCAGACTTGCTGTAGATGATCTCAACAGCTTTAAGTACTAATCACGTATTCTATAGACTATTCATCAGTTGGGATTTGTCTGATGTTTTTCTTATGATTAGACTAGGGTTTGGGTTTTGGGAGAAAGAGCCCAGAGGTAAGGTGCTGGTCTTATCACCTCATATCACGGATCTGTACTGTCAACATGACTTCACCCTGCTGAAGTTGACCTTCATCACATGCCTGAGGACAACGTGTCAGGTTTCTTCACTGTCATGTTACCCTTTTCTCATTTTCCATACTGAACTGTCTGGAAAGAATCACTGTGTATACTGTGCTCCACCTCTTTGAGGGTGGAGTATCTGTGTTCATTCTTCTGCATGGGAGATTGGTCCTTTCTCCCTCACTTATATATTTATACAATTATTTGTTAACATCAGTATGGGCTAATGGAAATGTAGACTTTGGGTTATAATCCAATCATACTTTATCTTGCCCAATTTTTTCTTTCTTTCTTTTTTTTAACACTCCTATCAATGTTTTCTAGCTTTGGTTATTAGGAACTTTTTCACTTTCAGTTGGCTCCTGTGTTCCTTTGACACATCCGTATCATTTGGTTTTTGTTTTGTTGATTAGTTCCTTCCTTTCTGGCACTACAAGATGCGCCAGGACCATCTTGTATAGACCTGGTTCTTTGATCTGGGCACTAGGTGTGCTTGTTGCTACTGGGTGTCATTACTTCTAGTGTTTCTCAGCTGACAAAGCAAGGACATATGCACGTGTATACTAAGCTATATACACGTCTTCAAATCTTTATATAAACATATATGTATAGTCATCTATATGAATATCAAGCTAAACATGAGTGTATACTGATGTCCTCAATTCTAATCCAGTGACATGGATCATTCTAGCCTTCTCCCCTGCTTGAAGCCTCTCACTCCAGCAGCAAGAAACCTCCCTCCCGCCATCCACCATCCATGTACTTAATTGTTCAATTCCAGTATTCTTGTGTAGTGGTTTCAGAATTGTTAAGCGTGCTCTTGCAGGAAGCAACTTTATCAATCAGAATACAGTGCTACATACACTTCCTTTTACTTGTAGTCTTACTCTATTAATTTCCAAAGTTTCTTAGGTCAGCATATTTTCCCTCCCCTTCCCCTTCAGTGAGGCTATTTCACACACTTGCAACACAGTTAGACTCATGTCACAGTCTGTGTTGCGTCGCTGACCTCCTAAATGTTTTTTTGAATGTATGTACATTAAAGTTCATTCTTTGTGCTGTCAAATTCTATGGGTTTTGAAAGTGTGTCATGTATTTGCCGTTACAGTGTCATACAGAATAGTTTCACTGCCCTAAAAACGCCCTTGCGTTTCACTTATTCAGCATCCCCCACCTTTCCAAATCCCTGGCCACTACTGACTTGTTTACTGTCTCTATAGTTTTCCCTTTTCCATACCTGTGGGTTTGGGTTTTTTTGGGGTTTTTTTTTTTTCCGCTGAGATGGAGTCTGGGTCTGTCGCCCAAGCTTGAGTGCAGTGGTGCAATCTCAGCTCATTGCAAAATCTGTTCCCCAGGTTCAAGCTATTCTTGTGCTTCAGTCTCCTGGGTAGCTGGGATTAGAGGTGTCTACCACCATGCCTGGCTAATTTTTTTTTGTATTTTTAGTAGGGATGGGGGTACCACCTGGGCCAGGCTGGTCTCGAACTCCTGACCTCAAATGATCCACCTGCCTTGGCCTCCCAAAATGCTGGGATTACAGGGGTGAGCCACCGTGCCTGGCCAAGCTTTTTTATATAGCTTTTTAACCAATCTCTTGTTTTTGGCTCTATGTCTTGCCCCAGACCTCTGATTCCTGAGCATTTTAGAGTTTTACAAACGTCACAGCTCCTTTCTCACCCGAGTCACCCTCTGCGGGCACTCAGGTTTCAGTGTTTGCTCTACTAAGCAATTACTTCCGTGAGCTTCCTGTCTTCCAGAATTATGTTAAGATCTCTTATCAGTCACTGTTTCCTTTCTTTTTGTCCTTGTAGGTTAATGCCGTGTTTAACCAGAAGTCTCATTTGCTTTGAAAAGTTGGTTATTTTGTGCAATTGAGATTGTAATTATTCTGAAAAATGTTAAAAGTCACATGAACTGCATTTTCTTGTATGGCTTTTCTTTCCTTGATAGGTGTTTTGCAAATATGACCCTTAATGTACAGTTGTGATTTAGAAATCATGTCAGAATTTCTTCCTGAGCATTCCTTGTCTTCGGTTCAGAATAAACCTGTAAAAATGATTAGCAGCATTCTTTTGAAACTTGCTGAGGTTAGCATTTCTGCTTCATTTGTGGCTGCTCCGATAGAGACACCATTGTGACTGTAACCACTGGCAGCGTTTGGAAGTCTCTACATTGGTTTTCTTATTATGGAAGTTTGCTCTCCCACACAGTTTCTGATTCTTTTGCAGCAAGTGGAATACCAGCAGGTCACACTGATTTATGTTATGACGACTTAACTTTGGACTTACCATTAAAAAGAATACAGGGCAGAATTCAAGAGCTGTTTTCTTTAGTAACAGGAATAGAATTTCCATAAAATTCCCAACTGTTCCTTTAATTCCAGTACATGGAACAGGTACTTTCTAATGGTTTAGGATCATGCCTTACTGAGTGGACTGAAAGGTCTGCACACATTTTCTTATCCCAAGAGACCAAGTTGGGTGAGCGAAGAGGGGTCCCCAGCCAGGGAAAGGCTGAGCTTCAGGAGATGCTTCTAGTGTGCCCACTGTAGACCACATGCCTTTCCTTGTGTGATAATTTGCTTTCTTTCTCACTGTGACCACTGACATAGCTATGAAGCTTTTACAGATATGAATATAGACTTGGACCTTTACCTGCAGTTTAAGAAAAGCCAAAGTAGGACCCCAGGGCCTGTGCACTTTCCACTGTGTTAGAAAGAGCTTAGGGCCATTTTTCCAGCTGAGGCCCCAAGTCTCCCCGTGCCTTGTTTCCAGCCTAGCCAGTGTAGCACAGCGGGCAAGCAAGAACTCTGCAGCTAGACTGCCTGCGTTCAAATCTCGATTTCACTGCGTCCCAGTTGGGCTCTGTGCCTTGGTTTCTCCATCTGTAAAATAGGGAGAATGACAGTTACTGTGGAATTAATATCGTAAGACATCTAGTAAACCCCATGGGGAAGTGTTTGCTAAATAAATAGGTAAATTTTGCTGGACTTCTAGTCCTCCCACCATACTCAGTACTTAAAGAGAAACAGAAATTATCTTTGAGCCTTGCCAAAACGGACCGTGTAGATTAAAGTGGAGCTCTATGAAACGGAGATGTGTCTACAGATGGGAGAGTTTCCCTTCTTACATGGAAGATTTGGGCCAGATGGGTGATACGCTTTAACTAAAATGTCACTTGTCAGTGTCGGCCCTCAAATGGGTGTTCTTAAGCAAAATCCAACTACTTATAAGATTTAAACCTAGATATCCTTGAATAGCCAATAGAACTGTAGTAAGGGTGAAAAATCCCAAGACTTGAATTGGAGTAATCAGATGAGGAATGATAAAATAACCTAATTATTTTGTCTTGATTCTATAAAGTGAGAGGGCTGAGCTAGATGACTCCAAATGCATGTGATCTCTGTAATCATTAAACTTCCTGGTTTAGTCACCTTACTCAGGCCTGGAATGTAGACGCTAATGTGCTCAGATTAAAAAGGGAATGATGCAATAGATGAAAATCCTCTGGTGTCATTTGCCTGATTAAAATTCCAAAGGCTGCCTATCTGACTCACACAAGCAACCGTGAGATTACAGAGATCTTTGGTTATGGTTTGCATCTTTTGACCACTGGCTACTGTAACCTCTTATCCCTATGTCGAACAAATCAATGACAGTTGGTTCATACTGCACTGCCCAGGTTACATTTTTTTTTTTTTTTGAAATGGAGTCTCACTCTGTTGCCCAGGCTGGAGTGCAGTGGTGCAATATTGGCTCACTGCAACCTCCACCTCCTGGGTTTAAACAGTTCTCCTACCTCTGTCTCCTGAGTAGCTGGGATTGCAGGCACCCGCCACCATGCCCAGGTAATTTTTGCATTTTTAGTAGAGACAGGGTTTCACCATGTTGGCAAGGCTGGTCTCGAACTCCTGACCTCAGGCAATCTGCCCACCTCCCACCTCAGCCTCCCAAAGTGCTGGGATTACAGGTGTGAGCCACTGCGCCCAGCCCAGGTTACTTTTTAAATGGGGGAATTAAATGCTGGGTGTGGTGATGCAAGCCTGTAGTCCTAGCTACTCAGGAGGCTGAAGCCAGAGGATCACTTGAGCCCAGGAGTTCGAATCCAGCCTGGGCAAGACTGGATGGAGTTCAAATCCAGCCTGGGCAAGACAAGATGTAGTGAGACTCTGTTTCTGAAATAAATCAACTAGTGGGGGAATTAGGATAAATAATGTCATCACTTACGGGCAGATGGCCTTCCCAGGATGTTATCCTCAGCCAATGGGGGCTAGGGCCTAGGATGCGCATTTCAGAATACCAACAATTCCACCTGGTTTGGGGCACTGAATGGTTTGGGGAACTAAAGGTTCATCTTTGTTTGCTTGTGTAATAAAGGAGCAAGCTAAAAGTCATAGTCTGAGGGTAAATTGACTGAAAAGGATGGGGATCCTCAATCTGGGAGACAGTTTTAATATGCTTATATCAATCTGAATAAAGCATCTGGAGTAATTTTAACCGAGCCTCCTCTGCATTGTGGGCTTAAGTGAGACCTGATGGCTCGTCCACACGGCAATGGGTAGAGAGCACTGAATTCCAGCTACTCAGGAGGCTGAGGCAGGAGAATTGCTTTAACCCAGGAGGTGGAGGTTGCAGTGAGTTGAGATTGAGCCACTGTACTCCAGCCTGGGCAACAGAGTGAGACTCTGTCTCAAAAAAAAGAAAAAGAAAAACAAATTCTTAACATCCCAACAGAATGCTGCTACTAATAGTTATCAATTGCGTATCTATTGAGTATCTATTGCGTGGAGAAAGCAGGGCTGGAGAGCCAATGCCATGTATTATAGCTGGGCCCTGGAATCAAACTTCCAGGATTGACCCCTTGCTGTCCTGTTTATGGCTTTGTGATCACGTAACCTTTCTGGGCCTCAATTTTTTCATCTATAAAATAAGAGTGGGCCGGGAGCAGTGGCTCATGCCTGTAATTCCAACACTTTGGGAGGCTGAGGTGGGTAAATCGCTTGAGCCCAGGAATTCAAGACCAGCCAGGGCAACATGGCAAAACCCTATCTCTACAAAAATACAAAAATTAGCTGGGCATGGTGCCACGTGCCTGTAGCCCCAGCTACCCTGGGGATTGAGATGGGAGGATCACCTGAGCCCAGAAGGCTGATGTTGCAGCGAGTCATGATTCCACGACTGCATTCCAGCCTGGGGGATGAATGAGACCCTGTCTAAAAAATAATAATAACAAGAGTAATAAAAACAAAATGGGATTGGTAAATGCTCCATCCATGTTAGCCGCTGTTGTTAACGCTGTTGTTATTGGTTTCATTAGCCAGCCAGTGACTGTGGGAAGAGTGCAAGGTTGATTGTACCCATGTATTGGGTGCTTTCTGGGTCCTTCTCATGTCAAGTATGATGAGTGAGAAGTGAGTGAATAAAACATCTCAGTGGCCTGAGACATTTCTCTTTTTTTTCTTTTTTTGAGATGGAGTTTTGCTCTTGTCACCCAGGCTGGAGTGCAATGGCGCGATCTCGGCTCACTGCAACCTCTGCCTCCCAGGTTCAAGTGATTCTCCTGCCTCAGCCTCCCAAGTAGCTGGGATTACAGGCACCTGCCACCACTCCTGGCTAAGTTTTTTGTATTTTTAGTAGAGATGGGGTTTCACCATGTTGGCCAGGCTGGTCTCGAACTCCTGACCTCATGATCTGCCTGCCTCGGCCTCCCCAAGTGCTGCGATTGTTACAGGCGTGAGTCACTGCACCCGGCTGGACTGAGACATTTCTTATCTGTGACTTCCTTCTCTCCAGCAGTGATTCCCAGTGAGCACTGGTGACTTCAGTTCACTCTTTCTCAGGAATATTTTTTCCTGGGTCACTACCTGTGAACTAAAGATTTTCTGGCTTAACACTGTGAATAGGTAAACATTTATTGATCATTTTCTGTTAACCATGGGCTATTAGTTAAGAGATCTGATCTGTCACAAATGGAAGAATCTGCCCCAACATTCTTGAAATCCCATTGACCAGGACAATGTTTAGTTTTAGTTAGTTCAGTGCTTCTGAGGAGCAGGGGGTCACAGAGTTATGCCACTGGCATAAAAAACTAAAGAGAAAAGCCTGGGACTGGAAATTTGCAGAGCAGCTCCACCGGTTGAAAGTTGGCTTTGTTTAGTGCCCAACTTCGCAGAAGATTTTCCTCGGCTGAGTGGGCTTGGCAGAGCCCCGGCTTGAGAGGGTTGCTTAGCAATGAGATTTGGTGGCACCCAATTCTCAAGTAGTCAAGCAACCCATCAATACCCTGCTTCCCCCTCCACTAAACCTCAGCTACCATCCAGAGCCTCCTATTAGACAATCAAGTGTGTGCCAGAGGGAGGGACCAAAGGGGTGGGGTGGGGGGGAGTTTAATCATTGAACCAAGCAGGCTGGAGGTATTTAGTCCGCAACACCTCGCTCCCCAGGAGGTCTGCCAGCCTGGACTGGAAGCGTGCAACACTCCAGAGTCGTAGGAGTGAACACTGCACAGGAATCTCTGCCCATCTCAGGAGAAACCAAACTTGGGGAAAATGTTTGCGGTCCACTTGATGGCATTTTACTTCAGCAAGCTGAAGGAGGACCAGATCAAGAAGGTAAGGAGGACCCACGAAGCTGAGAGATGCCCAGCTCCTTCTTCACGGACAAAACTGATTCCCTTAAAAAAAAAATCAGAAGGGAGTGAAGAGAGCTTATTAGAAAAGATACTGGGAGCATATGACCAGTAAAAGACTCACTGAGGGAAGAGGGAGTAATTCTCCCACACTCCTGGGCATTGCATTACTGTCCTGAACCTTACACTTCACTCGGAACTTCCTGGCAGGTATTGGATGCGGAAGCGGGTGAGGAGGGTGTTTGGAAAGCTTGAAGAGGATTGTGTTTGCTGTAAGGGATGTTTGCTCGGAAAGGCCACAAAGGCGAGGAGAATCATTTTCAAAGAAGTTTTAAGAACTGTTGGAGCAGAAGGCTGGGCGCAGTGGCTCACGCCTGTAATCCTAGCACTTTAGGAGGCCGAGGTGGGCGGATTACCTGAGGTCAGGAGTTCGAGACCAGCCTGGCCAACATGGTGAAACCCCGTCTCAACTAAAAATACAAAAATTAGCTGGGTGTGGTGGCGGGCACCTGTAATCCCATCTACTCGGGAGGCTGAGGCAGGAGAATCGCTTGAACCCAGGTGGTGGAGGTTGCAGTGAGCCGAGATCGCGCCATTGCACTCCAGCCTAGGGGACAAGAGTGAGACTTCATCTAAAAAAAAAGAACTGTTGGGGCAGATCTGTTTGTTCATGTATTTGAAAGCATATAAATGTGGGCAGCAAGAAGGTGTGAGTTGCAATAGACAGTAATTGAAATATCTATTATTGGCACCTGCTATTTGCCAATGGTACACTATTCATGGTGTGCATTATTTTGTCACTTTGCTCAGGGAACTTGTCTACAAAATTCATTCCAAAGTGGGCTGGTTAAAGGTTGCCAAGGGTCAACAGGAGGGAACCAGGGTTCTTTCCAGGCAGCTAAAATGAGCCCAGTCTGCTACTCTGGCCACACCGGCTGGCTGTCACGGCCCTGGGCAAAAAGCATCTCTCAAAGTGCAGATGACAGAAGTCCTCCTAGCAGGAGGACTTAGCCAAGGTCACCAAGTATTTAGGATGGAATGAGGATTAAATCCAAGTTGGCTGACTCTTCCTTCAATGCTTTCTGCTGTGCCATGACTCCCTCCTGCTTTACAAAATGAATAAGGAGGCCAGGCACCGTGGCTCACGGCTGTAATCTGCATACACTGGGAGGCTGAGATGAGCAGATCTCATCTCAAACTTGAGGTCAGGAGTTTGAGACCAGCCTGGGCAACATGGAGCAACCCCATCTCTACAAAACATGTAAAAATTAGCCGGTCATGGTGGTGTGTGCCTACAGTCCCAACTACTCGGGAGGCTGCGGTGGCAGGATGGCTTGAGCCCGGGAGACTGCGCTACTGCACTCCAGCCTGGGTGACAGAGTGAGACCCTGTCTGAAAAAAAAAGGAAAGAAAAGAAAAAAAAAGGCCAAGGATGGTGGCTCATACCTATAATCCCAGCACTTTGGGAGGCCAAGGTGGGTGGATCACCTGAGGTCAGGAGGTTGAGACCACCCTGGCCAACATGGTGAAACCCCGTCTCTACTAAAAATTTAAAAATTAGCTGGGCGTGGTGGAGTGCGCCTGTAATCCCAACTACTCAGAAGGCTGAGGCAGGAGAATCCCTTGAACCCGGGCAGCAGAGGTTACAGTGAGCCGAGATCATGCCATTGTACTCCAGCCTGGGCAACAGAATGAGACTCCGTCTCAAAACAAAACAAAGAAAGAGAGAGAGGAAGTGTGGCCCCTTACAGCCCTCAGGTACTTGGTGGGATAAACTCCCACTAAATTCTATTCATTTAGAGAGTTGAGTTAGAGGTTGTAGCAAATTTAAAAACATTATAAAGCAATCACTTGTTGATTAGATTCAGAGCCCTCTACTGGCTACTTAAGGAGGCGCTGCCTAGGAATCCACTTTCTTTTGTTATCTGCTTAGTAAAGGCACAAGTTGCACCATGTCTCTCCCACCCCCAAGGGGGAGCCTTTGGAACCCTGAAACCTTTGATTCTGCAAACTTATTTCATTTCCTTGGGCTCCTTTGTGTTGGTTAACCTTTTGTACCCTAGGATCATGCGGGACATGTTTGTCCAACAGCCCTGGTGCAGGCTCAGGAGCACCCTGTGATGGGAAATGCAGCCTCTGCTGATGGGCTCCAGGTCCTTCTGGAAGGACAGTCAGCCTTTTTCAATGCCGGGAGCTGACCTCCCTCTCCCTGTGGGAGGCGAGAAAGTTGGAAGCACTTTTATAGCCACCTTAAGCAAGTGCCCCAGGAAGTCTCTGGGGTAGTGTGGGAGACTGGTTTATGGCTGCTGGGCTGAGTCATGGTTCTGAGAACACTCCTCCCAACACGTGGTGGAAACACACCTGGTCAAAAGGCACAGCTCGTTTCTCTGCGGTCAGGCAGTGAGTCCCCTTCTTCGTCTCTGTGCTTCCTGCCTCTAGAATTGTCCAGATCCTGGGCCAGCGGTGCCTGCAAGGGTTACTACTGAGACCCTGGAACAATTTCTAAAAATCTTCCCATACCAGCATGGAAACAAAAATAAAACAAAATGAAAAAAACGAAAATAGAAACCACTCTGACAGATTCTTTTCCAATTCAATATATTGACATTATTTGACCTATTGATAGCACCAGGCCAGACCTGGTCACTGACCTGCAGATTGTTCATCCACAGGAGAACTGGGAGGTTTTCAGTGTGTATTTTTCATGGCTCTGTATGTCAACATTACAAAAAAGTGGAAATGTTACTTGTAATTCCACCTTTAATTTACTTTTAATCTCAAACACTTTCATATTTGCTGGGTGGAAGCCTTCCTAGTTTTTCTTCATCCTGTATGTTTTTAGTTATGTTTATAAGGTACATACAGTTCTGAACTGCTTCCCTCACTTACTGTTACAGTGTAACCACTTACATAGATTTCTTCATTATCATCATAATTATCATTACAATGTCTTCTTAATATCCAATCAAGTGGATATGCCATAATGTAGTTAACCTTTTCCTCTTGTTGGACATTTGGATACTTTCGAATATCCAGAGTTGTGTAACCATTACCACAATCTAATTTTTTTTTTTTTTTTTTTTTTTTTGAGACGAAGTCTTGCTCTGTCTCCCAGGCTGGAGTGCAGTGGTGCGATCTTGGCTCACTGCAACCTCCGCCTCCAGGGCTCAAGCGATTCTCCTGCCTCAGCCTCCTGAGTAGCTGGGATCACAGGCCGCACCACCACGCCCAGCTAATTTTTGTATTTTTAGTAGAGACAGGGTTTCGCTGTGTTGGTCAGGCTGGTCTCGAACTCCTGACCTCGGGATCCGCCCGCCTCGGCCTCCCAAAGTGCTGGGATTACAGGCATGAGCCACCATGCCTGGCCTCATTTGGATACTTTCAAAAACATTTTTAATAATTAAAATATTAGGCTGGATGAAGTGGCTCATGCCTGTAATCCCAGCACTTTGGGAGGCTGAGGCGGGATGATCACTTGCCTCCAGGAGCTCGAGACCAGCCTGGATAACATAGAGAGATCTGTCTCTACAAAAAATGCAAAAATTAGCTGGGCATGGTGGCACATGCCTGTAGTCCCAGGTACTTGGGAGGCTGAGGTGGCAGGATCACTGGAGCCCGGGAGGTTGAGGTTGCAGTGAGCTGTGATTGCACCATTGCACTCCAGGCTGGGCAACAGAGCAAGACCCTGTCTCAAAAATAAAATAAATAAAATAAAAGTATTGTTATGTTAAACCTTGGTAGAGTTTTAGTTTTATTTTTATTTATTTATTTTTTATTATTATTTTTAAGATGGAATCTCGCTCTGTCACCCAGGCTGGAGTGCAGTGGCGCGATCTCGGCTCACTGCCAGCTCTGCCTCCTGGGTTCATGCCATTCTCCTGCCTCAGCCTCCGAAGTAGCTGGGACTACAGGCGCCCGCCACCACGCCTGGCTAATTTTTGTATTTTTAGTAGAGACATGGTTTCACCAGCTTGGCCAGGCTGGTCTCGAACTCTGACCTCAGGTGATCCACCCGCCTCGGCCTCCCAAAGTGCTGGGATTACAGGCGTGAGCCACTGCGCCCGGCCTTGGTAGAGATTTATGGTTCTCCATAGTCAGGATTATTTCCTGAGAATAGGTTCTGGAAATGAAAGCCCTGGGTCAAAGAGCGGAATTTTTTATGACTCTCATTCCTAATGTGAGACCTTTGGACTAGACGAGCTCTAAGGCCCCTCCAGCTCCCACCTTCTGCAATTCAGTCTTGAGTCTTGAATGTTGGATTTGCTCTTTCTAAGTGAAACGGGCTGCTGGTTGGCTTTCTTGCTTAGACGATATCTCCCATGATGGTTTGTGTGTCTCTCCAAAAGTGGGCTTGGTTTTCTGCAGCACCAGTACTCTCCCTTAGTGCCTGGGACGTGTGTCCCTGGTTACACATACCCCACATGACTTGTTTGGATTGAAAATAGGTGCTTTTTGTCCCAACATATGTTTCACTTTTCCCTTCTAACAACTGTTCCTGGTGCTGTGGCAGATACAGAAGATCAAAAGGAAACTGTTGCTGAGTTGACATTCTTTCTGTCATAACCTCAACTTATTGAAAGAGCAGCAGCAAACCAAGTGCTCAATGACCCCATTAAACCCCAGTCGCAAATGACCCCAACTGGGTCTCAAAAAACAGGACTTACATGGCAGGGATAACATTGTGTGGATGCCTGGAGTTTTTTATACTCTCAGGCTAAGCAAAAATGATCAGTAGGTTCAGGGGCACTGTCTGAGAGCCCTTTGGGTAGGAAAGAATCAAGTTTGGTTCCCACATACAGCATCCCACCCTTCCCCAACCCCAATTACTTGGGTCACGTCCTTTGCATCCAGTTTTCTCGGCTTGTGTGTGGCTGTGCCAACCAATTAGTCATAAACAGCCTTGGGGGAACAGGAAGCCCTTAATGAAGCCTGACCTGGTTCCATCCTGTTTCTCAAATATGCTGAAAGCTCAATTGTCCTTTTTTGCTAATGGCTGTCTGATGATTTTCTGGTCTTTCTCTGGCCCCCGAGTCCCCGGAGCCATGGTACCATTTCAGTGTCTTGGGTCTGTTCGTTGTCACGAGACTGAGCTGGGTCCTGGCCTCTGAGGCCTGGCTGATGACCGGGCCCCTGTCCTAGCGCGAAGGTAATGTGAGCCCTGTGCATTTGGTATAATTTGTCTGTCGGGCTTATGCATCCCCGACAGAGCTGTGAGCCAAAGCCAGGCCATGGGGGTGAGTGATCTAGAGCCTATGTTACAGTCCCACGTAGCCACAGCTCTGCAGCCCTCTCACCTCACCTCTCACCTGGGGACAAGAACTTTGGCCTTACGTGGCTGCCTCAAAGGGATGCTGTGGCGATGAGAAGAGGTGACGTACGTGGACGCACTCTGTAGACAGTAGCACGTGTTCTTCACCCTGGATAAAATGCCCTTTCACCGGGAATGTGCCTGGGATGGAGCCTCCTGTCACCTGGAGGGTGGAGAGTGCTCAGTATAAAAACAGGGCTGGAAAGGACAGGGTGCATATGCCCCTGTCTCTCCTCCTGCCCCCATCAATAATCCATCCCAGTGAGCCCGGGCTCCAGACTGCCAGCACCAATTGATTAGTGTTAATTAGTGTGAGGGAGGAAGCTTTGCTGCCGTCCCTGATGTGACATATTACCAACAAGAGGACTGATTTTAGCCATAGTGATTTGTATAACTTCCCTCCTTTGGGTATGGTCCTCTGTCCCCGTTTCCTGGTTACATGAGTGACATCCACTCATTTTCAATAGCAATCTGAGCTGACTTTAAAAATTCAGCTTTGTCTTAACTAGAACAACTCAGTTAAACCAAAATGGACATTTATGGCTGGGTGAGGTGGCTCACGCCTGTAATCCCAGCACTTTGGGAGGCCGAGGCGTGTGGATCACTTGAGGTCTGGAGTTCAAGAACAGCCTGGCCAACATGGCGAAACCCCATCTCTACTAAAAATAAAAATAAAAAAAAATTAGTCGGGCCTGGTGGCACCTGCCTGTAATACTAGCTACTCAGAAGGCTGAGGCAGGAGGATGGCTTGAACCTGGGAGGTGGAGGCTGCAGTGAGCCGAGATCTCATCACTGCACTCCAGCCTGGGCGACAGAGTGAGACTCTGTCTTAAAAAAAAAAAGGAGGGAAATTTAAAGGGCTAGATTTAGGCATTGCTTTTGGAAATGAAATTTAGCTCTGAGCTTCCTAGCAGCCAGTAAACAAAGAGAAACCTGTCTAGCTATATCTGTGGTCATCATTGGATGAAAGAAAGCTTCCATGTTTAGAAATCTACGATTCAAGCTCTAGCTGGCCTTTTTTGGTGGAGAGGAATGGGACACTGGTGAGGGCCCTGAACTGGGAATCGGAAACCCTGAATCCTTCTTAGTTTCTGCCTCTCCCTTGTCTCATCAGAATAATGGGAGAATCATTTTCTCCTCAGATTCTGCCCTTCAGAGAAGTAACTCCACACCTTCTCAGCCCTCCGTTCCATTCTGCTTTCCTAACTCGCTTCCCTGTCCTCTGCCTGAGGAGGGGTCAGATAGGGAGGCTTTGGGAATCCACATCTCAATGCTGTCCCCAGAGTCAGGAATGCAGCTTGCTGAGGGATGTCGGGGGTTACAGCCTCGACTGGAGGGTGAGGGCCCCCAGCAGCACCCCTTGGTGGCCGGTGTCTGTTCCAGGTGGACAGGTTCCTGTATCACATGCGGCTCTCCGATGACACCCTTTTGGACATCATGAGGCGGTTCCGGGCTGAGATGGAGAAGGGCCTGGCAAAGGACACCAACCCCACGGCTGCAGTGAAGATGTTGCCCACCTTCGTCAGGGCCATTCCCGATGGTTCCGGTGAGTGCAGTTGTCCGCTGCCAGGGTCCCTGGCTCCTCTTGGCTGATGGGTGTCTAAAGTACCTAAGGTTTGCCCCTGTACCTTGGCTTCTCTCTCTAGCCCTCTCTCTGCTGTCCCACCCTCCCTGCCCCTCTCTGCTTCAGTCCTGCTGAATCCCTCTTGCAGTTCTGCAGTTCTGCAGCCCCAGGCACCGTGGCTTCTCTGCCCATCGTGGCCTCACACATTTGCTCCCTCTCCTCCTGGAGCATCTCCATGTTCTTCCCTGGTGAGTATCAACGTGGCTTTTCCGTCTCAGCGTAGTGGTCCCTGCCTCCATCTAGGAAGTATCCCTGTGCTGGGCTGGGTGCTTGTCAGGGCACTTGTCACTTTGCTGTGTCCCCACTCTGAGTCTCCACCAAATTAACCACTCACTCCGTGGGTCCAAGGTCTTACCACAGTGTTCCCAGCACCTAGTGTAGCACTGGGAATGAGTAATGGGAGCAAGAATGATGTAGTGGAAATCACATTCAATGATAATTCAACAAACCTGGGTCTGAGGCCCAGCTCTGTCACTCTCAGTGACCTGAGGCAAGTGTTTAGCCTCAGTTTGCCCAGCTGTAGAATGAGAAATGGCCTATGTATCTGTTTCCTATGGCTGCTGTGATGTATTACTACAATCACAGTGGCTGAAAACAATCGAATATATTCTCTGACAGTTCTGGTGGACGGAAGTTTGCAGTGGGTCTCACTGGGCCAAAATTCAGGTGTCGGCAGGGCTGCGTTCCTTCTGGAAGCTTGAGGGGAGAATCTGTTTCCTTAACTTTTCCAGTTTCGAGAGGCCACCTGCATCCTTGAGGCATGCCCCTTTCTGTTCTCAAAGCCAGCAGTGTAGCCTCTTCAGGTCCCTCTCTGACCTGACCTTCTGCCTCCTTTCAACATTTAAAGATCCTGTGATCACGTTAGTCATGCTTAGATAATCCAGGATAATCTCCCAACTTCAAGGTCAGCTGATGAGCAATTTTGATCCCATCTGCAACCTTAATTCCCCTTTGCCTTGCACCCTCAGATATTCACAGGATCTGGGGATTAGGATGTGAGCATCTTTGTTGGGGGTGGGGGACATTATTTTGCCTACAATGGCCTAGAAATCTGTAGATAGGATCTATGAGGTCCCATCCAACTCTTCCATTCTCAGCCTCTGAATGAAGCTGTAAGAGGGAAAAGGGCTGCTACTGGCCTGGAGTGGTGGCTCACGCCTGTAATCCCAGAACTTTGGGAGGCCGAGGGGGGCAGATCACTTGAGGTCAGATGCTCGAGACCAGCCTGGCCAACATGGTGAAACTCCACCTCTACTAAAAATACAACAATTAGCCAGGTGTGATGGCATGCACCTGTAATCCCAGCTACTCGGGAGGCTGAGGCAGGAGAATCACTTGAACCTGCAAGGCAGAGGTTGCAGTGAGCCGAGATTGCGCCACTGCACTCCAGCCTGGGTGACAGAGCGAGACGCCATCAAAAAAGAAAGAAAGAAAGGAAGAAGAAAGAAAGAAAGAAAGAGAGAGAAAGAAGAAAGAAAGGAAAGAAAGAAGAAAGAGAAAGAAAGAAAGAGAAAGAAGAAAGAAAGAAAGCAAAGAAAAAGAAAGAAAGAAAGAGAGAAAGCTGCCATTTACTGAGCAACCACTGTGGTCATGGGGTGCTGGGGACTCGCTGAGCCACATATTTCCTGTGACAACCCTGTGGTGTGGCTGTTCAGACAGAACCACCAAGGACCAAGGGGTTTCTCCCATGTCAGGGTCCCAGTGCCCAAACCGAGCTCGTGAAAGAGCACTGGGGCTCTCGCAGGAGCAGGGTCTGAGGTTTGGGAGCTCTCAGGGGGCTTTGATGGGATCAGTCGTGTTCTGGACCTCTCTGGAGCAATGCCTGGATCAAGGTAGCTTGGCTCTGCTGGTTGAGAGGCCCTGGGACACTGCACTGGGAAAGGCCCTGTGCCCTCACTTGTGGGTAGGTGCTTGGGATGGACAGTGCCCTGTCCTGGAAGGACGTTGAGCTTCGGAGAGAGACAGCCCTACTTTGAAATCTTGGCTCTGTCCTTGCCACAGCTTGACGAGAGTACTGGGACGTGTCCTTGACAGGGCATCTGGGGCCCCTGGGAGGAAGCAGCTGAGTCATGTGGGGAGCACCAGGGCTAAGTCCGCCTGGCTTCCTGGACTGCAGCCCCTCCTCCTGATACAGACAAGGTGTGTCCCCAGAAGCAAGGGAAGGTGGCCTTTGATGGTCTGGAGGCTCTGGGACAGGCGGTGTCCTCCTGGCCCTGGCTGCTTCTGAAGGTTCAGAAGTGAAACTAACTAAGTCATAGAAACTCTCTCCTCCTTAGCCGGGAAGACGCCCAGCTCCCCATCCCCGTCTCCGCAGAGCCTCTCACCACACAAAGCATCTCACCAGTGATTCTGTTGTGCCGAGGTCCCTGGGCCCAGAGTCCCTAATAAGCCAGGTGTTCTTGGTAAATCCCGGCACCATACATGATTGTCAGGATTTAATGAGATCATGTGGATGGCGTGCTTTAACATCTCTAAAATCTTGTCCCAAGTCCTCCTAGCTCTTGTGAGCTGGTGGTATAATTTCATGATTACCGACAAAAAACAAGCAAAACTCTCCTAATTCCTTATGGTGTCCGTTTCAGAAATGTATGCAGCTTCCAGAGAAGTCCTGAGTTTGCCTACTCCCATCAGGACCTATCTGCGAGGGAGTCACCTGTTTGAGCCTTAGTTACCACCCAGCCTTTTGGTCAGGGGGCTGCAGTGGTCTGTTCTGACAGGATCAAGTGCCTTAAAAGTGCTGTGTTAATACTGGAGCCTTCTCTGCCAGTCATGGAAGGGGCATGGGAAGCATGAGGGTGACTGTGATTCTTTGGCTTGACCCCTGCTGGCTCTGTTCCAGGCCTTAGCCTCCAGTCAGCCTCCAAGGCCAAATAGGCCTTGGGGGTGAGCCCGGGAGCCCTGAGGTCGTCAGCCTGGAGCCTCGAGTGTTTCCTAATACACACTTTCCCAGCCCCTCCCCCTGGGGACTCTGAATCTCCAGGAATCTCCGCATTCAGCCACTGTGCACCTTTGGGAGACTCTGCACTGGGTAAAAGGAGGGAGTGAAGGCACCAGCACCAGCAGTGACTTACGAGAAGGGAACCATTGGGTCCAAGGCAGTTCATGGAGGGTCCTCTGGAGCAGGCAGATTGGCCAAAGCAATTTACCCCGCTTAGGACACTGTTTTCTCTTTTCTTTCTTTTTAGAAACAAGGTCTCCCTCCGTTGCCCAACCTGCAGTGCAATGGAGCCATCATAGATCACTGCAGCCTTGACCTTCTAGGCTCAAGTGATCCTCCTGCTTCAGCCTCCCAAGTAGCTGGGACTACAGGTGCATGCCACTACGCCCAACTGACTTTTTTGTCTTTTGTTTTGTAGAGACAGGGTTTTACCATATTGACCAGGCTGGTGTTGAACTCTTGGCAAGGGATTAATTCTCCTGCCTGGGCCTCCCAAAGTGCTGGGACCACAGGTGTGAGCCACCGTGCCTGGCCGGGGCTGTTTTCTTGATGTCTGTGAAGACTCTGAGGCCCCACAGACTGCTGTTGCCTGGGCAAGTCCTCCCTCTCCCAGGGTCCACTGGTTCCTTTTTTCTGGGGTCAGAGACAGAAGGGATCACACCATGTGGCATCCATGAAATGGCACCTCGAGCCACTGGTGGAGTGAGGTGTTTGATAGTGATTGCGATGCGGGCCGGGAGTGGGATGCCTCCACACCGACACTGGCCAGGTCTCAGCACATCCCCTCCCGTCCGATGGCAGTGCAGCAGCCTCTTCTTTTGTTAAACCCTCAGTCTATTCTGGTTGGTGTCAGAGGCATTTGTCCCCAGAATCTCAGATCTTGGCACTCCCTAGCTTAAAATCTTTCTGCAGCTCCCTCTCACCTTCCAGATAAAGCCCAAGCTCCTTGGGGTGGATAGCTTTTCCAAATCCTTCCAAATTTAACCTGAGAGCCACCTTCCAACCTCATTTCTGTGACAGCTGCCCTCCTTTGGCAAAAGCACACTCACTCTTAGCGGATGCTTTCTCATTCCTTTGCCCGTGGTTCCTCTCCCTGGGACCCCCGCTCCCGGCAGCCTGGCAGCCTGACTCCTGCTCACCCTTCAACACTCAGCTCTGTGTCCCCTCCCTGCAAAGCCAGCTGCCTTTGTCTCCCAGCTTTGACCTGGATATCTCTCCCTGTGCCTCTCACAATCTGAGCACTGGTCCTACTATATGGAAATAGCTGATTTATGCGCCTGTATTTCGGATCAATTTCCCAGGGAGCACACCGTCTTTCATCTGCGCATCCCTAGCACCTAACACATGTTACTCAGCACAGAGTAGATGCTCAGTAAATGTGTGGACATAGATTGTGGGATCTACCCTACCTCCTACACAGCAAGACAGCATCTGGGAGAACCCTCTTACTTGGTGCATAATATATACTAATAAAAGTTGCATAGGATTAACTCCCTGAATTCCCTCACCAAATAATAAATGACTCCATCAGCTCCTTTGTGGCTGATCTGTGAAGGTAAGAATTTCCGGATGTCTACACAAAAACAAAAAATCGAGCTGGCTGCACCTTTGCTACTCTAACTATGGTCTACAGACCAGCAACAGCAGCAACATCACCAAGTTGGCCAGGCTGTTCTTGAACTGCTGACCTCAGGTGATCTGCCCGTCTCGGCCTCCCAAAATGCTGGGATTACAGGCATGAGCCACTGTGCCCAGCCCCCACCTTTCAATTAATGGCATCTGTCTTGGGCTGGGCTGGGTTGTGTTCCAATGTCTCCTTTTGGAGTGGCTCTGGCCTAAAAAAATCAGCATCCTTGGCACCTCAAGGGCCATTGTTTAGTCCCTGTCTCCTCTCCCCTCCAGGAGTGTTTTCCCTCTGCCCATAGGATCATCGGCTGCAGGAGGCTGGCTGCTCCTCGCCGCACATCCTGTCTTCCCCCTCATACCTTTATCCGAGTTTCCCCAGGCTGGGAGCACCAGCTCTCTCTTCCCAGTGATGGCATCCCAGGATGGGCTCCACCGTCGAGGCCACCTCTCATACCACCGCAAGGGCTGTGCTCACATTTGCCCTCTCCAGTTGACATGCACATTCCTACAGCATGAGCCAGTGGGTTGGGCTCAGGCTGCAGAGTCAGGCTGACTTAGTTCACATCTCAGCTCTGCGCCTTACCTCGAGGGCTCTGAGAAATGGCCAGAGTCCTCAGCCTTGGCAAATGAGCATAATGATACCTAGTGGCTGTGATTTGAAGACGTTGATTATATGTCCAACCTCTAATGCAGAGCTTGCCATATCTGTAGTAGACCCTCAATAAATGGAAACTGAATTTGTTTCTTAATAGAAAATGGGGAGTTCCTTTCCCTGGATCTCGGAGGGTCCAAGTTCCGAGTGCTGAAGGTGCAAGTCGCTGAAGAGGGGAAGCGACACGTGCAGATGGAGAGTCAGTTCTACCCAACGCCCAATGAAATCATCCGCGGGAACGGCACAGAGGTACCTGGCAGGTGGCTCCTGTGACCGCAGGGAAGGCGGTGGCATCCGTGTGTGGGGAAACCACACCTTAGCCCATGTACTTTGCTTTCTCTTCTCTGCAGCTGTTTGAATATGTAGCTGACTGTCTGGCAGATTTCATGAAGACCAAAGATTTAAAGCATAAGAAATTGCCCCTTGGCCTAACTTTTTCTTTCCCCTGTCGACAGACTAAACTGGAAGAGGTAAGGCGCGGAGGGAAGCAGCAGTGCAGGAATTGGGGCTTGGGGAATGTGGGCACGGGTGGGAGTCAGGCTGCACGCAGGAGAGAACAGCAGGAGCTTTCTTGTTTGTCTTTTTCTTTTCTTTTTGTTCATGATGAGGTGGCAGCGTGAGGCAGAGAACTTGTTAACGCAATGGCCTTGATTTTATGATTAACGTGGGCACAGCTCGGGGGAGTAGAATGCTTTTCACTAGCTCTCAAACCTTGGTGTGAGGAATTCCTTGGAGGGCTTGTTTTAAGCACAGATTGCTGGGCCTACTGGAATCAGTGGTTCTGCAAGGAGGCCCTAAATTCGCCTCCCTGACAGGTTCCTGGCAGATGTGATGCTGCCTGAGGCCTGCACTTAGGACCACTGACATAGCCAACTAGAAGAAACATGGGAAGGCTGGGGAGTCTCTCCCTGTAGTGAGCCCTCAGGAGGAGGATTAGAATGGGGGCACTGGAGGACCAGGCGCGGTGGCTCACGCCTATAATCCCAGCACTTTGGGAGGCCGAGGCGGGCGGATCATGAGGTCAGGAGATCGAGACCATCCTGGCTAACATGGTGAAACCCCGTCTCTACTAAAAATGCAAAAAATTAGCTGGGTGTGGTGCCGGGCGCCTGTAGTCCCAGCCACTTGGGAGGCTGAGGCAGGAGAATGGCGTGAACCCGGGAGGCGGAGCTTGCAGTGAGCCGAGATTGTGCCACTGCACTCCAGCCTGGGTGACAGAGCAAGACTCCGTCTCAAAAAAAAAAAAAGGAATGGGGGCACTGGAGGAGTGAGAATGTCCTGGAGCAGACACAGAGCCTGGGATACACAGTCTGAACTGTGTCACCAGCTAGGCCGGGGTTCCTGGTAACTCATCTCTGTGTGTCTCAGTTTTCAATCTGTAAGCAGGAGGAAGCTAACCCAATCTTATGTGAATAAAGACAGCAAATAAGGGGACGTTCTGGGGCCAGGTTGGGGGAGTTACTGTCAAGAGTCTAGTCTCCCCGGGCCACTCCTGTCTGGGTTGGGGACCCTGATCAATCTCCTCCTCCTGGCCCTCCTGGTTATGATGCCCAGTTGACAGTCACATGGACCTCCTTGGGATGTGCTTGATATTGTTGGCTTGAGTCACTTATTGGTGTGGAATAGTGAAAGGGAATGAGCTTTCATGTTCCACACACATGGCTTTGAATCATGGTTCAGGACAAATTGTGTCCCCTTGGACCAGTTCCTTAATTTCATGAGCCTCTTGTTTTCTCTTTGAGAAAATTTTATTTATTTTTATTTTTTTCTTTGTAGAGATGAGGTCTCACTATATTGCCCAAGCTGGTCTCAAACTCCTGGGTTTAAGTAATCTGCCTGCCTCTGCCTCCCAAAGCGTTGGGATTACAGGCATGGGCCATTGTGTCCCACCTTGTTTTCTCATTTGTAAAGCAGGGATAATAACATCTGCTTGTTGGGCTGAGGTGAAGCTTAGGCAAAGCATTTGTAAAGCATCCAACACTGTGGTTGGGCCTTACACAGTAGCTGCTAGGCTGTGGTGACTGTCCCTGGATTACTTGTCTCTTTGTGCTTTTGTATCTTATCCCTAAATTCAACAGAGGTTTTTGGAGGGCAAGCAGTGCCCGCCAAGGGCACAGACCTTCCCCGCCAAGGTCTCTGACAATGTGTTGTATTTAATAGGTGCTTGATAACTATCTCACAGTTGAAAGGTGTCAATCATTTATTTGATTCCATCGTGGGAATTTGCCATCATCTATACAGGGGACAGGCTGAGTTTTACTTTTTCATTCTTTTATAAAGAAAGGACTGAGAAAAATAATATAAAGAAGGTTCCAGGGGCCTGGCGTGGTGGCTTTTGCCTATAATCCCAGCACCCTGGGAGGCTGAGGCGGGAGGATTGCTTGAGCCAGGGAGTCCAGGCTGCAGTGGGCTGTGATCACACCACTGCACTCCAGCAGCGCAGGCCACAAAGCGAGACTCCATCTCTAAAACAAGCAGCCAGATGCGGTGGTTCATGCCTGTAATCCCAGCACTTTGGGAGGCCGAGGGGGGCAGATCACCTGACATCAGGAGTTCAAGACCAGCCTGGCCAACATGGTGAAACCCCATCTCTATTAAAAATACAAAAATTAGCTGGGCCTGGTGGCGGGCGCCTGTAATCCCAGCTACTCGGGAGGCTGAGGCAGGAGAATCACTTGAACCCACAAGGTGGAGGTTGTGGTGAGCTGAGATCACGCCACTGCATTCCAGCCTGGGTGACAGCGCGAGACTCTGTCAGAAACAAACAAACAAACAAAAAACAACAACAAGCAAACAAAAAACAAACAAAAAAGTTTCCAGGGAATGTTTGGGTGAGACCAAGTGGAGCTGGCTGGCAGAGAAAGGTCCTAGGAGTGAGTAGATGTGTATGTCAGGGGGTTGGGAATCAGGGCCCTGGCTGGATCCTGTAGTGCAGGTGGTGGAGTGAGAGTGTGCCAGCTGCTCTTATTAGAGAGCTCTGGAACAGAGACTCCAGGAAGAAGGAAGAAAATTCTCAAGCTCTGTGAGAATTCATTCAACTTTAAGAATTAAATGCACATGCTTTCTTGATAGCTTGGCAGCGGAGGGTGTGAACGGATGGTTTATCCATCCAGGATTTTGTCATTTATCTATGTTGAATACCCACCAACATCTTTCTCAATAATAATGATAAAAGCACGTGCCTCCGGTTTTGACACTGTACCTCGCGCTGTGCCAAATGCTTTATGCGCATTATCTTGTTAAATCCCCCAAACAATTCTAAGAGGTAGATATGATTATCTTCATTCTATATTTGAGAAACACTGCAGCTCAGCGAGGTTAAGAGACTTGCACAAAGCCACACAACCAAGAGTAGCCCACCCCAAGTTCATAAGCTCCCCAACTACAGTGCCTTTCCAGAAAGACACCACTTTAGAACTTCATTTAAAATGGCAGCAGGTGCCTGAAAGCATTTTGATTTTTTTTTTTTTTTTTGAGCTCTGTCGCCCAGGCTGGAGTGCAGTGGTGTGATCTCGGCTCACCACAATCTCCGTCTCCCAGGTTCAGGCAATTCTCCTGTCTCAGCCTCCCGAATGGTGGTATTACAGGTGCCTGCCACCACACCCAACTAATTTTTGTATTTTCAGTAGAGACGGAGTTTCACCATGTTGGCCAGGCTGGTCTTGAATGCCCAACTTCAGGAGATCCTCCCGCCTCAGCCTCCCAAAGTGCTGGGATTGCAGGCGTGGTGAGCCACTGTGCCCGGCCCATTTTGACCCACTTAGTGTCATATTACAATAAAGATTTTTCAGGTAAAATTTAAACTAAGGAAGGGCATTTAATTATATCAAGGAGAGGCCGGGCACAGTGGCTCATGCCTGTAATCCCAGCACTTTGGGAGGCCGAGGAGGGTGGATCACCTGAGGTCGGGAGTTCGAGACCAGCCTGACCAACATGGAGAAACCCCGTCTCTACTAAAAGCACAAAATTAGTCGGGCGTGGTGGCACATGCCTGTAATCCCAGCTACTCGGGAGGCTGAGGCAGGAGAATTGCTTGAACCTGGGAGGCGGAGGTTGCAGTGAGCTGAGATGGCGCCACTGCACTCCAGCCTGGGCAACAAGAGTGAAACTTCGTTTCAAAAAAAAAAAAAAATTGTATCAAGGAAGGGAAAAATGCTTTTTTTCTCATCGCAGTCTAGTCAAATATACTTATATTTTATAAAATTTCCTCGCAAACTGCCTTTCAATAAAATCTAAAGTTAAGTAGTAAAGTTCCAACCACAAGAAAACTCATTCCTGATAATATTTGAATGTGGCCTCATCTGGCAAAGCTATTTAAGCAGGGCTCTGCTGCAGGAGTGGGTTCGGTAACACTAGAATAAGGGCTCCTGGGGAAGATGGGCTCTGTTCAGCTCCATGACTGCAGAGGGATGGAAAGGGGAAGGCTGTGTGAGGAGGTGTGATTAGGGGGCTTCTTTGAGAAACTGAAAATGATTAAAGAAGGTAGGAGCGTGAGAATTCTTATTATGTTTAACCCATAGCCAACATCATGAGCATAAGAATTAAAGGAAGTCACTTGGTTTTTTATTCTTGTTTTTGAGGGAACAGAAAGTCTTAACCAAAGAGAAATTTCTTTGTGTGTGTGTGTGTGTGTGTGTGTGTGTGTGTGTGTGTGTTTTCTGATAATAAAATAAATGGTAATACTTTTTTCAAGGTTTAAAAAAAGAGAGAGAGAAGGAATGGAAAAGTTTAAAGAAGAAAATAGAAATCACCACTCATCTCAATATTCAAATATTCCCACCACTAGAATTGTGGGTTTTTCTTTTACTCATACCTATATTAAATACAAGTGTTATCCTGTATCTACAGTTTAGCAAATCTATGGTTGATTCTAGTCACCAAATATTTGAGACAAAAAGAAAATGTACAGTTGTATGTAATTGCCTTTTTAATTTAACATTCTATCGCAAGCATTTATCCCTCACTTCCCCCATCCACCTTCCCTGCAACAGGGATTTTTGAAGAAAGCCAGCCTGTGCATCTCTCCCCGCTCTGTCCCTGGAGACAGGGATGTTGTCATAGCCTATGAGAGCAGAAGTTAGGGAGAGCTGCCACACGGCGGCGCTGTGGTGCAGGAAAAAAGCCCGAGGGCTGGTCCAGAGTCAGAGACCTGCATTCGGCTTGGGCTCTATCCTTCACTCGCGGTGAAATTCAGAGCAATTTCCTCCCTCTCTCAATCCCAGCGTTTTTAAATCCATAAATTGAGGGAAATGGAGGAGGTGCGGTCAGGAAGTTTGTGAGCCTGGGTCAGCTGCTCTTGACTGAGACGACTTGGGCGATTCTCTTTTAACTTCCAAGTTCTCTTCCAGTCTGAAACATTCTATGATTATTTGCGATTTCAGACACGAAACTCAGGAAACACCATTTGTAAGCAATGATTGGTAATGCAAATTGAGAACCATTTTTCTTTCTTTCTCTTTATTAAGAGACGAGGTCTCGCTATGTTGCCCAGGCAGGCCTGGAACTCCTGGCCTCAAGTGATCCACCTGCCTCAGGCTCCCAAGTAGCTGGGACTACAGGTACGGGCCACTCTGCCTGGTTGGGAATCATTTTTCTAAGTTGAAATGAAGTTCCTGAGACAATCCTGCAAGGTTACACCATGTTAGTTCTGTTTTGTGGACCTGGCAAACCATGCATTCTGCATGTATAATACACCAGGTATTTTCTTTTTTTTTTTTTTTTTTTGAGACGGAGTCTCGCTCTGTCGCCCAGGCCGGACTGCGGACTGCAGTGGCGCAATCTCGGCTCACTGCAAGCTCCGCTTCCCGGGTTCACGCCATTCTCCTGCCTCAGCCTCCCGAGTAGCTGGGACTACAGGCGCCCGCCACCGCGCCCGGCTAATTTTTTGTATTTTTAGTAGAGACGGGGTTTCACCTTGTTAGCCAGGATGGTCTCGATCTCCTGACCTCATGATCCACCCGCCTCGGCCTCCCAAAGTGCTGGGATTACAGGCGTGAGCCACCGCGCCCGGCCTACACCAGGTATTTTCATTAGAGCATTCCTTTGAGAGAGGTAGGGAGGTGACATTTCCACTTTGCAGAGGAGTAGACTGAGGCTCAGAGAGGTTAAACGACTTGTCTAATGTCTCATGAATCCAAGAGCTCTAACTTTTCAATAATTACTCCTTCTGCTACCATATATTTCAAACCACTCAGATGAGAGTAATAGTCCTTTAAATTATTAGAAAAGGCTGCAGAAGCAATGTTTTAAAAAAATTGGGGTGATTCAGCTTAGAGAAGAGAAGGCCATGGGGGATGCACGTAGGCATGAAGTTTCTGCGGCTCAGTTGCACATCTCAGCACGTCTTTCATTCAAACTGGACCTGAAATCTTCTCCCAGGGTGTCCTACTTTCGTGGACAAAAAAGTTTAAGGCACGAGGAGTTCAGGACACGGATGTGGTGAGCCGTCTGACCAAAGCCATGAGAAGACACAAGGTGAGGAATTCACCTCGGTGTGGGAGGCTCTCCCAGCCCTAGCTCCTTTCTCTTGGGTTGGTGGGGCTGGGGGTGAGGTGAGGGGGTCACATATGGTGCCTGCATGGAGGGAGAATCAGAGAAGGAATTGATCTTAGAAAAGGTCCCACTGTAGTACAGATGTGGCCAACTTGGATGAACCCACAGAGCCTTGGTAGGCGGGGCTTGCACCAATCCCTATTGAAAGGTGGCCAGCTCATCCCTGGGCCTCCCCAGCAGCCACAGCCCTCTCCGGAGGTCTTGGTTAGATCTGATGCTGTGTGTAGGCCCCACACGCCCTCCTCTCTGAGGCTGAAAAGATCATATACTTTCCGGGCTGGTTCCATATTCTTTCTGGGCTGGTTCTCTATTTCACTGTCCACTCCCTGTCCATTAAATATCCCTATTTGTTGAACGTATTTTACAATAATTTAAACTACTGCGAAAGCAAGACTCGCTCCTTGCTGAGCTGGAAAGTACACAAACCCAAATTGCTTGTTGCCCTGACAGCAAGAGGCATGTTTGCTGCATAGCCTTCCAGCCTTTTTTTCTTTAAAGCTGGGATCTTATTGTTTTATAGCCTGCATTTTCCCTTATTGTTTTCATTTTACTTTTTTTTTTTTTTTTTTAGAGATGAGGTCCTGCTGTGTTGCCCAGGCTGGCAGTGCCTGGCACTCCATCCTCGAATTCCTAGGCTCAAATGATCCTCCCACCTCAGCCTCCTGCATAGCTGGGACTATAGGCATAAGCCACATGCCTGGCTCTCATTTTACTTTAAAATGTTCTTCCAAACTTTGGGGGATGTTGGTGCAATAACCCAAGCTGACTTGGCAGAACAGGAAATCCAGACAGGAAGTCACCATGCCATACATGGGGAAGACTTGGCCGAGTCTGTGCCTGCTGGCTGAGTTGTCCCCGTGGGTGAGGACTTTGGTGTTTTCTCCTGGAAATGCCACTGGATAAACATGCTTTCCTCAATGTCTTCCCAGGATCTCACAAACAAAGGCTGAAACCTGGGTGTGATGTGTGCCTGTAGTCTCAGCTACTCAGGAGGCTGAGGCAGGAGGATCACGTGAGCCCAGGAGTTTGAGGCTGTGGTGTGCTATGTTTGTACCTGTGAACAGCCATCACACTCTAGCCTGGGCAACATAGTGAGACCCTATCTGCAGATTAAAAAATAAAATTTTTTAAATTAAAAAAAACATCGACAACAAAAAACAAGGGCTGGAGTCCCGGTGGCCTGTCCCTCATATTTCCATTGCAGAGGCCTTCACCCACAAAGCAAGAGGATGGGCTCCCCTCTTCAGCTCCTGTCGGCTCTTTCTCTCCCCTAGACCCTGAACCTTGATGAGGCCTTGCTCCTTCAGACAGGCCCAGCAGGCAGGATCTAGGGATGTCTCAGCAGCCACCTTCACTACCTGCTGCCTCTGTGGGGAAGGAGGGAGGGAAACACCTCCTTCCCACCCGCTGATTCCCTCTGGCCTTGTGTTCGGCAGGACATGGACGTGGACATCCTGGCCCTGGTCAATGACACCGTGGGGACCATGATGACCTGTGCCTATGACGACCCCTACTGCGAAGTTGGTGTCATCATCGGTAACTCAATTGGACTGGTTTTTTGAGGGTAGGGGAGAAGGGACTGTTTGGGAGTTTCATTTCAGCGAGCTCTGAGTGAATTCGGCGGGAAGGGCACTGCACTATTTAGGAGAAGCAACATAGGGACATGAAAAATTCATTCATTCATCCATTCGACAAGTGTTTACTGAGCACCCATTGTGTGCCGGCCCCTGGGCTTGGCACTGGGTTTGGAGTGGGGAGTTCCTGTGCTCCTGGAACTTTCAGTGGGGAGGTGGGTGAGAGGCCCAGAAGGCCTAGGCTATTAAGATAATTTCAGGTGGTGGTTAGCGTGATAAAAAAACAAAAAACAAAAAACAAAGAGAGTGATGTGACTGTGAGTGGGATGAGGCGTCAGGGAAGCCTCTCTGAGGGGTGGCATTTGAGCCGGGACCTCAGTGATGCAAACCAGGGAGCAAGGTGGAGGCCCGAGGGTAGGGAGTCCCTGCCAAAGGAAAGAGGACACCTACAGGCTTGGAGATGGGAAGGGGTCCAGGGAGGGGGCACTGGGGGAACCCTATAGCCGAGTGGTGTCCGGATGAGGTGAGTGAAGGCTGAGAGTCGGAGGCCATTCAAGTGAGAGGCAGAGGACAGACTGGGCAGATTGCACAGGATGTGCACACAGTCACTGTAAGGTCACCGGCTTATCCCCTGAGGGAGACTGGAAGGCACTGGGGGACTCTGGGTGGGGGATGGATAAATGGATGCGCATTTTATTTTATTTTTTTATTTGAGACGGAGTCTTGCTCTGTCGTCCAGGCTGGAGTGCAGTGGCACAGTCTTGGCTTACTGCAACCTCTGCCTCCCAGGCTCAAGCAATTCTCCTGCCTCAGCCTCCTGAGTAGCTGGGATTACAGGTGCCCACCACCACGGCTGGCCAATTTTTTGTATTTTTAGTACAGATGGGGTTTCACAGTGTTTGCCAGGCTGCTCTCAAGCTCCTGACCTCAAGTGATTCACCCGCCTTGGTCTCCCAAAGTGCTGGGATTACAGCCATGAGCCACCACGCCCGGCCGGATGTGCATTTTTTAAAAGCCCATTTTGGCTGCTGTGTGGATAATAGATTACTGGGGACAAGAGTGGAAGCAGGGTGACCATCCAAGAGACCACTGGACTGTCAGGCAAGGTGCACTGCAGCTGTGGACCAGAGAGGTCGTGGTGCAGTGGGGGTTTCCAGTGGGTGGTCTCCACACCAGAGCGAGGGGGTCAGCTGGAGGAATGTGTGGGAAGGCAGTTTGGGGTACAGTAAAGCTGAATGGCTCTGACTTATAGGTTGTTCTTGAATATCCCCTTCTCCTTTTCCCATTCCTTTACCACTCCTGGGGAAAGTTCTTCTGAATTGCTTTTTCTTAATGTCCCTCAAGACCCTCCTCAGCCTGGCTTTCCCAAAGGGCAGGTTTTTAAACCTGAGGGGCTCCCTCCACCCTTCTGTTTCCAGGAGCCTCAGAATGGTTCAGGCCCTTGCCAGTCATGGCACCCGCCTGTCACTGTGGCTGCGTCTGGTAACCACAGATTGGGGGGGCCACGCCTAAACAGTGTCCGTGCATTTCTGAGAAAAGCTTTTTCCAAATATTACATTCTGCTTTTCTACATTTCTCATTTTCCATGTTGGCATTTAAAATACTCATACCAGAGTATCAGCCAAGGGAAGATACTGAAGAAAAAAAAAAAAAAAAAAAAACCCGAAAATTCAAACAGCTTTATTGAGGCATAAAAGTCCTCCGATTTTAGGTATACGATTCAATGATTTGTAGTAAACGTATAGTTTTGTAACCATCACCACAATCCGATTTTAGAACATTTCTGTCCTCCCAAAAGAGTCCAAAAAGATGGTGCCCACTTGCAGTCATTCCCCAGTGCTCAAGTGTTTGAGGCATTTCCTTGGAGCGATTTTGTGTTTGCATAACGGAATGTTGCTTTCTTAGGTGGTAGCTAATCACAGTCTAAGATAAGGATGCAGCTTATGCTAGAAACAATTTGTGGCAGGCCATAAGTAAAGAATATTTTTAGTATCAAATAGAGAGGAAGCTAAGTAGCTTAAGGAAAGAATTTTCAAAATTACCCTGGGTTGGTGATTTTTTGAAAAAAATATTTACAAGATTATCTTCATTTGTCCTCTTGTAAGAGCGCTTCGTCAGCTTTCATCCATATTCATCAGCGGACTTCTTCACAATTGACTCCATTCAGAACAGCAAACCCTGAGCACCCTGAGAAGTGCAGACTTGACATGTCAGCTGTTTTCCCCATGTGCTTGGGGCTTGCCCAAGCTGCTTCCCTCAGCGAGAGCCAGCCCCCAGGGAATGAAAAGCACTTTGTGGTACATTGAGGAGGACTCCCCAGCAGTCAAGAGTTCTCTGTCTGTGCCCAGCTGGGAGTCCTCTCTCTGCATATTCTCTCTGATCCCTGGTTCAGGAACTGGCACCAATGCGTGTTACATGGAGGACATGAGCAACATTGACCTGGTGGAGGGCGACGAGGGCAGGATGTGCATCAACACAGAGTGGGGGGCCTTCGGGGACGACGGGGCCCTGGAGGACATTCGCACTGAGTTCGACAGGGAGCTGGACCTCGGCTCTCTCAACCCAGGAAAGCAACTGTGAGTTCCCTTCTGGTGTTATCTGGGCATCGGCACCAGGCAGTGCCTAATCACTCAGGTCCCCTGGCTACCTGGGAGGCTTTCCAGTTGTGACTAGCTATCCATCACAACTTTCTTTCTTTTTTTCTTTTTCCTTTTTTTTTTTTTTTGAGATGGAGTCTCACTCTCTAGCCCAGGCTGAAGTGCGGTGGCACGATCTTGGCTCGCTGCAACCTCCACCTTCCAGGCTCAAGCAATCCTCCCACCTCAGTCTCCAGAGGAGTTGGGACTACGGGCATGGGCCACCATTCCTGGCTAATTTTTGTATTTTTTGTAGAGTCAGGGTTTTGCCATGTTGGCTAGGCTGGTTTTGCACTCCTGAGCTCAGGCAATCCTCCCGCCTCAGCCTCCCAAAGTGCTGGGATTACAGGCATGAGCCACCATGCATGGCCCCATTACAACAAATTTATAAGGCATTGCTTGTATTTCAGTTTCATCTGACAAATGAGGAAATAGAAGCCAAGGACATTGAAAGATTTCCCTAAGTCATAACCCTAATAACCCTAATTCTAATTCAGTCAGTATTTGTGGGTTACGTATGTGCATGATAGGCACTGAAGATAAGAGCACTCGGACGCTTGGCCGCAGAACACACCTGGGCAGTGAGGAGAAGGCAGGCACAGCCGAACTCGTCGTGTTCGCATGTCCCCCAGCCGCCTTGCTTTCTCGGAGGCCTAATCACTCAGCAAGTGGTGACTCTGGCAGGACCTTCCCTCTGTGTTTGCTGTCCACAATTTTTATTTTGATGCTCAAATTGTTTCAGATTTGGCCAAAGGAAGCCTCTGAAGCTGCCTCCTGTGTCCTTTTGACATGTTCCATCACTCTTTAAGTACTTCCTTATTTCCTGGCACCGTAAGACGTTCCCGGCTCATGTCGCACTTTCCTAGCCCCAGCCCTGGAATCAGCCATTTTGTCAAGACATGCTGGTGAATTTCAAGCACCTTCTAGGAGCGATTCAAACACTAGAACTGTGCACCCGGGAAGCACATTCCACTTTGGTGGCACCTACTCCAGGCACATGCCTGTGCTCTAGTGACCCATTGCAGTCATGTCCCAAGGACGTGGTGTCCATTTTTTGAATTTTATCATCTTCACCCATTTCCATTTTACTTAAAATAAATTCTATTCCTTCCAGGCCTGGTGGCTCATGCGTGTAATCCCAGCACTTTGGGAGGCTGAGGTGGGAGGACTGCTTTAGTCCTGGAATTTGAGACCAGCTTGGGCAACATAGTGAGACCAGTCTCTATAAAAATAAAAATTAAAAAAAAAAAATTAGTCAGGTGTGATGGCAGATGCCTGTAGTTCCAACCACTCAGGAGACTGAGGTGGGAGGATCACTTGAGCCAGGGAGGTCCAGGGTGCAGTAAGCTGTGATCATACCATTGCACTCCAGCCTGGGCAACAGAGCAAGACCCTGTCTCAAAAAATATATATATATATTATATTCCCTGACATCCACCCTAAATTTCTTTTGATTGTCTTCTGTTTCTTCAATGCTCAAAGACTTTTTTTTTTGAGATGGAGTCTCACTCTGTCGCCAAGGCTGGAGTGCAGTGGTGCAATCTTGGCTCACTGCAACCTCTGCCTTCTGGGTTCAAGCAATTCCCCTGCCTCAGCCTCCTGAGTAGCTGGGATTACAGGCATGCGCCACCATGCCCGGCTAATTTTTTTGTATTTTTAGTAGAGACAGGGTTTCACCATATTGGCCAGGCTGGTCTCAAACTCTTGACCTTGTGATCCACCCGCCTTGGCCTCCCAAAGTGCTGGGATTACAGGCATGAGTCACTGTACCTGGCCTGTTCTAAGACTTTTTATAGTGAACTATATAAAGTAGATTGTGACATAGATTGTTCTTGATTTTGTGTCTTATTGTGTTTGGAAAATAAGCATTATATTTAGGCCTGATGCGGTGGCTCTTATCTGTAATTCCAGTGCTTCGGGAGGCCAGGGCAGGAGAAACACTGGAGGCCAGGAGTTTATGATAAGCCTAGGCAACATAATTAGATCCTGTCTCTACGAAAATAAAAAAATTAGCCAGGTGTGATGATGCACCCCTATGGGAGGCTGAGGCAGGAGGATCACTTGAGGCCAGGAGTTCGAGGCTGCAGTGAGCTATGATTGCACCACTGCACTTTAGCCTGGGTGACAGAACGAGATCCTGTCTCCAATAATAATAATAATAATAATAATAATAATAATAATAATGTTCAATAGTCTGCCTGGGAAACAATTAGGAATTGTTGGTGTGCAGACTTGGAGTAAAGCTGTAGGTAGCCATGGCAATGTTAAATCCACATTGTTGTAGAGCCTGTCTGGGGCTGTCCAAGCCCATCTCACAAGCACAGCATCTTTCTCTCTTGGACAGAAGCTTGATGTAGGAGTGGGAAGCATCTGAGTGTGAAATTTGACTTGTCGCATCATGTTTGAGTGATTTTGGGAAAATACCCAAAGTCTGTGAAATTGAGAGTCCCTATGCTCGATGTGAGAATGGTACCCATGGCCAGGGTGATTTGAGACAAAAGTTCTTGCCATCCAGCACTTTGCGAGAAGGAGGGAATCTTAGCTCAGCCCTCTCCCATGTGCTCCTTCCTGTGGGCAGTGGCTCCTGGTCTTCGGGAAATGATGCAGCTTAATCAAAGGGGCTGCGTCCACAGATCTGTTCACCAACCTGCAGGTTCGAGAAGATGATCAGTGGCCTGTACCTGGGGGAGCTTGTCAGGCTTATCTTGCTGAAGATGGCCAAGGCTGGCCTCCTGTTTGGTGGTGAGAAATCTTCTGCTCTCCACACTAAGGGCAAGATCGAAACACGGCACGTGGCTGCCATGGAGAAGTAAGCAAGTCCCTCTGCCTTGGCTCTGTGGAGGGCTGGGATGGGAGGCCCAGGTGTGGGGTGCTCCATGTGGTAGGACAGCAGGAGGGACTAGATCCTCCTCCTTCACCAGGAAGATTTCAGACCTGGGCATGGCTTCAGATGGGTTAGCAATTTCTGCCATGACTCAGATGAGAGGTTCTTGTTGGTTTCATCAGTGAGGGACTCTGCTGTCAGAGGGCCACCCTCTTCCCATGTTCTGTTGCCTTCTTGTTAAAGTGGTAACTTGTAGCATTTTTAGGATCACAGATCCTTTTGAGAACTTTATTCAGGTTCTAGACCCTTAGCCCCGAAAATGTACATTCACACACAAGTTTGCTTACAATATCAGGGCATCCTTGGACACTAAGCTCATTGTGGAATCCAAGTCCAGAACTCCTGTGATAGCAGAGCCTTCTCCACCTGCTCCCATCAGGAACTGGCTTTGAATGTGGTGATGTGAGGCCTTACACACAGGTCCCTCGCATGGAGCTGGCTGGTGAAGGCTGCAGGTGACGGCGGCTGGCCCCGGTGTGACTGCATTGCCGTCCAGCACATCTGAGGGTCCTGCTCCTCAGGCTTAGAAATCTTGGCATCGCCTTGACTTTGTGATCAGTTTAGATTCTGAGCTCAGCCACGTGGCGCTGACCTGCAGCATCTATGTCTATGCAGAACTTGGCAGGGACAGAATTTCCGTGAAAGTCAGCATAGCACAGGGTGATTAAAAGTGTGGGTGCTAGAATCTAACTGCTAAGTTCAAATCTCGGCTCTAGCCCTTACTAGCTGTGTAGCCAAGGACAAGTTACTCAACCTTTCTGCACTCACATCTCTCATCTGTACGACAGGGTAATGACGGTGCCTCCCGCAGGATTTTTGTGGGCGTTGAAGGAGTTACTATGTGTAAAATCCTTAGACAAGTACCTGGCTCATGGTGACTGCTCAGTTAGTGGCAGCTGCTACTATCAATGTTGATATTGTTATTTTTATTCTATACCATGGACCTGCCTATTAATTTTCACAATCCTGAGAGGTGGAGAAGCTTGTTCCCCCAGGAGGATACCAGTGGGATGGAGAAGTGTCGTTCACTCATTCCTGTCCCCTGGCCAGGTATAAAGAAGGCCTTGCTAATACAAGAGAGATCCTGGTGGACCTGGGTCTGGAACCGTCTGAGGCTGACTGCATTGCCGTCCAGCATGTCTGTACCATCGTCTCCTTCCGCTCGGCCAATCTCTGTGCAGCAGCTCTGGCGGCCATCCTGACACGCCTCCGGGAGAACAAGAAGGTGGAACGGCTCCGGACCACAGTGGGCATGGACGGCACCCTCTACAAGATACACCCTCAGTGAGTGCTGCCTGCCATCCACGCCCCCACAAATGAGTCTCCCTGGAGCAGGGCCCCAGTGTCTTCTGGACTATCCTGCCTATCTGGGGTCTGGAACCAACAACCCCTCTTGTTGGTTCTGAGATTACAAGGGAAAAGGTGAATCCAGGGCCTGCATTCATCTAGCTGGCTGGGTTGCTTTTGGGGATTACTCTTAAAGAAATATTCTGCTAAAGCCAATTGCCTAATTAGGAATGCTGTCCATCCATGTATCTATGTCCACCCATCCATCACCCGCCCATTCATCTCTCCATTCATTCTTCCATCTAGCCATTATTTACTGAACACCTACTATGTGGTTAAGGCTGGGAAGTAAGATACACCTAGTCATAGATGGGGAAAAATAGAGATGGCACAGGTTGCCAAGATTATGGGAAGGGTCCTGGTAGGAAAACACAGGGAAATGGGAATTTTCCAGAAGGAAGGAGAGTGAAAGCCCCTTTGGCTACCGGGGTGGACTTGGAAGTCAAGTGGTTACACCCTGGAAAGAGCTGAGAAAGAAAATCCTTCTCTTTGGACAGAAATGATGTTCAGCCAATACATTATGCACAGACTGGTTGAAATGTTCGTTGACAGAATAAGCACTTCCCCGAGCCTCCCAAGTGCCTTCCACTGCCCCAGCTTCTTAGTCCCTCCCTCCTCTCATCCCCTCCCCTCCCTACCATCAGCAAATAAAGGGCTGAGCCCCGCCCCGCAGGGCCCTCCGGGACTGGGTTTACTGCTGCCCCTGGGTCTGTGCCTGAGCCTGGCCTTTATGATTGCTAAATATTTTGCCATCACCCCTGCTTCAGGTACCCAAAACGCCTGCACAAGGTGGTGAGGAAACTGGTCCCAAGCTGTGATGTCCGCTTCCTCCTGTCAGAGAGTGGCAGCACCAAGGGGGCCGCCATGGTGACCGCGGTGGCCTCCCGCGTGCAGGCCCAGCGGAAGCAGATCGACAGGGTGCTGGCTTTGTTCCAGCTGACCCGAGAGCAGCTCGTGGACGTGCAGGCCAAGATGCGGGCTGAGCTGGAGTATGGGCTGAAGAAGAAGAGCCACGGGCTGGCCACGGTCAGGATGCTGCCCACCTACGTCTGCGGGCTGCCGGACGGCACAGGTGGGCCAGCACAGCCTCCCTCTCTGAACAGCCATCCAGGGCTCCCGTCAAAACTCCTTAAAGCCAGTGAGGTTCTTGGTTTTTAGAAACTTGGGTTCACGTCTCTAATGGAGGGCAAGAGTAAGAAGAAGGCTAGTATTCTTTCTAAATCTGTTGGCCTTTGTTAACCCAAGGCATTTGCAGTAAAAACAAAACAAATAAACAAACAAAAACACAAAAAGCCTACATTAGGTTATGTGTGTGCACTTATGTGTGTGTAGATGAGAACATGAGTGTACCCCCCCCGACCCCCAGATCCTGACCCCAGGAACTTTGTTTTAGATGCCTGAGATTGCCTGGGCTTGTCTTCCTGCTGCTTCTCTGGCTCTGTTCTCTTCTGCAGCTTGGCTCACTTCCCTTTCCCTCTCATTGCTTCTGCCCCCAACTTCTCCAACCCTTGATCCTTCTGGTCCTCGGTGCTCAGCCAAAAGAAGCCACTAAGTAGTGAAATCAGTTCTTCAGACAAATTATTTTACCTCTTTGAATCTCACGAGACTCTTCCGGAAATAATGACCTTAGTAAAATGCTTTACATCTTATAATTTGCTTTTGAACCTTTCATTTCATTTCATCCTCACAACCACTTGGAACGTTACCAAAGAGGAAATGGTTCCCATTTTATGGATGCCATACCTGAGACTTACAGAGGCTAGATGACCTACTCAAGGTCCAACAGCTGTACTTGGGATCTCTTAACTGAGAGCAGTAAAAGACACTGTTTATTTTATTTTTATTTTTATTTTTTTTGAGACGGAGTCTCGCTCTGTCACCCAGGCTGGAGTGCAGTAGCGTGATCTCCGCTCACTGCAAGCTCCGCCTCCCAGGTTCACACCATTCTCCTGCCTCAGCCTCCCGAGTAGCTGGGACTACAGGCGCCCAGCACCACACCCGGATAATTAATTTTTTGTATTTTTAGTAGAGATGGGGTTTCACTGTGTTAGCCAGGATGGTGTCGATCTCCTGACTTCGTGATCCACCTGCCTCGGCCTCCCAAAGTGCTGGGATTACAGGCGTGAGCCACCGCGCCAGACCGGAGGCCCCTTGAGTATAAGAATCATGCATTTCCTTGACTGGATGCCCTGTACCGTTCCTTGGGGCTCCCGAGAAGGCTGTCAGTCAGTGAAGCTGAAAGAGCCTTCAGAGGTTCAGTCTCCTGATTTTGCAGATGTGGAAGGATGGGACCTTGCCTCTCTTGCTCAAGATAAAAAGCCATTTCTCAGAAGCCCCAGGTCCCTTGACTCCAGGCCAGGGCTCTTTTCACGGCACCTCACTGGCGATAGTGTAGGTGGTGCCTGGGACTTTACCACAGAAGTGGAGGCCAAGGAAAGCAGCCTGGCCTCACGCAGGCTCAAGATGCCTGCCCGGGGCCCGGGCACTGTGCAGGGTGGCCCCCACGACCCTCTGGTCTATGAGGCCCAGGAGTGCAGGCCCTGGGTCCGCTCTGCTCCGACGTCTCCTCTTCCTCCCAATGCCCCGACACAAGTCCCTGTCATGGAATGCAGCTGCTGCTTTCTCCATCACAGAGAAAGGAAAGTTTCTCGCCCTGGATCTTGGGGGAACCAACTTCCGGGTCCTCCTGGTGAAGATCAGAAGTGGACGGAGGTCAGTGCGAATGTACAACAAGATCTTCGCCATCCCCCTGGAGATCATGCAGGGCACTGGTGAGGAGGTAAGTGCCAGGCAAGGCCTTTGGGCTCCGAGGTGCCAGCCTGCCACCCTGCATCGATGTCCGCCTGGTGTGAATGCCGCTCTCTCTCTCTCTGCAGCTCTTTGATCACATTGTGCAGTGCATCGCCGACTTCCTGGACTACATGGGCCTCAAGGGAGCCTCCCTACCTTTGGGCTTCACATTCTCATTTCCCTGCAGGCAGATGAGCATTGACAAGGTAAGATAGCCCCACCAGGCTCACGGCCAGCCCAGTGGGCTTCCTTCCTCTTCTGGGACCATCTCCAGGTAACTCCCAGCCTGCCTTCATTTTTACAGGGATCTTGGGTTCAGGGCAGCTGGGAACACATGATAGAGAATTTCAACAATTTAATTTTTAATCAATTTATCACGATTTTTTAGACTGACCATTCACAAGAGAATTTAGAGTAGTATGCAATAAAGGGACATGTGCATAATATTCCTACTAAAAGAGAGGTCGAATCATATTATGGAGAGAGGGAGAAAGAGGTAATGTCCAGTGAAGGCCAGTTATAACAATTGGGCAGTAATACGATCTGTGTCTTTCTGGACAGCCATGTAAACAGGGAATTACAATGGGTTTTTATCGTCTGATGAAAGAAATCTTGCCAGCACATCACAAGAAATACATTTCTTTTTTTTTTTTTTTTTTTTTTTTGAGACAGAGTTTTGCTCTTGTCACCCAGGCTGGAGTGCAAGGGCGTGATCTCGGCTCACTGCAACCTCTGCCTCCTGGGTTCAAGCAATTCTCCTGCCTCAGCCTCCCAAGTAGCTGTGATTACAGGCACCTACCTCCACGCCTGGCTAATTTTTTGTATTTTTAGTAGAGATGGGGTTTCACCATGTTGGCAAGGCTGGTCATGAACTCCTGACCTCAGGTGATCTACCTGTCTCGGCCTCCCAAAGTGCTAGGATTACAGGTGTGAGCCACCACACCCGGCCTACTTTATAAGTTTTGAAATCAGGAAATGTGAGTTCTCTTTCTTCTTATTCAAGATTGTTTTGGCTATTCGGCACTCCTTCCATTTTCATATGAATTTTAGAAGCAGCTTGTCAATTTCTGCAAAGAAGCCAGCTGAGATTTTCATAGGAATTGAGTTGAACCTATATATTAATTTGGGGAGTTTGCCACCTTAACAATAGCGAGTTCCAATCCATGAACATGGGATATCTTTCCATTAATTTAGGTCTTCTTTATTTTCTTTCAACAATCCTTTGTAGTTTTCAGAGTAAAAGTCTATACTTCTCTTGTTTATTCCTAAGTAATTTGTGCTTTTTGATGCTATTATAAATGGAATTGTTTTCTTTTCTTTTTTTTTTTTTTGAGACAGAGTCTCACTCTGTTACTCAGGCTGGAGTACACTGATGTGATCTCAGCTCACTGCAACCTCTGCCTCCCGGGTTCAAGTGATTCCCCTGCCTCAGTCTCCCGAGTAGCTTGGATTACAGGTGTGTGCCACCACAACTGGCTAATTTTTGTATTTTTAGTAGAGATGGGGTTTCACCATGTTGGCCAGGCTGGTCTTGAACTCCTGACCTCAGGTAATTCACCTACCTCAGCCTCTCATAGTGCTGGGATTACAGGCGTGAGCCACTGTGCCTGGCAAGAAATGCATTTCTTTTCTAATATTAGTATCTCAGAAGCAATTGATCACATGGCCACTTTAGCTGACATTGAAGAACATCATAGTTTATCATTTAATAGATAATTCATAAATATGGAGACATTTATTACAAAATCTTTCCTGTAATTCTAGGGTAAAAACACCCAGGGTTGTCCAGGTGTGGTGGCTCATCTCTGTAATCCTAGCACTTTGGGAGGTCGACATGGAAGGATTGCTTGAGGCCAGGAGTTCAAGACCAGCCTGGGCAACATAGTGAGACCCTGTGTCTTAAAAAACAAACAAACAGGCCGGGAGCGGTGGCTCATGCCTATAATCCTAGCACTTTGGGAGGCCAAGACGGGTGGATCACGAGGTCAGGAGATGGAGATCATCCTGGCTAACATGGTGAAACCCCGTCTCTACTAAAAATACAAAAAAATTAGCCCGGCGTGGTGGCAGGTGCCTGTAGTCCCAGCACTTGGGAGGCTGAGGCAGGAGAATGGCGTGAACCCAGGAGGCGGAGCTTGCAGTGAGCTGAGATCGTGCCACTGCACTCCAGCCTGGTGACAGAGCGAGACTCTGTCTCAAAAAAAAAAAAAAAAAAAACTGTAGCCAGGCATGGTGGCACATGCCTGTGGTCCCAGCTACTGGAGAGTATGAGGTGGGAGGATCACTTGAGCCCAGGAGATTGAGGTTCCAGGGAGCTATGATCACACCACTGCACTCCAGTTTGGGCAACAGAGACTCCATCTCTATTAAAAACAAAAACAAAAACAAAAACACACACAACAAGCAAGCCAAGTACAGTGACTCATGTCTGTAATCCTAGCACCGTGGGAGGCCAAGATGGGAGGATCACTTGAGTCCAGGAGTTTGAGACCAGCCTGGACAATATAGCAAGACCCCATCTCTAAACGTGTGTGTGTGTGTGTGTGTGTGTGTGTGTGTGTGTGTGTGTTTCTGTGTGTAAAAACAAAAAATCACCCAGGCTTAACTTTATGTGTAATGAATAAAGATTTTTAATTGGGAAGCTAAGACACAGGAAGGTCAGTATTGTGTGTTTTTTGCATGGTTTTTTTGGTAAACTAGCTTGACCAAGAGGTAGAGCTTAGAAGTGGGGACTAGACACTGGGCTAAGCTCTTAGACTCCCCAGAGCTCCAGTGGGTCATGGGGCCTCGGCCTGGAGCTGACAGTGGGTGAGTGAGGCTGGGCCTTTGCATGAGGCTGGGGCAGAGCTGTCTGTTCTGCAGATGGAGGGAGACAGTTTGCAGCCTCTGCCAGTGCCCACACAGAAAGCCTCCGGGCAGGGACATGTCCTTCTGCAGGGGCTTGGGAGCAGGCCCAGATGAGGCCACACAGAGAGGCCCAGTGTCCTTCCTAAGGTCAGAAAACACAGTGTTCGAGAGCACAGGCTCTGGGGTTATGGGCTCCTGTTTTGCAAACCTGTCTCTACTGTTTCCCATATGAATAACCTTGAGCAGATTATTTAACTTCTCTGAGGCATGGTTTCCCCATTGGTGAAAATGGAGGAACATGGTGAGGACTAAATGAGCTCGTGTGTGTAAAATGCATAGCGTGGGTCTAGCACCTGGCAGGCACTCAAATCCTAGTATCATCCTTCACTTTCGAGGCAGCATAGGATTGAAATTCAGCCTGGAAAAGGCCAAGAGGAATCCAGTGCTGGTAATGGTGGTGAGGAAGGGGTGCACTGTCGCCAGGGCCTGACATCATAGCGGTGAATTCTCTGCAATCCCTGGCCTCAGCTTCACAGACAGACTCACCAGCTTGTGGAGAGGAGCTCTGTCTTTCTGACAGACTCTCATCAGCCAAGCTTCCGAGACTGGCATAAAGCAGAATACAGCTTCCTAAATTTATGGTAGAACTCTGGTCAGCTCAGCAGGTCAACCAGAGAGCTCAGGACAATAATAAGGGTAGCACCAAAGATGCACTAAGATTTTGTCCAGGGCCAGGAGCAGTGGCTCACTCCTGTCATCCCAGAACTTTGGGAGGCTGAGGCAGGCAGATCACTTGAGGTCAGGAGTTTGAGACCAGCCTGGCCAACATGGCGAAACCCCATCTCTACCAAAAATACAAAAATTAGCTGGGTATGGTGGCGGGTGCCTGCAATCTCAGCTATTTGGGTGGCTGAGGCAGGAGAATCGCTAGAACTCAGGAGGTGGAGGTTGCAGTGAGCTGAGATTACACCACTGCACTCCAGCCTGGGCGACAGAGAAGACTCAGTCTCAAAAAGAGAAAAAAAAAATTTTTTTAACCATTTTCTTATTGTGGTAAAATACACATAACATAAATTTCCCACTGTGACTATTTTTTAAATGCACACTTCTATGACATGAAATACATCCACATTTTTGTGCAGCCATCACCACCATCCATCTCTTAAACTTTTTCTTTTCCATCTGAATTTCTGTACTCATTGAGCGCTGATTCCCTAGTCCTCCTTCCCCCAGACCCTTGGCTTCTCTACTTATTGGCTGTGTGACCTTGGGCAAGTCATTTAATCTCCCTGTTCCTTGGTTTCCTCATCTGAAAATGATTACAAAAATAGAACTCATTTTATAGGTGTGTTTTGTGGTTTTATTTTCGTGCAATTATATTCAAGGAATATTTTGCTCAGTGAAGGAATGTGGCACATCCATATAAATGGCCTGGAAGGATCTGGAAGATACATTATTGAATTAGAAAAAAAAATTGCAATAGTTCACACACAGCGTGAATTTACTTACTTAAAAATATGTGTAATTTCACCCCTGAAATAAGAAATGGTGGGAAAAAGAAAAAAATACTAATAAATGGAGAGGAAAAGGTCTGGAAGGATTAATATCAGACTAATGGCAGAGGTTACCTCTCAGATTGGGAGGATGGGAGTTGAAGGGAACTCTATCCTTATCAGTAACATTTTAATTTTTTACACTACTAATGCATTCCTGCATTGCTGCTGCCATTAAAAATTAATACACCATCCGGGAGGGTGCCGTGTGCAGCTGTCTGCGGTCCTGACGGGGCACCAGGACACAGCTACTGCTCCTGACTCAGGACACTGGGCCTTTGGGCCTCTCTCCCAGCAGCTCTGAAGGTGTCGTGAAGACACAGTGAAGAAGGAGGGGAGACCCGTGGGCAGCTAAAAGTAAAGATACCCATGGTTGGGGAGAAAAAAGAGAGACGTCAAAAAATAGATTAGTTTTGTGTAATTGCAATCAGTAAGAGAGGTTTCCCAGTTGGGAGTGTCTCTCTAATGTTCTACACATACCAACCAGGAAAGGAGCCAGCCAGGGGTCCAGTTTCCCAAGAACTATGGAGGGAAGGAGGGAGACTGGGGCTTGTGGGCTAACAGCCTCAGGGTGAGGCGGCATCCAGCCACGGGGCTGACGGCACTGCCATCAGATTTTCTCACTGCCTTTCCTGTCCCAGAGCTTCTCCTGGCCTAGACACCCTAGCTCTGCCTGCCTTCACCCCCCTGGCTTTCTAGATGATGGAGTGCGAGGCTAGACTAACTCCTGCCTCAGGCTAACAATGTAACTTTGGGCTTCCTTTTGAGAATTAAAAATACTACTTTCGGGCTGGGCACATCGGCTCACCCCTGTAATCTCAGCAATTTGGGAGGCCGAGGAGGGTGGATCACTTGAGGTCAGGAGTTCAAGACCAGCCTGGCCAACATGATGAAACCTCGTCTCTACTAAAAATACAAAAATTAGCCAGGCGTGGTGGTGTGTGCCTGTAGTCCCAGCTACTCAGGAGGCTGAGGCACGAGAATCGCCTGAACCTGGGAGGCAGAGGTTGCGGTGAGTTGAGATCACACCATTACACTCCAGCCTAGGCAACAGAGTAAGAATCTGTGTCAAAAAAAAAAAAAACAAAAAAAACCTACTTTCTCAGTATTATAAAAATCATATATGTTAATTTTAATTTCAGAAAAATTAGAAAATATAGACAAACAAAAAGGAGAGAGGAAAAGTGATGCATAATTTTGCACCCAGAGAGAGCCACTGTTAACCCTTTTGGTGTATATATTATTCCAGTCCTTTCTCCAAGTGCGAGTGTATATGTGTGTATGAGTGTAATTTTAAAAATAAAAATAGAATAATTCACTATCTGTATTTGTTTGACGTGCTTTCAATTAACAGTGTGTGGAAAACACCTTTCTCTCACATCAAATGTTCTCTTACAGTGTAATTCTTTATGGGTGTATATCATGTCCCATATCGAGGTACAGGATGATAGATCCATACTGTTGGAGTTTTAGGATACCTCTAGTTTTTCACTGTGAAACATGCTTTGATAAACATTTGGTAGCTTTGCCTTTGATCACATTGTAATCTGTCCTTGACTAAGTTAGAAGTAGGATCATGGCCAGATGTGGTGACTCATGCCTGTAATTCCAGCACTTTTGGAGGCCAAGTCAGGCGGATCACCTGAGGCCAGAGGTTTGAGACCAGCCTGGCCAACATGGTGAAACCCCATCTCTACTAAAAAATACAAAAGTTAGCTGGGCGTGGTGGCACATGCCAGTAATCCCAGCTACTTGGGAGGCTGAGGCAGGAGAATTGCTTGAACCCGGGAAGTGGAGGTTGTAGTGAGCCGAGATCACGCCATTGCACTCCAGCCTGGGAGACGAGTGAAATTCTATCTCAAAAAAAAAAAGAAAGAAAGAAAAAAGAAGAAGTAGGATCACTATGATCCTAGGCCTTTATTCCGCGTAATCATGGCCAGGGAACATGATTTGACCCTTGAGGAGTATGAATTGCTGCAATGATTCCACTCAGTGATAGACCTTGTCTGAGTGTTGTGCTCTGTGATGCTGCTGTGCCCAGGGTTAGGGTTGTGGAGGTGGAGGCATAGTCAAAAGCACACGTACTTGACAAGCAGCCAGCTATAGTGCTTTGCATCTGTTGGATGTTGAGGTTGTGCAGTGGCCCTAGCAAACTATTGCTCAAATGAATTTCCCCTCCTTTCTTTCAGGGAACACTCATAGGGTGGACCAAAGGTTTCAAGGCCACTGACTGTGAAGGGGAGGACGTGGTGGACATGCTCAGGGAAGCCATCAAGAGGAGAAACGTAGGATGTGGTGTTGAGGCTCATGCCTGCTCTTGCTGCCTTCCCCAGGCCCCTCTGCTCTGCCATCCTCTGCCCAGTTCCTATGACTCTGGCCTCTGTCTGCCTTGGGATAACATGCCCCTCCTAAACCTGTTTGGCTTGCACATTCAACTCATAGTAAAGCTGGGTTTTTTTTGTTTTTGTTTTTGTTTTTAGGAGTTTGACCTGGACATTGTTGCAGTCGTGAATGATACAGTGGGGACCATGATGACCTGTGGCTATGAAGATCCTAATTGTGAGATTGGCCTGATTGCAGGTAGGTGGTCAGGCATGGCCCATTGGCCTAATCCCACTGTATCCATTGATGGTTTCCTTTTAACATAGTGAGAGGGTGGGCATTGTTCCATTATACAGAGGCTCTGCCCAAGGCAGAGATGAAGTTACAATTGGGATTCCAGGTCACCAAGTTCTTTCTGCATTAAGAGTCCTAAGCCAAGGTCATCCTTTCTATTGAGGAAGGATAATGACACAGGAAGAAGAGATTTTTAAATAAGGACCTTGGGGCCAATTGTCATGGGGGGGGGAAGGAGACTACAGTTGGATCATCTTGGCCTGGGGCTGAGGGAGCTATTATAGATTTTCACTCTGGCTCCAATGTGTGCCTCTTCTGTTCTCTGAATTCTTCTGGTTCTCAGGGTGCACAGGAAGGAGAGGAGCTGGAAAGAAACTTAGAAGAGGGGAAAGGAGTGGCCTGATACAGGCATTTTAGGGGTCTTTGGGAGAAGTCTGGCAGTGATTAAGGCCAAGGGTAGATTCTAGGGGGATGTTCTCTCTAAGAGGGGTAGAATGGGTAGGATTGGAACAGGTGGAGATGGGGACAAAAGGCATTCCAGGTGATAGGCACAGGCTAAGTAATGATAGAACCTAGAAAAGTTGTTCCATTTGATCATCTGGGCTTTCTGGATATAAGCAGCAGGTGGAACAAGGAGATGGGGATGTACTGAGTTATCTCCCATGCCAGGTAAGAGGTTTCCTCTCACTCTAACTCTTACCCACTTTGTGAGCTTGGGCAGGTGGCTTATTCTGTCTGACTTGAGTTTCTTCATCCGTGGGAGGGATTGGGCTAGATCTAGGAGAGCAAAGAGGTGAGGCCTGTTGATTGACTAAAATACTTGCCTGGACTGCTGGGCTGAGAATAGTTCTGAGGCCAAGTCATGGGCAAGGAAGAAGAGGGTGGCTCACAGATGCCAAGCATTTGCTTGTCCAAGACTAGATGATTCCTCATGGTCCCTTCCAGCTCTGACTGCTAATTTTACGACTGCTTGGAAGCTTTGTGTGCCTATGGCTTAACAAAGATAATGATGATGATGATGATGATGAAGTCAGCAGGTACCGTTTATTGAATGCTTACCATGTGAAGGAAACTTAAAGATATCACTTCATAACAAACCCATAGGCAGGTATTATTTCCTCCTCAGAAATGAAGAAACTGAGCCTCTGAAAGATGAGATGCTTGCCCAAGGTTAGCCAGCTATGACTGTAAAGCTGGAATCGCATCCAGTTGTATCTGACTCCAAGCTTAAATTCTTATTTGCTGCACTCTGCCACCTTTCTAAAACCTGGTGATGTCTTTGAAGACTAAGGTTCCTTCACAATTCCTTCTAGGAACAGGCAGCAACATGTGCTACATGGAGGACATGAGGAACATCGAGATGGTGGAGGGGGGTGAAGGGAAGATGTGCATCAATACAGAGTGGGGAGGATTTGGAGACAATGGCTGCATAGATGACATCTGGACCCGATACGACACGGAGGTGGATGAGGGGTCCTTGAATCCTGGCAAGCAGAGGTGAAGAGGGTGGATGTGTGCATTTATGTGGGTTGTGTAGTGAACAACACTACCAGACCTAAGGGGGTACCATAGACAGCATAGCTTTGTGTGCTTATTACAGCTGTCGAATGTCAGTGAAATATCCTATTGGAACAAAAGAAAAATATGATGACAAGTTTGCAACAGGTAAAGGGGAAAAGTCCCTTTTTCTAATTACCATAAGGCCCCATAAGGTCTAGTGGTGGTTCTGGAAGTGAGGCAGAGGCTGCCAGCATGTTCATTCACCAAGGGCATGGTAACTCAGTGAGCCTTCTTGAGATGGGCTTTTAATAAGTCTCTTTCAGAGGCCAACATCCTCAGGCCTTCAAGAGCTGGCTACCAGGTTGGTGACCTTTTCTGGGAGTGGGGAAGTGGCCACCTGTGATGGATGAGAGTGCTGGTTCTCGACCATGATGTCATGTCCCACCACGGGTCACAATCACTTGTGAGGTGTATTCCAATGACTAACCACATGAAAAATACTGAAAATAATGAATGGCCTAAAAAATAAATTAGAGTAGATTTCACTTGCATTATGATATTATGAGAGAAAGGGGTAGCAGAGCTAGAGCTGGCATGTGATATTAGTCCATTCTCCCGTTGCTGTAAAGAACTACCTGAGACTGGGTAATTTATGAAGAAAAGAGGTTTAATTGGCTCACAGTTCCACAGGCTGTGCAGGAAGCATGGCTGGGAGGCCTCAGGAAACTTACCATAATGGCAGAAGGTGAAGGGGAAGCAGGCACGTCTTACATGGCTGGAGAAGGAGGAAGAAAGAGTGAAGGGGGAGGCGTTACACACTATTAAAATAACCAGATCTTGTGAGAACCCACTCACTATCACCAGAACAACAGGGGGGAAATCCACCCCCATGATCCAGTCACCTCCCAGCAGGCCCCTCCTCCAATACTGGGGATTGTAATTCAACATGAGATTTTGGTGGGGACATAAATCCAAATCATATCACATGCTAAAATTTGATTATTAACCCAGGCCCATCCACTAGAAGAGGAGTTGGCACACTTATTCTGTAAAAGAACAGATAGTAAATGTTTTAGGTTTTGCAGGCCATATGGTCTTTATCAAAACTAAGCTCAGTGTCTTAATATAGAAAATAATGGGAAACATAGATTTATTGTTATGGGTGCTATCCAAGTTGAGAGCTTGAGCAGATGGGAAATGTGAGGGGATGCTTAGGCCATGGACACCTTGGGAGCTGTTGAACTGAGAATGTTGTCTAGGAAGAGGCTCAGACAAGACCAAGACTGGCCCTGGTGGTTTCTTTCCTCTTTGGCACCAATCTTGTAACTGGAAGGCAGGTGAGTTGTGGTAAGCCCAGCTGAAGCAAGGATTGCTCCAAAAAGAAGGGACCTTCCCTTTGAATCCCAAGTTGGGGCACCTGAGTGTCATGGCTCTTCCCAAGGGGCAGTTCATTCTAGTTAGCTTTGTGTCTGTAGCCACTGAAGGCTCACATTTTTGGATTGAGGTTTTAAGGGGGCAGCACCTTTGAACTTGCCTTGAAATCACCATTTTTTGTTCTGGTGTTAATTCCCTTAGGCTGATGAGGTCTTGAGCAGTTAAGAGAACCCAAGCCCAGCACATAAATGCTTCCCATTTGACTCTGCAAGCAGTGGCAGTCTGGCTCTGTGTCACTGTTGTTAATGATGATGTGTGTCACCATCACACACCCTGTGCAGAGTGCCTGGTCAGTACAAGGCCCCTTTTCTCTCTTGCTCTCTTGACCCTCATGGAGCTCACGGTCTGGTAGAAAGGAGGAAGGGAATTAATGCTTTTGAGCACCCCTGGTGCATGCAGACAGTTTCAATGTGTTAACTCACAGAGTAGAATTTGCAGAGTGGAACAGATTTGTAGCACAAAGCCAAGGAGAATTGGCTTTGGGGCCAAGACCAGGGACTAAATTTTGCTTAGTGCCCACTGTACCCAGATGCTTGCCTCCTAACAGTCTTGTAGGGGCGCTACTCTTCTCCCTGTTTTGTAGATGATAGCTTGCAGTGCTTGCTCACATCAAGCAGCTAGTATGTGGCAGAGCTAGGATCTGGATCTTGCTCCATGCGTAGCTCCAAAGCCTGGCCTTCTCACATCATGTGGTCTTCTGCATTGCAGGTCTGCCCCAACCTTATCCTTCTTCTCCAAACAGATACGAGAAAATGACCAGTGGGATGTACTTGGGGGAGATTGTGCGGCAGATCCTGATCGACCTGACCAAGCAGGGTCTCCTCTTCCGAGGGCAGATTTCAGAGCGTCTCCGGACCAGGGGCATCTTCGAAACCAAGTTCCTGTCCCAGATCGAAAGGTGACCTGTGATCAAGTTCATCATGAGGCTCTGACTGGCATATGCTGCCACCACGCTGGGGTTGGGCCAATTTGAGGTTTAAAAATAAAAACAGAAAGGCCCTGGCTGGGTAAGGGATTGCCTCCTGGGGCTGCTCTTCTCTTTCCAACTGATTCAGGATCGCTTTCAACAATAATAAACTCATGGCCAAACTGGGCTCATCTATAAAGTCCTGCTGTCCCCATCCTCAGGCTGGGCTAATTTGAAACAAACCCCACATCTTACATCAGTTCATCTATAAATATTTCATAATGTATTTCTGAAATATAAGGATTCTTAATAAAACATAACTACAGTACCATTATCACACTTAAAAAGCTAATGATAAACCTCAATCTCACAAAATATCCTGTTAGTGTTCTTATTTCCTGAATTGCCAAAAATTAATGGTTTTTACAGTTCTTTTGTTTGCATCAGTATCCAGACAAAGTTTATAAACTGCATTTGGTTGATATGCTTAAAGAATCTCTTTTAATCTATGGGTTTCCTCTCCCTCTCTTACTTTCCCTTGCAATGTATTTGTTGAAGAAACTGTTGTCTTATCTATGAGTTTCCTGTATTCTAGATTTTGTGGATTGCAGCATTTAGCATTTTCCTCTGTCTTCTTGTATTTCCCAAAAACTCATAGTTAGACCCAGATGCTTAATTAGATTCAGTAGTGAATTCTGGACAAGAATATTTTCTAGGTGGCATTGAGTTGTCTGTCTGTCTCTCTTTCTTTTAGGATGTTATCAGTCATTGATGCATATTGCCTGGATCTATTATTTCACTAGACATCGTAAATGGTGATGATTCCTGCAGTTATTAGCTGGAATACTTCTAGAAAGAGGAACTTTCCCCTATCAACTCTTTGGTGTAATTATCATTTTGAATGGCTGCATATTATACTATGTTACTGTACTATAATTTACTAAACTTTCCCTTTAATATAGGATGTCTAGTTTGTAATTTATAAATTCCTGTTATTCTGAGTAACACCATAGTTTTTCTTTTAGTACACATAGTCATTTGAATACAGTAAATCATTTCCTTAGTAGTAGAAACATTTGGTTAAAAGAGTATTTCACCATGGGCGCAGTGTTTTTTTTTTTAAAGTAGTTTCAATTTCCATCACCATCAGTTATGTACAAATGTGTCAGTTTCACTGCTTTTTGTGCTAGCACTGGATGTTATCTGATGCTTTGTGTTTGGATTTTCTCTCCATTTGTGTTCATTCATTTAATTCTCTTGGTCTTTATGGTCAGATGCCCACAAGTGAAAAATCACTTTTCAGCGGGGAAAAAAGAAACACATTATACATGAAAGTGGTTTACTTAATGAGGCAAATCAGATGGGCTGTTTAAGGGGAGTTCTTATTGTTTAAGGAGAGGATGGTGGAATCAGTAACAGCAGCAGCGATTATGTATTTTTGGGGTGTAAATTAGCAAGTGTTCAGCATCCTTCTCCTGTCTAGTCTTCAACCCATCCAATCTGAACAGATGGGTTAAAAATCATCACGCTTGGTGACCAAAGGGATCCTGTTTTGCTGTGTAAAACAGCTTCTCCCTCATAAGCAATAGACCGACAAGTTTACTTATCTTTGCCTTGCTTTTTTTTTTTTCCGTAATAAAAGAAAAGTTGTTCCTAGACAAGCACAAGGTGGTAACACTCTTATGCCACCAGAAAGATTTGCTTCTGCTGCACAAGAGGTGTCTGTTTTGGATGTTTTGATTTCTACAGGTTTCTGTTGTTGTTTTGTTTTTGTTTTCTGAGACAGGGTCTCACTCTGTTGCCTGGGCTGGAGTGCTGTGTTGCAATCACAGCTCAGTGCATCCTCAACCTCCCGGGTTCAAGTGATCCTCCCACCTCAGCTGCCACCACTGCTCCTCTCCCCTGCTCCCATTCCCTGTCAAGTAGCTGGGACTACAGGCACACACCACCACACCTAGCTAATTTTTGTATTTTTTATAGAGATGGAGTTTCACCATGTCGCCCAGGTTGATCTTGAATTCCTGGGCTCAAGCCATCCATCTGCCTAGAACTCCCAAAGTGGTAGGATTACAGGCATGAGCCACCGCGCCTGGCCAGGTTTTGTTTTTTAAAAGCTTCATGGAATAAAAAAAAAATCATATCCACCTAGTGCCAGTGGGAATTGGTAGGTGCTGTGCTGACTGCAGCCCATTTCAAAGCAGTTTGTCAAATGGATGGGACAGTGTTCTCCGGGGGAAGTGCCCTGAATTTACAGTCTTAGAGCTTGAGTTTTAAGATTTATCTCCACTACTTAACCTGTTTATGCTGCGTGACCTGGGGCAGGTTGTTTCACCTCTTTGAACCTCAGTTTCCTGCTTCATAACAGAAATAATTGCCCTGTTGCTTAACCCCCAGGATTGCTCTGAGGATCAGGAAGGGAATGTACTTGAACTAGGTAAGCTGTGAAAGGCTGGGCCCAGGAAGGAATTGCAGGCTTTCTCTTTAGACACACCAGTTAAAAAACCTCTTTTTCTTACTATACAAATGTTATTCATTCATTTTAGAGAATCTAAAAAATACAGATAAACAAAGGAAGAAAAATAAGAATTAAGCTACGTGTGGTGGCTCATGCCTGTAATCCCAGGACTTTGGGAGGCCAAGGCAGGCAGATCACCTGAGGTCAGGTAGCCAACATGGTGAAACTCTGTCTCTACTAAAAATACAAATATTAGCTGGGCATGGTGGTGGGCCTATAATCCCAGCTACTTGGGAGGCTGAGGCAGGAGAATCGCTTGAACCCAGGAAGCGGGTGAGCCGACATCATTGCACTCCAACCTGGGCAACAAGAGTGAAACTCCGCCTCAAAAAGAAGAGAATTACCTGTAATCCTCCCAATGTCTGAATAGATTTCCTTCTGTGTGTGTGTGTGTGTGTGTGTGTGTGTGTGTGTGTGTGTGTGTCTTTTTTTAATCTGGGCAAGGGCAAACATTAAAACAAAAAGCCAGCATCATACAGTGCATAGTATTTTATAATCTATTTTTTCACTATGTCATGAAGATTTTCCATGGTGTGAAATATTCTCACGCAAACTCATCTTTTTTTTTTTTTTGAGACAAGATCTTACGCTATTACCCAGGCTGGAGTACAGTGGTATGATCATGGCTCACTGCAACCTCAAACTCCTGAGCTCAAGCAATCCTCATGCCTCAGCCTCCAAATAGGGACTATAGGCATACACAATCATGTCTGGCTCATTTAAAATTTTTTAGAGATGGGGTCTTGTTATGTAGCCCAGGCTGGTCTCAAATTCCTGGCCTAAAGTGATTCTCCTGCCTCAGCCTCTTAAAGTGCTGGGATTACAGGTGTAAGCCACTGTGCTGGCCACAAACTCATCTTTAAGATCTATGAAGAATTCTATTGTTTGGCTACACCGCCATTTACCTGCTGAATCCCCTGTATGGTCATATAGGTTGTTTCTCAATTGTCTTTCTTGATAACACTCTTCTTCTCTAAGTATTACCTGAGACAGTCAAGGATACAACTTCACATTGCTTGGTGTGGGAGTCAGGGCTCCGTTTAAGTACCATTAGTTCACTGTGAGATGACCAGGGTCTAGACTTGAAGCCAGCCTGCCCCTATGATGGGTGTTTCTCTGCATGTGTTTACAGTCCTATCAGGTTCCCCTTCTCTAAGGTTCTGATTGTATTTTGTATATTCATTTATTCACTTGCTCATTGAATATACCCTGCTGGCTACTACTGAAGATATAGTCTTACTGTCAAAGAGCAGAGAAATGAGAAAAAGGGAAGAAAGTGCAGAGAATCAGAAAAAGTTAAATAGAAGGAAAGTTGGCCTCCAATTGAAGGGGGCCAGAGTGTGGGAGCTGGCACGATTTGTGGGAAAGTGCGAGAGGTGGTGTGAAAAGGCTTGAATTTGAGCCCCTGCTCTCTAACGAGAGGGCACAGCTCTAGCAGGCTGAGCCACAGCCTCCTCTTCTGAAAAATGGGTACCTGGTGTGTTGGTTGCTGCAGCTCATATGGCTTCTAGTGAGATCACAGATATGAACATGCTGAACACCAGAGGCATTCACACTTTATTTTTTAAAGTTGATGGAACTTCCAGGGGTGGTGGACCTTCTTGAGTCTCGGCTTCTAAGGCATTCTGCTCCAGCCTAGCCATTGCCTGGGTCAATTTCTCCTCCCTCCTGTAAGGGCATCTAAGAATGGGGAGGCTGTGGGTCACACTGGGCACATCCCGGGGTCCTGGGAAGCAGGTCCTGACTCCCTGCTCTATTGCCTGCAGCGATCGGCTGGCCCTTCTCCAGGTCAGGAGGATTCTGCAGCAGCTGGGCCTGGACAGCACGTGTGAGGACAGCATCGTGGTGAAGGAGGTGTGCGGAGCCGTGTCCCGGCGGGCGGCCCAGCTCTGCGGTGCTGGCCTGGCCGCTATAGTGGAAAAAAGGAGAGAAGACCAGGGGCTAGAGCACCTGAGGATCACTGTGGGTGTGGACGGCACCCTGTACAAGCTGCACCCTCAGTGAGTGCCCACAAGAGGCGTGGCGGGTGGGGCTGGGGAGGGCTGGCGGCCAAGTGTGGACTTGGCATAGCCTCCTGAACTGCGGCATGGGAAGATGCATCCCCGTCCTTTTATGGGAAAGGAGTGCTGTGTGGTCAAGTCACCTATTCAATCTGACAGACAAGGTGTGAGCCCTGGTGCCTCTGCTACCTGGTAATACGATGTGGGAATGTTAGCCGGCCTCTCTAAACCCCAGGTTCCTCATCCACAAAAGGCCAGCACTAATAATCCCTACCACATAGGGCTAAATGTGTGAGGTTGAAATGAGTTAGCACATGTAAAGTGCTTCACACGGGGCTCAAGAAATGTAAGTTGGCTGAGTGCAGTGGCTCATGCCTGTAATGGCAGACGGGAGGATCACTTGAGCCCAGGAGTTTGAGACCAGCCTGGGCAACACAGGGAGACTCCATTTCCACAAACATAAATAAATAAAATACAAAATGAACAAAAATTACAAATATTAGCTGGGCGTGATAGTGCATACCTGTGGTCCCAGCTACATGGGAGGCTGAGCTGGGGGGCTTGAGCCTGGGAACTCGAGGCTGCAGTGGGCTGTGATTGCACAACTGCAGTCTACACCCTGGGCAACAGAGTGAGACCATGTCTAAAAAAAAAAAAAAATTAGAAGAAGCTGTTTAGAGCCTTGAAAAGCAAACCAAAGGGAAGAAGCTAAAGAAATTAGATTATGATCATTTATAAATGTTCTGATTCTACATGGAAGGGCTGATGATGTTTCTTTCTCTTTTTCATAGCTTTTCTAGAATATTGCAGGAAACTGTGAAGGAACTAGCCCCTCGATGTGATGTGACATTCATGCTGTCAGAAGATGGCAGTGGAAAAGGGGCAGCACTGATCACTGCTGTGGCCAAGAGGTTACAGCAGGCACAGAAGGAGAACTAGGAACCCCTGGGATTGGACCTGATGCATCTTGGATACTGAACAGCTTTTCCTCTGGCAGATCAGTTGGTCAGAGACCAATGGGCACCCTCCTGGCTGACCTCACCTTCTGGATGGCCGAAAGAGAACCCCAGGTTCTCGGGTACTCTTAGTATCTTGTACTGGATTTGCAGTGACATTACATGACATCTCTATTTGGTATATTTGGGCCAAAATGGGCCAACTTATGAAATCAAAGTGTCTGTCCTGAGAGATCCCCTTTCAACACATTGTTCAGGTGAGGCTTGAGCTGTCAATTCTCTATGGCTTTCAGTCTTGTGGCTGCGGGACTTGGAAATATATAGAATCTGCCCATGTGGCTGGCAGGCTGTTTCCCCATTGGGATGCTTAAGCCATCTCTTATAGGGGATTGGACCCTGTACTTGTGGATGAACATTGGAGAGCAAGAGGAACTCACGTTATGAACTAGGGGGATCTCATCTAACTTGTCCTTAACTTGCCATGTTGACTTCAAACCTATTAAGAGAACAAAGACTTTGAAGTATCCAGCCCCAGGGTGCAGAGAGGTTGATTGCCAGGGAGCACTGCAGGAATCATTGCATGCTTAAAGCGAGTTATGTCAGCACCCTGTAGGATTTTGTTCCTTATTAAGTGTGTGCCATGTGGTGGGGTGCTGTCTGGGGCATCTGTTTTTCATTTTGCCTGTGGTTTGTGTTGCAGGTGTTGATAGTTGTTTTAAGGATTGTTAGGTATAGGAAATCCAGTAAATTAATAAAAAAATTTTGATTTTCCAATAAACTTTGCATGAAGTGGTGATATTTCTTCTGGGAGGCTCACTTGGTAATACCATGCTTTGTTGATGGAATAAGGGATGCAGAGTCAGAAGGAGCTTGAGCATTTTTCTCGAGTCCAAACTTCCTACCAACAGGGGTAATATATGGAATATCTTCTACAATATCCTTAACAGATTATCCAGATGTCTTTAGAATACTTCCAGTAACTGAGCATTTCCCACATGATCCTACAGCTCTTGCTTTTGAACGGCTGGAGTGGACTGGAAGTCCTTCTGACTTCTGAGCTCGGTTCCTCCCATACACCCCACTGATCTCCATTCTACCCTGCAGAACTATGTGTAATAGGCCTGTCCCTGACCATTTCTCCAGTGGACTTCCTCTCTCTCTCCTCTCTTCCCCACTTTACCTGAACTGCCTGTGCCTTTCTGTTCTGCCACATAGTTATCTGTATGAGTTTCACATCTGGCCAGATAGATTGTAAACTCTTTGTCAAACACATTCTTGTATTGCTCTAGTGAACCTAGCACTGTGCCATTCCTATCAAATACTTACTTGTGGGAGGCATGATTGAAGAAATAGAACTTTTCAAGAAATTTTCTTCAGATAAAGTATAGACTGGGTATGGTGGCTCACACCTGTAATCTCAGCACTTTGGGAGGCCAAGTCTGGAAGATTGCTTGAGGCCAGGAGTTCAAGATCAGCTTGGGCAACATATCAAGACCCCCATCTGTACAGAAAAATTTTTAAAATTAGTTGAATGTGGTGGTGCACACCTGCAGTCCCAGCCACTCAGGAGGCTGAGGTGCGGGGTATCTCTCGAGTCTAGGTTTGAGGTTACAATGAGCTATGACTGCACCACTGCACTGCAGCCTGGGCAACGGAAAGAGACCCTGCTTCTTAAAAAAAAAAAGAGAGAGAGAAAGAGAAAGAAATGAAAGAAAGAAAGAAAGAAAAAGAAAGAAAGAGAAAGAAAGAAAAGGAAGGAAGGAAGGAAAGAGACAACTATTGTCATGGGAAACAAACTGAAAAGAATAATCCACAGTGATTTTATTTGTATTTATGTGCTTAATTACATACTTAAGTATGACAACTCCACAGAGTGCTCTTGCTGTCTCTTCAAAAGATTATGGCTTTGGTCAGGCGTGGTGGCTCATGCCTGTAATCCTAGCACTTTGGGTGGCTGAAGCAGGCAGATCACTTGAGTTCAGGAGTTTGAGACCAGCCTGGCCAGCATGGTGAAACCCCGTCTCTACTAAACATACAAAAAAAAAAAAAAATAGCCGGGCGTGGTGGTGTATCCTTGTGATCCCAGCTACTTGGGAGGCTGAGTCAGGAGAATCACTTGAACCTGGGGGGTGGAGGTTGCAGTGAGCCGAGATTGAGCAACTGCACTCCAGTCTGGGTGACAGAGCGAGACTCTGTCTCAAAAAAAAAAAAAGTTTTTGGATTCCAGCTCTAAGCGTCACCATTTGCTGAAGCGGGATGTCCAGATGGAGTGAAGGGGGCTGAGTCTAAAGACGGAGAGAGAGAGAGGCCAGCTAGGGCTGGGGATAATGAGGGAGCTGAGGGTTCCCCAGGACATATTTTTTACACTTTCTTTTTTGTTGTTTTTTGAGACAAGGTCTCATTCTGTCACTCAGGTTGGAGCATGGTGGCGCAATCACGAATCACTGCAACCTTGACCTCCCGGGCTCAAGGCATTCTCCCATCTCAGCCTCCCGAGCAGCTGGGACTGCAGGCGCATGCCACCATGCCAGCTGATTTTTAAATTTTTTGTAGAGACAGGGGTCTCACTATGTTGCCCTGACTTGTCTCAAACTCCTGGCCTCAAGTGATCCTCCCGCCTTGGCCTTCCAAAGTGCTGAGATTTATAGTCGTGAGCCACTGTGCCTGGTCCATACTTTCAATACAAATGTATGGTGATACTACTGTGAACAGGTCCTAGATTTACCAAAATTATCTTTTTGTGTGTTTGTGTATTTTAAGGTTATATCTCTTTAGAGAAATGTCGTATGAATTTATTAAATGTATCTTTTTATATTTTGAAGTTATGCCTCTTTGGAGAAAGGTTTCACCTTATCAGGTTTCATCTTAATCAGTTGAAAACCTTGCTGTCCTTATTCTCTTTCCCCAGGTCTCCCATTTCATGGTAAGTCATCCTCAGCTCCCAGTCCCTCTTTCCCCTGGTTCTGCTAGGGGTCTTTCTCTTTGCTGTCTTTCCTGGACAAATGATCTGACCCATAGATTCAGGTTGTTGTGCCACTAAGTTCTCCCATGACCTGGTCTCTCAGCACATGTTTGGCAGGTTAGGGAGGTCACCCAGTCCCTTCTCACCCAGCCGTGGTCTCTTACAAGAAAAAGGAGACACAAGGTATCTAGGCAAGCTTGCACATTCTGACTAATTGATTGCATCATAGAATCCTTGAACAAGAACCAGAACTCCAGAGAGGGAAAACATCTATCTTGCTGTGTTTGGACAGGCCAGCCCCTGAAACATCTTGGGCAATGGAGGGTTAACTTCTCAAAGTTTAATAGGCAAGACCAGCAACCATGCAACAAGGTAAATTGTCCTCACGAGAACTCCAAAGACTATTTTTCTCTCTCTTTTTTTGAGGCAGGGTCTCGCTATGTTACCCAGGCTGCTCTCGAACTCTTGGGCTCAAGCAATCCCCCCATCTTAACCTCCCCAGCAGCTGGGACTACAGCCACGCGCCACTGCACCCAGCTGACTTTTCCTTCTAAGCATCTTTGGCTGGGCGTGGTGGCTCATGCCTGTAATCCCTGCACTTTGGGAGGCCAAGGTGGGTAGATCACTGGAGGTCAGGAGTTCTAGACCAGCCTGGCCAACATGGTGAAACCTCATCTCTACTAAAAATACAAAAAAATTAGCTGGGCATGGTGGCAGGTGCCTGTAATCCTAGCTACTCGGGAGGCTGAAGCAGGAGAATTGCTTGAACCCAGGAGGTAGAGGTTGCAGTGACCCAAGATTGTGCCACTGCACTCCAGCCTGGGTACACAGCGAGTCTGTCTAAAAAAGAAAAAAAAAAAAGGAAGAGAGAGCATCTTTATCTTCATTTTCTAACCTTTAAGTGTTACTTTCTCCCAGTAACATTTTGCCCAGAAAGAGGTGATGAATATAGATTTAAGAATAAGATTTTCCCCATGTTGCTGCCTTTCCAGAACAAGTGAGTTCATTCTCATTTGTCTTTCTTCAGAAATCTTTTATCTGTCTTTCTCCCATTAGCTGGAATGGGTGCTCCATGAGAATAAAGACTTGGGTTCCATTCTTCCTATTGTCCCCAGAGCCTACATACTGGCTGGCATTGAGTAGCAATTGAACAGTTTTCTGAATGAATGAATGAATGAATGCTCAAATAAGCACATGAATTAATTATCACTTTCCTTTGAATCTCTCCATTCTTCTTCCTCACCCAATGGGGCTCGATCCTTATACACAGAAGATACTCTATAAATGATGATTCAATGAATGCCAAGCCCTGTTCTATGCACTGAAGACCAAAAGAAATAAAAGACATCATTCCTGCTCTGTAAGAATTCATAGGCTAGTAAGGAAAGAAAGATATATAAATATCTGTAATACAACATGGTAAACAGGAACAAGGTGACGACTGTTCCTGACCATTTCCTGTATCCTTTAGATCAGGAACTCTCAACCTTTGTGCACGTGTATGTGTGTGTGCATGTACCATGTACCCCTTGGACAATCAAGAATACAAGAAACCTTGTATTCTTTCTCAGAATAATGTTTTTAAATGCATAAAATACACAGGATTATAAGGGAAATTAATGGCATGAATTACATTTATTAAAATGTTAAAGTGGCACCATGGTAATACATGCATGTATTTATTAATGCATTATTCAGCAAGATCCAGCAGGAACCTAATAACAATGACAATTTTGAAGTCTTTTTTTTTTTTTTTTTGAGATGGAGTCTCGCTCTGTTGCCCAGGCTGAAGTGCAGTGGCGCAATCTCGGCTCACCACAAGCTCTGCCTCCTGGGTTCATGCCATTCTCCTGCCTCAAGCCTCCTGAGTAGCTGGGACTACAGGTGCCTCCCACCACGCCCGGCTAATTTTTTGCATTTTTATTAGAGATGGGGTTTCACCATGTTAGCCAGGATAGTCTCAATCTCCTGATCTCGTGATCCACCCTCCTTGGCCTCCCAAAATGCTGGGATTACAGGCATGAGCCACTGCACCCGGCCTGACAATTTTGAAGTCCTGATGAGTGTAAACACTACTTTGAGACATTTGCAACAACAGCATAGATATGAATATATCTGTGATTTCTCTTTTTTTTTCTTTTTTTTGAGATGGAGTTTTGCTCTGTTGCCCAGGCTGGAGTGTAGTGGCACAATCTCAGCTCACTGAAACCTCCACCCCCTGGGTTCAGTCAATTCTCCTGCCTCAGCCTCCCGAGTAGCTGGGATTACAGGCACCTGCCACCATGGCCAGCTAATTTTTGTATTTTTGGTAGAGACGGGGTTTTGCCATGTTGGCCAAGCTGGTCTCAAACTCCTGGCCTCAGGTGATCCGCCTGCCTTGGCCTCCAAAAGTGCTGGGATTATAGGCGTGAACCACTGCGCCTGACCCAATATATTTGTGATTTCCACTGGAGACAAAGTCACAGATGCTGCTAGCACTAGTGGGTTTGTTGCCCACATTCAGAATTAAAGGAAATGCTAAATTTCAGTTACAGACTATCAGAAATTAATTTGTATTTTTTTCCCACAGAAGCTTACGGATATCACCTTCTACCTGAAGGGTCTCTGATGCCCAGGTTATTAATCTCTGATCAGAATGTTCTAATGGAGCTGGCACTTATTTAGAGACAGATCTTAGATGGCAGATCTAAGCAATTTTAGCATTCCTTGTAGTACAGCACTGATGGTAGTAAATTCACGCAACTTTTGTTTGTCTGAAAATGTCTTTTTACCCTTCCTTTTTTAAGAATACACAATACACAGTTCTAGTTTGGTACTTTTTTCCTCCAGTATTTTAAGAATGTCATTTCATTTTCTTCTGGCTTCCATAATTTATTTTGGGAAGTCAGTTATAATTCTTATTACTGTTTTTCTGCAAGTTTTTTTTTTTTTCCCCTTTCTAGCTGTTTGTAAGGGTTTCTCTTTCTCTTTAGTTTCCAACAGTCATTTAACTATAATGTGCTTGGATGTGTTTTTGTTTTAGTGCATGTGTTCTTTTTTTTTCTTTTTTTAAATTTATCTTGCTTGGGCTTTGCTAAGATCTTCTTGAATCTGTGGGTTAATATCTTTCATTGTTTTTTTGAAAATTCTTGTTTTATGACTCATTATTTCTCCTCTTTCCTTCTGAAATTCCAATATGCAAACATTAGAGCATTTCATCCTGTCTTACATCTCTTTCAAGTTCTGTTCCAGTTTTTTTGCCATTTTTTTTTTCTCTGTGCTTCCGTTTGCATAATTCCTTTTCTTTCTTTTTTACCTTTTTTTTTTTTTTTTGAGATGGAGTCTCACTCTGTCAGCCAGGCTGGAGTGCAGTAGTGCAATCTCAGCTCACTGAAATTTCCGCCTCTTGGGTTCAAGCAATTCTCCTGCCTCAGCCTCCCAAGCACCTGGGTTACAGGTGCCCGCCACCATGCCCAGCTAACTTTTGTATTTTTATTTATTTATTCATTTATTTATTTGAGATGGAGTCTCACTCTGTAACACAGGCTGGAGTGCAGTGGCGTGATCTTGGCTAACTGCAGGCTCCACCTCCGGAATTCATGCCATTCTCCTGCCTCAGACTCCCAAGTAGCTGGGACTACAGGCGCCCGTCACCACACCCAGATAATTTTTTTGTATTTTTAGTAGAGATGGAGTTTCACCGTGTCAGCCAGGATGGTCTCCATCTCCTGACATCATGATCCGCCCACCTCGGCCTCCCAAAGTGCTAGGATTACAGGCATGAGCCACCGCTCCCAGCCTAACTTTTGTATTTTTAGTAGAGATGGGGTTTCACCATGTTGGCCAGGCTGGTGTCGAACTCCTGACCTCAGGTGATCCCCCTGTCTTGGCCTCCCAAAGCGCTGGGATTACAGGCATGAGCCACTGCGCCCAGCCAGTTTGCATAATCTCCAATAACTAGTCTTCAAGTTCAGTGACAGATTTTTTTTCTGCTGTGGCCAACCTGCTCTTAAGCCTAGCCAATGAATTCTTAATTTAAAACATTATATTTTTCAATTGTAGAATATCCATGTCCTTTTTTAGAGATTTAATTTCTCTATTGACATTATTTATCTTTTCGTCCATTTTTTCTAACTTTTCTTTTATTTTTCTTTAACATAATTACAAAAATCATCTTAAAGTCCTTGTCTGCTAATTCCAACATCTGGGTTACCTGTAGGACTGTTTGTGTTGTCTATTTTTTCTCTTGCTTACAGGCCACATTTTTCTACTTCTTTGCATTTTTTTTTAATATTAAGCATAAATAGCCATAGAGTCTGATGTAGATATTATTTTTCACCAGAAAGAGAACACTCTTTCTTCTCTCAGGCAGCTAAGGTGATGGACTGATCACTTTGATCCAGTCTGATATTGAGCTGGATCAGTTCACTTTTCGTTTCAAATATCAGCTGAGCATAGTGGCTCATACCTGTCATCCTAGCACTTTGGTAGGCTGAGGCAGGATGACCACTTGAGCTCAGGAGTTCAAGACCAGCCTGGGCAACATAGATCTCATCTGTATTTTTTTAATTTTTCAAATTTTAATTTAAAAAATACTTTTGCCCAGGCGCAGTGGCTCACGTTTCTAATCCCAGCACTTTGGGAGGCCAAAGCAGGTAGATCACCTGAGGTCAGGAGTTTGAGACCAGCCTGGCCAACATGGTGAAACCTTGTCTCTACCAAAAATACAAAAAGTAGCTGGGCATGGTGTCACACACATGTAATCCCAGCTAATTGGGAGGCTGAGGCAGGAGAATTGCTTGAACTCAGGAGGCAGAGGTTGCTGCGAGCCGAGATGGCACTCCAGCCTGGGTGACAGAGCAAAACTCTGTCTCAAAAAAAAAAAAAACAGTTTCAAATATCTTAGAGTCATGCCTGTCTTGTGTTTATTACAGGCCCTTTTTTCAAGCAGCCTTCTCTTTCTCAAATACAACAATATTATAGGGTATCTTTCTCTGAATTTCAATCTAGCCTTCTTTACTGCCCAGAACTTAGCAAAAATCCTATGGGGAGAACTGGCAGGTGGGGAAAACCAGCTATGCATTTGAAGCTTCTCCAGATTCTACTCTGTCTAGCCAGCTCACATGACCATAAAAGCTGGCTGCTTTCTCATTCTCTCTGAGTAGTCTTGCCTCTATTCTGGCAAGTCTAATCTCCCCCAACCCATGCCGAGACTCAACAAATGCCCTCATAGAGGAAAGCAGTCATGAATCTCCACTCACTTTGGGAGGGTCCCTTCTGCTCTGGAATTTAATTCCATTAGATTTCCAGCCTTCCAGTATCTCTAAAAAGAAATATATATGATTTTTAGTTTATCCATATATATTTTTTCTAATTGCTATAGTGGACACAATGGTCTACTGCTCCCCTCTTACATCCTATATCCTAACCACCAATTCTAAATATTTTAAATTCCCATTACAATGTCTTATTTTATTCATGAGTTATTAAAAAAAAAAAACCAAAAAACAAAAAACCTTTTAAGGCCGGGCACGGTGGCTCACGCCTGTAATCTCAGTACTTTGGGAGGCCAAGGTGGGAGGATAGCTTGAGGCCAGGAATTTGAGACCAGCCTGAGCAACATGGCGAGACCCCATCTCTACTAGATTAAAAAATACATAAAAAATAAAATTTAAAAAAAAAACAACTTAAATTTGTACATTTGTAATTTCCAAGTATATTGTTTTAAATTTGATCATTTTGTTAATTTTAACTTAATTATATGTTGATTTATGGCCTATATCAGGGATTGACTAATTACTTCTGTAAAGGGCCAGGCAGTCACAATTGTAGGCTCTGTGGGCCATATGATCTGTGCTGTTGTAACAAAAAAGGAGCCATAGACAACATGTAAATGAACGGGTATGGCTTGGTTCTAATAAAACTTTATTTACAAAAATAAGTGACAGGTTGGATTTGTCCTGCAATTCAGTTTGTCAATCCCTGGTCTAAATTATCTTAATTATTTACAAATTTATTAAGACTTGCTTTATAAATATGTTTGCTTTGAAATTTGAGTGCTTTTCATGTGCACTTAAAATATATTCTGTATTAGCTGGGCACAGTGGCTCATGCCTGTAATCCCAGCACTTTGGGAGGCCGAGGCAGGTGGATCGCCTGAGGTCAGGAGTTGAGACCAGCCTGGCCAACATAGTGAAATCCTGTCTCTACTAAAAATACAAAAAATTAGCTGGGCGTGGTGCCAGGTGCCTGCAATCCCAGCTACTCAGGAGGTTGAGGAAGGAGAATCGCTTGAATCCAGGAGGCAGAGGTTGCAGTGAGCCAAGATTGTGTCATTGCACTCCAGCCTGGGCAGCAAGAGCAAAACTCCTTTTCAAAAAAAAAAAAAAAAAAAAAAAAAAAAATACATATATATATATATATACACATATATATATTCTATATTAAATAAGTAATTCTATATATTTATTAGATTAAACTTGTTTTGTTGTTCAAATCTTTTATAACTTTGTTGATTTTGTTTGTTTGCTTGCTTGATCTAATGGCAGAGAAAAATACATTTAAATTTATTCTTGTAATGTGGATTTGTCAGAGTATTTCTGTAGGTCTAACAATTCTTGCTTTAATATTTAGAGGTTAATTTATTAGAATATTAACATCTGGCCAGGCACAGTGGTTCATGCCTGTAATCCCAGCACTTTGGGAGGCCGAGGCGGGTGGATCACCTGAGGTTGTGAGTTTGAGACCAGCCTGGTTAACGTGGTGAAATCCTGTCTCTACTAAAAATACAAAAATTAGCCGGGTGTGGTAGTGCACTCCTGTAATCCCAGCTACTCGGGAGGCTGAGCCATGAGAATTGCTCCAACCCGGGAGGCGGAGGTTGCAGTGAGCTGAGATCGTGCCACTGCCCTCCAGCCTGGGTGACATAGTAAGACTCTGTCTTAAAAAAAAATTAATATCTTAATTTTAAGATATTAATTTTAAATGATTAAAATTATTTAATTATTAATTAACATAATAATTAAACATCAAATCATTCAATCATTTAATTAATAATAATTATAACTATAACTATTATCTTTATATATAATTACATATAATAGGATATTTTATATATCTATATATATCCTACATATATGTAGGATGGAAGCGAAGGATTGATAAATGTATCTTCTCCCAAAGAAGACAAGTATTTCAGCATGCTTTTATGTATTTTAGTCTCTCTTACCCCTATAGCCCATCATACTGAAATGGTCTAGAATTTTAGTTATGTGCTATTATTCATAAACTTTCACTTATTTGGCTTCCTCTAAGTGTTTTGACGGAGAGATATTATGTGGCAAGCTGAGGGTTTAAATCACTGAGAATATTTTTATTATGCCATCATATTTGAATGCTAATTTCGCTGGATATAAAATTCTAGATTCAAAGATCCCTTTCTTCTGTTCTTTAAATCTATTACCTTATTCTTTTCTTGCATCATTGGTTGCAAGTCTAATGCCAATCTGGTTCTTGTTTCTTTTTGAGTAATCTGTTTTGTGTCTCTGAAAGCATTTAAAATTTTCTTTTTGGCTGGGTGAAGTGGCTCATGCCTATAATCCTGGCACTTTGGGAGGCTGAGGCACGAGGATTGCTTAAGGCCAGGAGCTCGAGACCAGCCTGGGCAAAATGTTGAAACCCCGCCTCTATTAAAAATACAAAAATTAGCCAGGCATGGTGGTGCCCACCTGTTGTCCCAGCTACTCAGAGGCTGAGGCAGGAGGATCACCTGAGCCTTGGGAGGTCGAGGCTGCAGTGAGCCATGATCATGCCACTGCACTCCAGCCCGGGCGACAGAGTAAGACCCTGTGTCTAAATAAATAAAGAAATAAATAGGATTCTACTTTAGAAATTTTATCTAGCTTTTTTCATTTATTATTATATATTACAAAAAGGCTTTCCCACTCTCCATCTTTTGTATTTTTGTAGCTCCTTATAAGCCTAAATAAAATACTATTTACCACACAACTGAGTGCTGATAAAAGTGGTTTGTTTTAGGCCAGGCACAGGGCTCACGCCTGTAATCCCAGCACTTTGGGAGGCCGACACAGGCAGATCACCTGAGGTCAGGAGTTCGAGACCAGCCTGGCCAACATGACGAAACCCTGTCTCTACTAAAAATACAAAACTTAGCTGGGCGTGGTGGCAGGCGCCTGTAATCCCAGCTACTCAGGAGGCTGAGGAAGGAGAATTGCTTGAACCTGGGAGGCGAAGGTTGCAGTGAGCCGAGATTGTGCCATTGCACTCCAGCTTGGGCAACAACAGCGAGACTCCGTCTCAAAAAAAAAAAAGGTTTGTTTTATAGTGAACTGTGGAGGGATAAGGGACAAAGCTGGGCACAAAAATAGATCTGATGGTAGGGTTAGGACTGAGGGGGCAGAGGAAATGAGACTGACATTTCCTAGGGAAACTGACAGGTTAGCCAATGTTCCTATTCCAATCCATCTTCTTGGAAACTGCCTGCCATTTCCTCTGACATCTGAAGCACTTGCTGTAAAGCACTCACTGCTTACACTATGGCTGCCTGGCTGGCTTTCCTTGAGAATATGTATATTTAATCTGTATTTTGTCTATGAAGCTTTTTGAGGGCTCTGTAGTTCTACTCCACACATTGCCCACTCACCCATCCCATTTTCCTCCGGTAGCTGCTACATGGAAAGTACTATGGATCAAATTGGAAATCCATCTCTCCTCTCAAAGGCAGCTAAAGCTATGTGGTCAGGCTCTGGGCCCCAGATTCCAGTCCTGATTTCTGAGTCTGCTTTCCAGGTCAGGGAATGCACTGGGGCTGACGACAAGGCTGGAACGTCCCGGGATTGAAGCTTGGATCCGAACTGTTGGACGGCGTCTGGAGTTTTGCACAAAAGAGAATTGAATTGTAGATCAGCTGGGAAGTTACTGTGGTAGTCCTGGTGCCCTGCGGCCTCCAGCGACTGGAACCCTGTGGGAGCACATAGCTGGCATTTTTTGCTAGAGATTAGGAAGTCTTTTGCTTCCTCTGTGAAAAGGCTTGAATTCAATGGACTGTGTGGTAAGATGAAGTTGTTTTTTTTTTCCCTTATTGATAAAAATAAAACAGAGATTTGGCTTGGGTTATTACGCAGTGGTGGGCACATGAGCTTGCTCTCCAGTGTTTGGCGGGAAGCCAGTTGAAGAGCATGTGGTTACATTTTTGTCCGGCATCATCAAGAGTGTAGAGAAGCTGTGATTCTAGCCTCAGAGGAGCGAGTTTTTATTGTGGGGTGACTCTTCAAAGACCATCTTTATGCAAGAAATGTCAGAGGCCCATTTCATAGTAAGTTTCTTTGGAAGTTTTGTTTTCGTCGATGCTATATTATCACTCATGGGCTGATGTCGTCTCCTTATGATGGTGTCCCTAAGAGCCTTCACAGGCCTAGGGAGCACTGGTTGGTGGTGGGAGGCCCAGGCTGAGAGGCAGGTCTCTGTGTTGTATTTCTTCCTGGGCTTTAGTCTGTCTCTTTCTAAAATGGGCTAATCCTCTCTCTGCCCTCTTCCTCATGTGGTGAAGGGCGTTGGGACAACATGCAAATATGGTTCAAAGGAGAAGTGAAGCTGCTCTTTTGTACTCTGTCACATTTGCTTGCTCTGAATTGGGTCTTTTGTTAGCACATTCTTTGAAGTAGAACTTGTCCATGGTTGACTTTGGTGTCTTGATTTGGAGAAGAAATTGAGTAGTGCCCAACTGCAGGTAGACTGAGAGGCTGAACTGGGTTTGCATGGGGTTTGCAGGATGTGCAGAATGGTTAAATGAATGTATGAATGAACATATGTAGATCGAATGTTTGATGGGGAACCTCAGAATGACCCAAGAAACATGTTTCTCCAGAAACTAAGTAGATCTTGGGCTGTGAAGTATTTAGTACCCATAACAAGCAATGATAGTTTAAATATGTAGTCCAAAAATTTCTTCCTCATCAGTCAAGTCATAAATGCAGGACTTAAAGGAAACCACATGTGAGAGGTGTCTGTGACCTAGGATATTGGAGGCCTGGGTCACAGTTAGGAATCAGGACCTCGCAAAATTTACTTAACATTCTCCAGAATGTGGCCCAATCTACAAAGCCACCCTCATGTCAGCTGCTCAGCTGGAGAGCACATGTGCTTGAAGTTTCTTTCACCTTCACTCTTGCTTTAATAAAAGCATGTATAAGTCCAGGAGCTTATTTTATACTTTGGTTGATCAGCGATTGTGTCTTCACTAAGAACCACCCATATTGTCATCCTTGGGCAGACACGAGGAAGGATGAAAGGATTGACCTGCGAGAATCTAGAGAACTAAGGCCAAGGGAAGCAGGTCAGATGGAGGTAGATTGCATCTCAGATTTAACTGGCCAATGATGAAAAAAGGTTTTGTTTTTTTTTTTTAGACAGAGTCTCGCACTGTCACCCAGGCTGGAGAGATCTCGGCTCACTGTAAGCTCCGCCTCCTGGGCTCACGCCATTCTCCTGCCTCAGCCTCCCAAGTAGCTGGGACTACAGGTGCCTGCTACCATGCCCAGCTAATTTTTTTGTTTTGTATTTTTAGTAGAGACAGGGTTTCACTGTGTTAGCCAGGATGGTCTCGACCTCCTGACTTTGTGATTTGCCCACCTCGGCCTCCCAAAGTGCTGGGATTACAGGCGTGAGCCACCACGCCCAGCCCGGAAAAGGTTTTTTAAAGAGTGAGGTAGCACCTACCTGGATCTTGTCTTGGGTGGGTGCTATGGTCTGCATGTTTATGGCCCCCCAAATTCATAATTGAAACCTAATCTCCGATATGATAATATTAGAAGGTGGGGTCTTTGGAGGTTATTAAGTCATGAGGGTGGAGCCCTCACGAATGTGATTCATCCCCTTATAAAGGAGACTCTAGAGAGCTTGTCTGCCCCTTCTACCAGTGAGGACGGAGTAAGAAGGCTGTCTTTGAGAAATGAGCCCTCACCAGGCAGGCACCAAATCTGCTGGTGACTTAATCTTGGATTTGCCAGCCTCCAGAACTGTGAAACATACATTTCCATCATTTGTAAGTTACCTAGCCAATGGTAATTTGTTGTAGCAGCCTGAACGGACCAAGACAGTGAGGGTGGGAGTGGAATATGATGTGCTAGGTTCTTTCCAGTTTTCAAATAATATGCTTTTACCTTCTGGAGTTTCATCCCCTGTGCCACTAATCTCTGAATTGCTAAAATCTTTGCATTTTTGTCTCCTACTCTCCACTTTATCAAACAACCTGTCCTATGTCTCTGTATAGCTGCAGACTCTTATCAGACCTCTCAAAATATCGTTTATGACTTCCTCTTCCATGTGGAGGACATGAGAGAGTGAGAGAGAACTGGGATCTTCTGTACTTTTAATGAGTGAATCCACATGATTGTAGGCATCTAAAATAGGGCTCTCAAACTTTAGCAGGTCACAGAATCACCAGGAGGGCTTGTTAAAACACAGATTCATGGTTCCACCCCAATGTTTTCCATTCAGTAGGTCTGTGGAAGGGCCCAAGAATGTGCATTTCTAACAAGTTCCCACCTAATGCTGTTGTTACTGGTGCAGGGACCACACTTTGAGAACCACCACCCTAGAGGACGGGGACCAAGCCAGCCCACTCTCAGTAAAATCCCAAATGCAGAGGGGGCAGATTAATAAGTACCAGGGTGTGCTGTCCTCTTCCTCCTCTTTCTCTTCCTCATCCTCCTCCTTTATCGAGGCTTACCTGATCCCTGCCTCAGGGGCCTCCAAAGAAAACTCTGACTTAGACCAATGTGTCCCAGATTCAATGTCACTTTCTATAGGAAGCCGTTCATGAACCCCAGGATTAGATGTTGTGGCTTCCTATACTTTTTCTTGATAGCTATCATGATTCACAATTTGCAACTGTGATTTGTGTGATTTCTTAATCTCTGTTTCCTCCAGAGAATGTAAGCTCCATGAAGACAGGATATACGAATAGTAGGAAAAAAGGAAGGGTTTGGGTGGGGAATGGTGGTGAGTCACCCTTAGGATTGTGCACAATAAAAGAGAGTGAAACAACAGATTTTGTCCCCAAAGAATAAAGGAAGGGGAGGGAGGAGGAAGGAAAAAGGTGGCCTGGAATATCCATTAGAACGTTGGCTGCCAAGTCTAGCCCAGCTCTCTCTGGTGCCAACCAGAGGTTTGCCTGCTCTATTTTGGCCACAGAGTGGGCATTTCATCTCTCCACGCATTTTAAAATCCTAGTTGTTTCTTTTTTTAGCTCTGAGCTACTTACCCGCTCTAAGCCTCAGCTACAGCACCCATAAAACAAAGAATTAAGGCTCCAGGGCTGAAGAGACCTAAGTACAACACCCAGCTCTGCTACTGTTGCATTTCCATGAGTGCCTGAATTAACTCCTGTAAGCGTCGGCTTCCCTCCTGAAAAGGGTTTCTACTCCTAATCTTGTTGGGACACTTCCAGGAATCAGGGCACATGAAGTCCTTAGCACAATCCCTGGCTCAATGCACATGAGTGGCCATTGTCATCACCATCTTCAATATCACCGTCCTCCTCACCATTGTCACCATTTCTGTCCCCACACCCAAGGTTTCTGAGGTCTCAATGGGATAAAATAACTTCATAACCATGAAGCACTGTCTGAATGTCAAGGGCATCCAAGTGCCCCATCCCCTGCCCACAAGTCCTGGAGTAACATCCAAGGATGCCTTCCTTCCCCAGGACGCTGGCGCAGGCTCAACCCCTTGCAAGCCTTTGGTGACTCTTGATTTTACGACAAATACATCTTTTGTCTCTTCTGTTTTCAGGACTTCAACTAACCAACTAAAGAACTGTTCCCCAGAGCATTGTTCCTGAGAAGGAAAAGAGTCCAAACACCTACCCACACCTGCTTTGTGCCAAGAATCCACAGTTGGATTGCAAGGACAGTGTATGTTGTCCTTTTGGAAAAATGAGAGTGAGCCCAAATGAAGAACAAGCAAAGGTGTCTCAAGTCATCCCAAGGCAACTAGGGGGTTGCCTGGGCTGTGACGGCCTCACTTCTGCATGAGACTCTCTCTCTGGCTTTTCGCATTAAGTAGCTTCCTGTCCTTCTCTGTAAAACAAAATGAATGAGCTGGGTGCGGTGGCTCATGCCTATAATCCCAGAACTTTGGGAGGCCGAGGTGGGTGGATCACCTGAGGTCAGGAGTTTGAGACCAGCCTGGCCAACATGGTGAAACCCCTTCTCTACTAAAAATACAAAAAAAAAAAAAATTAGCTGGGTATGGTGGCAGGCGCCTGTAATCCCAGCTACTTCGGAGGCTGAGGCAGGAGAATCGCTTGAACCCAGGAGGCAGTTTGTGGTGAGCCAAGATTGCGCCACTGCACTCCAGCCTGGGTGACAAGAGCGAAACTCAGTTTCAAAAAAAAAAAAAAAAAAAAAATGAATGAAGGTATAATCTGGCAGGGTGCGGTGGCTCACACATGTAATCCCAGCACTTTGAGAGGCCAAGGCGGGAGGATCACTTGAGACCAGGAGTTCGAGACCAGCCTGGGCAAAATAGAGAGATCCCATCTCTACCAAAATTAAAAAAAAAAAAAATTAGCCTGACGTGGTGGTGCATGCCTGTGGTCCCAGCTACTCTGGAGGCTGAGGTGGAAGGATCACTTGGGCGCAGGAGGTCAAGGCTGTAGTGAGCCCATGATCGCACCACTGCACTCCAGCCTGGGTGACTGAGTGAGACCCTGTCTCAATAATAATAATAATAATATAAATAAAAATAAAAATAAAGAGCTGGCTGGGCGTGGTGGTTCATGCCTGTAATCCTAGCACTTTGGAAGGCCAAGGTGGGCAGATTACTTGAGGTCAGGAGTTCGAGACCAGCCTGGCCAACATGGTGAAACCCCATCTCTACTAAAAATACAAAAATTAGCCAGGCATGGTGGCAGGCAACTGTAGTCCCAGCTACTCAGGAGACTGAGGGACGAGAATCGCTTGAACACAGGAGGCGGAGGCTGCAACAAGAGGTTGCAATGAGCCAAGTTCGCACCACCGCACTGCATTCCAGCCTGGGTGACAGAGTGAGACTCTGTCTCAAAAAAAAAAAAAAAAAAAGAAAAGAAAAAAAGAAAAAGAAAATAAAGAGCTATCCAAGTCTCAGGATCTTAAAAGGTAGATCCTGGGGTTTAAGCCCACTTATTTTACAGATGAGGCCCAGAGAGAGGCAAACACTTTCCCAAGGATACACAGTAATTTGTAACTGGGCCAAAGCTCACTATAGTTAAGTCTTTTTGTTTGAGGTGACTGAGATAATGCCATCTATGATTTTTTCTTTTAAGGCAAATGCTGTGCTGATATTCCTCACAGTTTGAGACTTGTAAAATGCCTCTCTTCCCTGAGTACCCATCTGTCCTCTACTACCCTCAGGGTTTGGGACTGATGCTCTGCAGTTGAGGGACAGTGTGCAAGATTGGTTAAGAATGGAGGAGCCTGATTTCAAATCTCAGCTTGGTTAGCTTACAGCCATATGACCTTGGGAAGCTACTTGACTGCTGTGAGCCTCAGTTTCCTCATGTGTAAAACTGGGAAAATAGAACTTATGAGGAGTTCTTGTGAACTAATGCCTGTGAGGTATTATATTTATAGCAGTGCCTCGCAGACAGGAAGTATTCAATAAATGCTAATTTATTGAATTTAATGACCTCCAAGAGAGTTGCTTAAGGGCAAAGTGGAAGTCAATTGAATAGTGGGTACATCCTCTCTGAAAGCAAGGCTAAAACTATGTAAAAAAAAGCATCACTGGAAAGGAAGAAGGAATCCAGCTGCTTAAGCCAAGTGGAGTGGCTCACTCGTGTAATCCCAGCACTTCGGGAAGCTGAGAGAGGAGGATCACTGGAGCCCAGCAGTTTGAGACCAGCCTGGGCAGCATAGTGAGATCCTATTTCCCTTTTTCTGAGACAGAATCTTGCCCTGTCGCCCAGGCTGGAGTGCAGTGGCACAACCTCGGCTTACTGCAACCTCCGCCTCCAGGGTTCAAGTGATTCTCCTGCCTCAGCCTCCAGAGTAGCTGGGATTACAGGCACTCACCACCACGCTCAGTAATTTTTTTAGTTTTTCTTTTTTCTTTTTTTTAAGACGGAGTCTCTCTTTGTCACCCAGGCTGGAGTGCAGTGACATGATCTTGGCTCACTGCAAGCTCTGCCTCCTGGGTTCACGCCATTCTCCTGCCTCAGCCTCCTGAATAGCTGGGACTACAGGTGCCAGCCACCACGCCCGGCTAATTTTTTTGTATTTTTAGTAGAGACAGGGTTTCACCATGTTGGCCATGATGGTCTCGAACTCCTGACCTCAGGTGTTCTGCCCACCTTGGCCTCCCCAAATGCTGGGATTACAGGCATGTGCCACCGCACCCAGCCGTGAGATCCTATTCCTTAAAAAAACAAACAAACAGGCCGGGCGCGGTGGCTCACGCCTGTAATCCCAACACTTTGGGAGGCCGAGGTGGGTGGATCGCAAGGTCAGGAGATCGAGACCATCCTGGCTAACATGGTCTCTACTGAAAATACAAAAAATTAGCCGGGCGAGGTGGCGGGCGCCTGTAGTCCCAGCTACTCAGGAGGCTGAGGCAGGAGAATGGCGTGCACTCGGGAGGCGGAGCTTGCAGTAAGCCGAGATTGCGCCACTGCACTCCAGCCTGGGCGACAGAGAGAGATTCCATCTCAAAACAACAACAAAAAACAAACAAACAAACAAAAAACAGAAAGGAATCCAGCTATTAGCAAAATTCAAATGAATTGTGGATTTTTCTGTTATTAAAATGTAGAGATATCAGGATCCCTAAACTCAAGTAAATGACACAATAAACAAAGCATCAAATTTGAAGCTGTGTTATGATGGTGCCTGTGCCAGATTTGGGGGAAGGGCAATACTTGGCTTACACAGATGCTCTAGATCTTGAAGAGGGAGAGAGGGGCACAGTTCTGCGGCGACATGTGCGAGTACCAGAGAGAGGGCCAGTTACTTCGGGGTGGAGAGTATATGGAGAATGGAATGACTAGCTATAAACCAGCTTGCATGGTGGGCTGGTGGAAACACCAGTTTCTACATGACCTCTAGACCAAACACTCTCTAGACAAAAAGCAACTCTGCTTTGAATGACCTTCAAAGCGAATGCCCTGGGCCAGTCCCAAGGGTTCCTTCCCCTCCTCCTACTCCGTCTCCTGGGTAACAACATTGTAAGACTGGGAAGAAAGGAGGTGATAGCATAATCTTCTCTGTCATGTTACAGACCCAGGGAGCTTTTAAGAAATAAATACCAATGGGAAAGAGGTAACATGCATTCTCTGCAAGTACTTTGGTAACTCATAGCAGTGTTTTAACTAGACTCGGGAAGTTGCCTGGGGATCAGAAAGGAAGGCAAAAATGTGTGTGGAATTTGTCAAAATTTGTTAAGCCCATATAGCATAATAAGGAGAACATCTATCTACAAAAACAAAGTTAAATCATAAATTATAGCTGAGTACAGTGGCTGACACCTGTAATCCCAGCACTTTGGGAGGCTGAGGGAGGAGAATCGCTTGAGCCCAGGGGTTTAAGACCAGCCTGGGCAACATAGTGAGATCCCGTCTCTACAAAAAATTAAAAAATTAGCCAGCTGTGGTAGTTTGAGCCTGTAGTCCCAGCTGCAGAGGCTGAGGTGGGAGGATCACTTGAGCTCTGAAGGTGGAGGCTGCAGTTAGTGTGATTGCACTACTGCACTCCAGCCCAGGTGACAGAGCAGGACGCTGTCTCAAAAACAAGCAAACAAATAATTGCAAGGCATATATTTTATTTTTAGATCACGCTTTACTTTTTTTTTTTTTTGAGATGGAGTTTCGCTCTCGTTGTCCTGGCTGGAGTGCAATGGTGCAATCTCGGCTCACTGCAACCTCCGCCTCCCAGGTTCAAGGGATTCTCCTGGCTCAGCCTCCCAAGTAGCTGGGATTACAGGCATGTGCTACCATGCCCGGCTAATTTTTTGTATTTAGTAGAGAGGGGGTTTCACCTCGTTGGTCAGGCTGGTCTCGAACTCCTGACCTCAGGTGATCCACCCACCTCGGCCTCCCAACGTGCTGGGATTACAGGCATGGGCCACCTCATGAGGCGCCTGGCCTCATGCTTTGCTTTGAACTAGGGGAACCATCAGTGCCTCTGTCGAGGAAGCTCATAGAGAAACCAGGGACAAATCCTAGAAGGCTTTACGCTTTCAGCCAGGGCTCTCCATATCATTTTGGTTATGCACTCCATCAGTAAAATATTTTTGTAGACACATTGTATTAGTCTGTTTTCGCACTGCTATAAAGAAATGGCCCTCAATTATGTCATAATAACATCACACAAGTATTTCAGTTGAAAAAAAAGAAAAGAAAGAAAAAGAAATGCCCGAGACTGGGTAATTTAAAAAGGAAAGAGGTTTAATTGACTTACAGTTCAGCATGGCTAGAGAGGCCTCAGGAAACTTGTAATCATGGCGGGAAGGCAAAGGGGAAGCAAGGCACCTTCTTCATACGGCTGCAGGAAGGAGAGGTGCAGGGTGAAGGGGGAAGAGCCTCTTATAAAACCATCAGATCTCATGAGAACCCACTCACTATCACAAGAACAGCAGGGGGGGAACCGCCCCCATGATCCAACTCCTTCCACCTGGTCTCTCCCTTGACATGTGGGGATTATGGGGACTATGGGGATTATAATTCAAAATGAGATGTGGGTTGGGACACAAAGCCTAACCATATCACACATTCCTCAGTACATATATTTTAATTATTTTGAGATTATATATCTTTATAAGTCCACTTATGCGAAATGGCCAGAAGGCAAATTCACAGACACAGAAAGTAGATTAGTGGTTGCCAGGGGCTGGGGGAAGGATCGAATGAGAATGGCTGGTAATGGGTATGGGTTTCCTTATAGAGTGATGAAAATTTTCTGGAATTAGTGATGATGGTTGCACAACCTTATGAATATACAGAAAACCACTGAATTATACACTTTAAAGGGTGAGTCTTTTGGTATGTGAGTTATAGCTCATTTTTTAAAAAATCACATATAAATAATGTGTACATTATAAAGAATAGCCTTAAAAAGTTATAGGGTGAGATTTTAAAAGTCGTAAGTAGACTGAATGCAGTGGCTTACACCTGTAATCCCAGCACTTTGGGAGGCTGAGGCAGGGTAATCACTTGAGACCAGGGGTTCAAGACCAGCTTGGGCAACATAGCAAGACACTGTGTCTACAAAAAAAAAAAAAAAATTAAAAATTAGGCTGGCATGGTGGCCCATGCCTGTGGTTGCAGCTACTCAGCAGGCTGAGGCAGGAGGATTGCTTGTGTCCAAGAGTTCAAGTTTGAGGCTGCAGTGTGCTACGATGGCACCACTGCACTCCAACCTGGTCAACGGACTGAGACTCTGACTTGGCCTTTTGGAGATGTCTTTGCTAATTTCCACTTCTATTGGATTTCCTCTCCAAAGCATGACTCTTTCTTTGGACATAGTCATAAGCAGAGAAGGTTGTAGTTGGTGACGAGGTACCACTTCCAGACCAGGCTCCAGGGAATTTCTTCTAGAATGACAGGCTGCCAGAAACCTTGACTGGGTGCAGTAGCTCAGGCCTGTAACCCAGCACTTTAGGAGGCTGAAGTGGGAGGTTTGCTTGAGCCCAGGAGTTCGAAACCAGCCTGAGCAACAGAAGCTGCAGTGAGCTATGATGGCGCCACTGCATTCTAGTCTGGGCAACAGAGCAATACTCTGCCTCAAACAAACAAAAGGAGAAACTTTATGACATTTTACCTGGGTTTACGAATACTCTAGAAATGTGTCTGCACTATGTCTTGGTTCTCAGTATTAGGGTGTTTAGCTTCCTAATTGGTGAGGACAAAAATGAGACCGACAATCCTCTGACCCTGCCTTCTTTGAACTTGGCCTTTCTCTAGGCGTTCAAGACCCAGCTGTTGAGAGTAGAAAAGCAGAAGAAAGGACCCGAGGTCAGCAAGTGCCCTCCCCACAATGGGGCAGATCTGCCAGCGAGAATCGGTAAGCTCTGGTGTTTCTTTCTTTCTTTCTTTTTTTGAGACGTTTTTGTTCCATCGCCCAGGCTGGAGTGTAGTGGCGCGATCTCGGCTCACTATAACCTCTGCCTCCCGGGTTCAAGCGATTCTCCTGCCTCAGCCTCCCAGTAGCTGGGATTACAGGCATGGGCCACCACACCTGGCTAATTTTGTATTTTTTTGTAGAGATGGGGTTTCTCCATGTTGGTCAGGCTGGTCTCAAACTCCTGACCTCAGGTGATCCGCCCACCTCGGCCTCCCAAAGTGCTGGGATTACAAGCCGCTCTGGTGTTTCTTTAGCTTCTCAGAGGGCTCACATGTACCATAGCCTGCTCAACCTGCTCTCCCTGGCAGAGGGGTGTGTTGGGGTCCATCTTAGAGGAGGGAAAACTCTGACCAAGAGCACAGCAGGAAAGCGTCATGAGGCAAGGCAGGAGCCCCCTCAGACCCAGCCTCTAAGTCTTGGTGCAGCAGGGGCCACTTGTGTTCTGACCAAGGGAAGCCCAGAGGATCGTTCTGTATCCCCCTGGTTAATTGCTTTTTAGACAGTTATGCTGTGAAGTCATCAGTGTGTGCTGGAAATAGGAGTTTGGCTTTTTCTTCTCTAAGAGAAGCCCCCTCTGGCTGAATTTTATATTGCCATGTAAAAATGGGCTTCTGCCCATTAAAAAAAAAAATTTTTTTTTTTTTTTTTTTTTTTTTTTTGAGATAGAGTCTCATTCTGTTGCCCAGGCTGGAGTGCAATGGCATGATCTCGGCTCACTGTAACCTCTGCCTCCTGGGTTAAAGTGATTCTTGTGCCTCAGCCTCCCTAGTAGCTGAAATTACAGGCGTGCGCCACCATGCCTGGCTAATTTTGTATTTTTTTGTAGAGATGGGGTTTTGTCATGTTGCCCAGGCTGGTCTCGAAACCCTGGCTTCATATGATCCGCCCACCTCAGCCTCCCGAAGTGCTGGGATTATAGGCGTGAGCTACTGCACCCGGCCAATTTTTTTTTTTTTTTTTTTTAAATTTTAACAGAGACAAGGTCTTACTATGCTTCCCAGGCTGGTGTTGAACTCCTGGCTTCAAGTGATCCTCCCACCTCATCCTCCCAAAGTGTTGGGATTACAGTGTGAGCCACTGTGCCCAGCCCAGAAGCCCGTTCTTACATCTTAAAGAGCTTTGATTCTCCCCCTGGATGTTGAAATAAACCCTGGAAAATGTTTATAGGATAAATTATGTTCTGAGTAGCGGGCTCATTTCAAATTAATCTATGCTGTAGGTGGGTCCCTCTGAAGCAAGGACTACAGCTGTTCCACCCCGCCCCCCACCAACAGAACAATCTGGGAAATTGAGACACAGTGGGCTTGATCTCAAAGACAAACACAGTGCTCATACTAACTGAGTGCCCTGAGCCCAGAACACTCTCAGAGCCCCATTTAAATCACTGCAGTGGCCTGGCCTGTTTGCTTTATGAAGACTTTCCCCTGGTCAGCCCTTGGGTGGCAAATTAATTCCTGATTAGTATCTGAAAGTGGACAATACAAGCTCAAGGAGTTGCTTCCACCTCGAGGCAAGAGGTGAGGGTCTTGGGCACGCCTGGGGTGGTTATCTTTCCCTCAGTCCTACAAGAGTAGCTTACAATGCCCTCTTCAGCTTCTTTGAGAAGGGCTTTGCAAAGTCCAGCTCAGGTGCATCCCTCCTGCCTCCCAGGGTTTTTCGTTTGTTTGTTTGTTGTTGTTGTTTTTGAAACAGAATTTCACTCTTATTGCCCAGGCTGGAATGCTATGGTGCAATCTTGGCTCACTACAACCTCTGCCTCCCAGGTTCATGCAGTTTTCCTGCCTCAGCCTCCCCAGTAGCCGGGATTACAGGCTCCCGCCACCACGCCTGGCTAATTTTTTGTATTTTTAGTAGAGACGGGGTTTCGCCAAGTTGGCCAGGCTGGTCTCGAACTCCTGACCTCAGGTGATCCACCCGCCTCAGCCTCTCAAAGTGCTGTGATTACAGGCGTGAACCTCTGTGCTCAGCCCCTCTCAGGCTTTTGAGAGGATTGAATTCTGTCCTGTTCCTAATGCCCAACTGGAAGCTCTCAGCCTCATTCTCCTTTGTGGAATCCAAGGCTCCTGTGTGGTTGTCAGTGGGGAGTGGAGGCCACTAAATACAGAAAATCAAAATTCCTCTTAGCCGTTGGGTCTCTTAGGCCTCTTCCTTTTCTCCTCCTTCACCCCGCAACCAGAGTGAGAAAAGTTTTGCCTGCTCTGGGAAAGAAGGAGCCCTTCTAAACCTGGAAGCTTGTTTGGGATGTCATTGCCACCTCTCATGGCCCCCTTCTTGTGCCCCTGCCTGGCTTTGCCAGTCCCAGGCAGAATGCCACCAGGAATTTAAAGCAGGCCAGGCCAGCCTTGGAGAGGTGGCACAAAGCAGCCAGTGTCACAGGCGCCATGTGGCAGTCAGCAGGTTTGGACTCCTGCACCCAGAGTTCAGTGTCAATCTGACGACAGGCCCTCTTTGGTGCTTGGAGGTCCAGGGAGAGGAGCACAGGTTCTGGGATCTCAGACACAGATGGAAATCCAGCAGCTGGACGTTGATTTGGTCCCATCAATTAGCCCAGAGCAGTTGTAGTTCTTATTGCCTGGAGCCTCTGTCAATCCATGATCTTTATTGTAGCTGCTGCCATTTACCAAGCAAATCCTCTATGCCCACCACTCCCAAAGGCCCAGTGAAGAAGGTGTCATTCCCACTTTACAGATGGGGAAACTGAGGCTTAGAGAGGTTAAATTCCTTTGCCAAGCTTGTACAGCTGGTCCTGGCAGATCCAGGACATAAACTCAGGACTCTCTCACTCCAGGACTGTGCTCTTTCTACCCACCATCAAGCTCAAGGCTGAAAGTGAGGTGTGTGACTCCAACCCTATCTTCCTAAGGATAGATATATTTTGAGTTGTTCCAAGCTTAGAAACTCATGCTCGGGATATTGAAATTTCCACTGTTAGTGTAAGGAAGGGCCAAAAATTGCATGGTCCATTTGGTTTCTTTCTCATAGGTTTCCTGACAATTCCAAGCCCCAGAGAGTATTTTTCCCTGTTGCCTTACTATTAATTCTCATGTAGGCTTGGAAGTATCTGCAAGCCTTCATTAGAGCCATTTCAGCAGGGAGTTGGCTATCATGGGGGTGTCAGTGTAAGGCCTAGGCAGTTTTGGCTTTGGGCATGTGGAAAACCTGCCTGGATTGTTCTGGAAGCTCAGACTGTCTATGGGATGCTATTTTTTGCTTCCGTAGTTTTCCTAGGACCATAATTTTTTTTAATTTTATTTTTTATAGATGGGATATTGCCCTGTCACCCAGGTTGGAGTGCAGTGGCACAATCATGGCTCACTGAAGCCTTGAACTCCTGAGCTCAACTGATCCTCTTGCCTCAGCCTCCCAAGTAGCTGGGACTAGAGGCGTGTGCCCCCACAACCAGCCAGTTTTTAATTTTTTTTTGTAGAGACAGGGTCTTGCTATGTTGCCCAGGCTGTTCTTAAATCCCTGGCGTCAAGTGATCCTCCTGCCTCAGCCTCCTAAAGTGCTGGGATTACAGGTATGAGCCACTGCACCCAGCTTAGGACCTTGATTATGTGAGGTAGGACAAGAAGTGCTGGAAAGATCATCCCTGCCCTCCAGGGGAGATACACACATGGATTACCCCTGATTCTTACAGGGACTACCTGCATGTCCATGGGCTGCTATGCAAGCTTCCAGGAACTTCAGTCTCCTTCCTTATAGAGTGGGATTGCCCCTTGTGCTCTGTCACTCTGGGTTCCATCCCTTCTCACCCACTAATAGTGGGGAGGAAGAAGAAGAGCTAATATTTATGCTGTGCTTTCTGGGTCTGGGCACTAAGATAGGAGGCACTTTACAGGTTGTTATTACAGATAAAGGGCTGAGGAGGGCCTCAGTATTCGTATTCGTATTTTTCCCCCAGTTTTCCCCCAACCTCCAGTGCTGCAGAGATACCTGCAGGGGTGAGTGGAGATTGACAATCAGAATCCTATGAGATCTCCAAGTTGAGAGCAGAGTCCTTTGAAGTCCCTAGGCGTCACCAATATACTTGAGTTTGGGCTACATCTGTTCTGACTTGGGGCTCCCCAGAAAGTTTGTCTCTAGCAGCCCTGAGATTGGTTGGGACCAGGACCCACCCTATCCCCTGCTAGTGGTAGGTGGAAAGGTGGGGTGAGGCTCTAATCCATCTGATTCATCTCCCCTTTCACTGGACAAGACTGATTTGGCCTCCACTGGCTCCAGAGCAGGCATGCTGGCTACACTCCCAACACTCATTTCTGGAGGTGTGACTTGAGCCCATTACCAAGCATTTTTATTCACCCCCCTGCTCCCTATCTGGCATCTTCTGTATGTGGGGACGTTTATCAACTCTGTGCTCCTTGGGTAGCCTTCTTCTGTGCCCAGTGACACAGGACAGCTCAGTTCCCAGCCTCAGCCAGATGCCCTGGGCATGTTAGGCAGGTGGGCTGGTACTCACATGTGCCTGAGGTTCCCAGCCTCAGTTCACCTCCAATAGGTCTAGGTTTCCTTTTCCATGAAGTATTCCAGCAACCAGAAAGTCAAGCATCTAAACAGGCCAGCTTGCACATGATTTTTGGAGATACTGGAGGAGGAAGGAAGATATCTCCAAGATATGTATGCACTGTCATTTCTGCCTCCAACCTTGAAACCCTTCTCTGTATCAGCCAGCTTTTGCTATGTGTGTGGTGTAATAAATCACCTTAATACTTAGTGGCTTAAAACAATAATCTCTTATTTACCGGCAATCCTGTGAGTTGGTAATTTGGACTGAGCTCACCTGGAACGGCTCTTCTCTGTCCCATTTACTGTCAGACTGGCTCCCTCAGAGGTCTGCAGGCAGCTTGAGGTCTGTGGCTTCTCTTCCACATCTGAAAGTTGACTGGCTGTAGGCAAGGGTGGTAACTGGGCCATGTGCCACACATGTTCAGCAGAATAACTGGGGCTCATTCACATAGTGGTGGTTGCAAGGGTTCCAAGAGCAGCATGGGAAGTCAAGCCCCGAAGCACAAGCATATTTCTTTCTTTTTTTTTTTTTTTTTTTTTTTTGAGACAGAGTCTCCCACTTTGGCTCAGGCTGGAGTGCAGTGGCGTGATCTCGGCTCACTGCAAGCTCCGCCTCCCGGGTTCACGCCATTCTCCTGCCTCAGCCTCCCGAGTAGCTGGGACTACAGGCGCCCACCACCACGCCCGGCTGATTTTTTGTATTTTTAGTAGAGACGGGGTTTCACCGTGTTAGCCAGGATGGTCTCGATCTCCTGACCTTGTGATCCACCCGCCTCGGCCTCCCAAAGTGCTGGGATTACAGGCGTGAGCCACCGCGCCCGGCCCTGCACAAGCATATTTCAAGTGTCTGTTTGCATGGCATTGCTATTGTCCTATGAGCCCAAGCAAGTCACATGGCCAGTTCTGGAGTTGCTGTGAGTGGAGACTATGTAAAAGCATGGGTATAGGGAGGAGAATTAGTGTGGCTGTTTTTTGCAAACAATTTACCACACCCTCCCTATCCATTCAGCTATCATCAGGAAAAAATTCATATGAGCTTTTCTCTTGATTGGCAGCAGCTTCCAAAATTTGTGAGGCAAAGGAAGTTATAAAAAAGCAGAATCTGCCAGGGGCAGTGGCTCACATCTGTGATCCCAGCACTTTGGGAAGTTGAGGCAGGTGGATCACTTGAGCCCAGGAGTTTGAGACCAGCCTGGTCAACACAGAGGGACTCCATCTGTACAAAAACTAAAAAATGTGGCCAGGCACGGTGCCTCACACTTGTAATCCCAGCACTTGGGAAGCTGAGGCAGGCAGATCACTCAAGTTCAGGAGTTCAAGACCAGCTGGGCCAACATAGAGAAATCCCATCTCTACTAAAAATACAAAAAAAATAATTAGCCGGGTGTGGTGGCGGATGCCTGTAATCCCAACTACTCAGAAGGCTGAGGCAAGAGAATCGCTTGAACCTGGGAGGCAGAGGTTGCAGTGAGCAGAGATCATGCCACTGCACTCCAGCCTGGGCAACAGAGCGAGACTCCATCTCAATAAATAAATAAATAAATAAGCCAGGTGTGGTGTTGCACACCTGTAGTCCCAACTACTTGGGAGGGTGAGGTGGGAGGATTGCTTGAGCCCGGGAGGTCGAGGCTGCAGTGAGCCTTAATCATGCCACCGCACTCCAAGCCTGGGCAACAGAGAGAGAGAGAGAGAGAGAGAGAAAGAGAGACCCTGTCTCAAAAAAAAAAAAAAAATAGCGAGGGGAGGGCAGAATGCTAACTCATCTTTCGCAGACCCTGCCAAGAGCTGGTCACTGCTTGATGGCCATGTTGCCTCCTTGCTCATCAGGGAAGCATTGCATCTTCAGGGTGGGAGACACAGCGGGGCCTGCGGTTCAGTAGGGATTAGATGCCTGTGCTCCCACAGCTCCTCTCCAGGCCTCTGCCGCAGCTCCGGTGCTGCTGCGCTTCCATTACTGACCGGCACATCTGTCTTTCTTAGTGGATTGTGGGCTCCTTGAGGGCCGAACCACGGTTGTCTTTCATCTTGGACTCTCCAGCTTCCAACACAGTGCCTGGTACATTTGTAAGAACCTAGTGTTTGTGTGAATAAATTCATGAATTGCACATGACTGAGCTCTGCTGCATTTCATCCAGAGAATTGGTAATCATGATAGAATTTGCTTAGACATTCCAAGGTTACTTGTAATTACTTTTGTTTTCTGAGCGTGATTGATTAGTTATAAGCATCAATATGTTGTGAATGCAAGTTGCTAAAATGCATTTGTAACACTTTACTTGTCCTGTCTTTCTCTAAGGCTACAGCAGCTGAAAAACCAAAACTTCATCTACTTGCTGAAAGTGAGGTAAGAAAGCTATTTTTTTTTTTATTTCCTTCTGTAACATTTTCTGTAAAAGATAGTGCGTGGCAATCCCCTTTGGGATAATGATTTTCAGCCAGCCAAGCAGCTGTGCAGTGGCTTCTCCAGGGTGTGGAGCAGTATTGACCTCCAACTTGCTCCCTGCTGGACTCAGTACACCTGAACAGGGAAGGTGCTTTCCAAGGGTGCCTAGTAACAGAGGCCCCCTTCTTAGCCCTTTCTTGGAAGCAGAATGCTAATTGTCAGAGCCAAACACAAGGCCTTCCTGCCTTGGGGATGCATGGTGTCCTGATTGTGAGAGACCCTGGGAGGGGAAATGGAAGGGTCTCTCCCCTCCCGTCTTTTCCATTTTACAGTCAGGCATGCCAGAAACTTGGCACCCATCTGCTCTGCACTTCAATATGGACAAGTTTCAGATCTTTCCTGTCGACATATCCCATTTAGCCCCAAATCAAAGAGTTTCCTGCGCTGTTTGTGCTGACCTACCCTCTTCCCTCCCATTCCCCAAGCACACAGCTTACTATCTCTTTAAAGTGGCAACAGAGTGGATCTGAGATGGGTTGCTTCATGCGAAGGTGGTGAGGTGTACACTTTATGAATCAGCTTGGGAGAAAAGCACAGAAACTCTCGATTTCCCCTGTGTCCGGGGCCATTACCTAGTCCCAGGTGAGGGCCAAAGCTGGGTGTGGATTCAACCTGGAGCCCCAGAGCTCTGCCCTGCTCCTCATTCCACTGATTGCGTAGCTTTATTCTTGTTCTTTTGAAAATAAATAAGACTCGGTCTCCAGCCTCAAAAGACTTAATGACTGAGAAGTGAAGCTCAATATTTTTTCAAAAGAGAAAGTTACAACATAGGTGAAACGTGCTTTAAGAGCTGGGTGAGGGAGTGGTCAACCCCGTCTTGGGTCCAGATAACAAAGGCTGGATAGAGGTGATGAGATTTGCAGAGAGTCTTGAAGAAGAGGAAAGCATGTGTCAGGCGAGGAAGGGCATTTCAAGCAGAGAGAGCAGCATGTGCCAAAACAGAGCCTGCAAAAATGGGAAAAAGCTGGGGAGACTGAGGAGGTTGGATGGGACTGGGATTGGTTGTCCAGTTGAGAAACTCTGACAGCATGGCCTGAAGGATCCTCTAGGCTGAGGAGTCCTGTGATTACATTGTTTTCTGTCTGGCAGTAGCAAGGAGCTTGAGCTGGAGGAAGCCTTGGGCATCCAGGAAACCAGAGAGGGGGTAGGGGGCATAAGTGTAGTGAGACCTCCAGGATGTGTGCTGTGCAAGATGATCTACTTCCCAGTGGGAAGAAAGTACAGTTGACCCTGAAGCAATGAGGGGGTTATGGACACTGACCACCCCCACATCATGCAGTAGAAAATCCATATATAACTTTCTACTCCCCCAAAACCAAACTGCTAAAACTACTGTTGACCAAAAGCCTTACTGATAACATAAAGTCAATTAACAAATATTTTGTATGTTTTATATACTATATTCTGTATTCTTACAATAAAGTAAGCTAGAGAAAAGAAAATGTTATTAAGAAAATCATAAGGAAGAGAGATAGATTTACTATTCTTTAAGTGGGAGTGGATCACCATGAAGGTCTTCATCCTTGTAGTCTTCACTTTGTGTAGGCTGAGGAGGAGGTAGAGGAGGGCTTAGTCTTGCTGTCTCAGGGGTGGCAGAGGCAGAAGAAGATCCAGGTGTAAGCAAACTCCTGCAGTGCAAACCGGTGTTGTTCGAGGGTCAACTGTATTACAATTCCATTGTCACCAACTTTTTAAAGACAAATCAACGTTGGTGGCCTTGCAGGTACCCAGGACTCTCACAATGAGGAGGGGTTGATAGTGGCCCCCTCCTTTATTTCCTAGACCATCTTTAGCATATTCTGAAGCATCGCAGCTTTAGAATTGCTTGGTTGAGGCCGGATGTGGTGGCTTATTCCTGTAATCCCAGCACTTTGGAAGGCCGGGGTTGGCGTATCACCTGAGGTCGGGTGTTTAAGACCAGCCTGGCCAACACGGTAAAACCCCATCTCTACTAAAAATACAAAAATTTAGCCAGACATGGTGGTGTGCATCTGTAATCCCAACTACTTGGGAGGCTGAGGCACGAGAATCGCTTGAACCTGGGAGGCGGAGGTTGCAGTGAGCTGAGATCCTGCCACTGCACTCCAGCTTGGGCCACAGAGTGAAACTCTGTCTCAAAAAAAAAAAAAGAAAAAAAAGTGCTTGGTCGGGCCAGGTGCGGTGGCTCACGCCTGTAATCCCAGCACTTTGGGAGGCCGAGGCAGATGTATCACCTGAGGTCAGGAGTTCCAGACCAGCCTGGCCAACATGGTGAAACCCCGTCTCTACTAAAAATACAAAAATTAGCCAGGCGTGGTGGCAGGCACCTGTAATCCCAGCTACTCGGGAGGCTGAGGCAGGAGAAATGCTTGAACCCAGGAGGCGGAGGTTACAGTGAGCTGAGATCATGCCATTGCACTCCAGCCTGGGCAAGAAGAGAGAAACTCCATCTCAAGGAAAAAAAGAAAAAAAAAGAATTGCTTGGTTGAAGTAGTCTTACGTATCATGTTATTTGGGTTTAATTAGACTGATCCTCACAAAATAGGCAAGTGGTTTTAAAAGATTTCTGCATAAAAAATGTGGGTTGAGACAGGTGTAGTGACTCATACCTGTAATACCAGTGCTTTAAAAGACCAAGGAGAGGATCACTTGAGGCCAGGGTCTTGAGAACATCCTGGGCAACATAGCAAGACCTCATCTCTAAAAAAAATTGTAAAAATTAGCTGAGCATGGTGATGTGTGCCTACAATCCCAGCTACTTGAGAGGCTGAGGCAGGAGAATTGCTTGAGTCCAAGAGTTTGAGGCTGCAGTGAGCTATGATTTGTGCCCCTGCACCCCAGCGTGGGTGACAGTGAGACCCTGTCTCTTAAAAGGAAAAAAAAAAGTAGAAGCTTTTGAAGCTAACACAAATGAACAATGAGAAAATAAGATGGCTGATAATTTTCCTACCCCTGGTACAGACTATTCAGCTACATCATGGGGTTGAAAGAAGATAAAGATCTTATTAGATATAATGCCAAGTCAGTCAAAAAATTAAAAATTAGCAGGCTATTTAAATTCTGGCTTTACATATGATATTGTTAATGATGAACTAATCACTATGTGTACAGAGTGCCTTGAGAGAATTAGCTAATGACACTACTAGGCCACCAAATTTTAAAATAGTTCATCTTTATCTCTTTATTTATTTATTTTTTGGAAACAGAGTCTCACTCTGTTGCCCAGGCTGGAGTGCAGTGGCATGATCTCAGCTCATTGCAACCTCTCCCTCCTGGGTTCAAGTGATTCTTCTGCCTCAGCCTCCCAAGTACCTGGGATTACAGGCGTGCGCCACCATGCCCGACCTATGTTTTTATTTTTTTTAAATGAAAGTATAATTTACTACCAGTCAAACACACAAATTCTGTAAGCTTAATAAGTGTGTTGTTGTTGAAACAGGGTCTCGCTCTGTCATGCAGGCTGGAGTGCAGTGGTGCGATCTTGGCTCACTGCAGCCTCCACCCCGTGGGCTCAAGTGACCCTCCCACCTGGTCTCCCAAGTAGCTGGGACTACAGCCATGTACCAGCCTGCCCATTTTTTTGTTTGTTTGTTTGTGGTTTTTGTTTGTTTGTTTGTTTGTTTGTTTGAGACGGAGTCTCTCTCTGTTGCCCAGGCTGGAGTGCAATGGCGTGATCTCGGCTCCTGCAACCTTCGCCTCCTGGGTTCAAGCGATTCTCCTGTCTCAGCCTCCCGAGTAGTTGGGATTACAGGCGTGCGCCACCAGGCCCAGCTAATTTTTGTATTTTTAGTAGAGACGGGGTTTCACCATGTTGGTTAAGTTGGTCTCGAACTCCTGACCTCGTGATTGCCCAGCTCGGCCTCCCAAAGTGCTGAGATTACAGGCGTGAGCCACCGCGCCCAGCTTTGTTTGTGTTTTTTTGAGATGGAGTCTCACTCTGTTGCCTGGGCTGGAGTGCAGTGGCGCAATCTCGGCTCACTGCAACCTCTGGCTCCTGTGTTCAAGCAATTCTCCTGCCTCAGCCTCCCAAGTAGCTGGGATTACAGGCGCCTGCCACTACACCCAGTAATTTTTTGTACTTTTGGTAGAGATGAGGTTTTACCATGTTGGCCAGGCTGGTCTTGAACTCCTGACCTCATGATTCGCCTGCCTTGGCCTCCCAAAGTGCTGGGATTACAGGCCTCAGCCACCGTACCCGGCCTATTTTTAATTTTTTTTTTCAGTAGAGACAGGGTCTTGCCATGTTGCCCCGGCTGGTCTTGAACTCCTGAGCTCAAGCAATCCACCTGCCTCAGCCTCCCAAAGTGCTTGGATTACAGATGTGAGCCACCATGCCCGGCTGTTTAAGAAGTTTTAACACACGTATACACCTATGTAACCGTTGCCCAGTTCAAGATATAGAACATTTTCATCACCCCCCAAAATCCCTTCACAGTCTTTTCCAGTCAATACTTCCCATTTCCTGTCCTGACAGTATCACTATTCTGACTTCTATCACCAGAGCTTTTCCATTCTTGAACCTCATATAAATATAATCATACATATGTACTCTCTTGTGTCTGGTTTTAATATTTTAATGTTGCTGCATATATCAAAAGGTTATTCCTATGTAATTTTGTTTTTTGCTTTTTTTTCATGAGGCATTTTATTTGTAAATATGTATAACATCTCTAGAAAAAGAATCCCAGGATTTTCCTTCCTGTGTGTTTTCGTCTTGCTTCTTTATGGTCCATGATGCCAGCTGAGACTGTCAGTACAATGAAATCAAACTGGCCAGATGGAAGCAGATTATTCTGCATTTCTCTAGATCTTTGAGTTGCACATCAAATCTGGGGCTGATCATGCCACACTTGTTTAGACTGCCTGTGAGGTTCACAACAATTTGCCTAGCTCTGTGATCATCCATGATTTCAAATTCGCCAATATAACCATGCTTCATCATCACAGTGAGAAACCAGACGATGACTTTGGAGCATGGCCTAAGAACCTGGTGTTTGTCTCTCTTTTCAGCATTGTTGATGCTCTTGAGAGCATCAGCCAGGACATTAATGTGCACCACTGTGGTGGCGTGGAAAGATGGCAAAAAGAGCCCTGCATGATTTTGTACGTAGAAAATCCTGGAATACCCACAAAAACCTATTAGAACTAATAAACAATTTCAGCAAGGTTATAGGATACAAGGTTAATATACATAAATCAATTGTAGCCAGGCACGGTGGCTCACGCCTGTAATCCCAGCACTTTGGGAGGCTGAGGCAGGTGGATCACAAGGTCAGGAGTTCAAGACCAGCCTTGGTTTCAGACTGGTGAAACCCAGTCTCTACTAAAAATACAAAAATTAGCCGGGTGTAGTGTTGGGTGCCTGTAATCCCAGCTACTCGGGAGGCTGAGGCAGATAATTGCTTGAACCTGGGAGATGGAGGTTGCAGTGAGCCGAGATCACGCCACTGCACTCCAGCCTGGGTGACAGAGCAAGACTCCATCTCAAAAAAAAAAAAAAAAATTAAATTGTACTTCTTCTATAAAATTGCAATGAACAATATAAAAATGAAATTAAGAAAACAATTCCTGGCTGGGTGTGGTGGTGAGTGGGTCACCTGAGGTCAGAAGTTTGCAACCAGCCTGGCCAACATGGTGAAACCCCATCTCTACTAAAAATACAAAAACTAGCCAGTTGTGGTGGCACACACCTGTAATCCCAGCTACTCGGGAGGCTGAGGCAGGAGAATTGCTTGAACCTGGGAGGTGGAGGTTGCAGTGAGCTGAGATCACACCAGTGTACTCTAGCCTGGGTAACAGAGTGAGACTCTGTCTCAAAAAAAAAAAAAAAAAAAAAAGAAAAGAAAACAATTCCATGTATAATAGCATCAAAAAGAACAAATTACTTAGGAATAAACAAGAGAAGTATAGACTTTTACTCTGAAAACTACAAAGGATTGTTGAAAGAAAATAAAGAAGATCTAAATTAATGGAAAGACATCCCATGTTCATGGATTGGAAGACACTATTGTTAAGGTGGTAAACTCCCCAAATTAATATATAGATTCAACCCAATTCCTATGAAAATCTCAGCTGGCTTCTTTGCAGAAATTGACAAGCTGCTTCTAAAATTCATATGAAAATGGAAGGGGTGCCGAATAGCCAAAACAATCTTGAATAAGAAGAAAGAGAACTCACATTTCCTGATTTCAAAATTTTAAAAGCAGGCTGGGTGTGGTGGCTCACACTTGTAATCCTAGAACTTTGGGAGGCCGAAACAGGTGGATCACCTGAGGTCAGGAGTTCGTGACCAGCCTTGCCAACATGGTGAAACCCCATCTCTACTAAAAATACAAAAAATTAGCCAGGCGTGGAGGTAGGTGCCTGTAATCCCAGCTACTTGGGAGGCTGAGGCAGGAGAATCACTTGAACCTGGGAGGCAGAGGTTGCGGTGAGCTGAGATCACACCATTGCACTCCAGCCTGGGCAACAAGAGCAAAACTCCATCTCAAAAAAAGAAAAAAAAAACTTATAAAGCTACAGTAATCAAGACAATGTGATACTAACATTAGGATAATTATATAGCTGCATGAACTGAAATTGAGAGTTCAGAAATAAACCCTTACATTTATGGTATAATGATTTTTTTTTTTTTGAGACAGAGTCTCACTCTGTCGCCCAGGCTGGAGTGCAGTGGTGCGATCTCAGCTCACTGCAATCTCCGCCTCCCGGGTTCACACCATTCTCCTGCCTCAGCCTCCCAGGTATAATAATTTTTGACAAAGATGTGAAAACAATTCAATGGGGAAAGAAAAGCCTTTCAACAGATGGTGCTAAGACTCTGTCTCTACAAAAAGTAATTTTAAAATTTCCTGAGAGTGGTGGGGTGCATCTGTGGTCCCAGCTACTTGGGAGGCTGAGGTGGGAGGATCACTTGGGCCCTGGAAGGTCAAGGCTGCAGTGAGCTGTGATTGATCCACTGCACTCCAGCCTGGGCAAAACTATGGGACCCTGTCTCAAAAAAAAAAAAAAAAAAAGTTTGTAGGTTTCATTTGTTTGCTTTGTTTGTTTGTTCTGAGATACATTTACAGGTAGAATTCTTAGGGTTTGGTAACAGGTTACATGTGGAGCCCATGGGAGTGGAAGGAGTTCAAGGATGATGGCAGATTTTCAGCAGAGGCGATGAGGGGCTAGTTCTGCCTGGAACACTCTTTTCCTAGACACTGGCATAGTGTCCCTCATCTTATTCTGGTTTCTGCTCAAATGCCGCATCTTCAGAGGTCCTTCCCTGTCCATCCTGACTAAAATGAAATCCCTACCCTTTATTTGTTCAACGTGTGTATCAGTTAGTATTAGATTTGGCTGGCAGTAACAGAAAACTCCAAAATAGCATTTGGATAAACACATTGGAATTTTGTTTTTCTCTCAAATTTTAGAAATATAGAGGTAATGTGGTGGGGGGAGGGGGGAGGCTGATATGGGGCAGCTTGATGACAAGGATGCAGGTTCTATTCTATTTTGTTGCTTTGTTTTGTATGGGCATCATTCCCAGAGTTATCTCTTTTTTTTAATTAGAATAACACACATGTATTATCTACGATTTTTGTAACCACCCAGAGGGTTCACTTTGCCCACTGCCTAGACAGAGCTGATTTATCAAGGTAGAGAATTGCAATAGAGAAAGAGTAACTCATGCAGAGCTGGCTGTGTGGGAGACCAGAGTTTTATCATTACTCAAATCAGTTTCCCCAGGACTATTTCTCTATTGCAATTAAATCCATGCACCATGGGTCAGCAGTGACCGGCCTGTAGAGACAGTAGCGGAGTCAACCCCCAGTCCAAGAGAAGTAGGCGGCCACTTGGACTGGCCTCTGGATCCGTCACCAGAGGGAGGCTACCGAACCAGGATTACCCTTATGGCAGGTAGTCTTAAGGGCAATCCTGGACAAGCTCCCAAACTTGTAACCGCCCAACAGGTTCACCTTGCCCACTGCCTAGACAGAGCTGATTCATCAACAGGGGAATTGCAATAAAGAAGGAGTAATTCACTCAGAGTCACCTTTGCGGGAGACTGGGGTTTTACTATTACTCAAATCAGTCTCCTTGAGCATTTGGGGATTGGAGTTTTAAGGATAATTTGGTGGGTAGGAAGCAGCCAGTGAGTCAGGAGTGCTGATTGGTTGGGTCAGAGATGAAATCATAGGGAATTGAAACTGTCTTGCACTGAGTCAGTTTCTGGCTGGGGGCCACAAGATCAGATGATCCAGTTTATCAATCTGGGGGGTGCCAACTGATCCATCAAGTGCAAGGTCTGCAAAATATCTCAAGCACTATCTTAGGCTTTACAATAGTGATGTAATCCCCAGGATCAATTTGGGAGGGTCAGAATCTTGTAGCCTCCAGCTGCATGACTCCTAAACCATAATTTCTAATCTTTTTGCTAATTTGTTAGTCCTTCAAAGGCAGTCTGATCTCCAGACAAGAAGAGGGTTTGTTTTGGAAAAGGGCTGTTATCATCTTGTTGTATTTTTATTTTTATTATTTATTTATTTATTTATTTATTTATTTATTTATTTATTTATTTTTGGGGGACAGAGTCTCGCTCTATCGCCCAGAATGGAGAGCAGTGGCCCAGTCTCGGCTCACTGCAACCTCTGCCTCCTGGATTCAAGCGATTCTCCTGCCTCAGCCTCCCAAGTAGCTGGGATTACTGGCGCCCGCCACCACACCCAGCTAATTTTTGTATTTTTAGTAGAAGCAGCGTTTCACCATGTTGGCCAAGCTGGTCTCGAACTCCTGACCTCAAGTGATCCGCTCGCCTTGGCCTCCCAAAGCGCTAGGATTACAGGCGTGAGCCACTGCGCTCAGCCTCATCTTTGTTTTAAACTATAAACTAAGTTCCTCCCAAAGTTAGTTCAGCCTATGACCGGGAATGAACAAGGACAGCTTGGAGGTTAAAAGCAAGATGGAGTTGGATAGGTCAGATCTTTCACTGTCTCAGTAATATTTTGCCATGGGTGTTTCATGTTTGTGGGTCAGGAGTTGGGATAAGCTGAGCTAGGTGTCCTGCCTTGGGTCATGCTTTCCTGCTCATGTGGTTGTTTGCAGCGTTCGGTTCCTTGTAGCTGTAGGATTCACATCTTGCTTCTTCTGAGAGGCCTGGAGGCTAGAAGTCCAAATTCAAGGTGTTGGCAGGCTTGTGCTCCCTCTGAATCTTGGAGAAGAAGACCCTCCCTTGCCTCTTCCAGCTTCCAGTGGCCCCAAGCGTTCCTTGGCTTGTGGCAGCATCACTCCCATCCCTGCCTGCATCTTTGTATGGTCATCTTCTTTCTGTGTATGTCCCTTCACATGGCGTTCTCCCTGTGTGTCCCAAGGTTATCTCATAATCCAAGATGATTGCAGGATCTCCAGCCACTCTGCCTGTCCTCCAGTCAGCGGGAAGGAGGAATGGCAAAGAAGCAGGAAAGCCACAGAATAGCTGTGTCTCTTAAGGGAGGCTCCAGAAGCTACTGAGACACTCTCACTTTCATCTCTGGCCAGAGCTTGGTCACATGCCTGCATCCGACTATAGGGGAGGCTGGAAATGGAATCTTTATTCTGGGAGGCCTGAGTTCACCTAAAAATTGGAGCATTGATTAGTTTATTAGGACAAAGGGGAAATGGATATTGTGGGATACAGCTGTGTCAGCTGCGCCTGCCTTTTCTCCTAGTGCCTGGCCTAATGTATATTTAATTAGCCATTTGTTTACCATCTGTCTCTCCCGATCAGAATGTGGGCTGTGTAAAACCAAAGAAGAAAACTGAGGTACCAGTTAAAAAAAAAGAAAAAGAAGAAGGCTGGGTGTGGTAGTTCACACCTGTAATCCCAACACTTTGGGAGGCCAAGGCAGGCAGATCACCTGAGGTCAGGAGTTCGAGACCAGCCTGGAACATGGTGAAACCCTGTCTCTATTAAAAATACAAAAAATTAGCCAGGTGTGGTGGCATGCACTGTAATCCCAGCTACTCGGGAGGCTGAGGGAGGAGAATCGTTTGAACCCGGGAGGCAGAGTTTGCAGTGAGCCGAGATGATGCCACTGCACTCCAGCCTGGGCGACAGAGTGAGACTCTGTCTCAAAAAAAACAAAAAACAAAACAAAAAAAACAACAAAAAAAAATAAGAAAAAGAAAAAAAGAAGAAGAAAATGACTGAGGCGAGTCTCAATCAATTTAGAGTTAATTTTGCCAAGGATGAGAATATGCCCAGAAAAAAGAGACATAAGCCACAGTAGGATCTGTGACCCACACTTTTTCCAAAGAGGGTTTGAGGACTTCAATATTTAAAGAGGAAAGGGTGGGGCTGGGCACGGTGGCTCACGCCTGTAATCCCAGCACTTTGGGAGGCCAAGGCGGGCAGATCATGAGGTCAGGAGATTGAGACTATCCTGGCTAACAGTGAAACACCGTCTCTACTAAAAATACAAAAAAAAAATTAGCCACGCATTGTGGCGGGCACCTGTAGTCCCAGCTACTCAGGAGGCTGAGGCAGGAGAATGGTGTGAATCCGGGAGGTGGAGCTTGCAGTGAGCTGAGATCGCACCAGTGCACTGCAGCCCGGGCGACAGAGTGAGACTCTGTCTCAAAAAAATAAAAATAAAATAAAATAAAAAATAAATAAATAAAATAAAAAATAAAGAGGAAAGGGTGAGCAGTGCAGGAAAGAGGAAAGGGAAAAAAGGGAAGGGTAGATAAAAGAGACAAGGGGTTGCATTCTTTTGAGACTTTGATTAGCTTAGTGTTCCCTGAACCCACAGTTCACATGTGAAATGAGGAGGGTGGAGGAACAGTCAGCTATGCATTCATACTCAGTGAATGTGCATTTTTACATAAGTAAAGTAAGCATAGAATAAAGGAAGCAGTCAAATATGCGTTTGGCGCAGGTGAAGGAAGGGATAACTTCTAGTCCAGTCCTTGTCCTGTACCTGTGATGGTAAGCTGTCAGTGTACATTGTTTGGGTGAAATTCAACAGAATTCTGTTTTAGGGTAAAGGGATTTCCTCATGAGCAAATTGTGAGGGAAGCCCCCTGGGAAGATATGTGGCCTACCTTTGCAGCTACCTATGTAGGGACAAAATGGGAGGTGTTTTGGGTGACACAGTTCCCAAGCTAAACACTTTCCTTTGGCATAGGGAGTTTGTTGGATTTTTGGGTTGTTCACCACATTTCCAGTGACTAGGAAAGTGCAGGGCAGATTAGGTGTTTCACAAATATGTGTTGGGTGAATAAATGACAAGGAGGGGAATTGAGAAGAGTAAGTTTAAGGAGAAGAACATGACTGTGTTGGAAGATACTGAGTTTCGGGTGCCCATGGGACATATAAGACTTGATTCTCATAGGCAGCTGGAAATATAATCACGAACTTGGGAGGGAGATGTGGCTGAAGCCCTTGACAAGAGTGATTCTTTGGGAAGGGCATAGCGAGACAGACCTACAGAAAACAGCGAGAGAGGAGACATACTCAGCCCACTCAGTGGAATCAACCCAAGCCAGAAGTCTCCACCCCCACCCCCCGGGGGAGGGCAACTTCTTCCATAACCCACTTATAGCCCCTCTGGCCTTGCAGATCTGCCTCTCTGTTTGGTTTGAGAATTCCCCTTATAAAGGAACTCTGCAGGGCCCAGATCCACTTGCCACGCTTTAGGAATCTAAGCCACGACTCAGTCTCCTCGGTGCAGGTTCTTGGACCCCTTCACTGGACCTGAGTGAAATAAGAGAAATAAGGACAATATAGTAAAATAAATATTGCATTTTGTCGGAATGACAAGGTGGGCTGGAGACACACTGCCTTGGCTTGGATCCCAGCTTTTCCATTCAGTTGCTGTGTGACCTTGAGAAAGTCACTTAATCACCCCGTGATTCAGTTTCCTCATCTATAAAATGGGGATATTACGAGTATCCACCTCATTGTGTTGTTTTAAGGATCAATCAGTCAATAAATAAGTAAATAATTTAGAACAATGGTGTATAGTAAGTTCTACCTAAGTGCTAGCTATTAATATAAAGCCAAATGTATTTAGCTTACAAAGCAACCATTATTTTTACTTCTCTGTTTTAAAATATATTTTCTTTTCTTTTTTTTTGAGATGGAGTCTCACTCTGTCAGCCAGGCTGGAGTGTGGTGGCACGATCTCGGCTCATGGCAACCTCTGCCTCCCCGGTTCAAGTGATTCTCCTGCCCCAGCCTCTGGAGTAGCAGGGACTATAGGTGCACACCACACGCCCAGCTAATTTTTTGTATTTTTAATAGAGACGGGGTTTCATCATGATTGCCAAGCTGGTTTTGAACTCCTGACCTCAAGTGATCGACCCACCTCAGCCTCCCAAAGTGCTAGGATTACAGGTGTGAGCCACCACGCCCCGCCTAAAATATATTTTCTTTTAGGAAAGCGGTTCCCAACCTTTATGGCACTAGGCACTGGTTTTGTGGAAGACAATTTTTCCACAGACCCGTGTGTGTGTGGGGATGGTTTCGGGGTGAAACTGTTCCACCTCAGATCATTATGCAGCAGGACAAGCTGCAGACAAAACTCCTCAGACACCGAGTTAAAGAAGGAAGCGGTTTATTCAGCCAGGAGCATCGGCAAGACTCCTGTCTCAAGAGCCGAGCTCCCCGAGTGAACAATTCCTGTCCCTTTTAAGGGCTCACAACTCTAAGAGGGTCCTTGGGAGAGGGTCATGATTGACTGAGCAAGCAGGGGGTATGTGACTGGGGGCTGCAGGCACTGGTAATCAGAACAAAACAGAACAGGACAGGGATTTTTACAATGCCTTTCCATACAATGCCTGGACTCTATAGATAACATAAACGGTTAGGTCAGGGGTCGATCTGTAACTACCAGGCTTAGGTCAGGCAGGGCCAGGCCTGGTTTCGGGTCTGGTTCCTTGCTTTCGGGTCTGGTTCCTGGGCGCCAGGCTACCTGCCTTTAGTTTTGCTTCTCTTTCTTTTTCTGAGTATAAAACAATATGAGAGGGTCTGTCTCTCTTCTCTCAATTAGGCACTAGATTCTCATAAAAAGTGCACAATCCAGATCCTTTGGATGAGCAGTTCACAATAGGGTTTGTACTCCTACAAGAATCTAATTGCACTGCTGATCTGACAGGAGACAGAGCTGAGGCGGTAATGCTCGCTCACCTGCTGCTCACCTCCTGCTGTGAAGCTCAGTCCCTAACAGGCCACAGACCAGTTGGGGACCCTACTTTAGGAAATTATGATTATAGGATATGAAAATCATACACCTAAAAAAGATCCTGGTCTGGCATGGTGGCTCATGACTGCTAATTCCAGCACTTTGGAAGGCCAAGTCAGGAGGATTGCTTGAGCCCAGGAGTTCGAGATTGCAGTGAGCTATGATCATACCACTGCACTTTAGCCTAGGTGACAGCAAGACTTTGTCTCTTTTCTTTCTTTCTTTTTTTTTTTTTTGAGACAGAGTCTCGCTCTGTCCCCTAGGCTGAAGTGCAATGGCATGATCTCGGCTCACTGCAAGCTCCGCCTGCTGGGTTCACGCCATTCTCCTGCCTCAGCCTCCCCAGTAGCTGGAACTACAGGCACCCGCCACCACGCCCGGCTAATTTTTTGTATTTTTAGTGGAGATGGGGTTTCACTGTGCTAGCCAGGATGGTCTCGATCTCCTGACCTTGTGATCCGCCTGCCTCGGCCTCCTAAAGTGCTGGGATTACAGGTGTGAGCCACCGCGCCTGGCATGACTTTGTCTCATTAAAAAAAAAAAAAAAAAAAAAAAAAAAGCCGCGAGGTGGCTCATGCCTGTAATCCCAGCGCTTTGGGAGGCTGAGGTGGGCGGATCATGAGGTCAGGAAATTGAGACCATCCTGGCTGACACGGTGAAACCCCATCTCTACTAAAAATACAAAAAATTAGCTGGGCGTGGTGGTGTGCACCTGTAGTCCCAGCTCCTCGGGAGGCTGAGGCAGGAGAATCACCTGAACCCGGGAGGCGGAAGTTGCAGTGAGTTCAGATTGCACCACTCGGCCAGGCGAGGTGGCTCACTCCTGTAATCCTAGCACTTTGGGAGGCCGAGGCAGGCAGATCACCTGAGGTCAGGAGTTTGAGACTAGCCTGACCAACATGGTGACACCCCATCTCTACTAAAAATACAAAAAAAATTAGCCGGGTGTTGTGGCGCATGCCTGTAATCCCAGCTACTTGGGAGGCTGAGGCAGGAGAATTGCTTGAACCCGGGAGGCGGAGGTCACAGTGAGCCGGGATCACGCTACTGCACTCCAGCCTAGGCAACAAGAGCGAAACTCCATCTCATAAAAAAAAAAAAAAGAGATTGTACCACTGAACTCCAGCCTGGGTGACGGAGTGAAACTCCATCTAAAAAAAAAAAAAAAAAAATCTGGCCAGGCATGGTGGCTCACACCTGTAATCCCAGTACTTTGGGAGGCCAAGGCAGGCAGATCACTTGAGGTCAGGAGTTCGAGACCAGGCTGGCCAACATGGCAAAACTCCCTCTCTATTAAAAACACAAAAATTAGCCGGGTGTGGTGGTGGATGCCTCTAATCCCAGCTGCTTGGGAGGCTGAGGCATGAGAATCGCCTGAACCCATCAGGCAGAGGTTGCAGTGAGCCGAGATCGTGCCACTGAACTGCAACCTGGGTGACAGAGCCAGACTTTGTCTCAAAAAAAAAAAAAAAAAAAAAATCCTTTCTAAGCCATATAAAAACTCAGAATCTAATTTTTGTTTATATGTTTAACTTGCTGACCCATGTCATCTTAGAGCCTAGGAACCCTGCCTAGGTGTTGACATGAACTCTGTGTGAGCATTTTCCAGTATATCTTGGTGCTGTTGATAAAGAGTCAGTCTGTAAAATATTTGAAGAGATTATTCTGAGCCAAATATGAGCAGCCAGTAGCCCATGACACAGCCCTCAGGAGATCCTGAGAACATGTGCCCCAAGCAGTCAAACTACAAGTTTATTCATTTCAGGAAGACAATAAAATATCAGTCAATACATGTAAGAGGTACATTGGTTGGCTGGGCCTGGTGGCTCATGCCTGTAATCTCAGCACTTTGGGAGGCTGTGGCAGGCGGATCACCTGAGGTCAGGAGTTCGAGACCAGCCTGGCCAAAATGGTGAAACCCTGTCTCTACTAAAAATACAAAATTTAGCTGGGCATAGTGGCAGGCACCTGTAATCCCAGCTACTCAGGGGGCTGAGGCAGGAGAATCACTTGAACCTGGGAGGCGGAGGTTGCAGTGAGCCGAGACTGCACCACTGCACTTCAGCCTGGGCAACAGAGTGAGACTCCGTCTCAAAAAAAAAAAAAAGTGATAAGGGGTTGTGGAGACCAAGGTTTTATACAGATGAAGCCTCCAGATAGCAGGCTTCAGAGAAAAGATTGTAAATGTTTCTTATTAGACTTAGAGAGTCTGTTCTATTCTATCAGTCTGTTGATGTTAATGCTGGTCGGATGGGACTGAATTCCAAAAGGGATGAAGGTATGATGAAGTATGTCTGACACCCCCATTCCATCATGGCCTGAGCTAGTTTTTCAGGTTAACTCTTGAATGCCCTGGCTGAGAGGAGAGGTTGAATCAGATGATGAGGAGGATGGTGGGTTAGAATTTTATTTGTGGTTTACAATGCTAACTCGAAGGAAAGGATTGAGGACTTTTTCCTGGCCCTGTGAAGGTCGTTGTGTGTGGGTGCTGGGAGAACTATCCCAGGAAACTCAGGGTAACTGGCAAGGTGATTTGAGATTGCTCTGGTCCAAAAGATAACGATTTCATTTGGGGAAACCATTTCCTTTGGAGAGCTGGCTGAGATAAGGAGCTAGTCTGAAGCCTGGGAAGGCCTCAACAATCTGGTTAACCCTTCCTCCTCCAGGATACAATTCTTTCTTTTTTTTTCTGAGACGGAGTCTTCCTCTGTTGCCCAGGCTGGAGTGTAGTGGCACAGTCTTGGCTCACTGCAACCTCCACCTCCTGGGTTCAAGCAATTCTCCTGCCTCAGCCTCCCGAGTAGCTGGGACTATAGGTGCATGCCACCACGTGCAGCTAATTTTTGTGTTTTTAGTAGAGATGGGATTTCATCATATTGGCCAGGCTGGTCTAGAACTCCTGACCTCGTGATCCGCCTGCCTCGGCCTCCCAAAGTGCTGGGATTATAGGCGTGAGCCACCGCGCTCGGCCCAAGCTACAGTTCTTTACGCCTATGACTTTTGTCAGGCTCAGAGGCAATTTAATGAGGATGGGATGTCTAGAAAGGGACAGGGTGGGACTCGGATTTCCTTGGCTCTTCTGAGGAACTTTTACCTTCAAAGGGGAGTAGAAGCCACTGCAGGGTGGAAGGAAAACTTCCGCTTCCCCCTCCGTGAATTTGCTGAAAAGTCAACAGACAAAAGACGATTAAGAGAAAAGGCATACACATTTTCTAATATGCCTAGAAGAAAACACAGTGATTACCCTAACCCTTCAATGGAGTACAGAAGCTTATATAGCCTTTTATTTCTGAGACAGAGGCTCACTCTGTCGCCCAGGCTGGAGGGCAGTGGCATGAGCTTGGCTCACTGAAATCTCTGCCTCCCAGGTTCAAGTGATTCTCCTGTCTAAGCCTCCTGAGTAGCTGGGATTACAGGCTTGCACCACCACGCCCAGCTAATGTTCGTGGTTTTAGGAGAGAGATGGAGTTTCACCATGTTGGCCAGCCTGGTCTGGAACTCCTGACCTCAAGTGATCCACCCGCCTCGGCCTCCCAAAGTGCTGGGATTACAGGCGTGAGCCACCGTGCCTGGCCATATAGCCCTTTTTTTTTTTTCTGAAGCTGGTAAGGAGATGGGGAATATGCTAATTCTGTAATTCTGCATGATTTCTCAGGAGAAAGAAGGGATCAGAGAATTGAGATTAACTTGTAAATGGCTCTCTTTGGAAACTGAATAAGCCCGAGAGACAGACAGGCATTTTATCCCTCTAGGGGTGGTGACATTCTTCAGTCTTCTTTTCTGCAATAGAGAATCAGATAACGGGAAGGGGAAGGGAAAAAATTGTTCCCCCAGGGGCATCCTTCTGGTCTTTTGGTCTTTCCCCTTTGGAGGTGGGGCAGTCTCTTCCAGTGTCTGTTGATCTTTAAGGGCCTTTCATTCAAAATACTCTTTACACAAGGGAGCCGTATTTTGGGGTGAATTATGTTGGTTTCCTTCACCTCCTTGGGAGGTGGGAAATGTGTCCTGAAAGGTCAGGGCCTCTCTGAGTGGAGATGAACAGGTCAGGGTTGAGTAAGGAGGAGGCTGGCAGGGGCCTTTATGATACCTGAGAGGACTGGGGCTTGGATGGAGCAAGAGAGGCACTGATGGAGTAAGATTCAGGTACAAGACTTAAGTCTTGCATCCTAGGCACGGCTCTTGCCTCATCCTCATCCCAGCCCTAATAATGGGAGGCTTTTTGCCGGTAAATTCCCATTATTAGGAGCTGAAAATGTCAATGCCTTACAGGCGCCAGTCAGCAGTGTCAAGCAGTGGGCTGGGTGGGGCCTGGGCTGGCTGGAGCTCCCCTACCCTGTCTAAAGGGGGCGGTGGCTGCTCAGCTCCAGCATATGCGGGGAAGGCGCTGGCTAAGATAAGGAGCTAGTGCCATGATGACCACGTTGCCACAGGATCAAGTGGGTCCTGTGTGGTGTCACCTTTAGGTGCCTGAAATCTAGATTTTATTTTATTTATTTTATTACTATACATATTTTTTGAGACGGAATTTCGCTTTTGTGGCCCAGACTGGAGGGCAATGGCGCAATCTCGGCTCACCACAACCTCTGCCTCCCGGGTTCAAGCGATTCTCCTGCCTCAGCCTCCCAAGTAGCTGGGATTACAGGCGTACACCACCATGCTGAGTAGCTGGGATTACAGGCATGTGCCACCATGCCTGGCTAATTTTGTATTTTTAGTAGAGATGGGGTTTCTCCATGTTGGTCAGTCTGGTCTCGAACTCCCGACCAGATGATCCGTCTGCCTCAGCCTCCCAAAGTGCTGGGATTACAGGCGTGAGGCACCGGCCTGAAATCTAGATTTTAAAGTGAAATTTCTTAATTTTTTTTTAAGGGCAGGCACAAATTTATAAAACATCAGGTGGGCCAAATAAAATGTTACAGGCCACAGTTTTAGCTTGGTGGTTGCTGATTTACTGACCCTGTTATAATATTGGAGGTCAGGACTTTGGGCAAATGAAAGAGAAAAGGAGGCAGACTGAGAATGTGATTTTACAACTCCAGCCTCTCCAGGGGCTGGGTGGCCAGTGTCTCCTCAGCAGCCTTCTCCCGCAGGAAGCAGAACTGTCTGCAACGCTGATGGAGTCACAGTAACCTTCACCCCACTGAGCTCAGGATCTGCAGAGCCACTAAGACCCTGGAGCAACTGCCTTCAGCATCCAACAGAAGCTGCTAAAAGGATTATGGGTCAATTCATTTTAGACATTTCTTCCAGATGTTCCCATGGAAAGCTAGGGTCTAAATCAGTGGTCCTCATTCCTGGCAGCACCTGAGTTTCACCTGGGGAACTGTTAGAAAGTGAAACTTGGACGGCATTCACATTAGTCCAGTCTCTGGGTGGGGCTTGGACATCAGCATTTGTAGAAGCTCCCTAGGTGGCTTTGGTGCAGCCAGGTTGGAAACCACTGATCCAACTAATAGAAATGCTAGGTTGGGATCTCTTCCGAGGCATCTCTTTAGGACAGGCTGTGCATGACAGTCCCATAGTGTCAGGGTTCTAAGATGCTCCAATGGTTTAGGCACTGGTCTTAATTTTCGTTTTTTCGCTCTCTTTGAGACCTTAACAAACTCTATAGGGCTGGGCACAATGGCTCACGTCTATAATCCCAGCATTTTTTTCTTTTTTTCTTTTTCTTCTTTCCTTTTCTTTTCTCTTCTCTTCTCTCTTTTCTTTTCTTTCTTTTTTTCTGAGACTGTCTCACTCTGTCGCCCAGGCTGGAGTGCAGTGGCACAATCTTGGCTCACCACAACCTCCACCTCCCAGGTTCAAGCGATTCTCTTGCCTAAGCCTCCCAAGTAGCTGGGACTACAGGCTCTTGCCACTATGCCCAGCTAATTTTTGTATTTTTAGTAGAGACAGGGTTTCACTATGTTGGCCAGGCTGGTCTCGAACTCCTGACCACGTGATCCTCCCACCTCAGCCTCCCAAAGTGCTGGGATTACAGGCGTGAGCCACTGCGCCTGGCCAATTCCAGCAGTTTTAGAGGTCAAGGCAAGAGGATCCCTTGAGTCCAGGAGTTCGAGACCAGCCTGGGCAACATGGCAAGACCTCATTTCAATTTAAGAAAAAAACCAAAACACCCAAGCTCTATAACCTTCACATCCTCATTGACTGATTAAGTGCAGATAATGATATTTGCCCTTCTAACCTCACCAGGCTGTTATCAGGAGAAATGAAGCAATAAATGAGAAATTGCTCTGCAAACTGTCAACGTTATGTAAACATTGCTATTCAGAGTGTGCTCCCAGGTGCGGGAGGTACAGCTGTTATCTGTTGGAGATCACTCCTGAAGTAACATTCCTAGTGCCATGGGTCAGATGGGAATTGGTACAGACATTCCAACTTAGAAGGCAGCCTTTATTGTCTTATAAGCAGGTGCGTTTCCTGGGGTGGCAGCCTGGCACTGGTCACTCCAACCCCAACTTGTGTAGGAGGTACCACAGTAAATGAGTAGAGAGAGTTCAGGGGACTTGAAGGGAAGTGGAGGGCCATCTGGAGAGGGAGGGAACTAAGGACTCCCTGTGGGTTGGGGTCTTCCTGAGGATCCAGGGAGTAACTGTCAAGGAGCCTTAGCAGGGATCTAAGAGCTATGCAAGAGCAAAAAGAGGCAAATTATTAAGGAAATTAGTGAAGTCAGCACTGGAACAACAGAGAGGGGACACAGCAGTGCAGCATGGGCCCTGGCCTCAGGAAGCTGTCTGATTGGGGCAGATAGGACCAGCCCCCTAGAAGACAGTCACCCATATCAGTTAGGCAGTCATGACTCAGTGTTACTTATCTGAGGCCCAGGTTGCATGAGGGGTTGGGGGTGGGATGGACAGAGCACTGGCTGGGCATCAGGACTAGGCTGGAGTCCTGGCTCAAAACTCTACCACAACCTGACACTGGGCAAGATGGCCCACCTGTGGCATCCCAGGTTCCTGCCCTGTAAAGAGGAGTCTGGGTGTATATCCAGATGGACTGTGAGCACAGCCTGAGTTTGCCCTGTCGAGGTGCTGAGGCCTGGGAGATTGGGGTGAGTAGCTGTGGTCCAGGGAAGGTTGGCAAGCTGGGCCTTAGATGAGAGGGGATGCTTGGTCAGGCAGAGGTGAGTGGAGAAGGCAGGGCAAGGAAGGGAATATGAGCGGCGAACAAATGGAGTGGACATGGTGGGGGCAGAGGATGGTGGGAAGTGGCCTTGTTGCGGCCAGAGTGGAGGAAGAGATAAGTGGGAAAGAGTGGAGTCGATTACAGAAGGCCTCGGAAACCAGGCAGAGATGTTTAAATTGGCTCTCTCAGGAAGGAGAGGGCCATGAAGGGATTTAGGGAAGGGTCATGACATGATTATGCTGCATTTTAGCAGGATTAATGTGACCTGGTGCTCAGAATGACTTGGATGGCATGAGGCCAGGAGCCGAGGAGGACAGTTAGAAGACTCTTGTAATATTTCTGGCACAGGGAGATGGACTGGGAGTTGGGAGGTGGCAATAGGTCAGGCCTAGAGACATTTCTCAGGAAATATTGACAGGCCTTGGGGCCTGGTTGCATTCATGGAGTGGGGAGGAATGAGTCACCTTGAGAAGCAGTTTCCCTCTCAAAGGCCAGGGAAGACAAAGCAGAGGCAGCTTTCCTGCCTGCAAACAGGACATTTCAGGGTAACCTGGCTCTTCCAAGCGTCAGCTTCTCCCTGGCTCCAGCTCAGATAGGAGTTGTAACAACGGGTTGGGCATGGGTGATGGCACCGGCTGGTGGCTGGGTTAAGGGCCATGTTTTTGATTATGCATTAGGCTTATTCAGCCTGCCAAGTGCCAGGCCCTGCGCTTGTGTAGGAGACAGAGCAATTAGCAAAACATAGTCCTCCATCCTCAAGGAGTTTCCAGCCCTGTGAGCTTGGCAGATCTGCAGAACTCAAATGAAATGGCAGTTGAGAACAACCATCTTGTTCTCATTCACTCCATTTTGCTTAACGGCCATGTAGGTAGTTCCAAATGTTTGATGTGTACCAGAAAATCTCTCTCTTCCTGGTTTATAATTATGATCCAGGGCAAATCCAGGTTTTGTTGGGCTTGAAAATTAAATAAATTGGCACTCTCTATGGAAAATAATTCAAATATAAATATACAAATATCACACTGCTAGGCCCTCCCAGGGCCTAGAAGGGTAGGAATGAAAGTGAGAGTCCCTGAAGCTTTAACCGCATTAACTTTTCAGTCAGTTCTATGATACCTGCCATTCCTTAAGTGTGTATTATGTGCACGTATTTTGCGTACAGTATTACACAACAATCAAGGGGAGGTGAGGTGGGCATTAGTGTCTTCATCTTATGGATGAAGACACAGTCTCAGAGGTGATTCAAGATGCCCCTCTGCATAGGCCCTAAGGCAGGGGGTGGGGACTGTGACCTGGACAGGAAGCTGGGGCCTCAGGACTGCATCTAAGCTCCTCCTTTTCTGTGGGTGATGGTGGCTGTCAGGCCCCTGAACCTACGTCATCCCTCCCTCTGATTTGACTGTACCTTTGCTAGGCCTGGTCAAGGGCTAGGGACTCCTAAAGTCAAGAGCTAGGGTAGAGGTTGGGGGTTGGATCTCAGGGCACCATATGGTGCAGACTTGGTTGCAGGAAAGTGACCTATTTAGGCAGAGGGGCTCTATACAACTGGGACCACAGCAAACCCTAGAGGTGAGCACCTGCTTCAAAGACTCACAGATCCAAGCTGTGATCCTAGATCTACAACTTCCTGGCTGTATAAAGTCCAGCAAGACTGAGGCCTCACTGAGCTTCAATTTCCTTACCTGTCTAACCAGAATAGCAACAACTTGTTTGTATATTTGAGCTCATTACATGTCATTTTGTAAGGCACTAAAGCTCCTGGAGGCTTCCGGAACACAGAAATAATTAATCTAAGAATCCTAAAGTGGCTGTCCTGGTAGCACCTCTAGGGAGTCCTCCCATCCTACGTAACTTCCTCTGGGAAAGTAGAAAACACGGCACCTGGGAAGGGGCGCTGAACCGTGCCCCAAGTCCCAGTGGGCCTGGATGCCCAAGAGCAAGAGGAGGCCCAGAGGATGGGGACAGGCCACGACCTGTGGCCCAAGTCCCGCCCAGAGGGAGTGCGCCCTGAGGGAGAGCCACCGGAGCTGGTGACTCGGGGGCGGGTGCTCTGGGGTGTCGCTTTGGGTTCAGCAATACAAATCTGCCAGCTGGAGATTAGGCGGGGCACGCCGGGGAGAGGTGATGCACTGCCGCTGAAGACCCAGGTAGGCCGGTGCGTTCGGCCTGGGTGAGGAAGGCGCGGGACCCGGGTGCGAGGACTGCGTAGCGTCCCCGGCTCCCGCTTCCGCCCGCTTTCCACGCCCACTTCTGCAAGTCCCCTCCGGCACCTCGGCGTCCACCGGACTCCTAGGGGCGAGCCCTCATTTCCGAGGAATGGGACCGCCTTCGTGCCCCCGGGGCTGCCAGTCCCTAGACTAGCCCTAGGGGCTTCTCGTCCCGGCGGAGCCGGGCGGTGCCTCCTGCCTGCGCCTCGCACCTCCCCGCCTGGCACGGCCCACCCGGGCACGGCGCCGCCACGCGTGAAGGCCCGCATCGGCTCCCTACGTGGGGGACGTGCAGGATGATGCGGGGTCGGGGGGGATTTCGCTGCGTCGCCCGCCCCCTTTCCGGCGCAGGAGGGAGCGGCCGCCGCGTCCCCGCTCCCCGGCCGGGACGCCACCGCCGGGCGTTGCAGAGGCGCGCCGCAACCAATGGGCGTGGAGGAGGTGGGTCGGCTGGCGGCTGTCACCCTCCAGGGGACGGGAGCGCGGAGACCGGGAGCGCGCGAGCTGTCGCCGCGCCCCGGGCCGAGGGGGAGGAGCCGGGGGAGGAGGAGGAGGAGGAGCCGCCGAGCAGCCGCCGGAGGACCACGGCTCGCCAGGGCTGCGGAGGACCGACCGTCCCCACGCCTGCCGCCCCGCGACCCCGACCGCCAGCATGATCGCCGCGCAGCTCCTGGCCTATTACTTCACGGAGCTGAAGGATGACCAGGTCAAAAAGGTGAGCCCCCGCCCGCGCCGCCGCTGGTCCTGGCCGCAGCCTTGCGTTCCGGCATCCGCTCGCCGCCTCCGCTGCCTCCATCCTCCGGCGCCCGGCCTTCTCCGGGCCAGCATCGAGTTGGACTGCAGGGCGCAAGGAAAGCCTTCGCCTTCGATTCTACCGGCATTGTCAGTGTCTCTGTGTGTGTGCGTTTTTGGGAGGGGGGCAATCGGGCGGAAGACCCCCGAGACCGGGCTGCCTGCTGCAGTGTCCTTGAAACGGGCCCTGGATGTCAGATAGGCCCCCGGGCTGTGCGGGGAGGTGGCCGGTGGGCCCTTCCGCAGGGCCTGTTCGGGAGGGTCCGAGCGCCGTGGGAGGAGGTGTGATCATGGAGATGCTGGGGAGGTGATCGAGCAGCAGGCGGGGGTGCTGGCTGGAGGCCAGGCCTCCCATATTTGGGGTTCCTGGCGGAGGGTGTCGGGTGCCCCGGAGAAGCTGTCGCCGGGCTCTCCCAGTTGTTTGAGCTGCTCGTTAATCTGAGGACGAGGTGACCCGCCCGGCTTCCCGGAACGGGGAGGGGCGGCGAGGCCACCGGAAACTTTGCTCATAGGCCTCGTGTCTGGAGCGGCACGTCTGAATGGAATTTTTTATTCCTCTTAAGCTGTAATTTCTAGCCAGCACAGGAGCTCAAATAAGCGACTGGTCATTTGAGTTGGGTGGACGCCTGTGGCATGCTTGTTCTAGCACTTGGACGCATGCATCCTCCTGTCCTGAGGTGTTGTTGCCTTTGACATCTTAGTGTAAAATACTGTCCGCTGGCAGGTCTTAAAGGTGTATTTGTCTCTTCTGCCAGCTGTGCTACCATATTTTAAAGAAACAGCCTAAGCTGTAGGGAAAGACGCCCGTTTTATCAGTGCCAGGTCTGGTACAGGCTCCAGGCCCACCCACCCTGAACGTGGTGACGTTATTGCTGGGGTTAGCTGGGATGGACTGGCAAAGTCATCTTGACTTTGGCGTTCAGACAGGTGGAGTTCTACAGGTGAAAGGCAGGAGTGACAGGCCTTGATTTTCTGCCCGGCAAGCCATAGGGTGTTCCATCCTCTTCCTGTGCATCTAAGATGACTCCCTCATCTGGCACCATAGGAAACAGGCCTACTGAGGGCAGCGACCTTATCAAGGTCACCCAGTGAGTTAGAGGCAGAGCCAGTCAGGGGGATCCAGGTCTCCCAGTGCCTCCACCCAGGAACTTCACCAGGGTCCTCCTGGAGGTCAGCTTCCAGGAGGGAGTGGGTACTGAGAGACAAAGCCGCTGGGGACCCTGCCGTGATCTTGGATCCCATGGTGGGTGGGGACCGGGAGTGAGGTAGGTAGGAGATAGGCTTGGGAATGCCATCTGCCATTGCTCTTTATGGCTTTAAGCACTCTGGGGTTGTCAAACCGTGGCACTCGAAACACTTGCTCCTATGGAGCACCCTGGAGCTTCCCTCTGGCCACTGACCTGGGAGCTGTGCGTGCGGGTGTGTGCATTTCATGAGTTTTCTCTAGTGGTGTTGTGCATCACTGATGTTCTTCCCATTGGACCAGGGAGACAGTTCTCCCGGCATGGCAAGAAGTGCCCAGAACAGGCCTCCTGAAGCCAAGAGTTCACTGTCCTCCTGCACGTGGTGTCCTTTATAGCTCAAGACAGTGGGCTGCTGGGCTGGGGGGTGCCTGGGTGACCTTGTAAACCTCCAGTGTCCACACCCACCACCACCCACAACAGACTGCTGGCTGTTGGCTGCCGGTGGCCTCCAGCAGCTGAGCTGGGCTGAGGTTTGGACTCCATTCAGTGGGACATGTTTTCTCAGACATACAGTGTCTAGGGTGGGCCCAGAGCTCTCCACTCCTGTGGGTGGCTCAATTCACATCTATGGATGCACAGTCTATCTCCTAGGCCCCCGTAGGTACCTGAGTGTGTGATTCAGTTGACCCTTCCATCCCTCCTCACTCCGAGTTTGGGATTCTGATGTTCTTCCCTTCTCTTCCCCGAGAACCTTGCTGGAGGAAGGTCTTAAGGCCAAGGTTTCCACCAGATATTATTTGTCAAGGAGATTCTTAAAAACAAGATGTTTGCTTGCATTTCACCACGGACTTCCTATGCTGCTTTCTATAGGGGAGTACGTGGATTCCTGCCAGGGGGTCCACTCATTTTGCATAGTGGACTGTGTGGCACAGCCATCTGTGGGTGTGGTCCTGGCTATGATTGCGCCACCGCACTCCAGCCTGGGCCTTCTAAGGACAGTGACATAGTGGGTACTTGCTCCAGTGACCTACTCAGTTTTGCCCAAGTGTGCAGATGCTGGGGACCACATCTGCTCTTCTGGGGCCCAGGATTTCTTAGAGACCAGCTCTTTCCACGTACCACTCACCATAGGAAAGGCTAGGTGAAGGTGCGGGACCCCCTGTTCTTCCTGTGGGGCTGGACTCTGCCTGCCTCCCAGCAGGGACCTGCTGAGGATGGTTCCCCCCCAGCGTGGGCAGCCATGATGATTCAGCCCTCCAGCTGTAGGCAGCCTCCGGGGCTCTGGAGACAGACCTGGCATCCCTCAGTAACTCTCATCTATCTTCTTGCCCTCAGAGCCAGAGGTAGGAGAAGGGAAGCTGGGGACCATGCCGGGGAAGTTTTTGGGATTGCTTAGAATCCAAACGTGATCATGAAAATGGTGTCATTTCTTTCTTCATTGCCTATGAGGCACATCAATAATTCAACTCCATAAAAATATATCCTGGGTTGAAACAGTTCAGGTGTCTGACTTCCCAGCTTGGAACCCCATTATCCAGACGGCATCTGCATAAATTGGTTAATGGGTGCTGTTGAAGAGGGTGTACTGGCATTAGGCTGAGCTAAGCACAAAACACATATATTCCTTTCACTCTTCTAGTGCCTGTAGGAGGAAAGGGAGGCATATGTGTGCTTGTGAAGGATTCCATTCATCAGAATCCCAGACATCTGCCAGTTCTGCAGCTAGAGGCTGGGTTCTTTGACCTCTAAGTAACTTTAAACACGCATCTCATCTCGCCAGCTTCTTCCACTCGGTTTAGCCATTAGGAGCTTGGAGCAGGGTGAAGGATTGCATAGTGCTCTGTTTGTTTAGAAAGGGAAGATGGGTCCAGGAAGGTCAGAACTTGGCTTCTAAAGAAAGATTAGACTTCCTTTCCTCCAGGCTTGTCAGAATGGTGAGCAAATGCCAGTGGATTTTCTCTGGGCGAGATCCCCATAACGCTAAGTGATTTCCACTAGTAGGTGATCATGAAAAGGGTGTCATTTCTTTCCTCATTGCCTTGAGGCACATCAATAATTCAACTCCATAAAAATATATCCTGGGTTGAAACAGTTCAGGTGTCTGACTTCCCAGTTTGGAACCCCATTATCCAGACGGCATCTGCATAAATTGGTTAATGGGTGCTGTTGAAGAGAGTGTGATTTGTCCAATGGCCGAACTCAGGAGTCCTTGAGTACTTGACCCAGGAAGACAGGGGAGAGTAGGCTTAGCAATTAAAGGGTTGCCCAAGGTACATTCCTTAGAGCCTATGTGTTCCAGCTGCAAAAGCAAGCATTAAAAATAAATAAATAAATAAAAGGCCGATGTAGTGGCTCACACCTGTAATCTCAGCACTTTGGGAGGCTGAGGCGGGTGGATCACCTGAGGTCGGGAGTTCGAGACCAGCCTGACCAACATGGAGAAACCCCGTCTCTACTAAAAATACAAAATTAGCTGGGTGTGGTGGCGCATGCCTGTAATCCCAGCTACTTGGGAGGCTGAGGCCGGAGAATCACTTGAACCTGGAAGGCAGAGGTTGCGGTGAGCCGAGATCACGCCATTGCACTCCAGCCTAGGCAACGAGAGCGAAACTCCGTCTCAAAAAAAAAAAAAAATGCCCATTCATTATTGCTCAGGGGTGAGAGAGGTGATAGTTAGAAAATTGTGAAAAATCTGGCTGGGCACAGTGGCTCATGCCTGTAATCCCAGCACTTTGGGAGGCTGAGGCAGGTGAATCACGAAGTCAGGAGTTCAAGACCAGCCTGACCAATATGGTGAAATCCCGTCTCTACTAAAAATACAAAAATTAGCTGGACGTGGTAGCATGCACCTGAAGTCCCAGCTACTCGGGAGGCTGAGGCAGGAGAATTGCTTGAACCGGGGAGGCGGAGGTTGCATGAGCCAGGATCATGCCACTGCACTCCAGCCTGGGCAACAGAGCGAAACTCTGTCTCAAAAAAAAAAAAAAGAAAATTATGAAAAATCTGTGGGTTCTTGCAGTGGCAAAGAAAAAAAAGAAAAAATTATGAAAAGTCAGCCTGGGCAACAAAATTAAACCTCATCTTAAAAAAAAATTTTTTTTAGCCTGCTTTGGTGGCATGCACACACCTGTAGTCACAGCTACTCAGGAGGCTCATTGAGCCCAAAAGATTGATCCCAAAACAGTGAGCTGTGATGCTATGATTGTGTTACCGTACTCCAGGCTGGATGATAGAGCGAGACTCTGTCTCAAAAAAAAAAAAAAAAAAAGAAGAAAGAAAATTATGAGAAGTGTCTCATAACCTCTCAATTCTGATGTTGTACAAATATTCAGTGAGAGCTTCTTGGTGAATCTTGACTTTATAATCCCTGCCTTTCCTACCTTAGATACTCCTAGGGTTTCTCCCAAGAGAAGCCCCATCACTTTATCTGGTTGGATAGTTTGGGAATGTCATGAAGGAATAAACTGGCAGGCAGGGTGTCTGTGAGGTGCTTTCACATCTGGCCAAGCTGTGCCATGCTCCCACGCTCCTACTGTTCTCCGGAGAAGACATAGGCAGCTTTCCCCTTACAAGACTGATTTGGCATGACTGGGACTGTCTGTGTGTGTCTGCAGTCAGGGATTCCTGGCAGACAGATTTAGCCACTGGAATCACCTCTGAGCATGCCTGAGAAGGTCCAGGGAAGACATGGATAAAGACAGGGAGCTGTATACCTCTGCATCCAGGAATCAGTTGTGGTCAGACTGCTGGCACCTGCTTATGGATTTGTTTTTATTTTTTTATAGAGACAGGGTCTCACCATATTGCCCAGGCTGGTCTTGAACTCCTGGGCTCAGGCAGTCCTCCCGCCTTGGCCTCCCTAAGTATGCTTATTGATTTGAAAACCCTGAAGATCAAATCTGATCACAGGAGCTCAATCATTTCTTTAAAAAATGTTTGATTTTTTTATTATGTGCAGAGGACTGTGCTAGGCTGGGGTGACAACTATAAACAAGGCAGAAACGGTCCCAGTTCTCATGGAGCATAAAATATTTGCTGGCCGGGCGTGGTGGCTCATGCCTATAATCCCAGCACTTTGGGAGGCCAAGGCAGGCTGATCATTTGAGGTCAGGAGGTCGAGACCAGCCTGACCAACATGGTGAAACCCCGTCTCTACTAAAAATACAAAAAAGGTGCCAGATGTGGTGGCTCATGCCTGTAGTCCCAGCTTCTCGGGAGGCTGAGGCAGAAGAATCACTTGAACCTGGGAGGCGGAGGTTGCAGTGAGCTGACACTCCAGTCTGGGTGACAGAACGAGACTCCATCTAAACAAAAATAATAATTAAAAAAAAATGAAGTATTTGCTGTGTTATATGTGCAAAGCATATGGGCTATGAGGGCCCACAGCATGGTGTGGTCATACCTTGGGTGGGAAATCCCTAGGCTAGGAACTGCTTACAGCTAGGCTGCAGATGTTAGCTCCTTAAGTGCTTCAGGAAGCTGCTCCCATCCCCAGTTCTGGGGATGTGTTAGTCTGTTTGGAGTAGCAGGACAGGTGCCCACTGCCTTCTGGCCTAATAAACCTTAACAACGGGATCTTTTGCAACCACTTAATATACACTGGGTTGTGTTCATTGTATTTGATCTTAAAGAAAAATAGGTAAAAATTTTACAGTTTGATTGGTCTTGATTTCTGGAAATAACATTGACTTCTGGTAAACAGTACACATCAGGGATATTATACTTAGAAACTTTGTAAGGTGGAGTCAAAATTAATTGTCACAAAAATGTGTATTTTTTTTTTTTTTTTTTTTTTTTGAGATGGAGTCTTCGCTCTGTTGCCCAGGCTGGAGTGCAGTGGCACGATCTCAGCTCACTGCAAGCTCCGCCTCCTGGGTTCTCGCCATTCTCCTGCCTCAGCCTCCTGAGTAGCTGGGACTACAGGCGCCTGCCACCACTCCCGTCTAATTTTTTGTATTTTTAGGAGAGACGGGGTTTCACTGTATTAGCCAGGATGGTCTCGATCTCCTGATCTTGTGATCCGCCTGCCTCGACCTCCCAAAGTGCTGGGATTACAGGTGTGAGCCACCACACCCGGCCATGTATTTTCTTATTCTTTTTTTTTGAGATGGAGTTCTGCTCTGTTGCCCAGGCTGGAATGCAGTGATGTGATCTCGGCTCATTGCAACCTCTGTCTCCTGGGTTCAAGCGATTCTCCTGCCTCAGCCTCCTGAGTAGCTGGGATTACAGGCACCAGCCAATGCTCCTGGCCTGCATTTTTTTTTTTTTTTTTGAGATGGGGTCTCACTCTGTATCCTGGGTTGGAGTGCAGTGGTGTGATCTCAGCTCACTGAAACCTCCATCTCGCGGGTTCAAGTGATACTTCTGCCTCAGTGCCCCCCCCTGCCCCCCAGTAGCTGGGATTACAGTCGCCTGCCACCATGCCCGGCTAATTTTTGTATTTTAAATAGAGACTGGGTTTCACCATGTTGGCCAGGCTGGTTTCAAACTCCTGACCGCAAGTGATCTGCCCGCCTTGGCCTCCCGAAATGCTGGGATTACGGGTGCCAGCTACTGCCTCTGGACTGCATTTTTTTTTTTTGAGACAGAGTCTTACTCTGTCGCCTGGGTTGTAGTACAGTAGCACGATCTCACCTCCCTGCAACCTCTGCCTGCCAGGTTCAAGCGATTCTTCTGCCTCAGCCTCCCTAGTAGCTGGGATTACAGGTGCCTGCCACTACACCCAGCTAATTTTTTGTATTTTTTGTAGAGACGGGGTTTCACCGTGTTGGCCAGGCTGGTCTTGAATTCCTGACCTCGTGATTCACCCGCCTCGGCCTCCCAAAGTGTTGGGATTACAGACGTGAGCCACCGCGCCTGGCCGCTTTTTTTTTTTTTAATGGCTTTTTGTCTCTGGGCATCCTGGAACACTTCGTGAGTGTCATGTCGGGTATGAATTATATATATATGTAATTGAGATTACACTATAAATGTTTCTGCACACAACTATACTAACATATGTGTAGGTGTGTGTATGCTTTCATATGCTCTTTCAAAAGCCTCAGCGAGGTTGTCAGTACAGGAAGTATTATTCCCGGGCTTCCCAGCACGGCTCCCTCCCCAGGGCATCCTGCTGCCTGCCTTGTGTGTTGCAGACAGAAGGCAAGCAATTTATTCCCCATTTAGAAACAGAGACTGAAGGCCCATCCAGAGGAGATAAAACATTTTTCTAAGGTCGAAAGAAAATCAGGAATAGGATTCAGAGGGCTCTTCTTGCTTCCTCTGTTTCCTTCTTTTAGGAGAAAAACCTGTCCTTGTTGATTTTAATGTTTTACCTTGGAACCTGTATTTTAATACTGTCCCCTCACAAATCAATACATTTGAGTTAATTTTTTATTATGAAATATTTGAGGCACATAAAAGAAGATTGAGGTTCACATAAACACCTCTGAGTCTGCTACTCAGCTTGAGAAGTTATAGACACAATTACAATTACATTACAGACACAGTTGAAGCCCTTTCTATGCCATCTCTGAGATAGTTTGCTGCTTCTCCCTTCGGAGGTGACCTCTGTCCTGAATTTGGTGTTTATCTTTTCATGCATGTTTTTACGCTTTTATTACATATGCATATGTCTATAAACAGTATATGGTATTGCTTTATAGATATATGGTTTTGATCTTTTGTAAATGGTGCTATACTGACTATGTGTTTAAGCAATATATGGTATTGCTTTGTGTGGTTTTAAACTTTTTTTTTTTTTTTTTTTTTTGAGATGGAATCTCATTTTGTTGCCCAGGCTGGAGTGCAGTGGCACGGTCTCAGCTCACAGCAACCTCTGCCTCCTGGGTTCAAGCAATCCTCCTGCCTCAGCCTCCTGAGTAGCTGAGATCATACCTGGCTAATTTTTTTGTATTTTTAGTAGAGACGGGGTTTCACCATGTTGGTCAGGCTGGTCTCAAAATCCTGACCTCAAGTGATCCACCTGCCTAGGCCTCTTTCCAAAGTTCTGGGATTATAGGCCTGAGCCCCCACACTCAGCCAGTTTTAAACTCTTATAAATGGTGCTATACTGTATGTATCCTTCCGCCATTTACTTTCTTTTAGCTCAACATTGTATTTTTGAGATTTTAAAAATGTTGATCTACGTAACTGTTTCATTAAACTGCTCTGGTTTCTTACAGAGTATAAAAGCTCCCTAGTTAATTCATCTATTCTGCTTTTGATAGGCATTTGTGTTTCTAATGTTTCAAGTGACAAACAATGCCTTGGTGAACTTTCTCTAGAACAACTCATTCAGCGCATGCACAAGTTTCTCTAGGCTCTAAGCTGTGTACCTAGGGCTGAGATCACCAGGCGGAGAGATGTGTGCGTTTTCCCATATACGAGATTCTGCCAAGTTGCCATCCGTGGTCATGCCAGTTCACACTCCCATCGGAAGTATGTGCAGGTTGCCTTTGTTCCACACCAACCCTTGTTATGGTCAAACCTTTGCAAATTTGTAATAGATGAGTTTTAGTCTGTTTCCTTCCTCAGTTGTTTCCATTCACATCACAGTATTCGAGCTGTGTTTAAAATTAGCCCATTTCCTGAGTTACCTTATCAGAGTCCTTGCTTCAGAGTCCCACGGACTGAAGTTGACAGCTCCATGGACTGCTGCTGCTGAGATATCTGCACTGGGGAGGGATAGTTGATGCAGGGAAAGGCTTAGGATGGCTCTCCATGGCCCCTGGTGCTGTGGGCTGACTCCGTTAAGCTTTTCTGGGAGTTGAAACACACATTTGTGAGCTTTCACTTGCACACACTTTCTCTCTTCCCGGGTGGATCCGACCCGGGTAGGGCAGGCTTATCTGTTGCGTAAATGTGCCCAGCTCTGCTCAGAGAAAACTCAAGCCAGCAGCCTCTCAGACCGTCTTCCGTAAAAGGAGAGGGTGGCTGTACCCACGTGGCAGGGAAAACTGAACCGTGAAGTCGGCGGCTCAGCCCTTTGCACACAGAAGCTGAGCTGTCCCTGTGCGAGGCAGAAAATGTCGGCTCATGTTCATCTTGAGTCTATGCCTGATTACAGGCTCCAGACTCGGAGACCTCGAGGGTGCCTTACAGGGAAGGGGGCATTCAGTGCCTACTAGGCGCCCGGCTTTTCTTTTTCTTAGCAGGGGTCTTATTTAATCATTTCTAGTACTCATATGAACCAAAGCCAACATTCATTGTTGTATTCATTGCCATGTACTGTGCTAAAGGCATCGTGAGCCTTTGCTTAGTTCATCCCCACAACGCCCTTGTGAGGTGGGTGTGATTTCAGACGGTGAGGCCCAGATAGTGAACGATAGAGCCAGCATTCAGCCTCATCAAGGCTGATGGCAGAGCTCCTGCTTTTATTATTTTCTCAATTGAGTTATAATTCACCTACCATGAAACGCATCATTGTACAGTGTACAATTCAGTGGTTTCTAATAGATTTACAAGGTTGTCCGAGCACCATCACCATCTAATTCCAGAATATTTTCATCACCCTCCGAAAAAAACTACCCGTTAGCAGTCACTTCCCATTTCTTCCTCCACCTAGCTTCTGGCAACCACTATCTACCTTTTTTTTTCTTTTTTTTTAAATGGATTTGCCTCTTATGGACATTTCATATAAATGGAATAATATAAAATGAGGCTTTTTGTGTCTAGCCTCTTTTATTTAGCATAATGTCTTCAAGGTTCATCCATGTAGTAGCATGTGTTAGCACTTCATTCCTTTTTATTGCTGAATGCTATTCCATTGTATTTATCTACTACATTTTGTTTTTCCATTTGTCAGTTGATGGGCATTTGGACTGCTTCCACTCTTTTCGGCTGTTATGAATAATGCTGCTCTGAACATTTGTGTGTGAATTTTTTTTTGTATAGACATGCTTTCTTTCTTTCTTCTTCTTTTTTTTTTTTCAGATGGAGTCTTGCTCTGTCACCAGGCTGGAGTGCAGTGGTGCAATCTTGGCTCAGTGCAACCTCTGCCTCCCGGGTTCAAGTGATTCTCCTGCCTCAGCCTCCCAAGTAGCTGGGACTATAGGCGCATGCCACCATGCCCAGCTAATTTTTGTATTTTCAGTAGAGACGGAGTTTCACCATGTTGGCCAGGATGTTCTTGATTTCTTGACCTTGTGATCCACCCACCTTAGCCTCCCAAAGTGCTGGGATTACAGGCGTGAGCCACCGCGCCCGGCCAGACATGCTTTCATGTCTGTTGGGTGTATATGTAGGAATGGAATTTCTTGGAAAACCCCTGCTTTTAATCGATTTAAGGAGGAAGGCATCAACTCCATTCAGAAATGAGCAAACGAAGGCCCCCCAGGTGGTGAATTGACTTTCTGATGACCACACAACTCATGAATGACAGGGATAGGAACACTACTGCTGGTCCCCTGATTCAGAAATCCATGTTCTTTCCACCATTACACCCAACTCTCATTGTGCAGTTTAGGGAAACAGATGCAAGGAGGGAAAGACTGGGGTGGGAGAGGGGTGGAATTGGCTTGGGATCCTCCAGGTTCCCTGCCCCCCATCTCCTGCCCCTCCCCAGCACCAGCATGGTGTCTCCTGCCTGTGCCTGCTGCCTCACCCCCAGCCCCATTTGCTTAGTGTTGATGAGCCCCTTCCACTTGGGAAGGAAATGGATCCGATAAGGTCATTAACAGTGAAATGTTAGGAATTTGCCCTGTTTTTCAAATCTCCCTTTTCATTTGTCTCCCTCTCCCATTCTTGTCTGCATTTAAAAGAGGACCCCCCAGGAGGGCAATGCTTAACCTGCATGAAAACCCCCTCAATGCTCCTTGCGATGCCCACTCCTGGCCTCTGCCTGGGGGTACTGTAAGCAGCTGTCGATTCCATCAATTGATTGACACATGGGGCTTGTCTTCAGCCATGTTATTCACCCAGACCTCATGTCCCTGATGTCTCCTGGTGCCTTCTAGGACCCTGTCTGGGTGGGTGTGGTGAGTGAAGTAGGAGACCCAGGCTACTGCTGTGATAAAGACACCACCTCACCTTTACAAAGTTCTGTTTCATTTATAAAATACTTGATTTAATCAGATGCTTACTTTAGTTGGATCTTTCCATCAAGCTTGGATGTAGGAATTTCTTCCTGCATCTTACATATGGGGCAGGTGAGTCCCAGGAAGTGGAATTCATGTGATCTCGGTGGCCAGAAAGCAGAAGAGCTAGGATGGGTACACAGACCTCCCTAACGCCAGTGGGCAATTCTTGCAGTACCTGCAGAACCAGAACGGTGGTCCAGGGCTCCAGACTCCAAAGCCATTGATGGGGTTCAGGACATACTATCCCCAAATAGTAATATGGCATTTGAGAAAACAGCAGAAGCAGGAAGGTCTCTCACCTTTCCCCTCCCTTCTTCCCTGATGCAGACTCTCATTCAAGAAGGTGTCTACCTTATACCCAGAAGAAAGGGACATCCTTATCTCTGGAGATACAGGGACACAGAGAAGAACAAACAGGGCCTGCCAAGTTCTCTTCAGTTTATCACTATTAGATCATATCCCCTTTCTCCAGTCACACTTCTTCACGATCATCCACTTCTTCATCAAACCTGACATAGGGAAATATGCAGACTTACCTGTTTCTTTTCTTTTTTTCTTTTTTTTTTTTTGAGACAGTTCTCGCTGTGTCGCCCAGGCTGGAGTGCAGTGGTGCAGTCTCGGCTCACTGCAGCCTCCACCTTCCTGGTTCAAGCAATTCTCCCACCTCGGTCTCCTGAGTAGCTGGGATTACAGGCATGCGCCACCATACCTGGCTAATTTTTGTATTTTTGGTAGAGATGGGGTTTCACCATGTTGACTAGACTGGTCTCGAACTCCTGGCCTCAAGTGATCTGCCCGCCTCGGCCTCCCAAAGTGCTGGGATCACAGGCATGAGCCGCCACGCCGGGCCAGAGTTACCTGTTTCTTTGGACCTTCATTTCCTTATGAAGGCTTCTGCGTCACCTAAAAACTTAGATTAATTTGTATACATTGTTCTTGTTACTCTGTCTTTTGTTATAGGGGCCTCAGCCATAAACCTAAGATGGGAAGGAAGGATATTTCTTTTCAGCTACTGCGTGTTCTACATTTCAGCGGCCTTCTTCATAGAAACTGTCACCCAAGGCTCTGATAATGGAGATATGTCAGAAATGCTGGGGCTGTGTGTCCAGAATAGTAGGCGCCAGCCATAGGTGGCTGTTGAGCTCTTAAAATGTAGCAAGTCTGATTTGAGATGTGCTGTGGCATATAAACTCCACACAGGTTTTCAAAAATTTCATGTGACACAAAGAATATGAAATAGCCCGTTAATAGTTTTCTAATATTGGCTGGGCATGGTGGCTCACACCTGTAATCCTGGCACTTTAGAAGGCTGAGGCCAGAGGATCACTTGAGCCCAGGAGCTTGAGATCAGCCAGGGCAATATAGCGAGACCTCATCTCTGCAAATAATTAAAAACGTCAGCTGGGCATGGTGGCACACATCTATGGTCCCAGCCACTTGGGAGTCTGAGGTGAGAGGATTGCTTGAGCCCAGGAGGTCAAGGCTGCAGTGAGCCATGATTGGAGTGCACTGCACTCCAGCCTAGGTGATGGAGCCAAGACCTTGTCTCAAAAAAAAAAAAATTTTTTTTCTGATATTGATTAGACATAGAAACAACATTTTGGATATACTGGGTTAAATAAAATACATTATTTCATTTGGGAGTCTGAGGCAGAAGGATTGCTTTGATTGTTTGAGGCTGCAATGAGCCTTGATTGCACCACTGCACTCCATTCTGGGTGACAGAGTGAGATTATCTAAAAAACAAAATTAATTTCATCTGTTCTTTTTAAATGTGGCTAGTAGGAAACTTAAAATTGCATATGTGGCTCATATTATCTTCCTGTTGGACAGTGCTCTGCTAGATGGTAAATTCCATGGCTCAGGAGTTTGCACTCTGCATTTAAAGCAGTGGGTTTCTGGGCATCCTTGGGCCTCAGTTTCCTCATGTGTAAGCCACAGTTTCCTCATCTGGAATCCATTATCTCGAAAGGACCCATCCAGCTTGAGCAGTATTGTGAGGTGACCATCAAGTTCCCTAGGCCTCATTTTCTTTCTTTCTTTCTTTCTTTCTTTTTTTCTTTTTTTGAGACAGACTCTTGCTCTGTCATCCAGGCTGGAGTGCACTGGCGCAATCTTGACTCACCGCAACCTCTGCCTCCCTGGTTCAAGCGGTTCTCATGCCTCAGCCTCTCTAGTAGCTGGGATTACAGGAGCGCCGCACCACACCCAGCTAACTTTTTTTTATAGTTTTAGTAGAGACGGGTTTTGCCATGTTGGCCAGGCTGGTCTTGAACTGGCCAAGTGATCCACCCACCTCAGCCTCCCAAAGTGCTGGGATTACAGGTGTCAGCCATTGTACCTGGCCTGGCCTCTGTTTCATCTGTCAGATAAGGTAAATGATTCCTGCCTTGTTCTCTGCCCCCACTTTTCAAATGAGAGAATGGACGAGGAAATACTTGGAAAGTGTACACAACTGTACAAATGCCAGGTGTTATCATTGTCACTCACCCAGCTCACACCTGTAGACACCTTGAGTAGCCAAGTGGAGGACGGCAGCTTCCTGGCTAACAGAGTAGGCAGACAACAGAGCCCTGAGCCTGGGCAGGGGTCCTGAGTGCCATTCTGCCTTTGCCTTGGATTGTGTGAGAGCTCCTGGACCATCTGCATGTCTGTGTGCCCTGGCCAAATGGACAGATGAAAATGACACCATGGGCTGCTGAAATGCCATGTTCTGAGGACTCTAAAGTGTCATGGAGCTCCTGTGTATGGTATGTGAGGCCAGAAGGCAGATTTCATGATTGCTGTTTTACTGATGGAAATACACAAGAGATCGAAGTGACTTGCTCAGGGTCATAGAGGGAGGCAGTGCCCATGGCCGAGGCCTGAGGTCTTTCGATTTCTAGCTCAGTCCAGTCCCACCACTGCAGTATCTCCAAGCCACAGCATTGGGATTTGGTTGTCTCACAGTGAAAGTAAACCTGTCTGCACTCAGATCCTTTTCTCCCTGTTGTCGGGAGGTGCTGGGACAGTGGGAATTGTGAGACTGGAGGTCCAGAGGCTGGCTGTTTGCTAAGCCATCCACCAGGAGGCTGAGAAGTAAGCCTGTTGTGCCTGCCCTGCCACATTCCAGGGCTGTTCTGTTCTCCCCGAGGGAATGGGGGCCTGCTTTATTTTTAGCTAGTTCAGTGTGACAGCCTTGTTCTCTTTCTGGGCAAGGACTTGGCCACTTTTACCAGTCAGGAAGCTCCCTTTAGAACCTCCAGGCCCTACTCAGGTTCTCCTAGGAAGAGGGGGCCAAGGGAAGGGGAGCTGAAGTTGGAGTGCCGCTCTGCTTGCTGGGGGCCTGGGGCATTTGGCTTAACTGCACAGCCCTAGGTTCCACCTGCCTCATGTGGGGTTCATAACAGCTACCTTACACATTGTGCAGATTTGGATGGAGGAGCTTAGAGCACCCAGCGTGGGCCCTGTCCACATTCACGTTGCTAGAACGTCAGTTTCTTCATCAAGAATGGGGATCCTGGCTGGGCGCAGTGGCTCACGCCTGTAATCCCAGCACTTTGGGAGGCCGAGGTGGGCAGATCACAAGGTCAAGAGATCAAGACCATCCTGGCCAACATGGTGAAACCGTGTCTCTACTAAAAATACAAAAATTAGCTGGACATGGTGGTGTGCGCCTGTAGTCCCAGCTACTCAGGAGGTTGAGGCAGGAGAATCGCTTGAACCCGGGAGGTGGAGTTTGCAGTGAGCTGAGATTGCGCCACTGTACTCTCCAGCCTGGTGACAAAGCGAGACTCTGTCTCAAAAAAGAAAAAAATGGGGATCCCATTTTCCTCATGATTTGTTGTGCGTAAACAGAGTTCATTGAAACAGAACCAACAGTTTACACATGCTGAGAGACACATATGAACCTGGAAGAAGAGACCGGGCAAGGCTGTGTCCCCAGGATGGGGTTTTTGAGTGCCTGAGGGATGGTTTTGGCTTTGGTGATGATCTCACACAGACCTGTCACTGAGGAGCCCTGCGGTGGAATTGATTATCCCAGACACAGTTCCTCTGGTAGCTTGCAGGTGACTCAGCTTGAATATGGGAGTGGGAATCCCGATTATCTTTAGGCCCCTCTGTCCCTCTGGGCCTCAGCCATGCAGTGGTGAAGTGCTGAGGGGAAGGCAGGGGTTAGAAGTGCCTGGAACTCTGTACCTTAAAGTGAGAGGCCGCTGCCGGGGGAGAAGGGCTGGGCCATTCGGGGAAGTCTCCGGGCCTTATCTGAGCCAGCAAACCCTCTGAGACCTCCCTAGGCTAGTCATTACTGGAGGCCTCCCGCCCAGCACAGGAGCCACCCAACCTGGCCCAGGAGCCACCACGTGGTGCCTCCTAGGGCTCCTGGGCACACAAAGGGCCCAGAGGGCATGGCTCCTGTACCCCTGGCACTCACGGTCTAGCTGGCGGTGTGGACCATGCATGTGTCCCTGCAACGCCCAGGAAAGACACACACCACGAAGTGTCTCCCAGGCAGATCGACTCCTACATAGTGAACACCTAAGGCCGAGGGGATGCTGAGGAGAGGAGTGGACGGTGTGGGGTGGGGCGGATCATGGCATGTGCTCCTGAGAAGGTGAGTTGGGAGGTGAGCTTTGGGAGGAAGAAGGAGCTGGGGACGGAGAGGCCCAGGAGGCAGACTGGACGGGGCTTGCGAGGAAGGACCTTTGAGGTGATGAGCCACCATCAGGGTGCTGGGGGTTAGTGGTTGCTTTAGGGACCCCACTAGATCAGGGCTGCCTCCCCTCGTGGCCATTTCCCTCCCTGCTCAGAGACCGGCTGCCGAGAGCAGGACAGAAACTAGGTTCCCGGCTGCCACCCACACTACTGAGGTGGGGCTGGGCAGCCGCAGAAGCCATGTGCAGTCAGGAAGAGGAGTCCGGGGCTGCTGGGCGGGCACAGACCACGGTGCGGGCCCAGGCTCTCAGCTTGCTATGGCTGTTGAACTTCCTTCCCAGACTGTGTGAAAGGGGAAGGAGCAGATCGGACAGCTTGTTGTGGCTCTGATCCCAGCTGGAGGGGAGAAGAGGCCTCCTGGAGGTCACACTGGAGTGGCGTGCTTTTGGCAAGGCCAGGCAGCCATGCTGTTCTTGGGTGGCTGGAGCTGTGGCGGTGATAGCCCCTGTAGTACCGCATCTCCCTCTCCAGGAAGCCCCTGGCCCTGGCTCTCCCTGGACTGAGAGGATAGAGCACAGGACCAGGAATCAGGGAGCTTGCTGTCCACCCCAGTCTCTGCAAGTATGTCGCCCTGGCCAGTTGAGGAACCTCCTGGCCACTCATTCTTGCCCAGGGTGTTGGAAGTGATGGTACCTGCTCTGCTTCTGCAGACAGGATGCTGTAAGGACCAACAGGTAAACGCGCTGTGCCAATTAGAGAGGCCTTTATAGGTCAAAGTCATAGGAACGCACCCACTTGACAGATGGGAAGACTGAGGTGCCCACAGGATGGCAGAGCCAGAAGTCAAATGCAGGTGTCTACATGGCCCCGACTGTGCCCTGTCATCGGACCGGGAGGGGTCCTGAGGAAGTCTTTAGTACGGCTTTGCTAGTTTGAGTCTTAGAGAGTGTCTGCAGGAAATAGGAAGCGGGAAGTAGGTTTTTAAAGAAAAAAGTGTTTATGATATAATTCCATTTTTGTAAAACAAAAAGAACCATCCATCTCTTTATGTATGAGTGTTTGTTTAGGGAGGAAGATAGTCCTAGTACATAGAGCTCTAAAGTCCTTGTACATAAAGCAGGGATATCTCTGGGGAGACTGGGGGAAGAATTAATAATTTTTACTTTTATGCATTTTTATGATGTTGGAATATATTTTACAATAAGTATATATTACTGTTATTGCTTCTTTTTTGTTGTTTTTTTGAGATGGAGTTTCGCTCTTGTTGCCCAGGCTGGAGTGCAATGGCGTGATCTCGGCTCACTGCAACCTCCGCCTCCTGGGTTCAAGTGATTCTTCTGCCTCACCCTCCCAAGTAGCTGGGATTACAGGCATGTGCCACCAGGCCTGGCTCATTTTGTATTTTTGGTAGAGACAGGGTTTCTCCATGTTGGTCAGGCTGGTCTTGAACTCCCGATCTCAGGTGATCCACCAGCCTCGGCCTCCCAAAGTGCTGGGATTATAGGCACGAGCCACCGCGCCTGGCCTATTATTGCATCTTTAAAAAAAAAAATGAAACAGTGTAAATGTTTCAAGTAGTTTTGTTAGAATCTTTCATTTGCCATTTTTTTCAGGCATATTGCCTCCCAGCTTTAGTTTTCTACCAATGGGTCAATAGCATTTTGGTAGATGCCTTTTTTTTTTTTTTTTTTTTGAGATGGATTCTCGCCTTGTTGCCCAGGCTGGAGTGCAGTGGTGCAATCTCAGCTCACTGCAACCTCTGCCTCCTGGGTTCAAGTGATTCTCCTGCCTCAGCTTCCCAAGTAGCTGGGATTACAGGCATCTGCCACCACACCCGGCTAATTTTTTTTGTATTTTTAGTAGAGTTGGGGTTTCACCATGTTGGCCAGGCTGGTCTTGAACTCCTGACCTCTCAAGTGATCCACCCGCCTCGGCCTCCCATAGTGCTGGGATTACAAGCGTGAGCCACCGTGCCTGGCCGGTAGATGTATTTTTCAGGCATTGAGATGAAAGGAGTTAGGGGTACATGATTATGTCACTTAGGGATGGGAGGGAGGGAAATGACACTTGATGCTTACTTTGTTTCTGCACATTAAAATCCTCCCCATAACCCTCTGAAGTGGAGGATTTATTATCTCCATCTTAAAAGTGAGACTCAGAGAGATTAAGTAACTTGTCCAAAGTCACACAGCTAATAAATCGGATTTGAACCCAGCTCTCTGTCCACAGCCCTGTGTACTTTCCACCATGTGAGGAAAATGGAAATGCTTAAGGTGAAGCCCCAAATGGGAGGTTACGAGCCCTGGAATCTAGACCCAGCTGCCATTTCTAAACTCCCCAACTTAGCTTGAATCATGGGTCTGTTTCCTCTCCTAGATAATGGAGATAATGATGTCTTTCCTGCCTACTTCACTGGGCTGCAGTGACAGGAGAAAGGGAACTAGCATTAAAGCACCTGCTTCCTGCGTGGCACTTGGCATCCACAAGCTCATTTCACTTCTTTCTACACAGTTCAAATGGGATAATGTATGTGAAGGTCCTGTATCTGAAGGGCCAGTGCACATGTGAGCCATTGCTAATTGTGATGTTAATAAGCACCCAGGACCCGTTCTCTCTGAGTCAGTGTCCTTAGCAAAGGGAAGTGAATTCTGATGTTGAAATCTCTGTCCTCCCCTAAGCTAACATCTTTCTTAACCCTTCAGGGTGCACGCCACAATTTCCTTTTGTAAGTGGAGCGCCTTGCTTGGAAAGTTCATTTTAAAGGCCTGCGTCAGCAGCTTCAGTCACGCCTGCTGTTCTGCAGCATTCTCGATCCTCACGGGAGGGTGGATGAGAGAGGGAGTGAAATTTTCCATGGCTGTGCACCCTTCCACGGGGTGGGGTGAAAATGGCTGGGATGGTTACCAGTGGTTACTGGTGCCTCCTGCTGCGACCGGCCTGTTCACTTGGGCATGTCCAATCTTGCGTTTGTTTTTTGTGCATGTTCTGTTGGGAGCAGGAGGTGGGGCTGGGGTCGGGCACAGAAATGTTTGTGAGTTGATTGCAGTGCTAGGCCATTGAGTTCTTTCCTTGGTTGGAGGGCTCTGAGCCAGGGAAGCTTGGCGAGGCTGTGTGTTCTCTGCTGATGACATGTCCTCCTGCTCTGCGGGGGTCCAACTTTGGGAGCCGCTGAGAGCTTCAAGGCCCCCTTGGTCCACAAGAAGGAGAATCCAGGACAAGTGTCTGGAAAGTGTTTGAGCAAGAGCGCCCGCCCTGTGCAGCCGGTCTGGCTACCCTCATAGGAAGGGCTCTTCACTCTGGGCAGCGGTGGACAGAGGCCCTGGAGGCTGGATGCGGGTTCTCAGGCAAGAGTCTGAGGGACCCAGCTCGGTGTCTGATGTCTGGTGTCTGGGACTGGGCGCCTTCCCATTTCCATCCCAGCCTGACCAGACTGACCAGAGTCCCACATATTCGTCTCAGACACTGGTTTGAGAGGGAGCATTTGAGGGCCTGGGTTTCTGTCATGACTCCTGGGAACCTCTGTCTTCTGATAGATGGTCCACAGACCGAGGCTTGCAGTGGAAGCAGCTGGAAGTGGTGCTGTGCGGTGTCCTCCCCAACTCCCAAATGGAGTGTGGGGAGGGATTCTTCGGGCACTGATGTTTGGCTGGAGCAGTAAAGCAGCGGTGATGTGGAGGCAGCACCTAAGAGAAGGGGACAGGATTATGGAGATGTGAGTGTGTGTGTGTGTGTGTGTGTGTGTGTGTAAGTACTTGTGTGTGTATGTGTGAGTGTGTGAGAGTGTGTGTGTGTGAGAGATTGTGTATGTGAGAGTGTGTGTGTGTAGAGAGAGAGGGAAGAGGGGAAAAGGAAGGAGGAGAGTAAAGATCTGGAGATGCTGTGGAGAGGAGGACAGAAATAGAAAAGTTGAAAGGCCAGACTTTGGCCAAATCCCCAAAGACCAAGAGTCAGCCTTTCTTCCTGGGTTTCTGGCAGAGATCTGGAGCAACTGGGCAGGAGAGATTTCTCCAATGCCCTTTCTTCCTCCCTCTCTCCTTCAACCCACTGCCCATTCCCAGCCTCTTTCCCAGGGAGACAGGCGTGGTCCAGTGGAGTGCCAGGAGGGGCTGGTCTGAACGAGGAAGATGCGTTTTGCTCAGTGAAGTGCTGGGTTCTCTGGGCCCCTGGAAGTTTTCTGCAGGTGTCTCTAGTCATGTGCTTTTCTCCAGTGCCTCCGGGCCACTTAAAGGCCCACAGTCCAGAGGGGCATGTCTGCTGAGTCCTGCACCAGGTGCCTGCCTGGCTGGGCAGTGTGGCAGATACCAGGGAGCTGACTTCTCCCCTGGCAGCCCAGCCCCAGGCCTAGGGTATTTGCTGGTTCAGTGGCCCCTTCTGATCTCCCGAGGACCAGTGGAAAGAAAGGGCTTCCCTTCATTGTCCTCATTCATGTAAAATCCAGGAGGCCCCAGTTTCAGTTCCGGCCTTGCCTCAATTGGGCCTCCCTTTTGGCCCCAGTATTCATGTCTCTTCTGAGAGGGGTTGTACCTCATGACGACTCATGAACCTGAACAAAAGGAGGAAAACCCTCCCTCCATAGCAGCTTGAGGACCAGGCCGTTCTCTGTGTCTGCAGCCTGCTTTTTGATTTGAGCTTCTAAGCTTTATTTGGATTTAGCTTGGTTGTCCTGAAACGTTGGGGTTTTTGGATCAATGTCTGTGTGCTGAGCTGCACCTTGACTTAGAAGGCAGGATAGCTGTGGAGTTATGGAGAGCTGCCTTTTCTAGAAGCTTCTCCTGTCCAGCGGGAAAACCCCAACAGCTCTACTTGGATCTGCCTTCTGCAGAGCAGGGGACCAGTCTTTCTTAAGGGGCAGGGATGATTGTATGGAGGAGCCTTAGACTTGCAGGTATAAAACCTCACTCCCCCAGCTGTGTGCTTTGAACTAATCACTTAGCTTCTTGGACCATCAGTTTCTGTGTCTGTAAAATGGGGATTAAGAACATCTCCCAGACAGTTTTGAAGGTTAAATGACATACTGGATCTTGATATACTGATATACTGTAAGCCACAAGAGAATTATATAGTATTATTCCAGGATCCAGCATTGTTTGAATTCCTCCTTTGTGTCAAGCAACTGGGTGAGTTCCAAAGGTCTATTCAATATGTTTTCTTTCCCTGGGGAACTCACGCAGTATCATAGGAGATGGACAGCTTGGTAAAAGGATAATCATGATGTGTGAGGAGTGTGGTCGTTGGGGCGTGTCCAAAATGCTGGAGTAGCAATGTACCTTTTTTAAAATTAAAATTAAAAAAAATTTTTTGAGATGGAGTCTTGCTGCATTGCCCAGGCTGGAGTGCGATGGCGCGATCTTGGCTGACTGCAATCTTCTCTACCTCCTGGGTTCACGCGATTCTCATATCTCAGTCTCCTGAGTAGCTGGGATTACAGGCATGCACCACCATGCCCAGCTAATTTTTGTATTTTTAGTAGAGACCGGGTTTTACCATGTTGGCCAGGCTGGTCTTGAACTCCTGACCTCAGGTAATCCACTCGCCTCGGCCTCTCAAAGTTCTGGGGTTACAGGCATGAGCCATTGCTCCCGGCCTTAAAATTAAAATTAAAAAATATTTTAGAGGTGCGATATCACTATGTTGCTCAGGCTGGTCTTGAACTTTTGGGCCTAAGCAATCCTCCTGCCTCGGCCTCCCAAAGTGCCAGGATTACAGGCATGAGCCACTGTGCCAGCTAGCAATGTAGCTTTTATTGTATGATCTTGCGCTTGCTCCTCCATTCTCCACGCAGCAGACACACAACTCTCATCATGGTTGTAATCAGTAAAGCCGTCCCAAGGCTCGCTGTGCTGTGGGATCCCGCTTGTATTTGTTTATGTGGCTCATCAGGCCCTGTGTGGTTGAGCTCTGGACAGTCTTTCCAGGCACACCGTCTGCTTGTTCATCACAAAAACCACCCTCCCTCCCCTTCGGACTTCACACATGCCCTTGCTTGTGCCTGGGCATGCTCTCCAACTTCGCCTCTCCAGGAAGCCTTCTCTCCCATGCTTGCAACGTGGCTGTCTCTCCCTGCAGACCCAGGGCACTATGATGGCAAGGGCTGCTGATGAATGCCACCAGCCAGAATAGGGCATGGCTTGTCTCTCCTCCCAGGGCCATGTTTTTGGCAATTTTATTTCCTTTAAAAAATATATATACATATTTCTTTCTTTCTTTTTTTTTTGGAGACTGGATCTAAGTCTGTCACCCAGGCTGGGGTACAGTGGCAGGATCATAGCACCCTGCAACCTCTGCTTCCCCAGCTCAGGCAATCCTCCCGCCTCAGTCTCCCGAGTAGCTGGGACTACAGGGGCGTATCACCACGCCTGGCTAATTTTTGTATTTTTTTAGAGACGAGGTTTTGCCAAGTTTCCCAGGCTGCTCTCGAACTCCTGGCCCCAAGCAATCTGCCTGCCTTAGCCTCCCAAAGTGTTGGGATTACAGGTGTGGGCCACTGCTCCTGGCCAATTGTTAATTTTTTTTTTTTTTAGAGACAGTCTCACTCTGTCACTTAGGCTGGAGTACAGTGGTTCAATCATGGCTCAATGCAGCCTCAACCTCTTGGGCCCAAGTGATCCTCTTGCCTCAGCCTCCCGAGTAGCTGAGACTACAGGTGTGCATCACCATGCTGGGCTAATTTTTATTTTTTGTAGAGACAGGGTTGTTGCCCAGGCTAATCTCGAACTCCTGGGCTCAAATGATCCTGCTGCCTTGGCCTTGCAAAGTTCTAGAATTACAGGTGTCAGCCACCATGCCTGGCCTCTTCTGGCAATTTCTATTCTGGCTCTTGGTGGTTCCTGATTGCCCTTCTTTGAGCTGCTTTATTGTAAAGGGAAAAAGGTGGTAGGGCTAGTGGTTAGGAGTGGGGGCAAGGATCATCCTTGGGCGCAGAGAGTGTTGGCAGACATTTTGGGAGGCCTAGGTGGGTGGATCACTTGAGGTCAGGAGTTTGAGACCAGCCTGGCCAACATGGTGAAACCCTGTCTCTACTAAAAATACAAAAATTAGCAGGGCGTGGTGGCGCACGCCTGTAATCCCAGCCACTCAGGAGGCTGAGGCAGGAGAATTGCTTGAACCTGGGAGGTGGAGGTTGCAGTGAGCCAAGATTCTGCCACTGCATTCCAGCCTGGGTGACAGAGATAGACTATGAAAAAAAAACCAACCCCAAAAACAAACAAACAAACAAACAAACAAACAAACAAAGGAAAAAACACCAGTGTTAAGGTCTTTTCAGCCTTGTGGGGCTGTAAATCTGTCTCTCTATCCAGTGGGAGCCTTCTGTGTGCAAGGCTCCATGTGAGGCACTGGGGAGGTCAGGGTGACACGCATGGAAAGCTGGGATCCAGACCAGACCCTGCCTAGGGGTCAGTGCTGAAGGAGTGGTGATATCCAGCCTGAAGGACTTGGACATCTTCAGGAGGAAGTGACAGTTGATTTGAACCTTGAAGGTTAGGTGAGCTGGGAAGAAAAGGAAGGGCATTTCAGGTAGAGGTGACAGCAGAAGGAGGAGAGCCTGGAGCACCTACTAGGAATGGTAGAGGTGGTTTGGCCGGAGTTCAGAGAGCACAGAGCCACACCTGCAGAGGGTAGGTGCCTTGGCAGTGGGGAGGCATTGCAAGGCTTTGGGCAGAGGCATGACTTGATTAGGGTTGCACTTTAAGAGGCTGATGCTGCAGTGGTGTAGAAGATGGGTTGGAAGGAAGAGATTGAAGATAAACTGTTACAGTGGATCATCAGCAATCCAGGCACACAGAGCAGCAGAAAGAGTGGATGGTGAAACAAAAGAACCTTCCTCGGTGGACTCTACAGGGATAGTGCCATCAGGACAGGTGTCTAGCTCAATTCTAGGCACCTAGCTGGTGCCCAGTGAATCCTTTTTTGGGAGAATAAATGCGAAGATGCCATGAAGGACAAACAATTAGTGATAGCCAGTGACAACCCAGGGTGCCTAAGGTTAGGAGCCTGGGCAGCTTGAGGAGAACGGGGAACTCAGGAAGAGGAGCAGGTTGGGTCAGGCCTGGTGAAGGGTGGGAGTAGTTTGACTCGGAGGTGCAGGGCCCATGGCCTGGCACACAGGCCCGGCACATGGGTATGGGAGCCCAGGGGCTGTCTCCATTCATTGAGGCTGGGTTTAAGGTTTCTGTGCTCTGGGCCTGCCACCCTGTGTTCTCAGAAGGGTCCTAGCCCTTTGGCCGCCATTTCTGTCTTTCTAGAAGTCTTGCCCATGGACACCTGCCAGTACTACTGTCTCATGTTAATAATAATAGCTGATGTTTATTGAGCAGTTACTGTGTTCTAAGTGCTTGTGTCTCATTTGAACTTGTCCTATATGTTAGGTCCTATCTATCATCTCAGTTTTTCAGTTGAGGAAACTGAAATTCACACAGCTGTTAAGCTCTGGGGCTAGGATTGAACCCAGTTGGCTGGCTCCAGAGCCCTTGTTCGTAGCCTCTCTGTCATTCCCATCCCAGTGAGAGTGAGCCAGCCAATTCTCAGAGAGAGAAGGAGGCTTGAGGTGTTCCTGATACTGGAGGAAACCTACCTCCATCAAGTACTTGGGGGTTGAAGAGCAGCTTCCATGTCATATTTGAGGGTTGGAAAGGATCTTAGAGATATCGGGTTCATTTTACAGGCCAGGAACTAGGGCTCAGAGCATTTGCAAGCCTGTTCTGGGTGACATGGATGACAGCAGTTGAATGACCTTCCGCCATGCGATGTGCCAGCGTGCGTGTTCCTGTGCCTGTGGGAGCTGGCTATCTCAGCGGGTGGGTGCCTCACCTTGCCCTGTCCTCCCCCTCGACCTCACTCTCCTTCCTTCTCATCCCCCTCCAGATTGACAAGTATCTCTATGCCATGCGGCTCTCCGATGAAACTCTCATAGATATCATGACTCGCTTCAGGAAGGAGATGAAGAATGGCCTCTCCCGGGATTTTAATCCAACAGCCACAGTCAAGATGTTGCCAACATTCGTAAGGTCCATTCCTGATGGCTCTGGTAAGTCTGTCACCCAGAGATTGAACCCTGAGGGCTAAATGTTCTGTGAAATCTTCCTTCTAACTTCATTTGTTCATACATTTGCTCATTCATTCATTCACCATTCCATCAATCTGCTCTCCCATCCATCCATCCATCCATCCGCTGATCCATCTGCTGATCCATCCATCCATCCATCCATCCGCTGATCCATCCATCCAATATGTGTCTACTGAGACCTTATGCCAGTCACTGGGGATACCATGGTTGGGCAAGGCTGACCTGCTGTCATTGACTTTACTGTCTAGTGGCTTGTGATACTTTAGAAAGTGTAGTGTTTATGGGTCTCGCAGATACTGTGTGGGTTGCTCTTATGTCTTCAGAACATGAAGAACTCCAGAACAAATGAAGGGTTCATTTTAGGGAAATCTCTCCATCAGGGAATCAAAGCTTCCCTCTCTTCTTATCCCAGATAATAGCAATCCTAATGGACAGGTGGGTCTCAGACTTAAAGGCAGAGATTCCAGACCCCCTTTGGACAGATTTCACAGATGCAGAATTGAGGCAGCCCCCAAAACAAAGAAATACAGAGGGGAGGTAGAATTGAAAGAAAAATTGTATCCTTTCACTCTGCATCCTGTGGCTCATACCCTGCAGTGGGGCGTTGGGGGAGGGCCCCCTGAGGATTGTCTGTTTCTCCTCCCCAGAGGAGTGGTATCAGCCCCTGCACCTGGCTGAGCGGAGACTGAGAAGTCGCAGTCTGGCCTGCTCAGTGGAAGCTGTTCTTCCCGGCAGACCCGCAGTTACTAGTTTGTGGAGGTGAATGCTGTGCTTGCTCCAGCGTGGCGCCCTCACAGGAATCCCCTGTTAGCTGTGTTCTGTGCTCTAGGGTGGGGCTCACCTGCTGTAGGCAGCAGAGGGAGGGAGAGCAGGAGGAAGTCAGGTTTCCCTTGGGGTTGTGAGTACACGACCAGTGAGTACAGCTTTCACACACCCCTGCGATTTCTTCCCTGCTCTCGAGGCTCTTATTTAAAGGAGTGATTTGGGGCATCTTGTATGCAGCCTGCAAAATGGACGCCAGGAAACTGCAGCTGTTGCAACTGATGTTCTTGAAAGATGGGCAAGTGGGAGTAGGCTGGTTGCAGCAGGAAAAGACCTCTGCTCTCTGCCTGCAGTCATCCTGAATGAGATTTGGACGCTGATAAAGAGGCCTTGTGCTGTTCACTGTGGCCACGGGTGGGGTCTACTTCATGCTCACATATTAGCATGTATATCTCTGATGTAAGCCTACTCCACCTCCACCCTTTTGTTTAGGTGTTGATTACTAGCACCTACTTCTAGCTTTTTAAGAACTACTGAAGAGATTCTGGCCATCAGAGTGAATAGACTGTGGTCTACCCTGGGTGTGTTCGCTTGTCTCTGGCTGGAGAAGAAAGAACTTTATATATAGTTCACTCTTGCTTTTTCCCAGCCATGGATGTCACCTACAGCCAGGAGCACTGGAACCTTTCCAGGATGAGGAGAGCTATGTAGCAGAGGCATGGCTCTGACTGCTTCCAGCTGAGAGAAGAGGAAGGAGCGGGGAGGGGAGGGGGTATGGGCAGCACCCAGGAGAGCACCTGCTTTGGCTTTGCTTGGGAGAGCTCAGAAGGCTACCTGATCCCTGCGAGGCACCTGGCCCTGTGTGACTGGCTCAGGGCAGACACAGGGGAGGAGACACTTTGCCTCCTACCCACTGGGCCCTGCTCTCAAGCCAGCTGTGTCCCAGGGACCTATGTCAGCAGGGGTGCTCTCCCTCTCCTTCACAAACTGTTTCCAGGATTGAGAGTCTCAAGGTGTGATCCAAGTGCAGTAGAAATCCAGCCATTTGCCATATTGGCTACTCCTCCAAACAAGGCTTAGAACTCATACTCATTTGTGAAATGTATTTTTCACCCCCTTTTAGAGATTCATAGAAACGGCACCCCCCCATTCCAAATATTTATGGGTGGGTTCAGTTCATGTGCCCCAGAGCCCACACTTCGCTTGCAATGGTCCCTACAGCCCCGCAAAGACATTGCTGTTGATGCTAAGGACTTGGATACCCAACCCCCAGTCCACTTCCTGCCCCTTCGTGTTGTGCCGGGCTTCTGTCTTCACCTCCCCCTGCCTCTTGGCTCCTTTATCATCCAAGAATCAGGAGATCCCTGCAGTAATCAGAATCTGGGTCTCTTAATAGTAAATCCATAGTGCTGTTCCCTTTTTGAAATGTTAATCACTGCTTCAACTGTAGTAATTAGTGACAGAATTAGTGGTAATCCCAAACCACGGAGGGATAAATTGGCGCTCACCATGGTGGAGCAATGCCTAAGTGGTGATGTGATTTCCAAGGCAAAGGAAGGAAACAAGCCTTTCCTTTCTTGCTGACCTTGACCCTGGTCGACTAGACACAGAGTTTTGGAACTCAACTGACTTTCCAGAAGCATTTCTGAAAACATATCTGATACATACATTCTGATACCTATCAGCCCATTTTTAATTAGTTTCTTTCTTTTTTGGTCATTTTTTTTTTAATGGGCAGTGAGGTTTTTGTTTTTGGTATTTTGTAGAGATAGGGTTTTGCCATGTTGCCCAGACTGGTCTTGAACTCCTAGGCTCAGGCGATCCTCCCACCTCCCAAAGTGCTGGGATTACAGGCGTGAGCCACCTCACCTGGCCTGTTTTTATTTTTATTTTTTAGTTGTTCTTCAATAATCTGTATATCATTAAAAAAACCCCAAAAACCTAAAGTGGCTTTTTGCTGCTGCATATCATTTTTGAGGTAGTGGATGAATGAATAATAAAGAAGGAAAATATTGAAGCCTCTTAACATTGGTGATTTGGCTAAATAGAATTCCCTCTTCAAAGCTACTGTAGGGAGCAAGGGAAAACGTCCCCTTTGCCCTCTGAATGTTGGCTGAAAAATCAGCTCACAAAAGGCAGATTAATAGGAGAAAGGGCATACACATTTATTAACATGCATGTGGGAGAATCACAGACTGATTACTCAAGTATCCCGGTGGGGCCCAGATACTTACATTTCCTCTTTTCTTTTCCTTTTTTTTTTTGAGATGGAGTCTTGCTCTGTTGCCCAGGCTGGAGTGCAGTGGCACGATGGTTCAAGCGATCCTCCTGCCTTAGCACCCCCTACGTAGCTGGGATTATAGGCACCTGCCACCATGCCCAGCTAATTTTTGTATTTTTAGTAGAGACGGGGTTTTGCCATGTTGGCCAAGCTGGTCTCGAACTCCTGACCTCAGGTGATCCACCCGCCTCGGCCTCCCAAAGTGCTGGGATTACAAGTGTGAGCTACTGCGCCCGGCCACACATTTCCTCTTTTCAGAGGGGAGGCAGGAGACAGGGAACAGTAAATGATTACTAGGGAGAATGAAGATATCAGGGAACAGAGATTAACCAGTACCGGTTCTCTTTGGAAATTGAATAGGAGACAGATTTTTTTTTTTTTTTTAAGACAGTCTCGCTCTGTCGCCCAGGTTGCAGTGCAGTGGCATGATCTCGGCTCACTGCAACCTCCGCCTCCCGGGTTCAAGCAATTCTCCGGCTTCAACTTCCTGAGTAGCTGGGATTACAAGTGCGCACCACCACGCTGGGCTAATTTTTGTATTTTTAGTAGAGACGAGGTTTCACCATGTTGGCCAGACTGGTCTCGAACTCCTGACCTTGTGATCTGCCCGCCTTGGCCCCTCAAAGTGCTGGGATTACAGGTGTGAGCCACCACGCCCGGTTTAGGAACAGACATCTTTAAAAAGGTCCATTCAGGTGTGGTCAGATTCTTCAGTCTTCTTTTCTGCAATAGATAATGAGATAACAGGGAGGGTAAGGATAAAGTTCTCCTTGGAGGGTCTGCGTGGTCTTTATGCAGATAGGAGAAAAGCATTTTCCAGCATCTGTTGATCTTTAAGGGCCTTTAGTTCAAAATACTCATTATACCAGGGAGCCATATTTTGGGGTGAAGTATTTTGGGTTTCCCTCACTACCCAGTCTCTTGGGAATTGCTGTCCCTCTGTGCCCAGCCTCCCCCATTCGCGAAGTGTCCCTTTTTTCTCCTTTTCTCATTTATCCCTAAGGATATTGTAAGCACTAATTAGAGTGTAAGCTTTTGGAGGCTAAATAGGAATCGATACTTCTTGGTTTCGGCTTCATTGTTCCTACACAGCCTTTACCCAAAAGAGAAGTTTTTACCCAAAGGAGAAGTAAAAAAAAAAATTTTCTAGAAGCTTGGATGTGCCATTATCTTTTTTCATGCAAAGCAGAGCCATTTACAGTGTAGTCACGGTTGTTTTGGGGCCCTAAATATTCATACTACTGTTTTCCAGTCAACGGAAGGAAAATATTTACCTTCTCTTCTTGCAGCATTTGGGTGGTCTCAGTTTTCTTATATGGAAGGATAGTTGGGTTATCTCAAGTATTCTCTCTATCTGTGAAACCTCCTGAGTTGAAGGCGTGGAGTTCCCATCATGCAGCTGGATTGTAGATGGGCAGGAATGCCTGTGTATCTCATGTACAGAATTAATTCATTGAGGCTGGGCACGGTGGCTCATGCCTGTAATCCCAGCACTTTGGGAGGCCGAGGCAGGCGGATCACCTGAGGTCAGGAGTTGGAGACCGGCCTAGCCAATATGGCGAAACCCCGTCTCTACTAAAAATACAAAAATTAGCTGGGCATGGTGGCCGGTGCCTGTAATCCCAGCTACCTGGGAGGCTGAGGCACGAGAATCACTTGAACCTGGGAGGCAGAGTTGCAGTGAGCTGAGATCACGCCACTGCACTCCAGCCTGGGCAACAGAAACTCTGTCTCAAAAAAAAAAAAAAGAAGAATCAATTCATTGAGCTGGACTCAGGCAGGCATTTCCCGCAGGCAGAGTTTTTGCTTGCCCTGTATTCCAGCACAGGCTGGTACTCGAGACACATCTGTCCTGTGTTTGTTTTCCATTATTTGCTGGTAATAATGGCTGTCATTAGAAAGTGGAGAATTGCCAGTAGCCCTTCGGATGTGTTGTTTAATGAGCTTTCTCTTGAGCGGTTCTCCCAGCTTCAGTGGAAATGAGAAATGTGAGGAAAGGTCACAGGCAGGAGGCCCCAGTAGCAGGAAGCAAGGTTTGAGACCAAAGATTGAAAGAGGAAGTTGGGAGGAAACCTATTACTGCAGAAAGAGGCTGAGCTTGTAGCCAAAGAGAAAAGGAAATAAAAATCTAGAACACTGAATCGGTCTCTGGGTTTGCCACTCCCAACCTGTGTGACCTTGGAGAAGCCACTTAACTTCTGAGCCTCCATTTCCTCATGGGTAAAATGGCCATGGTAATCCCTGCCCCACCTGCCTCACCAGGCTATCATCAGGATCAAATGAGAGTCTTTGGAAACTGCAAACCACCGTGAGTTATGGTGCGTCATCGTCATCCTCATCAGTCTTATGATATAATAACTGGCTTTGGAAGAATTCCTTGGGAAAGTCTTTCCTAACCAATGGAGCCAGTCCAAGGACCGCACCCAGCAGGCCTGAATGTGTAAGCCGAGCCCCTGCAGGAAGGATGCAGAGTTTTTCAGGATTCGCTGGCATCTCTGTGATGTTACAGGGGAAGGAGGCAGAGAAAAGGGGCAAGCCAAGGCAGGCTGTCTCACCCCCAACCCCTGAGCTAGCCACATAAAATGTGGGTGAGACCACAGGCTACAGCTCCAGTACCTCTGCAAGGGGGTGACTGGACACGACAGCTCTGAATCAGGGAGCCAACCCGAGGTAAAAGGGACTGATAGGTCCCTTTTGTTATGGAGGGCAAGTGGGTATTTGGGGGATTCATTTCCTGACAAAGAATATTGAACTAACCTGGAAACCTTCTGGTTGTAGCTGAAGGAAATCTGACTCAAATTTGTTTAAGAAAAAAAGAGAATTCTAGTTTCCTATAACTGGGAAGTCTCGCTGTGAGTTGACTTCTGTATCTAGGGATTCATCTGTCTCTTACTAGTTCAGTCAGCTCCTTTCCTGTGTGTTGGCTTCATTCATAGGCCATCTCTCCTCTTACAGTGGCAGGGACGGCCCCTGCAGCCCTAGGCTGACCCCTCCCCTTATAGCCAGCGATCTCTGTGCAAAGAGCAGGCCTTGCTCCCCATGGACCTGTGATGGTCTTGGAGAGGGCTGTGATTGGCTTACTTGGGTTATGTGCCCATCCTGAACCAATCACGATGGACAAGATGGGTGACTTGGGATGCCCCTGGATCCCATGCCTGGATTACGCATTGGTACCCCTGGAGCTGGAGTGGGGATTCAGCCCCACTTCCAACCTCATAGGTGAAAAATGGGAGGGTAGTTATCTAAAGAGATGCTGGACATCCAGGAAAGTTTATCAGTTATCTTGTTGTCCTTAACAGACATCATTCCTCAGTGTCTTTTGCCCGGCAGCGTATAGGACCAGCACTTTGGGAGGCCGAGGTGGGCGGATCACAAGGTCAAGAGATCGAGACCATCCTGGCCAAAATGGTGAAACTCCGTCTCTACTAAAAAATACAAAAATTAGTTGGGCGTGGTGGTGCATGCCTGTAGACCCAGCTACTCGGGAGGCTGAGGCAGGAGAATTGCTTGAACCCGGGAGTTGGAGGTTGCAGTGAACCAAGATTGCGCCATTGCACTCCAGCCCGGGCAACAGTGTGAGACTCCATCTCAAAAAAACAAACAAACAAAAACATGAAATAAATAAATGTTTAGGTGAACATTAAAACAGCAAATTAATTAAGTAAAATATTAAAATAAAAAGTACCGATCATTTCATCTCAGTGTAGTATTTGCTTTTGTGCCCCTTTTCCCCCTATGCACAAGTGGTTTATAGTTGTTTATCAGACTGAGCTTTCACTGTCTTCATTAGAGAATGAAGCAAAATAAAACCAAAGCTGGCCGGGCGCCGTGGCTCACGCCTGTAATCCCAGCACTTTGGGAGGCCAAGGCAGGCGGATCACGAGGTCAGGAGATCGAGACCATCCTGGCTAACACAGTGAAACCCCGTCTCTACTAAAAAAAAAAAAAAAAAAATTAGCTGGGCGTGGTGGCGGGCTCCTGTAGTCCCAGCTACTTGGGAGGCTGAGGCAGGAGAATGATGTGAACCTGGGAGGTGGAGCTTGCAGTGAGCCAAGATCACGCCACTGCACTCCAGCCTGGGCGACAGAGCGAGACTCCGTCTCAAAATTAAATAAATAAATAAATAAATAAATAAATAAATAAAACCAAAGCTAGGCCAGGCACGGTGGCTCACGCCTATAATCCCAGCACTTTGGGAGGCCAGGGCAGTCGGATCATCTGAGGTCAGGAGTTTGAGACCAACCTGGCCAAGGTGGTGAAACCTCGTCTCTACTAAAAATACAAAAAATGAGCTGGGCGTGGTGGTGGGTGGCTGTAATCCCAGCTACTGGGGAGGCTGAGGCAAGAGAATCGCTTGAACCCCGGAGGCGGAGGTTGCAGTGAGCCGAGATCGCGCCATTGCCGTCCAGCCTGGGCAACAAGAGTGAGACTCCGTCTCAAAAACAAAAACAAAAACAAAAAAAACAAAACAAAAAAACCCAAAGCTATAAGGAATCATGGAAGTTGAAGAGCCCCAGAAAAGAAGTGTAGCCATTCCTGATGTGCTGAAGTCTCTCTCTGGCCCCCACTTTCCTTGGGGATCCTTGTCCCTGAGTTCTGTCCAGGAGGCAGTTTTCATGGTTATACATTATGGCTTCGGATTCAAATGCTGACTCTGCCACTTACTGGTTGTGCGTTTGGGCAAGTTATCTAACCCCTCTTTACCTTTACTTGCTCATCTGTAGAATGGGCATCCTGACAGTACTGACTTCATAGGGTTGTGAAGATTGAAAATAAAAGGATACGTATAAGCACTTAGTGATTGGTACAGAAAGACTCAGTGAATGTTAGCTGATGGATGGTCAAATAAAATGTTTCTGATATTCTAGTGACTCACCTGCGAGGAGCTACTTCATACTGAATTCAATTTTTTCAGTTATTTCAATTTTTTTTTTTTTTTGAGACAGAGTCTTGCTCTGTTGCCCAGGCTGGAGTGCAGTGGCATGATCTCGGCTCACTACAACCTCCGCCTCCTGGGTTCAAGCGATTCTCCTGCCTCAGCCTCCTGAGTAGCTGGGATTACAGGCACCTACCACTACACCCAGCTAATTTTTGTATTTTTAGTAGAGACAGGGTTTCTCCATGTTGGCCAGGCTGGTCTCGAACTCCTGACCTCAAGTGATCCACCCGCCTCAGCCTCCCAAAGTTCTGGGATTACAAGCATGAGCCACTGCGCCCGGCTGAATTCAATTTTTTAACCTAGTGGTGGTGTAAAGTACTGTTGGAGTTAGGACTCCAATGGGAGCCCAAAGAAAATTCTATATTGATTTGAACAATGCCACAAAGTCGGGGTCAGAATTTCCACCAAATCTATGACACCTGCTTCCCAGCATTCTCCCTTGTTCTCTCTCTTTCCTTTGGACCACAAATAATTTAAAACCAGTGGCTTCATGTGATATATACATATAATGGAATATAATCGGTTCATAAAAAGGAATGAGGTACTGATCCACGCTACAGCATGGATGAGCCTTGAAAACCTTATGCCGGGTGAAAGAAGCCAGACACAAAGGACCTAATATTATACAATTCCACTTATATGAAATGTCTGGAATAGGGGCATCTGTAGAGCAGAAAGTACATTAGTGGTTGCTGGGAGATAGGGAGGTTGGGAGGAAATGGTGAATGGTTGTTAATGGGTATGGAATTTCTTTTGGGATGATGAAAATTTTCTAAAATTAGATAGTGGTGATGGTTGCACAACTCTGTAAATATGCTGAAAACCACTGAATTTTTCACTTTAAAATGGGTAAAAATTGTATGCTATATTATTATATCTCAATAAAACTGTTATTAAAAAAACAACCAACCAATATGTGAAATAATAAGAAATATACATGTTGGTCTCTGCCCCTAGTCTCTAGCATTTAGCTTCTAAAACCCTTGTAATTTCTTGAGCAATACAGGTGCTAGGAGAATCTTTGATCCTGGTCCTGACTCAGAGCTCCTAAATCCCTTGGAATTTCTTGGGTGATAGGAGAGTCTCTTTTGTTCCTTGGTGGGACCCTGGATAGCCTCAGGATGGGGGGCTGGTTGCCAGGGGGAACCAACCATGTGATCAGAGGGTTGCTGTCAGCCCCAACCCCCATGCCGCCTCCAGGGAGGGAGAGAGCCTGAAAATAGAGCGAATAAACCAATGGTCGATGATTTAATCAATCGCAACTGTGTAATGGTGCTTCCACAAAAACCTAAAACAGGCCAGGTATGATGGCTCACGCCTGTAATCCCAGCATTTTGGGAGGCCCAGGTGGGTGGATCGCTTGAGCCTAAGAGTTTGAGACTAGCTTGGGCAACATGGTAAAACCCTGTCACTACACAAAATACAAAAAAAAGTTAGCCAGATGTGGTGGCACGTGCCGGTAGTTCCAGCTACTCGGGAGGTTGAGGTGGGAGGATCGCTTGGGCTCTGGAGGTTGAGGCTGCAGTAAGCTGTGATCATGCAACTGCACTGCACTCCAGCCTGGGTGACAGAGTGTGACCCTGACTCAAAGAACAAACAAACAAAACCAAAAAAAAAAAAAAAAAGCAAAAAGAAGAAAACCTAGAATGACTGAGTTCTGGTAGCTTCTGTCTAGCTGAACACATGGAGGTTCCTGGGTGGCACATCTGGAGGGGGCATGGAAACTCCTGCCCTTTCTCCCATGCCCCTCCCTGTGTATCTCTTCCATCCAGTTCTTCATCTGTATTTATTGTAATATCCTTTATAGTAAATATGTAAATGTAAGTGAAGTGTTTTTTCTGGGTCTGTGAGCTGCCGTAGCAAACTAATGCAACCCAAGGAGGGGGTTGTAGGAACCCCGATTTATAGTGATCAGCCAGAAGCACAGGCCACAACCTGTGCTTGTGACTGGTGTCTGAAGTTGGAGGGAGGGCAGCCTCGTGTGAACGAGCCCTCGACCTGTGGGATATGATGCTATCTCCAGGTAGCTAGTGAAATAATTGAATTGAATTAGAGAGCATGGAGCTGGTGTTCACTGGAGAATTCACTGCAGAATTACTTGCTTGGTGTGTGGGGAAAAACCCACATGCATCCAGGGTCACAGGTGTGTTCTGTGTTGTGGTGAGTAGAGAAAAGGAAAAACATACTCTGGTTTTTCCTCTGTGTGTGTCTCACATGATGGCGTAACTGCTTTGTGCTTAATAAACAGCAAGCAGGGGTGCTGTATTAGTCCGTTTTCATACTGTTAAAAAGAACTGCCTAAGACTGGGTAATTTATAAAGGAAAGAAGTTTAGTTGACTCACAGTTCAGCATGGCTGGGGAGGCCTCAGGAAACTTACAATCATGGTGGAAGGAGAAAAGGCATCTTCCTCACAAAGCGGCAGGAAGGAGAAGTGCTGAGCGAAGGGGGAAGAGCTCCTTATAAAACCATAAGGTCTCATGAGAACCCACTCACTATCACGAGAACAGCATGGGGGGAACCACCTCCATGATTCAGTTACCTCCACCTGGTCTCTTTCTTGATATGTGGGCATTGTGGGGGTTACAACTCAAGATGAGATTTGGGTGGGGACACAAAGCCTAACCATATCAGGTGCCTTGAATGAATGAATGGACCACCAGTCCCTGTGACCAGGCAGCTAATGAGCATTTGCTGAGCTGTCCTGGGTGCCAAGGACAGAGAATCCCAAGTTGTGGTCTTTCCCTCAAGGAACTTGAGAACGAAGATAGGAACAGGCTGGGCGCAGTGGCTCATGCCTGTAATCCTAGCACTTTGGGAGGCCAAGGCAGGTGGATCACCTGTGGTCAGGAGTTTGAGACCAGCCTGACCAACATGGTGAAAACCCATCTCTACTACAAAATACAAAAATTAGCCAAGCATGGTGGTGGACACCTGTAATCCTAGGTACTCGGGAGGCTGAGGCAGGAGAATCACTTGAACCTGGGAGGCAGAGGTTGCAATGAGCCAAGATCACGCCATTGCACTCCAGCCTGGGCAATGGAGGAAGACTCCCTCTCAAAAAAAAAAAAAAAAAAAAAAAAGATAGGAACAGTGACATTCAATGTGAGAATTCCTTGGTTTGTTGTTTATTTCTTTATACCTTCATTAATTCCACAAGTATTTGCTCAGTTTTTACCTACATTCCAAACACCATTGTAAGTTCCAGAAATATAGCAGTGTGTCAGGGCTTATAGCTTGGTAGAATCAAATACAAAGATAAGTCAGCTTTATTGTTAAAAACAGAAAGCAAACCTTATTTTGTGTTGAAAATCAAAAGCTCAAGGGACCCAGAATAACCAAAGCAATCATGAAAAAGAAGAACAAAGCTGAAGGAATTTCACTGCCAATTTCAAAATTTTCAGCAAAGCAACAGTAATCAAGACATGTGGTACTGGCATGAAGGTAGACATGCAGACTAATGGAACAGAATAGAGAGTTCAGAAATAAATGCATACAGGCTGAGTGTGGTGGCTCATGCCTGTAATCCTAGCACTTTGGGAGGCCGAGGCTGGTGGATCACCTGAGGTCAGGAGTTTGAGACCAGCGTGGCCAACATGGTGAAACCCCGTCTCTACTAAAAATACAAAAAAATTAGCCAGTTGTGGTGGCACACGCCTGTAATCCTAGCTACTTGGGAGGCTGAGGCATGAGAATTGCCTGAACCCGGGAGGTGGAGGTTGCAGTGAGCCGAGATCATGCCACTGCATTCCAGCCTGGGTAGCATTCCAGCCTGGGTAACAGAGTGAGACTTTGTCTCGAAAAAAAAAATAAATGCATACATTACGGTCAATTGACTTTTGACAAGAATGCTAGGACTATTCAATGAGGGAAAGAATAGTCTTTTCAGCAAATGGTGCTGGGACACTGGATATCCACATGCAAAAGAATGAAGTTTGACCTACACCTCATACCATATATAAAATTAACTTGAAATGGATCAAATACCTAAATGTGGGAGCTAAAACTAATAAAACTCTTAGAACGAAATACAGGTTTGAATCTTTGTGACCTTGGATTTGGCAATAGAGTCTTAGCTACAACTCCAAAAGCACAAACAATAAAAGAAAAAACGTAAAACTGGACTTCATCAAAATTTAAAACTTGGCCATGCTTGGTGGCTCATGCCTGTAATCCCAGCACTTTGGGAGGCCAAGCAAGAGGATCACTTGAGCGAAGGCATTTGAGACAGCCTGGGCAACATAGTGAGACCTTGTCTCTAAAAAAAATTAAAAATTAGCCAGGTGTGGTCGTATGCCTGTAGTTCCAGCTACTTGGGAGGCTGAGGCTGGAGGATTTCTTGAGTCCAGGAGGTCAAGGGTGCAGTGAGCCATGATTGCACCATTGTACTCCAGCCTGGGCAACAGAGCAAGACCCTGTCTCAAACACAACAACAACAAACATAAAATGTTACTGCATCAAAGGATACCATAAAAAAAAGAAAAGACAATCCACTGAATGGGAGAAAATATTTGCCAGTCATATGTCTGATAAAGGATTTGTATCTAGAACATAAAAAGAACTTTTACAACTCAACACATAAAAGACAAATGAGGCCGGGTGCGGTGGCTCACGCCTGTGATCCCAACACTTTGGGAGGCCGACGCAGGCGGATCACAAGGTCAGGAGTTCGAGACCAGCCTGGCCAACATAGTGAAACCCCGTCTCTACTAAAAATACAAAAATTAGCCAGGCGTGGTGGTGCACGCCTATAATCCTAGCTACTGAGGAGGCTGAGGCAGGAGAATTGCTTGAACCCGGGAAGCAGAGGTTGCAGTGAGTCGAGATTGAGCCACTGCCCTCCAAGCTGGGCAACAGAGCGAAACTCCATCTCAAAAAAAAAAAAAAAAAAAAAAGGAAAAGATAAGCCAAGTGTTTAAAATGAGCAAAGGATCTGAATAGACATTTCTCCAAGTGGCCAATAAGCACATAGAAATGTACTCAACACCATTAGTCATCAGAGAAATGCAAATTGATAAAGAAGTCAGACTGTAATAAGTGTTGATGAAGACATGGAGAACTGAAAACTTCATGCATTACTGGTAGGAATGTAAAATGGTGCAGCTGCTTTGAAGAATGGTGGTAATTCCTTGAAAAGTTAAACATGGGTTACTATTTGACAGCGATTCTTGTCCTAGGTATATATACCCAAGATAAATGAAAACGTGTCCACACAAAAACTTGGGCACAAATATTCATAGTAGTGTTATTCATAATAGCCAAAAGGTAGAAACAAACCAAATGTCTGTCAGTAACAAATGAATAAATAAAATGTGTTATATCTATAGAGTGTAACAGCCATTAAAAGGGATAAAGTCTCATATGCACTATAACATGATGAACCTTAAAAACATTTTGCTTAGTGAAATGAGCCAGTCATACAAGGTCATATACCGTATGATTTCTTTTCTTCTTTTTTTGAGACAGGGCCTCGCTCTGTTGCCCAGGCTGGAGTGCAGTGGCGTGATCTCAGCTCACTGCAACCTCTGTCTCTTGGGCTCAAGAGATTCTCCTACCTCAGTCTCCAAGTAGCTGGGATTACAGGCTCACACCACCATGCCCATCTAATCTTTTTTGTGTTTTTGGTAGAGACAGGGGCTCGCCATGTTGCCCAGGTTGGTCTCAAACTCCTGAGCTCAAGCGATCCACCTGCCTCAGCCTCCCAAAGTGCTGGGATTACAGGCATGAGCCACCGCACCTGGCCACTGTATGATTTCATTGATATGAAATGTCCAGAAGAGGTAAATCTATAGCAACAGAAAATAGATTAGTGGTTGCCTAGGGCTGGAGAAGGATGAGGGGCTTGGGAGGTGATAGTTAAAGGGTATAGGGTTTCTTTTTGAAATAATGAAAATGTTATAAAATTGGCTGTGCTGATGGTTGCATAACTCCGAATATACTAAAAACCATTGAATTGTATACTTTAAATGGGTGAATTATATGGTATGTGAATTAAATTTCAATAATGCTGTTACATAAGATATAATGATAAAGATCTTTCCCTGCCTAGGAAAATGATATGCCCCAAAGCAGTCTAGTATTTACTGCCATAGGATTGAGAGCTTGGTGGATCATGTGCTGTGGAAGGCAGGGGTGGCCGTCACCCCTGGCGTGGTAGATATTAGGACAGTGGGGATGTCACCTTAGCATCACGAGTGAAACATATCTTAACTGATTTTTCTGGGAGCATCGTGAGGATAACTAATGAGATGAAGGGTAGAGAATGTTTGGCTGTGGCTTAATGGTTGGAACTTTGCCCATGGCCGCCTGCCTTTGCTGTCCGATGGTCTCAGCCTACAGTCCTGCTCTGCCCCCTGAGGCCCACCCCAGTGCTGCACATGTCACTCCCGAGGGAGGTAACCATAGCAGACCAGTACTTTGGCCACTGGTACTTTTATGTGACCAAGAGGGACTTCTGTTAAAAGCATCCTCTGGGTGGAAACAACCCAAGGGTCCATCAACAGATGAAAGGATAAACAAAATGTAGTGGATCCATACAATGGAATATTATTCAGTCTTAAAAAGGAATGAGGCTGGGCACGGTGACTCACGCCTGTAATCCCAGCACCCTGGGAGGCCAAAGCGGGTAGATCACCTGAGGTCAGGAGTTTGAGACCAGCCTGGCCGACATAGTGAAGCCCTGTCTCTACTAAAAATAAAAAAAATTAGCCAGGCATGCTGGCGGATGCCTGTAATCCCAGCTACTCGGGAAGCTGAGGCAGGAGAATCACTTGAACCTGGGAGGCCAAGGTTGCAGTGAGCTGAGATTATGCCTCTGCATTCCAGCCTGGGCAACAAGAGCGAAGCTCTGTCTCAAAAAAAAAAAAAAAAAAAAGGATGAAATTCTATTGGGGGCAGGGTGGCTCATACCTGCCTATAGTCCCAGTTACTTGAGAGGCTGAAGTGAGAGGATCTTGGGAGCCCAGGAGCTTGAGACTGCAGTGAGCTTTGATCACACCACTGTACTCTAGCCCAGGTGACAGAGCAAGACCCTGTCTCTATTAATTAAAAAAAAAAAGAGTAAAATTCTGAAAATATGGATGAACCTTGAAAACGTTATGCTAAGAGGAATAAGCCGGTCACAAAAGGACAAATAACTGTGTGATTCTTCTTGTATGAAATATCCAGAATAGGCAAGTTCATAGAGACAGAGAGTAGAATCGTGGATGCTGGGGACTGAGGGTGAGGGGAAATGGAAATTATTGCTTAATGGTTATAGAGTTTGTGTTGGGGTGATGAAAAAGTTTTGAAAATAGTGGTGATGGTTGCACAACATTGTGAATGTACTTAATGCTACTGAATTGTACGCCTGAAAATGGTTGCAGTGGTAAATTTTATGCTATGTGTATGTTACCACAATAATAAAACACAACCCTGAGGAGTAAGCAGAACCCTGGAATAATTGATGTCAGAGCTGACATGCAGAGACCCAGGGCAGGCACTGGGTGGACCTCAGATGTAGGGCTTTGTCTGAGTTGAAATGCGGTGTGATTTTTTATTTCTGCATAGCAGTGCTGTTTTTGAAATAGGTTAAGAAACTAGAGAAACATGGGGTGGGAATTTGTACTTAATTCAGTACTTCCATTCCCCTATAGTCAGAAGTAAGAGACTGGGATTGCTTGAAGCTATTTCTGTCTAAGGACTCTGGGGTAGGATAGGGTTTCTTTTGCCTACTCTGCGTATATGGCAGTGGTTGGATGAAGTTTGCATGATTGCTGCTTTCTGGCTGATAACAGCATGTGGCAGGGGGAGGCAGACAGGGCCTACGCCCTGCCAGGAAGCGGGCATGGTATGTGGCTTCCCCTTAACATTTGAATCTCATGTGATACCTGTTGTCTCCCTAAACAGAAAAGGGAGATTTCATTGCCCTGGATCTTGGTGGGTCTTCCTTTCGAATTCTGCGGGTGCAAGTGAATCATGAGAAAAACCAGAATGTTCACATGGAGTCCGAGGTTTATGACACCCCAGAGAACATCGTGCACGGCAGTGGAAGCCAGGTGGGTCCCTGCTCCCTCCGGGTCACCCCGTCGGGCCAGCATCCCCTTGGTTACCTCCAGGAACCAGGCCTCAAAGCACTGGCATCCCAAGCCCCTGGAAGAGGGTTGCTGGAAAGAGTCCCTCATAGATGCATATGTAAAAGGACTCCTGGGCAGAGGATGTGACAGCCTGCATGGGGGCCCTGCTTAAACAGAGGCTCTCCGTCTGGGCAAACTGGTGTAGTGGAAGTGGGCTGCTTGGACTAGCAGAGTCTGGGTTTGAGGAGGGAGGCTCCGCAGCTCTGTTGGGTAAATGCACTCATTCCCTGTGGATCCTGGGGTCGGTTCCCCAGTGCAGGTTTAGCAGAGCCCTGGGTGAAAATGCCCTTTTCTCCTGGTCATTGGCCTCACCCACTTACTGGAGGCCCCGGCCTTGTAGGGTATGGCTGTGGCCTTGTCGGGCAGGAATGAGGTCTCACAGCTCTGGGCTATTTGGGGGCTTCTTGTTACCTGATTTAGAATACCATTGCACAAGCCCTTGGCACAGAAAGCAGAGGAAGCAGGGAAATCACGGTCCCCTCCTTTTACACTCCTGTTGGGGCTCCCCACGCTGGGCCCCCAGGAAGGGCTGCCCTTCCTCCCTGCCCAAGGGGCTGTGGGCATGCCTAGGAAGGGCCTGTCCACCTGCCCCCTCCTCTCTGGGTGCGGGGAGTGGTGGGTCTGTAGCTCACTGAGGACCCTGTGATCAGGGCTCAGGCAGCCCACTGCAGGTTTTCAGTCATTTCTGGGTCCCTAAGCCCGTCGTGGGGCAAGGTGCACTCCTCCTCTCTCCTGTAGACATTCTGGCTCCTCCAGTCTGGCTCGCCTCCTGAGTTGTGGCTGCTGTCCAGCATATGTACTCAGAGCTGGCCAAATGTTTGCTTTAAGGAGGGTGTGCTCACCGCAAGGTTCATGACTAAGATTTCCAGGGAACTCTGGTTCTGGGGTGGACTTCGAGATGAGACCCAGGAGCCTTCTCTTGACTCTACTGTGCTCTTAAGTTCTTGTGGGTGGGACCTGGAGCAAGCCACCAAGCCTTTTCTTTGTCCAAGAGACAAGGGCTAATCCTGGCTAACCTGCTCCCTGGGATTTGGGTTCAGAGCCCTTCAGATTATGTCACAGTGAGTGTCACAGGTGACACTGTCACTAGAGCAGGTGAGCCACTTTATAGTAGGCCACCAAAGCTGGGTGCATCACTACTGGATGGCCCTGCCCAAGGGCTCCCCTGCTACTCCCATTACTGGGGCTGCAGAGACTGGCCCATCCATCTGGCGCCTGCACAAAGGCTGCCAGCTGGTAGGTCTCTTGACCATGCCCAGTTGGCTGCTGCATTGCTTCTCCTTGCAGGTGGCCAGCAGCCCATGGTTTGGCATCCTGCACTTTCTGTTTGGAACACACACTGGCCTATCACTCTGTTTCCCAAGGTCCTTGGGTTGAGCTACCTAAGCCTGGCGCATTCAACACTGAGACTCACCCTGTGCTGCAAACATTCCCTGTGTGTTTTACAAACATTCCCTGTGTGTTTTGGCTTGACCTTTTAGGAGCAAGGTTTGTTAATTAAGGGAGTACCCTCACCTTCTTACCACTGCCCTCTTCGTCTCTCCCAGCCTCTATCCCCATCGTCCCCTCTTCTCAGTCCTAGAATCACTTTATTTCCTACTGTCTCTGTTTCTTCCTCTCCTCCTTTTAAGCAGCCTGAAAAGAGGATGATGACGATAATCATGATAATGTAGTACCATTATAGCAAATTCTTTTTTTTCTTCTTTTTTTTAAGACGGAGTTTTACTCTTGTTGCCCAGGCTGGAGTGCAGTGGCGCGATCTCAGCTCACCACAACCTCCGCCTCCCGGGTTCAAGTGATTCTCCTGCCTCAGCCTCCCAAATAGCTGGAATTACAGGCATGCGCCACCACACCTGACTAATTTTGTATTGTTCGTAGAGATGGGGTTTCTCCATGTTGGTCAGGCTGGTCTGGAACTGCCTGTTCAGGTGTGAGCCACCACACCCAGCCCAGAGCACTTTTAAGCTTTAATAAATTCAGAAGCACAAATGGAACATTCTTAAAATATCACTTACTTAGTTGTGGGAATTTTGAATAGTAAATGTTTTAAGTTTTTGTATTAGCCATCATTTGCCATCTTTAATAAGAGTGACTGAGTCTTTATTTTTATTTTAAATTATTAAAAAAATTTTTTTTTAAAGATGGGATCTTGCCAGGTTGCCCAGGCAGATCTCAAACTCCTGGACTCAAGCGATCCTCCCACTTTAGCCTCCCAAAGTGCTGGATTATAGATGTGAGCCACTATGCCTGGCCATAGTGTGTGTATTTCTCAAATAAAGAGTGTGTTGTCAGGCAAGAAGAGAAAATAATGTTTTTTTTTTTTTTTTTAAGACACTAAAGCTTTGAGTTCAGAGCGGTTAGGTGACTTTTTTTCCTGGTTGATCGCAGACATAGTCTAGCCTGGGGCGGGTCACTTCCTGCCTCTTTGGGCAGGCTTGTCACCCTGGATCACCAGCACTCCAGAAACGGCCTTTCCTTCTCAATGGTGCACTCTGGGGAGTTGTGTTTGGCCTGGATCCGGGAACTGGTGACAGGTCCCATTCATGGGAATCCATTTGAGTTCTGCCCCTTCCTGAGGCAGCCTTCCCTTCACCCGGCCTTCTCTCCCGAGGCTGCAGGAGAGTCTGGAGCCTCCGAGTGCAGATGGCGTGGGGCGCCAGGACCAACTTAGTAATGAGTTTATATCAGTCTGCAATGTAGGTCGCAGGAAGCTTAGCCGGCTTCTCTGGGGAGGGTCATGTGTCAACTCAGCCTAAGATGCCAGCTGCTCTGCAGCCTGAGTAATAGTGACTCAGGGATAGAAGGTCCTACATTAAAATTGACCAGGCGTTCTATTACTCTGGCAACAAAGTCCGACTTTAGAGCTGGCTTGGGGGGGATCTGGGGAAAGATGGGAACAGCAGTAATGACTTCTGGCCCCCTCATGAGGCCCTGCAAGTAAAGCCTTCAGGCAGCTGGCCTTGTCTGGGAGTTCGGGCTGGGGCCACTTCATGTGACTATGGTTTGGCTCTCCTAAGACAGCCTTCTTCTGGGTTCCAAAAAGCTCCATGGCTGTGTCACTGCCATGTGTAAGGGAGGTCTAGTGTCATGAGAGTCATGTGAAAGAGACAAGGGGTTAGCTAGGCTGTGGCATGGCTGCCAAAAGTGTATATATATACGCTCAGGTTGGATTACTAGAGGCAGAGAGATAAAGAAGGGAGGTTCTTAGTTCTACTAACCACTCTTCTGGTTAGAACACACATAGAATATTATCTTCTGTTCTGATTATATTTTGAGACAGGGTCTCACTCTGCTGCCCAGGCTGGAGTGCAGTGGTATGATCATGGCTCACTGTAGCCTCGACCTCCTGGGCTCAGGGGATCATCTCATCTCAGCCTCCCAAGTAGCTAGGACTACAGGCATGTGCCAGCATGCCTGGCTAATTTTTAAGCTTTTTGTAGAGAGGAGGTCTCACTTTGTTGCCCAGGCTGGTGTCAAACTCCTGGGCTCAAGTGATCCTCCTGCCTTGGCCTCCCAAAGTATTGGGATTACAGACGTGAGCCACCATGCCTGGCCCTGGTTATATTTTAGAGATGAAGGGAATTATTAGAGAGATCCAAAAAGATTACCTTAGAGGTGTTGAGCCTCTCCTCATGGGCAGTATTCATGTAGAAGCTAGGGACCCAGTGTTCCAGGCTCTTTCTAGCAGATTCCTAAGATATGTATGTACCTGATAAGTCATAGATAACATGTTATAGCACAGGCAAGCTTAAGCTACAGTGCGGTAGATAAATTGTGGTATATTCATACCAAGGAATACTGTGCGGCAATGAGAATGAACAGTTGTCAAAGACAACTCCGTGGATGACTGTCATCCACATGGTGTCGAGTGAAAGAACACAGACACCAAAGAGCACACACGGTCTCATTTCCCTTTAGACACACCAAACAAACAGGCAGATGTAACTGAGGGTGATAGACGTCGGGGTGGCTGGCAGTTGCCCTTGGGCTGGGTGGTAGCGGTAGTGACTGCAGGGGCAGAAGGGGGCATATTACAGGTGTTTCTCCATCTCGTGTTTCTCCATCTGGGTGCTGGTTACATGGATAGCTGCAGCTTGTGAGAATCCAGTGAACTCTGCACTTAGGATGTGTGTACTTTTTGGGGTATGCATAAGACACTTCAGTAAAAAGTAACATTATGACAGTCTGAATTGTTAAGTCACTCCAGTGGGCTAGAGGCTGTGGAATTGCCCTCAGAGTTTCTGAAATTTTCAGAGAGCGTGGCGTCGGGCGGGGCGGGAAGGCCACTCCACCTGGTGGCTGGTGGAGATCCGTGACCTGTGTGTTATGAAGGCATAGCTGGTTTTCTATTATTTTTCCATTTTTCTCAGTACCCAGATGTTGCATATTAGTGACCACTGAGAGGCCAGTTCTGTTGAAGGCTTTGAATTGCTTCTTAAGAGCTGTACTTGCCCACAGGGTAGCTTTTGAAAAGTGACTCTTCTCTGCATTCACACACAGCATGGCTTTTCAGACAGGGCCACCAGGTCCCAGGAGTACGAGCACTTTGTTTGGGTAGATGTATTCCTTTCTGTGTGTGTGGGAGGGAATGGTTTATATTTTTCTATGAAATGCTAAGCCTGCTTTGGGGCCCCCTGACTGCTCTCATGTTTCCTTCAGCTTTTTGATCATGTTGCTGAGTGCCTGGGAGATTTCATGGAGAAAAGGAAGATCAAGGACAAGAAGTTACCTGTGGGATTCACGTTTTCTTTTCCTTGCCAACAATCCAAAATAGATGAGGTAAGGATGTTCTGGGATTATCGGGCTCTGCAGATGCCCCGGGATGGAAAAGCTAACAAGCCCTTTTCTCCACAACTTTTCCCCTTTGTTGGCAGAATGGTTTGCATGTCTGGTATTTTTAAAGAAACATTTGCAGAAGTTAGTGTGGTATCATGATATAGTGTTTACTTTTTCACTTAAACTTCAGTTATTTATGTATTTTTGGAGACAAATCAGGGTATTTTTGGCCACCAGGTAGACAGAAGCATTTATTAATCTTAGGCAAGCAAAGGAAAATAAAGTAGTTTTAATGGTGGTGGAGAGAGGTGGGAAAGCTCTTTGCCAGAATTGCATGGTGTGATGTTTACCTGGAAACTGCCCTGGTTACTGCGAATATGCTCAGGGCCCTGTCCCTCAGGTGCCAGGGCTGCCTCTCCATAGTGGAGCTGATCAGTGGCTCCAGCCCCAGGGATGCCCTTGGCGACCTCCGAGGTGACTTGTTGTACCCACCTTCCTGTTTGTCATCTATTTGTTTTTTCATTCGTTCATTCATTCAGCAAGGATGGACTGTGATGATAACACTGAACTTCAGCACTGCAGGAATACAAAATAAATACATACAGCCTTGTTCTTTTTTTACATGGAAAGACAGAAACCACACACACCACAAACACAAACCACCCATGAATAAACTTCTAATAATATGAATTCTGGGGTTGGGTGCAGTGGTTCATGCCTGTAATCCCAGCACTTTGGGAGGCCGAAGCAGAAGGATCACTTAAGTCCAGGAGTTCAAGACCAGCCTGGGCAATCTGTACAAAAAGTTAGCTGTGTGCGTTAACATGTGCCTGTAGTCCCAGTGATGTGGGAGAAGCTTGGGAGATCGAGGCTGCTGTGAGCCATGATTGTGCCACTGCACCCCAACCTGGGGGACAGAGTGAGACCTTGTCTTTTTTTGTTTGTTTTTTGAGACAGAGTCTCCCTCTGTCGCCCAGGCTGGAGTGCAATGGCACGATCTCGGCTCACTGCAACCTCCACCTCCCAGGTTCAAGCAATTCTCCTGCCTTAGCCCCCCTAGTGCTGGGATTACAGGTGCCCACCACCATGTCCGGCTAATTTTTGTATTTTTGGCAGATATGGGGTTTCACCATCTTGGCCAGGCTGGTCTCAAACTCCTGACCTTAGGTGATCCGCCTGCCTCGGCCCCTCAAAGTGCTGGGATTACAGACGTGAGCCACTGCACCTGGCCAGGCTCTGTTTTAATACATACTTCACAGGTATTGCACATAATCTTCAAGCATCTCTATGAGTTAAGTGCTTATGATTCCCACTTTACAGATGAGGAAACTGAGTCTCAGAGGGGCTAAGAACCTGTCCAAGGTCACCTAGCCAGGAAGATTCCATGCTCGTAACTGGTCTACTCTGCTGCAAGTTAGTAGCATTTGGGCTCAGGGCACCTTCCACACTTGCAGGGAGCACCCCTGGGTCCCTTTATGCCATTAGGGTAAGCGTCCTTTCCTGGGCACTGCTTCCTGTGGCTGGAACCCTTACATCTGTAAAATCTGTGGAATCAGCAAGAAGGGGCTTGAGAGCACAGCAGGCCAAGATGAGCGCAGAGGTCTCCCCAGGGTCACAGGGCTTATTAATGGCAGGCCTTGGACCAGGGTCCCAGGCCCCACCTCCCATCCAGTGCTCCACCCACCTCCAACATGTCTAAATGCCTCCGAGATGTTCTGTCTGACCTGTTATGCTTTCAGGAAGCTGTGGCCATATGTAGACTCTTAATCTGGTTCTGGTATCTGAGAACGCCCCTCCAAGGTGTTCAGATCAGTTTGGCCTCCACTGTGTCCTTCCAAACCCTTTGGCAAGGCCTGTTTTCAGTACAAGTTTCCCTTGGCTTTTGAGAACTGAGACATGACAGTCACTCCCCCTTCCCCTTCCCTTGTGAGAGGTGGGCCTGGAATGAAGAGACTTTGGTGGACTGCGTTTCACCGTTGTTTACATGTGCTCTCTGCAGCTATTGACTGAGTGCCATCCCTGTGCCAGGCATGGGCTAGGCCCTGGGAGAGAATGGCCAGAGTGTATTTATTTTGTATTCCTGCAGTGCTGAGGTTTAATGTTACCGTACAGTAGGTCCCGTAACAGCAGATGTAGCCTGTTCCCCATGAAGGTGCAGCCTTCTATGGACAGAAGTGTTGCAGGAGGTGGGAGGGAATGACTTCCTGGGCACGAGAGCCTGCAGGGTGGAGCAGACATGCCCAAGAGGGGGCATTGTGAACAGAGAAGGAGCCAGAGGTGGGGGGTGTCCACCTGCCAGCCTTCACCCCCTCTGGAGAATGCTTCCTAGGCTGGGCCAGGGTACTTGCTGTGGCGCCAGTGGAGCACAGACCCTCAATTTCCCATCCAGAGGCCTGTGCATGTTACCCCTTAGGGCTGGCTGAGAACTTCAAGATTGTCCACTTCTAGATCAGCTCCCTGTTTCTAGAGGAGCACAGTGAACCTCAGAGGAGTGAAGGGAACTGCCCAGCAGGAAATGGGCAGACAGTATGAAGTGGGACCAGGTCTCCAGATTGCCAGCCCCACCTTTGTCCCACAACACCTGGTTCTCTGAGGCTTTGGAGGAGGAAGAGGGCTGCTTGAGAGGAGGCAGATAGTGTCCAGGGCTTTTGCAGTTCCTGACTTAGCTTAGTTGCTGCTGAGCAAAGAACCACCAGTTCTCATCAAGGGCTGCCCTCCCTGGTGCATACTCCAGTCTGTGTGGCTCCCACCGTGAGCTGGGGCGGGGCCCATGTGCTCAGAATGCTATCCCTGAGCTACCTCTGCAGGCCTGCGGGGCCTGGACCGTGAATCTTCCAACCCTGCTGCATTTATAGTGACTTGCCCCATTCAGAGTAAAACAGCCAAGTATAACAATTATTTTTCTGTTCTCATATCTTTTTAGTTTTTTTTTAAGAAAGCAAAAGCAATATGTAAAACTATCAAAGTAAGATAAAATTATAGAATGTTTACCATTGGATGTCTATCCTTGATGTTTCTCTGCTAATATGCAAAGTGAAATAGGATCATACTGTGTAAATAGGGGAGTCACCACTTACAAATGGCGGTTAAGTCCCAAAGCTGGTGAAGAGGCACAAATCATGTATAGTCCACATCATTCCCTAAATGTCTGGGACCTGGCTCTTAAAAGCTCAGCAGCCAAGAATTATCTTAGCATTTTGTTTCTTTTTCCAATTTGGCTCTGGCTTTCTTTTCCCAGGGCTGTGGAAGCCGGGGTCTGGTTGGGAAGTGGGGAAGGGGGCCAGGGATTTCTCTTGCTCCCTTTTAAAATAGGTCTGGCTGCGCAGTTGGCATCCAGTTAGATTGGCAAGCCATGTGGCATTACTGTCCCCACATCCACTTGCTTTCTTCTGGAGTGAACTGGATATTGTGAGCAGGTTTCTCCCCACCCTATCTTTGCCCCCAGAGAAGCCCATTGTGTGGATGATCGGGAGATGGAAATGAGTCTGGGCCCCTCCCCAAGCCCAGTGTGATCTGGGAGGAGCCACTTGGCCCCTATGGGCTTCTGCTTCATCCCTGTCCTGGAGCAATGCCCAGGGCCTTGGGGTGCTGGAGGCCTCCCAGCCCTCATCCAGCCCCATCCATTCTTCTTTGCAGGCCATCCTGATCACCTGGACAAAGCGATTTAAAGCGAGCGGAGTGGAAGGAGCAGATGTGGTCAAACTGCTTAACAAAGCCATCAAAAAGCGAGGGGTAATTTCTCCTGGGCCCTCTGCCTCAGCCATGCAGGGGTGTGGGGAGCAGGGCTGCATTCTAAAACAGACCAGTGCCCTTCCTGGGGGGCAGTAGTGCCAAAGCCTGAAGACCCAGGCAGGGGAGAGTTGAGGGCTCACAGTGTGGAATGATGAGGATGGGGATGGTGCAAAGCCCAGCTCTCGGAGGTGCTGCCTGGAGCACCCAGGCCTGGAGCAGGGGGTCACCTCCTGACAGGAGTGCTGGGCTATTCAGGGAGTGGGTGTCACGGATGCAGCCTGCTGTGCTTAGAACAAGGGCAGAGGAGCCCGCCTTATCGGGGACGTGGACCTCCTGTGGAGGTTTGCAGAGGAATGTAGCTCCATGAGTAAAATCCCCACTACCCAAAGACTCTTAAGCCAGGTAATTAAGGAAACTGTGAGGTTTTCATCATTTAATCACCATGCTCTGATCTAGTTAATTTGAGTACCAGCTGTAATGAAACCAGTACCACTCACAAAAGCAGGGGTTCTGAAAACGGGAGCACTTCTGCCAAGCGCTGTTAAGGTGTGTGATCTCTGCTCCCATGTGTGAGTGGACAATGACACCCCGTTATCTGTCCCCAGGACTATGATGCCAACATCGTAGCTGTGGTGAATGACACAGTGGGCACCATGATGACCTGTGGCTATGACGACCAGCACTGTGAAGTCGGCCTGATCATCGGTAATGCATTCCCCTTTGCCCATCCATTTGTTCGGCCCATCTTTCCAGGTGGCTCTGCACCCTCCCCGTTGTGTGGTCATAGCTTCTGATCTTGTCCTGCCCAGGCACTGGCACCAATGCTTGCTACATGGAGGAACTGAGGCACATTGATCTGGTGGAAGGAGACGAGGGGAGGATGTGTATCAATACAGAATGGGGAGCCTTTGGAGACGATGGATCATTAGAAGACATCCGGACAGAGTTTGACAGGGAGATAGACCGGGGATCCCTCAACCCTGGAAAACAGCTGTGAGTCCTTGACTTTTGCTTCTAACCACATATGTGAGTTAGGGGACATTTGATGAAAGATTTGGGATGGGAGATGAAAAGGGCATAAAGCCAAGTGATCACAAACAGAAAAGCCTGTCACATTTTTTTTTTGAGGCGGAGTCTTGCTCTGTCACCCAGGCTGGAGTGCAGTGGCTCAATCTCAGCTCATTGCAACCTCCACCTCCTGGGTTCAAGCGATTCTCCTGCCTTAGCCTCCAAGTAGCTGGGATTACAGGCATGCATCACCATGCCCAGCTAATTTTTGTATTTTTAGTAGAGACAGAGTTTCACCATGTTGGCCAGGCTGGTCTCAAACTCCTGACTTCAAGCGATCTGCCTGCCTCAGCCTCCCAAAATGCTGGGGTTACAGGCATGAGCCACCTAGCGCGGCCTAAAGCCCATCAAATTTGCATTATTTGTTGCTCCTTGTTTGGTGAGATGCACAGCTGTAGAGTCTGTAGCTGAAAAGCACCTTTAAAATAATCTTCTCTTTGTTTAATTACACTATGATTGTGTCCTTGTAAAACATCATGAAAACAAAAAGCACAGAGGCATTGATGCATCTTGGTGTGGGGCTCACAATGAACCCATCTGATGGGGAATGCGGCCAGAGTTGAGCAGGTACTGGTGGTCAGGGGAGGAGATCAAGAGGTGAATGGGAGCCCAGGAGCTCAGTAGCCCCTGAAAAAAAAAAATCCTCAAATTATCCCCTGCTGCATGAAAATTAATAAATATGAATGGTTCAAAAATGCTTCCCCAACAAAGCACAGGAAAGTTAGTGTAAATGTAAGGTTTAAAAAATATCTCTATGCTGTAGTCACGAGTGTTGCTGTTCATGGTAAGAGAGGCCAACATGGTATGTGGGGCATCTAAGGGAGATGAGTGTCCATTCATTCATCACATATTTATTGAGCACTTACTATGTGCTGAGCTCTGTGCTAGGCTCTGAGGATCCAAAACAGCACCTTCCCTCCCAAGACTTACAATCTAGATGGGGAGGTAGGGCAGACATGCAAATATCTGTTGTGCAGAGGAGTTGGGGTAAGAAGAGTATAAGTCATGTAGACGTTAGGGAGAATGGAGAAGCAACCTCCATTCTTACTATGGCAATCTCCGTATCTCCAATGTCAAGCATAAATAGACACACCAGAGTTGATAAAGAACAGAAGTAAGAGTGATATTATTCAGGTTAGAGTGGGTATTGCTTTCTCTGAGCCACTTATTTCCTGAAGTGCCTGCTCACATTTCTCTGTGATGCTGGCATGCTGCTAGCTCTCTCTGATCTACCCAGCCTCCCAGCAGCCTTATCCCAGAGTTGGATACTGTCAACCTACAGAGAGATGTTCACTGACTCTGTAGACCTAATAACCCTTATCCTGATGCTAGAGGGACAGGAATTTACTAGCCATATTGAAATGCATGACCCAAAAGATCTCAGTACTGCAGGGTGGACAGTTGGCCTTTCCACCTGAATTAATGGATTTTCATCAATGGCGAGCTCCCCACCAGTGGAGGTGGCAGCAGTGAATAAACTAGGTTTCTCAGTGAGGGAATTCCCAAGTTCTTACACCCAGAGTTGAGCATCACCATTGCAGGCTGAGACTGTGGTACCAGCTTGGTGACAAGGGACCCCAGTTCCAAAGCTCTGACAGTCAAAGGTTTTTTACCATACCCCCCCCCACCCCGCCCAATCCATTGACCCCACTGGCATGACATGAACTTATTACTGTGCCTATTTGTATGTTTCACTGAATAGCCCTGAATGTGCTTGATGGCAGTGCTGCCTCAGGCACCTCTGGAGGTATTCTGTGACACATGGCATGTATACCCTGTTGCATCTCTAAAATTCTCAAATCTCCACATTCCCAAGCACATGTGACCCCAAAGGGTTTCAGATAAGAGGTTATGTACCTGTAGTTACTATCAGTCACTTAATGAGAAGTCTCTTTTCTTAGAAGTGCAGGTGGGGCATGCCACTTGTGGTAACTCGACAGGTAATGCCCAGGCCCTTATCCTTGGTTCCCAGTTTGGGAACCCTGCATGGCTTGGGTGTAAACTTGGATCTCTCTGCTGTCCATTGATGTTTGCCTGAAATTTTCCAAAGAGATGAACTGTATCCCAAGGCTAAACTATAAACTGTGTTTACAGTTGGCTTGCAATAAATATTTTTGGGATGGATGGATGGATGGGTGGCTGATGATGGATGAGAGATGAGTGGGTGGCTAAATGGGGGTACAGATGAGAAAGTGAAAGGTTGGGGCAAAATCTCTTTTCTTGAATATGTTTCTCAGTTGTATTAGTCTGTTTTCACACTGCCTATAAAGACATACCCGTAACTGGGCAATTTACAAAAGAAAGAGGTTTAATAAACTTACAGTTCCATGTAGCTGGGGAAGCCTCATAATCATGGCACAAGTCATGTCTTACATGGATGGCAGCAGGCAAAGAGAAATTGTGCAGGGGAACTCCTCTTTATAAAACCATCAGGTCTTGTGAGACTTATTCAATATCACGAGAATTGCGTGGGAAAGACTTGCTTCCACGTTCAGTTATCTCCCACTGGGTCCCTCCCACTACAACATGGGAATTCAAGAAGAGATTTGGGTGGGGACACAGCCAAACCATATCACTAGTTTACTGCATACTGTAGGCCAGGTCTCATTGAGAACAATTCCAAGGAAATGACAAATTCCCAAGTTGCATCACATATTCCTGGAAATAGGCTGTAGGCTAAAGAGTTTTTTTGCCTAAGCAAATTTTTGCTGTGCCCCCAGGCTTCTATCTGAATCTTTGGATCTTCCCTATGTCGTTTTTCCATGGAATGCCTAGTTCTTGAAAGCCATTTTACCCTCTTTGTGGCAGGGAAAGACGTTTGCTCCATTTGACTGATGGGAAAATTATGGCCCTAGAATAGGACAGAGGTGACCCAAGACTCATTGTTGAGGTGTGGTCTGGTGTAGGTTTGGGGATTTTTGCCCTGTTTGAAGGTTTGAGGTTTTCAGAGTGAGCTTCCAGAATCTTTTCTCATTGGTAATCAGGGAGGATCTAGGGAAGTGATTTTTCATCTCTGAGTACATGTTAGAGTTACATAGCGGTCTTTTAAAAAAAATACTGATGTCCAGGCATCCTCTCACTAATGATTCAGTTGGCCTGGGTTGCCCAGTCCTCTGTATTGTAAAAGCTCCCTGGGCGATTCCAATTTTTAACCAGGGTTTTTTTTTTGTTGTTGTTGTTTTGTTTTTTGAGACAGTCTTGCTCTGTCACCCAGGCTGGAGTGCAATGGCGCAATCTCAGCTTACTGCAACCTTTGCCTCCCAGGTTCTACGTGATTCTCCTGCCTCAGCCTACCAAGTAGCTGGGATTACAGGCGTCTGCTGCCACGCCCAGCTAATTTTGTATTTTTAGTAGAGATGGGGTTTCACCATGTTAGCCAGGCTGGTCTCGAACTCCTGACCTCAGGTGATCCAGCCACCTTGGCCTCTCAAAGTTCTGGGATTACAGACGTGAGCCCCCGTGCCCAGCCATTAACCAGGTTTTAAAATCTCAGTGTGTTAGATTTGTGCAAAGGCTCTCAGTGCCCAAGTGGGCTCTAGACTACCAACAGCTACTCATTCCATTTGCTTTGATTGGAGTTAGCATTTAACTGAGTACCTACTGTATACAGTGGACAGGGAGGACATTGTCATAATAGCTATGTGGCTCCTGCCTTCATTGGTAGTTACTGCATTTGGGAGGCAGCAGAGGAACCTGCTTTGAGTGTTCAGGCCCCACCTTGCCCCAGAGCCAGAAGGTCTGTTTCTAAAAGGGATCAGTCTTTTGGTTTCCTTGTCTCGCCCTTATATTCCAGGCCTTTGATATTCTTGCCACATGCTTGTCTTATACTGTGGAGTTAGCCCCACCTTTTATATCATTTTTAATTCTCCTTCCCTTTTGTTTCCTTGAGGTTTTTTTTTTTTTTTCTTTGAGACAGGGTATCACTCTGTTGCCCAGGCTGGAGTGCAGTGATGTGATCTCAGCTCACTGCAGCCTTAAACTCCCAGGCTTAGGTGATCCTCCTGCCTCAGCCTCCTGAGTAGCTGGGACCACAGGCAGCAGTACCATGCCTGGCTAATTTTAAAATTTTTTTATAGAGACTGGGTCTCCCTATGTTGCCCAGCTGGTCTCGAACTCCTGGGCTCAGGTGATCCTCCTGCCTCAACCTCCCAGAGTGCTGGCATTACAGGTGTGAGCTACTGCACCCGGCCTGCTTGGGCTTCTTGCTCTTCTGCTCTTGCTCTGTGTTCTGCCTGGAATCTCTGGGATCTTGAATCCTTTTTCCCTGTGATTCCTTATCACATCCTTCAAAATGCAGAGCCCCCACCCCACACAACAACACAGCAACAGCAGTGACTGCAACAGCAAACGCTGGTGGTTGGTGTTCAGGAGAGCTCTTTGGCCTGGATGGTGGTTGAGTAACTGTGCGCCTTCAAGTCAGCACCCAGATGCCTTTTCTTTCTGTGGTTCTGCTGCTCCATGGAATCTCTCGGCAGCTCCGGTCCTGGTTTGCTTGGCCATGGGCCTCTGTCTCTTTTCTTTCCTTGGGCTTCTACCTGAAGCAGACCCAGGGTGCTGAGGGCTCCTCTTTGGTGTGCAGGTCCTTGCCCATGACTTCTCGTGGTTGATGATGCTCCCCTCCCCCATCTCAGCCCTTCCTGGGCCCACCAGCAGGCAGATTGGTTGGAACGCTGCCACGCCGCCTCTCACTGCCTGTCTGTGGTCGTAGGTGTCTGACTGCCGAGACACCTGGGCATTACCTGTTCAGTTATCACAAGGAAAAGGGCCCGGGCGTTACCCGTTCAGTTATCACAGGTGGCATGCCCTGAGAGGCAGATCATGACTTGCTCGATTTCATTAATTTCACTTGAGCAGATGGGAAGCACGCTGTTGGAACAGGAGCCGGTCTCCATGAGCCTTGGTTTGAACAGAGAGAAGCTCGTGAGAGGTGCTATTTGCTTGTTCTGCTGCTCTAACAGGGCCTTTAGGGACTGGGAAAGGACAGACCCTGGCCGTGGGCCTCTATCTGGAAAAGGGGGTATCACTATCCATGTGTGTAATAGGCCATGTAGAAAAGGGAGCAGATTGTTCTGGGCGTCTTTAGAAGGCAGAGTGAAAAGCAGCGGGCAGAGGGTGCCAGGAGGCTGATGTTAGCGCATCCTATGGGGAATGCCCTTTCTCTTGTCACACTGCCCAACAGGGAAGGCTGCCTAGGGAGGAGAACAGGCAGAGAAGCTGGGGTAGGGTGGTCCTAGGTGGCTGCTAGCATGATAGTGACAGCTAACATTGAGTGACACGGTCCATGAGACAGGCAGGAATGCACAGTGGTTAGGAGTACAACTTCTGGTGTTAGATCTAACTGGATTCAAAATGTGGATTGCCACTTGTTAGCCCTGTCCATGGGCAAGTTATATAACCTTTCTGTGCCTCTGTTTCCTCATCCGTGAAATGGGGATAATGCTAATGTCTCCCTCCTAGGGTTGTAATGAGGATGAAAAAAGTTAATACAGGTAAAGTGCTGGGAAAAGTGTCAGACACATAGGAAGGGCCACAGGCACTCATTGTTAGCCAGATATTGTAGCACTATCTGACCTATATTAACCCATATCCTCCATATAACCTTACAGGAAAGCAGTCAGTATCTCATTGCACAGGTAGGGAGGCCAGGGTGAGTAGCTCAGTAGTGGCTCTGCCAGGCCTCCACCAGTGCTGAGATTCCTGTTCAGGGCTACACAGAGGCTGTTCCCACAGGAGCCTGGGGTGGCACCAGACTTAGAAGGGCACTGTCCTGCCAGGGATCCTCTGCCTGGCTGCAGCCAGGCGGTCACGTCTGGTTCTGTCAGGAGCAGGAACAATGAGGACTGTGTTTTTAAGGAGGCTCTGTGCCCTGTGCTGATGGTTGAGGGCCGGGTGCTCAGGTCTCGGCAGCATCCTTGGCTTCTGGGCGGCTCTGGTTGGAACAGATTGTTTTGCTGTGTCACAGCCAGCTGTGGGTGTGCCAGCTGGGCTCCCGCAGAGGAGCGGCGGGCTGCTCTGATGTGCGCCCACCTCTTCAATCTGCCCTGCTCAGGGGTTCCTCCTGGCCCCTCGTCAGCCAGGATGTGGGGGCTGAATCTGGCTCACATATGGCATCGAGCCCTGGTTCTTGCCAGCTCCCGGCTGGGCCTTCAGCAATGCGTGTTGGCTTCTATCTCTACACCTGGCTGCCTCTCCCCTGCAGCATTGGGCTCATTCTGTCATTGGTCGGTGCTTGACCGGGGCTGGAGCTGTGCGGTGAGCTGATTGGCTGTCAGTATGCAGAGCCCAGCCCTGGAGTTTAGGGTAACATCAGTGGGGGAGGAGTGAGTTCCTCAAAGCAAATTCTTGATCCTTTTGGCCGGAGAAGGAGAAAATCATGCCAGGGAGGTGCCTAACAAATGTCCTGACAGCGGCCCCAGGGGGAGTGGCTGCCTTTCCCTCGGAGAAGCTGTTTACCCTTTCTGAGCTGGGAAATGGGGAGAATACTTCCTGGCCACCTCCTATCCACAGGGCTTGGGGTCTCCCATAGGAGTGGAGGTGAAAGTTCTTTGAAAAGTATAGCATACAAGCCAGGTGCTGTAGCTTGCATCTGGGAGGGTCGCTTGGGCCCATGAGTTCGAAACCAGCCTAGGCAGCATAAGGAGACTCCCCCTCTACAAAAATTTTTAAGAATTAGCTGGGCGTGGTGGTCTAGCTACTCAGGAGGCTGAGGTGGGAGGATGGCTTGAGCCCAGGAGGTTGAGGCTGCAGAGAGTCGAGATTGTGTCACTGCGCTCTAGCCTGGGCGACAGTGAGACCCTGTCTCAAAAAATAAATAAATAAGTAAATACATACATACGTACATACATAAAGATAAAAAATAAAAAGTATAGCATACAGTTTAGGAGGAGATTATCATATTTTGCACATTTCTATCTGGGGCCTTCTTGACATCTGCAATCTAAATCCAAACGCTCCCCCTGCCTTCAGGCAGCCTTCCCTGCCTGCTCCTGCCCATGGTGTTCTCCTAGTCACAGGCATGGGGTCTGGATGACTCCTGCCCTCTCCACAGTCGGCTTGGCTTCCGATCCCTCTCCCTCTGCTGTTCAGTCACTCAAGCACATGGTTTTGCCTGCCAGCGAGGCTGGGGGCTGGTGAGGGGTGAGTCGGGGCTTCCCATTCCTTTTATGTCTGTCCCAGCCCTCGTGTGTGGGGCGCAGAGGAAGGCTGACAAGTGCCGGTGTGCCTTTCTCCACAGGTTTGAGAAGATGGTCAGTGGCATGTACTTGGGAGAGCTGGTTCGACTGATCCTAGTCAAGATGGCCAAGGAGGGCCTCTTATTTGAAGGGCGGATCACCCCGGAGCTGCTCACCCGAGGGAAGTTTAACACCAGTGATGTGTCAGCCATCGAAAAGTAGGTACCATCCCCTCAAGGCTTTCTTGGGGTGTTGGGGCAGAGAAGAGCAATTGGTCCCTTGTTACTTCTTGAGTCCAAGTTTGGTGGCTTTTCCTTCAAGAGTGTCATGGCTTTCTGGGTCCGTGTCCTCTCACTCTTAGTTGACCCATTCTGGGCCGGACTCCCTGAAGGCACTTGTGGCGGTTCATTAAAGAATGACATAGTTAGCCTCAAGTGCACAGGTGATTTTCCTGTCTAGCTACAAGAGCAGCCTCCTCTCCCACCCCCATCAGCCCATCACCCCCACCCTCCACACACACTCAGGGTAAGATTAGCGTCCAGGAAGCAGACTATTCGAGCAAGGAGCAAGGAGCTGGTAAAGCCCGGAGCCTGGGTTTTTGGAATTCCACCTCCCACTTCCAGTCTGGAGACCTCCAGACTGTGCTGAGGGCACTAAGGGCACCCTAGTAACCTCAAGATGTTAATTAGGTGCTCCCTGAAAAAAGACTTCCTTGACCAATAGGATTGGGAATATGGCACATTTATCTTCCAGTTTACAATATTATGGTAAAATAAATACAGACTCACAGTAAAAAAGAATAAGAAGTATAAAGTATAAAAATACAGATTTATAGTATCATCAACACATTAAAGAAAACCCAGTTTGCTTTGACTTGTCATTTCCCAAACTTCTTTTGTGCTTGAAACCACCCCTTCCCTGCCACACACACATTCTTTCAGAGGAAACCTGTTAACAGCCAGAAATGTGCCCTGACGTGCAAGTTTGAGAAACACCGGTTAACAGATGAGACAGGACAGTTAGAAGGAAGGACAGAGCCAGCCAGCAACTAACTGTAGCCCCTTGGCATCACACAAGAAACCCGGGATTCTCTGTCTCCTTGTGAAGATTTGCATCAGCTCTCTTTGAGGTTAGAGAAGGCAGCTGCTGGAAGAGGAAAGGGGTTTATCTGGACCAACTCTTCTGCCAAATCCATGTGCTGGAGTTTGTTGTATGATCACTCTCCTGAGTTTCCAGCTGTCCCTTTTCATGAGTCTCCTGGTCAGTGGCTGGGAAGGAAGGGGAGCGGGAGACTCGTGGATTGTCTTGAAAATCACTGGCCAAGTCAGGAAATGCATGCCTTCCTCTTGGCCTGTTTCTGGTATTGACTCTTTGGTTACCAAGAAACACAAACCCAGCTAGCTCAAGAAAGCATGTATATTATAATAAAGGCTATCTCAAAAAAAAAAAAACTATAAAAACATCCTACAAGAGCAGATGTTAGAGGCATTCTCTAAAATCAGGAGCGAGACAGTATCACCAGTTTCTATTTGGCATCGTACTGGAGTCTTAGCCAGTGGGTTTTCGTTTTTGTTTTTGTTTTTAAAGAAAAGACGAGAGATAAATTAAAGGTATGAGAATCAAAAAAGAAGTGAAACTGTCATTATTTGCAAATGGTAAAAGTCTATATGGAATACCCCCAAAATATCTACAGACAAATGAATAGAATGACGGGAGAGGTTAAAAAGATGTCTGGATGGGGTTTCACCTTGTTGGCCAGGCTGGTCTCAAACTCCTGACCTCAGGTGACCCTCCCACTTTGGCCTCCCAAAGTGCTGGGATTACAGGTGTGAGCCACTGTGCCCAGCCCCCATCCTCTTCTATCATTTTTAAAATCTCTTCTCCCATCATAAAATTAATTTCTCTCATATTTTTTGGTCAGGTAGAATTGGGAAAGTCCCACACTCTCCTATTCTCGTATTACCTTAACATCCCAAGCTTCCTTTCCTTTTTTGGTCTTTATGAATATATTTATATGGACAGAATTAAGATAAACAAAATTGATTTCCCCATTCTCTCACTTCCCCATCTTGTCTTCCTAGACCCCACAGAGTTAAAACTTGGGACTCCCCCGACCCTCCCAGAACACTTGTATATTGTTTGTTTGAGGTTCGTGCCGCAGTAACAGACACAGTATTTGATTGCACATACAGATGTTTGCTGGGTATATTCACTGTACATTTTATTTAATCTGGTTTTTTGTTTGGGGGTTATTTGGGGCGAGGTTGGTTTTGTTTTTAAATATTAAAAAAAATCTGTCAAAAAAAGATGTCTGGAGATAAGATACAGAAGTCAACTGTATTTCTATCAGCAATAATAAAAATATGTACATATTTTAAAACACATTTTTAAGAATAATTTTAGATTTACAGGAAAGCTGCAAAGATAGAGTGTATGTATATGTGTTTGTGTGTATGTGTGAGTGTATATGTATGCCTGTATGTATACATATATATTTTAAAGGCACCATTTGCAGCAATAACAAAACTATAAAGTACTTCAGAATGAATCCAACAAAAGATACACAAAACACGTGTACAGAAAATTACAATTTCACTGAGAGACATCAAGGAAGGATGTATAAGCATCCAGGGGCAACTCACAGACCCCACGAGTGGGAGGTTCTCCTGAGCCTCATGAGCCCTGGGTGGTGGCAGCCATTTCGCCACCTGTTCAGAGGCCACATAGTCTTGCCTCTCCACTTCTCTTCATGGTCCTGGCTTGGCATAGTGCAACCTGGTACAGTTTTTCCTATCACTACCTGGCATTTCTTATGGAGGAGAACCCTTCCTGGGCTCTTCTCAGGCATTTGACAGTCTTCATCCCATACCATCCCATACCATCCCACACATGGTAAGTGGGGCTGTCCCTTTCCAGCACCTTTGAGCCTCAGTGCTTTGCACTGCCTCATGTGGTCCTCAGTGCATCAGTATTGGCTTCTAACTTCACAGGAATAAGGAAGGCCTCCACAATGCCAAAGAAATCCTGACCCGCCTGGGAGTGGAGCCGTCCGATGATGACTGTGTCTCAGTCCAGCACGTTTGCACCATTGTCTCATTTCGCTCAGCCAACTTGGTGGCTGCCACACTGGGCGCCATCTTGAACCGCCTGCGTGATAACAAGGGCACACCCAGGCTGCGGACCACGGTTGGTGTCGACGGATCTCTTTACAAGACGCACCCACAGTGAGTCTGCCCTTTGCTATCATTGGCACTCTGTACCCATTGTGGGTAGGGACCTTCTCCAGAGATCAGACTTTTGTACCCGGTAAACGTTTTTCGGCAGACAAGACAATGGTGGTCGGGGGCTGTGGCTCATGCCTGTAATCTTAGCACTTTGAGAGGCCGAGGCAGGAGGAAGGAGTTTGAGAACAGCCTGGGCAACATAGTAAGACCTCATCTTTACGAAAAATTGAAAATAAATAAATAGATAAATAACATGCTTAGTTCTGGGCATAAGGTCAGCGTCGCCCCCTTGGGAAGTATCGCCCTTAGTCGATTCTTGCTGGTATTGCTTCTGCACTCTGTCGTTACCTCGCCCTGTCAAAAGTCGAGATGGAGATTTCTGTAGCTGTCGGCTCCTCTGGGTGGAATGTGTCTGTCTCTCGTCCGCATTTCATCAGGAGGACCTTGGGTCATAGGTGTGGTACCCACATTCTTGTTTCAGAAGCTCCTGTTAAAACCCCCCAAACCCTCAGACTTTACTTTTTTAAATGGGCAGCTTGTCTGTGCTTGGCCTCTGAGAGCTGGAGCTGCAGGAGCTGTAAGTTGTCCCCATTGGCAAGGAGGTGCTTTGTTCCCCACACAGCCTTCTGGTCTGTCAGTGGCCCCAGCCAGTCCTCATGCCATCTCACCTTAGTTTTAGAAGCCATGTTGTCCTGTGAGAACGTGGCTTATACTTTTTTTAAAAGGCTAAAGGGAAATTCTAAGTCATTATTTAATAAGTTTTAATGCTAGCCTGTGACATGATTGTTTTGCACAGGACCTCAGAGTTGTTTCCCACTGTACATATAAATACAATGTGCATGTGAAGCACCCATGTCAGTACTGCACCTTCACACCCAGTTCTGTTGATGGCTCAAAGAATGTCGACTTCAATTGAAATAGTTCTGGCCTGGCATGGCAGCTCACACTTGTAATCCCAGCACTTTGGGAGGCTGAGGCAGGTGGATTGCTTGAGCCCAGGAGTTCGAGACCAGCCTGGGCAATGTGGCTCTACAAAAAATCATACACAGCTGGGTGTGGTGGTGTGCCTATAATCCCAGTTACTTGGGAGGCTGAGGTGGGAGGATCACTTGAGCATGGGGGTGCAGAGGTTGCAGTGACCTGATGTGCCTCTACACTCCAGCCTGGGGGACAGAATGAGCTCCTGTCTCAAAAAAAGAAAGAGAGAGAAATAGTTTTGTGTTGCTGAGGGGATAGGGTTTGAGCCAAGGACGTAATTGTATTTTTAAAATATTTTTAAAGTATTTGCAAAAATCTTGATAATGAAACTTTTATTAGCCATTTCTTTCTTTTTTCTTTGTAATTTCTTGGCTAATTTTTTGGACAAGAAAGCCTAGGGATTTGCAGCATCACATTAGAATTTTTTTAGATTGTGGTAAAATACACATAACATGAAGTATATCATCTTAACCTTTTTTTTTTTTTTTTTTTGAAGGCAGGGTCTTGCCCTGTTGCCCAGGCTGGAGTGGAGCGGAGTGGTGTGCTCTCAGCTCACTGCAACCTCTGCCTCCCAGGTTCCAGCAATTCTCCTGCCTCAGCCTCCCGAGTAGCTGGAATTACAGGCATCTGCCACCATACCCAGCTAATTTTTGTATTTTTAGTAGAGACGGGGTTTCACCATGTTGGCCAGACTGGTCTTGAACTCCTGACCTCAGGTGATCCACCTGCCTTGGCCTCCCAAAGTACTGGGATTACAGGCATGAGCCACCTCGCACTTGGCCCCATCTGACTTTTGAACACCGTGCTTTTGACCACTGTGCTGTATTATCTTCCTGTCATGGTGGAGGGCAAAATCTTTTTAGACCTGGAATTTTTTGTATGTGATACTCATGTAATAATGAGAGTCTTCTCTTTTTATGTGTGATTATGAACGATTTCATTTTTCCTTTTTACCTCTCTGCATTTGCTAACTTTTCTACAGTGGATGTATATGATTTGTGTAATGAAAAAAGCAGGTGCAGAAAATGGAATTAGGCTGGGCACAGTGGCCCATGCCTGTAATCCCAGCACTTGGGAAGCTGAGGCGGGTGGATAGCTTGAACCTAGAAGTTTGAGACCAGCCTGGGCAACATGGCGAAACCCTGTCTCTACTAAAAATACAAAAAAGTTAGCCGGGCGTGGCCCCAGCTACTCGGGAGGCTAAGGTGGGAGGATCACCTGAACCTGGGAGGTTGAGGCAGCAGTGAGCTGTGATTGTGCCATTGCACTCCAGCCTGGGTGACAGAGCAAGACCCTGTCTCAAAAAAAAGGAAAAGAAAAAAGAGTTAAAGAGTGGAGAAAGAAAGGGTGGCCGGAGGTCCCCAATAAATGCTCAGTCCAGCTGTTGTGGAATGTCCCCCCTGCCCCCATAAGGTATTCCCGGCGTTTCCACAAGACTCTAAGGCGCTTGGTGCCAGACTCCGATGTGCGCTTCCTCCTCTCGGAGAGTGGCAGCGGCAAGGGGGCTGCCATGGTGACGGCGGTGGCCTACCGCTTGGCCGAGCAGCACCGGCAGATAGAGGAGACCCTGGCTCATTTCCACCTCACCAAGGACATGCTGCTGGAGGTGAAGAAGAGGATGCGGGCCGAGATGGAGCTGGGGCTGAGGAAGCAGACGCACAACAATGCCGTGGTTAAGATGCTGCCCTCCTTCGTCCGGAGAACTCCCGACGGGACCGGTGAGGGCCTGCTGGGGGCTGACATGCCTGTCCTGCTCCTGCCAGGAACTGAGCCGCAGTGGGGGAGGTTGGATTCGCCAGTGGATGCCTTCACACTGGTGATGCACGATTTTGCCAGAGCTAGAAACTCCCTCACATCTCTGTTTTCCATTTTTATTAACTGATTTGTCATGTGTGTGACTCAGGGCAGTTTAATTTTCCTGGTCAGACCTCCCAGGCAAGTGCTATCTCTAAAACCACAGCCCTGCTCAGAACAGTGCTCTTAGCTGGGCAAGGTGACACACGCCTGTCATCCAGCTACTTAAGAGGCTGAGGTGGGAGGACTGCTTGAGCCCAGGAGTTCAAGACCAGTCTGGGCAACATAGCAAGACCCTGTCTCAAAAAAAATTAAATGAATAAAAAAGAAGTGTTCTTAAAAGCTGGGCAAATCCCACAGCACTGATTAGGTTTTCCCAAAGCCAAGGAAAGCCAGCAGAAGGATAAACACTCAGTGTACCCTTCTTAAATCTTGATAGAGTATGCATGAGGCATTCAGGGCCTGGGGAGTTTCGCATTCAGGCAAATTGTAGAACAAAATCCAACCCTTTATGCTAACCTTGGTAGTTTTCACTGGAGCTGATCATTATGGGGAATCTGAAGAGCTTTTCAGGTGGGTCCTTGGAGTAACGAATGTTTGTGACAGGAATGTGTCCTATGTGTAAGTTACCTAATACCACATTATAAGCCACCCTCACACTTAGTGGCTTAAAACAACCACGCTTTATTATTGTTCATGCATCTGTGGGTCAGTTGGACAGTTCTGCTCATCAGGGCCAGGATTGGCTGACCTCTGCCGGCCTCATTCCTGCATCTGCAGTCAGCTGTTGAGTCAGCTGGGAGGCAGATCTCAGACGCCCTTCCCCACATGTCCAGCAGTTGGCTGTCAGCTGGGGTGCAGGGGCCCCTGGCCCTGTGTCTCATCCTTCAGTGGGCCACCTGGCTGTTCAAGTGGTGGCAGCAAGGGCTGCGAGGGAGAGGGGAAGACTTCAAAGCCTCCTGGAAGCCCAGGCTGGGGATAGGTTCAGCTTTGCCTCTGCCACACTCTGTTGGCCTGAACAATCCTAGGGCTGGGCTAGATCCCAGGGGAGGAGAAATTGACTCCATGTTTCAGTGGGAGGAACTGCAGTCATGTTGCAAAGAAGGATTTTGCACATGCAGGGAAGGGAATGATGCAGCTGTTTTTGCAAATACCCCACACCTTGACATAAATTATTATTTTTTGTAGGAGATTTTCATTGTTGCAGCCCTGGTGAAGTCTGTGTATTGTGACAGGTGGTTTACTCACATGCTCTCCTCCCAGTGTGGCTCCAAGTCTGTGGTGGTCAGAGATGTGGTGCCCACTCTTCCTCTGAGTCTGTGCTGTGTCCTAAAGGGAGGAGTTGCAGCTTCTCCTCTATGTTTGCTATGGGGTTCTCCCCTTGAAAGTCTGGAGTCTTGGGGTTACTGGCTGCCAAGAGGCACTTAGCTGTTTTTGACATTCTTTACGCTTTTGACTGCAACAGAGAATGGTGACTTCTTGGCCCTGGATCTTGGAGGAACCAATTTCCGTGTGCTGCTGGTGAAAATCCGTAGTGGGAAAAAGAGAACGGTGGAAATGCACAACAAGATCTACGCCATTCCTATTGAAATCATGCAGGGCACTGGGGAAGAGGTGAGATTACAAAACCATAGTGCATGTGCACTGCACACACGGCCAGTGGCACCGGCAGTCACGTGATGACCAAAATCCGCCACGGGGTGCCCACATGGATTTGTGTCCTTGTGGCCCAGAAGCACCAGATGCTTTTTGCCATGCCTGGCTTGTGACACTCTGGTGGCTGAGAAGATTCTGGAAAAGGAGGCTCACTCTGCATGTGTGTGGGGTGTGTTTTCCTACGTGTGTGTGTGTATACACACTTTGGTCCATGTGCACTGATAAAATTAAAACCACAGAGAGCACGGGCGATCCTTTCTTTTCCCCTGCAGCTGTTTGATCACATTGTCTCCTGCATCTCTGACTTCTTGGACTACATGGGGATCAAAGGCCCCAGGATGCCTCTGGGCTTCACGTTCTCATTTCCCTGCCAGCAGACGAGTCTGGACGCGGTGAGTCTCTGTTCTTAGGGCTCAGTGATCGGGCAGCACTGAGTCCCCTGTGGCCTGGGTGGGCTGGCCCTTGAGGCCTTCTCCAGCCTCAGTGTCATTCCTAGATGACAGTCACAGTCACAGTGGGTTGAGCCAGGCTTTATTTCACAGCCTGCAGGGCATACTGAGACTCTTCTCTCTTCTTTTCTCTTTGAAAGCGTCACCTTTTCTGGGAAACCTTCTGGTCCTCCAAGCAAAAAAAGAACCTCATCCTCTTCTGTGCCCCCTGTTCATTTGATTGTTGCCTTGCTTATAACACTTCTTACACAGTTAGTTCTTAGTGTCTTTTGTTTCTGCTAGTGGTAGACTCCGTGAGCAAGGACCTGTATCCCTGCACGCCCTAGCACAGTGTCCAATCAGAGGAGATAATAAATGTTTGTTCAATATATGAGATGAATCAGGGTCCAGGATCAGAGCTTGAGCACCTGCTGACTACTGATTGGCTGGGCTCAGAGCTGAAGGTTACAGCTCCTGTCCTTTGGAAGGCCACAGTCTAGTGGGGGAGCCGAGTCCCTAACACCAGCAGCTCCAGCTCCATGCTGTCAGGGCTGGGGAGTGGATTCTGGGCAGAAGGAACCAATGGTGCAGAGTCACGGAGGCAAGACCCAGCCTGTCACGCTGGAAGAGCTGTAGGTAGCTCTGGGTGTCACAGGTGGAGACGTGACCAGGCAGGAGTTCTGGAGGTGGGTCTTAGGCCAGGGTTTAAGGCTTAATGAGCAGCCCTAGGAGAGTTAGGTAGGGTCACCTACCTCTGTAAACCAGTTAATCCAGTTACATCGCTGACTTGGGACTTTTTTCTTCTGAAACCCTTTTAGAGCTCAGGAGTTAGATCTGTTTGTTTGTTTTTAAAGCATTTCACTTATACCTTCACCTTGGATTCATCATAGTCAACACACACCCAGTGTACTTTCTTCCCCAGGAAGTGTTTTAACTTCAATCCAGTGAAAGCTAAAATGTACTTTAGGTAGACACAGTATTACTAAACTCTTAGGATCCTTCAGTTATAGTGTCAGTAGACTCTTCTGTACAGCTGGTTATGCCAGTGGCAGCACCAGGCTTGGAATCGGGTGATCTGGGCTCTTGTCCAGTATTGAGTGCCGTCTTTGCCGTCTGCTGAGTGAACTTAGACATTGCTATTTACCTAATGTGCCTCATGCTCCATCTGTGAAGTGGGATTATTTCAAACCCCTATGAGGATGGTGAGGAGGGTCTATTCATATTTTATTGGTTTGTCCTCAGATGTTTGAACTCCGTCTCCGATGTTGTAAGCCCTCAGCAGTTGTTGACTCAGGAGGGAGGGTTGGAATTTTGTGTTCTCCCCTTCCAGGTTAATTACACAGGACTCTCCTGGTGCTTTTTATGTTGTAGGGAATCTTGATCACGTGGACAAAGGGTTTTAAGGCAACAGACTGCGTGGGCCACGATGTAGTCACCTTACTAAGGGATGCGATAAAAAGGAGAGAGGTAACTATTAAAAGAATGTTTTTTAAAATCTTTACTGTTTTAGGGGCTTCTAAAAAGTGTATTTGCCTGTTGTAAAGAATTCAGGCCAGGCGTGGTGGCTCACGCCTGTAATCCCAGCACTTTGGGAGGCCGAGGCGGGTGGATCATGAGGTCAGGAGTTCTAGACCAGCCCGGGCAATATGGTGAAACCCTGTCTCTACTAAAGTTACACAAATTAGCCAGGCGTGGTGGTGCGCACCTGTAGTCCCAGCTACTCGGGAGACTGAGGCAGAAGAATCGCTTCAACCCAGGAGGAGGTTGCAGTGAGCTGAGATCACGCCACTGCACTACAGCCTGGGCGACAGAGCAAGACTCCATCTCTAAATAAATAAATAAATAAATAAATAATACATAAAAAAGAATTCTAACAATACAGAAGTATGTGACCTGGCCAAGAAAAGCTCCCTATTTCCTGACTCCACTGCCCGCAATAAAATAAGGGCTCATAGGTTTGTGTTGTTAAAAGATTATTATTATTTTTTTTTTAGAAAGGCAAATCATGACTCTCATACAAATTGAAAAAGAGAGAAGCAGCCCCTGACAGGTGGGCACAGCCTGGCACTCTCAGTTAGGCCTTGGTGTTCTCCTGTGGAACACAAACAATTTCACAGAGTCCACAAACAATTGCAGAGCAGAAACATCAGACACAGCCACTCCGTCCGGGACCATGATGGATTTAGACAAGAATAAGACCAGTCTGTAACCATAGAATTGCCCCTGGTTCCTGACAATATCCAATCCAGAGCAAAGCCCCACTTCTTTAAACCTTCCCCCAAACCACAACACAGACACAGATCCAAATTAAACTTTTTTAAAAAAAATTTTTAGAATTTTAAAGTTTCCTTTTTTGAGACAGGGTCTTACTCTGTCACCCAGGCTGGAGTGCAGTGGAGCAATCTTGGCTCACTGCAACCTCTGCCTCCCAGGCTCAAGCGATCCTCCCGCTTCAGCCTCCCTAGTAGCTGGGATTACAGGTGGGCATCTACATCTGGCTAATTTTTGTGTTTTTGGTAAAGATGGTGTTTTGCCATGCTGCTCAGGCTGGTCTCCAACTCCTGGGCTCAAGCAATCTGCTCGCCTTGGCCTCCAAAGTGTTGGGGTTTTTAAATAGAGGTGGGGTCTTGCTATGTTACCCATGCTGGTCTTGAACTCCTGGGCTCCAGTGATCCTCCTGCCTCACCCTCCCAAAGTGTTAGGATTCCAAGCATGGGCCACCACACCAAGCCACTTTCCAAGATGCCCCCGGGGTGTGTTCTCCAGTGTTGCAATGAGTCAGTAAAGCCCAACTTTGTTAGATTACAGGTGTGTTTCTCGTGGTCTTTGGCTGGAGGACATTGAAAAAATATAAAATGAAAAATTCCCAAGATTTAATTTAACTCATTAATTAATGAGGGAGTCAGTAAGAGACTGTTTTAAATTTTTTTTTTGACTTTTTTTCAAATCCCATTACACTGAGCAAAGTAAGAACTTTAAAAAACAAAACAAAACAAAACAGAACACTTCAAATAACAGTCTAAAGAGCAGACAGATACCTGGGCACTAGGCTGTCAGGGAAGCTGAAATGAGTGTCTGAAAGAGGGCTGATTTGTCTGCTGTCTTTTGCAGTTAAATAGAAAAAAAACAAAAAGGGCTGAGTTGCATCTGGAAGGGTATGCTACACAACTTACAATATTTCATTGAAAATATAGCTGCGGGTTGGGTGCAGTGACTCACACCTGTAGCCAAGGCAGGAGGAACTTTGGGAGGCCAAGGCAGGAGGAACGCTTGAGCCCAGGAGTTGGAGACCAGCCTGGGTAACGTAGTAAGACCCCGTCTCTATAAGAAATTAAAAAATAAAAAATTAGCCGTCATAGTGGTGCACAACCTGTGGTCCCACCTACTGAGGAGGCTGAGGTGGGCGGATTACTTGAGCTTAGGAGGTTGAGTCTGCAGTGAGCCGTGGTTGCGGTAGTACACTCCAGCCTGGGTGACAGAGCAAGACTCTGTCTCTTAAATAAGAAAGGATACCTGCTGATCTATTTTTGCCTGCTTCACAACTATTAGTGTTAATTCTTCTAGCTTGCTTTCCATGCATATGCCAACACACACACACACACTCACTTAAAAATAGGAATTATACCATATATACAACATGACAAATTGCTTTTTTGATTTAATATGAAACAGGTATCCTTCCTCATCATTGCATTTAGATCAACCTCATTCTTTTTCCTGGCTGCGTAGGATTCCAGCATGTGTCTGAATTGCCTTTTACATAGCCCATTTGATCTTCACTTGGATTGTTTCCTCTTTCTGACTATTGCATGTCATGCAGTAAATATCCTTGTATGTGTGCGTTTGTGCACCTGCAGACTATTTCTCAAGGACAGATTCTGAGCAGTGAGTTTAATATTTTCCATTTTGCCCTCTGAAAGGCCATAATGCTTTAAACTCCAAAGGGAAGAAGCTATTTGACCATTGCCCCTTGTCTCTCCTATTCTATGATTCCTCTAATAGTATCATCATCTGTAAAATGGGTAGAATACTTTCCCTTCCTTAGATCTCATGTTTCAGATATATCCTTAATAGCAGGGGTTTAGTCTGTGAAGGAACATTCATTACCTTTTTGTAGGCTGGTAAGAAAACCATCTTAGATGATGACCAGTGGCTCTCTGACTGCAGTGCAACAGACAGAACCGGCAGCATTCAAGCCAGGCATAGTGATCCTATTCCTAAAGCTGTGTCCCTTTCTTTGCAAAGGAATTTGACCTGGACGTGGTGGCTGTGGTCAACGACACAGTGGGCACCATGATGACCTGTGCTTATGAGGAGCCCACCTGTGAGGTTGGACTCATTGTTGGTGAGTGTCCTGGAAGGTCTCTTTCCCTGCAGAAGGGAAGGCTGGGGTTTCCCCGTTTTGTGGGGCCTTGGCCCAGCAGCTTGGTCCTCTGTATGGGGTAGTCTTATCTGTCAGTATCATTTCTTGACCAGCTCCAGAGTTCAGGGCTGGACGAAGGCAGCAGAGTCTCTGGCGGGGGGAGGTGGGGGGGCCTTTCTTAAGACACCCATAATGCTACACATTGCTTATGATCAGACTGTCAAGAACTGAACTCTTCAGGAATGAGGACCCAAAAGGCTCACTTGGCTTGAGTGGAGACAGGTACCTGGAGCGGGCCTGGCAAACATGGCAGCTCTATGGGCCTTGTATGGAGGGGCTCTGGTCAGGTATTGCAGGGGGATGGGGTGGGGAGGGAGTCTGCGGCTGGAAAGGAAGTAGAGAGCACCTCCCATGCTGACCACACTTAGAGCATGGAAAGGGGCAGGATGGTCTTGGGCACCATTTTGCCTTTAGCAGCCACTGTGTGCGCATGGTCCCAGCCACTGAAGGGGGTTGCAGAGGGGTTGTCTCTGCAGCTCGTTGCCTTGTAATCCAAAACACATTAGGGGTCTGGGCCTCGAGCACATAATTCCTGAAGCATATTGATTTGGGCTATGAGGAAACCATTTGTCCTGCTGGCCCTGCTCCTCGCGTCAGGGGATGCTGGGAAAGACCCCAGGGAGTTTCTTAGCCAACATCTGCGGACTCTGCCTGGTGAGTGAGCAGTGGCACCCCTGCTACTGGATCAGTTGCTGAGTGTCTAGAGCTTGGGAAGAGGCCCCAGCAGGCTGCCTTCCAGGTGCCAGGAAGAACTTTTCATTCATTGTTAAGCCACTTTTCGCTTCTGTTGAAATTTTAAAAAACCTAGGGAGCAGCTGCTGGTGAAAAGGTTGTTTGGGGCCTGGCTTTCTCCACCCAGCCCCTCCCTTTCTTTCCATGAATGGGCTTGGGTATGAAATGCAAAGCTAGAGTGACACAGCAGCTCTCCTCCTCCTGCAGGCCCCACCTTCCCTCCTGGGAGGTCAGGCCCGCCCGTTTCCTGGCACCAGGCTCCAGCTACATTTCATAGCTACTTCATAGCTACTTTTTCTTTCCTCCATCAATTGATCTCTTTGCTCAGGACTCCCATAGGCAAGATGTATGGTTTCCATGTTTTGGCTTTCTTTGCATCTCCCACTCCCATCATCTTCCGTTTCTGGAGCTCCTCTTCTCTCAGTTTTAACCTTGGGTGAAAAGGGGGCTGAGAAAACAAAGAACAAAAATCATCCAACTGTACAGTCTTTGAACTCTACTTAAGTTTCTTCAAAGGGGATGAAAACTACCAAAGCCCTTTTGGTCTGGCCAGGGGGTGTGTCTTGTGCCCTCCCGATGAAAGTTCACCTACATCCCACCCTGGATGGGTGGATGGTGCTCCTGGGCGCATCATTAGCATCATCCTGGGAGCTTGTTAGAGATGCAGGCTCTCAGGTCCTGGCCCTAGCCTCTTGAATCTGGATCTGCTTCTTAGGGTCCCCAGGTGATCCAGGTGCATATTAAAGTATGTGTGTGAAGCACTCTTCCTGGGTTAGTTGATTGGTTTTTAAATGTCCAGTCTATTCAGTGAGGCAAGTTCAGTGACCACAAGCTTGGATATCATGGCAATTAAAATTGCTGTGAAAGTTGCAGGATGCTTGCCTTCAGTTTCTTAGCTCCTCATGGGCTGGAACAGCAAACAGTCGGTGGTCCTTCTATTTTGAGTGACTCTGCTCTAGGGAGTTCAGGAATGGAAGTCAGAGATTCCTGAGCCCCTGGCAAGCATATGTCAGGTTGCATGTGTGCGGTGTGTGGGTCCACCCAGAGAAAGGTGCCTTTTTCACAGAAGAATCCTCTGATCTTCAAAGGTCTGATACAAAAATGATGAAAAACCATTGCTTTTGAAAGCCCCCCTTGAAATGCTGAAGACACTGTCCTGCCCTGAACTGTGGGCTTCATCCCAAGGTATGTAGGAAAGCTTATTGAGCAGGCATAGTCCACGACCAACCATCCTTGTCGAGAAAAGATAAGTGGGGCTGGGCGTGGTGCCCACGCCTGTAATCCCAGCACTTTGTGAGGCTGAGGCGAGAGGGTAGCTCGAGCCCAGGAATTTGAGATGAACCTAGGCAACATGGCAAAACCCTATCTCTACTAAAAATTTTAAAAAATTAGCCAGGCATGATGGTGGTGCCTGTAGTCCAGCCACTTGGAAGGCTGAGGTGGGAAAATCACTTGAGCCCTGGAGGCGGAGGTTGCAGTGAGCCAAGATTGCGCCGCTGCACTCCAGCCTGGGTGACAGAGCCAGACCCTGTCTTGAAGAAAAGAAAAAGAAAATAAGTGAATATCTATGGTATGATAGAAGATAATCCCCTAATATTTTATACACATATATATAGGCATGTATATATTGTATATTCATGTGTGCATGATGTTGTGTGTGTACGTATATATTTCTTCTTCTGGTCTGAATGTTGCCTAAACCTCTACCATTGATGCTCCATCTCTTTGCTATAAAGCCATCTTCTATTAAAATAAACATAACCCTGCCTGGACGGGTGAACACATTGGCTCTTGGTTGAAAGTCAGCTAAGCAGGTGCCCTCTGGGTGATGTGGCTCAGACTCTCCATTTACATTTCAAATTTTTCCATTTCAAAATTGGGAAAGAAAAACTATTACTTTGTTCATCACAAAAAACGTGCCCCCTGCCTGTGGAACCTCAGGCCCCAGACCCCAGGCCCAGTTGCAAGACCCCCAAATGCAAGGCCACCGCTCCTCATTGCCCCCTCGTGTGTTCCAGGGACCGGCAGCAATGCCTGCTACATGGAGGAGATGAAGAACGTGGAGATGGTGGAGGGGGACCAGGGGCAGATGTGCATCAACATGGAGTGGGGGGCCTTTGGGGACAACGGGTGTCTGGATGATATCAGGACACACTACGACAGACTGGTGGACGAATATTCCCTAAATGCTGGGAAACAAAGGTAACCCCGCCTGGTGGAGAGGACACTCACAGTCAGGGTGGGGGCAGCACTTGGCTGCATTCTGCCACTTGCAGTGGAAGAAGTTTCTAGGAGGAGAGGTCTGAACAGAGGTTTCAAGACTGGACCCCCTGGCTCACTCCTGACCTTTGTCTTTTGGACAGCAGAGAACCAGGGAGGACAGACCCCCAACATGGTACAAGATGGCCCAGGGTTGATGCCTGTCTAGGGGCTGCCTGTGACTGTTTTTTAGCCTGGAGGATTCTGGCCTTCCGGTCCCCTTGCTGTGTTCCTTTCCCATCAGAATAACAAGGGGGTGGGGTGAGGGTGGCTGGGCGGCAGGTTGGTGTGAAGCAGAGGCCCTGTCGCAATCGTCCTTTCCTCCGTGAGCCTCCTGCACCACCTAGTGGCCTTGTGGAGCTTTGCAGCTCAGGTCTCAGGTACCATGTCTGAAATGGCAGTGTCTGCCCTTTGTCTCAAGCCCCCAGGAATCAGGCCATCCTCTGCCACGGCCAGGATGAGTTGGTCCAAGTTGTCTCCCTAGGAGCAGAAAGAAGGGCTGGAGCAGCACCCAGCATGAGTCACTCCCTAGCCCCCTCAAGGTTTTTGCCTTTTCTAAATACCACCCATGCTGTTATTTACTTAGTGCTTTTCTTCGAATCAGCTTACAGTTTTTTGTTTTTCTTTTTGTTTGAGGTGGAGTTTTGCTCTTGTTGCCCAGGCTGGAGTGCAATGGCGTGATCTCGGCTCACCACAACCTCCACCTCCCGGGTTCAAGCAGTTCTCCTGCCTCAGCCTCCCCAGTAGCTGGGATTACAGGCATACACAACCATGCCCAGCTAATTTTGTATTTTTAGTAGAGACGGGGTTTCTCCATGTTGGTCAGGCTGGTCTTGAACTCCCGACCTCAGGTGATCCGCCTGTCTAGGTCTCCTAAAGTGCTGGGATTACAGGTGTGAGCCACCGCAACCAGCCCTTATAGTCTTTTTCTTTTCTTTTCTTTTCTTTTTTTTTTGAGACAGAGTCTCACCCTGTTGTCCAGGCTAGAGTGCAGTGGTGCGAGCTCAGCTCACTGCCACCTCCTGGGTTCAAGTGATTCTCCTGCCTCAGCCTCCCAGGTAGCTGGGATTACAGGTGCACGGCACCACGCCCAGCTAGTTTTTGTATTTTTGGTAGAGACCAGGTTTCACCATGTTGGTCAGACTGGTCTCGAACTCCTGACCTCAGGTGATTGGCCCGCCTCAGCCTCCCAAAGTGCTGGGATTATAGGCGTGAGCCACCGTGCCCAGTGGCCTTTAAGGTCTTTACTGACATTTAATGAAGGAGGAAAAAGAGGAAGAACCAATAGTACCATAAAGAGATGGTAACTAAAAAATGAGTATAGTGAAGAACCGTGCTATTCAAGTCTAGCTGATGCTGTCGCCTACCAAATGACCTGAACTAAGACCCCCTTTGGGCTGAGTGCAGTCTATCATCAAAGTAATCCCAGCACTTTGGGAGGCCAAGGTGGGAGGATTGCTTGAGCTCAGGAGGTTGAGACCACCCTGGGCAACATAGGGTTGAGACCCTGTCTCTACTAAAAATTAATAACAATAATAACAACAATAATAGTAAGACCCCCTTGGTTAAAAAGCGGGGGGATCAGCAAGTGTTGGAAGGGGTTAAGGACATGTCAGCACCAAACTGGGGTGGTCTTTGTGGTGGAATGAGAAGGACTGGGTGGGACTTCGTAGTGGTGGCCCACCCCTCTGTGATTCCATTCTGTTTCATGTTCTTCCATGGACCACATGAAATAGGAGGAATCCTGGAGTTCCAAATTCCAGGGGACTCTTCTCAGCTTTGGGACACTGGGCTTGGGCATGTGCCATGGAAATGAATCAATCCTTTGTTATTTCTTGAGATCCTTGAGCATGGAGAGGGCAGGAAATTTGAAGTCCCAAGAACAGGTTGACCTCCAGTGTGTTGTGGTCACTGAATTCTCCCTCCTGTGTGGCCTCATCACTCTGCTGTGGGCTTGACCAGTACTCTGGGTATTTGCAAAACCTTTAGAAAAATCTAGAAACTTTCCTTTTTTTTGTCTTCTTGTTCCTTTAAGACTTAGCCCAGTCATTTGCTTATTCTGCAGATAGTTTTTGGGCACTTTCCTGAGGGCCCAGTGCTATGCTATGCTGTGCTGTGCCCTGGGGACTCAGAGCTGAAAAAGACACACATGCCCTGTCCTCTTGGGGCTGTCACTACAGCAGTGGTGGTGGGAGGCAGTGAGCTCAGGTGTGTTGTGAAGGAGGAGAATGGTGAGGTGTGTGGGAACCTGAAACAGGCAGGTAGAACCCAGGATCAGGAGGAGGACAGGCTCTCGGGGAAGTGACCTTGGGGCTGAGAGCTATCAGGCAGCTGAGGAGGGAGACCAGTCTAGCAGGTAGACATGAATGCTGGTGGTTTTGTTTCTGATGTGAGAGAGTGGAGGACTCCCTGGTCCTTCCTGGTCCTCCCACTCTGCCTCTGCGGCAGAGCACAGGGCTGGGCACATGGCTGTTGATGATGCGCTTGAGGGGCAGTAGGAGACGCGGAGTGACCGTGAGACCGAGGGGTGACAGTTCTCCTGGCCACTTCCCATAGACACCCCAGGCCCCTCCTCCTGTCTCAGGTATGAGAAGATGATCAGTGGTATGTACCTGGGTGAAATCGTCCGCAACATCTTAATCGACTTCACCAAGAAGGGATTCCTCTTCCGAGGGCAGATCTCTGAGACGCTGAAGACCCGGGGCATCTTTGAGACCAAGTTTCTCTCTCAGATCGAGAGGTGAGTGGGCAGTGTCTTCCCTGCCAGCGCCCACCCTTCAGAGGTCGCCTGGCTGGTGGATTGTGATGGGGGTGGTAGGGACCCTAGGGGACATTTTGGCCATTTTTGAGGATTTTTTTTCCTCTGGAATAGCAGACCCTGGGCATTTGCATAGTGAAATCTTATAATTTTATTATAAATTACTTTTCTTGGCCTGGTGTGGTGGCTCATGCCTGTAATCCCAGCACTTTGGGAGGCCGAGGCAGGCGGATCATGAGGTCAGGAGATTTGAGACCATCCTGGCTAACATGGTGAAACCCGATCTCTACTAAAAATACAAAAAATTAGCTGGGTGTGGTGGCATATGCCTGTAATCCCAGCTACTTGGGAGGCTGAGGCAGGAGACTCACTTGAACCCAGGAGGTGGAGGTTGCAGTGAGCTGAGATCGCGCCACTGCACTCCAGCCTGGCCTGGCAACAGAGCGAGACTGCATCTCAATAAATAAGTAAATTACTTACTTTCCTTTTATCCATCCTTTATGTTGGGGCATTATATTGATTTATTTGAAATTATGTGTGTAAGAGGGCCATATGGATTCCATTTCAGATGGTAAAGATGCACTACACATACTTGTATTGGGGGTGCATAGGGCCCACCTGGATTTATCTGAAAGGCAGCCTGGGGTTCAGTGCCAGGCCACCCAGGAGCTGATGCCCCTCAGCAAGTTGTTCCACCTTCTTTCTACTTTTCTCCTGTCCAGGGTACATTTCTTCCTGGCCTTTGCTGTCTTCTAAGGCACGCTGTGTGAGAAGGAGGAAAAAAGGGTCAGAAAAAACAAAAGCAATTGTGCAAATACTGTGTTCTTCTTAGAATGGTCATAATAACCTAACGTAGGCTCTGTGTAGGCTGGGCACGGTGGCTCATGCCTGTAATCTCAACACTTTAGGAGGCCAAAGCAGGTGAATCACTTGAGTTCAGGTGTTCGAGACCAGCCTGGTTAACATGGCAAGACCCCATTTCTACAAAAAGTGCAAAAACTAGCCGGGCGTGGTGGCACATTCCTGTGGTCCCAGCTATTTGGGAGGCTGAGGTGGGAGGATGGCTTGAGCCCGGTGGCGGAGGTTGCAATGAGCTGAGGTTGCACCACTGCACTCCATCCTGGGCGACAGAGACAGACTCTGTCTCAAAAAAAAAAAAAAAAGAGAAAGAAAAGAAAAAAAATATTAAACCTTAAACAAAAAAAAACCTAACAAGCCTATACACTGCTCTTACCCAGGCAAAATGGTTTTTAAGTATACAGTTCGGTGACATTAAGTACATTCACATAGTCGCACAGCTATCACCACCATCCATTTCCGGAACTCTTTTCATCTTCTCAGCTGAAACTCTGTACGCAGCAAACACTAACTCCACATTCCTCCCTCCCCCCACCCCAGCAACCACCATTCTACTCTCTGTCTCTATGGATTTGACAACTCTGGATACTTCATATAAATAGAATCATACAGCATTTGTCCTTTGTGACTGGCTTAATTCACTTAGCATAATGTCTTAAGGTTCATCCGTATTGTGGCATGTGTTAGAATTTCCTTATTTTTTTATTTTTATTTTTTGAGACGGAGTTTCACTCTTGTTGGCCAGGCTGGGGTGCAATGGTGCAAACTTGGCTCGCCATAACCTCTGCCTCCTGGGTTCAAGCGATTCTCCTGCCTCAGCCTCCTGAGTAGCTGGGATTACAGGCGTGCGTCACCATGCACGCCCGGCTAATTTTGTATTTTTAGTAGAGATGGGGTTTCCCCATGTTGATCAGGGTGGTCTCAAACTCCCGACCTCAGGTAATCTGCCCACCTTGGCCTCCCAGAGTGCTGGGATTACAGGCATGAGCCACCACGCCCGGCCATAATTTCCTTATTTTTAAGGCTGAGTGATATTCCATTGCATGCACACACTGCATTTTGTTTATTCATTCATCCATCCATGGACACTTGGCTTGCTTCCACCTTTTGGATATTGTGACAAATGCTGCTGTGAACACGGGTGACCAGTATCTCCTTTCAGTTTGTGTGTGTGTGTGTACGCACCCCAAGTGGACTTGCGGGATCATATGGTAATTCCCTGTTCAGTTGTTTGTGGAACCACCATGTTGTTTTCCACAGTGGCTGTAACATTTTACATTCCCACCAGCAGCCCGTGAAAGTTCTAGTTTCTCCACATCCTCGCCAACACTTGTTATTTTCTGAGTTGAGAATAGCCATCCTAATGGGTATGAAGTGGTATGGAAAGTCTTTTCAAGCATAATAGCAAAGAAAGAAATCATAAAGAAAAATGGCCAAATATAGCTACATAGTGTCTGTAAGTAAAAAAAAAAAGTAATCAAACTTAAAAGGCAACGGTAAACTGAGGAAGACATTTGTACTGTGTATGACAAGACGCCTAGCAGGGCATGGTGGGCTTTGGCAGGTCTGGTCTACACCTGCTCTTCTCCACCGGCTGTGTGCTTTGCAATACTCAATTTCTCCCAGCCTCAGTTGCCTTATCTTTAAAATGGGAATAATCATACATTCATTGGTTGTTTGAGGAGTAAGTAAGGTAATGTATGTAAAATATATGTTACATGGTAAGTCCTCCAAGAAGCCTGGCTGGTCTTCATTGTACCATCCCAGTTATCGTCTCTTTCAATTTAATATAAATAAGACAAATATATCAGGAGAAAAGTCTTGAGACGTAAGAAGTAGTTTATATGGCCAAAAAACAAATGGAAAAAAAAGAGATCATCCTCACTAATAGAGAATAATATAAATTGAACTACAGTCTTGTGATGCCTTCTTATAAAACTGTCAAAAGTTGTAAAAAAATGCTCTTTTCCAGTGAGGATAAGTGTGGCCAAATACTCTGCTGAAGAGTAAATGGATACAATTTTCTGTAAGGCATCTGGCAATGTGTAGCAAAAGCTCGTTGACCCAGAAATTTATCCTAAGGAAAAACATCAGAATTGCACACAAAGATTTATAAACAAACCTTATCAAAATGTTTCTTTATAATAGCAGAAAATTGCAATTAACTTGAATTTCTCCAAGCTGGCTAAAGAAATCATGGTGCATCCCTAGAGGGAATACTGCAGCAGCTGTTTCCAATCCTGTTCTCAGATAAGGCTGTGGGAAATTGCTCAATGCATGAAACAGGAAAGAGAAAGAAAATCACATATCAAGGATAATCCCATTTTGCATATCATGAGAAGCATACCAGCTAGGAAAAATAAACTGGAAGGAAATATATTAAAATGTTAATAGCATTTTCCTAGATGTTGAGATAGTGAATGGTTTAGATTTTCCAATTTTTATTTTGCTAGATTTGCCAAATTCTCCACAGTTTAACATGTAACACTTGCCCTTGACTCTGTCTGTGGATGAGTACAGTGATTGGGGGCGGGGGGCGTCCTTTGGACGTGGTCTCCAGGCTGCTCTTGTGGGTCCTGCTTCATCCAGCCCTCTGGCTCTTGTCCCCCACAGTGACCGATTAGCACTGCTCCAGGTCCGGGCTATCCTCCAGCAGCTAGGTCTGAATAGCACCTGCGATGACAGTATCCTCGTCAAGACAGTGTGCGGGGTGGTGTCCAGGAGGGCCGCACAGCTGTGTGGCGCAGGCATGGCTGCGGTTGTGGATAAGATCCGCGAGAACAGAGGACTGGACCGTCTGAATGTGACTGTGGGAGTGGACGGGACACTCTACAAGCTTCATCCACAGTGAGTGGGCCTTCCAGTTGGGATGCGCAGAGCTTGCTGGGATCCCTTTGGGTTAGGGGGTATCAGGGTGTGGTTTACGCTGGGGAAATGCCCTGCGGGAGCCCAGCCAGGCTGAAGGCTGTGCGTTCAGGAGCTGGGGATTGTCTAGGACAAGGTAATGAACAGTTTGTAGGGTTTGACTGGGATCCTTAGGGAGACAGAGAAGTGGCTTCACTTGGCCAGCTCACACCAGTGGCATGATGTGACCCTCACCCCACTCCTCCTGGTCCCCCTTAGGTGGGGGCTAGGCAGTGGGAGAGGAGGTGAGGGTGGGCGTGGGCTCACTCATAAGCCTGGTGAGCTGTAGCCAGGCCAGAGGCTCTGTTGGGTAAGTGGGGAGAGGATATTAAGAAAGGGGAGGAGCTGGGTGCAGTGGTTCACACCTGTAATCCAGCACTTTGGGAGGCCTAGGTGGGAGGACTGCTTCAGTCCAGGAGTTTGAGACCAGCCTAGGCAACATAGTGAGACCTTGTCTGTACAAAAAAATTTTGAAAATTAGCCAGGGATGGTGGTGAATGCCTGTAGTCCCAGCTACTCGGGAGGCTGAGGGAAGAGGATTGCTTGAGCCTGGGAGGTGGAGGTTGCAGTGAGCCCAGATCACGCCACTGTACTCCAGCCTGGGCAACAGAGTGAGACCCTATTTCAAAAAATAAAATAGGAAAGGAGGATAGCCACTCTCTTGTTCATCTGCTGAATCAGTTTGCTAAGACTTGGAAGGGCGGGAGCGGTTTGGGCCCTGGGCTTCATGGCAGGGAGGGGTAGGGAGTGGCCTCCCTCTGGTCAGGCATCTGACCCCCCATGCCAGAGAAGGACATGTGATTGCACTTGCTGTGTGATTGTGATCCACCGCATGTCTCACCTTATGAATAGGGTGACCATATTATTTATTTATTGTCTACACTAGGGTACTCTTGCCAGTCAAGAGTGCTAATAATTATTACTCTGGGACTGTAGGCAAACTAGGACCATCCCAGATAAATGAGGCCATAGTGTCACCCTACTTATAAGCAACCTCACCCGACTCAGTGTAGACATTACCTGCTTACCTCATGGCCGTGGCTTGGGGTGGAACCATCTGTCTTGCTCCATCCTCACCTCTGTCTCTCCCCCTTAATAGCTGTCCTTGCCATCAGCTGAGGCAGCACACAGGAGTGGTTTAGAGCTAGGCTTTGGAGCCACATACTCTTGGATTTAACCCTGGCACCGTCACTTAGAATCTGTGTGCAATTGCTTAATCCCTGCAAAATCTCATCTTCCTCATGAGGTGGCAGCCACTGGCAGGACTAGAAATTAGAGCTGTAAAATATGGGGCACCTAGTAGGTCCTCAAACTCCTTGGCTCAAGTGATCCTCCCACCTTGGCCTCCCAAAGTGCTGGCATGAGCCACCGCACTCCGCCCACCTAATAGGTCCCCAACCAAGGACAGTGACTACTTTTGAGAGCCCCTCACCACAAGCATCTTCAGCCTGGCCCTGCCCTTCATTTTGAGCCCAACTTACAAGCATGTAGATTCAGCCTTTGTTCAGATACTATCTTCACTGGAAGGCATTCCTGTCTTTGGGGGCCAGGCTGTTGATGGTGGGGCGCTGGGGGTCTCAGGGTTGCAGCTGGAGATGGGTGATATTCATTCCTGCATAGCCTCCTGAACCGATCCAGTGCTTGGCTGGCTTGCACCTGCCTTAATGATCCATGTCAGCCCCTAACATCCTCCTTGGTTTTGAGGTCCCCCTGGAGCCTCAAGCTCCGATGTGGGTGTGTGTGTTATTCATGTCCTAGCCTTCATAAGCCATACAGAGCAGTTGTGTTTGGATTCGCAGTTGGGCCTCCCTGCTGAAAACTGTGACAATGGGATTGACCGTGGGCCCACTTTCCTCCCAGCCATTCTCAACTGGCCACAGCTGCTTCTAAGCAGCCTGCCTCCCAACCATGTTCACCCTCCTTGTTGTTGGGTTCAGAGTCTCTTTGACTTCCGATGCTTATGTCCTGATAAACCCATCACAAAGTCGAAGAATCCTAAGTCGAATCATCACCAGTCAGGGGGCTGTCTGTGCTTTGGTGTTTTCGGGTAGGCCCAGCGTCTCTCATCTTCCTCCAACTACCTTCTGTTTTCTCGTCCTTTTTAGCTTCTCCAGAATCATGCACCAGACGGTGAAGGAACTGTCACCAAAATGTAACGTGTCCTTCCTCCTGTCTGAGGATGGCAGCGGCAAGGGGGCCGCCCTCATCACGGCCGTGGGCGTGCGGTTACGCACAGAGGCAAGCAGCTAAGAGTCCGGGATCCCCAGCCTACTGCCTCTCCAGCACTTCTCTCTTCAAGCGGCGACCCCCTACCCTCCCAGCGAGTTGCGCTGGGAGACGCTGGCGCCAGGGCCTGCCGGCGCGGGGAGGAAAGCAAAATCCAACTAATGGTATATATTGTAGGGTACAGAATAGAGCGTGTGCTGTTGATAATATCTCTCACCCGGATCCCTCCTCACTTGCCCTGCCACTTTGCATGGTTTGATTTTGACCTGGTCCCCCACGTGTGAAGTGTAGTGGCATCCATTTCTAATGTATGCATTCATCCAACAGAGTTATTTATTGGCTGGAGATGGAAAATCACACCACCTGACAGGCCTTCTGGGCCTCCAAAGCCCATCCTTGGGGTTCCCCCTCCCTGTGTGAAATGTATTATCACCAGCAGACACTGCCGGGCCTCCCTCCCGGGGGCACTGCCTGAAGGCGAGTGTGGGCATAGCATTAGCTGCTTCCTCCCCTCCTGGCACCCACTGTGGCCTGGCATCGCATCGTGGTGTGTCAATGCCACAAAATCGTGTGTCCGTGGAACCAGTCCTAGCCGCGTGTGACAGTCTTGCATTCTGTTTGTCTCGTGGGGGGAGGTGGACAGTCCTGCGGAAATGTGTCTTGTCTCCATTTGGATAAAAGGAACCAACCAACAAACAATGCCATCACTGGAATTTCCCACCGCTTTGTGAGCCGTGTCGTATGACCTAGTAAACTTTGTACCAATTCAAAGACCCGAGTGATGCTTAATGGCTGGGGACGGGGGGACAGGCAGAGGGGGGTGCAGTTTCTTGGGATGTGGCAAAGACCAAACACTGGGGAGTTTTGTGGCCTTCTGGGCGGAGGAGTTTTTTTTTTTGAGATGGAGTCTTGCCCTGTCACCCAGGCTGGAGTGCAGTGGCACAATCTCAGCTCAGTGCAACCTCTGCCTCCCGAGTTCAAGTGATTCTCCTGCCTCAGCCTCCTGAGTAGTTGAGACTACAGGCGTGCATCCCCACACCCAGCTAATTTTTGTATTTTTAGTAGAGAAGGGGTTTCACCATGTTGGCCAGGCTGGTCTCCAACTCCTGACCTCAAGTGATCTGCCTGCCTTGGCCTCCTAAAGTGCTGGGATTATAGAACAAGGCCACTTGGCTTCCAGGCTGCTTGGGTTCAGTGAGAGGACTGCAACACTGGTCCCCTCTCTGCCATCCCCACCCGGATCCTGCCCTTCATCTTCCTCTCTGCCAACCCCAAGACAAAGGATGAAATGTGCTCTGCCCCACCCCTCCCCTCCCTCTCTACCCAAACACAGATGAAATCTTGAAGCAGCCCAGGCTGGCTGCACGCTCCCGCTCCCGGATCTTTTTTCTTTATTTTTTATTTTTATTTTCTGTAGACAGGGTCTCACTGTGTTGCCAGGGCTGGTCTCCAACTCCTGAGCTCAAGCAATCTGCCCCCCTCAGCCTCCCATAGTGCTGGGATTATAGGCGTGAGCCATCGCTCCCGGCCCACCCCTTCTGGATCTTAGATTGACCTCATCCCTAGGAAATTAACCCTTGTCTGACCTTTTACTCTCCCTTCCCACCCCCACCTCAAGAGATTCCTGGTCTATCCCCAGGCTACCATTTTGGATTCTCCCCCAGCCTTGGTGGGTTCCATGTCACTCTGCACCCAAGCACCTTGTGATGTCCCAAGCCACAGCTGCGGCTCTAAGTGGCTTCCTGCGAGACCGATTGCCAGACCACCTGGTTTGGTGAGATCAGAGTCCCTTTATTAGGGGCATGGTGCTGGTGTCTACGGAGCAGTGATTTTTTGGAGAACACAGATAACATTACACCTTCCAGTGTGCATTGACAATGTTACATGGCTCTTCTGCAGGGGAACCAGGGCGTGGAGGCTGAGTTGGCAAGCAGGAGGTGTGCCCCTGGGATGGGCTGGGCCAGACCGGGAGCTTTCTGGGAGTTGGGACAGTTGCTGCTTTCTGCCCTCTAGCTTCTTGCTGCAGAAGTGGGAGTGGGAGCTGTGCTGCTGCTTTGTAGGTGGCTTTTGTGTGAAATAGTTAAAAGTCATGGCTAACAGCCAGGTGTGGTGGCTCACATCTGTAATCCCACCACTTCAGGAGACAGGCAGGAGGAATGGTTGAGCCCAGGAGTTCAAGACCAGCCTGGGCAACATAGCAAGACCCCATATCTACAAAAAACTTAAAAACTAGCTGGGTGTGGTGGTATGTATCTGTGGTCCCAGCTACAGGGGAGACTGAGGCAGGAGGATCCCCTGAGCCCAGGAGGTTGAGGCTGCACTGAATCATGATGGTGCCACTGCACTCCTGCCTGGGTCTCAGAGTGAGGTGAGACCCTGTCTCATAAAAAAAAAAAAAAAAAAAAAGAAAGTCCTGGCTACCATGTATTGGGCACTTAATCTGGTCTGGCCTGCTAGTTTATAGGCATTACTCCCATTGTTCCTCACAGCATCCCTGTGAAGTAGTTTTGATACTGGGCAGAGGTCAAAGTGACTTGCCTGAGGAAACACAGCTGATTTTTTTGGCTCTTAATCACCATCTACGTGGGCTGTATCTGACTTCTTAAATACTGAGACAGAGAAGCCCTCAGCTGACTCAGTCACTGGGCTTTGTGAAATAAGAAGTTTCCTCCTTTGTATCCACAGCCTGATGGCGAATCAGGGTCATGGTTGCATTGCCCACAGATACGTTTTGTTTAACTTATGCAAAGTTTATGAAAATTTGGGTCAAATTCAACAAATCTGGAAGACTCACATACAAATGTGGATTTATAGCTTCTCTTGAAAGATTTAGAAGATCTAGCAACAGTGGGCTCCCATTATCATGTGGCAACGTTTGTCCAGAGCTGAGTAGTTCTTGTCCCCTTTGAATGCCTGTCCTCTCCAGGTTGCCATGGCCCCCACCATTCCCTATTAGCTCAAACTGAGGGTGGAAGTCAGTTGCCTTTTATCATCACATTTGCAGTTTTTCTTTTATACATATTCTTGTATGCCCCAGGAAGGCATTTGAGCTTGCATCTCTTAAATTAGATAAATATCAGCTTACACTGTCTTTTCTGACCCTTACTGGATCCTCTGAAGTGCTCTCTGAGATGGGTGGCTGAGTCCTCTTAAAGTCAGCATCCTTTCTGGAGTTCTGGCCCCATGTTGTCTTTGTATTGGTATACTGAAGGATGGGGCATGAGCTGAACTTTCAGATGTGGTCTTCTCGATTGGCTACTTCTCAAAGGGTGCTACACCTCATTCTGCAGCCAGGCACAAGGCTTCAGGGTTCAATAGGCACCTATCTCAGTCCATTTGTGTTGCTTTCATGGAATACCTGAGACTAGGTAATTTATAAAGAAAAGAGGTTTATTTGGCTCATGATTCTGGTGGCTGGAATATCCAAGATTGGGCAGCTGCATCTGGTGAAGGCCTCAGGCTGCTTCTTGTCATGGTGGAAAGTGGAAGGGAAGTGTTGTGTGCAAAGAGATCACATGGTGAGAGAGGAAGCAAGACAGGGAAACTGAGGACACCACACTCTTTCTAACAACTTGTTATTTTGGGAACTAGTCCATTCCCACAAGAGTGATGATTCACTTCAACTGGAAGGCATTAATCTATTCATAAGGGATCCATCCCCAATACCCAAACACCTCCCACTAACCCCTACCTCCCAACACTGCCACATTGGGATCAAATTTCAACATGAGTTTTGGTGGGGGCAAGCAAACCATACCCAAACCATAGCCCTGATCCATCCTGGGGACGCCCCGCCTCCCCACTGGTAGCCTCGGAGGGGGCTGTGTCCCCAGCCATGAACAAAGTCTCCTTAGTGTGACACCTGTTGACTCTCGTGGAGAGGGAGGTCGTGGGAGTCAGCTCGAGCTTATCTTCCTTGGTGGGTGTGACCCATGGGCAGCAGCGGAAGGCAAGCCGGAATCCAGAGCGAAACCTGGGGGAGCGAGGGGCACCTTGAGCCAGGGAGTTAGGGGCTCAGGAGCTGTGATGTGACTGCCCCCACCCCCAGGAAACTGACTCCCTTCCAGAGGAAAGTCACTGTCTCTCTCCAAGAGCCTCCCATGGCTCAGGGGCTCTTGAGAGATGCCTTCGTGGGTGAGTTTGATTTTTGGAAACTGCCAGAGTGTTCTGGAGCTGGGTCTAGTGAATGAAGTGGGTGACTAAGCTGATTTAGGTCATCTGTTATTACGAACAAAAAATGACCCCAGCATAATTACTAAAAAAACCAACCAACCAACAAACAAACAAAAAAACCAGCAGATGTTCTTGTCTGACTTGTTAACTGGCTTCTAAGGGATGAGTCAAAGAAGAACCTGCTAAAACACAATGGAGGCTTTGGCAACTTGGGAGAACAAGGATGCTTTTCCCAAGGGGACTACATTGAAAAACCCACACTCGGAGCCACCAAGTTCTGATGCATTTGCTTGAAAACAAACAGCTCTCCCCATGGCAGCACTGAACGGGAGTTCAGAGGAAGCACACACGGTGAGTGGAAGAAATCAGACGGCAGAAAGGGAACGCTGGCTGCTCAGAGAAGGGAATGATCCAGAAGTGATGTCAGGATCTTGTAGAGCCTGGGGTGTTGTTTAGACTCCCAGGGACTGTATCTCCCTTGGGTAGCAGGAGAGTGATCAACCCACAGACACAGTGGGCTGGTGGCCCCTCCCAGATGTCAGAGTCCCTGTCTCCAGGTTTTCAATCCCACAAGTCTTTAAAAGAGAAATGCGTGGTGTGGGGATAAGATGACAGGCCTTGGAGACCCATGGAGTCCTGGCTTTACTGTTTGTTGTATGAATTTGGGAGCATCTTACTTTCTGAAGCTCAGTTTCCCCATCTGTAGAGTGGGGGTGACACCTGCTTCTCTCCTATTATCTACTTCCCTCTCAGGAGATAGAGAGTTCTGGCCTCCTGCAAAAAATCATAGCTCCTTATTTCCTTTTGGCCTGCCCCAGGCGGGTGAAATGTCTGAGCCACAAAGATCCCAATGGCATTATGAGTAGCCTGGCTACCTGGCCAGGGAGGTGACAAAAAACATGAACAAAGAGGTCCAAGGCCAACTTCGCCCACATCATTGTCTCACTGAGGTGAGACTGTGTCCACCTCTTGCCGCCCCTTATTTGCCCCACCTTCAGGGTTTCCTGCCACTGAAAGGCCTGCTCTGCAGAACTCCTGGGGCTGGGTTCCTCCCTGACTCACCACCCCCCACCTCTCCAGGTGCCCCAGAGCAAGTGCAGGCCCCTCTCTGGGACTCATTTCCTCAGAATCACGAGGCGTAGGGAAACTGGATGATGCCAGGAGAGTGAGATTCTGGCCCCCTCCTTCCTGGCTGTCTCTGACAGGGTCACTTCCCAGCTGCCCTGAAAGTCCCTGGAGGACAGGGCATGCACTGTGAGCTTTCCAGGGAGCAGCCTGCCCCACCCCTGTGCTGGCCCCAGCCCCCATCCACTGCTTCCACTGCCGGATGGGTGCCATTCACTTGGCTCCAGGAAAGCCCTCAGTAGGAAGCTTGTGAAAATACTAGAACAGAAGTCAGTCCCTCCCTCCCGCTACTTAGCTTTTCTTTCCTTCGTCTGTCTGTCCCACCCCCTCTCTGTGACTCTCCCCTCCCCTTCATCTCTCTGGCCCTCCCTTCTCTCTTCTCTTGCCCCAGACACAGAACCCAGAAGAGCCAGCAGGAACAGACAGACAGTGAGAGCTACAGCCTGGGAGACGGTGAGGATTTGGGGAGGAAGGGGGCTCAAGCTAGGCCCAGGCCAGAGGGATTATTGTGCTGGGGGCTGAGTGTGAGGACGGCTTTCTCATGTAGGCTGGGGGCACAGGGCCACAGGTTCCGGCAGGAATGAGGATGGATGCTTGAGCTGTGCAGGGGAGCCCACCTGGGGCTGGGCAGTGGGGCCCTGAGGGCAGAGGGTGGGGCTGGAGTGGGGGCTCACCTGTGGTTGAGACAGCAGTAGATGATGGGATTGTACATGGTAGAGCTCATGGCCAACCAGAAGAGTGCCAGGTAGACTTGCTGGATGAACTTGTGGCAGTAGATGTCCTCCTGGAAGCTGCCCAGGATGAAGTAGAGGTGGTAGGGCAGCCAGCAGATGGCAAACGTCAGCACCACCAGCACCATGGTCTTCACAAACTGGTCCAGGAGAGGCTCAAGTTACTTCTTAGTGCCCAAGCCCCAGCCCCAGCCCTCCGAGGGCAGACACAGAGGACCCCTTGCACCCACCTGGGAACTGCTCCACACACAGACCCCGTTAGCTCTATTACTCAGGCCTCTGAGCATGTTTTGCCCAGACCTTCCTGAGCCCCCAACCTCAGAGGCCTGTGCTCAGGCAGGTCCCTCTGCCCATACTGCCATCCTTCCTTTGAAGTCCTCACTCCTTGAAGCCCAGCTCAATGGCCACTTCCTACAAAAGGTGTCTGGGACCCCTTCATTCACTGCAGCTCCCCCTCCCTGGAGAGTGGCTGAGCTCTCTCTCCTAACCCCATCCCTGGGGGAGCCCCTGTGTCAGCTATGCGTTCCCAGGACGCCCCCTCTCTGGGATCCGTATCGGCACAGCCCTTCTCTCTGTGGGCTGTAAGGTTCCAACCAGGGACCCCTGCCTCTGCCCACGGGTCAGCTCCTGGACCTCCCCCTCCTCAGAGCCTGGCCCCTGCAGGCACACTCCTGCTCCGTTTGGCAGCCCAGCATGCCAATTACAAAAGGTCTGGGGGCTCCTGGGCACCCTGATCCTCACGTAGGATCTGGGTTGAGACCCCTAGTGTGGAGCAGATGGAGGCCAGTGCTCCATGAGGGGCACCAGATGGCGCCCATGTGCAGCTATCTCCCCGAACCACCCTGTGAAAGATGCCTACTTTTGGGTGAGAAGCATGGCTTTGACCTGGCTACATGATGTGGTTAACCCATTACCTCCCCTGTTGCCTGGTAGGAAGGGGGCAAGGACAAGCTTGGACTGAAGGAGGGTGAAGGGGGTCTTGGGCACAGAGGGCTACATCAGGACCTTCGGGGGACCCTGGATGGCAGGGAGTAGGGGGACACTGCCACTTCCGGAAGAAACTGGAGACAGATTTGATGAAGCTGGACAACTATCTGGTCTCCACGACCTCCGGGGTCCGCAGTTCCAGCCTTTGAGGGCTCTCCTGTGACTGTCAGGCACCTTCTATAGTTCTGTGGGGCTTCTCAATTTCAACATTCTGATTATTCAAAAAGTCTAAGATTTTAATATTTTATCATTCTAAGATTCTTGGGGGTATCTGAATTCTACGGGGCTTTAGGAGTCCCTGACTCCCCTAACATTCTGGGAAGTTAATTTTTTTTTGTCTTTTTTTTTTCTTCCTTTTTGTGGAGAACGGGGTCTCGCTATGTTGCCCAGGCAGGTCTCGAACTCCTGGGCTCAAGCTATCCTCCCGCCTCTGCCTCCCTGAGAGCTGGGATTACAGGCGTGAGCCGCCGCGCCCGGCAAGTTTCTTTAATTTTGTATTTGGCCAAAGACCAAAGGCAAATCCGCCCGGCTGGGAGGAACGCGGTCAGGCTCTGGCCCCAGACTTCGCGCGAAGGCAGCTTCCGCAAGCTTCTCCCGGGCGCCCTCTTGCGGACCGGCCTTGAGACCGTAAGGGCGGCTCCCCAGGGCGGGGTCAGGCCCCGTCCCGCCCCCGTCCCGCCCCCGTCCCACCCCCGTCCCACCCCGTCCGGCCCCGCCCCCATGAGGCCTCGCCCCCGCCAGCCCCCCGCCCCCTCCAGGCCCCGCCCCCTCCAGGCCCCCGCCCCCGCGCCCACCTTCTTCATGGCCTGCAGGTGGCGCAGGTTGGCACCGTGCGCCTGATGTCCGGGCACTGCGCGCCTCCAGAGCGTGAGGCCGATGACGCTGTAGGCTACAAACATCACCGCGAGCGGCAGGAAGTAGATGAGGGCGATCACCACGAGGTGGTACCTGCAGGGAGAGCCGAGGCCTGGGCAGCGGAGGGCCCGGGGGCGACTCCGAAGTCTGCCAGCGCCTGGTCCTGGGACCCCGCGGGCACTGTGGAGCCGCCCCTGCGGGCCCACCCTGGGCGCCTCCCAGGGACTTGGTTTGATTTAAACAAAAATAAAGGTGGCATTGGGTAGCCTGTGTGCCAGGAGACGGCTTCCCTGCAAAAGGGACGCCAGCAGTAGCCCTGCGTCCTTCCATATCACATCCTTCCACGTGATAGACACGTGTCAAAAAAAGGAAAAGTGAATGAAACAAATTAAGAAATAATTTGTTTGCAATTTAAAATGCCATTAAGCACAAAGGAGGCAGTAAAATTATCCCACTCCCACCACTATTAACATTAACTATTAATATCTGGCATATTTTTTCCAGAATCATATGTATGAATAGTAGTCACCCCTGATGGGAGTTTCACTTTCCCGGGTTTCAGTAACCCCTCCCAACTGCGGATCCAAAATAGGGGAGGAGAGTACAACAAGATATTTTGAGAGGGAGAGACCTCATTCACAGAAGTTTAATTACAGTATATTGTTATACTTGTTCTGTTTTATTACTAGTTACTGTTAATCTCTTACTGTGCCTAATTTATAAATTAAACTTTATCATAGGTATGTTGAGGAAAAAAACAGTATATATCTATATAGAGAGAATTCAGTGCTATCTGAAGTTTCAAGCATCCACCGGGTGTCTTGGAGTGTATCCTACAGTATAGCCATATATGTATACGTATACGTATATGTATATGTATATGTATATATATATATATACATATATACATATATATATATACATATATATATATATATATATATATATATATATATATATAATCTGTATCTGTCTGGATGGATAGAATGACTGGTGTTAATAAGGCTCCATCTGCACCAACATCGCTATGGAGGCATGGGACAGTGGAAAAGCGCCATATATCACATGCTGCTGTGTCATCTGCTTATGGTTTATCAGCATTTGGCTGGGAACCTCGTTTGTGTCAGCAAATGCTCTTTCATACCACCTTTGAGGAAGTGATGCAGAGTACCATTGCGTGGCTTCCTACCCCGTCCCCAGGGAGGACACTGGGTTGTGTTGAGGCTTTTCATTTCCTTTTGGAAACAGTGTAGGCCAGGCGTGGTGGCTCATGCCTGTAATCCCTAAACTTTGGGAGACCAGGATGGGAGGACTGCTTGAGCCCAGGAATTTGAGACCAACCTGGGCAAGATAGTGAGACCCTATCTCTATTAAAAAAAATTAAAAAAATTAGCCAGGCGTAATGGGGCACACCTGTAATTCCAGCTACTCAGGAGGCTGAGGCAAGAGGTTCACTTGAGCCCAGGAGATCGAGGCTGTAATGAGCTATGATTGGGCCACTGCACCCTAGCCTGGGCGATAGAGTGAGACCCTGTCAAAAAAAAAAAACAAAAAAACGACAGTGTCCCCAGTTCTCAGATCTCTGGTTTATGAGTGACGCTGCAGCCTCTCTCTGATGAGCTGCAGGCTGGGGACTGACTCCTCGGCAGGTCTGCAGTGGGAACCTGTGGAGACAAAAGTGACTCCATCTTGGATGCCACTCCCCTGTGTTGACTTCCGATTCGCCCCAGTCTTGTGAATGCCTTCTGATTTCTACTTTATTTACTGCCCCTAGTGTAAGAACATGTCAACCTTGATGTTACTCCACAAATCGTAGGCTGTGACTCACGTAGCGTTCTTGCCTGTTCTGGAGGGCTGCCTTTGGTTGTCTTGCTGGAGCACGAATACCCTTTCCCTATGGTATCTAAGCCTTGCATCTGGGGTGTGAGAATGCAGAGCTCCACCTGTCTTGTGGCCACCCAAGATCCCACTTCGGTCTGTAAATTCCCTCAATAAATCACCCAATATTGACAAACTGGATTTGTTCTGCCTCCTTCTTTGGGTCTGGGCTCCTTTGGCATTTGGGGGTCCCTTTCATGGAACAGAGTCCTTAGAGCATTCCACCAATGGGCCTGAGACCCCTGGTCCCGTCATTTGACTTTTTCTTTCTTACTGGGAGGACTGAGGTGTTCCCAAACCTCCTGCTTCTACCTGCCACATGCTAGGCTTGCTGCGCCCCTTTCTAGAGGTGCTGCTACCCCAAGGGAAGGGGACCCATGGTGAAACCACCTTTGCAAAAATAACGAGGAAATTACGACAGTGAAAGAAATCAGACCTAACCAACTCTATCTTGCTTCTAATCCTTAAGCTGTCCTTGTTCATGCCTGGGTGTAGGCCGAGCTATCTTTGGGAAGGAATTCAGTTCATGATTTTACTCTGAAGCAAAATTGATAACAGCCCTTTCCTGAAAAGACCCCCTTCTTGCCTGGGATCCAATCTGCCTTTCCAGGACTAACAACTTAGCTACAAGGATAGAAATTATTTAGGGGTCATGCAGCCTCTGGCTCCAAGAGTTTGAACCTCCCCCAAATTCCTTGGGGGCAACATCACTATTGTAAAACCTAAGATCAGTGCTTGAGATGTTTTGCAGAGCCTGCACTCAGTGGATCAGCTGACACCACCCAGACCGGGTAATCTGACTCAACCAGTTCTGCTATCACACCCAGGAACAGAAGACAGCGAGAAAACCTCATTTCGACCCCCTGTGATTCCATCTCCAACCCGACCAATCAGCATTCCCCATTTGCCAAGGCCCTAGCTGCCAAATTATCTTTAAAGACTCTGATTCCTGAATGCTAAGGGAGACTGATTTGATTTTGTTTTTTTTGAGATGGAGCTTTGTTCTTGTTGCCCAGGCTGGAGTGCAATGGTGGGGTCTTGGCTCACCACAACCTCCACCTCCCAGATTCAAGTGATCCTCCTGCCTCAGCCTCCCAAGTAGCTGAGATTACAGGTGCCTGCCACCACGCCCTACTAATTTTTGTATTTTTAGTAGAGACAGGGTTTTACCATGTTGGCCAGGCTAGTCTTGAACTCCTGACCACTGCCTTGGCCTCCCAAAGTGCTGGGATTACAGGCGTGAGCCACCGCGCCTGGCCTGATTTGAGTAATTATAAAACTCTGGTCTCCTGCACAGTAGGCTCTGCATTAATTACTTTTTCTCCATTGCAATTCCCCTGTCTTGATAAATAATTTCTGTCTAGGCAGCAGGCAAGGTGAACCCACTGGGTGATTATAATGGCTCCAGTAAATCTCTCTCCTAAAGTCTTGTGTTTAGAATTCTGCTTGGGTTCTTTTGGCAAGCATGCCAATTACAAGAGGTTCAGGCGCTCCTAGACTCCCTGATCCTCAAGTAGGCTTTGGGTTGAGAACCCCAGTGTGGAGCAGATAAGAGGGGAGGAGGGGCAACGAGGGCCAGGGCCCATCACCTTACAGAGTGAGGATCTACAGGGCCACCTATCTCAGTGTCCAGATAGGAAACTGAGGCCCAGAGAGGCACAGGAAGTCTGTGTCATACCCGTCTACAGATTTAATCATGACCAAATTTCCCCTTTTCTGAGGGTCAGCACTGTGGGAGTCAGTACAGGGCTCTTGTCCAGCCTCTTGTTTAAAGCATGATCTTAGGCAAGTCAGGGCTTTCCCTCAGCCTCAGTTTCCCCATCTGTAAAAGGAGGAGGCCATCTCTAAGTCCTTCCTTAGCAGGAGCCACACTCCTCTGTTGCTTGCTCCTAGGATGTTGTGCAGGACAGGAATTCACCCTGGGCTAGGTCTCCATGCAGAAGGCAGAGGGGAAGAGTTCCAGGGACCGCCTTTGTTTGTTTTGTTTTGAGACGGAGTTTCACTCTTGTCGCCCAGGCTGGTGGCAATGGTGTGATCTTGGCTCACTGCAACCTCCACCTCCCAGGTTCAAGCGATTCTCCTGCCTCAGCCTCCCAAGTAGCTGGGATTACAGGCACCCACCATCAAGCCCAGCTAATTTTTATATTTTTAATAGAGACAGGGTTTCATCACGTTGGCCAGGCTGGTCTTGAACCCCTGACCTCAGGTGATCTGCCCACCTTGGCCTCCCAAAGGTAGTCTTTTTGTATTTTGATTTTGGGGGTGTGTGCGCATGTTCCTGAAGAGGGCATCTTTAATTTCATCAGATTCCTAATTACACACAGTTACATGAGCCTGTGTGGATGGAGCCCTCATCCTAAATTAGGCTCTCCCCCAAGAAAAACAATAACACATTCTCACACTTAAAACCAGGCTTTCCCCAAATCCTTTCGGAATTTTAAGCAACACCAAAGTATGGCTTTCCTAGCCCACCCCTGCCCGCCTGTTTTTCCCAGTCGCCTGAATCTGGGATGGAACTCGCTGTTCTCAGAGAGCTGGCACGCACAGTGGTCCTGTATGAAGATGGAGAAATACCGACCCCAAGTGGCCGGTCTCAATATGTTCTGCTCTCCACCCTTTGCTGAGCCAGAAAGCCGGGCATTCCCCATATATGGATATCGCCCTCCGTGAGAGGGTGGGGTGCAGGGAGGGGGCAGAGACCCTGGGCAGGGCCTGCCCTCGAGACTCGCCAGTCCCCAGGAACGGCTTCTCAGAAGAATGGCACCTTCCCTATCCCTGAAGCCCACAAGAGCAGCCTTCTCCTGGCAGGTGCTCAGGACAGATGGAGACCAGGCAGGGAGGATGTTGGAGGAGAGGTGTGTTGCCATGGCTACCTGGCAGCCCTCACCTCAGACCATGCACACCCTCATGCTTGGGGCAGCTGGGACTTTGTGGGAAGGATCTGCCACCCCCAGGTGTGTTTTCATGTGTCCCCTATTTAAGCTGCCACATACTGGGTACCAGTTCTGTGCCAGGCATGGTGCTAAGGGCTTCAGGTACACTATCTCATTTATGCTCACAGAGCGAGGTACTATTATGAATCCTCATTTTAGAGAGAGAAAGCCAGAGGTTCAGAGGTTACGTGAGTGTGAGGCATCCTCCGGCCACGTGGGACCAGGCCACGACTTGGGCCTGACTGAGCCCAGAACCCCAGTCGGTTCTTTAGCCTCTACCAAGCAATGGCTCAGTGCCTGGGGACCACAAAGACACATCGTGAGATCCTCAGAAACTGAGGCCGGAATGGAGAAAGGACTCACCCAGGGTCACACAGCAGCTGGGCCATGCCTGAATTCCTCTAACCCTGCCCTCCCTGCCTCCAGCCTGTGATGCCCACCTCAGCAGCCTGAAAATGTCCCAGGCTCCATCATGGACTCGTTCTGCCTCAGTCTCCTGCCGCTTTGTGGCCTGAGCATATAGAGAGTCTCCCCCAGACACACGCCTACACATGTCCCTAACACGTGCCTGTGTGCAAACACATCTACAAATATGCCCACACACTTGCACGTGTACACACAGGCAGAAATGGGTGCCGCATGTTCACGTGACATGTACAGTCACATACACGTGTGCATGCATGCATATCCTTATCTAAGGATGCAAGGGTGCATATTTGAGTAGCAGAGTGGTGAGGAGATTGGGCCCTGGGCAGGATTGCTTAGATTTGAATCCATAGCTGGATTCAAATGACTAGCTGGATTTGAATTACTAGCTGTGTGGTTTTGGGCATGTTACTTAGTTTTTCAGTGCCTCAGTTTCTTCATCTAAAAAATGGTAAGAATAATAATATAATATATATCCCACATAGTTAGGAGAATTAAATGGGTCAATATATGTAAAGTGTGAAAAACAGATCGGCTACATCGTGTGTGTTGCTTACTAAGCATATAGGTATATTCACACAATCCCGTGTACACTCACTCATGTGTACACCCATGCATGCACACCACACATGCATGGACATGGATGCATGCACGCGTGTGTACACACACACACACAGACTCACACACACACACTGTTGCCCTCCACAATCCCCCAGAGGCCTTACAGGAGGAGCGTCTTGCCCCCGCTGTCTTCGGGCCAGGCCACCACGCACTTGGTGGCACCCTGGTCCATGGTGACGGTGGAGTAGAAGCACTGAGGGGAGGCCAGGGCGAGAGCCACCAGCCAGATGCCAGCAATAACCGCCTTGGTGCTGGGAGCTGAAAGCCGAGGCTGGAAGGGGTGGACGATGGCCATGTACCTGTGAGCAGAGGGCAGCTTGAGCGGCAGGGGCCCTCCTGTTAGCCCAGCTCCCTTTCCCCTGTCTCCCTCTCTCCCAACCCAGGCCCACGCCTTCTAGCCATTCCCCGCACTGCTGCCATCTGCTGATATCATAGTATCAGCCGACCTGCAGAGAGCCCGCTGGGTGACTCTCCCACAGCCACACAGCACACTGATGCCTTGGAACCCCGGCCCAGGCACCTCGGCCCACCATTTCCCTCTGGGCATGGACATGCCCGTGGACGGCCACAAGAAAGCCACACTGGAAGCCCATCTCAGGGCAAGATCAAGCATCCAACATTAGCCTGAAGCTCAGCCCTGAGCAGCGTTGGGAAAATAATTGGCCCTATTAGATTGTAACTGCAAGCAAACTTAACATTTTCCCCTCGTGTAATCTATCCGGAATAATAAAAAAAAAACTGTATAAGACATATCTTTGGAGTGAAATAAAGACAACAAAACAAAGATCAACTCCAGGAAAGAACACTTCAGAAGGTCGCTAAAACATTGCCCACTTCCCCTACAGACTTGAACAACCTGTCTAGTGCATCTAGTGCAAAGTCCTTCTCTGTGTCTAACCCTCAGTCTACCTTCTTCAGCTCCACAGTCCCCCTGCCTTCCAGATTCATAGTTTTGGACCATGACCAGATTTGGGAAGCCATTCCCATGGTTCTACCCAAACTTGCTGTGTAATCACAGGCATGTCACCACCCTTATCTGAGCCCCGGCTCAGTGGGGAGGCTCCCCCCAGCTTCCCCAAGGACCCTCTTGCCTGTCGGCAGCAATGGCGGTCATGGAGTAGATGCTGACAAACATGGCTGTGATGGGGAAGAGGTTCTGGAAGTAGCAGAAGGCACGGCCAAAGTACCAGATGTTGTGGCTGGCATAGACAAAGTTGAAGGCGGCATTGAAGGCAGCCATGCAGAGGTCAGCCAGCGCCAGATTGACGATGAAGTAGTTGGTGACTGTGCGCATCCTCCGATGGGCCAGGATGATCCAGATGACGATGGCATTACCCGTCACGGCCACCAGCACCAGGGCCAGGTAGGCTGTGGCCCACAGTGCCAGTTGCCAGCTGGGCATGGAGAAGGCTGTGATGCCCGTGGTGTTGCTCTCAGGGCCAGATGAGATATTGGCTTCAGTCACAATGTCACAGGTCCCCATGGCTGCTTCTGGGTCTGGAACAAAGGACCTGGCTCCTCGGCTCCTCTCGGATTTGCTATGAAAGAGAACTCCCCTTCAGAGCATGGGAATATGGGGGCAGGGAGAGGAGCAGATGCCAAGCGTGGTGGCACATCAGGAGAGCCTGGGGCCACTCCTAGGTCTCAGGCAAAGATGAGCTGGGCTGAGCACAAAGCCCAGTCCAGAACCATTGTCATTTCAGATTCCATCCTTCCGGCCAGACTTCTCGAATATCATGTGGAAACACAGAATTCAAATCACAGTGTCAGAGCAGAAAACACCCTTATAAATCAACCCCTTCGCTGAAGAGATGGAAGACAGAGATTCCAAGAGGGGACGGGACCAGCCCAGGTCACTCAGGAAGTTGGTGACAAGTTAGGACTCGAACCCAGGTTTCTCGTCACGTAATTCAGGAAACCTTCCAGATCAGAGGAATGCACAGCGGGAGTCTCTGGAGTCCACAGGTCAATGGCGCAGCAGCCTCTCTCCAGGCTTTGGGCTGCAAGCCGGGCTGGGTGCTGGGTGCTCAGGGCTCTGCCAGCTGCCAGCCCTCGCTGCAGCTTCCCTGCCGTTCTCTGGGGCAGGGCCAGTGGGGGCCTTGGCAGAGGTGCTGCCTGCTCACGAGGGGGGGCTTTGGCTCCCGCCCCTGGTCCCACCCCCTGCTTGGCCTTGTCTCTTGAAAGATTTAGGACTGGCTGCAGAGGCAGGGAGAGACTTGGGGGAGATGGGGCTGGTACAGAGGGCCCAGCTCTCGGCGGATGTTGACTTTCAGCCCAGGACAGGAGCTACGTCTGAAGAGTGATTCTGAATACAGAAGGAGTTCGAGCCTGGTTTGGTGACTCCAGGCAAGTCTCTTAACCTTTCTGAGCTCTGTCTACCCCATCTGAAAAATATAGAAAAATGGTGTGCATCTTACAGTACATTTGTGAATTTTAAATGGAGATAATGTGCACAAAGTCTACTTAGCACAGGGGTTGGTACATAAAAACTATGATTGGAGTTTCTGGCCCGAAGGGAGGACCCCACAGCTCTGGGCGCTCTAGGAGGAGAAGCCAGAACCCGGAGCGTTTCCAGCGAGTTCCCAGGTGATACTGATGCTGCTGGAGCCAGCACTTCACTTTGAGAACCACTGTCTTAGGACAAAGTCAGGGCTCTTCCGGGAACCACAGCAAAGCTGGAGTTTTAACTCCTGAGAAGCTGCTCTAGGTTTGCCCCAAGATCCCTGCTCCTGGTCATTGACTGTGTGCACGTGTGTGAAGCAGTGAAGATGTTTCTGAGCAACTGTATGTGCGGCTGACGTGTTAAGCTCACACACACGCATGAACCTGTGCACACCTGTGGTGTGTGGACCATGAAGGCAGGGCAGGATTAGCGGGAGTCGGGGGGGCATGTTCTTCATTAAAGCAGAGGAGGCTTCTCATTCACCAGCAACCCACGGCACAGCAGCCTCTGTGCTCCCAGGGCTCTGCCTTGCACCGCCTGGGTTTCTCGTGGCTGGGCCTCGGCCCCCACACTCCCAGTCCATTTTCTGCTTCTCCCTGTGTGTCACTTTCCTGACACCCAGCCCTTGTCTCCCGGGGTGAGCTGAGAAAGACCTTTAAAGGTCTCTAGTGCTGAAAAGATTATGCCACCCATGGAATCCAATATAAAAACAACACTAAACCATAAGTCATGAAACTTAAACATGCTGAAATTGAAAGAGCTTCTTTATGGATTTTTCTGATTATGAACTTCTGGGTAAGTTCATCGACAATCAACACTGAAATTGTATCTATTGTTTGGTCTCCCTGCTGTGCAGATGTGAGGAGCATGTGCTGGGTCGAATGGGAACCCCATCCTTGCCCTTGGGGAGGGAGTGCTTCCTGGGCCCCTACTCCTCCCGTGGGTGTGTGCCTGTGTGCCTGTTTCCTCTCTGGAGTGGCCTGTTTGGACTTTGGACCCTAGCAGAAGGGTCTCTGCCTTTGATCTCTGTTGGTGGCGGCAACAGTAGCAGTACTTTAGGGTTTGCTTCTGTCTCATGCCCATCTGGCCAGGGTCCTAAAGAGCAGAATGTGTAGAAATAAGAATGGAAGCCCAAGACAGCCTGCTCTTTTTGCTGTCCTCCTGCTCCCAGGCAGTGGGAATTTGTTGAGCTTCAGGTGCAAACCCAGTGCAGGGCTGGGATGCCTGAGCGCCTGTCACCAGTCACAGAAGCCCAGCAGAGTTCAAGTTCCTTCCTCCCCACAACATCCCGCCACCTCCACTGTTTATGTAAAGGGGATTATGTTTTGGAGCTTGTACATCTGAGTTTTTATTTTCCCCTTAAATTATCTGCTCTTGCAGCCTTCCAACTATGTGCTATGGTTTGAAGCCTCGTGAAAGGGGAAGATGCGGGCCACCCAGGATGAAGGGGTTCCTGATCAGCTTTGCTGCTTGGCACTGGCCTTCTGAGTCCATAGCTAGACAGCGATCCCGAAGGCCAGTCCTTATTTTATTTTATTATTTTAGATGGAGTCTCACAGTGTCGCCCAGGCTGGAGTGCAATGGCACGATCTTGGCTCACTGCAACCTCCGCCTCCTGGGTTCAAGCGATTCTCCTGCCTCAGCCTCCTAAGTAGCTGGGATTACAGGTGTATGCCACCACACCTGGCTAATTTTTGTATTTTTTTAGTAGACAGGGTTTCACCATGTTGGTCAGGGTGGTCTTGAACTCCTGACCTCAGGTGATCCACCTGCCTCAGCCTCCCAAAGTGCTGGGATTACAGGCATGAGCCACTGCGCCTGGAAGGCCAGTCCTTTTAAAGGAGAAAAAAAAATGCCGGGCACGGTGGCTCACACCTGTAATCGCACACCTGAGCTGATGGTGCCAGTTGCGTGCATCCAGGAAGCAGACCCTGCTGTGTAAGAAACACACCAGCTGTTTCTCAGGGAGCTACCACTGGGGTCAACACTTGGGGCAGCAGACAAGGCAGGAAGCAAGTGTGGCTGAAGCACGGCATCGTGCTGTGGTCCAGGCCTACAATAGCCTTGGTAACCCCATGGGTAATTGGAACTGGGATAGCTTCAGAGTTGCCCCGTGTGGGGCAAAGTTAACCAGGCCTTTATATTTCCACATTGGTCACTGGACGTGGGCCACCCCAAGAAATCATGTGATTGTTGTCAAGGCAGTTGAGGCGAGGCCTGCAGTCGGGGACGCTAAACATGGTGCTGGTACTATATGCCTGCCCGGCAGCTTGAAGGGGGCCTGGGAAGCGCAGGGCAACGTCCACACAGCTAGACAGCAGCCACTCCTTCAGACGGGCGTGCGCTGGCAACTGTGCCTTGCTGGTTGGTGTAATTGTGACCTCTGGGCTAGAGGCTTAAAGACCAGAGTTGGGAGAGGAATGATCTTCCAGGGAGTTTGAGGAAGAAAAGGTGGGAGAGCTGTGGTGTGTGAGAGAAGTGGGTGGGAGAGGAAAGGCGGCTCCAGAAAGCACTGTGGATGAGGCGTTGCTATCAGCGCCTGGGGGATGCTCTTGAGAGTGGCCTATCTCTGTTTGGGAGGCTGCTCTGGGCCCTAGCTTCAGAGGTCACAGACAGCATCGCGGGACACTAGCGCTGAGGGTCACCCTGTCACCAGGGCAATGCTGGGGGTGCCAGGAGGTGGCCGAAGTGAGAGGAGGACGTGGGGTTGGCAAAGGGTCAGCCCCTCTGCTGAAAGGCTCCAGTCCTGTGCCCGGTGGTGGGTCTGACCCTGAGCCGCTGCTCCAGTGATCATCCCAGAGACAGGAGGAAGGATCACATCTGTATTTGCGGGAGCTCCTGGTGGGGCCAAATGAGGACAAGAAGAAGAACACTTTTCATTCTGCTAGATGAATCTGGTTCCATGGACTGTCCTTCATTCCGAGACCATGCCCTTCCTGCTGTTTGAGTTCTTTCATGAAATAATGGGGATGGCGGATGGTAGTTGTTGACCTGGTTTTGCTTTTTCTTTAAAATTCCTTACTTGGTGGAATAAAAAGTCAGTGACCGGTATGGTTCCCTCAATAGGGTTTTTGTTGTTGTTGTTGTTGTTTTTGTTTTGTTTGTTTGTTTTTGAGACAGAGTCTCACTGTGTTGCCCAGGCTGGAGTGCAGTGGCACAATCTTGGCTCACTGTACCCTCCACCTCCCAGGTTCAAGCGATTCTCCTGCCTCAGCCTCCCGAGTAGCTGGGATTACAGGCGCCCACCCCCATGCCCAGCTAATTTTTATATTTTCAGTAGAGACGAGGTTTCACCATGTTGGCCAGGCTGGTCTTGAACTCCTGACTTCAGGTGATCTGCCTGCTTCAGTCTCCCAAAGTGGTGGGATTACAGGCGTAAGCCACCATGCCCGGCCCCCTCAATAGGTTTTTAATATTATATTGGCCCATGAAATTCAAAGACCCAGGAGCCCCTATCTATTTCCTCAATTAGAGAAGAGGAGTGAGGCTGGGTATGGTGGCTCACACCTGTAATCCCAGCACTTTGGGAGGCTGAGGTGGGTGGATCACCTGAAGTCAGGAGTTCGAGACCAGCCTGGCCAACATGGTGAAACCCTGTCTCTACTAAAAATACAAAAATTAGCCAGGTACAGTGGCAAGTGCCTGTAATCCCAGCTACTCGGGAGGCTGAGGCAGGAGAATCACTTGAATGCGGGAGGCGGAGGTTGCAGGGAGCTGAGATGCAGCCACTGCACTCCAGCCTGGGTGACAGATTGAGATTCCATCTCAAAAAAAAAAAAAGAGGTGCAGGAGCTCCCAAGAGGGGCAGGGCGAGGCCTGGTTTCATCACCAGTGAGGTGGGGCTCACGTCCCCTTGTCTTGCCTTTACTGTTCTGTCGGCCTCCACGTCCCGGAGGCCCATCGAAACCACTTCCTTGATCACCTCCTTGTCACACTGATGGCAGGCAAGGCTTCTCAGGTCTTGGATCGCGTCTTGTTTGTTTCCAGTGTCTAGGAGTGGCCAGAACGTTGTCAGTGTCCTATAAAGGTTGGTTGAATAAAAATGATGAATAAAATGTAAAATAATACTCCAGTGAGGGATGGGGAATCTTATGTGTACATTATTTATTTATTTATATCTATGTCTTTGTGATACAGATATGAAAGTTCTAAGTTAATGGTGGGATTTCAAGTGGGCAGGGCCGTATAATGCCTGGCACACTGGTACATGGTAGATGCTCAATAAACATCAAATGAATAAATGAATAACAAATGATGAGTAAAGTCTAAATTATCACCTTGTTAGGGGTGAATGGGTAGCATTTTTATTTTTACAGGCCCTAAAGCTTAAAGTAAGAGAATATTTCTCCATACGTCCTGCAGGGATTTTGTAGCAGGACATCAGAGTCTATAGCACTCCTGGATTTATTTCTCATAGATAGTCCCCTCTTAGTCTGTAAACCAGAGGGCCCCAGGCCGGCCCCTTTAGAAGGTGCGCTCTGTGCCCCCTGCCCCTTGGCCTGGGCATCAGTGGCCCAGAATTTGGGACTTCAGCTGGGAGAGGGAGAGTCGGCCTCTGCCAAAACACGGGCTGCAGCTGACATCTTCTTTAAACACTGAGAGTGTGCTGGGGGCAGCGCCTTGCCCTGAAAGCCTGAAGTTTATCTAGCTGGAGAAGAGAGGCTGGAGTGTTTACATCTGCTGTGGTCCTGGTGTACACAGAGCTCTTAACACAAAACGTGCTCATTTCTCAACATCGGGCTCCAGCAGAATCTGTCCATCTATGGCAGGTGGAGGAGGAAGTGGGTGAGGCTTGTCTTAGGAGAGGACGCCCTGACACCCACTGGCTGGTTGGGTCACGGGGGAGTCATCCCAGAGCCAGCCTGGATATTGCAGACAGAAGGAACTTGGCGTCTGCTCTGGGTGCTGGCGGATGTGGCAACACGTGCTGTGGCATGGCTGAGGTGAGGACAGGAGTTGGAAAAGGGCCTGCCTGCTGAAAGGCTCCAGTCCTGTGTGTTGTGGTTGGGTCTGTCACTGAGCAGCTGCTCCGAGGCTCAGCCCAGAATTAGAAGAAAGGGTCACATCTCCTCCTTCAGGAGGCTCCTGGACAAGCTGGGTAGCCAAGACCCAGCCTTGCAGAGAGAACTCACCATACCCTTCTGTCAAATGGGTGATGCGTGAGCTTCAAGCTTCAGAGGAGGGAGGAAGAGGTCTTTAGGGGTGGCGGAGAGTGAGCTTGAGTGGCTCTGGGAGGTCATGAGGGAGGGGACATGGGAATGAGCCCCAATCCTGAGAGAAAGGTCAGAGTAGCCTGGGGGAGCCAAGGGTTCCTTCAGGAGGGTAATGAGAGTTGCAGCAAGTATAAATCTTGTCACAACCCCAGGAGTGCAAGAAACATCCTCTTTCTTTATACCCTGAAAAGCAACTTGATCTTGACTCTGAGTCCTCATCTCGTCCAGCTGGCAGGGAAATCCAACTTATTACTCCTGGGCTCCCACTATCCCCCTCCTGGTGCCGTCCATAGTGCCAGGGCATCTGGGGTGTGCCTTTACTGGTCATTAATCTACACAGGTCACTTTGGAGATGCCTGCTGTCCATTTCTGCAGGGTTCTTGAGGAAGGGGGTGGGGGCTGTTGTTTCTGAGACAATCCTGGGCCCTGGGAGTTTGGCGCTTAGTTGGGCATTGGGTCCTGGAGGCCCAACTTCCCAGAGCTCCTCTCCTTCTCCCATCTTGGCCATTCCTCTCAGGGCATTGCTAGGGGGAGGAACTGAACACCCACTTCTCCTGGCCCCACGGTCCTCTCTTCTCCCAGCCCTCTCTGGAAGTCCTGCTTCGTTAAAAATTCAGCTTCTTCCCCCAAATCCCACCATCCTTCATGCTCTTTCATGATGTCTTTGATAAGACCGAGAATACTGGCAACCAAAAAAACCATTCTGCTTTCCTCCAGGACATGCAGACCTTTCATCTTCAGACCTTACTAAGAAGGGAGAAAAATATTTGCCTTCCATCCCTGGAGCATGGCAAAGAAAGGCAGGAAAAACTAAAGCTAGGTTTCCATATTAAAGCTTTGGAATATCCATTTCCTGCCCAGAGATGAGCCTGGAGAGGGAGAGTGAAGGCTGATGGAGAGAACCTTGAATGCCCTTTCTGGGGCCCCTTGTCTGAGGCCATCTTACCAGTCCTTCAAGGACCCCTCAGATGCTACCTCCTCGAGGATGCATGTGACCTTTGGGTCAAACGACTTTCTTTTTTTAATTATTATTATTATAAAATTAGATACAGGGTCTCCCTGTGTTGCCCAGGCTGATCTTGTACTCCTGGGCTCAAGGTCCTCCTGCCTCGGCCTCCCAAAGTGCTAGGATTACAAGTGTGACCCACTGCGCCAGTCCCCATATGGCCTTCTTGACCACTGATGTTGCCCCTGGGGTGGTACACTTGGGGTAATTTGCAAAACATTTTTTCCCTGCCCATATCATAGTAGGGGAGCTGACAAGAGCCCATCCCAGGCTTGGCTGTGTTTGAAATTACAGTTAACTAGTTCTCATGATATCAATTTAGGTTGCTCCAGTTCAATTCCAGTAAAATGACATCATAAAGCTGGGGGATTTGGAAGACTCCCTGACCAATGGAATACAGCCATAAAGTAAGGTGTTACATGCCTTCAATTCATGTTGGAATACCACCTAGTCTTTGCCATACTTTGTATAACATTTTTTCACTCAGCCAAAAATGTGTCTGGACCCATATAGGCTTTTCCTTCTATCCCCACTGGTCCAGGTCACCATTACAACCAGATTTGCTGCAATAGCCTCCTCACTACCTTCTGCATTCACTCGCTCTCCTCTACTCCATTCTCCACGTCTGCTCACAGTGATCTCTCCAAAAACACAACCTGACCAGGTACTTCCTGCTTTGAGCTCTTCAAAGACTCATTGTTCTCATGGTTAAGAGGAAATAGCCCTGCTCCTTCACCAGCTGGGACGGCTCACGCTCCCTCAGGAACCACTTCCCCTTCTTTCCTTTAGAAACAGAACCTCCCTGCCTGTTAGCTGTCACCTGGCTGACCAGCTAAAGTCTGCATTTCCAAGACTCCCTTCCAAGCTACATGTGGTCACATGATTAAGATCTGGCCAATGAGATGTGGGCAGAAGTGACACACACACACACACACACACACACACACACACACACAAAACTTCACAGTCTCATCTTTAAAGAGGGAGCTGCTGACTCCCCACTTCCTACTGGAGGGCAGTGGCAACAACAGGGACTTCCATCTTGAATCCACAGAGGGAAGCCATATTGAGGATGGCAGAGCCTGGGGAGGTCTCAGGGCTCTTATGTGAAAAAGAAAAAGGAAACAGGTTGGGCATGGTGGCTCATACCTGTAATCCCAGAATTTTGGGAGGCCGAGGCAGGTGGATCACCTGAGGTCGGGGGTTCAAGACCAGCCTGACCAACATGGAGAAATCCCATCTCTAATAACAATACAAAAAATTAGCCAGGCGTGGTGGTGGGCACCTGTAATCCCAGCTACTTGGGAGACTCAGGCAGGAGAATCACTTGAACCCGGGAGGTGGTGGTTGCAGTGAGCTGAGATTGCACTCCAGCCTGGGCAACACAGGGAGACCCTGTCTTGCCTGTTTTTCGAAACTCCGTCTAGAAAAAAAAAATAATAAAGGAAACAAAACAAAACAAACTTCTCTCTTGTTTGAGGCACTGCATTTTACATCTTGGGGACCCTTTATGATGGCATGTAACTCTAAATAAACACTAGCCTTCAAGAACTTCTTTGATGCTTCCACAGGTTAACTATTTTTGTTCTACATTCTAATAGCATTCCTGTGCTTTTTTTCTTGTTAACATCCTGATCCATCACATGTATTCAAAGTGTGTTTTCCCTACCATACTAGGAAATCCACAAAGCCAGGAATGATGATGACAGCCTTGATGACAGCCTTGATGACAGCCTTGATGACAGCCATATCCTCCCTGTCCTCCACTGTGATTGGCTCAATGATAACTTCTAATTAAATGAATGAATGGTGCGCCGATGAATGAACACACTGGAACAACTTGGATATGATACCATGCATACTTTTTGCTGTAAGTAACAGTAACTTAAACAAATATCTTTCTCACATAACCAGGCATCTGGAAATAGGTGATTCTGTGAGAAACAGCTCAGTGATGTCAAAAGCTCTTTGGGAACTTTGATTTTTCTTGGCCTTCCCCTCATAGCTGCAAGAGGGCTGCAACAGCTCCAACAATCTTTTTATCTAACTGCACTCTCATCCCAGGAAAGGAGCAGGAAGGAAAATAAGTCTCCTTCTAGGCTTCTCTCTTTTGGTCAGGGAGGAAAGCCTTCCCCAGGATTCCCCCCAGCAGATGCCCCTCACATCTAATTGGCCAGAACTAGGTCACATGACCACCCCAGGCCACATGGGAAGCTGAGAAAGGGAACTTCTTCCTTCTTCAGGACCCAGTGGGAATAAACCAGTTCTAACAGCCCTTGCCCCTCCTTGCCCAGGTGGTCCCATTTGGGAAGCCCCAGGGACAATGGGGTATCACGATCTGGTCACAAATAAAAAGCCATGCCTTGTGCTTGATGCTTGCTGGAGGATATCACATTCTGTCTCTTGAAATTCTCTCCCTTGACACTGGCCCACCCAGCCTTTCCCTTGACTCTGCCCATAAGCTCACCTGTTTCAGTGCAATCAGTGATTGTTATCTCTGTGGTTACAGCGTCGCTACTATTTACTGAGCACCAGCCACGTGCCTGGTGACTGAACAAGTTGCATAACCTCTTTGTGCTTCCTTTTCCTCACCTGTAAAATTTGTACTACCTCATGGGATTGTTATGAGATTAAATTAGTTAATACAGACAAAGTGCTTACAACAGTACCTGACACAAAGGGCTAAATAAGCATTTGCTGTTGTGAATTGTTTATATCCTCATTTCACAGATGGAATAAATAACATGTCCAAGGTCACACAGTCGGGGGAACCAACAGTGAAAGCCTGGTTTCTCTGACTCTAGAGCCCACAGCCTTTCTTCTCTTGCTGCCAGGCCTTGCTGTGTCTGCAAGTTTCTCCTCAGTGTCTCAAAGGTGGGATGTCTTGCCACAGACACTATTTACTAATTCATTAATCCACCTCCTCCTGGAAGCCTTCCAGGGCACTTGCTCTCTGCCCCTTGCTGGCTCTGGGAAGGCCCTTCTGGAGAACATGAGAAGCTTCCTCTTGTCTCTTCTGGAGGGCTGGGAAATGTAGGTCCTGCCCGCTATTGTGGTCAGCTGCAAAGACACAACGTCATCCTCCAGAGATGCCCAGCCCTGATGAGGACACTGAAGTCCAGGAAAGGCACTCCCTCCAGGTCAGACAGCCAAGTACTAGGGGAGCCGCAACTGGATCTTAGGCCTCCAGGATGACTGCCCAGCACCCATTCCCTGCTCCGGGCTTCCTCCGTGTGAGCATTTTGCAGAGACAGCGACTCATCCAAAGGAGACCCTTACTCACAGTAGGGCCAAGAATGGGGCTTGCCTGGGAGATCCTGGCCTGAGCATTACAGGGGAGACCATGCCTTACTCATCCCTGACCCTCCACTCCCACTCTGGCTCCTACGTGGGCCCAGCCTCATCCCCTGCAGAGATATGCAGACTGTAGCCTAAGTGCAGGAGTGCCTGTAATACACAGATTATGACACTAGAGGCCAGGCGCGGTGGCTCAGGCCTGTAATCCCAGCACTTTGGGAGGCTGAGACGGGCGGATCACAAGGTCAGGAGATCAAGACCATCCTGGCTAACACGGTGAAACCCTGTCTCTACTAAAAATACAAAAAATTAGCCGGGCGTGGTGGCGGGCGCCTGTAGTCCCAGCTACCTGGGAGGCTGAGACAGGAGAATGGCGTGAACCTGGGAGGCAGAGCTTGCAGTGAGCCGAGATCGTGCCACTACACTCCAGCCTGGGCCACGGGGTGAAACTCTGTCTCAAAAAAAAAAAAAAAAAAGAAAGAAAAACAAACGACACTAGAGGGCAGCCTCACTGCTTTAATCCTGGTGACCACAAAGGCTTTTAAGAAGCCTCCACCAGATTGATGATGATGATGATGATGATGATGATGATAATGATCGTGGTGGTGGTGGTGGCGGCGGTGGCGGTTGAGGCTACTATGTATTGAGCCAAGATGATATATCATCTCTAACCAGCAGGTCTTCTGTGCATACCATGTTCTGCTGTGTTCTGAATTGCAGAAAATGTACCACCTCCATCCAGTTACCCAAGCCTGAAACCTGGGCATCACCATCAGCTTCTTCCTCCTTCCCTCTCTCCACTCTACCACCTACTCCCATCCATTCTATATCCTAAATCTTGTCGCATCCCCATCTCTCCAGGCCCACAGTTTGTCCTTCTCCTCCAACTTTCCATTCGATTTACAGAAAGCCCCAGTCTCCTGCCTCAGGCCCTCATGCAGGCCAGCGGCTCCTGAACTTTGCTGCACATTGGAATTTCCTAGAGCTTCCAAAACTCCAGCTGCCCACGCCACACATCAGACCAATTAAGTCAGGATGTCTGGGGGTGGGAACCAGGTATCGGTACTTTTTTTTTTTTTTTTTTTTTGAGTCAGAGTTTTGCTCTTGTTGCCCAGGCTGGAGTGCAATGGTGTGATCTCGGCTCACTGCAACCTCTGCCTCCCGGGTTCAAGTGATTCTCCTGCCTCAGCCTCCCGAGTAGCTGGGATTCCAGGTGCACACCACCACCCCGGCTAATTTTGTATTTTTAGTAGAGATGGGGTTTCTCCATGTTGGTCAGGGGGATCTCGAACTCCTGACCTTAGGTGATCCGCCTGCCTTGGCCTCTCAAAGTGCTGGGATTACAGGCATGAGCCACCATGCCCGGCCATGCATCAGTACTTTTTAAAGCTCCCCAGGTTGTTCCAGTTTGCAGCCATGTTTAGGCATCACTGTGCTCTCTCTCTGAGACCCTCTTCCACGTCCTTTTAGCTGGGCAACTCGATAATCAGGCGGGTCTCTAACATTGCTGCCGAGCCTGAACAGCACAGAGCCATCGACTGCTCCTCCCCACAGCCACACTTAGTACGCTGCATTGTGACTGCTTCTTCAAACACCTGCCTCCCTACCCGTCACCACCAACTGCCCTCCCTCCACTGAGAGAAAGGATTGGGCTCCCTGATGCATGTGTGTGCAAACACGGGAATGGAACAAATCTTTATAAGAACACAAGAAGTGAGTTTTATTATTCTTAGCAATTTTGAATTTTGCCCCAGGTTTTTGTTTTTGCAGTGATCTGTTTACAGTGTTTAAAGCATAAAGAGATACATTTTCTTTTCAAATACAGATGTAGATATAAAAACACCTGTACTTAATACTCTCAAAGCCATTTTGTTCTATTTTCTACTTGAAATTTCCAAGCTGTGGCTAATCCTTACCCACGGACCTTGACACTGTGGAAAATACCCCCCAATGCTTATGATGTACGGAAAACCAAAACCAAAACAACAATTTTAACCAGGAGGTGAAAGCAGGGGCAGATGGGCTGAGTTAACCCACAAGTGTCTGTGGCTGGGGGGTCCTGCCTGTGCTGGGGTAGGGGTGGGCAGTGGATACAGGGTTTATCTCAAGGGGCTGGAGCCCAGTATTGTCTCTCCTATAGGGGCTGTACAGGTCAGTGTCCCATTTTACAAAGGAAGAAACCCAGACAAAAGGCTAAATGAATTGTCCAAGATCCTATTACTAATAAGTAAGACAGGGAAAATTCAAACTTGGCTTTAACTGACTATCCATATTCTTTCTACTATATCAGGATGGATCAAAGTTCCAGAGCTGGCTGGGTGCGGTGGCTCACGCCTGTAATCCTAGCACTTTGGGAGGCCGAGGTGCCTGGATCACTTGAGGTCAGGAGTTCAAGACAAGCCTGGCCAACCTGGTGAAACCCTGACTGTGCTAAAAATACAAATATTAGACAGACATGGTGGTGTGCACCTGTAGTCCCAGCTACACGAGAGGCTGAGGCAGGAGAATCCCTTGAACCTGGGAGGTGGAGGGTGCAGTGAGCCGAGATGGTGCCACTGTACTCCACCCTGGGTGGCAGAGCAAAACCCTGTCTTCAAAGAAAAAAGAAAGAAAAGGCTGGGTGCAGTGGCTCATGTCTGTAATCCCAGCACTTTGGGAGGCTGAGACAGGTGGATCACTTGAGGTCAGGAGTTTGAGACCAGCCTGACCAACATGGTGAAACCCCCTCTCTACTAAAAATACAAAATTAGCTGGGCGTGGTAGCAGGTGCTTGTAATCCCAGCTACTTGGGAGGCTGAGGCAGGAGAATTGCTTGAACCTGGGAGGCAGAGGTTGTGGTAAGCCGAGATGGCGCCACTGCACTCCAGCGTGGGCAACAGGAGCAAAACTGTCTCAAAAAAAAAAAAAAAAAAAAAAAAAGTAAAAAGTTCCAGAGCTGCTTTCACTTCACTCTTTAATTTTGCTTAATTTAATCTTTATCAAATTGATATATTTATATAGTTTAAGAAGTCAAATAATACCATAAGACTAATAGCAATAGAAAGTTTTCTCCTCTAATACTTCCCTAATCTTGATTCCTGTCCCCAGAGGCAATTGATTTCAATTCTTTTAGTCATTTTTTCTGGAATTTATATCTATATGTCTTAACATAATAACATGATTATTTAATTTTTCTTTAATAGTTAAAAATGTTTTTTTTTTTAAACAGAGTCTCCCTCTGTCACCCAGGCTGGAATGCAGTGACGCGATTGTAGCTCACTGCGGCCTTGAACTCCTAGGCTCAAGCAATTCCTCTGCCTCAGCCACCTGAGTACCTGAGACTACAGGCATCTGCCACTGCACCCAGCTAATTTTTTTTTCTTTTTCTTTTTTTTTTTTTTTTTTTGAGACGGAGTGTCGCTCTGTCCTCCAGGGTGGAGTGCAGTGGCGCGATCTTAGCTTACTTCAAGCTCCGTCTCCCGGGTTCACGCCATTCTCCTGCCTCAGCCTCCCTAGTAGCTGGGACTACAGGCACCCGCCACCACGCCCGGCTATTTTTTTTTTGTATTTTTAGTAGAGACGAGGTTTCACCGTGTTAGCCAGAATGGTCTCGATCTCCTGACCTCGTGATCCACTCGTCTCGGCCTCCCAAAGTGCTAGGATTACAGGCGTGAGCCACCGCACCCGGTCATTTTAAAAAATGTTTCAAAGAGATGAGGTCTCAGTATGTTGCCCAGGCTGGTCTCGAACTTGTGGGCTCAAGTGATCCTCCCACCTCAGCCCCCTAAAGTGCTGGGATTATAGGTGACGCCACCATGCCTGGCCTTACTTTTTTCTAGTTTTAATGGCTTTGATCAGCACATCCTTCATTTGAAGTCTCTACTTTTCAGAATTTATTAAAATTTCCACAAGTACATGACTACTTTTGGTAAACTTTCCATGGGCATATGAAAAGGATATATATTTTGTATTCGTGGCGTTAAAAATTATTATTATTATTATTATTTTAATGAGATGGAGTCTCGCTCTGTTGCTGAGGCTGGAGTGTGGTGGTTCGTTCTCAGCTCACTGCAACCTCCACCTCCCAGGTTCAAGTGATTCTCCTGCCTCAGCCTCTTGAATAGCGTGGGCTACAGGCATGCACCCTCATGCCTGGCTAATTTTTGTATTTTTTTAGTAGAGACGGGGTTTCACCATGTTGTCCAGGCTGATCTTGAACTCCTGACCTCTCAAACTCCTGACCTCGAGCCATCCGCTCACCTTGGCCTCCCAAAGTGCTGGGATTACGGGTGTGAGCCACTGCACCCGGCCAAAAATTCTAAATGTACCTATTAAACTGAGTTTATTGATTTTATTGCTCAATCCTCTATACATGATTATTGTTTGCTTACTTGATATATCAAGTTTTGAACATGTATATTAAAATGTCCAACTATATTGCTTTATTAATTTTGTCTGCATTTCTAGGAATGTTTACCTTATATATTTGGCTGCTACGTTATTTGGTACATAAAGATTTCTAGCTTTTCCAAAGGTTTTTCTTTTTTTCTTTCTTTCTTTTTTTTTTCTTTTTCCTTTTTTCTAGACAGGGCCTGGCTCTGTAACCCAGGCTGGAGTGCAGTGGTGCCATCTTGGCTCACTGCAACTTCCGCCTCCTGGACTATAGATGCATGCTGCCACTCCCGGCTAATTTTTGTATTTTTTGTAGAGACACAGTTTTGCTATGTTGCCAGCCTGATCTCAAACTCCTGAGCTCAAGCAATCCACCCATCTCGGCCTCCCAAAGTGCTGGGATTACAGGCTTCAGCCACGGCTGCTTTTCCAAAGGTTTTTAAGTTACATAATATACTTCGTCCAGTTTCATGCTTTTGTTTTTCTTCTTCTTTTTTTTTTCTTTTTTCTTTTTTTTTGAGACAGGGTCTCACTCTTCACTTAGGCTGGAGTGCAGTGGCGCGATCACAGCTCACTGCAACCTCCACCTCCTGGGCTCAAGCGATTCTCCTGCTTCAGCTTCCTGAGTAGCTAGGACTACAGGCTCCACCATGCCTGGCTACCTTTTGTATTTTTGGTAGAGATGGGTTTCACCATGTTGCCCAGATGGTCTCAAACTCCTGGGCTCAAGCAATCCTTCTGCTTTGACCTTGAAATATGCTAGGATTACAGACCTGAGCCACCATGCATGGCCTTTTCATGCATTTTATCTTGTCACATTGATACTAATGTTGTGATTCTGATTTTTTTTCGTAGGCTGCTTTTGCTTGGTATCTCTTTGCCTATTCCTTTATTTTCAACTTTCCTTTTTCACTTTGTTTTTGGTACATCTTACATTAACCACATATAGCTAGATTATTTTTCAATGCAACTGACAATCTCTTGAATAGGTGCATAAACCCATTCATATTTGTTGTAGTAACTGAAATACTTTTCTTCCTTTCATCATGTTTTACATTTATGCTTTATTTTGTGCAACATGGTTCTTTTCTCTTTATCTCATTCTTTCCTTTTTTTTTCTTGGTCAAATTCTAGAATACCTGCTTTTGAGTTTCTAACCACCTTAAAGTTTTAGTTCTCTAATAATACATAAAAATTAAATAGCTACATTTTCCCCAATAAGATATTTTACTTACTTTTTATTTTTCAAGGTAAGTAAAATTTTTAGAAAGTTTTGTGTTCCCTATTCTCTCCTCTTCTCCACTTAAGGTCCTGGGTTTCATTGATATCATTTAACTTCTTTAGTCTCGGAGTATTTTTTTGTTTTGTTTGTTTTTATTTTTATTTTTTGAGATGGTGTCTCATTCTGTTGCCCAGGCTGGAGTGCAGTGGCATGATCTCGTCTCACTGCAGCCTCTACCTCCTGAGTTCCAGCAATTCTCCTACCTCAGCCTCCTTAGTAGCTGAGATTACAGGTGTGCACCACCATGCTTGGCTAATTTTTTTTGTGTGTGTGTGTGTTTTTAGTAGAGATAGGGTTTCACCTTGTTGGTCAGGTTGGCCTCGAACTCTTTCCTCAAATGATCCACCCGCCTCAGCCTCCCAAAGTGCTGGGATTACAGGTGTGAGCCACCTCGCCAGGCCTGTTCATTTGTTTTTAGGGAAACATTGTGTTTAATGGTAAAGCTTAGCACACCCCAGCACCAGGAATGGCATGGAGTCGCAGCAGCAGGGACAGGCAGGTGATCCCCACAGAGCCTCACATGGCGAAGAGGATGAGGAAGGTAACCATCAAACGGAACAGCCCCGTGGCCTCAGACAAGGCAAAGCCCAGAATGGCATAGGAGAAGAGCTGCTGCTTGAGAGGTGGGTTCCTGGCATAGCCAATGATCTAGCTGCCAAACACAGTTCCAATGTCAGCCCCTGAACCAGCCACACCAACTGTGGCTGCCCCAGCACCAATCAACTTGGCTGCTGTGTCAATGTCCCCAGAGACAACACTGGTCTGGAACTTCTGTCTGGCCCCTGGAGTAGGGAGTTGCTGTAGGAAGCTGTTTAGATGAATTCTCTGGGCTATTCAAGAAGGAGGCAGACACAGGCCCGATTAGACCCCTGGTACAACAGCAGATCAGAGCTGGAGAAATGAGTAGTGCCCTGGTGGTCTATATTTTTTCAGTCTCCCAGCTTTAGCCCTTGGTCTCAGCTGTCTTGGAGTATTTTAAAATATGGATTATTTATTCCAAGAGTTCTCACTTAAAAACATATCTATATCTACACACACACATCTCATACCCAGTCATGTTATCATAATCCATTTAGGTTTTTTTTTTTTTTTTTTTTGTGTGTGTGTGTGTGTGTGTGTGTGTGTGTGTGTGTGTGTAGAGACGAGGTCTTGGTATGTTGCTCAGGCTGGTCTTGAACTCCTGGGCTCAAGAGATCTTCCTGCCTTGGTCTCCCAAAGTGCTGGGATTACAGGCATGAGCCACCATGCCCAGCCCTAGATTTTTTTAAAAAAATAAATTTTATTGTGTATATTTAAGGTATACAAGGTGATATTATGGGATACATATAGATAATAAAAAGGTTACTATTATGGAGCAAGTTAATATATCCATCATCTCAGTTACCTTTTTTTTTGTTTTTATGGCAAGAACAGCTACATCTACTCATTTAGCATGAATCTCATTGACTGTACAATTTTATTACCTAGAGCTCTAAGTAATAAAATTAGATCTACATTTTATTAGATCTACCTACATTTGATCTCTAGACTTCTTCATCCCTCAAGTCTAGTACTTTGTGTTCTCTACCTATGTCTTTCCATTTCTTTCTCCCTCACTCCCAGCTCCTGGTAACCACTGTCTGGTTCTCTATCTTTGTATATTTCAGTTTTTAAAATGACTCCATATATAAGTGAGATCATGTAATATTTTTCTTTGTTTGGCTTATTTCACTTAGTGTAATATTCTCCAGGTTCATCCATGTTGCGGCTAATGGCAAGATCTTGTTCCTTTTTAGGGCTGAATATATGTGTATATATGTATGTTGTATACATGTACCAGTTTCTTTCTTCATTCATCTGTGGACAGACACTTGGGTTGTTTCCATATCTTGGCTATGGTGAATAATGACACAATGAACATGGGAGTGCAGTTATCTTTATGAGGTGGTGATTTCACTTCCTTTGTGTATATGCCCAGAAGAGGGATTGCTGAGTCCTATGGTAGCTGTATTAGTCCATTTTCACATTGCTATAAAGAACTTCCAGAGACTCAGTAATTTATAAAGAAAAGACGTTTAGCTGACCCACAGTTCCACAGGCTGTACAGGAAGCATGGCTGGGGAGGCCTCAGGAAACTTACAATCATGGCAGAAGGCAAAGGGAAAGCAAGCACGTCCTACATGTCTGGAGAAGGAGGAAGAGAATGAAGGGGAGGTAGTAGACACTTCTAAACAACCAGATCTCATGAGAACTCACTCAGTATCACGCGAACAGCAAGGGGAAAACCCTCCCCCCATGATCCAATCACCTTCCACCAGGCCCCTCCTCCAATGCTGGGGATTACAATTTGACATGAGATTTGGGGAGGGACACAAATCCAAACCATATCGGTAGCATTCATTTAGATTTAACTATATCTATTGCTCACTACTGTTTTCTGTTTGTCTTCCCCCATCTTGAAATTTCTGCTCTGATTTAAATTGCCATTTGGGGCCAGACACAGTGGCTCATGTTACAGGATCCTTGAAGGTGCCGCTTCGCCAACCAGAAACCTCTGTGGCCGGTGGCGCCTTTGCCTGAGTTTTGCTTGGGCCCACTGGGCTCCTTCCATGTACTTGGCCTGGCAGGCTGCGCTTGACTTGCGCTACTGGCCTGGATCCCATGCCTACCAAGGGCAAGCCAGGAACAGAGCGGTAAAGGGTGCGTGAGTGAGTGAGCATGGGGTCTGGCCACTGCACACAGCCAGGCATGCCAGCGTTGGTGGGGTGGGCAGCTCCAGGCGCCAGCATGGGTGCTGGCTCCCTGCAAGGCTGCAGCTGGACCAGGCATACCACAAGTGGCCTCCAGTGTGGGCACCTGGGAATGCAGTGGTGCCCGGAAGCTTGGGGAATGCCAGGAACCACAGAGCCCCAAACAGGGTGTCACAGCCCTGGCTTGGGGAGCTCCTAGGTCTGAGCTCCCCAAAGGGCTGCAGCTCTTCTCTCCTTCTTGTGGTCCACAATGTGGCAATCCAGGGGGTGGTTGTGTTTCAGCCCGTTTGTGTTACAGCTCTTTCAGTCCTGCCATTTGGCCAGGTCCCGAGTTCTTGTCCTGTGTCCAGGAAGAATGAGGCACATGGATAATTGGAGGGTGAGCAAGGTGAAGAGGTGCTTTATTGAGCAATAGTGCAGCTCTCAGGAGACCTAAAGTGGGTAACTCCTTTCTGCAGGCAGGTTGTCCCGATGAGTGCAGCTCTCAGCAGAGAGGAGACCTGGAGTGGGTAGTTCCTATCCATAGGCAGGTTGTCCCGATGTCTCTGTGAGTCTGGTTGAGTCCAGGGTTTTTACAGGCTTCAGAAGGGAGGAAGTGTGTGCTGATTGTTTCATGGGAGGCCATGGGTGGGCCCGGAAAAAACACCATTAAGTTCTCGCTCTGGGCTGTCGACTCTACCCAGAACTGACAGCCTGGCCCTGTGCTTTAGGCCGTCCATGGCTTGAATGTGGGGCTTCACCAGGGACCTGCCCCTTTCCACCCAGGAGTCTATCTGCCTCCTGCCACCATCTACATGTCATCCATGGCACCCAGGCTGTTCCAGCCGAGGCCTGGCAGGCCAGCAGGCCCAGGCTGAGCCACACTCAGCCCCACCTCAGCCTCCCTCCCAGGCTTGTTTGTGCCCAGAGTCCGGAAGGGGCTGAGGCGGCAGGGGGCTGGCATATCAGCACCATCCAAGCATGCGCACACCTAGCCGGGTCACGAGAGTACCCGGGCTTGGCCACAACTTTGCTCCGTAATTGGAGCAGGCACTGGGAGCAGGAAGACGCCAGGCAGTGGGAGCAGGCACTTCAGAGCCTGCAGGGCAGGGGGCTTCCCGGGCCTCTGAGAGTGCAGGGATGCTTGGGTCTGCAGCTGTAGCTGGGCAGCTGCAGCTGTGCCTGGGAGGGCAGGGCTCCCACCCCGCCAACTCGGAAGGAGGTGGGGCTCCCATCTGTTTTTGGCTCCCACCAGCTCTGTGGAGCACGTAGCCCTGGCTGAGCTATGGAGACGGAGTCTTTCTCTCTGTAGGCCAGGCTGGAGTGCAGTGGTACAATCTCAGCTCACTGCAACCTCCACCTCTCAGGTTCAAGCGATTCTCATGCCTCTGCCTCCTGAGTAGCTGGGATTACAGGCGCATGCCACCACACCTGGCTAATTTTTGTATTTTTAGTAGAGACAGGGTTTCATCATGTTGGTCAGGCTGGTCTTGAACTCCTGACCTCATGATCTGCCTGCCATGGCCTCCCAAAGTGCTGCAGGTTATAGGCGTGAGCCACTGTACCTGGTCGCATTTTATATTTTTTAAAATGCGAAAATCTTATTGGAAGCTTATGTCCCATTGGCCAGAACTGTGTCATCCAGCAAGGGGAGCTGATAACGAGTACATTTTACTTTTCCAGTCTCCATAGTGGAGTCAGAGAAGGGAATGGATGGAAATGGGGCTGAGTAGGCAGCCAACAGCAGCTGCTACATTTCTTCATCTTGGATTTCGCCTCCACGTCTCTTCTCTTTCCTTTCAGATTCCCACTTCTTTGTGTTTTTGCTCTATACTGCAAGATGTCTCTCTCCCAATATCTTCCAGACCACTGATTCAATTCCCAGCATTTACTGTCTTCTAATGAATTGCTATATTTGAAAGTCATGTATGTTAGTTTGCAAGAATCTTTTTGAGTGTGCTGTGATCACATCTTGAGAGTTCCCATACCCTTTTCCCTCCTTTTTCTTTGAGGTTCTTTTCTGCCTTTCCTACTAGTTCACCTGGGGCTTCCTCCTCCGTGTTACCGAGTCTTCTTAAACAGGTGCGATTTTTCTTTACTTGCTCATGTTTTTTTCCTCTTGGTTCCCATAGGGACAAGGCTGTTGATATTTCTAGAGTAGGGCAAAACCAGTAAGTGCTGGAAGATCATTTACTTTGTTTTCTCCTGGGCCCATGGCGAGGGAAGGGTCTGGCAAACTGTCACTTCTTCACTCTCTCCATCTCACTTGTCCTCAGAGTCTCACAGCCAGCTAGGATCCATCAGTCAGCAAGTGCCGTTTCCCCTGCTCCACAGACGTCAGGTGGGTAGGGCAGGCCCCCAAGGACCACGCACAGCCTGCAGCAGAAGCAGCCCTTCCCCGAGAAGAGTTCTGCTGGTGGGGTCATCTCCAGGCACCAGAAATTCCGTGCCAACTGATGCCTTCTCTCTGCTGGCCTTTCAGCTCTCGCTCAGGAGACAGAAGCCCCAAACCTGTTCTTGTCCTTGGAGAGGTAGGGGCTCTCCTGGTCTTCAGGTGCACCTCAGGGCTTCCTGATTATGTTACCCAAAGAGTGAGTGAACTGACAGGGTAAGGGAGGTGAGGAACACTGGCATTTAACGCTTCATCATGGGACTTTCAGGATCACTGGAGCCATATTTATAAAGGTTTGACTGTTGCTTAATGCCTCCATATTTGCTGTACAAACAGATGTTGTAAATCCAAGTGCATCTTTCCTGTTTCCCAAAACAGGCCTAGCAAGGCTTCTCTGGAGGCATTCTGTCAGTAGTTTGATTGAATTAGATGAGTGGGTTGTGAATAGAGTTCAGACAAAAGGATGGTATAGGAAATAAAAGAATGCATCACATGGTAAGGGCGAGTTTGTTTCAGGCTCAGTTGCGTGATTCATATGCACATTGTGCTATAGTATATCATACATTTCCAGGTAATGTTAAAAACATATGAGCAATGCTAAGTTAGAGGACGTTCTGGGGGCAGTTGACGTGGTTTCCCGAGAGAGTGAAATTGGAGGGAGTTTAGATCCTTTACTAAAAGAAGTCTATGACCCCTCTAGCTCCAGCTGACTTTAATTACAAGGTACCCTCACAGCAGTTACACTGCACTATAACTAACCACTAAATAGTAGGTGAAACTGTGCACCCACAGTGAATTTTTCAGCAGCCCCCAGCAGTGGTCTTTACCCAGCCCCCTTACTTCTATCCCCCAGGAATTCAAGGCTGACTTGGTTTCTCTGCAGTCGTTGTGAAATGCTCAGGGCCGTTTGCTCTGGCAGAGTGAGAAACTTTGGGCAAAAAATCTGAGACTGTCTCCTCCTGGGTAAACCTGGGAGAATCCTTCCTGTCTTTTTCTCCACACAGAGTGATTATGATGACCCATGAGAAAGAAAAACAACGGTTTAGTCGACACATGTTGTAACAGAAGATTATATTTTGTTAATGAAGCGCCATCTGTTTTTTTCTGAACAAGGCTGAGAGGGATTTGGGTGTGTAAGATAGAAAGTAGGTGCTGCCGCTGAGCTGAGCTCAGTAGACAGGAACGAGGAAGTTAAAATGCCCTGAGGGAAAATATAGGAAGTAGGAGAAAGCCAGAAAGTCTGGGAGCAGAGAACTGACGCCTCCAGGAGACCCAACAAGATTGTCATCAAATGGTGACTGAATTTCAGGGGAAGCCTGGGGAAGGACAGAATTCTGCTGAATTCTGCAGAAGTCTTCAGCTGTCAGAAGTCTGAGGTGTGACTGCCAGAGAGTCAGCCCTCATGGCTGAGGGGACAGCTGGCTTCCATGTTTAATGAGCATCTACCTGTGTCCAGCACCCCTAGGCACCCAGACACTGGGGTGGCATCTGGAAGTAAGACGGTTCTTTCCACCCACAGTGCTGACAATCCAGCAAGGAAGGGGGCACTCTCCGAGTAAATCTGCACTTGGAAAGTGCTCTAATATATGAGGTGGAGGTGCTTTGTCAACTGCAAACTGTGAAATCCACCTTTAAGGGCTGCTGGCGTCCCATAGCAACCAGCACATGGCCAGACGCTGTGGTTCCTTTACTGCTGCTCATGAACCAGCAGATCCATGTGTGTTTTTGAATGTAAAAGCCTTCCAGCCCTTCTTTTGCCCACCTTCCTCTATAGCCACAGGCTCAAATCCAGACCCCATTTCAGTGTCCCCTAGTACTCTATCCTTGGTACCCTCAGACTGCCCTGGGAGCACAGCTAACTTCCCTGAGGCTCCCCTCCCCCAGCAGCACCCAACCTTTCCCAGAGCAGCTGCCCTGCCCTCCTGAATGACAGATGGAGCTGCTCGGGGCATGATGCCCGGGCACCGGGGCATCCAACCTCTTCCAGTGTGAGTCAGGCAGGCCTGGTCCAACATCCCATCAGCCAGTGCTCCCCAGCTGCTTCCCCGGAATGCCTGGCTGAACCCCAACAAGGCCAGCCCCTGCAGGCAGATGGCTCTGAGACTCTTCCTCTGTCAAAGCTCTGCAAGATGTCCCGGTGCAGTGGCTCATGCCTGTAATCTCAGCACTTTGGGAGTCCAAGGCAGGTGGATCACCTGAGGTCAGGAGTTTGAGACCAGCCTGGCCAACATGGCAAAACCCCGTCTCTACTAAAAATACAAAAGTTAGCCAGGTGTAGTGGTGGGTGCCTGTAATCCCAGCTACTTGGAAGGCTGAAGCAGGAGGATTGCTTGAGCCTGGGAGGCGGAGTTTGTGGTGAGGTGAGATTGCACCACTACTGCACTGCAGCCTGGGTGACGGACAAGAGACTCTGTCCACATCCCCCCCCGCCCACAAAAAAAAAAAAAAAAAAGCCCTGCAAGATCAGCCTGGAGTCTCCTCATCTGGAAGGGCCCCTCTCCTGTGGAGATAAGAGGTGTGAATGGCATTTTCTCAGCCTGCCAGCCACCTGGCATTGGCTACTTACAAGAATCTCTCAACTGGAAAACGTGCAAAGGATAAAAACAGGAAATTTTCAGAACTGTATATCCTCAACCTCACTAATCATCATAGACATGAAAATTAAACAGGATATTTTTCACTTAGAAAACATTTTATTGTGCAATACAGCCCATAAATAGAAGAGGACACAAACTTAAATATATAGCCGTGAGCAATACACCACCCTTTTAGCTTGAGTTTCTCTATCCACTCATGTGGATGTTGGACACAATTATGTCTAAAGATCCTCCCAGCTCTGGGACCTCTTGAATCATCACTACTGTCAGTCTTGGTTTACTGCTAATTCCCTCAATGACCTGGGGAAATAGTCTAACCTGTTTTCTCATTTGTAATTGGGCATACAAACAGCTACACACCCTGCCTCACAGCACTGATTTAGGTGGGTCCAAAAAGATTAAAAGCTTTTTTTTAGGTATAATAAACTATCAAGCAATCCAAAAAATTTTGACAGAGAAAGCCAGCCAGAAGACAGATACCTTACAACGGCGGATGCCAAGTACAGGGCCAGCCCTGCACTGTCAGGAAGGGAAGTGGCCCTGGGGGTCTCTGAGGCTTTCCCTCTGAGGGTGAGGGAAGATTTTGCCTCTACTCTCTGAGGGTTTCATACACACACACACACACACACACACACACACACACACACACACCCGAAAAATGAACAAGTCCCAAAAGATGCGCAGTTGCACCTGGGGTCCAGGCTGGGAAACTAGTCATATGGGAGAAGAATGACTGCATTTTTTTTTTTTTTTTTTTTTTTTTTAGACAGAGTCTTCCACTGTTGCCCAGGCTGGAGTGCAGTGGTGTGATCTTGACCCACTGCAACCTCTGCCTCCCGGGTACACAAGTGATTCTTGTGCCTCAGCCTCCAGAGTGAGATTACAGGCACCCACCACCATGCCTGGCTAATTTTTGTATTTTCAGCAGAGACGGGGTTTCATCAGGTTGGCCAGGCTGGTCTCGAGCTCCTGACCTCAAATGATCTGCCCACCTTGGCCTCCCAAAGTGCTGGGATTACAGGCGTGAGCCACCGTACCTGGCCTGACATCTGCATGTTTCTATTTGAGGAGAACTCCCTTCCACCATGTTCTTTTATAGAGGTGTGACCTCATCCTTACAAATGGAGGTACAATATATTTTGGGAAATAGTTATTATTATATTGAACTTAATGTTGTGTGTGCTGCCCCACATACCCGCCCCACTGGGAGGGTACATCATATTACATCATGAAATGGCCCAGCACCCCTATGCTTAGTGACCCGCTAGCCTTCCCCAACTCATGCACCCAGCCATTACCCAGGGGCAGTGCACAATCAGAGCCTGTCGCCTCAAAAAGGCTCACTGGACACAGTAGAACTCTAGCAGGCTCTGCCAGCTCCTGATCGCATTCCCAGCCCTGGGACCCCAGCCTGGAGTGACCATCTCCTGTAGCATATAACCACTTGCCAGATTCAAGACCCTCTAGTTTGGTTCTGTCATCTGGCCTGGGCCATTGTCCCCAGGACTCCCCAGATGTCCCCTTCTAAAGGCTGAAGATAGTTCCTCTGTGGGTTCCATAGGCTTCATACACCTGCTGGTATCACCTCTCTGCTCCCCCGACCACTGATGGGGATAAAGGCCCAGAAAGCCTGCTGAAGTCTCAGAACTTAAAGAACCTGACTTATGTCCCACTTCCACCCCCAAACACACAGACAGAACCTCAGGGTATGAAGAGCAGTTCCCACCACACTCAATACCTTTCTACATCACCTTCAATGACTGCACAGGGCTCACAGCATGGTTGTGCCAATCACCCAGTAATAGACACCATGGTTGGTCAGTTAGGTCTTCATGAGGCCATCCACTCTCCCCAGCTGGTAGTCAGGAGCAGCCTTTCAGCAGGGAGAGCAGGGGACAGGAGGAAGGACAGGAGTCCTGGGGTGGGGGCTGCAAGGACGGCTGTTCAGTAACCAAAGGTAGGAATGGGCCTAGGGATGCATGGAAGAGGATCTGGGCAGTCGGCCTTCTGTGGGGGCAGTGGTGGGGCTGCAGAAAGGAAGCCAAAAGGAGCAGGGCTTTTAGAGGCAGCTCTCTGAGGGATTTCCAAAACAAGAAGCCGCTGGGGTGACCCAGGCCCTTCTGAGTAATGAGCATTTTGCATGTCCTTGGAGGCTGTTGTCCCAAATCCCCTCGGGCCCAAAGTCACTAAAGTGTGCCCATCACCCCATGCAGGACCCTAAGCGGTGTGATCATAGCCTAGTCTGGTTGTTTGACAATCATTGCAGAATAAGTTGTGTAATTTGCAAAGTCAAGCACAAAACATAAATAATCACTGTTGTCTTTAATTTTCCTCTTAAGTATAGAGCATAAAACTTTGAGGAGGTTGCTTTCAACTTCAAAAGAATTAGGAACTAGTGCCATGGGATAGCATTTCCCGAAGTACATTTCCAGATATGCTAGTTCCTTGAGATGTTAATAGCTGGTGTCTGGGGAAAATGTTGTGTCCTCAAATACAGTTGAGAGAGGCTACACATCCTTCTTTCCTCTTAGAGACACACAATACTGCATCCGTTCTCATTAAAGGCTATGAAGAAGTCCTGCAGTATTTCCCAGACTTATTTAATGGATCCTTTTTTAAAAAACAAACAAACAAACACTTAAAATCTCTTGGAACTACTATTTTGCAGTAACCTGCCTCTCCATGTAAAGTTTCAACTCCAACCAGTATTGAACTGCCAATATTTGAGCTGAGTGTATTGTTCCAATTTGCTTTTTAACCACTTAGTTAAATGATTTTATTCTAACATAGCTGGGGCTACAACTGCATTGGAGTAAAAAGCACATTGCTTGCTGGGTCAGGGGGCACTTTAACTTCTTTTTTTTTTTTTTTTTTTGAGATGGAGTCTCGCTCTGTTGCCCAGGCTGGAGTGCAGTGGAGCGATCTTAGCTCACTGCAACCTCTGCTTCCTGGGTTCAAGCGATTCTCCTGCCTCAGCCTCCTGAGTAGTTGGGACTATAGGCACCCACCACCATGCCCAGCTAATTTTTTGTATTTTTAGTAGAGATGGGGTTTCACTGTGTTATCCAGGATGGTCTCAATCTCCTGATCCGCCTGCCTCGGCCTCCCAAAGTGCCGGGATTACAGACATGAGCCACCGTGCCTGGCCCACTTTAACTTCTTAATGGAGAAAAATCAGTTTACTTCTCTGAACTTCAGTTTCCTCACTTGCCAAATTCCATGAGTTGTGAGATTTAAGAGGTAATTAATTATGTGAAAGCCCCCAGCTCAATGCCTGATGCTAAAGAAATAACTGGTAGAGAATGAATATAGAGCCTTGGGAGTTGAAAGACAGGAGTCATGGAAAACTTGGACAACGGTAGTCCTTTTTCTTTTTCTCCTTTCCCTTTTCCTTTCCTTTCCTTTCCTTTTTCTTTTATCTCCTCTGCTCTCTTCTCCTTTCCTTTCTTTTCCTTTCCTCCCTTCTTTCTCTTACTTCTTTAGAGATGAGGTCTCAACTATGTTGCCCAGGCTGGTGTCAAACTCCTGGCCTCAAGCAATCCTCCTGCCTCAGCCTCTCAAAGTGTTGGAATTACAGGCTTGAGCCACTGTGCCCAGTGAAGTCTCTTTTCTTTCTTTCTTTTTTTTTTGGGGGGGGGGTTTGTTTTTTTTTTTTACTCATCACTCTACTAATGAAGACGAAGTCCCATTTCAAGAATAAATATATAGATTGAAAACTGCAGTATTTGCGGGGAAAAACTAGAGGAAGAGGAAAAGAAGGGGATGGGTATTTGAGTTCCTTTTTTTTTTTTTTTTTTAAAGGATCTATGATGCTGGGCGTGACTCACGCCTGTAATCCCAGCACTTTGGGAGGCTGAGGTGGGTGGATCACGAGGTCAGGAGCTCAAGACCAGCCTGGCCAAGATGGTAAAATGCTGTATGCACTAAAAATACAAAAATTAGCCGGGCACGATGGCAGATGCCTGTAATCCCAGCGACTCAGGAGGCTGAGGCAGGAGAATCACTTGAACCCAGACAGCAGAGGTTGCAGTGAGCTGAGATCGCGCCACTGCACTCCAGCCTCAGTGACAGAGCAAGACCCCATCTCAAAAAAAAAAAAAAAAAAATCTATGAATATAACAGTTAGCATTTGCTGTAAAACAAATTACCCCAGAATTTAGTGCCTTAACCCAACAATCATGTATTAGTTCGTAATTCTGTGGGTTGACAAATTTGGGCTGGGCTCAGCTGGGTGGTTCTGCTGGTCTTGCCTGGATCCACTCACATGGATATAGTTAGCAGTTGGGCTGATGGGCTGGATGGGCTAAGATGGTTTCACTCACATGTCAGGCAGTTGGTGGCTGTCAGCAAGGAGCCATGGCTCTACTTCGTGTGGTCTCTCCAGCAGGCTAGCTCAGAACTGTTCTCATGACAAGTCAAGGCATTTGATTCCTAGGGTTAGAACTCAAACCTCACTTCCATCACGTTCTATTGGTGAAAACAAGTCAGAAGTGCAGCATAGATTCAGAAGGTGGAGAAATAGATTCTACCTCTTGATAGAAGCTGTAAGGAGTTCATGGTCATTTAAAATCTCCCAAATAGGCTGGGCGCAGTGGCTCATGCCTGTAATCCCAGCACTTTGGGAGGCTGAGGTGGGTGGATCACGAGGTCAGGAGATTGAGACCATCCTGGCTAACATGGTGAAACCCAGTCTCTACTAAAAATACAAAAAAAAAAAGAAATTAGCTGGGCGTGGTGGCAGGCACCTGTAGTCCCAGCTACTTGGGAGGCTGAGGCAGGAGAATGGCGTGAACCCAGGAGGCGGAGCTTGCAGTGAGCCAAGATCGCGCCACTGCACTCCACGCTGGGCGACAGAGCGAGACTCCATCTCAAAAAAAAAAAAAATCTGCCAAATAGAGGTTACTCTTGTGTATTTGGTGTTTTGGGAAGAAGTCTATGTGCAAACTCCCTTGTGAATGGTTTCACAACTGCTTGAAAGAGTGTCTTCTTCCCTGTGTTTCCCGTACTTACTTCCTTTACTTCTTGCCCTTCCTCTCCTTTATCGATTCTAATAAGGCTTTCACCCCCACACTCTGTGGAAAGAGCTCTCATCAGGTCATTGTGACTCACACCTTGCAAAGCCAATGGATGATTTTCTGTGCTGCCTCCACTTGACCTCTCCGGGCATAGTAGAAGCCTTGGCGCAGGTTGGAAGGGGAGTTCCCAGGACACTTAGTCCTTTCCCACATCTCTTTCTCCTTCTCCAAGCATCCCTGTCCCCTCACTGGCCTTGTTTTCCTTCTTCCTTACTGACTGTACCTTCTCTGTTTTCTTTGCTGCCTCTCTCCTTCTCAGTGTAGGAGGTCCCAGGGTCGGCCTTTGTCTCTCTTTTCTCTTCTTGCTATACTTTCTCCCTAGATGACCTCATATAGGCCAAAGTTTAAATGGATCAAATGACTCTCAAATCTGTATCATCCAACCCAAACCTCACCTCTGAGCCCCCCAGACAACTGCACCTGGATTTTGAAAAGACATCTCAAAAGATAAAATGGCCAAACAAAGAAATTGAATTTTTTTTAAAGTATATGTGCTGCTGAAACAAGCACAACAGTAATTTGAGTTTTGGCCTAACCTCCCCTGCCACTCTTCTTTATCTCTCTTGCCTTTGTAAATGACAGCAACATCTACCAAGGGATCATCCTTGGTTTCTCTTTTTCTCACACTCCACACCCAAAGCATCAGTAAGCCCTGCTGGCTCTACCTGTAATATATATCCCCAATGCAACTGCTTGTCACTATTTCCAATGCTGTCCTCCTAGTCCAAGTCAAAACCTTCTTGCACTAGGACTGCTGCAACGGCCTCCTAACCAGTCTTCCTCCTCCCTCCCCTTCTGTAGGTTCCCCCAACTCCTGTCCATCCTCCATACAGGAGCCTGCCAAAGCACAAATCAGATTCTGTATCACCTTCCTGCTTCAAACCTACCAATGGCCCTCAGTGAAACTAGAAATAAATCTAAACCATTTTCTAAAGCCAAAGGCTCTTTCGTATGTCTCTGACCTTGCCTCCTTCCACTCTCCCAGGAACCCCTTGCATGAGCCACACAGATCTCTCCAAGGCCTTTCCTGTCCCCTGCCTTTGCACTTGCTGTTTCTTCCACTTAAAAGCTCTGCTCTCAGATCTTTAGCAGGGATCCATATCTGAAATTATACTTTTCTGTTTTTTTTTTTTTTTTTTTTTTTTTTCAGGCAGGGTCTTGCTCTGTTGCCCAGGCTGGAATGTAGTGTTGCAATCATAGCTCATTGAAGTCTCAAACTCCTGGGCTCAAGCAATCTTCCTGCCAGTGACTCCTGAGTAGCTGGAACTGCAGGCATGCACCACTGTGCCCAGATGGTTTAAAACATTTGCTTTTGTAGAGACAGGGTCTCACTTTGTTGCCCAGGCTGGTCTCCAACTCCTTGCCTTAAGCCATCCTCCCACCTCAGCCTCCCAAAGTGCTGGGATTACCAGCGAGCCACTTTGCGGGCTGAAATGATACTTTTCATGTGTCTGTTTTCATGTGTTGCATGTTCCTACAACCCCTCACTCTCCAACAGAATAGAACAGAAGCTCTTGTTTACCTTGTGTATCTTGTTTGCAGTTGTATCCTCAGAGCCTGGGCAGGACTTGACTCACAGGAGAAGCTCGTTGTGCATTTGCTGACTCATCTATTGACTGTGAGAATTATAGCTAAGATTGTTAGAGCTGGAAGAGAAACAGGCCAACCTCATTGTTTCACAGGTGGGGAAACAGAGGCACAGACAGAGACCTTTGCCCAGTGGCATGAATACAGACATACCCAAGTCAAATTGGTCATGCATAATTGTTAGCTTCTTTTTCACAAACTGTAATAGCCATTAAAGGCAAGGGTTAGTCATTTCCCCCTAAATCTCACTGTCAAGTTATCAAGAAAACAGATCTCAGGACGGATTCTGCTGCCCATACGAATGTCTATAAAACAAACATTTATTAGCTAGTAGCCACAAAATTGGTTCATACAACCTTTCTGTGAAACTCAAAAAGGCCCAGCTTTCTGTCCTTTTAGGAGCTCTTCCACCTTGCAAGAAGGGTCTGCTGGAGGAAAATACAATATTCTAAAGGCAGGACTCAGTTTGACTGATGGCTGCATTGGAATACTTTGAGACAGAAGCACTCTCAAGCCTTTAGCTCAGTGTATTATCCATAAGTGAGAATTAGCAGCTTCCCAAGATTCTTTGACACTGTTTGAACAAGGAATGGGTGGTGCCAAAACTATTTTAGCCAATCTAAATATCTTTAATACTGTTAATTTCTCCAAAGGAGACTCATTTCTAATACCTGTTATGCTAATTAATAAGCCCAGAATTTTACCAATCCATTCATTATGCTAATTAGAAAAGCCTTGGGGGTGGATTGAGATATGGATATTTGCATGGGATACTGAGTGATTGTTCCAGACTCTGCATGCCTCTGAACTCCCAAGTTCATTGAAGTGAAGTTGGTAACTTAAAATCAGACATGGTGGAAGTATTTACTTTATGGAAATTGGAATCCCCCACACCAGCTAGTTTTTAAATATTTACCAGTATATCAGTGGATAGCTGAGTAAGTGACTTCTGGAATGTGGCTTTCTGGTAAGATGTTGGCTGACAACCTTACCCTCATGACTACCTCTGTACCAGTGATGCTTAATTCTGGTTGCACTTTAGAAATTACCTGGGGGAGTCCAGACACAATGGCTCATGTCTGTAATCCTAGCACTTAGGGAGGCGGAGGTGGGCTGATGATTTGAGGTCAGGAGTTCAAGACCAGCCTGACCAACATGGTGAAACTTGTCTCTACTAAAATACAAAAATTAGCTGGGTGTGGTGGCGGGGGCCTGTAATGTCAGCTACTTGGTAGGCTGAGGCAGGAGAATCACTTGAACCTGTATAGCGGAGGTTGCAGTGAGTCAAGATCACGCCACTGCACTCCAGCCTGGGTGACAGAGCAAGACTGCCTCTCAAAAAAATAAAAATAAACATAAAAATGAGAAATTACCTGGGGAGTTTAAAAATAATACTGATTACCACGTTCCTGTTGGTGGGGATTTTGACTTGACTGCAGTGGGGCTTGAATATCAGGATACATTTAAAGCTTACCAGGTGCTTTTAGTCTGCAGCTAGGGTTGCATTCACACCTGTGTGTCACACTATGCCACACATTCTAACAGTCCTACAAAAAAGTAATGGCAAAACCAGGATTTGCACCAGGCCTGCTGGCCCCTAGGCCAGAGTTCCTGGCTAAAGGAGGAAAAGTGGGAAACAGATGGCCATTTCTTCTGAGGTCTCAGTGTTTGCAAATGTGGTTCAGGAGGAGCCCTAGTGCTTGGGGTCAGGGTCAGGATTGCAGGTGGGGAGGCACAGTGAAGAAGCCCAGCAGCCAGGGAAAGGCTGTGCCAGCCCCAAAGAGCTCCAAGGCTCTTTGTAGGGATGGCTCACCTCGAGGGCTTAGGGAGAGCTGAGAGGGCTTGCTAAGAAGCTTGTGTGTCACCAGGGAATATTTGAAAGATGAGAGAAAATGCAGCTGGCTGGAGAGGCCAGAAGGGAAGAATAGAAGTCCAGGGGCAACTGGGAAGGAAACCTGATGGAGGTGTGTGGCAGTTTCGACTGTAGTTTAAATATGGAGAATGAAAGGGAACTAGGAGGCTAAACTAGCCTTCCAGGGTATGAAGAGGGTTCCAAGCTTCTATGGGTGGGGAAGAGACTAGCACCTCAAATAATGGGTGTGGACTTAGCTCTGCAGGGCTGGGTGGAGGCTCTAGCCCTCAAAGAGGAATAAAAAGTTAGTCTTCCTCCTCAAAGGACAGAAAGGACAACTTTTTTTTTTTTTGGGGACCGAGTCTCGCTCTGTCATCCAGGCTGGAGTGCAGTGGCACGATCTTGACTCATTGCAACCTCTGCTATCCAGGTTCAAGTGATTCTCCTGCCTCAGCCTCCCGAGTAGCTGGGATTACAGGCACCCATCACCATGCCCGGCTAATTTTTGTATTTTTAGTAGAGCCAGGGTTTCACCATGTTGGCCAGGCTGATCTTGAGCTCCTGACCTCGAGTGATCCCCCTGCCTTGGCCTCCCAAAGTGTTGGGATTACAGGTGTGAGCCACCGCGCCCGGCCAGAATGGACAACTTTTAACACTATGGTAAGATGCCTTCTTGGCCCTCAGATAATCATTTGAGGGCAGCTTGCATTACTCTCTGGTTCTCTTTCCACCTTTTCTTTTCCCTGTTGTTTTTTTTTTGAGACAGGGTCTTGCTTTGTTGTCCAGGCTGGAGTGCCGTAGCACAATCATAGCTCACTGCAGCCTTGATCTTTTGGGCTCGAGAAGTGATACCCCCACCTCACCCTCCCAAGTAGCTGGGACTACAGGCACGAGACACCATGCTTGGCTAATTTTTTTGATTTTCAGTGGAGATGAGGTCTTGCTACGTTGCCCAGACTGGTCTGAAACTCCTGGACTCAAGCAAACCTCTCACCTTGGCCTCCCAAAGTGCAGGGATTACAGGCATGAGCCACTGTGCCTGGCTCTGGTTCTATTTCTCTACCCCACACAAACATCCTCCCAAGGTTTGTTTGTTTTGTACCAGGAAATTGGTTTCCTTTTACCCTTCCAGGCATGGCACTGCCTCCCTCCCCACCCCCCAATCTTGCTTTCTTCCTCCTAGGGCAGAGCTCTGGGGGCTAAAGCCAGCCTGGACTAAGTCTCTGAGTCTGTCCTTCTCTGTTGAGTTTGTGTATGCAGGAGCCCTGGGAACCCAGGACTGGGGACTTGTATAAGAGTGTCGTTCCTGAAATCACCACCAGGGACCCCACCCAGCACTGCTAGAGCTTATGACCTCTGCCATGGATTTAATTACTGAAGGCCACAGCAGGGATTGTCTGGCTCCCAAGTCCCAGGCTGAGCTAGGCTTGGGAGACAGGAAACAACAGTGAGTAAAGCTGGGACCATCTAGCATGAGAGACAGGCTCACAGCCACCTCTGGTCCCAGGCTGAGAAAAGGCCAGGTGGGAGGAGGCTGGGTTAGTGGCTGGCTATGTGCAAGAGAGGGAGCTGCCTCCCTCACCTATAGTTTCTGTTTGTTTGTTTTTTGTTTTTTTGAGATGGAGTCTCCCTTTGTCACCCAGGCTGGAGTGCAGTGGCGGGATCTCGGTTCACTGTAACTTCCGCCTCCCGGGTTCAAGCGATTCTCCTGCTTCAGCCTCCCCAGTAGCTGGGACTACAGGCATGCACCACCCTGCCCGGCTAATTTTTTTTGTATTTCTTAGTAGAGACAGGGTTTCACCACGTTGTCCAGGCTAGTCTCGAACTCCTGACCTCAAGTGATCCGCACGCCTTGGCCTCCCAAAGTGTTGGTATTACAGGCGTGAGCCACCGTGCCCGGCCTTGTTTTTGTTTTTGTTTTGGAGAGAGGGTCTCACTCTGTCTCCCAGGCTGGAGTGCACTGGCACAATCACGGCTCACTGCAGCCTTGACTTCCCTGACTCAAGCGATTCTCCCGCCTGTCTCCCAAGTAGCTGGGACAACAGGCGCGCCACCGTGCCTGGCTTTTTATTTTTTTTAATTATAGAGTCGGCGTTTTGCCATGTTGCCCAGGCTGGTCTTGAACTCCTGGGGCTCAAGCCATTCGCCCTCCTCAGCCTCCCAAAGTGCTGGGATTACAGGCGTGAGTCACCGCGCCAGGCCTTCAACCTAGTTTGAAGATGGGGTTTCCCGGGAGGAACCCTTCCCAAGGCTGGGTTATCACCTGGCAAAAGAAGGGGACTTCCGAGGTCGTTTGGTGAAGGCCTTCAGCAGATCTGTTTCACGAGCAAACTTCAGACTCCAGCTCCATGGGGGCCTATTAGCCCCACCCTGGTCTGCCTCCCTGAGCCTTCCTGAGCCGAGCAACTCCACTTCCTTATTCCATTCACGTTTAGCACACTCATTTGCACTTTCAACACCTGGGCGATTAATTCTTGCCCTTTTCCCAAAGTTTTCCCTCTTGACAAGAGGAAAGCTTGCATTTCTATGTACCCCGATTAGGCACGCTCGCTCTCTCCTTAGAGCACCTCTGGTTCACCTCTCCCACGCCCCCTGCATTAGCACAGGCGTTTCCAGAGTTGCACGCGAGCTCATTTGCAAGACCGTCTCCCCCTCCCATCCCTTCTTGGTCCCCTCTAGGGCCCAGGGCAGCAGCCCCGCCCCTGGCCCGCCCCCTCCCAGACGCTAGGCAGCCGCGGCCTCCCATTGGCCGCCAGGGCTGGCAGGCTTCCCGGCTGGGGCTGTGATTGCCGCGCTCCAGTGTCAGTCCCGGAGAGAACGCCGGTGGCGGGGCTGGTAGCCCGGCAGCCGCAGGTGGGGCCACGAGCGCTGGCTGAGGGACCGAGCCGGAGAGCCCCGGAGCCCCCGTAACCCGCGCGGGGAGCGCCCAGGATGCCGCGCGGGGACTCGGAGCAGGTGCGCTACTGCGCGCGCTTCTCCTACCTCTGGCTCAAGTTTTCACTTATCATCTATTCCACCGTGTTCTGGGTGAGTGACCCCAGTAGGGCCCGGGGATGGGGGTGGGGACCCACAATCCGGCCGCCCCCTCACTGGCCCGGGGTTGGGTCCACACTTAGCCGCTCCAGGGAGTGCGCGGGTGAGCGCGCGCGGACTCCTTGTCTTTCTACCTCACATTCGGGCGGCCAGAGCTCAGCCTGAATTTTCAGCCGCCCTTTCGGGAGTGTGAGAGCCGGTTGTCGACCGACCGAGTGCCACCTGGCTCACCTGTGTGCACCGGCTGGGCGGTTTGCCCGCTGTGCGTCCGCTGGCCGGCTGGCTAGGCTGAGGTGAACGCGCTGGCCGCGCCCACCACGCCTACCCGGTAGGACTGACTGCCTCTGCATCGGCCTGTGGAGCTTAAGTAGTTAGGATTTGCAGTCGGGGTTGGGAGACCTGGATTCCGGGTCTGGTCCCTGCTAGTTACTTGCTGATGCCCCTGAGCGAGACGCTTCCCCGCTCCGTCTTGGTTTCCTCTTTGGTGGATGCACGTGCCTCCTGCGTGGCGAGGAGAAGTCCACCAGACGACGTCTCCTGCACACCTAGGTGCTCAGTTTCCGCTGTCGCTGGGCTTTACCTCCTCCTCTGCCTTGTTAGGGGGCAGGATGGTAGTGTTTAGACATGAACCAAGCTTTGAATTCCGTCGCTCCGAGTGGTCTTTTATTTTATATTTTATTTTTTATTTAAAACATTGCTAATCTCTGTATCGTTCCAATTTCAGTTTGTGCGTTTCTGAAATGAGCACTTGCTGAGTGATCTTGGGGAAGTTACTTCATTCCTCTCGGCCATGGTTTCCTCATCTGTAAATGGACACAGTAATTATATTCAACTTGTAGGATGCTCGCGGAGATTACGTGAAATAGGCCGGGTATGGTGCCTAGTGAAGAGCTCAAGAAGTGTGAGACATTATTACTATCGTGGGCAGGGAATTTGGACACCTGTGGTGTAAGCTGCCCCAAGAGATTGGGTTTCTGTAAGGGCGTTTCATATTAGGCTGGGCCCTATTCTAGAGATGAGGATATCTTCCTATAGGCCAGCTCCGCCCCTGTCACTCCAGAATCGCTCTCTGCCTGCAGTATGCCACAAGAGCAGACTTGCCCAGGGACCCAGGGTGGTCACTGACACCCCATTCCCACCAAATACACACACTCTCCCCTGGTGTCCTCCTTAGCCCCTTGCTGGGTCTCTTCTGCTAGCAGGAGCTGCTGGATTTGCCATCAGGACTGGCTTTCCCTGTGACCCCTTTGTGGGTGGGGCCTTGCCTGGTAATCGGAGATCCAGATTCAGCTCTGTTACTGACTTATGGATATCTTAGGCAAGTCACTTTCCTGTTTTGGGCCTCAGAACTGTTCATTGACTTTTCCATCTAGAAGACTAGTCTGAGGCCAGTTTCCAATCCAATTCTCTGACTCTAGGTAATGTGGAGGAGAGATGAACAGTATGTTTGGGGGGCGGAGGATGGAGCAAGGACCTGTTGGTGGAAGCTCTAGGGAGACAGAAGGTCATATGTGGGATGGGAGTGGGGGTGATTTGAGCTATAAATCAGCGGTTGCATCAGATTCTTGTGCCCTGGCATAGGTATTTATTTAAATTTACATAAGCTTAATTGTAGTAAATTACTTACTAGAATTAAGGTAATTCTAGTGTGCAGTCAGTATTGAAAACTGCTGCCCTAGATGGTCTCATAGGTCCCCTAAGTCCCCAGGATTTCTGTGCCTGCCCCTTGTGTGTTCTGTGAGCCCTTCTCTCTGTAAATCAGAGTTGAAAGAGCCTAAGGTTGATGGGTGGGGAGGTAGGAAGATGGAGTTGTATTTTGGGCTTCACCCCTTCCCCAGATATATAATCACAAACCAGTCTCTCTACCTCCTCACGTTTCCATTTTCTCATCTATAAAATGAATAAGTGAATCTCTGCCCTGTACCTCACTGAATTGTTTTAGGATTAGTGATATGGGGAAAGAGTGACATATGAGCAAAATCAGTGCAGTACAAACATACCTCATGCAGTTAAATAAAACTGAACTCTAATTTTTAAGGCTTTGTTCTGTCACTGTCCTTTGCAGCCCCCAGAGAAGCCCACCCAATGGCCCTTGCCTTGCTTCTCTTGGGCAGGGTGGTTCTCAGAACTTGGAATCCCTCCTCTGCCAACTGAGGTTGCCTTACCAAATCCTTAACTCCCATCCCTGGAAGTATTTCTGTTTAAAAGTCTCTACACCCATGCCAAGAACTCAGCCACCTGCCAACTCTGCCAGAGCAGCTCCAGGTGCCAGAGTTTGACTGCAGGGCAGGGCCCAGTGTGAGTAAGTAATCTGTCCTGGACCAGGTTTACTGTTATTTGGAAACCATTTACAGGAAAGCCTATTATCTCTGGTGCCATCTCTGGTGCCATCTCTGGGGTTGAGGGAAGGGTTACTTGCTTTGTAAGTCCAAACTGCTAGCAATTTGCATCTCAGTTTTTAGGTCTGGAGGGCCATAAGTTTTATGACAGCCTTGTACCTTCTGTAAGACTTTTTGCTTACTTTAAAAATTACTACTGGGGCCGGGCCCGGTGGCTCATGCTTGTAATCCCAGCATTTTGGGAGACTGAGGCGGGAGGATCACCCGAGGTCTGGAGTTTGAGACCAGCCTGGCTAACATGGTGAAACCTCATCTCTACTAAAAATACAAAAATTAGCCAGGCGTGGTGGTGTGTGCCTGTAATCCCAGCTACTCGGGAGGCTGAAGCATGAGAATTGTTTGAACCCAGGAGGTGGAGGTTGCAGTGAGCTGACATCGTGCCACGGCACTGTAGTTGGGTGACAGTGTAAGACTCGGTTTAAAAAAAAAAATTACTATTGACCAGGCATTGTGGCTCATGCCTGTAATCCTAGCACTTTGGAAGGCCAAGATGGGCAGATTGCTTGAACCTGGGAGTTCGAGACCAGCCTGGGCAACATGATGAAACTCTGTCTCTACTAAAAATACAAAAATTAGCTGGGCGTGGTGGCATGCACCTGTAGTCACAGCTACTTGGGAGGCTGAGGTAGGAGGATCACCTGAGCTCAGGAGACGGAGGTTGAAGTGAGTTGAGATTGTGCCACTGCACTCCAGCCTGCATGAGACTCTGTTGCAGAAAATAAAAAATAAAAAATAAATTACTACTGATAGAAATGCATGCATGGGCTTGTTACAAAATTTAGAAGTAGAAAAGGGTAAGGCCGGGTGAGGTGTAATCCCAGCACTTTGGGAGGCTGAGGCGGGCGGATCGTGAGGTTAAGAGATCAAGACCGTCCTGGCCAACATGGCGGAACCCCGTCTTTACTAAAAATACAAAAATTAGCTGGGTATGGTGGCGTGTGCCTGTAGTTTCAGCTACAGCGAGGGCTGAGGTGGAGAAACGCTAGAACCCGGGAAGCGGAGGTTGCAGTGAGCCTAGATAGCGCCACTGCATTCCAGCCTGGTGACAGTCTCAAAAAAAAAAAAAAAAAAAAGGAAAGGGTAGTGGTTAGTGACAAGCCTCCCCTCCTACCCCTCTCTCCTGGCCTGCCCAGTCCAGAGGAGGCCTTTGTTATCAGTTTCCTGTCACTCTTTTCTGAGCTATCGTAGTCAAAGGATGTCCTAGGACAAACATATGTATATTTAAAATAAGGTAGCACACTATACACAGAACTACGTATGTAGCCCCTCTTTCACTTAAATTTAAATCCACGTGAATTATGGAGATCTGCTAGGAGCTGCCTCATTCTGTGTGTTGGCTACATAGATTCCACTCTAGGCTATGCCACATTTATTTAATAGTCCCCAGCTGGGGAACTCTTAGGTTGTTCCCAGTCTTTCTTTCCCTCTCTTTCTTTCTCTTTCTTTCTTTCTTCTCTCTCTCTCTTTCTTTCTTTCTCTTTTCTTTCTTTCTTTCTCTTTCTTTCTTTCTTTCTCTCTCTCTCTCTCTCTCCCCCCCCCGTCTCTTTCTTTCTTCCTTTCTTTCTTTCACTGAGAACAGTGACACAGTGAGTATCTCTGAATGTGTCATTTTGCATGGGTGTATATGTCTGTGGAGTAATTCTAGGAGTGGGGTTGTTGAGTTAAGGGGTATATGAATATATGTTATACATGCAGACACGCACCTGCCATCAGTATATACAGCTTGATGAGTTTTCACAAAGTGAACACACCTGTACACTGAGCCCCCAGGTCAACCAGCAGAATGGACAGCAGAAGGCAGATACCCCTCAAACCCTCTTCTAGGCACTATCTCTTACCTTTGTGGGTGATCACCACTGGATTATCTAGCAGTATAGAATAGCTTTGCCTGTTTTTGTATGTGCATTTAACATTTTGATGTTATTAAATTGTCCTATATAGAGGTGACACCAATTGTAATATTATTTACTTAATATGTTTATTTAAATTTACTTACTTTTTTTTTTTTTTGAGACAGAGCCTCGCTCTTTCACCTAGACTGGAGTACAATGGTGTGATCTTGGCTCACTGCAGCCTCTGCCTTCCAGGCTCAAGCGATTCTCCTGCCTCAGCCTCCCGAGTAGCTAGGACTACAGGCGCCTACTACCACGATGGGCTAATTTTTGTATTTTTGGTAGAGACGGGGTTCTACCATGTTGACCAGACTGTCTCGACCTCCTGACCTTAAATGATCCACCAGCCTGGGCCTCCCAAAGTGCTGGGATTACAGGCGTGAGTCACTGTGTCCAGCCTAAACTTCCTTTTTAAACTTAAATTTCTTTTCCTTTTTTTCCCTTTTTTAAAGTATATATTTTTTATTTTCCAGGCACATAGGTTCAAGTTGCCCTGAATATGCACGCCTTTAAATTTATTTTTAAAAGGAGGCTTTATATCAGTATTATGAATGGGAAACCAAGACGCCCATCATAAATAGCAGGTAAAGGTTTAAAATAAGTACAGTACAGGGAAAACAAAACAATGATACTAAATCCTAGCTGGATGTCATGGGTGCTGAAGGCTGTGACCCTGACGCCTACCCTCTCTGTTCAAAAGGTAGGTTGGCAAGTGCTTGAGGGGCTGAAAGACAAACTAGCACCCAAACTGAGACCCGCTCCTTGATGCAATCGGAGGGGTCGAAAGGGCATTGAACGAGGAAAGCTCAGTCTGTAAGTCCCTATGATAGGTATACCCCTAAACCACTTATGGTTATCTGTCCCACACTCAGGGCCCTCTTGTTTTCGGCAGGGAACTTTGGGGCTGCAAAAGGGTGTGTTTGAGGCTCACTTGTCAGAGCTGGCATGTACCCCAGGTCCCTGCATCCTCAGGTAGGTGCTCCTTGGCCCTTCCAGTAAGTCATGGGGATGTCTGCGGGAGAAATGAGCTCACGCTGAGGCACTTAGAGCCTCCTTTTCCCACCACACAGGGTGAATCATTCTGACACATGCGCCCTCAGCCCATTGGGGACACACCTCTAATTTTAGCACTGCCCACGGGGTATCTTAGAGATCCGTTTACAGGACTGCTTTTCCTTGCTGGACTGTGGGCTCCCAGAGGTCAGGATTGTAGTTCATCCATATCCTCCTCTGAATGCTGCCCCTGGGGCCTGTGCACACAGTAGGTGCTCAGGGGAGGCATGTTGCATGATGGTGATTGAGTCCCACTTGTACCTACAAGGCGAGGATCCAGCTTGGGGCAGAGGCCTGGCTGGGGGTGTAACCCGCAGTGGTCAGGTCTGCTGAGGCCTTGACTTTGCAAAGTGGGCAGGGCTGATCATGGTGCTACGGACTCTCCACAGAGCACCAAGCCTGTTTCCTTGATAACAGGGTAGGACTTTCAAGTGGGTAAAGGTGTCATGGCTGGGGAGTGTTGACTAATCAGGAAGAAAAGGACTTGGTGGGAGTTGGGGGCAAGTAGGGAGGAGCTGAGGGTGGGTAGGTGGTGGAGGCAGCAAATGCCAGAGGCAATAGGAACTCTTTCTGGGCTTTCTCCAAGGATGAACCTGCTTATTAGAGCTTGGCCTGTGATTTCTTACATTTCTTATAGTTTAATGGTTAAGAGTGTGGGCTGTGTACCAGGTTGCCTGGGTTCAAATCCCAGCTCTGACACTTAAAGGTTAAGTGGCCTAGACATAACTTCCATGCACCTAACCTACCTGAAGAGTTGCTAAGCAGATTAGATGGATTAATACATCTGAAGAGCTTAGAGTGGTGCCTGGCACATGATGAACACTCCATCAACTAGTCATGGATTAGTCGTTCTTTTCCTGCCTTCCTCTCTAGCCTTGCTGCTCAAGAGCCATAGACTAAGAATGAGAAGGGCTGTTAAAGACACCTCTAGTGCAGCCTTTTAAATTTACCGATAAGAAATCAGAGGCCTGAAGAGAAGTGAGTTGCCTGAAAGCCCACAGCAAGTCAGTGACAGGCCAAGACCAGATCCAGGCTGCCTGACTCCAGTTTCTTCCTCGGGCCCCCATGACCTTTCCAGGCGCCATGTATGTTTCTCCCTGGTCTCAGGGTGAGGGTAGAAGATAACCTTTCTGAAAGAGGCCACGTCCCTGGCCTCCCAGTGAAGCACTAGGTGAAGCCAGGCCAAAAAGAAAGCACTTCTCTGGAGACAGTTTCCAGGAGATTTTTACTTTCGAGAAGAGCTTTATTATTTTTGTGAAAATCATACATGCGCATAGCTTAAAAGATTCAAGCCATTTGGGAAAGTACAACGAAAACAGCAAAAGTCCCCTTTGATTCTACCACTGGGATTCAGCCACTGTTATATGTTGGTAAACATCCATCTGGACATCTTGTACATATATGTAGACATTTTATTTCTTTAATTATCTTTCTTATTGTGTTTGATTTGTCGAGCAAAGTTCATTTTCTGGCTCTAGGTAAGCATTCCAAATAGTGAAACTCAAATAGTGAAGCTGAAAGTGGGGCAGCCTTCATATTGGAGAAGTGGCCAGCCGTGCCTAACGGGCTGTCAGAGATGATCTCATAGCATCAGACTGGGCTCAGGCCTCGGGCACAGAGAGGTCCTCCCCTCCCCCAGTCTGGCCACAGAGCCTTTAAAATCCAGAGAATCAGGGCTGCAGCCCTGCCAGGGGTTTGGAGAACCTTCCAACACCTTCATTTTATAGATGAGCAAACTAAGGCCCTGAGAAGTGTCCTTCGCTCTTAACCTAGACTTTGTACATGGTCTCGTTCCCCGCTTTAATAGAGGAATTGCTTTATGTCGTAGGACTGGACCTTGCTGCCTTTGGGTTGGTTCCTGGAGAAGCAGGAATAACCACCTGCCCTCCTGCCCGGAGGCCTTTCTTCCCAGGTGACTCACAGTGCCACCCTGGGGTGGGGCTCACGGTCAACCTGATAAGGGACTGATAATGAAATTTCTGTACCAACTGGCTCCACACAGGGGAAAGATGTTTTCTGGGTAAGTCTGGTCAGAAGAGGTTGATGGGGGGAAAACAAAACAGACAAAAAAAAAAAAAAAAAAAACAACAACAAAACAACCTTTCCCAGAGAGAACTTTTAGATGTGAATGGGTTTGAATTGACTTCTTGTTGGAAGGCAGGAGCATTCAGTCTTAACCAGCCGTGCTCTCTGGTTGGTTGGTTTGTTCATTAAGTCAACAAATAGTTATTTGATGCCTACTGAATGCCAGGCACTGTGATACCGTGATAGGTGTGGGAAGCAACTATGAACAAGACAGGTTTAGTCCAGGCCTTGGAAGACAGAGCAGTAAATAAATATCACTTGTGATAGGTGCTAAGGAGAAAATTAGGGAGCAAGTGGGGAGGGATGGGCGTTTCCACTTTCGATGATGTGGTCAGGGAAAGCCTTTATGAGGAGCTGACATTTCAGCTGAAGCTCAAATAGAGAAGGAGCCAGCCATAAAGACTTGTCCAGAGCATCCCAGGCAGAGAGAGCCATGAGTTCAAAGTCCCTGAGGCAGGTCGCAAGCATGGCTACAGCAGATGAGGAAGCCCGGGAAGGGCTGCGCTGTGGGTGGAGAGGGTGGCAGGGGCCTGGCTGTGTGAAGAGTTTGGGGTTCGAGTGACTGAGAAGCAGGGTTTCATTGTCAGGCCCTGTGGTCTTGCCATCCAGAGACCTAGATCAGGTGTTGGCTATTCTGTGTGACACTGGGTAAAGGACCAGCTCTCTGAGCCTCCGAGATGCCTCCTCTGTGGGTACCCCAGAGGGCAGTGGGGAGGATCCTGTGAGATGAGAGGTGCCAAAGCACGGGGCCTACTCTAGGGTCCCCCACCCACGGAGGGAGGGAGACTCTAGGCACCCCCCCCCCACGAATGGAGGGAGACTCTAGGGCTCCCTGCCCACGGAGGGAGGGAGAGTCACCTGGGAGCCTTGCATTGCTCAGGGGTAGTTGGGGAGATGAGATGAGATGAGATGAGATGAGATGAGATGAGATGAGATGAGATGAGAACCTCTGGAATCCGTCTTGTCAGAGGAGGCTCCTTTGCCCCTGGGGGTACTCAGCCTGCCTAGAACAGATGGCTATGGAACCAACTCCTCCAGCCAGCTGGTCTGACCCCTAGGGTGTGCATGTGGTCTTTTCCAGAGGCTGGGCCCCTCCCACCCCTTAGTTTCTGGGCTACCATGGCACACTGTCAGAAGCACTAGGCCACAACAGGCACGCGGGGCCAGGCAGGCCGTCTGAGAAGTGTCCTGCTAGGCTCTGAGGGGTCCCAGCCCTCGGTCAGCATGAGTTGTTCAGCTCCAAGCTAGGCCCCTGGGCTGGTGGAGGTGAGGAAGAGACACCGTAGAGACACTGTAGACTTACGATGTCACCTTCCCCAGCTAGAGGGTTGGCCTGTGAAGGAGCTGGCAGCCATCTCTGCCTCTGGCGATGTGCCATGTTAGCCCAGGAACTAAGGGGTGGGAAGGGCCCAGTCCCTGGAAAAGACCACATGCACGCCCAAGGGGTCAGACCAGCTGGCTGGAGGAGCTGGTTCCATCAAGGGCCAGTCTGAGCTAGGCTGCCTGACTGTGGTGGCCTGACCACCACATTTTGCTTCATCTCTTTGGATTCTCAGAGTGACCCTTGAGCTGGGCTGGACAGGGGGTCTTGTCCTGTTTTACAGAGGAGTCTTTGGGAGGACTCTGAGGGCTTCACTGGGCAGGGAGGCCTCGCAGAGAGGAGTGGAGATGAGTCTTAGGAGAGGGAGGGCGGGCTACAGAATGTTTTTTGGGCCTGAGTGTTGAGGTCAGAAATGTCCTCTGGGAAGACCAGGTCTGGAGGCCAAGCAGAGCTGAGGAGGATGAGCACTTCTTGGTTGGCGGGTGAGGAGAAGGTCCATGTGACAAGTCATGGACAACTCTCTGTGCCTTGGTTTTCTTGTCTGCTGGGAGGGGATAACTGTTGTGCTGCCCACAGGGGTGAGGCTTAGATGAGGCAGTGCCCACAGAGCGCTGAGTGGGCATCTGGCTGGGTAACCGTTCATGCAGATGCTGGGAGGAGACGCCGTCTGCCACGTGTCTCACCACAGTTTGCTTCATCTCTTTGCATTCTCAGAATGACCCCATGTGCCTTGTCCCATTTTATAGAGGAGGAGACTAAGGCCCTGAGCGGGGAAGTAACTTGTGTGAGAACCATCATTTGCATGTGTTCCTGGGACAAGAACTGTTTCACTGTGGGAAAGGTTACTGTTGGGTTTTAATTTTTTCCAAAAGGGACTTTCTCGCCAAGACATTTGCATCTGGGCCTGCAGGGAAGCAAGTATTTCACTGGAGGGTGGAAGGAAAACAGCCTTGGCCCAGATGGGCTTGTTTTTCCCTCTTCAGAGCCCTCCCACTTCCTGCCTGGGAGAGCAGGAACCCCCTACTCCTGGGGCCACTGGAAGTCCCTCTCAGGATGTTGCCTGTGACCTTGTATGAGTGACACAGGCTGTTTCCCATCTCCTACCAGAGGGTTGGCCATGCTGACCTCTCCGGCTGTGCTGGGTGCAGTGTGGGGAGACTGTGGGGGTGCTTGGGGTCAGAGTGTTCATTTCTGGGCACTCACTGTGTGCCAGGTGCTGGGTGCAGGCATGGGCACAGTGTGGCTGGTGGTGGGCTGAGGCCAGCCTCTGGCCCACCCTGTGGCAGATTGGGACCATCCCCTGGGTGCAGTAGGGTTGGGGTGCTGGCTGCCGAGGCTGCACAGGATTCTGAGACTAGGTCACTTCCCAGAGTCAAAAGACAGGAACTTCTTGGCCAGTGGACCTTGACTTCATGGCTCAAGGCCTCCTACCCTGGGAGGATTTCACAAGAACACATGTCCACCACCCCCCCGCCACCACCCCCCCCATCACCAGAGCTTCTGATTCAGTGGGTCTGGTCTAGGCCCAGGCACCCGTAATTAAAAAAAAAAAATTATAATGACAGGGTCTTGCTCTGTCACCCAGAGCAAGTGGTCCAATCATGGCTCACTGTGGCCTTGACCTCCTGGGCTCAAGTGATCCTCCCACCTCAGCCTCCTGAGTAGCTAGAACCACAGGCATGTGCCACCATACCTGGCTAATTTTAAAGTTTTTTTTTTTTTTTTTTTTTTTTTTGTAGAAATAGTGTCTCACCATGTTGCCCAGCCTAGTCTTGAACTCCTGGGCTTAAGTGATCCACCTGCTTCCGCTTCCCAAAGTGCTGGGATTATGGGCGTGAGCCACCGTGCCTAGCTTTATCTGTAATATTTTTATTTTTATTTTATTTTTTAAGTTTATTTTATTTTTGAGACGGAGTCTTGCTCTGTCGCCCAGGCTGGAGTGCAGTGGCGTGATCTCGGCTCACTGCAAACTCCGCCTCCCAGGTTTATGCCATTCTCCTGCCTCAGCCTCCTGAGTAGCTTGGGACTATGGGTGCCCACCATCACGCCCAGCTAATTTTTTGTATTTTTAGTAGAGACAGGGTTTCACCATGTTAGCCAGGATGGTCTTGATCTTCTGACCTCGTGATCCGCCCGCCTCGGCCTCCCAAAGTGCTGGGATTACAGGCATGAGCCACCGCGCCTGGCCCTACCTGTGATTTTTAAACTTCCCTGGGTGATTCTAACGTGCAGCTGGAGTCGAAACCACAGCTCAGGGTGGTATCTGTAAGGGAATTCTGATGGTACTGGCGATTTCCAGGACACCTGTCTCTGCAGGTGAATCCTGAGTAATGTGAAACCTTCTTCTGACATCTCTTACGATCTGGACAGGTTCTCTGAGCTGGGGAAAGTTAGCAAACACAGTTGGGAGAGGCCCAGAAAGAAAGAGAACACTCTAGCCAGGGGTTTGGGAGAAGTGCAGGGGGAGTCAGTAGGGCCCCATGTGGGCGAGGAAGGGCTGGTGGAGGTATGTGGAGACCACTGGCCTGGGAATGTGGGAGACTATGGGAGCTGGCTTCTCCTGCAGGGAACCAGGATGATGTTGTGGGAGGGAGGGGAGTCTGTGAGTTCTAGAATTTTGCTTTCCTTTTGGTTGTCTTCAAAACATTCTTTTATGTGCTCTAAAGGCAAGGTTTCTATGCAGTTACCTTTGTAAATAGAATAAGTTTCTATAGAATCAGTCTTAACTTTTATGAGTCAGGGATTCAGAAACTTGTGGGGTGGCCTGTGATAATTTTTCCTCCTTCAATGATATCTCGAGTTTGAGAACTCTCGATGCAGGATTATCATGTTGGAAAGCTGGCTGTGATCTCCAGGTCAGTGAACTGCAGTTCTGGCCTCCATAGGAGAGGTGTGGCAGGTGGTGGTCTATCTCTACTTCACAGATGGTGAAAGAGGGCCAGACAGGGGAGAGGACCTTGCTTGGGATCATGGTGGTAAGCTAGGGGCCAGTTAGCAGAAGGATGAGGCCTTGATTTCTCACTCTGACTGGTGAGCTCTGTTGTGGGTTGAGTCGTGGCCTCATCAAAAAGGTATGTTCTTGGCCGGGTGCGGTGGCTCACACCTGTAATCCCAGCACTTTGGGAGGCTGAGGCAGGTGGATCACTTGAGGTCAGGAGTTAGAGACCAGCCTGGCCAACATGGTGAAACCCCATCTCTACTAAAAATACAAAAATTAGCCGGGCATAGTGGCACATGCCTATAATCCCAGTTACTTGGGAGGCTGAGGCAGGAGAATTGCTTGAACCTGGGAGGTGGAGGTTGCAGTGAGCCGAGATGGCGCTACTGCACTCCAGCTGGGCATCAGAGTGAGACTCCGTCTCAAAAAAAAAAAAAAAAGTATGAAGGTATGTATGTTTAGGTCCTAGAACCTGTGAATGTAACCTTATTTGGAAAAAGGGTTTTTGCAGATATAATTCAGTTCAAAATCTTGAAATGAAATCATCTTAGATGACCTGAGTGTGCCATAAATCCAGTGTCAAGTGCCTTTATAAGAGAAAGGCAGAGGGAGATATGAGACGGACAGAAGAGGAGGCCACGGGCACACAGAGGAAACTGAGTATACACGGCCTTCTGTGTGCAGACAGGGGCAGACAAACCGAGCAACTCTGGGAGCCACTAAAAGCTGGAGGAGGCAAGAGGGCTTCTCCCCTAGAGCCTCCGGAGAGAGTATGGCTCACCAGACACCTTGGCCTCTGGCCTCCAGAACTGTGAGAGATTAAACTTCTGTTTTAAGCCACCCCATTTGTGGTCATTTGTTCGGGCAGCCATAGGAAAATGCAAGCCCTTCTGCCTCACCAGGTGGACTTATTAGGGAGGGGCCCAACTGAGCAGGGAGGGCCCTGAGAACCACCTTCCTTCTGTGGGTTGTGCTGAAAACCAAGGGGGAAGGAGTGGGGCGAGAACAGAGGGGTTGGGGGAGGAGTGAGACTGTGGGGAGTGAGGCTTCTGTCCCGTCCTCAGGCCAGGGGGCCATGCCCTACTGCTGGTTTCTTGGGGCTTCCCTTCTGCAAGGAAAACCTAATGGAAAGAGGTTAAAACCGGGGAAGGTGGATGCGAGCTAGCTCTCAGGAAGGACTTGCCGGCTGTGAAAACAGTTAAATCAAAACTGCTTGCCAAGCTGAGCTGTAAAACGTGGGATTCCCTGACAGCTTCAGAACAGGAGCGTCACCCATTGTGTGGGGCAGTTAGGATGTGGCCTGAACTTCCAGTGGGTTGAACTTTGAGGGGCCGTAGAGGGCATCTAGTGTTACCCCTTCCTTTCAGAGAGAAGGAAACCAAGCCCCAAGCCACCCAGCATGTGCCCCTGGTTCTGAAACTCTGCCAATGGGACAATCTCTAGTGTGCAGGGGGGACAATGGACACTACTCAGTGGTTTCAAACCAGGAGCTTCCTCTCCAGCCAGGGTGTGGGGACAGAGGCCTGACTTATGACTTCTCACAGAGAAGGGAAGAATGTTCTCTGCAGGGTCAGAACCCAGGCTGGGGGAACCCTGTTCATGCCTCTGGCTTGGTTCTGACTCAGCCTCTGACCTGGGAGGGACCGGGTCACAGGGACAGATGAACCAGCCCTGTCCCTGTCCCCTTGAGAAGCTGGCACTCACTGAGTCCTAGCAGCATGCTCTGACAGCTGCAGACATTCTGTGATCTGGGTGGGGCAAGCAGGCCTGGCCAGAGTCTCCCAGGAGGCTGTGGCAGAGACACTTAGCTTCGGGGTGTTGGGCTCTGGGCTTCCCCTGGGGGTGGCAGTGGCCACTTGGCTTTCCAACCACTAGGTGGGTAGACTCATGTTCAGAGCAGAGACAAGATGAGGGCAGGAGTTGTTCAGGGACCCACAGACCCTGAGATGGGGTGGGGCCTACTTCTGGCCTGTTCATTTCTACAGTATTTTCCTTCTCCACTGTGGTCTTCTGGTGCCGGCCTCACATGGAATGAAACTTGACTTTTTTCAGCCAGGAATTCCCCCACACTCTGTCTAGCTGGGTTGTGCCTTCTGCATCCTCCTAGGTTGTCCTATATTGTCTTTAAAGCTAACAGTTAACGAGCCCTTCTTGTGTGCCAGGCTCTGGGCTGAGCTGTTTTCTAGCCATTCTCTCACTTCAACCTCCAGCAACCTAAGAGACAGCGCTGCTCTTGCCTGGTTTGCACTTGGGAAAGAGATGCTCAGAGAGTTAGGTAACTCACTCGTGAGAGCTAGAGGTGGGGTGTGAAGCCTCTCTCTCTCGGCAGACTTACCAGCTTCCTTCCTGGCCTAGATGTTTGTTCTTCTTTCTTGGAAGAACTTTTCTTAGAGTGATGGACTTTTTGGGGATGGGTGGTTTGGTCATTTAGTCACTCATCAAACATGTTCTAGGCATGAGGGCATCTCTGATCCTCCCCGAAGCTCTGCGCTTCCAGAAGGCCATCCCGGTCAGGTTTGTAACTTTACGTAGAAGTTACAAGACATTGCTAACACAGGGACTGGTATCTCTGCTGGAGTAGCACCAGCTTCCCAGGGCAGGGGCCACAGGCTCCCCTAGGGAGGTGGGCCGGTTGCCACCTTGTGTGGGGATAGAGGGAGCAAGCTGACCTGAAGTGGCACCAGAGGCCAGGGCCCAGATCCCACTGGCTCTCTGGAGCTGCAGGAAGGCAGAAGTGGGGCCAGCATCACTGTCCTTCAGAAATGCATCCTTTAATTTTTATTTTTTTGGATAGGATATGCCAGGGCGTGAGAAGTCTTGTTCCTGATGAGGGAGGGTGGCCTGTGGTGTGACAGAGCACTGGCCTGGGAGCTGGGAGACCCGGGTCGCAGCTGCTGAGTGAGGGCTAATTTGTGGTGTGACCTTGTGGGAGTGCCAGCCTCTCTCTCAGCCTCAGATTCCCGTCTGCAAAATCAGGGGGTTGGGCCAGATCAGCATCCCCCCGCTGATTCCTGGTGGTGCACAAGATGATTGTAGCTGGGCCATGGGGGAACATTTAAACATTTTAATATGCATGTGGGAAGTGTGATGTGTATTAAAAAAATAATTAGTACCTCAAACTTGTGATTGTGTAGATCTTGATTAGTTTAGGTCAGGACCGTATTTACTTGAGTAAGAAAAGCCAGTGGGGTTTTATTAAAACATCGAGTTAATAATAATGCAAGTAGCTGGCCAACCTGACCACGTGGAGACGTGATAGGAGAATGGCTGGAGTTTGGGAGACACTGGGAGTTCTCAGTGGTTCCTTCCAGCTCTTTTCTGGGAATGTAGGCAGTGTGGCACCTCTTGGTCAGGTGCAGACACTTAACACAGTCTGTGTACTGCTGACTGTTAGAGAAGGAAGTGGCTTCTCATTATGGTACAGCATCTTACAGTTTACAAAGGAGTTTCACCACCTCAGGGTCTCCTTCGCGTGACCATTATATTCCCATGTCACAGTGGAGAGGCAGTTGGCGCTCTGAGGGAGATGGTCTGGCCAGCATTGTGCAGCTCGTAAGTGGCCCAGCGCCTGCAGCTGGCCTGGGCTCTTTGCTGGGTCGCATCAGCGCCAGCCCTCTGGGAGCCCGTTCCTGACCTTTACCTCCTTTCCCGGCTGCCACTTTCTGCACAGGGTTTCATGGTCATGTTGGCTTGTCGCATGCATCTTCTCTTGTCCTGATTTTCTTAAAGCAGAGGAGAAAAGGATTTAAGGTGACAAGAGACCCTCCTTCTCCCTTCCCCCAGGCCTCTTCCCCATGCAGTGAGGGGCATGTTCTAAAGCCCTCGGCACCCTGTTTCCTAATAGGTGCACTTGGATGTGTAATAGGTAGGTTCCCATTACAGCCTGTATTTAGCTCCAAGTAGCAGTTAGTGAAACATCTGGTTTGGGCATTAATTCCAGGCCAGAACAGGCCACCAGACCCAGGCCTCTGGTGAGCTGACCCTTGCCTGGGGCCACTGAGACTTTCCTGATGGCACTGAATCTGGTCTGAAGCTTTAGGCAAAGGAAGACGCAAACCTGTAGTAAACAAACCTCTTCCTTTAGCCAGGTGTGGTGGCATGTGCCTGCAGTCCCAGCTACTTGGGAGGCTGAGGCAGGAGGATCGCTTGAGCCCAAGAGGTTGAGGCTGCAGTGAGCTATGATCACACCACTGTAGTCCAGCCTGGGCAATAGGGTGAGACCTTGTCTCCTCTAAACAAAACAAAACAAAACAACACACACACACACACACACACACACACACACACACACCTCTTCTTGGAAAACAGAACTTGGTTGCTGTAGAAAAGGTGAAAGAATGTTCTTGGATATAGTTATAGCCACAACACCATTATCATGCCTAAGAAAATACTAAGTTTATGCAAAAACATATCTAATTGTCCCTAAAACATCTCTCATAGTGTCTTTAAAAAAATCAGGACCCAGCATCACAGTTTATACATTGCGTTGGGTTTCTTTTTCATAAAAAATGTCCCAGTGCATCTGAAACTTGAGGGGTGACCTCTGAGGCCCTGAATGTTATAGCATCTGGGGTCCTGATGGGGACTGTCGTGTGTTACTTGCCTACGTTGTACCTGATCCAAGACCTACCGGGGCCAGCTGGTTCCTTTTGTTGTTTAAGGGAAATTCAGAAAGCCAATTAGGAAAGGCTTGCCTGGAAAACTGTCCCCACCCATGAGACTCCAGCCCCCGCCCCCCTCCCCCACGTTCTCATTAGGAGAGCTGATCGGTGTCTGGAAGCCAGACCCAAGACTCCCTGAGTCCCCACCCTTAATCACCAGGTGCACACACTGGGCCCTGTGTCAGGCACTGGGGAAAGATGCTCTAAAGAACTGAAAGACCCCCAGCTGGCTGCCCACAGCCTGCCTGGGGAGACCCGGTGTGCCCTGGTGTGGCCGGGTCATGGCTCTTGGCAAGTCAGTGCACTGATGTGTAGGGCAGTGGCTCTTTGTTCCTTGGTTCTGATGCTTGGGGTAGGCTGGGGTAGGGCCGAGAGAGCTCCCTTCTCTCATACCAGATGGGGAGCATTATCAGGTGGCTGGAGTATCCCCTAATCAATACTTTCTGTATCAAGCTGCGATAGAGGAAATGGACTTTTTTTTTTTTTTGAAAAAGTTAAACGCACAGAAAAATGGAAGGAGGAATTCAAAGAACATCTGCCTGCTTCTGAGTTATCAGTTGTGAACATCTTGTCTTAAGAGCTCTCTCTAAATACACCACTTCTTTTTTTGCCAACCCAGCTACAAGGAGGCTGCAGTCGTTGTGACCCCACTCCTCTAAATACCCCAGCATTCGCCTTCCCAGAAAGGGCATTCTTCCTCACACCACTGCTGTCCATCTGATTAAAAAAAAAAAATCACCATGAAATCAAACTTTTCAGTCCTATATACAGGCCACATTTCTTATGACATTCCTGTGTTGTAAGAAATATGTTTGTTCTTTGTCCCCAGTTCCTGGCACAGAGCTCTTAAAACCCTTGGAATTTCCTGATAGGAATGCTTTTTGTTATTAATAATGAGCCCGTTTAGTCACACCTGAGTTTACGCTGATGCGATGACTTAGGGTAAGGCCCTAGACGGCCTTAGGATGGGGCGAATCACCAGAAACACCAAATAATTAGAGGGCTGGACAGAAAGGGTGAGGGTGGGGGTGGGGGTTGGGGCTTGGAGATTGAGCTCTATGTAAAACTTTTTTTTTTTTTCCAGCTCTCAACCAGTAGAAGAGAAAAACTCTTGAACAATGAGATTTGATGAGCTTCTGGGTTTGGGAACTCACTGAGGTGTTAAGGGGTGAGCGTGGGCTCAGAGAGGGCCTGGGAGCTCCCTCCCCACCTTGCCCAGTGCATCTCCTCCCTCTGGCTGTTCCTGAGTTGTATTCTTTGTAATACACTGGTTAATATAAGTAACCCTGAGTTCTGTGAGCCATTCGCGCAAATTATCAAACTTGGAGAAGGGGTTGTGGGAACCCCTGACTTATAGCCAGACTTTGAGTCCTGGACTTGTGATTGGCATCTGAAGGTCAGGCAATCTTGTAGGCTCTTTTGAGACAGAGTCTTACTCTGTCACCCAGGTTGGCCGGAGTGCAGTGGCTTGATCTTGGCTCACTGCAACCTCTACCTCCCAGGCTCAAGCAAACCTCCACCTCCCAGGCTCAAGAAATCCTCCCACCTTAGCCTCCCACGTATTAGGTTGGTGCAAAAGTAATTGCAGTTTTTGCCATTACTTTTAATAATAATATTTTTTTAAATAGCTGGGACAACAGGTGGACACCACCACGTCCAGCTAATTTTTGCATTTTTTTGTAGAGATGAGATTTTGCCATGTTGCCTAGGCTGGTCTCAAACTCCTGGGCTCAAGCAATCTGTCCACTTTGGCCTCCCAGAGTGCTAGGATTACAAGCATAAGCCACCATGCCCAGCCTAATCTCGTGGGCTTGAGCACATTAACCTGTGGGATCTGATGCTAACTCCAGGTAAATGTGTCAGAGTTGAATTAAATTGTACGACACCCAGCTGGTCTCTCAAGAGAATCAAAGAACTGTCTGATGGTATTGGAAAGCACCTCATTCCCCAAATGTTCTTTGTGGTGATATTTTACCCAATTCAGGATCCACCCAAGGTTTGTACATTACTTCTGGCTCTATGTCTCTTTAATCTCCCCCAGGCTAGACTATCCTTACTTCTTTTGAGTCCTTTGAAGCCTCCAGGCCACTTGATCTGTAGGATGTCTGAGTTGCTTCATAGCTTCACAGCTTCCTCATGATTAGGTTCAGGCCACACATTTCCTGCAGGAGCATTTCACAGGGTGTGCAGCGGGAGGTATGGAATATCACATTAGGGGGTGTGTGCTATCTGGCCACACCATGGTTGGCCAGGCTGAACTTGACCAGTCCTCTCCATTGCAAAGGCACCTTTCCCCATGATGATGAACACATAGGCTGATGTGAAACACCCTGGTGAAAGAACTTTTAAAAGTTAATCTGAATGTGAGACTCCCCTGCTTAAATTATTTCAATTATTTCCCTATTCCAGCCTCAAAATACACTGCCTGCTTCTAGACACCTTCACATGCCCACTGTGGTCCAGGCCACTGTCACCTCACATTGGTCACCACAGTAGCTCCCTGACCAGCCCCTCCCACCTGCATCTCCCAGTCTCTTGGCATAGCAGTCCAAGCAACTCTTTTAAAGATCACAGCCAGGCATGGTGGCAAGTGCTACTTGGGAGGCTAAGGCAGGAGGATTGCTCAAGCCCAGGAGTCCGAGACCAGCCTGGGCAACATAGCAAGACCCCATCTCAATTATTTAAAATAAAAAAAGATCACAGTTGGAACAGAGCACTTCTCTGCAAACTTTCAGTGCCTCCCATCCACTCAGAGCAAAAGTCAAGTCTTCTCAGTGGCCTCAGAGTCCCCTCCTGATCAGCCCACTGCCTCATCTCCTACATGCTCCCTCTCCAGCAGCCCCGTCCCCCTTGCTGTTTCTTGAAAACACAGGCACATCCCAAGGCCATGGTGCCTGCTTGGATGCTTATTCATGTATCCGTGTGGCTTGGTCCCTCCTCTACTCCAAGTCTTTGCTCACATGTCACCCTCCCTGGCCACACTGACGGCCCCTTTCCCCAGCTTCCCTAGCCTTCCTCCCCGTTTTATTTTTCTTAGTAGCACTTATAACCATAGCACAGTATATGTTTTTCTTACTTATTTGCCTCTGCGCAAGTAGAATGTGAGCTCCACCAAAGCTGGGATTTTTGTGGTTTTCTTTCATTGCTCTCGTTGCACACCCAGTTCTTAAAATAGTAGCTCCCAAAGTGGGTCTAGGGACCTCTGGGTTCCCCTTTCAGGGGCTCTTGTATCTAGAACCACTTTCATAGTAATAGTAAGACTCCCACTGCCACTCTCTTGGGAGCATGTGATGGAGTATTCCAGAGGCACCTGAACACTCGATGTGGCAGTGGAGCCAATGAGGAGCAGATCTGAGAATCCAGCTGCTTTCTTGGCAGCCAGACGTTAACATTTACAAACATGCAGAGCCCACGCCACTCTGCCCACTCAGTTTTTGTGTCTTTTGGGGGAATTTTTTAAATGAAAAATGCTATTTAACATATAAATCAATCTTTCTTTCTTTCTTTCTCTCTCACTCTCCCCTTCTCCCCACCTTCTCTCCCTCCCCTCTTCCCTCCCCTCCCCTCCCCTTCTCTTTCGACTCTGGTACCCAGGCTGGAGTGCAGTATTGCAATCTCGGCTCACTGCAGTCTTGATCTGAGCTCAGGCCATCCTCCCACCTCAGCCTCCCAAGTAGCTGGGATCACAGAGCCGTGCCACCACACCTGGCTAATTCTTCTTACTTTTTGTAGGGATGAGGGCTCCCTGTGTTGCCCAGGTTGGTCTCAAACTTCTGGACTCAAGTGAACCTTCAACTTCCACTTCCCAAAGTGCTGGGATTACAGGCATGAACCACTGCTCCCAGCTATCTCTTGTTATTTCTAAATGGGCTAATAAATATTTAAAATAAGTCTCAGTTTTAATTTATGGTAAATAATTGATGGATATCATCATAAACAAAAGCTCCAGAATCTTCAAACATTTTTAACAATGAAAAGGAGTTCTGAGACCAAAAACTTTGAGACCCACTGGCTTTAAACAATGCCTGGTGTGCAAAAACCACTCAGTCAATAGATGTCATGTGAATAAATGGACTTCTTGGCTTAACCCATGAGACCTGGCCTTGGTGCTCTTGCTTCTGTGAACCTCCCTGTTCGCCTCCCCTTCCCTCATCCTCTGCCTGTCCTTGATTCCAGCTCTGCTGACCTGACCTGCTGTTCCTGTGGTACCTTCATGGGCATCTGGAACTCCTTATCCCTATTGTCCACCTTAGGAATTCCTGCTTGTCCATTAAATGGACTCCGTTCAAACGTAACCTCCTCCAGGAAGCCTTCCCTGATCTTGCCTTTCTGATTTAGTGTCTCCTCTCTGGCGCCTTTGCACACTTGATCACATCTACCCCAGGGTTTTGCTGATTCCCACATGTGTTGGTGTGCTGGTATGTCTCTCACCAGACAGAGCTCCTTGAGGACAGGAACTCATCTTATCTGCTTATTCCAAATGTCTGGTACATAAGAGGTGCTTAGTGTATGTGGAATCAGTGAGTGCTGCCTTGGAATTCAGAATAGGGACTCCTCCCTCCCTGGAATTAACCCTGGACCAAAGAGGGTCTGAAGGGGAAATGGTTTCTGGCTTCTGACTTGGGTTTTGAAATGTCAGCATTACAACAGTGCTACATGGTTACTGGGGAAGAAGTAACATTTACTGAGCGCCTGCCGGGTCCCAGGAGCTTTTGCGTGGCATCTGGCTTCAGGATATTGTGGTTTGTTTGGCCATTGTGAACTGGCTTGGGCCCTAACCACTTTCTGTCTGGCTTCCATGAGGACAGTGTGGTCTTGTAACTAAGTCACCAAACTTCTGTGAACTTCTGGGACATCCTAACACATTTGCATAGTACGTGCAGACTGTGAAGTTGTTGAGGGCAAAGTTGTATGTGTGTTGCTGGATCTAGCCACCATGTCCTGTATGCTGTCCATAAGAGATACCCGGAATTCCCTGTCCAAAGGGCATAGTTAATACTCTCAATATCACTACCAGCAAGGGCTTCCCATTGTTGGTTTTATAGATATTCAGAAGTGGAGAGATATCCCTATAGCTGGGGTGATCCAGGAAGACTTCCCAGGGGAGGAGGGCATTTTGTTGTTGTTGTTTTTAGACAGAATCTTGCTCTGTCACCCAGGCTGGAGTGCAGTGGCACGATCATGGCTCGCTATAGCCTTGATCTCCTGGGCTCAAGCGATGGGAGGAGGGCTTTGAGCTGAGCTTGGAGGATGGGTATGAGCCCCTTTTGGCTTTAGTATTTCCAGGAAACTGTCTCCTTTCCAAGGCTGCTATGGGAGGCAGTGCTGGAGGTGTGTGCCTTCATCAAGGCTGGGGAGGGAAGGCATTGCTGTCCGCTTTAGGGTTTTACCCTTGCGGAAATGTGACATCCTTGGGCTGGGTGGGAGAGCAGAAGGCAGCCCGTGGGGGCGGAGTCAGAGCAGTGTGTGGGGCGAGAGGAGGAGGGGGGCCGCCCACAGTCTGCTGATGTGCCAGGATTTGAGGGGAATTTCCATGGACTCCCGGAGCAGTAGAGCAACCCTTGGGGTTGTCATGCCAACTGGGAAACTGAGGCTCAGAAAAGGTAAGGGACTTGCCCAAGGTCACAAAGAGTTGATAGCAGAGCTGGGATTGGAGCCTAGGGTGCCCATGTGGCCAGCCGCCCAGTGCTCCTTCCCTTTCCCCTTTGTCCTCTTTGGAGACATGAGCCCTTGGACTGGGGCCATTTATCTTCATTAAGGCCCTGCACGTTCCAGACACTTGAGATCTGATTGCCTCCTCTGCCTTCTATCCATAGTTCAGGGGCAAAGGGTACAGTTCCGATGTGGGATTCCATGCAAAGGGGGAAAGAATAAACCAAGGGCCACATATATAAAAAGCAATTTGATGCATTTCTTTTTTATATAGGAAACTACATCTAACATTAAAAACAAGATACATGAAATAATAATAAGCCTTAACATTGCCCAAGTTGTGTAGAGACAGTTTCTATATGCCTGATTCAGCCAGGTGTCCCCTGGGAGCCGGCAGTTCTGACTGAGCCTCACATCCTCGGCTCCTGCTGCTGGAGTTCCCTTCATCTCTGCCCACCCTCCTCCCCCCACCTGCTCTCCCCACCGCCTGCTCCTTTTCAGATGGCTCTCCCTTATGGCGGCTTCTCCTCTCAGCAGCCCAGAGGGGTCAGGACAGTGAGACCACAGGGCACTCCCATACCCCTTCCCTGGAACTCCTCTTGCCCTCACTTTGGGCCCCATGAGGATAACTCTCAGGCAGTCTCTAGGGAAGACCCTAGGCCAGTGGAGGAATAGGGGATGCATGAACCAGTTCCCAGACAGGATGGGCTCCGAAAGGCTGCCAGGACCTTGGACTGGAGGCTGTTGTATAGGACAAAGACCTCCTGTCATCTCTGTGAGCCCATGTCTCCTTTCAAAGGGTCTGAGAGAAGGAAGATCTGGGCCATCTTACTCACTTCTGCTGGTGGTGGCCTATAGTTACGAGTGGTGGAGGCTTAGCTGATTGGGTGCTGTGGGCTGCAGAGGGACACAGTCCTGGCCAGAGGAAGGAGGAGGAGGGGTGACCAGCAGTACTTTGACACAGGAATATACCCCTGAGCGGTTACCCTGGGAGGAAGCAAGCCCCACTCCAGCCCACCCCACCCAGCTCTTCATTCCTGGGCTCCCTAAGCCCATACCCAGAATTCCAGTCTCCTTTCCCCATTCCTACCCCGCAGCTAGAGCTCCAACCCCAGACAGAGGATGCTGCTGGCAGTGGCCTGAGCTGGGGACTTCCTGTCTCACTGCCAGGGCCAGACATCCAGGGTGCATCCGGGAGCACTGTCTTCTGCTCTGACTGACCTCTGGCTACTGAGTCAGCGGGGTCTGGGGGGGCCTGGCCGGAGGTCCACCCAGGGCTGAGATCTGGGAAGAAAATCACCAGACACCATTACCCATGTACGCTGGGGACACAGCCTTGGGAGGCAGGCCCGTGGCTCTCTTGGTTCAGACACATGGAAGGTGGGGAGAGAGAGACAGAGAGGTCTGGAGAGTGAGGGAGAAAGAAAACCAGGGGGAGGAGGGTGTTGGGTGGAGATGAAGTTGCTCTTGACTCTCCTTCCCATGGCTGTTTCTGTGGTTCTCCGATTAACCATGAGTCATTCTTATCCTTAAGCCTTGGAAGGCTCTGTTCCAGACTGGGATCATCGCAGAGTTCCTTCTTTGGGCTTACAGGCGTCTGAAGCCATAAACCATTTCTCAGATTTATTCTCCCAGCAGATATATTAGGCCAGTCCCTGTGCTCAGGGAGGGTCCAGTTGCATGAAGTCAAACTCTGTGCATCCTTCAGAGTCCTTCTCTGGTTTCCCCAGGAGGAAGTAATTGCTCTGCATCTTGTCTCAGAATGCCTTGGTCAGTTATTTGTTCTACCGCTTCTACCTGCCTGTCCCCAAACTCTTCCCCAAAACAGCCCAGGGCATGCCATCCCCACTCCCACCCTGTGCTTCATTTGTGGTTGTTCTGGATTAGAAATTCCACTCTCTGCCCTGGCTGGATTGAATAACTGGGGTTTGCAAAACTCCCAGCCTAGCTCCTTCACAGCCTGGAATGTGCTGTGTGCCTGTGGGAGTCTTAAATCAAGTATCTGCAACTATTGCCAACAGGAGGGGTAGCAAAACAGACTGGTGTGCCCACTTTGCTTCCTAGAGAGGTTTGTTTTCCAAAGGCTATGTTTGTCACCTTTGAACTGATGAACCCAAGACGTTAGATGTCTTTCTCCAGCTCAGACACCATGGAAAACTTGAGGGAGGCAATGAGAACTGTTGTTAAAGAAGCCATAATTCTTTAAAGAAACCATAAATTAAGAAGGGATTATTTATTTAATAACATTAATAAAGGGATAATTTACAAATAATAAATATTTATTTATTATTTCTTCACTTAGGAGCAGGAAGACCTGCTAGAGTAGAAATGTCATTTCTCCCCAAACGGATCTATAGATTCATTCTGGTTCCAATCAACGTCCAGTTCAGTTGATTTCCTCCCGAGACTTGAGAAGATGATTCTAAAATGTGTATGGAAGATTCGAGATCTAAGAATATCTAGGACACTTCTGAAGAAGACAGGAAGAAGAGACTTGGCCTACCAGATGGCAAGATGTGTTGTAAAACTGAAGTCATTACAATAAGGAGGTTTGTTTAGGGACAGACAGAATGACCAATGGAAGAGATAGGCAAAAACAGCCCCAGGCATATGTAGAACCTTAGAGTATGACAGTGGGGTCATAGCAGATCAGTGGGGACAGAAGGACTGGTTTGATCAATGTGCTCTGACGTTACCAAAAGTAACAAACAAAGTTGGGCATGGCGGTTCACACCTGTAATCCCAGCACTTTGGGAGGCTGAGATGGGAGGATCGCTTGAGCTCAGGAGATCGAGGCTGCAGTGAGCTATGATCACGCCACTGCACTTCAGCCTGGATGACAGAGTGAGACCCTGTCTCAAAGGGTCTCAAAAAAAAAAAAAAAGTAACAAAAGCAGGCTGTGTCAGAGAATGTCAGGGACTGAGGATTACAATTCACCAGGTTCTCTGTACTTGATGTCCAGTTTTTATAAAGGAAGAAGTCCTGTCCAGAGTCAAGGCAGGGTCGACAGCAAAGTACTAGTGACAAAGACAAGTGAATGCGCCTTTGCTGGCGGCAGGAGGCAGCCTCTGCTGCTTTCTCAAGAGCTGGCTTTGATTTGGGGTTGTGGGGGAGCCCCGTTCCTCAAGCATAAGTAGGGCCAGGTCAGTGGGATGGAGGTTCAGTGTCCCCAGAACTTAGAGTACCGCCTGGTGGTCCTGGAGGTGGGGCCGGTGCTCCCTAGGGGAGACAGAATGGGCCCTTTAGCGGTTTGGATTGGGGGCACTGCCAGGACCTCCTATCCTTGGTCTGTTTTGCTTTCCTTACAGGAAAGGGGAGTGGGACAGCAGGAACCCAGCTGCCCTGGGGATGTGGGAGAGAAGACTGTTTTCTCCCGAGTAAGTTGGTGAATACTTGCTGAGCCTTCCCTAGCTTGTGGCAGGAGGGTTGAAGCATGTGCCTTTTTCTTTTTCTTTGAGACAGAGTCTCACTCTGTCGCCAGGCTGGAGTACAGTGGCACAATCTTGGCTCACTGCAACCTCCGCCTCCCGGGTTCAAGTGATTCTCCTGCCTCAGCCTCCCGAGTAGCTGGGACTACAGGTGCACGCCACCACACCCAGCTAATTTTTGTATATTTAGTAGAGTTGGGGTTTCACCATATTGGGCAGGCTGGTCTCGAACTCCCTTGGCCTCCCAAAATGCTGGGATTACAGACATGAGCCACTGCACCCGGCCACCTTTTTCATAAGGATGGGCTCTACCTTCAGAAAGGAACCTTGTAGGAGTGGTGAGGGGCAGCACCAGCGAGAGATGCTCTAGACTTGTGCTGTCCAAAATGTGGCCACCAGCTACCTGTGGTCGAATTTAACTTAAAGCAAAATAACATGGAAGGTTCAGTTCCTCAGGCACCAGGGCCCCGTTTCAAGAGCTTGCTAGCCACACGTGGCTCGTGGATACCACACTAGGTGTTGGCATCATCTAGGAAGTTCTCAGCACTGCTGCTCCGCTATTGTCGGCTTTGTATTTTGCAAAGGTGTTTCACACCCCTTTCCCCCCAGTTCTTCATAAAAGGCCCATCTGGTAGCCTTAGTGGCTGGCCAGGCAGACGAGTTTTGGTTGTGAATCCTGACTGTCTCATGGGTTCTGTGCTGCTTAGTCTCTTTGAGCCTAGTCTGTAAAACGAGATTAGTTGTTCCTTGGATGTTTGAGGGGGTATGTTGATTAAGGGAGATGAGATGATGCAGGTATGACCCCTGACAGGATAGTGGCAAAGCATAATCACTATAAGAGCCAACAGGCTTTACTGTTTTACAGGTGAAAAATGAGGCCCACAAGCGGGAAGTGACATGGCCAAGGGTACTGAGCTCACCCATGGAGGCCCAGAACTCCTGCCTTCTATGTTGCCTCTGCTGCTCCCGCCAGCACCCTGCTCTGGGACAGGAGAAGCTGGGGCAGCAGTGTGCAGAGCAGGTGGCAGTGTGCAGAGCAGGTGGCAGTGTGCAGAGCAGGTGGCTGTCTGCAGGGTGGGCTTGGTCTGGGGCCAGGCAGGATGGGCCTCGGGACAGAGGGCCTTGGGAAGGGAGGTGCAGGGTTTCTCTGGGCAGGAGGAGGGGGTCCTGCTAGTCCCACTTTATTCAAAACCTCTCTCAAGCCTTGGAGTTTAGCTCTTCCCCACCCCCTTTCAAGCTAGAAAGTCTGAAAAGCGCTTTGTTTTGGTCCAACACGGAGCCCTGGACCTCAAATACTCCATGAGACGGTTGTGGAATGAAGTGGTTCTCAGGGCCTTCCAGGAAATGCGGGCTCTGGCAGGGGGCTCATCCTGATGTTCTGCGCTCTCCCTCTTCCCTGTCACTTTTGTTCAAATTCCTAGAGCCCTCTTCACCTCTCCATGGCAGGAATGATATTTGCTTCCTGTAGACCAGGGGTTCTTTTTTTGTGCCAGGGACCCTTTGGTTCTCTGGGGAAGCCCGTGGATCGATCCTTTTTCAGAACAAGATATTTAAATGCATAAAACGAAATACACACGGATACAAAAGAAACCAGTTATAGTAGGATACAATTATTAACATTTTATACAACCAAATTTTTGATGTAATAATGTGCAACTTTATCAGCGCATTCAATCACAAGATCTAGCAGTGAGCCTAATACTATCATAATTTTGAAGTAATGAGGAATGTAAATGACATTTTAAGATATTCAGAATAATTGTAAAGTGATTTCTACTGGTGACAAAATTGCAGGTGCCGTTAATACTACTTCAGTTTGTTGCCCACATCCCACATGGAAGGGATATTTCAGTTAGAGGTAAACAAAAGTAAAGATGTGGATTTTTCTCCATCTCCAGTTTGAGAGCTCCCTAAATTCCATCCATTGGACCATCAGTTCCAGCCTCTCTTACTCTCCCTTCTCAATAGTCTTCTGGCCCCTTGTGAGCCTATAGAACGTAATACAGGGCCTGGAACACAACAGAGCCTAGTATTTGCCTTTTGGGGGTGAAAATGGGCCTTGCAGGTCCTCGTTAAGTGCAGATTTGCCCCAGCTGTGGTGAGCCAGCCGGCACGGGTGACCAGATGCTTCCTTCAGGAGGCACAGGTGCTGGAATGCCTCACAGAGTCTCCTGCTTCCCAGCAGCTGCCTGGAACTGGGCCTCTCCCTGCACAGGAGGAAGCAGGGTTCCAGGATGCAGAGGACCTTCAGGTCTGGTTCATGCTGGGCCACAGGGCTCCTCTGCAGCCTGTTGAAGATGCCACGTGGTTCACAAAGCCTGGGCTTTTGGGCTTGGCTGTGGGCTGCCAGCAGCACGCACTTTCCCTCTTTGGCCCCAAATGGGCATGGCCGTGTGCCCCCCACCCCCAGCCCTGTTTAGCTGAGGCCATCCTGCTTGACAGATGGGCCATTTGCTTCCTGTTCTAGAGCTGAGTGGCCGGCTGCCTAGTGGAAGGCTATAATTAGCAGAGTGGAGCGGATGGGATTGCATGCTGGCATTGACAGATAATTTTATCCTCAGATGGATAAACTGATGTCATCAGAGATGTAAATATCATTTGGAAATTTTGAAGTTCCTGGGAAGGTTTATGCTGGCCTCTCCCCATGCCCGCTGCTCTTGGGAGCACTTGAATGGGGAGGCCAGAGAGGCCTGTGCTGTATGGGGAGCTGCCTGGGAGTTGCCTGCCAGGCTGCTGGGAGGGTTGGGGTGGCAGCTCCTTCTGCTAGACCAGGAGAAATAGGGCCTAGGATTGCTTGAGGGAGTTCTTGGTTTACATTTGCTTTGGGAGCTTTTCCCATGGGGTTTATGGTCTGGAAATGTCTCAAGGCTAACTAGCAAGGAAATGGCAATGCTTTATAACAGCAGAGAGTGAGATCAGAGCAAGGGGTTTTGTTTTCTGCCAGCAAGGGTGTTCTGGAGTGGGTCCCAGGGCTCTGGGGAGCTTGTAAAAATAGAAGAAGCCACTGACTGCCTTTATGGAGAGGGCTGGGGTCAGTTCTGCTCAGCATTGGGGCCAGTGGCAGCTCTGGTGTTTGGGGGATGGTTTCCAAAGCAGACTACCTTAACTCAGAAGCACAGTCTCAGGCAGGAAGGAGGAATGGGAACAGGATGGGGGCAGGGGAATGGGGAAGGATGTCAGCTGTCCCCATCCTGCCAGGGAAGAAGAAGCATTTTTTTTTTACAACAGGGAACACAGAACTTTCAAAAGTATATCGGGCCAGTTCTGAAAATGTTAAGATACAATAGTTGTGTTCGTTCCACGACAGGGTGAGAATTACGCTTTTCATCAAAATGGAAGATAAAACCCTACCTCTGCTACCTTCCAGTACCCGAGTCCCTGAATATTTTATTCACTCCATGCCTGGACTCTGAAAACTTCCATGCTCTATGGGGTTCTTATTTAACCATGATTCTCTGCTTTGAGGTGGATGAGCCTCAGGGCTCTTTTATTTGTCCAGGTTTAGAGTTTAGTGAGTGATTCCTCATGGGTGGAGTCACTGAGGAAGGGGACTTGGCCTTTTTTTTCTTTTCTTTTCTTCTTCTTTTTTGAGACAGAGTCTTGCTCTGTCACCCAGGCTAGAGTGCAGTGGTGCAATCTCGGCTCACTGCAACCTCTGCCTCCCTGGTTCAGGCGATGCTCCTGCCTCAGCTTCCCAAGTAGCTGGGATTACAGACATGTGCCACCAAGCCCGGCTCATTTTTGTATTTTTAGTAGAGAAGGGGTTTTGCCATGGTGGCCAGGCTGCTCTCGAACTCTTGACCTCAAGTGATCTGCCCACCTCAGCCTCCTAAAGTGCTGGGATTACAGGCGTGAGCCACTGCGCCCGGCCTGGACTTGGCTTTTTAAAGGCTGCTCGCCATTGCTCTCCGAGGACCTGGGGCACTTAGGCTGCCCCCAAACAGTGATTTCTCCATGTTCTGGGTTTTGGAGCATGACTGTGTCTGTCCAGATAGTCTCTGGTTTACCTTTCTCTACCAAAAAGTAGATATTTTTCATGGTCTTCATTTTCCTGTAGAGGATGAGTATGTGTATGTGTGTGTCCTGCCTTCTAAGGCCAACTTGTTAGTAAGTGGCTGATGGCTGAGCTTGTCAGTGTCTTGAGTCCCTGCCGGCCTGTGTGTTGGAAAGGCATCCTTCTAGACTGGGGGGAAAGGTCTCACTAATCCTGGATTAATTTTCAAACCAAGGGGAATGGCACTTAGCCTTGAAACATAGCAGAGTACTGGATCCAAGTGAGATGGTTTCCTGGTAATCCTCTGTTATCCTGTGTTTCTGCATAAGCTCTGTCTGCTTATTTGACTTTTGGCATCCCCGTCACGCATCAAAGCTTAGGAGGAAGCAGTCACTTCCCTTTATTCAGGACTTAGCTCTCTTTAGAAGGAGGTCACGGGCATCTGCTTAAGGACATGATGATCAGTAAGGAGACCCATGAAGTCAGTTTAAGGCTCAGGCAGCCCTGTGAGTGGCTGGAGGGGCGGCCTCCTCGGTGTTTTGCATGGTGACACTGGGGTGGCTATGCTCATGTCACCTCCCGACAACATCTGTCTGTATCATCCCTTCCTTTCCTTGGACCCTAGCTGACAGCACCATGTCTTCCACTTACTCTCCCATGTTGCCTTCAGCTTAGTGGAGAAGTCCAGTTATCTGATGACTTGTCCCTGCCCTCTGGAACATGAGGCCCAGAAAGTCAGAATCCTTGGACAGGCAGGGGACTGGGTAGACAGTGCCTGACTTGAACTCAGAGGGTCTATTGGAAAGCCCAGGTCTTGTTCATTCAGAAGATGTTGATCATAAATGCTGATTCTACTTCCTCAGTGTCAGAATGTCTTGGTGCTGGGGATGTCCGAAGCAATTGAAAAATCCCTCCTGGAGCTTATGTTCTAGTGAGGAAGACAAATTCAAAAAAAAAAAAAACCAACCAGAAATAGTGTAGTATGTTAAATACTGGTAAGTGCAAAGGAGAAAATAAAAAAGAGAAAGGAGATCAGGAGTTTCATGGGGAGGAACTTCCCATCTGTAAATAAAGTGGCCCTGAAGGGCCTCCCTTTGCAGGCGGCAACTGAGCAAAGAAGAGAAGGAGATGGGGGAGTAAGCCATGAGTGTGTCAGGGGAAGAGCATTCCAGGCAGTTGGAACTGCCTGTGCAAAGGCCCTGGGGTGAGCACACATGGCAGTTGACAAGCATCAAGAAGCCTGGGTTCTCCTAGTGGAAAGTTACAGGGTGTTCTGTGACAGCATGTCCACTATTAGAAAAGTTGAGTGAGGGATTCTACTTGCGAATTCCCTCAAAATTCTTCCTGCTCCAACCTTTGGCCTTCTCTGTGGTCATCCTGAAAGTAAATTCCGTGTTATGGTACTGTGTGAAATGTCTGTTGCCCTGAGCACGGGGTGACCTGCCTGTTTAATACGCGTTGTGGCGGCCTCGCACTTCCAGGTTTGTAGTGTTTCCACATTCATTCACTCGCGAAAGCCGTGGTGTGAGCAGTGCAGAAATGAATGTCTTCAAGTCTGTCTTTCAGATGAGAACACAGACTCACATGGTCAAATGCCTGTCCAAGGCCCAGGGTTAGCAAGTAGCAGAGCTGGGGCTCGAACCCATGTTCTCTGACCCTCCAGCCAGTGGCATTTCCCCTAACCCATCTATACTCTCCTCTAAAGTGGCATCTCCAGATTGGGTCTGTAGTAGTCTGCTAGGGCTGCCATAACATCAAGTACCAGACTGAATGGCTTAAACAATAGACATTTATTTTCTCACAGTTCTGGAGGTTAGAAGTCCAAGATCAAGGTGGCAGGGTTGATTTTTTTTTTTTGTTGTTGTTGTTGTTGTTTTTTGTTTTTTGAGACCGAGTCTCGCTCTGTTGCCCAGGCTGGAGTGCAGTGGCACAATCTCGGCTCACTGCAAGCTCCACCTCCTGGGTTCACGCCATTCTCCTGCCTCAGCCTCCCGAATAGCTGGGACTACAGGTGCCCGCCACTATGCCCGGCTGCTTTTTTGTATTTTTAGTAGAGACAGGGTTTCACAGTGTTAGCCATGATGGTCTCGATCTCCTGGCCTCGTGATCTGCCCGCCTCGGCCTCCCAAAGTGCTGGGATTACAGGTGTGAGCCACCGCGCCCGGCCTGCAGGGTTGATTTCTTCCGAGGCTTGTCTCTGGCTTGTAGACGCTGCCTTCTCCCTGCGTGTTCACACAGTCTTCCCTCTGTGAGTGTCTGTGTCATAATCTCTTCCCCTTATAAGGACACCAGTCATATTGGATTAGGGCCACCTTAGTGACCTCATTTTAACTTTAATTAGTTCTTTAAGGGCCCTGTCTCCAAATATAGTCACATTTCGAGGTACTGGGGGTTAGGATTTCAATAGAGAAAATTTGGGGAAACACAGTTCAGCCGCTAACAGGGCCCTTTCTGTGCTGTAACCTGGGGCAAGCCTCCCCCACAGCAGGTACCACAGCCCCAGATGACTCTTTGCTGTAGAAAATCAAGTGACCTCAGTCTCTCTCTCACCCTCTGTTTTCTTGCTGCAGCTGATTGGGGCCCTGGTCCTGTCTGTGGGCATCTATGCAGAGGTTGAGCGGCAGAAATATAAAACCCTTGAAAGTGCCTTCCTGGCTCCAGCCATCATCCTCATCCTCCTGGGCGTCGTCATGTTCATGGTCTCCTTCATTGGTGTGCTGGCGTCCCTCCGTGACAACCTGTACCTTCTCCAAGCAGTGAGTGGACCACACCACCCCTCAGCCGGGACTCCCCAGGAGAGCTGGGGCGCCTGCCCCTGTGCCCTTGGGCAGCTCAGTTTCTTTTGTCCCTGCCTCAAACCACCTCCTTTAGAGAGCTCCTTAGATCAGCCCATCTGACCACACTGGCCCAAGAATGCCCAGGCCACCTCCCCTCCTGCATGTAAAAGCTGATTTGAATACTGTTCTTACTTAAACTCTGTGTTCATCTGGATGCTCAGTTGCGAGTAGGAAAAACCACACTCAAATGAGAGCAAGCAAAGACAAAAAAAGGAGATGGTAGTGAGTCATTAGCTCATGCAACCAGCAAACCCACACTGGGTCCAGGGGTTTAGATGGCGCCACTGGGCAGGGTTGGGCAATCTCCCCAGCCCCTGCCAGCCGGGGCTGCTCCCTTTGCAGTGGTCACTGCCGGCGTCAGGCCAACAAAGTCCTTATGGTTCTAGATCTCAGGAAATCTTTCCTACCAGCTCTGGCCAAAGTCCCAGGACTCTGGTGGGCCTGGCTTGGGCCATGTGCCCATTCTGGGATGGGGCATGGGGAGTCAATCCTACCTGTATCCCATTATTGTGGGGTGAGGGATGACTCCCTAAAGCTGGGGGTAGTGAGTAGGCAGATCCATTCACTCTGCACTTGTGTGTCTCTTGACCTCATTGTCTCCCCTCATATGGGAAGCCCCTACGATCCACTGTAAACCGGGTTTGGGTGCTACTTGAGGCTGGAATTTGCTGAAATCAGTTTGGGTAATGCCTGCTCTCTAGTAAAGGGCAGAGGTGGGGGTGCATATCCTCTAAGCTTCAGCCATCCCCCTCACCCACTGTGGGGGATCTGGGAAGTCACATCTGAGGGCTCTCTGTGGGGAGCTGGACATACTGCCCCAGCCTGCCCATTAAGCCAGGCCTAGCCCCTCTGGCTCAGTGGCAACGAGGCCCAGCTCTCCTTATGGTGGTGGGGGAAGGGCGTGCTCTTCCACATAGACCCCCAAGACAAATGGAGGTAACCATTTGGCTGGGACAGCTGAGTCACTCTTCCTGCCCTCCGGCTCCAGAGACAGGTTTTCCTGGGGCCTGCCTGTCCACGTCCACGTTCTCACAGGAGGAGGGGGCAGAGGCCTAGGAGCTGGTAGGAGCTCCCCGAGGGATGCTTCTCTTTGTGCTTGCTCTTGGAGCAGATGGTGCCTCCCCTGTACCCCACACACGCCCACTGCTCCTCTCCAGGTGAGTCTCTGAATTCTGTTTTCCAGTTCATGTACATCCTTGGGATCTGCCTCATCATGGAGCTCATTGGTGGCGTGGTGGCCTTGACCTTCCGGAACCAGGTGGGCCTGTGGATTTGTGTATCGGCCATGTGTGTATGGAGCACCCACTGTGGGTGCCTTGGGCTAACTGGGGGTATGGCAGTGAGCAGGGCAGATAACCCCCATGGAGCTTTCATTCTGCTGAAAGAGAATGACAGGCACTGAACAAGTAAAGCAGCGACTAAGAAAATGAACCAAGCTGACATGAGAGCGCCTGGGGAGGAGATGGGAGGCCCGTGCTGAAATGGTAAAAGGAGCCAGCTGAGTGAGGTCCCAGCAGAGGGAAGCTGAGCAGAAATGAGCTTAGCATGTGAGCAAAACAGCGTGGAGGCCACGTGGCTGAGGGTAGGTGGGGTGGAGAGGGGTGGAAGGTGAAGTCGAAAGGGCTGGCCAGGCAGATCACAGAGGTCCTTGTAGGCCATGAGTTGGGAGCTTGGAGTTTTTTCTAGAGGTGACAGGAGCCTTTGGAGAGTCTTATGTGGGAAGCGATGTGACCCAGTTTATATTGTACCATGGCTGCTGAGTTGGGGAATGGACAGTGAAGAGTTGAGGGTGTACACAGGGGCCCAACTGGGAGGCTGTGGGGGGTCATCCTGGGAATGGGGTAAGATTGCTTGTACCAAGGTGGAGGCAGTGGGCCTGGGCCAAAAAGGCGATTTGATGTATATTTTGGAGGCAGTACCATCAGAGGCTGTTATGCCGGCTAGAGGAGTGAGGAGAGGGGCAGGTTGACAGGGTGATGCCTGGCATCCTGGCCCTGGCAGGGTTTGCAGAATCCGGGCCCCTTAGAGCCAGAAAGGTTCTCGTGGCTCCCGGCTCCAGCTCCTTCAGGCAGGATGTACGCACCTCATACTAGCTGTGCCACCTTGGGCGAGTTACTTGGCCTCTTGGATTATTAGGGGACACCTAGCTCACAGATCTGATGAGAGAATGCCTGTGAAGGACTGGGCACGGTTCTGGCACATAGTGGTCAAGGCCCCACAAGAAGCTGGTGGTGGAGCAGGGCTGACTCCAACCCAGGGCTCCATCTTTCCTCCCATAATCTTCTTCCTTGTCCTCATCCTGCATTGCTGCCATAGGTGGGGCTTGAGGAGCAGGACATGTTTGCAGAAGCCCCATTCTCTGTGTCCACTGCCTGGCCTGTACCCCTCCCTACCCCAGACAGCTTGGTCCTGGTGCATCTGGACAGTTGCTGCTGGGACATGCGTCAGAGCTGTGAGCCAAGTTATCTTTTTTTTTAAAAATAATGTTTGTTTATTTTTTTGAGACAGGGTCTCACTCTGCCACCCAGGCTGGAGCAGTGGTGCAGTCATAGCTCACTGCAGCCTCGAACCCCTGGGCTCAAGTGATCCTCCGGCTTTAGCCTCCCAAGTAGCTGGGACTACAGTCATGCACCCCTGTGCCCAGCCAAATTATCTTTCTTTTCAGCAGTTGCTCTTAAGGCAGCAGGTGCTGTCCCACACCCTGGGTTGTGCAGACCTCTCAGATGGCCCAGGATCTGGCCCTGTGAAAATGTTCATGGGAGTGCCTGTGATTCCAGCCCAGGTGGGAGCAGGGACCACACCAGTTCTGCTGGGGCCTCCTGCAGTGGGACCTAACCACAGGCAAGTCTACAAACCTGGAATCCAGAGGTCTTCCTGTTTTATGAGCCCCAGGAAAGGGGCTTTATTCCATTTGCCCATGAGGCTGCTTCTCCCTTTTCCTCTTTTCTACCTGCCCCTCCCTTTGCCTCTTTTCTGCTTATCAGAGCCTCTCTTCTGAGCTGGCAGATCCAGCATGCTGGTTCACTTTCCAGCAGCCTTGAGGGGAGAGATCTTTATTCCATTTGCCCATGGGGCTGCCTTTCTGTGCAGCCACCAGAGCTCCTGGCCAGCCTGCGGCTTTCCAGGGGCTACGGGTTAGTGCTTTCCTGGCTGGAGCCCAGGTCCAGTTTGTGGCCAACTAAACAGACTCCTGGATATAAGGAGGAATCTCCACCAGCCCGTGACCCCGGGCATGGTTTCTGCTGCTAGGCATGGCTTGACAGTCAGACTGAAGTGGCTTCTCCACTCATACAGGGGCAAGTGGCCATCCTATCAATGGAGTCATGGAGGCACACAGGAGTTAAGAATTCCCCCGAGAGCACACAGCAAGGCAGAGGTGCCTCAGGAATGCTTCCCAGTCCTGACTTGCTACCTGCCCCTCCCTGTCCCTCTTTTCTATTTGTCAGAGCCTCTCTTCTGAGCTGGCAGATCCAGGATGCTGGTTTACTTTTCAGCAGCTGTGAGGGGAGAGATCTTTATTCCATTTGCCCATGGGGCTGCCTCTCTGTGCAGCCAGCAGAGCTCCCGGCCGCCCTGAGGCTTTCCAGGGTTAGCACTTTCCTGGCTGGAGCCCAGGTCCAGTTTGTGGTCAGCAGCGTCCACGGCCTTCATAAACTATCCTCCAATGATGGGCAGCAGTTCTGGTTTCTAGTGCATTGCTGCAGAGGCCATCTGATTTGTCATTTTCCAGTGCCCTGTAGGTCAACAGAACATCACCTCCTTCTTTCAAGTGATGGAGCTGGGCTGAGATGAAGGCTTTGGCTGGCGGAACATCCAGGGGCCCTTCAGTGCTCACAGCTTGGGTTTCCGTGGGCCTGAGGTCAGGCCTGACAATTTCTCATCATCCCCAGACCCTGCAGATGCTGTAGTCCGTGAAGGGTGCTCCTTCCCCTTGGGTGGTGTCCCCTCATGGGTAGGGCCTTGGTATGCAGCCCAGGAAGGGTCCTCACTGACGCCTCTCCGCTGTTTGGAGGCTCAAGCCATGATTCGTCATCTTGAAAACTTAAAAAATGAGATACAAAATTATAAATGCAGTAAGATCGCTACAATGAAAAAAATAGGTCTACAAAAAGACTTAAAGGAATGGAAATATCAGCATATGAACTCATATTTCCTCTGAGGGATGAGACTAGGGTGATTTTTCTCCTCCCCTTTATATTTTTCCTTGGCTCTCAATTTTTTTTTATAATCAAGGGGAAAATATCACAAAAAGAAAAATAATATCCCTTCCAACTCTAATGTGATATGATTTTGTAAAACAGGAGTCAGGCCAGTGGCGGGGATGGGGGAGGAGCGGCCTGGCTGTTGATGATGGTAGGAAGGGCAGTGTATGATGGAGAAAAAGGTGAGGAGCAATCAAGGTCAGCTTCCAGGAGGAGGTGATTTCCCAATTCCATTTTTCCCTGATCAAGAGGATTTCTCTGAGCCACAATGTAACAAGTTCAGTCTCCAGTGCCATGGGCCCTGGTAACTCTGAGTATCTACTTATGAAAAGTCAGAACAAGTCATTAGGTATTGGGGGAACCCACCCCCAATATTTCACCATAGGTTCTTTCTATTTTCCATAAGTGTCAGCCAGCTGAGAAATAAAGAGAAAGAGTACAAAGAGAGGAATTTTACAGCTGGGCCGCTGGGGGTGACGTCACATTATCAGTAGGACCATGATGCCCACCTGAGCCTTAAAGCCAGCAAGTTTTATTAAGGATTTCAAAAGGGGAGGGGGTGCAAGAACAGGGAGTAGGTCACAAAGATCACATGCTTCAAAGGGCAAAAAGGAAAACAAAGATCACATGCTTCTAAGGGAAAAATCAGAAACTCCTCATAAGGGTCCAACAAAGATCACAAGGCAAAGGGCAAAAGCAAAGATCACAAGGCAAAGGGCAAAAGCAGAATTACTGATAAGGGTCTACCTTCAGTGGTGCACATATTGTCTTGATAAACATCTTAAACAACAGAAAACAGGGTTCGAGAGCAGAGAACCAGTCTGAACTCAAATTTACCAGGGTGGAGTTTCCCAATCCTGAGGGTACTGCAGGAGACCAGGGTGTATTTCAGTCCTTATCTCAACTGCATAAGAGAGACACTCCCAGAGCGGCCGTTTATAGACCTCCCCCTAGGAATGCAGTTCTTTTCCCAGAGTGTTAATATCAATATTCCTTGCTAGGAAAAGAATTTAGCGATATCTTCCCTACTTGCATGTCCGTTTATAGGCTGTCTGCAAGAAGAAAAATATGGCTCTTTTTGCCCAACCCCGCAGGCAGTCAGACCTTATGGTTGTCTTCCCTTGTTCCCTGAAAATCGCTGTTATTCTGTTCTTTTTCAAGGTGCACTGATTTCATATTGTTCAAACACACATGTTTTAAAATCAACTTGTACAGTTAACACAATTATCGTAGTGGCCGTAAGGTGACATACATCCCCAGCTTACGAAGATAACAGGATTAAGAGATTAAAGTAAGACAGGTGTAAGAAATTATGAAGTATTATTTGGGAACTGGTAAATGTCCATGAAATCGTCACAATTTATGTTCCTCTGCTGTGGCTGCAGCTGGTCCCTCCATTTGGGGTCCCTGACTTCCCGCAACAATTAGGCTAAGGATTACATGTTGGGTTCTCAGCGAGGTGCACAGACCACGGCCACAGCCAGGCATTGAAAGCTAAACAGACTCCTGGATATAAGGAGGAAACTCCCCCTGGCTCTGACCCCAGGCAAGATTTCTGCTGCTAGGCATGGCCTGACAGTCGGACTGGTGCCGCTTCTCCACTCATAGAGGGGCAAGTGGCCATGCACTGGGGAGCTGGGCACAGAGCAGCCCTTAGGAGCAGGAGAAGTACGACACCCCTGACCCCAGCCAGGGGCTGGAGGAGGACCTGAGTGACTTCCCCAGTTGTGTGGGTCTCAACCCTCTTGACACCTGCTTTTGTCCCAGCTTGTTCTGGGGCTTCTTGTGAGGGTGTCAGGTGTCAGAGGTGGGCAGCTCCTCATGCTTCCAGCCAGGTGCAGCTGAGCTTGGACACCTGGAGGGTCCGGGCAGTAGCGGGTGTGTCTATACCCCCATCCCAGGCCTCCTCTCTCTACCACCAGGGTAGGATCAGTGGGCATTGTGGTCCTACCTGACACTGTGGTCAGGGAACAGTGGGGAGCACCAGCCTGCCTATTTTATCATGGCACTGGCACAAGCTGGCTCTGGGCACAACCTTGAGGTCAGAGGCAGGAGAAAGTAGGCAGCACCATGGCTCTCTCGGCCAACACCTGAATATATAAAGTTTTCCCTTGGTGTCCGACGGGGATTGGTTCCAGAACATGCCCCTGACCAAAGGATACCCAAATCCACACATGCTCAAGTCCTTTATATAAAATGGTGTAGTACTTGAATATAACCTACACACATCCTCCTGTAAATTGCAACACTCCTAGATTACTTGCAAATACCTAATACAGGGCCAGGTGCGGTGGCTCATGCTTGTAATCCCAGCACTTTGGGAGGCCAAGGCAGGTGGATCATTTGAGGTCAGGAGTTTGAGAACAGCCTGGCCAACACAGTGAAATCCTGTCTCTAGTAAAAATACAAAAAGTAGCTAGGCGTGGTAGTGGGCATCTGTAATCCCAGCTACTAGGGAGGCTGAGGCAGGAGAATTGCTTCAACCCAGGAGGCAGAGGCTGCAGTGAGCCATGATCGTGCTACTGCACTCCATCCAGCCTGGGTGACAGAGCAAGATTCTGTCTCAAACAAAACAAAACAAAACAAAAAACCCAGATACCTAATACATTGTAAATGCTGTGTAGATAGTTGTTTATGCTGTATTGTTCTTTAGTTTGTATCATTTTTTACTGTTGTGTTATTTTTTATTGTTCCTTTTCCCAAATATTTTCCATCCACTGTTGTTTGAATCTGCGGGTACGGAACCCGTGGATGTGGAGGGCCGGCTGTGTATCCTTCCCACTTACAGCAGAGCGGTCGGCCTTACAGAAGTAGAGAGTGCTTCTCGCTGGTTTGGCCAGACTCCCCCACGGGTGTGCCCCACTGTGGAAAGCTGTCAGGGAGTGAGGCTGGAGCCCCCAGTCCCAAGGACACTGAAACATAACCCTCTCCCACCATGGAGATGAACCTGTGACCCTGGCCAGGTCTGAGGAAGGGTCTGGCAGATGCTCACTCCACACGCCCCTTCCCACCTTCTCCTGGTCCCCTGGGTTCTCTTCCATTCCTGATTGTCACATTGGGCTTCTATTGGGACTGGAGCAGAGGCTAGGGTCCGGGGGCAATGAGGGTAAGTCCCCGTTCTAGAGGGACTGGGAAAGGCTGAGATGATGGCTTGGCTCCAGGCGCAAATGAAGGAGGAAAATCCTGGGCCAAGCACCTCTCCTCCAAGTTTTTGTTTTGTTTTTGAGACAGTCTTGCTCTGTCACCCAGGCCGGAGTGCAGTGGTGCAATCACAGCTCATTGCAGCCTCAGCTCCTAGGCTCAAGCGATCCTCCCACCTTAGCCTCCTGAGTAGTTGGGACTACAGGTGCATGCCACCATGCCTGGATAATTGTGTGTGTTTGTGTGTAGATGAGGTCAAGCCATGTTGCCCAGGTTGGTCTCGAACTCCTGGACTCAAGTAATCCTCCTGCCTTGGCATCCCAAAGTACTGGGATTATAGGCAGGGACCACCATGACCAGCTTCTCCTCCAAGTTTGAGAGCTAGGCCTGCACTAGGCCAGCAGCAGGGCCTTCCCAGCCTCAGGTCTCAGGCTTACATGGAAGTGGTGTTAGCCAGAGGCAGCCTGAGGGAGCCCCGGGCCACTCCTTCCCCAGAGAGGTTCTTGGTCCTGTGCAGGCAGCTGGCCTGGTAGGAAGCTTTAGCGGCCGCCCCTTCCACTCCTTTTCCTACCCCTCTGTCCTCTGTGTTGGAGGAGCTGCCGCCACATGCCTCACCCCCTTCAGTTCCTCATTCATTTAAAAACCCTGAGAGAGGGGTGATGTGGAGGCTTCAGATAAAAACTAGATTTAAAAGGCAAAGCTAGAAAGGATAGTTCTTCATAGCTTTCTCTGGTGCTTTAAACAACATGCTTTCAAACCTTGTGGCTTTTGATGTTTGCTTACTCTTTGCTTAATTTAGCCTGGTTTTCTAGTCCTCACTGGAGCTGCCCCTGCTGGCATGGCCTGGTTTGGAGGGGAATGGGGTGGGGGCAGTGGCACTGGGTATGTTGGGCATCTGGGAATGGCAGAGGAAGCTAGAATTCTCTCTTCCCTGTCCTCTGAGTGGCTCCCCTGGTCTCTCGGAACATTACCAGTGCTGTCAACGGCGGCATAGCACTTTACAGTTAAACTGCACAGCCAGCTTGCCTCACGGGATCTTCTCACACACACCCACCCCCAACCATCGCCCCTCACAGCACAGGAACCATCTCAGTGTCCTCGTCTCCCCGGTACACATACACACGTGCACACACATACAAGTGGTGCACACTTGCAAGAACCAGCATGCCTCAAAGAGCTCCCTGATGGGGGTTGGGGGCAGCTGCTGTCCATGAAGCCCAGGGACATCTGTTGCTCCTGCAGGGCCCCCCTTCCCCCAACAACAGGGCTCAGCTTACCAGATGAAAGGCCGAATTTTTCCAGGCCCCTCTCGAAGCCCGAGCCTTGGAAAGTGCCCAGGAGGCGGGATGGTTTGGGGAGGCGGGATGGTTTGGGGAGGCAGGCTGGGGCTGCTCACCAGAGAGGCAGAGCCTTTCCCCACAGCCACAGAGCAGCCTCTACTCTGCCACTTCCCCTCCTTCCTGCCCTGGGCTTCCCACCTTCATCCCACCCTGTTGGCAGCCCTGGGAGAGTCCAAACAGCACAGTGGCCAGTGGGGGTGCTGTAAGTGGGCCAGTGGGCCCGGGTAGGTGCAGAGGGACATGGTGGGCCAGGACTGTGTCTGTGGTGCCTTGAGAGTAGGGGGAAGCCACCCGGGAGGAACCTCCCCACGTGTGGCCTTAGGCAAGGCCCTGACCCTGGCGGCACCCCATGAGTACGTAGCTCAGCCAATCATGTCGTTCAGTGCTGTAAGCTCATTCCCCTGCCCCACCCTGGGTGGCAGACTGGCCCCACCCTGGTATCCTGTTTTTTAGGCACCCCCAACCACACCCCAGCCAGCTGGCCTGTCCCTTCATCACCCAGAGGAGCAGGCACCCAAGGATGGAAAAGCTTTGTGACCTGGGGGCCTCTGGGAGGTGGGCCTGGGGCCAAGAGAGTCCTTGTTCTGCCCAGGCTGCTCGGCTGGAAGGCAATGCTCCCACCCAACTTCTGCCCCGGGGGCCAGTGCCAGGTCCGCGAAGGGCCATGGGCTGGTGAGTTGACAGCTGCTCACAGGAGCCTGCATCTCCTCTCTTCTCTTGGGGCTGACTCCAGTCTTCTGCAATCCCAGGCCTGCTCCAGAGCTGCTGTTTATCATCAGCAGAGGACTTTCCTTCTGGCCACGAAGGCCAGTTTCTCCGAGCCCATCTCCTTTTTTTTTTTTTTTTTTTTGAGACAGAGTCTTGCTCTGTCACCCAGTCTAGAGTGCAGTGGTGCCATCTCGGCTCACTGCAACCTCTGCCTCCCAGGTTCAAGCGATTCTCCTGCCTCAGCCTCCCGAGTAGCTGGGACTACAGGCGCACGCTGCCACGCCTGGCTAATTTTTTGTATTTTTAGTAGAGACGGGGTTTCACCGAGTTAGCCAGGATGGTCTTGATCTCCTGACCTTGTGATCCGCCTGCCTTGGCCTCCCAAAGTGCTGGGATTACAGGCGTGAGCCACTGCGCCAGGCCGCCCTGCTAATTTTTGTATTTTCAGTGGAGGCAGGGTTTCATCATATTGGTCAGGCTGGTCTCGAACTCCTGACCTCAGGTGATCTGCCCACCTCGGCCTCCCAAAGTGCTGGGATTACAGGCATGAGCCACCGCGCCAGGCCTCCATCTCCTTCTTTACCTTGGCTTTGAGCAGAGCGAGGCTCGGGGAGGAGGTGGGTGCTGCAGTCTTTGTTCCTCTTTTCCTGATCCTGGAGATAATTTTGGGAGATGGCCCCAAACCTGAACCTTGGTTTCTTAGCACCTTAAAGTGTGTCAGGCTGGGAGTTTGACACCCTGGTCCCAGCGTCTCTCTGCCAGTGGTGTGCTGGGCAACCTCGGACTAGCCACATCGCTCTCTGGGCTGCAGGGTGTTGTGAGAGTGGGGTTGGCCAGGACTCGTGCCTCAGAGGCTGCCTCCATTGCAGTCAGTTTTTTGAACAAGAGTTGGGGCCTCGGTTTCCCACGGGATTTGTTTTCCACCAATGACGTGGGTGTGAAGTAGTACCATAGAGTATTTGTCTCCTTTAAAAACAGACAAAAATCTTGAATAATAACACCAGGACCTACAATGTGCCTGGTGTCCTGCTAAACACCTTCACAGCTTTTGTTTATTTAAATCTCACAACATCCCTATGAGGCAGAGAGTGTTTTCCTCCTGATTTTGCAGGTGAGCAAACAGAGGCTCAGAAGTTAAAAGAAGTAGCGGAGGCCCAGGTGGCTGTAGGGAGGTGTCCTTGATTATGAGGCTTGACAGCCCCTCTGAGACTTGGTTTTTGATTCTCAGAGCTCGAAGTTACCTTAAAGATAGGCCTACGGGTTTGGTTCACAGTTGGGAAGCTGAGGCCCAGAGAGGAGAAGTAAGCCGCGATGGGGCCTGGAACCAGGATCCTGTTGTCCCAGCGTACGCTGTGGTGCCACCCCCGGGAATTGTCTGGCTCTTCAGTCTGGCACCGGAGCCGAGAATGCCCCCTTCGTCCCCAGTCTCTGCTGATACTCGACCTCCGTGCTCTGAAAGCTGCGATTGTTACAGTGAGCTGGGCTGCCCACGCTCCTGCCCCCGCCCCTTCCCACTGTGGGGCCCTTTGTGCTTCTGGGTCTCAGCACAACAGCCGGGCTGTTGATCCAGAAAGCGCAGCGTGACTGGGAGAGGGCGGCCTGCCATGTTCCTCCCGGCAGGGATTGTCCCAGCCCTAGCCGAGGGGGACCGAGTGCTGCAGTGATGAGGAGAACAGCCCATGAGGGAGGTCAGGAGACCTGAATTCCAGTCCTGGCAAGACCCCACCCAGCCTGCTCTGTGACCTCACTCCCTCCCCAAGTCTCGAGCTCCTCATCTGTAAAACAAGAGGCTGGATGGTGGAGGAGTGTGGAGAGGGGCTCTGGAGGGCAAAGGGAAGATTCCAGCGTGGGCCCATCCCTGGGCGGTAGAAAGAGCACTGGGCCTGGAACCAGGACAGCCAGGTCTCAGCTCAGGCATGGCGGCATCAGAGCTGTGTGTCCCCAAGCACGGCCCCAGCCTCTCAGGGCCTGGGCTGTCTGGTCTGCAAAGGGAGTGGAGTGAATTACTCCTGCTGGGACATAGCACAGGCACTCAGGCATCAGATGAACACTGGAGGCACGGGGAGGATGTGTGGGTAGGGAGGTCACGGGCATCCAGGGTGGGGAGTGGAGGGGGCTCCATGCTGGCTGGGCGCGAGCTGCATTGGCACAAGGCATTCTCTACCCATCCAGGCTTCTGGAAAACCTTGGGTTGGACTCCGGGAGTGTGTGGTTCTTTTCCTTTGTAATTTCTCCTTTTGAATAGACCATTGACTTCCTGAACGACAACATTCGAAGAGGAATTGAGAACTACTATGATGATCTGGACTTCAAAAACATCATGGACTTTGTTCAGAAAAAGGTGAGCCAGGCGCTTTGGGGTAGAGATGCGCCTCCCGTGCTCTTAGCCCCCCATTCAGGCCCCTGCTCAAGAAGATGGGGTGAGGGACCAGGTGACTTATCCATTCCCAAAGCAGGTGGCTGGCCAGATTGGGAGGCAACAGTGAGCATGGATGGCCCACCAAGGATGGGGAAGCCAGGGCCCAACCTATTCAGCCAGTCCTCTGCCCACATTCCTGACCCAAAACCTTCACACCCTTCTGTTCCTCTCCAGTTACACTGGCTTCCTGCCCCATACCCCCAAATAAAACAAAGTCAGGTGTTGCTACAAGCAACCTTGCAGGGTCCCAGGGCACCACCCTCCAATGGGCAAGGATCCTCCTTCCTTGAGGTGTGAGCAACCTCAAGGGGAGTAACCTACCCCAGTCCAAAGCCCCCTCTGCCAAGTCTCTTCAGTGACAACTCACTCCTTGTCAAGTTAAAGACATCCCTGATTGGGAGAAAGTTCTTCACTAATTTCAGTTTCCCCCAAATATGGGACAGTGAACCAGACGCCTCTCTTACTTTCATGACACTTCCTTGAATGTGATGATGATCCTATTCCTTTTGGGACACCATCTCTCCCCTCTAGGTCCACCCAAATCTGTTGGTGCAATAATAATAATAATAATAATAATAATAATAATAATAATAATAATAATAATGGCAGTGGTAGGGCCAGCTGCTGTCCTGGGTGGCTTTTGTACATCAACTTCACTTGGTCCTGAGCCTCAGCTTCCTCACCTACATAAGGGGAATAATGACAGGAGCTCTTGGGGCGTCGTCATGAGGATTACCTTGACTTAATTCAGGAGACGTGCTTAGAACAGTGCCAAGCACAGGGTGAGACCACAGTGCCAGCTGTGGGGATCATTGGTATGTTCTCCTGGGTGAGGACAAGTAGAGTGAGGGCTGCAGGCCCACTCAGCCGGGACAGCACTTCCTGGGACATAATCTTGGGGGCCTCAGCTGGCCTGGATCCTTGTGCCAGCTCTCAGTGGGGACTAGCCTCTCCCCACATGCAGGGCCACTTGCTGTGGCCGCTCCCTTGGCCCAGACTTTCTCTTCAGTCACAACAGGTGCAGCCTCTGGAAGGTCTTTTTCTGCCAGGGATGTGCCTGCCAGCTTGGGCTGGGAGAGCTGACTTCTGCTCCGGGTGGAGTGAGATGTTTTTATTGGAACCAGCCTTTAGCTGGCTTGGGGATTTCATTTCTCCTGGCATAGAGGTAGGAGGTGATTAATGCTGAATGGGCACTTGCTTGGTGCCAGGTCCAGTGCTGAGTGCTTCATGCATGGCACTCTATGTAATCACAGCTCAGCTGTGCAGAGCTGCCATCCTTATTCTTGCTTTACAGACAACCATCTGAGGCTCAGAGAGGCTGACCAACTTGCCTGAGGTTGCACAGCAGGGAGTGGTGGTCTGAGGATTTGACCTTGGGTCTGTTCCATTGCAAGACAAATGCCCTTTGAACTACATTGCAGAAAGACAGTTCTAGGTCCCAAAACCTGGTGGCTTAAGGGGCACTGTGGGGACTCTGAAAGGTGTCTGGCTACCAGGACGTGTACTGCAGCCCTGGTTGAGCCCTCCAGTCCCAGCTCCCTGCTTCAGCTGGCTGGCAAAGCTTTGCATGGTCCAGCCTGTGCCGCCCTTTCATCCTCATGCTCTGCACTCTCTCTGTTCCAGGCTTGTTGGCCTCCGCACCTGCTGCTGAAATACAAGCTTGTTTCTGCGTGGGGCCTTTGCATGGGTCGTCTGGCTTCTTTCTGTTTCCATGTTTCAGATGAAATATCCTCTCTACAAAGAGCCCTTTCATGACCTGCCAACCTAGAGCTGCCCCTCCCCACTTTCCCCCTATTTCTCCATTTCCAGGTTGCACAGCACCTTTCCATCCAGTGCTCACTCTCTGTCTCTCCACTGGAATGTGTTCCACCTGAGCAAGGGCTGCCTTGCTTTTGCTCACCCTGTCTCTCCAGTGCCCAGGACAATGCCAGGCACATACCAGCCATCAGGAGGGTTACCAACTACTTCCTACAGGAGCAGGGAGGGGAGGCAGGGAGGGGCTCGGCTAAGGGGAGAGCTCCAGGCAGGTTGTGAGGTGTGGGTGCTCTCCTTGCTAAGGGCAGGGCCAGCTGAGCTGGACGGGGTGGCTCCTAGGGTGGGTGCGAAGGTTGGTTGAGGTGCAGGGACTTTCACAGAATCATGCTTGGTCTCTGGGACTTTAAGGGCCATCTTTTCCAGCCTAGCACCTGCATTTGGGGACACGAAGATGAAGAAAGTGGAGGCCAGTTGTCAAGGAAGGACCTTTCCTCCCAGTGCCTAGTCACTACCCTGATATCCCACCAAGAGGCAGCCCAGCCTTGGCTTCCATACCTCTCTAGTGACAGGGGGTTCACTACCCTCTAGGCAGCCATGCCACACTTTGACAGCTCTGACTTGAAAGTGTACAGCCTCTCCCTGCCCCAGGGTGACCCACATAATAAACTGCCTCCGTCTCCTGACAGGGCCCCTTCCTGTCGTCTGAGCAGGGCCTGGGCGATGACGGCAGCTCCTCTTTCCTGCTTGCTTCCCTCAGTTCAAGTGCTGTGGCGGGGAGGACTACCGAGATTGGAGCAAGAATCAGTACCACGACTGCAGTGCCCCTGGACCCCTGGCCTGTGGGGTGCCCTACACCTGCTGCATCAGGAACACGGTAGACACTGCTCCTGTGGGGACTGGGGGGCTGTCGGGGACCCCAGGTGGTATAAATGTTCTCTTTTCTCTCTTCCCAACTTGAAGATGGGTGGTGTGGGTGGATGGCAGGGAAGTAGGAGTTGGTGGCAGAGCGGAGGCTTTCCTGATTCTCAAGGGCTCCTGAAAGTGGAGCTTCTGGGGGTCGGGGGTAGGGAGACCATGTCTTTCTTAGTGGTGTTGGTTAAAATCTATTGAGCACCTACCTTGTGCAGGCCTGCTCTGGGCACTTTGGTGGTATTTACTCATTTAGTATTCACGACAACCCTGTGAGGTATGTACTGTTATTTTACCCACTTTACAGATGAGGAAATTGAGGCACTCAAAGGCTGGGTGTCTTGCCCAAGGTTGGCAGGGCTGGGATGAAGTGCAGGCAGCTGTTGCCTGAGCTACACTCTGGAGAACTGTGCAGGCCAGGTGAGGGCAGGAGGGAGAGGTGCCCAGGCCAGGGGAGCTTAGCGGGGGTAGCTGGCTCTGCAGCATTAGTGGAGGCAGGCAGGACCTGCACCTTGGGCATCTCCATTGGTCTTTGGCCTTGAGGTCCTGGTGATCATCAGCAGCAGAGTGCTTGGAAGGGGGTCTGGTGACGTAAATGCCATCCTCTTCCTCTCCCCAGCACGATCCTCTCGGGTCTGTCACCTTGGTCATTTGGGATGATGTCTTGTGTTGTCAGCGCTTAAGTGAAAGGCTTCATCAGTCCTTGTGTTTGACAAATGTGTCCAGAAACTGTTTCAGGATTGGAACGAGGTGGAGAGCTTTGCAATTACTCATGGCCCAGATAGTCATGGAAAGTTTTTCTCCTGACATTGCCACCATTCTGTGCCCACTGCTGGATTCTGTAAACTGAGCAGCTGCGGGTGGGGGCCTCGCCCATGAGTCAGAGAGCCAGTGCCAAGTGCACTAGCTCTAAAAAAGGCCGGGCCAGGAGGGAAGCTTTGTTTGGAAGTGTTAGCTGCCATTTTAGGGTAGTTCTCTGGGAAGTGGGGTGCTGAGGAGTAGCAGAGTTTCCAGAGAGGCCTGCGTGGGGTGATCCTGAACCTCATCACCCAGGGCAGCAGCATCTGAATACCTAAGCTGAGATGTGGAAGCCAAACTTGTATTCATTCATTCATTCATTCATTCAACAAATATTGGCTGAGAACCTACTCTATGCCAGACACATTTCCAGGTTCTGGGGGTGTAGCAAACAAAGTCTCTGCCCGCAAGGAGGTGACATCCTAGTGGAGAAAACTGACAAACAAAATAAGTAAAAGATAGAGGATCATAAATGCTGAGTAGAAAAAGAAAGTAGGGCATGGAGGATTGCAGTTTGGGATACTGAGAAAGGCGGGATCTGGGTGAAGCTCTGAAGAAAGTGAGGAAGGTGTCTGGGGGAGGGGCATTCCTGGCAGCAAGAACAGCTGTGCAAAGGCCCCAGGTGGGAATCACCCCAGGGCGTTTGAGAAATGCACAGAGTGGCTGGAGCAGAGGGAGCACAGCGGAGGATGGTAGGAGGTGGAGTCAGGGAGGTCATGGGTACCCCGAAGGCCACAGGCAGGACTGTGGGGCACCCTTGAGTGATGGACCATACAGGGCTGCATGGAAGAGGGGCACTCTGACTTGGTTTTACAAGAATCAGTCTGGCTGTTGTGAGGGACATGCTAGATGCAGGGATAGAGTTAGGGGCTGATATGCAGTGATCCAGGGGTCATAGGTCATCTTGTCCAGGAAGGTGCTCTTGGATCAACACCTGTGGAAGTGGGAGCCAGAAGCGGGATTGGGCAATGAAGGGAGTTGAGCAGTGATGCAGCCTCAGCTCAGTTCGGCTGGAGGCCTCAGCCACATCTATGAGGACAGCCCTTCAGAGTTGTCCCCTACTGGGGTGAGGGGGCCAGGCCTTCACACTCCCACCCACATTGACCAGGCATTGCATGAGTCCAGTGGTCCACCCAAGAAGGGACTTGCTGGCTCTGTTCAGCCAAGAACAGACTAATACAGCAAGAGGAAAGAGAGGGATTGATTGATGATAAGGAATTGGCTTGTGTAATTATGGAGGCGGGCAAGTCCCAAGATCTGCAGGGTGAGTCGGCAGGCTGGAGACCCAGGAGAGCTGAGGGTGGAGTTCCCATTCAAAGGCTGGTCAGGCTTCAAACCTAGGAAGAGCCAGCATTTCAGTTCAAGCCCGAAGGTAGCCAAGCAGGGAGAATTCTCTTATGGTCACTGAGGAGAGGGCAGTCTTTTGTTCTGTTCAGGCCTTCCCTGATCAGATGAGACCTCTCCCCCTTGGGCAGGGCCATCTGCTTTACTTAGTCTGCTGATTTAAACATTAGCCTCATGCAGAAACACCCCCACAGAGACACCCAGGATAATGTCTGGCCAAATATCTGGGTATCCCATGGCCTGGTCATGTTGACATATAAAATTAATGATCACATGAAGTAGTTATTGCAGGGGGCTGACACCTAAGGGCTCCCCACAGCATCCCTGCACCAGGGAGGGGAAGACAGATGCTTGGAGCTGGGTGGTGGTGGTGGTGGTGGAAGTGGCAAACCGTGGTGACATTCTGGCTGTATTTTGCAAGTAAGCCTACAGGATTTGCTCGCATAGCAGATGTGGGCGATGAATGAAAGAGAGAAATCAAGGAGGATACCCAGGTTTTGGTCTGAGCCACAGGAAAGACGGGGCTGCCACTGCCTGAGAGGGGAGGACTGCAAGGAGGCAGGCTGGGTGACCAGGAGCTCACCGTGGACGTGGGGGGTTTGAGAGCCTGTTCAGCATCCCATCAGGGGTGTCAAAGATGCGGTTGGATATAGGAGTCTGGAGTTCTGGGAACGACTAGGCAAGGGGTGTAAACACGGACATCATCTGCAGATAGGGTAGAATCTAAAGACAGCATCTGAATGAGAGCACTGAGGTAGGGAGGAGCCTTCCCCTGGCCGGGGTTATCTGACCCTGTGTTACACATGACCATTGAGTCTCCCTGTGCCACCACACCTGGATGATTTTCTCTAAATGTGAAACAGGGCGTTCGCTTCCTCCATAGAACTGGTTGATTTGTGTCCAGATCTATTTATTTTACACTGTACTATTCAACCTGGGATTTGAATGAGTACACGGGAAATATGTAGTGTAAAAAACTAAAATAGCATTAAAAATCAGGACTGTGGGAATTGTATTCTCAGATAGGAGGCCTAGATGATGGAGAAAAATATAAAATCCTGCTATCTAAGCCTCAGGACCTCATGGACTCACTGAAAAGGAGCTGAGCCTCGTGTCTGGTGGCTTGGAGCAGGGCTCCCCTACCTCCAGGCCATGAACCAGTACCGGTCAGTGGCTTGTTAGGAACCAGGTCGCACAACAGGAGGTGGGCAGAGGTTGAGGGAGCATTGCCACCTGAGCTACACCTCCTGTCACATCAGCAGCAGCATTAGAGTCGCATAGGAGTGTGAACCCTATTGTAAACTGTGCATGCAAGGGACCTAGGGTGCATGCTCCTTATGAGAATCAAACTAATGCCTGATGATCTGAGGTGGAATGGTTTCATCCCGACACCATCACCCCCCACCCCCCCGCACCCCATCCTGTGGAAAAATTATTTTCCTTGAAACCAGTCTCTGGTGCCAGAAAGGTTGGAGACCACTGGCTTAGAGTTTCCTGGCAACCAAAAGGAAAAGGGAGACATGGTCTGTTACATTGTTACTGTTCAGCAGAACATACCAGCAGAACATACCAGTTCTTCAGGGAAAGTAACCTTTTCCCTAACACTCAGCTTTAAAAGAAATGTCTTATATGAGCTTCCAATAGAGGATTTGAGCCATAGAAGTTCACATAGGGCTGTAAAATCTGGTTATACCAGGATATATCCCTCGGAGATGTTGGTGCAGAGGGCAGCGTGCTTCTACATTAAATGGCTCCAGACTGCTGTGCCTGCTGAGCTCTTGGGACCAATTTTCACGTACCTCCCCTCCCTTGTTGTTGGCTACCCCTTGGGGGCCTGTCGCGAAGGCCCCTCTCCCTGTCCCCATTAGCTGCTCAGTCTTTTCAGGGTGAGAGGATGCACACACAAACATTGCTGTGATCTTCTGGCTGCCCAGGAGTCCCCCTTCTGACTTCCTGTCCTGTGGCCCCGTGCAGGATGGAAGAGGCTACTGGACCCTGGTCTTGGGGCCTGTGAACTTCAGCAGAGCCTCTTGCAGAATATCGATTCTATGGTCAGGCAGGTAAACCCAGGCAGGCTTTACTTTTGGAAAGACTATGGATGCATCGTATCCCCTCACCCCTTGGTGAGGGGCTCTCCTGGCAGGGTGAGGTGAGTCCCCCCTGGGCCTGGAGAAGGGTTCTGGGCTCTGATGCCAGAGAGGCCTCTGCCAGTTGCCTGTGTGCTAAGAGACTCATCCCCCGAGGTCACCAGAGCTGGCCCAGTGAAGTCACTCTTGTCACCTCCCTACGTACCATGCAGCTTACCTATTTGTTATGTTCATTATCTCCCTTTCTACAGTGTAAGTTCCATGAAGGCAGGGACTTTGTCTTGTTGTTCTGTATTTCAAGTGACTAGAACTGGGATTGACATGCAATAGGTGCTCAGTTAATATTTGTTCAATGAACAAATGAATGAACCAATGAGATGGAAAGCACTCACTCCCATCATGTGCCCGTGCACCTGCTCTCCAGGCCTGACCCTCTCCATAGGGGTTGTGTTTATGGCCTGGAAGGGCCAAAAACACTGGCTGACTAATGCCCAGTGGGCACTGGGCATGGCTGGGACTGAGGCTACCTGGAGAACCAGCTAAACCGAGGGAGGTCGTCTTGCCTGCACATCAAGCCCTGACATTTAGAATGACCTAGATGACATCTGAGGCCCAACCCTCTCTCGGAAGGAGAGAAGACACCCTCCCTTTCCTTTGCAGGGGCTGGAATTGTGAACAAATCACGCCAGCCAGCATTCTTGTGCTCCTCCATGTGCCCAGCCCCGTGATAAGCACTTTATATGTGTATCTCACTTTATGTCCAAAACAGCCCTAGGAGGTGGGTTCTGTGATCATCACAACCTATTCATTCATTCATTTTCTCAGTTAACAAATATGTATTGAGTACCTCTGCGTGCCAGTTCCTTAGCAGCCCACCTAAGGTTGGGCTCTGCTCCTAAGTGGCAGAGCAAGATCTGGACCCAGGAAATGTGACACCAGAGGGCACGCTGGGGGCTCTGCTGTTGCCCTCCTGAGTCATCACTGGCGCCTGCAGCACTCACGGCAGCGTTCACTTACATGTAGAGCAGCGGGGCTGGGGGGGACGGTCATGGGCTGGACCAGGAAGTCTCACTCTCTTCCCTGGTGGTTGGAGAAGGAGACCCTGCGGGGCACAGGTGGTGATGGGAAGTGCCCGCGGCAGCCTGTGAGTTAGGGCCTGCCTGGGGAGGGGTTTGATGAGGTCTAGGGCGTGACCACAGGTTTCCCTATGCCTAAATTAATCAGTAGTCGGGAGTTCTGGAGAGCACCTCTCTTCCCAAGAAGGAAGTTTTGGCAGCACTCTCCGCTGGTGGAGCAGTGGTCTATGGAACGGAAGCATGGCCAGGGGCCCTGCCCTGGACCTCAGGTAAACCACAGCTGACCCTGTGCCAGCTGTAGTCTGAAGTTTTCCTCCCCAAGAGCCAGCGGCGCAGGAACAGCCCCACCCCGACCTCTGAGACGGTGTGAGCAAAGCGGTGCTCTGGGGCGGTCATAGCCCGGGAGCGTGGGCAGCACACCTTTCTCTGGGGTCCTGATCTGCTGCTAGTGGAGGGGTGGTTCTCCCAGGTAAAAGTCATGGAACCTGCATTCCTACAGTTTTTTCACGGGGCATTTCTTGGAGGAGGAGGTGGTTATGATGGAGACTCAAGCCAGACTGCCTGGGTCGGAATCTCAGCTCCATCCCTGCTGGACGGTGCAACTCTGTGCTTCGGTTTTCATCTGTAAAATGGGTAGGATAATAGTGCCTTTTTGAGTTAGAACCATTATAAATATTAGCTATTATACATTTCCATTTCAGACAGAAGTTGTCAACACCATGTGTGGCTACAAAACTATCGACAAGGAGGTAATGTCTTTGAAATGCCTTTCCCTGGAAATGTTGCTCTTCCTGGTCCACCCTGGGGTGATCGGAGGGGTTTATTGAGGTCGGGGTCCTGGCCACTGAGATTTTCCCACATTCCTGGCTGTGACCCAGAGCCAGGACTGCTGTGGTTTTCCACCCCAGCACAGAAGGGCTCAGGGAACCAAGAATTCCCCCAGGCTGGGAGATGCCGCCTGTCAGGGTTTGCCGAGCACCTACTGTGGGCTGTTCCACATGAAGCCACCACGGCGCTTCCTGGTACCCGCAGCGTGCTGTGTGCCCAGCCATGCTCAGCACCAGCTTGCCTCTGCCCCTGGGGCCACCTGGGACCCAGGAGTCCTAGAGGATGGTAACCCCCTCTGGGGGTTGCTCCTGGGTCAGCTTCCTGGGCAACACCCCTGGTCTAGGAGAGAAGCAGGGGTGGTGCTGAGAAGGGACCTAAAAGGAATAGTGACCTGACATGCAGAGCAGTGGCTTTCAAAGTGGGGTCCCCAGTCCAGCAGCAACAGCATCCCCTAGGAATGTGAGAAATGCACATTCTTGGTATGGGGCTAGTGGGTGATTCTGACACATGCTTGAGAGCCATAGACCAGCAGTGGTTCTCAGCCCCTCAGAACCAATGGCCATTTTTATAACAAACAGTGGTAATGTCCTATTTATTATCCCCAAGTGAAATTCACAGATAACCTACCTACATGCCCAATTCCAATACAATTAACATAATGATCTGAGATAAAGTAGAAATGAAATACAGCAATTTACAGCTGTTTAACATAGTTCATCATGTAAGTGCTTAGGCAGTGGGGGGTGCAGAAGACACAATGTAGTCAGGTGTCTGCACTGATGTGAGGCATCCCTGAGGCTGTAGTAGCTACAGGGCAGCTGATACTGGGCATTGTGTTGGCGACTCACATACCATGGGCATCATTTTTGCCACTGGCATGGTTTTTAAAAACGGTGAACAATTCTTGATAAAGTTCTGAATTAAATAATGTGTAATCATTCCTTAATTTACCTAGTAGTACTTCTGGAAAATTCTTTGTATATTAAAACCAATGCAGAAATGCTTTTTTTTTTTTTTTCCCTTAAGAGACAGACAGGGTCTCACTGTTGCCTAGGCTGGCCTCAAACTCCTAGGCTTAGGCACTCCTCCCAACTGAGCCTCCATAGTAGCTGGGACTGCAGGCACTGGCCACCATGCCCAACTCTGCTTTGTTTTTTATATGTACCTGGAGTGGGGCTATTGGCTTGGATAATTATAAATAGGCTTTTCATGTATGGAAAACATCCGTGAGGCTTTTCATGCAGGGACATCTGAGAAGCACACAGGCAGGGCAGTTGTTTGTGGAGTAGGATTACCCTGAGCTCTGCAGTCCCTCAGCCGCCAACCTCGTTTGCTGGGGCAACCAAAAGTGCCACCACGGTGTCCCCAGTCCTCTCTAGAGAACAGTACTGTCCATTAAGAATCAGAATCTAGGGTCACCTTCTCATGCTGCATATGGGAAACTGAGGATCACAGCGGTTGAGGGACTAGCCTGGACCTTGTGTACATGGCAGAGTCGGGGCTGTGGCTCCTGCCAGCCGAGGTCCTCTGCTGGGCTGACCCAGCTCCTTCCCATGCAGCGTTTCAGTGTGCAGGATGTCATCTACGTGCGGGGCTGCACCAACGCCGTGATCATCTGGTTCATGGACAACTACACCATCATGGCGGGCATCCTCCTGGGCATCCTGCTTCCCCAGGTGGGCAGGCCGTGGGTTCAGAGAAAGTGTGACTTGGTGATTGCAGAAGGGCAGAGAAGGTGCAGAGGGGAAGAGCGAAGAGGCTTTTTTCATAGAAGTCCAGGACTTGCCTGGGGAGGGCTGCATGGCTGGAAGGAGGGGCAAATGGCAATAGCAGTCGTGGCGAAGCTCTTCCAAGTGCTGCGCAGGCACTGCTGCTTCACTTCTTTTTGTGAGGGAGGCACTATTATAATGCCTATTTCACAGAGGAGGAAACTGAGGAGCAGCAAGCTTCAGTGACTTGCCAAGATCCCCTAGATAGTGTGCAGCAGAGCTGGGGTGGAGGCAGGAATCCCAGAAGGGAGGGGCCCTTGCTGATGGGGCACAGCGAGGCGCTCTGGGATTTCCTGGGAAGGGGAGAGGGGGCCCAGGTGGGAGCTTCTTGGGCAGTGTGGGTGCTGGGAGAAGTCTCTGCTGTGGGTGTTGCCCAGGTCACACAGGACCATGAGGGCTTGGGACTGGCTGCTTGGGTTTCTGGGAGCCGGGAGCTGCAGGGAGGGCTGCCCTGATTCCCAGCAGGCCCTCACCAGCCCTGCCCCTTCTTCTCAGTTCCTGGGGGTGCTGCTGACGCTGCTGTACATCACCCGGGTGGAGGACATCATCATGGAGCACTCTGTCACTGATGGGCTCCTGGGGCCCGGTGCCAAGCCCAGCGTGGAGGCGGCAGGCACGGGATGCTGCTTGTGCTACCCCAATTAGGGCCCAGCCTGCCATGGCAGCTCCAACAAGGACCGTCTGGGATAGCACCTCTCAGTCAACATCGTGGGGCTGGACAGGGCTGCGGCCCCTCTGCCCACACTCAGTACTGACCAAAGCCAGGGCTGTGTGTGCCTGTGTGTAGGTCCCACGGCCTCTGCCTCCCCAGGGAGCAGAGCCTGGGCCTCCCCTAAGAGGCTTTCCCCGAGGCAGCTCTGGAATCTGTGCCCACCTGGGGCCTGGGGAACAAGGCCCTCCTTTCTCCAGGCCTGGGCTACGGGGGAGGGAGAGCCTGAGGCTCTGCTCAGGGCCCATTTCATCTCTGGCAGTGCCTTGGCGGTGGTATTCAAGGCAGTTTTGTAGCACCTGTAATTGGGGAGAGGGAGTGTGCCCCTCGGGGCAGGAGGGAAGGGCATCTGGGGAAGGGCAGGAGGGAAGAGCTGTCCATGCAGCCACGCCCATGGCCAGGTTGGCCTCTTCTCAGCCTCCCAGGTGCCTTGAGCCCTCTTGCAAGGGCGGCTGCTTCCTTGAGCCTAGTTTTTTTACGTGATTTTTGTAACATTCATTTTTTTGTACAGATAACAGGAGTTTCTGACTAATCAAAGCTGGTATTTCCCCGCATGTCTTATTCTTGCCCTTCCCCCAACCAGTTTGTTAATCAAACAATAAAAACATGTTTTTTTTTTTTTTTTTTTTTTGCCTTTCCTGTGTGCTGTTTTGTTGGGGCGGGGGTAAGGAAGGCTGCAACCTGGATTTGGAAACCCCTTGTGGATGCGAGGATGAAGGGGGTGCATGGGGTGAAGATTTGGCATAGCTTGGGATACAGGTGGGGGGTTGGGGGGAAAGCCTCAGGGCCAGAGGTGACCACGCCTATTTTACCGAGAACCGAGGGAAACAGCCTGGGCCAGGTACAGCATGAGGCTCCACCTCCAGGAAATGGGGTGGATGGGGTGGGGGACCAGGGAAGCGGAGTTGCCCACAGGTCCACCTACCGCGCTCCCTGCAGCCCTCAGTGTGCCTAATGGCTGCCGCGCAACGCATGCAGAGCGTGGTGTCGGTCGACCCCTGCTGGAGATGCCGGGACTTGCGTGCGTCAGTCCACTCAAACCTTCGGGCCAGAAGACATGGGATCTAGATTTTTTGTGAGGCTCTTAGTAGCCAGGGCAATAGAAATAAAGTAGCAAGAGGCCGGGCATGGTGGCTCACGCCTGTAACCCCAACACTTTGGGAGGCTGAGGTGGGCCATCACGAGGTCAGGTGTTCGAGACCAGCCTGACCAACATAGTGAAACCCCATCTCTACTAAAAATACAAAAATTAGCCGGGCATGGTGGTGCGCGCCTGTAGTTCCAGCTACTCAGGAGGCTGAGGCAGGAGAATCGCTTGAACCCGGGAGGCGGAGGTTGTGGTGAGCCGAGATCACACCACTGTACTCCAGCCTGGGCAACAGAGTGAGACTCCATCTCAAAAAAAAAAAAAAAAAAAAAAAAAAAAAAGAAGAAGAAATAAAGCAGCAAGAGCCCCAAACCTGAAGGATTCTAACGGTGGGAACCATCTACACACCCAGTAGTTAAGTGGTCAGATGCTTGGTCTGCCATGGGTGCCAAACGCATGTGTAAGAAGGGGCAGGAGGAGGGTATTTTAAAGTATGCAATAACACAACAATAACAAACACACCATAGAGCATACTTTGCCAGGAACGATATTAACTCCTTTAATCCTCACGACTAGGGTAATTCTTATCTTCATTTTATTAGTGGGGAAACTGAGGCACAGGGCAGTTAAGTAACTTGCCCAGGCAGGCAGCTGGTAAGTGACAAAGCCATGACTTGAGCCCAGATAGGATCTCTTGAGCCACTCAGCCCCTCTGCTTTACTGTCTCTGTTGCCTCCTGTGCACACATGGTACTAGGCATGCAAAACCAGTGGAGGCTGCAGCTGCTTCTGAAGCTCTGTCCTGGGGATATTCACTGTAGCCGCTGCTGCAGCCTCTGTCTTGTCCCACTTTGACCTAATGGACACAAGGCCAGGTCAAGCTCTGTGTCTGGCTGGAGGCCTTGTAGTCCTGGGGCTCTGGCTGTTCTGAGAACCCCTTTTGTGCCCAGAGGGGAGACGGCAGCTGCCTTTAGGGGCAGCAGGATGGCAGAGGCCCCGTAGGAGACAGGCTGGTCTGAATCGCTTATCCAAGGTCACCTTACCTGGACCCTGGAACCCGGACCCCTTGTCTTCCCTCTTTCCAGCACCACTCACAGACACCCCTCTACCTCACACTGCACCGCTGGCCAGCTGCTTATGTGGACCAGCGCTGGTGCCACAGATGGCTAAGCTCCAGCAGACACTCATCTCCTCTTTTCCAAACCTTGGTCACTCACCTCTAAAGAAATGGAAGCATAAATATCTTATTTTTTTTGAGAAGTGTGTGTTCATATCCTTCGCCCACTTTTTGATGGGGTTGTTTGATTTTTTTTTTTTGTAAATTTGTTTAAGTTCCTTTAAATTCTGGATATTAGCTCTTTGTAAGATGGATAGATTGCAAAAATTTTCTTCCATTCTGTAGGTTGCCTGTTCACTCTGATGGTAGTTTCTTTTGCTGTGCAGAAGCTCTTTAGTTTAATCAGATCCCATTTGTCAATTTTGGCTTTTGTTGCCATTGCTTTTGGTGTTTTAGTCATGAAGTCCTTGCCCATGCCTATGTCCTGAATGGTATTGCCTAGGTTTTCTTCTAGGGTTTTTATGGTTTTAGGTCTTATGTTTAAATCTTTAATCCATCTTGAGTTAATTTTTGTATAAGGTGTAAGGAAGGGGTCCAGTTTCAGTTTTCTGTATATGGCTAGCCAGTTTTCACTACACCATTTATTAAATATTAAATAGGGAATCCTTTCCCCATTGCAGGTTTGTCAAAGATCAGATATTGTAGATGTGTGGTGTTATTTCTGAGGCCTCTGTTCTGTTCTATTGGTCTATATATCTGTTTTGGTACCAGTACCATGCTGTTTTGGTTACTGTGGCCTTATACTATAGTTTGAAGTCAGGAAGTGTGATGCCTCCAGCTTTGCTCTTTTTGCTTAGGATTGTCTTGGCTATACGGGCTCTTTTTTGGTTCCACATGAAATTTAAAGTAGTTATTTCTAATTATGTGAAGAAAGTCAATGGTAGCTTGATGGGGATAGCGTTGAATCTATAAATTACTTTGGGCCATATGGCCATTTTCACGATATTGATTCTTCCTAACCATGAGCAAGGAATGTTTTTCCATTTGTTTGTGTCTTCTCTTATTTCCTTGAGCACTAGTTTGTAGTTCTCCTTGAAGAGGTCTTTGACATCCCTTGTAAGTTGTATTCCTAGGTATTTTATTCTCTTTATAGCAATTGTGAATGGGAGTTCACTCATGAATTGGTTCTCTGTCTGTTATTGGTTTATAGGAATGCTTGTGATTTTTGCACATTGATTTTGTATCCTGAGACTTTGCTGAAGTTGCTTATCGGCTTAAGGAAATTTTGGGCTGAGACGATGGAGTTTTCTAAATGTACAATCATGTCATCTGCAAACAGAGACAATTTGACTTCCTGTCTTCCTATTTGAATACCCTTTATTTCTTTCTCTTGCCTGATTGCCCTGGCCAGAACTTCTAACCCTATGTTGAATAGGAGTGGTGAGAGAGGGCATCCTTGTCTTGTGCTGGTTTTCAAAGGGAGTGCTTCCAGCATTTGCCCATTCAGTATGATATTGGCTGTGGGTTTGTCATAAATAGCTCTTATTATTTTGAGATATGTTCCATCAATACCTAGTTTATTGAGAGTTTTTAGCATGAAGGGGTGTTGAATTTTATTGAAGGCTTTTTCTGCATCTATTGAGATAATCATGTGGTTTTTGTCATTGGTTCTGTTTATGTGATGGATTACGTTTATTGATTTTCGTATGTTGAACCAGCCTTGCATCCCAGTGATGAGCTGACTTGATCGTGGTAGATAAGCTTTTTGATGTGCTGCTGGATTTGGTTTGCCAGTATTTTATTGAGGATTTTTGCATCGTTGTTCATCAGGGATATTGGCCTGAAATTTTCTTTTTTTTGTTGTGTCTCTGCCAGGTTTTGGTATCAGGATGATGCTGGCCTCATAAAATCAGTTAGAGAAGAGTCCCTCTTTTTCTGTTGTTTGGAATAGTTTCAGAAGGAATGGTACCAGTTCCTCTTTATACCTCTGGTAGAATTTGGCTGTGAATCTGTCTGGTCCTGGCCTTTTTTTGGTTAGTAGGCTATTAATTACTGCCTCAATTTCAGAACTTGTTATTGGTCTATTCAGGGATTTGACTTCTTCCTGGTTTAGTCTTGTGGGGGTGTATGTGTCCAGGAATTTATCCATTTCTTCTAGATTTTCTAGTTTATTTGCATAGAGGTGTTTATAGTATTCTCTGAAGGTAGTTTGTATTTCTGTGGGATCAGTGGTGATATCCCTTTTATCATTTTTTATTGTGTCTATTTGATTCTTTTCTCTTTTCTTCTTTATTAGTCTTGCTAGCGGTCTATTTTGTTAATCTTTTCAACACACCAGCTCCTGGATTCATTGATTTTTTGAAGGGTTTTTGTGTCTCTTATCTTCTTCAGTTCTGCTCTGATCTTAGTTATTTCTTGTCTTCTGCTAGCTTTTGAATTTGTTTGTTCTTGCTTCTCTAGTTCTTTTAATTGTGATGTTAAAGTATCAATTTTAGATCTTTCCCACTTTCTCTTGTGGGCATTTAGTGCTATAAATTTCCCTCTAAACACTGCTTTTGCTGTGTCCCAGAGACCCTGGTACGTTGTGTCTTTGTTCTCATTGCAGGGACATGGATGAAGCTGGAAGCCATCATTCTCGGCAAACTGACACAGGAACAGAAAACCAAACACCGCATGTTCTCACTCGTAAGTGGGAGTTGAACAATGAGAACACATGGACACAGGGAGGGAAAGATCACACACTGGGGCCTTTCAGAGGGTGGGGGGCTGGGGGAAGATAGCATTAGAGGGAATACCTAATGTAGATGATGGGTTGATGGGTGCGGCAAACCACCATGGCACATGTATACCTATGTAACAAACCTGCCCATTCTGCACAAGTATGCCAGAACTTAAAGTATAAAAAAAAATGAAATGGATGGAAGCAGAGTACCTGGAGAGGGCTTTGTCCATCCTGTGGTTGAGGACTCCCTGGCCATGACACCCTTTTGTGCTTTAAAGCCAATGAATGACATTATCTTGGCCTCTTGTCTCACAAGGATGGAACCATAAATGAGTCCTTTCCCACACCATGACACACATAGAAAATAATAATATTTGTGCAGCCTACATCATTTGTGAAGTTGAGGAGGTTTGTGGGCTTTGCTTTTTGATTTATTTGTTAATAATTATTTTTTATAAGACACATTAAGGAAGACTGATTTTGTATAAAAATGTCCAATACCATATTCTTGAAATATATTTTTAACAATTTATGGAGGTATACTGGATATAAAATAAACTGCGTGTATTTAAACTGACAAATGTGTCAGTGAAACCATCACTACAGTCAAGATAATGAACATATCCATCACTCTAAAAAATGTCCTCTTGTCCCTTTGTAATCTGTTTATTATAGCCCTTCCCACCATCCACAGCCTATGCTTAAGCAATCAGAGCTCTGCTTTCTGTCTCTATAAATTACTTGGTATTTTCTAAAATGTTATATAGGTGGACTCATACAGCATGCACTCTTTCTGTCTGGCTTCTTTCACTCAGTAATCATTTTAAGATTCATTCATTTTGTAGCATATATCAGAAGTTCATTTCTTTTTATTGCGGAGCAGCATACTGTTGTATGGATACACCATGGTTTATTTATCCATTCACCTACTGATGGACGTTTTGTTTCCAGTTTTTTGTTGTTGTTACAAATAAAGCTGCTATGAATACTTGTGCATGTGTCTTTATAAAAACACATACTTTCATTTCTCTTGGGTAAATATCTAGAAGTAGAATGGCTGGATTATATGTAACTATATGTTTAACTTTTTAAGAAACTGCCAAACTATTTTCCAAAGTGGTTGCACAATTTTGTATCCCCACCAGCAGTGTATGAGAGTTCTGGTTTCCCTACATCCTTGCCAGCAGTTGGTATGGCCAGTTTTTCTTAGTCATGCTAATGGGTGTGTGGTGGTATTTTGTTGTGGTTTTGATTTGCATTTCCTTAATAATCATGTTGAGTACTTTTCGTAGACATATTTGCCATCCACATAATTTCTTTGCTGAAGCGCCTTTTGAAATATTTTCTTAAAAAATTAGATTGTTTTTGTATTATTGAATTTTGACAACTCTTTGTATATGCTGGATACGGGTCCTTGATTAGTTATATGATTTGAAAAATTTCAGTCTGTAGCTTGTCTTGTTCTCTCTCTCTTTCCTTCATGTAGAGATTGGGTCTCACACCATTGCCCCGGCTGCCCTTGAACTCCTGGGCTCAGGATCTTCCCACCTCAGCCTCCTAAAGTGCTGGGATTACAGGCATGAGCCACCGTGCCCAGTCTGTGGTGTGTCTTTTCAGTCTCTTAATGGTGTTTTCCAAAAAGCAGGAGTTTTTAACTTGATGAACTCCAACTTATCAATGTTTTCTTTCATGCGTGATGCTTCTGGTGTCATAGCTAAGAAATGTTTGCCTAAACCAAGATCACAAAGGTTTTCTCCTACATTTTCTTTTAAAAGTTTTATAGTTACGTTACAATTATGTAACGCTCTTACATTTAAGTCAAGGATTCATTTTGAGTTAATTTTCTAATATGCTACAAAGTACGCATCAAAGTTAATCTGTTTTGTACATGCATATCCAATTGCTCCAGCACCACCTGTTGAAAGCAGGGATGAATTTCCACTGAATTGCCTTGGCACCTTTGTTGAAAAGCAATTGTCCATGTATCTGTAGGTTTACTTCTGGATTTCTCACTACGTTTTGGTCAATGTTGTATAGCAAATGTCAGAGCAGACATCCTTGACTTGGTCCTGATCTTAGGGGGAAAGTGTTCAGTCTTTTATCATTAAGTATAATGTTAGATGTAGGTTTTTCATGGACATTCTTTATCCAGGTTGACTAAGTTCTCTTGTATTTCTAGTTTACTCAACATTTTTGTTGGGACTAGATGTTGGATTTTGTCAAATGCCTTTTCTGCATATTTTAGAATTTGCGAATATGGTGAATTTCATTCATTTTCACATGCTGAATTAACCTTGCATTCCTGGAATAAGCCCCATTCAGTGATGATATAGTACCCTTTTAATATATTGTTGGATTTGGTTTGTTGAAATTTTGTTTAGGATTTTTGCACCTTTGTTTAGGAGGATTGTTTTCTTGTAAAATCTTTGTCACATTTTGGTATCAGAGTCATGCTGGCTTCATAGAATTAGCTGGGAACTGTTCCTTCCTTTTCAATTTTCTGGAAGAGTTTGTAGAATTGGTGGTATTTCTTCTTTAAAAGTTTGATAAAATTCACTAGTGAAGCTACCTGGAAAATCTTCTTTGTAGGAAGATTTTAAACTATAAATCTAATTTCTTTAATGGATATAAGACTACTTATTTCTTCTTGAGAGCTTTGGTAGTTTTTTCCTTCAAGGAATTTGATAATTTCATCTAAGCTGTCAAACTTATTGACATAAAGTTGTTCATAACACTCCCTTATTATTCTAGAATCTGTAGTGATTTCATCTCTCTTATTCCTGGATATTGACAATTTGTCTTTTTTTCTCTTTTCCCTAATTAGCCTGGCTAGGGGTTTATAGATTTTAAAGATCTTCTCAAAGAGCCAGCTGGACCATTCTCATGAGCATATAAATAATCTCTTAGTATTCCCATCTTAAACAAGGATACAGACAAGCAAGGCCCTCCTGATGATTTCTCCTCTCCGGCCCCTGCCCTGTCTCTCTTTCCCTTCATAGCAACTGCTTTGAAAGTGTCTGTCCTCTCTGTTTCTGGTTCCTCTTCTCCCATCATTCTTGGACCTCCCTAATTAGACTCTTGTCCCACTTGCCCCAAATTGCTCTCATCAACATCACCAGTGACCCCTGCATTGCTAGGTCCTATGTCCCTGTGGCATTTCTCAGCTTCTTGGCTTGTCTGCCACATGTGGCCAGTTGATCATTCTCTCCTCCTTGAAATGCCTTCTTGTTTTTCCTCCAAGAGACCAACCTTGCCTAGTTTTTCTCTTACTTCTGAGGCCCCCTCTTATGAGTCTCAGTTGTTGATTTTGCTTTCCCAACCTCTTAGCATTTGAGGGCCTCATCTGTCTTTTCTATCCACAATCCCTTGTTGACCTCATCCAGCCTGGAATTTGAGGTCCTATCCACCACTCTAGCCTCAGTCCTGGGTCCCTGCTCTAGTCAGCAGGTCGCCAGGGCTGACTCAGTTCATTCGTAGCTCACACGGTTCCATCTGTCCTCTCACAGGAAGATCCAGCTCCCACCACTTTCACGTCCTCCCCCACCTTCCCATCTCCTCTGAGGCTCATTTCAATTCGGTGTGTGGAGGGACTTCTTTTATGATCACCCATTTTGCAGGAGAGGAAAGATAAAGGCCAGACTAGCTTAGTAAGTTGCAGTCCAAGAGGCCCTGCCAGCAACCTCAGATCCTGACTCCTTCCAAGCTCTTGCCTTGGCTGCCACCTTCCTGGGGCCTGAGAAGCACCTGGAAATATTATGGGGCCACAAGCTCTGGCACAAGGTCCTGGCTTTCCACAGCTCGTGACCCCTTGGAGGGAGCCTGATTTGCAGTCCTAAAGCCCAGGCAGAAGGCACAAACGTTCCCAGCAAGAAAATGAGCAGAGCTGACATGGGGACATGTGGTCGCTAGGTGGCGCGGCTGACCCACTACTTGGCAGCCAGCACTCAGCAACTCCACCCTCTCCACTCCCTAGAGCCTGGGCACCTGCCTGGGTGGCAGCAGGAGTCTGCTTTCCGCCCCCTACCCCAAAAGAGCAGACCACAAGGTGAGGGAGCCTAAAATACTATAGGTCCTGATTGTAGTAGGTGCTCAATAAATAATTATTGACTAAAAGAGTGATCATTTTGTGAAGTTCGGATAGATGAGACTTTCCCATTCCCATTTCATAGGCTGGGAAACTGAGGCCGGATACTAACGATAGGAGTAGCAACCAAGGTTACTGTTATCGACTCTCATTCGGTCACTATGTACCAGGCATTTGCTTAGCACATTTCATTCTTCATCCCATTTAGTCATCACAGCAAAAAGGCAGGGCCTTTATGATTTGCATTTGGCAGGTAAGGACATAGGGGCTTAGAGATCAGCTGACTTATTCAAGTCATACAGTTAGTGGAATAAATGGAAGAACCAGGATTTGAACCACTCTGCCTGCATCTGAGTAGCTGAATAGGATCAGGGCCAGTGCTGCCTCCTTCCCCCACCAATAGGATCTGAGGTGAAGTGCCCCAGCAGTGCCTCCACCTGGGCATCATGTGGCCACCAGAGGGAGGCCTCGGTCTTTAGACAGCTGCAGAGGGGCCTGGACTGAGGCTGGGGAGGGTGGCCATGACTTAGATGCCAGAATGAGAAGTGGGAGTACTAGGGCTCTGGAGGGCAGGTTCTTCATCTGCAAAAGCAAGAGGATGATCCCCACTTGGCCGGGTCTCTGTGAGGAGGACATGGGATCATGCATGGAAAGTTCTTAGCCCCTGCGAGGGCTCAGCACCCACCCCTCCCCCAGCACTTGCCCTTGCACTGAACAGGCTATATAGTAACAGGTCATGATAATAAACTGCAATCACTGAGGGTATCCATTTCACTGATTCGTTTTTGTATGGTCAGTCTCCCCCACTGAGGGGTGGGATGGTGATCTGCTTTCTGCTCTGCTGTCTCCTGAGAGATGAGGTTGTGGTGCCTGGGACATAAGGGGTGCTCACTAAGCAGGTGCCAACCCAGGGAATGGAAATGGCCTGGAGCTGTGGCCCCTGCACTGTCTGGGCCCCCAGGACTCAGTGGGCTCACTGGATCCCATGTGTGAGCCCCAGAGGGCCAGGCTCAGCATGTTGGACTCCTTATAGGCTGTGGCCAAACCTTTGTCCCTCTCTGACCTCTGCCTTCTCCTCTCCAGAAGGGGCATCTAAGGCTTTCCAGGTGTAATGGCTCAGGGAGTGGCTGTGCCAGGTGTACGGGTGCCCTTTGATGTCACCTGTCACCTCGCTGGTGGCTGCGCTCTCCCTTCCTCTCGCTGCTCCTGTGTCTTCTCCTCCATCTGCCAAAGTCACCATGCCAGGGCTGCCCCCAGCCCCAATATCCAGTGGAAAAACCCAGAGAAATCACACAAATAGAAAATATCCACATCAACTTGAGAAGCTAAGCCTGCGCTTGAGGCAGTTCTTGGAGCAGCTTCTAGCAGGGGCCCAGACCAACACCATCAGCAAGGAGCTGCCGGGGGCTCGGCCCCCTGAAGGAGGTTTTTATGACTGGCCTTAGCTGCCCTCCTGAGGCTGACAAGGGCTCCACTGGGGAACCTCTGGGCAAGTCGGTGGAGGGCCCCTCAGCATCATCTGGGCCTTGCTGGCAGCAAAAGTGGGTCTCAGAAACCAACTCCCATGAGAGGAGCCACCTGGATAGAGAGTGGGCAGTGAGAGCAGGACACAGGTTCCACCACAGAGCAGCAGAGACACCCAGAGGCTCCTGGTCCATGGTGCCTGGGGGATCAGAAGGACTCACACCCGGAGGGGAACGGGCCTGTGGAGAATGTTACCCTGGCCAGGACCCGGCTGGCACCACACGCCCCAATATCCCTGCCTTGGCTCTGTGAGGAGGGCTCTGCCAGGGTTTGAGGGGCCTGCGTGGGAGCCAGGGCAACCCATGCATCCAATGCCCTGTGGAAATAACTCTCCATTAGAGGAGCCACCAGGAGGAAAACTGGGCCCATGGGAAAGGGGGTAGCTACAGGGAAAGGAGAACAAGAGGGCGAGGATTGCGTCTTACGATCACTGTAGCTCCTGCACCTCCCAAGACACATAGTAGGTGCTCAATAAATCTTTGTTGACTGGACACACAACTCAGAGTACACCCTTCCTCAGTTCTACATTGCATTGGCAAAGACAGAATATGTGTACTTCAGGCTGTATGTAGGGTACAGAGAATACTTCTATTAGATAAGGACAATCCGTGGTAGGAGACAGTGATAAACAAAAAATACAGTAACTGACTTCAATTTGCATTGAACGCAATGAATAGCAGATCTGAAAATGTAAAAATCAAATGCAAGATATCAAAGGGCCAGATGGAGAAATGTGCAAAGAATGCAAAGGAAAAGGTTATGGACAGAGCATCACTGAGAACACACAAGGACAAGGGTCACGGGTGTCTCACCCGAGTGCCTGCCATGCCCTCCCTCTACCAACACCCCCGCCACCCCAGAGTAAAGGAAACAGGAATAAATAGAAGTTATTAAAGAAGTAAACTCTTGATTTTTTTTCTTTTTCTTGAGACAGAATCTCGCTCTGTCACTAAGGTGGAGTGCAGTGATGTGATCTCTGCTCACTGCAATCTCCACCTCGTGGGTTCAAGCGATCCTTCTGCCTCAGCCTCCTGAGTAGCTGGGACTACAGGCGCACACCACCATGCCCAGATAATTTTTGTATTTTTGGTAGAGATGAGGTTTCAACATATTGGCCAGGCTGGTCTCGAACTCCTGACCTCGTGATTTGCCTGCCTTGGCCTCCTAAAGTGCTGGGATTACAGGCGTGAGCCACCGCACCCGGCCATAAACTCTTGATTTTAAAAAGTAAAAGAACTCAGTAAAATTAACAATGTGCAACTCCTGTGGCAGTCCTTCCCAATGTCTTCAATGCTTATAGAGAAACATGGTATCTATGAGTTTCCTGGGTAAAGGGAGGAGGCACCCAGGCCCTGGGCTTAGGGGATTAGAAACTCAACTGCCTGTGGCCCACTCACTGCCCACAGATGAGCCCTAGAGACAGTCACATAGGTGCTCTAAGAGACGGTCACGAGGGTGTCTGTTGCAGCACTGTTTATAATAGTGAAAAATGGGAGGACTGTGGTATGCTTCTGCGTGGAATAGTATACAGCTATTTAAATGAAGGAACTAAAGTTCCATGTATCCATGCTCAAGAACACAATGCTGAGGAGAAAAGCTAGTTGCATAGTGATACGTAGGGCTGGGCGCGGTGGCCCAGGCCTGTAATCCCAGCACTTTGGGAGGCTGAGACAGGTGGATTGCTTGAGCCCAGGAGTTTAAGCCCAGCCTGGGCAATGGGAGACCCTGTCTCTACAAATAATAATAATAAAAAAACTATCTGGCCGTGGTGGGGTGCTCCTGTAGTCCCATGTTCTTGGGAGGTTGAGGTGGGAGGATCTTCTGAGCCCAGGAAGTCGAGGCTGCAGTGAGCAGTGATTGCACTATTGTACTCCAGCCTAGGTGACAGAGGGGAGACCCTGTCTCAAAAAAAATAATATATTGCTTATGGATGTCTATAAGAAGAAAAGTAAAAAATAAAAACTAGAAAGAGATATATCAAATTCATGAGACTCTGTAAAGGGAAAAGGAAATGCGCCTGTGGATCAAATGATATTTGACTTTGTACAGCTTTATTTATTTTCTTTAAAAATCAGAAACAAAAATGTTCAAATGTAAATATTTGTTCATTAGGGATATCCATAGATGGAAATGTATGTTATTCTCAGTAGCTTTCTCTACTTTTTGGTGAATTTTTTTTATTGTGCTAAATATATTAATACATAACATAAAATTTACCATTGTAACCATTTTTTTTTTGAGAGTTTTGCTCTTGTTGCCCAGGCTAGAGTGCAATGGCGTGATCTCGGCTCACCGCAACCTCTGCCTCCCGGGTTCAATCAATTCTCCTGCCTCAGCCTCCCGAGTAGCTGGGATTACAGGCGTGTGCCACCACACCCGGCTAATTTTGTATTTTTAGTAGAGATGGGGTTTCTCCATGTTGGCCAGGCTGGTCTTGAAGTCCCGAACTCAGGTGATCTGCCCGCTTTGGCCTCCCAAAGTGCTGGGATTATAGGCATGAGCCACTGTGCCCAGCCCCATTTTAACCATTTTTAAGTGTACAGTCCAGTGCCATTAAATATATTCACCATGTAGTGCAACCATTGCCCCTATACATTTCCAGAATGTTTTCTTCATCCTAAACAGAAACTCTTCACCCATTCAGCCATACATCCCCACTTCCCCCTCCCTCAGTCCTTGTAACCTCTATTCTATTTTCTGTCTCTATGAATTTGCCTTTTCTAGGCTCCACACAAGAATGGAATCACACAATATTTGTCCTTTTATGCCTGGCTTATTTCACTTAGCATAGTGATTTCAAGATTCACCCATGTTATAGCATTTGTGTCAGAATTTTGTTACTTTTTATGGCTGAGGAATATTTCTGGCTGGGTTGGTGGCTCACACCTGTAATCTCAGCACTTTCAGAGGCAGAAGCAGGTCGCTTGAGTCCAGGAGTTTGAGACTGGCCTGGGCAACATAGGGGACCCCATCTCTACAAAAAATACAAAAATTAGCAGGCGTGGTGGCATATGCCTGTAGTCCTAGCTACTCGGGAGGCTGAGGTGGGAGGATCACTTGAACCTGGGAGGTGGAGGTTGTAGTGAGCCGAGATTGCATCATTGCATTCCTGCCTGGGCGACAGAGCAAGACCTTGTCTCAAAAACAAACAAACAAAAAAATCCATTGTATGCATATACCACATTATGTTTATCCATTTATCTATTGATGGACATTTGGGTTATTTCTACATTTTGGCCATTATGAACAATGTTGCCATGAATGTTGATTTACAAATATCTGTTTGAGTTTCTGTTTTTGGTTCTTTTTGGGAGTATACATCTAGAAGTGGAGTTGCTGGTCATATGGTAATTCTACATTTAGCTTTTTGAAGAACTGCTGAGCTGTTTTCCATAGTGGTTGCACTGTTTTACATTTGTACCCACAATGCCTAAGAATTCCAGTTTCTCCACACCCTTGCCAACACCTGTTATTTTCCTTTTTTTTTTTTTTTTGGACAATAGCTGTGATAGGTAATTTCATGTGTCAACCTGACTGGGCTGAGGGCTGCCCAGATAGCTGGTAAAACATTATTTCTGAGTGTGTCTGTGAGTGTGTTGCAGAAGAGATTAGCATTTGAATCAGTAGACTGAGTAAAGAAGATCTCCTTCCCCAGCGTGGGCAGGCATCCTCCAATTCTTTGAGTGCCTGAATAAAACAAAAAGGCAGAGGAGGCCAGGTGTGGTGGCTCACGCCTGTAATCCCAGCACTTTGGGAGGCTGAGGCAGGCAGATCATGTGAGGTCAGGAGCTTAAGACCAGCCTGGCCAACATGGCGAAACCCTGTCTCTACTAAAAATACAAAAATTAGCCAGGTGTGGTGGTGCACACCTGTAGTCCCAGCACTTTCGGAGGCTGAGGCGGGCAGATCGCTTGAGGTCAGGAGTTTGAGACCAGCCTGGCCAACATGGCCAGAAACCCTGTCTCTACTAAAAATACAAAAATTAGCCAGGCGTGGTTGCAGTGAGCCAAGATCACACCAGTGCACTCTGGCCTGGGTGACAGAGCAAGACTTTGTATCAAAAATGAATAAATAAATAAATATATAAAATAAATACAATTAAAAATAAAAGAAAAAAAGCAGAGGAAGGGCAAATTCATTTTTCCTGCTTGAGCTGAGACATCATCTTTTTCTGCACCTGGACATCGGTGCTCCTATCTCTTGGCCTTTTAGACTTAGAGCAGGACTTACAACATTAGCTCCCTGCTTCTCAGGCCTTCAGACTCAGACTGAATTACATCACCAGCTTTCTGGTTCTTCAGCTTGCAGATGGCAGACTGGGGACTTCTTGGCCTCCATAATGACATTAACCGATTCCTGTAATAGATCTCCTTTATTGTATATCTCTCTATATGACATTGGTTCTATTTCTCTAGAGAACCCTGATACAACAGCCAACCTAATGGGTGTGAAGTGGTATGTCCTAGTTTTGATTTGCATTTCTCTAAGGACTTGTGATGTTGAGCATCTTTTCATGTGCTTATTGGCCATTTGTATATCTTCTTTGAAGAAAAGTTAATTTGGGGCCAGACATGGTGGTTCACACCTATAATCCCAGCACTTTGAGAGGCTGAGGTGAGCAAATCATTTGAACCTAGGAGTTTGAAACCAGCTGGACAAATGGCAAAACCCTGTCTCTACTAAAAATACAAAAAAAATTAGCTGGGTGTGGTGGCAATGCCTGTCATCCCAGCTACTGGGGAGGCTGAGGTAGGAGGATCACTTGAGCCTGGGGAGGTCAAGGCTGCAGTGAGCAGTGAGCGCAGTGGCATGATCCCACAACTGCACTCCAGCCTGGGCAACAGAGCAAGACCTTGTCTCAAAAAAAAAAAAAAAAAAAAAAAAAGAAGGTCAATTTAAGTCTTTTATCCATTTTTGAACCAGATTGCTTTTTTTTTTTATTGTAGGAATGCTTTATATATTCTAGATATCAATCACTTATCAGATATATCAGGAGTCTCTGACCCCCAGGCTACAGACAGGTACTGGTCCATGGTCTATTAGGAACCAGGCTGCACAGCAGGAGGTGAGCAGCGGGTGAGCAAGCATTTCCACCTGAGCTCTGCCTCCTGTCAGATCAGTGGTGGCATTTGATTCTTATAGGAATGCAAACCCTATTGTGAACTGTGCATTCAAGGGAACTAGGCTGCATGCTCCTTATGAGACCCTAATGCCTGTTTCATTCCGAAACCATCCCCTTCCATCCAACCCCCATTCATGGAAAAATTATCTTCCATGAAACTGGTCCCTGGTGCCAAAAAGGTTGGGGACCGCTGAGATATATGATTGGCAAATATTTTCTCCCATTCTGCAGGTTGTCTTTTCATTTGCTTGATAGTGTCCTTTGATACACAAAAGTTTTAAATTTTGATGAAGTCCAATTTATCTATTTTTTTTGTCACCTGTACTTTTGATGTCATATCCCAGAAACCATCACCAAATCCAATGTCAGGAAGATTTTCCCCTGTGTTTTCTTCTAAGAGTTTTATAGTTTTAGCTCTTACATTTAGGTCTTTGGTCCATTTTGAGTTTTGTGTATATCCAATTTTTGTATATGGGGTAAAGTAATTGTTCTTTGCATGTGGATATCCAGTTTTCTCACCATTTATTTAAAAGACTGTCCTTTTTCCTTTGAATGGTCTGGGCACCATTTTGTTTTGTTTGTTTGTTATTTGCCTTTCCCTTTTAATCCTTTTTCTGCTCCAACTCTCAAAAAATTGCCCCCAAAACCCAGTAATTAAACAAAAGGGAACTCAAAGAGCCAAAGAAAGCCAGCCCAAGAGTAGCAGGCTCCCTCCCACAGGGGCCAAAGTCTGGATGCTGGGGTCTCCACCCCAAGCCTGGTAGTAAAAGCTGGTGAAGAATAAGGTCATTCCAGAGGCTAGCAGTAACCTGGCCCAAAGGGGCTTTCTGCAAGAGGGCACCCCTAACAGGGCCAGACTGTGTAAGAAGTGGTACTTGTTGGCCTTGTCAAAGAGCTCCTTCCCAGAGGCATCTGGGAATTGGGTGTCATGTACCCGATAGGAAGCCAAGCCAAGGGCCCCAGCTCTGGACGAGGCACCCACGCCGGTGGAAAGCTGCCCCTGGCCCAGCCATGGCTGTGGATTGTCAGGCGCTGGATGAACAAACATCCTTGACACCCTTTTGGAAACTCATTGGCCATAAATAAGTTTTATTTCCGGGCTCTGTACTTTATTCAGTTGGTCTGTATGTCTGTCCTTAGGCCAGTACCAAATGGTTTTGATTACTGTAGCTTTGTAGTAAGTTTTGACATTAGGAAGTGTCAGCCCTCCAACTTTATTCCTCTTTGCCAGGATTGGATTGGCTATTTGGGGTCCTTTTTCTATACTTTTAGACTTGTCAAAGGAAAGGGGATGGGGTGAATGTGTAGAATCAGGATTCACTCTGTATTCAACAAAATTTAAAGAAGGAAATCTACAACTAGATATATATTGATAAGTATTTTAACATAAACATCTCTGTTTTATGATGTTTCAGGAATAAAAAAGAATTATCTCAGAATATAAGTAGGAAATAAAGGTTACACACAAATTAACAAAATCAGTGTGGCCCTCAGTCCTGATGGTTCAGTATTAGGAGATTTAGTTATAGCGTATCCATAGATCAAATCCAGCTGGGCATGGTGGCTCACACCTATAATCCCAACACTTTGGGAGGCCGAGGTGGGTGGATCACTGGAAGCCAGTAGTTCAAGACCAGCCTGGCTAACATGGTGAAACCCGTCTCTACTAACAATACAAAAATTAGCTGGGCATGGTGGTGCGCCTGTAATCCCAGCTACTCAGGAGGCTGAGGAATGAGAATCGCTTGAACCCAGGAGGCGGAGGTTGCAGTGAGCTGAGATTGCACCATTGCACTCCAGCCTGGGTGACAGAGTGAGACTCTGTCTCAAAACAAAAACAAAAAACAAACAAACAAAAAGATCAAATCCAATACCCATTTCTAGAAAAACTCCTTCTTCGTGAAGAACACAAAACAGCCATAAGCCTGCATGTGCCAAACTATGCAGCAGTTAAGTAAGCACAATAACATATTTTAAAGCTACAAACAGAACTTGCAAACTAGAAAAAAAAAAAAAGGAAAACTACAATCATAGTGGGTGATCTAAACATAAATTTCAGAATTCGACAATTCAGTAGACAAAAAAAATAGACAAGGAAATTGGGGTTGAATAATTAAAATAACAAGATTATATATATATATGCATCTTTTTTTTTTTTTTGAGACGAAGTCTCGCTCTTGTCACCCAGGTTGGGGTGCAATGGTGCAATCTCCACTCACAGCAACCTCTGCCTCCCAGGTTCAAGCTATTTTTCTGCCTCAGCCTCCCAAGTACCTGGGATTACAGGCTCCTGCCACCACGCCCCACTAATTTTTGTATTTTTAGTAAAGACAGGGTTTCACCATGTTGGCCAGGCTGGTCTCGAACTCCTAACCTCAGGCAATCCGCCGGCCTCAGCCTCCCAAAGTGCTGGGATTACAGGTGTGAGCCACCGTGCCTGGCCTATATACATCTTTTTTTTAAAAGGGACAAGCCTAGCTCTGTTGTCCAGGCTGTTCATGAAGTCCTGGCCTCAAGTGATTCTCCTACCTCAGCCTCCCAAAGTGCTGGGATTACAGGCATGAATAAACACTATTAAATAACCTCTGTATTTTTAGAGTTCATAAAATGTGAAATTTAAAATTATCAACAAAAGGAGAACAAATTATATAAAACTTACAGGATGCATTTAAAACTCTTCACTAAAGAAAATATATAGACATAAAGATTTTTTTTTATTTAGAATAAAAGACTTAAACCAGGCTCATGCCTGTAATCCCAGTATTTTGGTGCAACTGAGATGAGAGATTGCTTGAGCTCAGGACTTCAAGATCAGCCTTGGCAACATAGCAAGAACCTCATCTCTTAAAAAAAAAAAAAAAAAAAGAAGACTTTAAACAAAGTTAATTAAGTATTCAACCTGGCCAGGCACAGTGGCTCACGCCTGTAATCCCAGCACTTTGGGAGGCTGAGGCCAGCAGATCACCTGAGGTCAGGAGTTCGAGACCAGCCTGGCCAACATGGGGAAACCCCGTCTCTACTAAAAATATAAAAATTAGCCAGGCATGGTGGTGTGCGCCTGTAATCCCAGCTACCCAGAAGGCTGAGGCAGGAGAATTGCTGGAACCTGGGAGGCAGAGGCTGCAGTGAGCTGAGATCGCACCACTGCACTCCAGCCTGGGAGACAGAGCAAGACTCTGTCTCAAAAAAAAAAAAAACTATTCAACCTAAGATAAAGAAACACTGATGATTAACACTGATGAACAATATTAAGCTCCTATCTGATGTATCTGAAGAAAAGAATAATAATAAAAGGAATAAAATAGACAAGACACTATAGGGAATTTCTAAAAGATAAATATTGAAATAAATAGAAAAGAAAAATTGGTGAAAAAATTTAATAAAACCAAACTTTATCTTCTATAAAAGATAAAGAGTTCGCCCCCAAACAAGCCCGGATAAGATTGAGAGAGTAGAAAAGAAGCTAAAATATACAATATTAGGAAGAAGAGATATGATATAACCACAGATATTGAAGAGATGAAAAGAATTATAGGTGAGTATAATGTGCAACTCTATGGCAGTAGATTTGAAAAAACTAGAGGAGTGAATCATTTTCTAGAAGATTATGTTATCAAAACTAATTTTAAAAATATCGCAAATAGGTCTGTAACCATATGCAAGATTAAAATGTGATTAAAAGTCTATGACTCAGTACAACTCAATAATAAAAAGACAACTCAATTAAAAATTGGGCAAAGAACCTGAAAAGATATTTCCCCAAGGAAGATAAACAAATCGCCAAATTGTCAACATCATCAGAGAAATGCAAATTAAAACTACGATGAAATGCTACTTCACATCCACTAGGATGGCTAGAATGAAAAAGCCAGATAGCTGGGCACTATGGCTCATGCCTGTAATCCCAGCACTTCTGGAGGCTGAGGTGGGCAAATGGCCTGTGCCCAGGAATTCGAGACCAGCAAGGCAATATAGTGAGACCCTGTCTCTACAAAAATAAAAGTTAGCCCAGTGTGGTGGTGCATGCCTGTAGTCCCAGCTACTCAGAAGACTGAGATGGGAGGATTGTTGGAGACTGGGAGGTTGAGGCTGCTATGAGCCATGATTACACCACTGTACCACCTGGGTGACAGAGTGAGACCCTGTCTCAAAAAAAAAAAAAAAAAAAAAAAAGCCAGATTATAGCAAGCATTGGTGAGAATATGGAGAAATTGGAACCTTTATACATTGCAGTTGGGAATGTAAAATAGTGCAGCCACTCTGAAAAACAGTCTGGCAGTTACTCAAATGATTAAATATAGAGTTTCCATATGACACAGCAATTTTATTCCTAGGTATATGCCTAAGAGAAATGAAAACATATGTTCACAGAAAAATTTGTACACAAATGTTTATGGCAACATTATTCATGGTGATCAAAAACCAGAAACAACCCAAATGTTCATCAATGAACAAATGGATAAATAAGTTGTGTTATGTCCATACAGTGGAATGTTATTTGGCCATAAAAGGTACTGAAATTCTAATACATACTACAGCACTGGATGAACCTTTAAAACAGGGGTGTCCAAACTTTTGGCTTCCCTGGGCCACGTTGGAAAAAGAATTGTCTTGGGCCACACATAAAATACACTAACATTAGTGATAGCTGATGAGCTAAAAAATTTAAGAAAGTTGGCCGGGCACAGTGGCTCATGCCTGTAATCCCAGCACTTTGGGAGGCTGAGACAGGCAGATCACCTGAGATCAGGAGTTCAAGACCAGCCTAACCAACATGGAGAAATCCTGTCTCTACTAAATCTACAAAATTAGCTGGGCGTGGTGGTGCATACCTGTAATCCTAGCTACTCGGGAGGCTGAGGCAGGAGAATCACTTGAACCCAGGAGGCAGAGATTGCAGTGAGCCGAGATCGCACCATTGGACTCTAGCCTGGGTAACGAGAGCGAAATTCCATCTCAAAAAAAAAAAAATTTAAGAAAGTTTAGGAATATGTGTTGGGCCACATTTAAAGCCATCCTGGGCTGCATGCAACCTTTTAGCCATGGGTCAGACAAGCTTGCTTTAGAACATTATGCTAAATGAAATAAGCCAATTGCAAAAGACCACAGAACTATGTGTTTAGATTCATATGAAATGTGTAGCATAAGAGTTTATGGAGACAGAAGGTAGATTCATGATTGCTTGGGACTGTGGGTGGGGATAGGAAAATTAGGGGGGTGACAGCTAAAGGATATGGAGCTGCTTTTTGAGGTGATGAAAATGTTTTAATTTACTTTGATGACGGTTATATATATCTGAATATACTAAAAACCATTGTGTTGGGGGATCTTTGGGGTGTCACTCTTCTGGCTGGAAACCTCTGTGGCCAGTGGTGCTTTTGCCCAAGTTTTGCTCGGGCTCACTTGGCCTGGCGCACTGCACTCATGCTATCCGCCCGGATCCCATGCCTACCAAGGGCCAATCAGGTGTGGAGCGGCCAGGAGTATGTGAGCAAGCGTGGAGTCTGGTCACTGTGCACAGTTGGACACTGGCTGCTGCCGCGGGGCAGGCAGCTTCAGGTGCCATGTTTCTGTGACGCTGTGGCTGGGGCAGGCGCACTGCAAGCAGCTTCCCTGGCTGGCATTGGGGAATGCAGTGTCACCTGGAAACTTGGAGACGCCAGGCACTGCAGGACCCCAAAGAGGGATACCCAGCTCTGGCTGGGGAGCTCCCAGGTCTGGGCTCCCTAAAGGGCAGCAGCTCTTCTCTCCTCTTCGCCCACAACATGGTGGGCAAGGGGCCCACCCTGTTTGTGTTACAGTTTCAACCCTGTTGGTGTTACAGCTCTTTTAGGGTGGCAGCTCTTCTCTCCTCTTCACCCACAACATGGCAGGCAAGGGGCCTGCCCTGTTGGTGTTACAGTTTCAGCCCTATTGGTTACAGCTCTTTTAGCCCCACCATTCAGTGGCTTTCAAGTTCTTGTCCTGTGACCAGGAAGAATGAGATATGCAGACAAGTGGAGGATGAGCAAGGTGAAGAGGAGTTTTATTGAGCAATGGAACAGCTCACAGAAGCCCCACAGAGGATAGCTGCTTTCCGCAGCCAGGGTATCCTGATGAGGGTGCCCTGATGAGAATGCTGAGCTGCTAGCAGAGAGGAGACCCTGGAGTAGATTGCCCCTCTTTGCAGCTGTTTGCCCCGTCTCATGCTCAGCTCTGGCTAAGCCTAGGGCTTTTATGGGCCTCAGAGGGGAGGAAGTATATGCTGATCGGTCCATGGGCAGCCATAGGCGGGCCTGGAAAAGGCACCACAAGTTCCCACTCCAGTCCGTGGGACCGGCAACCCAGCCCCCAGCTTTCAGACCCTCCCTGGCCTGAAGGTGGGGCCTCACTGGGAATCCGCCCCCTTCTGCCCAGGAATTTGTCTGCTGTTCATGGTGCCCCGGCTCTGCCAGATTTTCTCCAAGATTGGAGTGGGTGCCAACAGCAGGGAGAAGCCAGGCAGTGGGAGCAGGCACTTCTGAGCCTGCAAGGGAAGTGAGTCCTTCCCGGGTTCCCAAGAGTACAGTGATGCCTGAGTCTGCAGCTACAGTTTGGGTGGCTGCAGTGGCACCTGGAGAATTCCCACCGCAACTCAGAAGGAGCAGGGCCCCCACTTGTTTTTGGCTCCCACTGGCTCCATGGAGGTGCAACCCCATGGCTCATCCCCGCTGCAGCAAGTGTGATAGCAGCTGGCCCAGCCATCTGAAGTACCCACTGCCATCAATTGCGCAGTACATTTTAAATAGGTGAATTGTATGGCATATGAATTATATCTCAATTAAACTGTTAGAAAATCCATGACTTAGAAATGTATCAACTCTGGATGATTTTACAGCTCTCTATACTATTAATAAGGTAATATTAACTTCTGTAACTTCCCTCCTTATATCTCAGGGGCTTAGCACAATGGAAGTTTACCTTCTACTCACATAAAGACCAAAACAATGTTTCTCATTGTTAGGTGACAATCTCCCAATGGTATTTCAAGATTCCATGTTACTCCCATCTTATGTGTCTACTATCTTTATTTTTTTATTAGTTTACTTTATTTCAATCATTTTTGGGGAACAGGTGGTTTTTGGTTACGTGGATTAATTCTTTAGTGATTTCTCAGATTTTGGTGCACCCATCATACAAACAGTGTACACTGTACCCAATGTGTAGTCTTTTATTCCTCACCCCCCTCCCACCCTTCCCCCGCAAGTCCCCAAAGTCCATTATCATTCTTATGCCTTTGCATCCTCATAGCTTAGCTCCCACTTATAAGTGAGAACACATGACATTTGGTTTTCCTTTCCTGAGTTATTTCACTTAGAATAATGGTCTCAAGCTCCATCCAGGTTGCTGCAAATGCCATTATTTCATTCTTTTTTATGGCAGAGTAATATTCCATGGTGTGTGTGTGTTTATATATAGGTATCTCACATTTTCTTTATCCACTCATTGGTTGATGGATATCTACTATCTTTAACAGATGGTTCCAAGGTCATTGCAAAAGAAGATGCAAAGAGGATGGAAAATTGAAGGTTCCTATGCCTCAGGTCTGGAAAGGATCTGCTTCTGCCCTGTTCCATTAGCCAGAACTCAGTCACATGGTACCCTAACAACAAGCAAAGCTGAGAACTCTAGTCTAGTGTGGGCCCAGGAGATAGAAGAACTGTTGAGTCCTTATCAAATTTTAACAAAATGGAAACTTTGTTATTCTAATTATTCCAGATGGTTGAAAAACATTGCTAGCCACTTTATAAAGCAAACATGACCTTAATAACAAAATCTGATGAGTAAGTTCCCAAAATATTATAGACCTAAAGTCCGTAAAATGGCCTAAAAAATTATAGACCAATTTCACTTAAGAATATAGATGTGGCTGGGTGTGGTGGCTCACGCCTGTAATCCCAGCACTTCGGGAGTTGGAGGCAGGTGGATCATTTGAGGTCAGGAGTTCGAGACCAGCCTGGCCAACATAGTGAGACCCCATCTCTACTAAAAATATGAAAATTAGCCAGGGGTGGTGGTGTGTGCCTGTAATCCCAGCTATTTGGGAGGCTGAGGCTGAAAATGAAAATCTCTTGAGCCTGGGAGGCAGAGGTTGCAGTGCCCAGCCTAGGTGACAGAGTGAGACTCTCTCTCTCTCTCTCTCTCTCTCTCTCTCTCTCTCTCTCTATATATATATATATATATATATATATATATATATATATGCAAACATTCTCAGTGCACACAGTTTAAAAGTAGGAAATCTGTCAACATAAATGAAGGATACTTTAAAGACAAAGATCACATAATTCTGTCAATAAATGCTAAAAATACTACTTATAAAATTCCAAAGTGATCTCTTACAACAACTCTAACATAGGAATATGAAGATTATAACTAGACAGGATTAAAGCTGGGATTGGAATAAAAACTGCTCGGAACAGGAAAAATAAAGATGAAGTAAAGAGCTGATCTAGGTAAAAATGGAGCAAGGGAAACAGAACTAGGAAATCTAAGCAAGCAAGCCACTATATTTTTAACACTATGTAGACACAACAGAAGAGACTGATGTAGTCATAGAAAATACCTTGACTATTGCTTTTTCTAAAAGTTCAGGAAAACTAATTTCACATAAAAATAAATAAGAAATACTGAGGTCAAATCTTATTCAAAAGTATTATAGGCTGGGTGTGGTGGCTTATGCCTGTAATCCCAGCACTTTGGGAGGCCGAGGCAAGTGGATCTCTTGAGCACAGCAGTTTGAGACCAGCCTGGGCAACACGGCAAAACCCCGTCTCTACTAAAAACACAAAAACTATCTGTGCATGGTGGTGGGTGCCTGTAGTCCCAGCTACTCAGGAGGCTGAGGTGGGAGGATCACCTGAGTCTGGGAGGTCAAGTCTGTGGTGAGACATGATTGTGCCACTGCACTCCAGCCTGGGTGACACAGTGAGACTGTCTCAAAAAGCAAACAAACAAACAACCCCAAAGTATTGTAAGAAAAAAGAGAATAAGGGGGAGAATAATATTACTACAAACAAAAAAAGCATGCCAGAAAGATATACCTGCACAAAAGGTCAATAAATGTGGTATAGCACATAAACAGAATTAAAAACAAAAATCACACGATTATCTCAATAGATGCAGAAAAAACATTCAACAAAATCCAGCATCACTTTACAATTAAAACTCAGCAAAACTGGCATACAAGGGACTTCCCTCAATGTAACAAAAGCCACCTATGACAAATCAAGAACTCAACCCCTTTTACATAGCTGCAAAACAAACAAACAAACAAAACAAAACAAAAAAAAAACAAAAAAAAAACTTAGGAATATTAACAAAGAAGATGAAAGACCTCTACAAGGAAAGCTAAAAAACACTGCTGAAAGAAATCATAGATGACACAAACAGATGGAAACACATCCCATGCTCATGGATGGGCAGAATTAATATTGTGAAAATGACCATACTGCCAAAAGCAATCTACAAATTCAATGCAATTCCCCTAAAAATACCATCATCATTCTTCACAGTTAAAAAAATTGTTTTAGAATATGGAACCAAAAAAGAGCCCACATAGCCAAAGCAAGACTAAGCAAAAAGAACATATCTGGAGGCATCACACTACCTGATTTCAAACTATACTATAAGGCCGTAGTCACCAAAACAGCATGGTGCTGGTATAAAAATAGGCACATAGGCCAATGGAACAGAATAGAGAACCCAGAAATAAACCCAGATACTTACAGCCAACTGATCTTCAACAAAGCAAACAAAAACATAACATGGGGAAAGGACACCCTTTTCAACGAATTGTGCTAGGATAATTGGCAAGCCGCATGTAGGAGAATGAAACTCGACCTTCATCTCTCACCTTATACAAAAATCAACTCAAGATGGATTAAGGATTTAAATCTAAGACTTGAAACTATAAAAATTCTAGAAGATAACATCGGACAAACCCTTATAGACATTGGCTTAGGCGAGGATTTCATGACCAAGAACCCAAAAGCAAATGCAATAAAAACAAAGATAAATTGCTAGGACTTAATTAAACTAAAGAGCCTTTGCACAGCAAAGGAACAGTCAGCAGAGTAAACAGACAACCCACAGAGTGGGAGAAAATCTTCACAATCTATACATCTGACAAAGGACTAATATCCAGAATCTACAATGAACTCAAACAAATCATCAAGAAAAAAGCAAACAATCCCATCAAAAAGTGGCCTAAGAACATGAATAAATTCTCAAAAGAAGGTATACAAATGCCCAACAAACATATGAAAAAATGCTCAGCATCACCAACAATCAGGGAAAAGCAAATCAAATTGCAATGCGTTACCACCTTAGTCCTGCAAGAATGGTCATAATCAAAAAATCAAAAAACAGTAGATGCTGGTGTGGATGCGGTGATCAGGGAACACTTCTCTACTGCTGGTGGGAATGTAAACTAGTACAACCGCTATGGAAAACAGTGTGGGGAGTCCTTAAAGAACTAAAAGTAGCACTACCATTTGATCCAGCAATCCCACTACTAGAGGAAAAGAAGTCATTATATGAAAAAGATACTTGCAGATGCATGTTTATAGCAGCACAATTTGCAATTGCAAAATCATGGAACCAACTCAAATGCCCATCAATCAATGAGTGGATAAAGAAACTGTGATATATATATATATAAAACGGAATACTAAGCCATAAAAAGGAATGAATTAATGGCATTCACAGCAACCTAGATGAGATTGGAGACTATTATTCTAAGTGAAGTAACTCAGGAATGGAAACCCAAACATCGTTTGTTCTCACTGACATGTGGGAGCCAAGCTATGAGGACACAAAGGCATAAGAATGATACAATGGACTTTGGTGGCTTGCGGGGAAGGGGGAGAGTGGGCAAGGAATAAAAGATTACAAATAGGGTGCAGTGTATACTGCTGGGATGATGGGTGCACCAAAATCTCACAAATCCCCACTAAATAACTTACTCATGCAACCAAACACCATCCATACCCCAATAACTTATGGAAAAAGAAAAAATATAGAAAAAAGAAAATTAATCAAACCCAAGGACGGGTTCATGGGAACCCCAATTTATAGTCAGTTGGTCAGAAGCACAGGTAAAACAACCTAGGGCTTGTGATTGGCATCAAAAGTGGGGAGCAGTCTTTGCGTACTGAGTGCTCAACCTGTGTTATCTGATGCTGTATCAAGGTAGATAGTGTCAGAATTGAATTAGTGGACACCCAGATGGCGTCTGCTGCAGAATTGATTGCTTGTTTGGTGTTCTGGAAAAACCCACAGACATTTGGTCATAGATGTATTCTTTATTAGATGTGGCATGGGAGCAGAGGAAAAACAGTTTGTGTTTTCCACACAATACTCTAGGAAAATTACTAGGCTTTGAAGAAAAATAAAAATTCTCTGGTCATCTAGGCAAAAAAACTCCTTAAGTTAGAAGTGAAAGAAAATTGGATTATTATCATACTTTTAGGCAGTAATACTTCATGCCAGAAGAAAATGGAGTAACATATTTAAGATCTTCAATGAAAGAAAGTGTAAACCAAGGATTTTATATCCAGCAAAGGTGACTTTTAAGTACAAAAGCAGAGACAAACTGTTACCAACATGTGGGAACTCAGGGAACATTGTTTCCATTGCCCCTTCCTGTGGAATCTACTAGAGGAGCTTCAGACAACCAGAAAGAATAGAGAGACACCAGCGTAAAGACTGGTGGTGAATGTTAACATATAGATACTTGTAGAATGTAATGGTTATATGATCTGATTGTGTAATTATGGTACAATCCCTCAAAATAATGGGGGCACAAGGAGAATGAAAGAGCTTATCAAAAATATTTTAAAACATTTTCAATAATCATATCGGTGGTGATAGTATTAGTATGACTATTCTGATACTGTTGTGTGTACAATGTGGAAAAAAGCAAATGAGTGTTTATGAGATTTCTAATCAGTTGATCCTCTGTGTATGCCAGAATTCTTGGCATGGAAGAAAGAAGATACAGATGTAATATAGTAGATGTTAAATAGAAACTCTATAATATTGGGCCAGGTGTAGTGGCTCATGTCTGTAATCCCTGCACCTTGGGAGGCTGAGGTGGGAGGATTGTCTGAGGCCCGGAGTTTGAGACCAGCCTGGGCAACAGAGTGAGACCCTGTATCTTAAAAAAAAAAAAAAAAAAAGCAGGGTATGGTGGTGCACACCTGTGGTCCTAGCTACTCGGGAGGCTGAGTGTTAGAGGATTGCTTGGGCCCAGGAGGTCGAGGCTGCAGTGAGCTGTGTTCATGCCAGTGCATTCCAGGTTGGGTGACAGGGTGAGATTCTGTCTCAAAAAACAACAAAACCCCAAATTCTAATATTGAATTTGAATTGGAAAACCCCGTATGAACTGTTGAGGTATTTTATCTTAAAATATTTACATATTTTATTTCTATTTTCTAGTTCTGTTGACCAAAAACATCTGGGCATAATGACCACCCAAATGCGGTGAGCATTCCTAGGACCAAGATTATAGCACTGAAATACCCTTTCCTATGAAAAATAAACCAGGCTTTTAGAGAAATATTGTGAGAGGAATCTGGAATATCTTATCATACCAGACAGAGAGGAACTTCTTAAGCCACAAAGGTTATGTCAAAAGGACCCAGGAGTCAACTTGAAGAGGCTCCCAGTAGCCAAAATGGGACAATGTGAGCTTCAATGAGGGTAATAATTATAATGGACTGAAATCTATCAAATGCTTAACCCATGAGTTAATAATAATACTAAAAAAATAAAACCCACAAACCAATTTGTCTTTTTTGGAGGGTGACAGAGAAGCAATGCGTTGTCTTAGATCCTGGTAATTAAAGGGAAAGAATCAAGCATTTATGCCACTTCTCTTATATGAACAGTACCATGGAGTAACCAAATAATAAACACCTTATAAAGTCATTCTAGCTAAGAAATAGAATATCTGGTGTGATTTGAAAGCTTTCACCTTCAGTGTCTAGGGCCAGCTTTCTGCCCCTGGCACCCACACCCAACTCCCTGAGGCTATGGTTCCATTTATTTCTATGCATCCTGGCCCTCACTCTCATCTGACACATGCCCTTACATTCAGGAGATGCTCAATAAATCCTCTGTAGAGTGATGTGAACCCAGTCCAGAGTGAGACTTGGAGGATATGTGGCTTTGGGGGATAGAGAGCCTGCTCGCTGTCCATCCCTCATCTCAAGGAAGAGCTGCAGAGATTTTCTCCCAACTCTCTCCCACTGTCCCAGGGGTTGTGGGGGCAAATCCTGTGCCTTTTCCTAAAAACCAGACCCAGAGGAGTTCAGAAATGGCAGGGATGGAGCATCTTCGAACCTGAACTTACTTAGTAGGAGGGAAGGCCGGAGGTCGCTTAGTTCATCCCACTGCCACCAATTCATGTACAGGATTGAGGAAGCCACCTTTTTGGGAATAAAAATGTTTGACATCCTGTCATCAAGCACTGGGCCAAGGGAACTCAGTGAACAGGTTCTATTTGACACTTCACTGTAACCTATCCCTTCCTGACTCCAGCCCCAGATCAATTGCTACCTCAATTAGTGAATTAGAGCATGTTAATGACTCCATGGGAGCCATCTCAAGGTTCTGATCTGGCATTTGACCAGTATTATATTGTCATGTAAGAGTCACACATGCTCATTGACCATTCCTTCAGATAGTATTTTTTGGCCATCTTCCAGGTACCAGACACTATGCTAGGCATTGAAATACAGAGGGATGAAGAAATGGTGCCTGTCCCCAAGGGTTTCATAGTCTACTGGGGTAAAGAGATGGTACAGTGGGTGTATTCGTCTGCTAGGGCTGCCATTACAAAATATCAGATTGGGGTCTTAAACAACAAACGTTTATTTTCTCCCAATTTTGGAGACTGGAAGTCTAAGATCAAGGTGCTGGCGGGTTGGTTTCTCCTGAGGTCTCTCTCCTTGGCTTGCAAATGGCCACCATCTTGCTGTGTCCTTTTCTCTGTACACACCCATTCCTGATGTCTCTCTCTTCTTATAAGAACACCGGTCCTGGTCGGGCATGGTGGCTCGTGCCTGTAATCCCAACACATTGAGAGGACGAGGCGGGTGGATCACTTGAGGTCAGGAGTTTGAGACCAGCCTGACCAACACGGCGAAACCCCGTCTCTACTAAAAATACAAAATTAGCCAGGAGTGGTGGCACACACCTGTAATCCCAGCTATTCGGGAGGCTGAGGCATGAGAATCACTTGAATTCAGGAGGCAGAAGTTGCAGTGAGCCAAGATCATGCCACTGCACTCCAGCCTGGGCAAGAAGAGTGAAACTACATCTTGAAAAAAAAAAAAAAAAGCACAGCAGTCCTATTCCATTAGGGCCCCACCCTTATGACCTCATTTAACCCTAATTACCCCTTAAAGGCCCTGTCTCCAAATACAGTCACATTAGGGATTAGGGTTTCAACATATTAATTTGTTGGGGGTGGGGTAGTTGGGAATTCAATCCATAACAGTGGGTTTTAAGAATTATAATAAAGTCAGGACCAGGCTGCAGGGCAACAACCGTTCACCCTCATGACCATGTGGCTGACTGGGAGCTGGGCTGCAGCACCGTGAAAGAGTATGGCACTGCATATGGCTGGCCTGGGAAAAGATCAAAATATAATATCTGAAGTCTGATTTCTACTGAATGTGCATTGCTTTTGCAACATCGTAAAGTTGAAAAATCATTAAGTGAAATATCGTAAGTCAGGTACCATCTGTGCTGAAAACTGGGTGGCTTAGAACAACAGAAACTGATCATCTCACAATTATGGAGGCCCGAAGTCTGAGATCAAGGTGTCGTCAGGGCCAGGCTCCCTTGCTCCAGCCCTCTCTCCTGGCTTCTGGTAGTTACTTGGCTTGTGGCAGCAGAAATCCATAATCTTCACATGGCGTTTCCCCTTTTTATAAGGACAGCAGTCATCTTGGATTAGAGGCCTATCCTGCTCCACTATGACGTCATCCTAACTCATTACATCTACAATGACCCTATTTCCAAATAAGAACACATTCTGAGGTTCTGACAAGTCAGGACACCAGCATATGAATTTCTGGGAAGAACGTGATTCCGTCCCTAACAGGAAGCTCTGGAAAGAGTCCTGGCATGATCTGATGGAGGCCCAAACTAAGGAAGTGGTGGTGTGGATCCTGAGGGTGGGGACTGGGAATTGTCTTAGTTCAGGCTGCTATAACAAAATACCATAGGCTGGGGGCCTTAAGCAACAGACATTTATTTCTTACAGTTCTGGAGGCTGGAAGTCTGAGATCAAGACCTGCACGGTTGAGTTCTTGTGATGGCCCTTAGGGCAGTTGCAGACAGCCATCTTCTCACTCTGTCCTCATGTGGTAGAGAGGAAGCCCTGGAGTCTCTTCTTATAAGGGCACTAATCCCATTGTGAGGACCCCACCTTCATGACCTCATCTAAACCTAATCACCTTCCAAAGGCCCCATCACCAAATACCATCACAGTGAGTGTTAGAGCTTCAACACAGGAATGGAGGGGGGAAACAAACATTCATTCCCTAACAGGAATGGATTTGAAAGTTACTGATATGGGGGTTTGCCTGGTTTAGTGATGGCTGAATGTGGGTCGGAGAAAGAGGTAAGAGGTGATGACCCTGTCTGAGAGGTGAGGACCCCTCCTCCCAGGACCCTGGCTTTTCTGAGGGCATGAATAATGGCACCTCTGATATACAAAGGGCTGACAGAGGAGCAGGAGGTTTGTTTGAAGATATTGAGTGGTTTTAGGCCCAGGCTCTGGAGCAAGACCCCTGGGTGTGAATCCCACCTTCCCCACTTACTAGCTACAGTGGCCTTGGGTAGTCCCTTAACTTCTTGATGCCTTGAAGGGAAGTAACAACACCTGAGTCACAGGAGTGTGGGACTCCACAGAGGGTGATAATCCACGTAAAGTGCATCACTCAGCCTGGCTCACAGTCAGCACTCAGTGAGGTCACTCATGACCATCACAATGACTGACTAGAGGCTCCATAGGCAGCTGGCATGAAGGGAATTCTGGTTTGAGAGATCATGACCAGCCTGAGAGTTATTTTCCCACCTCCAGTTCCTTCCTGTGTGTTGAGAGCTTGCATGCACGTGTAGACGCCCCAGCCTGTGTGTCCAAGCTCTGTCCACAGCTCCCTGCAAAGAGCTAGATTAACTTACCCTGCAGTAGTGTGCAGTATGAAGAAAAGGGAAGCCATTCCTTGTGAGAAGCTTGAGGGAGGACTAGTCAGAGAGAGTGTGAGGACATGAAAGAAGGGACAGAGAGATTCCAAATGAAGGGGTAGTCAACAGCCTTCAATATTGAAGGGACTGGGAGTCAAATGAAGGCTGAAAAGTCCTAAATTTGGCTCATAGAGGTCCTTGGTGACATTAGCAAGGACAGTCTTTTGGAGACAGAGAGCAGTTGATAGAGTAGGAACCAGGCCTGGGGGCTTGAAGGCCTCTGAGATGGAATGGAAAACCAAATATTGTATGTTCTCATGTATAGGTGGGAGATAAGCTATGAGGACACAAAGGCATAAGAATGATATAATGGACTTCGGAGACTTGCAGGAAAGGGTGGGAGGGGAGTGAGGGATAAAAGACTACACACTGGGTATGGTGTACACTGCTCAGGTCATGGCTACACCAAAATCTCAGAAACTACCACTAAAGAACTCATTCATGTAACAAAAAAAATAGAAGAAGAAGAGGAAGAGGAAGAAGAGGAAGAGGAAGAGGAAGAAGAAGAAAGAAGAAGAAGAAGGAAGAAGAAGAAGAAGAAGAAGGAGAAGGAGAAGGAGAAGGAGAAGAAGAAGAAGAAGAAGAAGAAGAAGAAGAAGAAGAAGAAGAAGAAGAAGAAGGAGAAGGAGAAGGAGAAGGAGAAGGAGAAGAAGACTCAGCCCCTGCAGGATTAAGGAATAGAAAATTCAAAGGAAAAGGAAAAGGAACAGGGCTCCAACCAGAGAGTGTCTCTCTCATGCTGAAGAAGTCTCCAGAAATTAGTTTGGGGCTGATTCCATGGTGAGAGGAGCTCAGATTCCTTCTATTATGTTGCTCCCAGGGGAATAACCTGTCTCCAGATTTACCTCAAGACCAATACAGCTGCTCCTGCTCCAGCCATCATGTTCATGTTCCAGCTAGCAAGAAGATGGGAAAGAGTGTACAACACCCTCCTTTTAAGGAAGAAACCCAGAAACACATATATCACTTTTACTTATCTCACATAGGCTAGAGCTTAGCCCTCAGCCACACTTTGCTGCAGGGGGATGCTGGAAAATGTAGTCTTTTTTTTTTTTTGAGACAGAGTCTCACTGTCACCCAGGCTGCCATAGCCACCTGAATAGTTGGGATTACAGGCATGCACCATGATGCCCGGCTAATTTTTGTATTTTTAGTAGAGACAGGGTTTCACCATGTTGGCCAGGCTGGTCTCGAACTCCTGATCTCAAGTGATCCACCTGCCTCGGCCTCTCAAAGTGCCAAGGTGGGTGGATCATGAGGTCAGGAGATCGAGACCATCCTAGCTAACACGGTGAAACCCCATCTCTACAAAAAACATTTAAAAAAATTAGCCAGGCGTGGTGGCAGGCACCTGTAGTCCCAGCTACTCAGGAGGCTGAGGCAGGAGAGTGGTGTGAACTCGGGAGGCAAAGCTTGCAGTGAGCTGAGATTGCACCACTGCAAATGTAGTCTTTATTTTGGTGCCCATGCACAGCTTAAAATCCTCCCAAGATGAAAAAGAGGAGGATGGGTATTGGGAAATAGTCGTTTGGCCACTGCTTGTAGGCAAGGGGGCATGAATGTGAGGGGATTTCAATCAGAAGGCTTCTATTTTTTTCTCCATGAATTACGAGATGAGGTCCCCAGCGACAAAATGTGGTGGGAGGGTTGAATGTGGCAACTGAAGTTTTCAATTCTTGAAGGAGAGCTGGCTGCCCTAAGTGGTGCTGGAGGCCTTGGTGAGAGTGAAGTCTGTGTGTCTGCTCTATGGAGGATATACCCCAACATGCTTGCATGCTGGAGGGCAGAGCTGCCACAAGATGGACTCTCTGAGATGGGGTCTGGGGATCTGGGCATGTGGTTAGAGATGTTCAGGAAATGGACCTTGGGGTCTGGGCTCTGTAGGGAAAGCAGTGTGACCAGGTGGGAGGGGCGAGGTCTTGGAGAAGGTGAGGGAGGTCAATGGGGATGTGTCCTGCGTTCAGGAGGAGAGCTGCGGGGCTAGGAGGCTGCAGCTGGCAGGAAGACTCCAGCATTTGCAACATCAGAGTGGATGGCCCTGGGTGGTGCCAGCCTCCAGGGTGTGGGCTGCTGAAATGAAGTAAAGGAGAACATCCCCAGACTGAGGAACAGAGGTGCCAGGTGAATTTTCCTCAGGATGTGGAAGTTTCCCAGAATGATGGCAGATGGAGGGGAAGGAGTCACTGTGATACAGGGGCTGATGTCCTTGTAAATATCAGGACATTGCCATGTCAATCAGACAGTGACCATGAGTGATCACTGGGGGCAGTTCATACTGGAGAGAATATACAGGAAGTGTTTGGAGGGTTCAGTGGGAGGAGGGTAAGTTAGGGGTGGAGGAGGGCAGACCAAGAGAGGCCAGGAGGAGCCCACCTCTTGCATCAGCATGACCTGGATGTAAGACATGGAGTCAAAGGAGATCATTTTGGAACTTTAAGCAAGTAGTTACTTCCTACATACAGGCATTTGGTACAGGCATTTGGTAAATACACCCATTCCAAATGGGAGAAATTGGCCAAAACAAAGGAACTACATGCAAGTCCGAAATCCCATAGACTTGGGCAGCTCCACCCCTGTGGAGGATGATGACCCTCTTCTCACAGCTCCACCAGGCAGTGCCTCAGTGGGGACTCTGTGCAGCAGTGGGCTCCATCCCCACATTTCCCTTCCTCAGTGTCCTAGCAGAGGTTCTCCCTGAGGGCTCCGCCCCTGCAGCAGACTTTTGCCTGGACATCCAGGCGTTTCCATACATTGTCTGAAATTTAGGCAGAGGTTCTCAAACCTCAATTCTTGACTTCTGTGCAGCTGCAGGTTCAACACCTGTAAGCTGCCAAAGCTTGGGGCTTGCATCTTCTGAAGCAATGGCCTAAGCTATACATTGACCCCTTTTAGCCACAAGTGGAACTGAAGCAACTGGGATGCACTGGTCCCCCAAACCATTTTTCCCTCCTAAGCCCCTGGGCCTCTGATGGGAGGGGCTGCTGTGAAGTTCTCAGACATTCCCTGGAGACATTTTCCCCATTGTCTTGGTGATTAACATTCGGTTCCTCGTTACTTATGCAAATTTCTGCAATGGGCTTGAATTTCCCCCTAAGAAATGAGTTTTTCTTTTCTATCGCATTGCCAGGGTGCAAATTTTCTAAACTTTTATGCTCTGCTTCCTCTTGAACGCTTTGGTGCTTAGAAATTTCTTCTGCCAGATACCCTAAATTCTCTCTCTCATATTCAAATTTCCACAGATCTCTAGGGCAGGGGGAAAATGCCACCAGTCTCTTTGCATAGCAAGGGTGGCCTTTACTCCAGTTTCCAACAAGTTCCTCATCTCCATCTGAGACCACCTCAGCCTGGACTTCATTGTCCACATCACTATCAGCATTTTGGTCAAAGCCATTCAACAGGTCTCTAGGAAGTTCCAAACTTTCCCACATTTCTCTGTCTTCTTCTGAGCCTTCCAGACTGTTCCAACCTCTGCCTGTTACCTAGTTCCAAAGTTACGTCCACATTTTGGGGTATATTTATACTAGTATGTCACTCCTGGTACCAATTTACTGTATTAGTTTGTTCTCATGCTGCTAATAAAGACATATCTGACACTGGGTAATTTATGAAGGAAAGAGGTTTAATTGACTCATGGTTCTGCAGGGCTGGGGAGGCCTCAGGAAACTTACAATCATGATGGAAGGGGAAGCAAATACATCATTTTTCACCTGGCAGCAGGAAGGAGAAGAATGAGCAAAGGGGGCCGGTGTGGCAGGGGGGAGCCCCTCATAAAACCATCAGATCTCATGAGAATTCACTCACTATCACGAGAACAGCATGGAGATAACCTCCCTCATGATTCAATTACCTCCCACTGGGTCCCTCCTATGTCATGTGAGGATTATGGGAACTATAATTCAAGATGAGATTTGGATGGAGACATAGCCAAGCCATATCGAGCAGTAAATCTAACAATTAAGATACACAGGCTTTGGAATGAGACAGACCTGGGTTTGAAAGTCTTGGCCACTGTCAGCTGTGCAATTTTGAGCAAGTATTCAACCTCTCTGGACCAAAGTTTCCACATTTGGATAGTTGGGGTAGGGGTGGGGTATTTGTCTTTCTCCCTTTAGGGGAAGTCTTTCATGGTTGGAGATACACATCACTGCCTTTCCATCCCATGTCACCCTATTTCTTTGCTTTGCCTAGAAGGCCATGAGGAAGGACTCTGGAAGATGTCTGAATACTAGAAACCCCGAGAGCCAGAAGAATGCATTCGTCTGTGGTTCAAGCTAAGTATGGGTAGTGCCAAGATGGTTTCTGATTTGGTCTCCACCACATACAGTGATTCCAAAGGGGGGTAAGACATCCTTCCTCCTGCCCCAGTGTCAGCCCTTTGCAGTCTATCTCGGTCTGCTTTTCAAGTACCCCTAATATCTTGGCACTTCCTCATGGTGAAAAGTCTCCTTCCTCCCCTTCCTGAACCCATCCATGTGCCCAATGCCCAAAGGACATTTGGAGGGATGCACTTAAAATCAAATTCGTCCACTGTCTATTTGTTGAGATAAGGTGTGGTGACAACAGCAGTCCAAGGGGACTACTAGCAGCCTCAGAATCCAGCCACCCAGCCCTAGCCTTGTCAGGGCCACTCCTGGGCTGGGCACACTTGTAGGTGGGGAGGGAAGGGCAGCATTGTCAGAGAAGACAGACCAAGCTGCAGCTGCCCTACTGGGAGGCTGGGAGGCCTGAATAGCTTCACAGCGCTGGGCCCTGCTTGCTGAATGGGGGCTTGGCTCCTCCCTGGCGGTGGTCCGGAATGGATGACATTTTCATTGCAAGCTAACAAGGGGAGAAATCCAATTACTTCACAAAGAGGCTCCTGAAGGGGCCTCACAGCCTGGAGAAAGAAGGGGAGGAGAAGAGGGGGAGAGGGAAGGAAGAAGGGGAGTGTGTGTGTGTGTGTGTGTGTGTGTGTGTGTGTGTGTGTGTGTGTGTGTGTGTGTGTAGGGAGGCTCCCACCCAGACCAGGAAAGGAACAAAGCCCTCAGGCCTCCAGGACATGGCCTCCTGCATACAGGCAGGGAGATTGGAACTGGGGGGCTTTTAATTGATTTCCAGTGGGTCAGAGGGTCTGCCTGGAAACTCCAGGTCCCTGAGAGCTCCAGGCAATCAGGCTTCCTCCCTGTGGAACAACCTGAGTGGTGCAGAAGAGGCCCCAGCCCTATTTCTCTGCCCCATCAGACTACAGTTTCCCTGACCTGAGTCATCAAAGGCCCATTATACACTTTTTTACCTTTGTTGCATCCACCTAAACTATTAATCCCTTTTTGAAACATTTATTTAAAGTGTATTATTTAAGCTCAGTATTTTGGAAGTTTATATCCTAACTGCAAATAGAAAAAGTAGAAGCTAATTCTAAATAGAAATACAATTCAAATAGCCCAATGTTGTTGAACCTCAGGGAGCTGAAAGCCTTGGGCTCTCTGGGGTGGAGGGTGGGAGTGATGGGATGGTGGGGTTAGCAAATGTTTGCAATCCAGATTTCTCCCAGGTCTAATCCAGGAGGAAGAAGAGGATTGAAAAGGGAACACCTCCCTCCCGCAGCGGTTCAAAAGCTGCTCCAGGCAAGGCTATGCCTCCAGGTCTTCCACACCTGCCCCCAGGGTAGTGGGTGTGGCGGCTTCACGGCCTTGCTGCCCTTAACTTTGGTTGCCCAACAGCTAGCTTAGTCCTCTCTTTTCCTCTTCCGGAAAAGAGAGGCAAAGTTAGGAACGATTGAGTACTGGATAGACCTACTTTCTGTGAGTTGTGGGGTGGTCACTGGAGTCCCAGAAAGTGTGAGAGGCCTGGGGGAGGTGGAAGATAATGGCAGTTCCAGGGCCACAAGCGTGTCCAGTCTCCCGCTCTCCCTCCCCTTCGACTCGGGAGGAAGGGCTACAGACCCCATCTAGGAGGAAATTAGCATTCGCTTCCTCTGGCTCAGCCAGAGCAAATCGGCCTTCAAAAGCCAGCGGCCTGGAGGCCACACAGCGCGCCCCTTTGTGGCTCCCACGCCTTGCCTCACCCTCTCCCCCAGCCGACTGAACTCCCTAGCTCCGAAGAGAGCAAATGGGAGTCTCCTGAGGCACAAGGACCTGGGGTGGGGTGGGGCAGATCTTCCTCAATGCCCTCTCCAAACTGGGGGTCCCGCCTGCTTCTCCTGTCCTGTGGAGGCTTTTTGGTGAGCTTTGGTCCCAAAGGAGTTTAGGCCCCAAGGATGGCACAGTGCTAGTCCTCACTCCCCCTTTACCCCCGGGAGATTCAGGCCAAGTGGGAAGGCTGAGGGAGGGGCAGTGCTTGCTAGAGGGCATGGCTCAGGTTAAGCTCCACCCACTCAGATTTGTGTCCAAAAGTGGACAAGGACCACCCTGGGCTTTGGGGACTTCCTGCTCCCCTCTGATCTCCCCAGGCCATCTCTGTTCTCAGAATACTGGAGGAGAGGAGGCTACGGAAATGCGGGTTTCATCCAGAGACTCAGGGGCACCCCTAAGTCCTCAGCGGGCTCACCGGTCAAGTCAGATGCCTGGGGAGGGAGGCTGAGGGGAAGGGCTAAGGTGAGGATGATCTGCACAGTCGGAGGCAGTCAAAGAAGCTTAAAGAAGGTGAAGCTTAAATAATAATCATAGCCAACAAAAGCAGGCACCAGGATTTCCTAAACACCTAAGGGATTAACTGCTTTACCCTCCACTACTCTAGGAGGTAGCTGAGGCTGGCTAACTTGCTTAAAAATCCCAGCTAGGCTGGGTGCGGTGGCTCACGCCTGTGATCCCAGCACTTTGGGAGGCGGAGGCAGGCGAATCACAAAGTCAGGAGTTCGAGACTAGCCTGGCCAACATGGTGAAACCTCGTCTCTACTAAGAATACAAAAAATTAGCTGGGCGTAGTGGTGGGCACCTGTAATCCCAGCTACTCGGGAGGCTGAGGCAGGAGAATTTCTTGAACCCGGGAGGCCAAGGTTGCTGTGAGCTGAGATCGTGCCACTGCACTCCAGCCCGGGTGACAGAGTGAGACTCTGTCTCAAAAATAAAACAAAACAAAACAAAGCAAAAAACAAACAAACAAACAAAAAAACCAAACAAACAAAAATCCCAGCTAGTGGGTGGCCGAGTTTACCTTGTATTTCCTTGCTATCTACCCATTCCTAGTCCGTATTCTTCACCTCCTTGTGGCATTTGATTTTGTTAAGACTCAATCTTTTGGCTTCCAGAACTCCACTCTCTTCCTGGACTCTTCTAACCTCTCTGATCATTCCATGTGCGTCTTCCTAGGGGCCCACCCAGGGCTTCTGCTGCCAGGGCAGTGTGTGTATGCACAAACAGAGAGCCTGCGTAGTCTCTAGATTCCAGATACTCTCTGGAGTAGTGCAGTTTGGCAGTGTTGACCCTACCCCTTGAATGTGCCTGGGGTTTATTCCTTGGCCTTCTCATCTGTAACCAGACTCATTGTTTTAACATTATCTCTTCCCTGATGACTCCCAAACTTTTGTCTCTATCCTTGACAAATCCCATGGCCTATGGGACACATTCATCTGGATAACTCAACTCAAAAACACAAGAGGCCATCAACTGAACTCATGCTTCCTCCAAACCTTCTCACACTGGAATTTCTGTCCTACGCATCCAAGGTGGAAACTCTTGGGTTCTCATTGATTCAACTCTGCCCTGACACCCTCATCTCCCTTTTCAACCAAACACCTCTCCTGCCCCATTGTTTTTGCCAACCCAACATCCAATCACCAAGGTAATTCTGCCTTTGAAATCTCTCCTGCACCTCCCCTCTCCTCATCTACTAAGTCTCCATCATCTCATACTTTGACTATTTGACATAGATCCCTAACAAATGTCACTGCTCAGTCTTTCTGCTGCAGACAAAGAGCCCTTCAAACCCAGTCTCACAAAAATCTCCCTGCTCAAAGAGTTCTGTGAGGCCGGGCACAGTGGCTCACATCTGTAATCCCAGCACTTTGGGAGGCTGAGGCAGGAGGATCACATGAGGTCAGGAGTTCAAAACCAGCCTGGCCAACATGGTGAAACCTCATTAAAATACAAAAATAAAAAATTTAAATACATAATTTAAATTAAAAATTAATTAAAATACAAAATTAAAAATATAAAAATTAACCGGGCGTGGAATCACATGCCTGTAATCCCAGCTACTCAGGAGGCTGAGGCAGGAGAATCTCTTGAACCTAGAAGATGGAAGTTGCAGTAAGCTGAGATGGCGCCACTGCACTCCAGCCTGGGCAACAGAGTGAGACTCCATCTCAAAAAAAAAAAGGTCTGTGCCATCCCTTAACAAAACTCCTATCACTTGCTCTTCATCTTCCATGTGCTATGCACCCTATACCCCACTATAGGCACTTATCTAAACACTCCTTGTCTTTTCATATTTATTTATTCACATGTCCCATAATTTTTTATTTGATATCATCTATGAACCAGGCCCTGTGCTCACTGCTGGGAGAGATAAACATGAATCAGACCCTGGCCCTGCACTCTGGAGGATGAAGTCTGTTCTTCATGTTGTTGCTATTCTGCCATTTTGATATACCCTTTTCCATCAGAAAATGTCTACTCTCATAAATAGAAAGTCTTATATTTTTCCCACATATCAGTGCATCATTTTATGTATGCACTCCTTGGAGTTCATACAGTGCACTTTGAAGACATCTGGACTAAGACCCAGAAACAGGAAGTAAATAGAGTTTTTTGGTTGAAAGTGACAGAAAACCAATTCAAACAAGTAGGAAAGGGAATTTATTGGTTCACATAAGCAGGAAGTGCCGAGGTAGATTAGAGCTGACCTTAGAGACTCCAAGAACACATCACCTGTCACTCCCTCTGTCTGCCTCCTCAGGCCTTCTACCCTGATGACTTCTATTGCAGAGATGGGTGAAGAGTAGATGGTAGATCTGGTGGCAGAAAGCTATGAGCTTATGTCAATCCAGCCTAGTGATGCCCCTGGAAAAATATGTTCTTTCCTAGCATTCATCTAAAAATCTTAAGAAATGGTTGTCATTGACCCAATTTGGATAATGTATTCATTCCTGAACCAGTAACTGAGGCAAGGGGATGAAGAGCTCTGAAGGGAGAGGCTTGAATCACATACTCATCCCTGTGGTCTGGAGGGCACTGTGACTGGTAACTGAAGAAGAACCACATGGAATTGGGGAGGAGCAGTTCTCCAAAGGAAGGTGAGTGCTGTAATCAGAAAGGGGGGAAAGGATCGGGGGCAGACAAACACAAAAAATGCCACTACAGACAGTGTGGAGGCAAAACTAGACTACTGATCCTTGATTCTTTCCATTGCATTATGGTGTTGTAGCTAGATGATCAAACCACATATCCCTCAGAAGACAGGTATGATCCTAAGATAGTCCAGTCCTCATTATTGTACAGGAGCTGCATAGGCAGAACATTTCCTTACTCCTGATGTTTCTTTCTAGACTTCTGCTTCCAGTTGTAAGGGAAGCCCTATAATTGAGACAGACTTACCATTCTCCTGTAAACAGAAAACTTGACAAAACATATGAAATAACAGTTTTCAGACAATGGACTGTGATCCTTGAGAGAATGGAAACAAATGAGGTGAGCCCTGTGATCACCTGGCTTTCTGCTGGAGATTTCTGGTCTGTGATGCAGGGATGGGGAACCCAAAGAGAGCCTGGTGGTCTTGCTGAGTTGAGGATACAAAGAAGAGAATTCAGGAGGTTGAGGCAGCTAGGGTTTGCACGTAGTGGAAAGATTTTTACAGAGAAAGTTTCAGAAACATGCATAGAGCTCCCTTGAGTTCCCATGAAGCTAACTAAAAAAAAAATCCAGGGAAAGGACAATTACTTGGGAGAAGTAAGATAAAAAGATTCTTAGAGTTCACACAGGTTGGGGAATCATTTGAGGTTCTACTAACCAGGATGGAGACGCATTGCTATAATATGTGAGGCATTTATATATTTGATGAAAGATTCTAGAAGGGTCATATTTCAATGGTGGGGCTAACCTAGCTCTAGAGTGAAGGTTACTGTAGTCCCATTTTTTAAGAGCTTAAAAACAAGCTTTAAAAAGATTATAGTTGTCTTTTAATGGCCTCCAGGACAAAATGCAACCCCTCTTTAATGGAATACAATAAAATCAAGCACTCAATGATGTAAATTTGCATTACCCAGCATCTAATCAAGAATGACTAGAAATACACAGAATTAGAAATATGTTACCCATAATTAGATGTGGATGCTAAAGCAACTCCATCTTGGATGCTAATCTGCCATGTTGACTTCTGATTAACCCTGTTCTGGGAAGGCCTGTAAGATTTCTACTTTATCTACTGTTATCATACATGTTGCCCAGAGGTCAAAACAACCTTGATAATAAATTCTTCTCTCAGGCAGACTAACACAGCATTCTTGCCTTTCCCTGAGGAGTTGAATTCAACTGTCTTATACACTCCTTCCCTATGGTATATAAACCCTGGGTCTGGGGCAGGGATAATGGTGTGGGGATCCACCATCTTGTCTTACCACCATCTGAGACATGGCTTCTGTTAATAAGTCCCTATTAAATTTTTCTTTCTGATAAACTGGATTTGTCAGCCTCTTTCTTTGGATTCTCAGCTTCCTTGGCCTTTGGAGGTAGGTTTGCACAGACCTGCTCACTACAGAATACTAGGAGAAAAAGCAATCAATGAAAATATATCTGGAAATGACAGATATTAAAATGATTCTTACAGATATGCTCAACAATTTAGAGAAAAGCATGAACATAATGAGGAAATAAATTGAAGATAAGAAGACTCAAACAGAACTCCTAAGGGAGGAAAAATACAGTGTTTAAAATGAAAATGTTACCAGATAGGATGAAAAGCTAATTAGATACTGCAAAAGAAAAGATCAGTGAACTTGAAGACACACCTTAGAAACGATCTCAAACGAAGCACAGAGAGGAAAAAAAGAGTGAGATAAAAACCAATATCACTGATCTATGGGACAATGTCAAGCAGTCCGACAGACATAACACTGGAGTCGCAAAAGGGGATGTGGGGGCAGAAAAAACATTTTGAAAAAATAATGGGCAAACATTTTCCAAATTTGATGACAGCTATAAATCCAGATCAAAGAAGCTCAAGGAACCCCAAGCATGATAAATAAAAATAAAATCACACCAGGGAGCATTACATTTAAATTGCTGAAAGCCAGTGATAAAGATAAAATCTTAAAAGCAGTCAGAGGAAAATTAAGAAAAGACATTATGTACCTAGGAACAAAGATAACAATGACAGCAGACTACTCATCAGAAACTATGCAAGCTGGAAGACAATGAAACATCTTTAAATGCTGAAAGAAGAAAACCCCAAAAACCTATTAACCTAGAATTATGTTCACAGTGAAAGTACCTTTCAAAAATTAAGATGAAATAAAATTTTTTTAAAAATGCAAGCTAAAGTAGTAGAATTTGTTGCCAGCAGACTTGCTCTATAAGAAACATTAAAGGAAATTCTTTAGGAGAAGGAAAATGGTATCAGGTAGAAACTTGGATCTACAGAAAGGAGTGAAGAAAGCAGGAAATGACAGAGATGTGGGTAAATATAAAATATGTTGATTGTGTAAAGCAAAAGTAATAATGATATATTTGGCAGTTTATAATACATGTAGAAAGTGTATGATGACAACAGCACAAAGGATAAGAGGGAAAAATGGAAGTATGTTGTAAGGTTCTTAAGGTATACATGAAGTATATAATATATTATTATAATCTTATTTGATGATAGACTGTGATAAGTTAAGCAAGTATATTGTAAGCCCTAGAGCAACACTAAGAGAGTAATGAAGAGGCATAGCGACTAAGCCAATAATAGAGATAAAATGAAATCTTGATGTTTCCTTCTGTGTGTAGGGACCCCATTGGTATAACACACCTGGCTTCTCCCTGCTCTCTCTTTCATTCTGCTCCAGCGAATATTGAGTGACTTATCTGATTGGTGAGTTTGGCAGTAGCAGTCCAGGCTACTGGGTAGCTCACCCCATCCTTGGGTACAAGCTACCTGAAACGTAAACACATTTCTGCTCTGCCCTTGTGAGCAGGAGAGGCTAGTGATGGTCCAGTGTTGCTTATGACCTATGGGCATGTCTGACTAATTCTAGGTTTCCATGTTTAACAGTCTGCTTGCCTGCAGCCATGAGCCATGTTCTTCAAAGTCAGCCTCATTGGTAGCAAATGTGATACTTGGTCTCTATCTGCCTTGCTTCTTTGTCTAATTTCTTAATTGGTTTAGAAATCAGTATTTATGGAGATACTTCCCCCACTACAATGGCTGGCTTGACTGCCAGCTCCTGGATAGGAAAAGGATACTGGACTCCTCTCCTACCTGCCATATGTGATTGACCATGGGAGCTTGAGCATGGGGTCCTGGAAGGGGAAGGGATCGATGGTAAGACAAGGTAAAGAGAAATATTAATGCACAGGTGCCCTGTGAAGTGTGCTGGACCTCTGGGCTCAGAAAGGACCAAGGGAGCCTCAGGCGAGCCCAGTGGGGAGGGACAGCCTCAGCTTTCCTCCTCTTACTCCCCTGCTCAGATTCTACAATATCTCTGCCCCACTCAGCCAGGCAAGTTATGGCAATGGCACAAGCTGGGGGAAGAAGATCTGGATTCCTTGCCTAGCTGGGCCACTAATTTTCTATGTAAGCCTAACTGAGTTATGCTCCTCCCCACTCCCACCTCCGCATTCTGGCCTCAGTTTCGCCATCTAGAACAAAGAAATTGTGCTAAATAATATCTTGTAGTGGTTCCTTCTGGCCTTTACGGTTTCCTTATCTAGATCAGAGACTCCAGCCTAGGGCTACTTACAGACTTACTTTGTTTGGCCCACGCTGTGTTCTTTTTTTTTTTTTTTTTTCCAGTTATTTGCTGACATTGGGAAGATTTCACACACAAATCTGAATTTCCAGTTTCTCTTGAATTCTAAGTCTTAATTGCTACATAGAAATAGTAAGCTGGATTTAAGTGGTTCTTGGGCCCTTTAGGGGCATGGGGCCTCTCCAGGTGACCACAGCCCTCACTGAGCCCTGCCACTCATGCACGTTGCTTGCTTGCCCTGAAGCACTTGCACTGGGGTCTGTGCACAGACAGTAGGGCAGCTGCGATATGAGCCCAGGTCTCTGGGAATCTAGGCCAGTGTGATTTCTGCTATATTCTGTGGCCAGTCAAGCTCTCTCCAGATGGGCAAAGAGAAAAGAGGGACAATATTTCAGAACTGCCTGAGTTTATTCTAAGGGAAGCTGGACCTAGGATGGGGGATGAGACAAAGAACTTCATGGGTGCAGCAGGTCTCTTGGTGTCGTGTGGGAAACACAAGCAGAATCAGAAGTTCCCCTGGCCTCTCCCTGGGTCCTCTTTTTCCCACCCCCAACTAGTGGCTGAGCCAAGAGGCTGGAGCTAAAGCCTCTCCCCCATTGGCAACTTTACTGATCCCTCCCCTAAACTTTCACTCCAGTGGTTAAATCATTGTCAGAGACACAAGGTCAGGCTACCAGCTGGCTGCCCCATGCAGAGGAGGCCAGTGGTGGTGTTAGCATGGGGGAGAGCCTGCGGGACAACCTGCTTTGCATCTCCACAGCCTCAGATCCCACATTACACAGCCCCAGTTGTACTCCACAGGGTTCCTAGCCCAAAGTGATGCTGAGAGGTAATCTCAGCTCTGCTGACACCTCACCCAGGGAAGGCTCAAGGGTTCTGGGGTCAGACAGACCTGGAGTTGAGTCCTGGCTGCCTATCAGCAGTGTCAATCAAGGTCAACTGAATGCTCGGTACCTCAGTTTTTTCATCTGTCAAATAAAACAAGTAATAAAACTCCTACCTCATTGAGATGTTGTAAGGATGCGACGACAGAAGGATCGTAGAGTGGCAGCACTTGCTAGGCTTTCTGTAATTGTCCATTTTCTTTCCTCCCCTTGGCTCCCAGGGATCTGGTCCTGGGAGTCCTGGGAGTCCTGGGTCTCAGTGTCCTGTAGGCGGGGAAGATCTTCCAGAAATCGAACATGAAAATATAAAGCTATACTTTAGCTTTTAGGATGGCAATGAGAAAGTAGCGTCTACTTTTTAATGATGAAATCCCTTAGACTAATCATAATTTACAAAAGATGCAGCCCACTCAGTCCCCACAGCTATTGCGTGAGCATGATATAACTACGGTCCCCACTTGCAGATGGGAAAACTGAGGGGCAGAATGGCTCAGTGAGTTGCTCATGGTCACAAAGCCAATAAGTATCGGAGGTTGCTTCTGTTGTCGGTTTATATCTGGCCATGGGGCAAGGCTTTGCCCTTTTGAAGACTCAACTCACATGGTAGGGGGTTGTCCCCCCAACCCATCCCCACTATGGGAAGTGGAGCACTTTTTCCTGGCCCTTTCTCACCTGGAATACTCATGATGAATAGTCATATCCTTCTCCTTTTTCAAAGCTAGTAGAAATTTTGCCGCCTCTGGGAAATCTTCCCTGTTTTAATCTCCGGCAAAGATTTTTCCTTCTTCACCCTGACTTCTATGCTGCTCCCAGGGTACCCACCTCCCAGGAGCATGGGGCTTCTTATCTGCCAACTCAGCAACTCCTCTCTCTGGTTGGAAGGCTGGATGACAAACCCCTGGAGGGTGGGAGCCATGCTACATTGGCCTCCATTCCAACCTCCAGCCACGGAGTGCCCTCCTCCTACCCTTTCTTCCTCACTCCCGTCCAGGATGCACAGTCCACAGGCTTCCATAACACAAGTACAATCCTCTAGCAGTATGTAGCAAAAGCCTTAAATAGCACATAGCCTCTGACCTAACAGTTCTACTTTGAGGACATTTTTCTAAAGAAATAATAAAAAGATAGGCTGGGCACAGTAGCTCATGCCTGTAATCACAGCACTTTGCGAGGTTGAGGCAAGTGGATCGCCTGAGGTCAGGAGTTTGAGACCAGCCTGGGCAATATGGTGAAACCCCATCTCTACTAAAAAAATACAAAAATTAGCCGGGAGTGGTGGCACACACCTGTAATCCCAGCTACTCTGGAGGCTGAGGCAGGAGGATCACTTGAACCCAGGAGGCAGAGGGTACAGTTAGCTGAGATCGTGCCATTGCACTCCAGCCTGGGTGCCTGAGCAAGACTTGGTCTCAAGAAAAAAAAAGATATATGTATAAAAATGTTCATCTCAGTCTTATCAATAAAGGGCAAAAATTGGACACAACTTAAGTATCCAGTAGGGGATTTTTGGTTAAATATAATACTTTGCCTCAGTACACAGGATATTTGTAGTGATTAAAATGAGGAAGTAGATCTGTATTTCATTAGCACCAAAAGAGGTTCATAAGATATTAAGGGTAAAAAGATTATAAGACAAAAAGTATAGACTGATCTCTCTCTCTCTCTTTCTCTCTCTCTCTCTCTCTGTCTCTTCATATGCGTGTGTGTGTGTAGATAGAAAGATAGAGAGAGAGATATAATATCTACCAAATATAAACAGTGGTTCTCTCTGGGTGGTAGGATTAACAAGTGATTTAAAATCTTTTACTAATCTATACTTTCTGCAGTGAGTTACTTGAGAAATTGAAGAAATAAGGAAAATATTTATTTTAAAGCTGGTGCCACAAGTTGGGCTCCAGGGGCATCTAGGTAGCACTCCCCCACCTCTGTGGGAGACCCAGTAAGGGTAGGGGAGTCTGGGGGGGGGGTGGGGTGGGCATCAGGGGCATCAGGCTTTGTTCCTGGCCTGCGTTGGGCACTCACTCTCCATGAGGGACCTTGTCAGGCCAGGTGACTGTCCCACCCCAGCCTGCACCTGCTCCGTTAATCTTCCATGTCCCAGCCAGGTCGACAGAGCCCACTGTGTCTATTGATCTAAGAGGAGGGTGTGAGGGCCCAGGAGGGGTTCCTGCTCCATGCCTGTACCTGCCGTTGCTCAGCAGCTGGGGCCTGAGCAGGAACCCTTGAGGGGGGTCGAGTTTGTCAGGGCTGATGGATGACCTGCTGCAGGAAGTGGGAATGCTGATCTCTCCTGCCACTTCTCCCCACCTCCCTGGTCCAGGCTGTTCCTGGCAGCGTTAGTCCCCTAGGCAGGACGGCTAACAAAAGAAGCCAAGTTCTTCCAGCAAATGTCCATCAACCACTTGTAGACCCCTCCCCCAGCACACATCTGCAGTACCAAAAGTGTTCTCATTTTAACCTCCCCTTAGCCCAGGAACATAGGCAAATCAGATACTAACTTTGTCATAGATGAGAAAGGGAAAGCAACTAACATATATATATACATATATGTGTATATATATATATATGTATATATGTATATATATATGTATATATGTATATATATATATGTATATATGTATATATATATATGTGTATATATGTATATATATATATATATCTGGAAAGATGTCTACCAAATGTTAACAGCAAGTGAGCTGGGATTTGACCAGATCTTTGGGCTCAAATTCCATGCTCATTTCACCATCTCTCATTGCCTCTTCATCCTGAAATTCTTCCCTCCTTAAAAAGTTCCTCCATCTCCAGGTAGCCTCCTGGGACTCCTTATTCTGCTGTGACTTGGACCACCTCAGTCATTGTAGAAACCCTCTTCCCTCACAAGTGCTGAGGCTGGGAACTCTGCCTGAGGTAGCAAGGCCGCATCTACTTTGAAATGTGTACTTAGTAGAGTCCCCTAGCTGATACAGTAGAGTCCCTGCCCCTACCGCATTATACGAGGCCTCTCTCCTTCCCATCCTGTGGCATGGTCCTGATGGCACAGCGTCCAAGAAACAAGGCTTACGCATATCATTCCCAGGGAAGGCTCATGGGTCTGCACCTAGATTACATTTATTCTTCTTTTGAGCACTGTCCCACTGAGAGCTTGGCTAACTGGCTCCCCAGGCCATACGTGATGAGGGGCAGCACACTAGAAAGTGGGTGACCCGCTGCCAGAGCCGGGCAAGCTAGAGTAGACAAGGGCAGCAGAGATAGGAGCTCAGGCCCCACAGCAGTTTGGGGCATGTGACAAAGGGATGAGCACATCTCAGGAGATCCAGGGGTGCACGGAACTGGGCCAAACACATTTGTGATAGCTCCCTAATCACCTAGACAGGCAGACACAAGGAACTAACACTTGCTGTGCTTTTATTATTTGCTACACACTTGAGGATGGCATGTGCTCTGTTTAAGCAGGTACGAAATCATGCAATACTTTTAAGAGAGTGTGTTCATTCACTGGGCCACTGTAACAAGTTACTACATACTGGGTGGCTTAAAACAACAGAAATGTATTCTCTCACAATTCTAGAGGCCAGAGGTCAGAAATCCTCGAGTTGGCAGGACAACACTTCCTCCAAAGCCTACAGGACAGACTCCTTCCATGTCCCTTCCGGCTTCTGGCGGCCCCTGGCATTCCCTGGCTTGTGGCTACCTAACTCCCGTCTCTGCCTGTCTTCACATGGACTTCAATGCGTCTCATGTCTGTTTCTTCTTCTCTTTTCTTATACGGACTTGTTTTTGGATTTAGGGCCTCCCCTAATCCAGGACGATCTCATCTTGAGATCCTTAACTTAATTATATTTGCAAAGACCCTTTTTCTAAACACGGTCACATTTACAATGTCCCGGTGGATATTTCTATTGGAGGGCCACTATTCATCTCACCGCAGAAAGATTCCTATCTAAAATGGTTACATATTTTTGAAACATACCACGTTAATATTGAACTGATTAAACCGCGGTTTGGACTAAATGTTTCTATAAAGAAGAGCGCATTTCCCAAGCAGGCCAGGTGTGTGGGACCTGGACCTACTTGAATTCCCAGAGTCCCCACCACAGATCAGGGTACATAGAGGAACTCAGCAAATTCCAAGGTGATTGGCTCATTCAATTTCTTTTACATTCCTTTCTCAAACTCCACATGGTACAGTGGGAAATTGGAGAGAAACGAGGAAAGATCATTAGTCTTTGAGTTGGGAGGCAGGAGCTCAAATTCCCTTTCTCTTCCTTACTCACTCACTTCTCAGCCTTTGAGCGCCTCTCCCAGGCCCTTCACATCCACACTTCCCCCGCGAGGCTTTCACCAGTGCAAAGTGTTCCACATCAAAGAAGCTATTCCTGCCATTCCACCATAGGCATTAAAAAAAAATTGAAGTACCACTGTAGCTGGGCACAGTGGCTCACACCTGTAATCCCAGCACTTTGGGAGGTTGAGGTGGGTGGATCACCTAAAGTCAGGAGTTTGAGACCAGCCTGGTCAACATGGCGAAACCCCATCTCCACTAAAAATACAAAAATTAGCTGGGTGTGGTTGGGGGGCGCCTGTAATCCCAGCTACTCCGGAGGCTGAGGCAGATTTGCTTGAACCGCTGCACTCCAGCCTGGGCGACAGAGCGAGACTCCATCTAAAAAAAAAAAAAAAAAAATTGAAATACCACTGTATTCATTAATTGAAGCTTTTAAGTGATGACATTACCCTCTAACTTGAAAATAATACAAGCTCAGTGCAAAAAACTAACAAAATGTAGAAGTGAGAGGAAATCCTGCGATTGCACCGCTTAGTTAATGAATGTTTTTCAAGATGTTTTTTCCTAAGCATAAACGTGCCTATATCTTTTGTACAAATGGTTTCATTCCATACCTCTAAAAGAATGTTTATCATTTTTTATCCAGAATTTTTAGATATTTTCTGGTGGAATGATTTGCATGTTACCTTGTCTGTCATCTTGTTTAAAATCCAGTTTGTTTTTTCAACTAAGCAACATGTTGTGAATATTTCCCATGTCAGTAAGCAGTATTTTACAACACAGTTTTCTATGGGTATTGTAACCTATTGTGTGATACATAGAAAATATCTGTTCTCCATGGTTGAACACTTCCCTTTGTATCTAATTTTTTTCTCATTATGAAAGATAATGTTATGAATACCTTTGTTGAGACATTTTAATGCAATTTCTGATAATTTCCTCAGGAGGATTGTCTGGGCCAACAAATTTGGCTATTTTAAGGCATTAGATAATACTGAAAACAAAGGCTGGATCAATTTCTTAAAAACTGAAAGTAATATATGGGCATGATAAAAATTTTAAAAGTAGAGAAAATCACTAATCATGACCATGACAACAACATCATCAATAACAACAGCTAACAGTCGCTGATGGCTTCATGCAGTCTCCTCCTTTTATATTTTATATAGTATACACTTACCATATATTATATTACAGATTCTATACTTAATCTTTATAGCTATCCTTTGAGAGAGGTACTATAATTATTCCTATTTCACAAATGACATTGGGGTTTAAAGAGGTCTCCTACAATCACCAAGCTGGTAGGTGATAGATTTGTCACCTGAACTCAAGGAGCCTGACTCTGAAGCCGGTGCTGTTGAGCGCTACAATCTACTAAGGAGGGAGGCAGCTCTCAGGCCTCCTGGAAAGGTCTGGGCAGAGGAGAGACAGGCGCTGCAGGCAGGAAGATTAGGTGATGACATGTGGGTGGCCCTAGAGGGAGAGGTGGTGGGGAGGCTCCAGGCAGGACTCCCTGTGTGGCTGGGGAACAGTGCCCTTCAAGAGGCAGGACAGGGCGGGATCCACAGGCATTGCAGAGGACAGTACCCAGGCAGGCGAGGTGAGAGTGGCACCAGGGTTCTAGCTTGGGCAGGTGGGTGGCTGGTGGCCCCTTTCACACAGGTTGCAGAGGAGAGGCCCAGCTCCATAGGTTTGTGCTCATGAACCTGACCTATGCCTCCTTCTGAGGCTGAGGTTGGCCCCATGCTCAGCCCCCCTCCCTTCACTAGCACCAGGCTGGAGGTTCTCACTGAGGTCTGTGGGAACCACATCCTGTCTCCCTCCCTCCTGTTTCATGTTGTCATAGATTAGATGCCCATCGCCACCACCCTGCCCTTGTTGGGGTTAGGGGCTGAGGTTTCCCGATCTACTTTCCTTGCCCTTAAAGAAAGGGGGCTCACCTCTCTCCTTTGCCCCAAGTGTTGATTGTTCTCACAAGAGGCAGTGACTGGAAAGGGGTCTGCCTGCTAAACATACACCTCTTTCTACCTCCCCTCCCCTCCTGTGGGCCCAGAGTCTCAGCCATTATTCCCTAGGCCTACAGCAAAGCCATGGCCCATAAGGTGTCCAGTAAGAGGCCCAAAGAGCAGGGGACAGCCTGGCCGCCACATTCGTTCAGTTCAGTTTTATTAAAAATACCACCGCTGCCACTGAACACCTACCACTTGCTAAGTATTCAAGGGACACAGCGATGTCCTGGACATGGCCCCTGCTTTCAAGCCACGACTCTAGGCCCAGACAACCAGAGTCCTACCTGAGGGATAGAGTCTGTGTCAAGGGGACAGAGGCGTAGCCATCCATTCTAAGTGGGGGAGTCCAGGCTGAGCCCCTGGTGCACTCGGGGCTGGACCCTGCTCTGCCACTATCTCTGTTGTGACCCTGGGCCAGTCTCTTCTCCTCTCTGGCCTTCAGCCTCCACAGCTGTGAAACCAAAGAATGGGACTCAGTGGTCTCTGAGGCCGTTTCCAGCCTGGGCTTGAGGGAGTTTTCTTCCTGGAGTCCTTTTGAGCTGTTGCTGGCTTTTTGCAACCACTTTTTAAAAGCAGTGAGTGAGAAGAGGCGGGGTGGGGGTGGAGAGCACGGGAACTGTAAAGAAATTCTCAGACTGGTCTGTTGCTTTTTGTGTGTGGACCAGGGACTAGGAAGTGCTAGGGGGAGGGTGGGGGGAGAAGGCCAGGGATGGAGTGAGGAGGGGGAGAGGAGGGTGCCTGGAGGGGACAGAAGAATGAAATAAAGGCAATCCAACAAAAGGAAGTGAAAAGTGAATGACAAGTTTGAGGCTGCAGGCTCTAGGCCGGCTAGGCCTTTAGCGGGAAGAATGGAGACAAACGAGCTGGATTTTCATGCTTGGTGGACGTGAATGAAGGAGCATCTTTTAAAACCCTATCAGGAACTCTTTGGATTGTCATTAGATCTGGAAAGGGGAAAAGACGGAGGGAGGAGATTGCTGAATTTGGCCCCTGGGTGTGAAAAGCTCCCAGATTCTTCACTGGCGGCTGGGGGCTTCATGCTCTCTCCTTGCCAGAGCCAGGCACACCTGGGCCCCTGAAAGCTTTCGGTAGATTATTTGTCATTCTGAGGGCCCTTGAAATTCAGTGGTGGTCTCCTTCTGCTCTTGGTGGGTGACCCCACACTGGAGCTACAAGGAAGTGGGGGCTGGGGGTGGACTGGGGGGAGCTCCAGGCTTCTGGCTCCTTGGAGGGTGACCAACCATCTGGGTTTGCCAGGGACACGGGACTTGCAGTGCTAACACCGGAAAAGTCCAGGACAAACCAAGATGACTGGTCACCATACTTTTGGGTGGGGGCTGGTAGGGACAAGAGGGGAGGGAAGTGAATTGCTCAAGGCTGGTCCCACCAAGCCCTGGGGTTAGGCTGGTACTGGAGCCTTGGTCCTGGCCTCCAGCAGGCATCTGGGATACAGGCTGGGAGGATTTTTGTTTGTTTGTACTTTTAAAAAAAAGACAATTAGAGACTTTTGCCTATGACTGGATACTAGATCATGTTTCAGAATTTCTCATGCATTGTAAAAATAGTTTGGTGGTTATGTTTTTAAAAATATTCTTACCATTTAAAAATGGACACTGAAGAATTTACCAGTGGATGATAGATACCTGGGATGTACTTTAAAATATTCCACCAAAAAAAGTCCGTGCAGGTTTGGGGTGGAGGCAAACCGATGAAATGAGGTTGGTAATGAATTGGTGGTTGCAGAAGCTAAGGAATGATGCGTGAAGACACATTATTCTATTCTTTCTGCTTTTGTCTATGTTTGGAAGTATCCAAAATCCAAACTCAAAAAACAAAGAAAAGAAAAGGGGAGCATATCAGTGATGCAAAGTAGCAGTGGTTAAAAGCACTGGCTCTGGGTCAGGACAGCATGGGTCCAAGTCTAACTCCACCTCTACTGGGTAACTGGCAGCATGTTTTTTAACCAATATCAGTGTTATCATTTGTAAAATGGGAATAATAATTCTAATAATTAGTCTATGATCTCAGAGACTAACAAATGGAAAGCACTAGCAGTGTGCCTAGACATAGTATACTCTCAATAAAAAGTAGTTGTTGTTAAGCAAAGATAGGTGATTTGTGGGGAGGACATGCCGTTTCAGCCCAGAGATCCCTTCAGAGCTTGGATCCTGGGAGTGTGGGTGATTTCCTGGAATAAACCTCTCCTGAAGAGGTCAGCTATCGGGACTCAGACCTCACCTATACAATGCACCCAGGCAGGCTTCTTCCCTTCCCACGCCTTCAGCCTGCAGAGAGCCCTCTGCCTGCCCCTCTTTTCTGTTCTCAGTCTTATGTATTTGGCAGAGTTTTCTCCCTACCTCCTCCAGGAAGTCTCAGTGCTGTGCTTATACCTTCATGCCTTTGCTTGACCAGTTTTCCTCTGGTCTCTGTCAGTCAACCAGAAACTGCAAGAGGGCAGGTTGCAGGATGAGCACACGGAAGCTCAGGGATGTGCTGGTTCACACGTAGTGACAGCACACACACAGAAACAAGTGCAACACATGGCACACACACATACAACCCTGAGGCAGGTATGTCAATTCCTGCTAACAAATGGGATCAGAGGTTAGAAAGCCTGAGATGCAAGAGCAGAAGAAGGGGGGACCTGGCCTTGTTCACTGTGGGGTTCATGGTGCAGAATTTAGTACACTGTGAGCAGTAGATGCCAGGGGCTGTCAGCAACTGGAGCCAGGTTCACTGCTGAGGTCTGTGTTGTCAGAATTCAGTGCCAGGTAGAGGGCCATGACGATGAGGCACTTGCCTTCATTTCAGGGGACTGCACCAAGAGACCTGGACACTGGAGGTCAAGAGCTGACCTCCTGCCAGGATGACAGTCATTCCTGGTGGTGCAATGGTCACAAGAGTGGAAATCTTAAAAGCCACCATTTATTCTGCACAGGTGCTGGCACTTGTCTTGTGTTACTTTATTTAATCTTGACAATTACTCTATGAGAAAAGTAACATTGTATCCTTTTATAGTTGAGGAAACTGAGCCTCAGAGACATTAGGCCATTGGCTGAATGTCACACATCTAAGAAGGGGCAAGGCTTGGATTTGAACTTCTCCAGGCTGGCTGTCTGTCTTTGGATTCAATACTCTCAGCTACAGCATTATATATGCAATTTCTGCTGAGCAAAAAAGGATATTGGGGAAGGATTTACTGTGGAAATTACATGCTATCTGGAATTTGTTTCAAAATAATTCATGAAGAAAGTGCCAGGAAAAATGGGTGGGGATGTAGGTGAAATATAATTGTCTCTGAGTAGATAATTCCTGAATCTGGGTGATGAATAGCTGAGAATTCATTATGCTCTTCTCTCTACTTTTGAAATTTTCCATAATACATTTGACTTGCTCTGGGTTCTACCATGGGTTCTACCATGAGTGACCTTGAACATGTTGCTGAACCTCTGTATGCCTCTAGTTCCTCACTAGACTTGGCTCCATCTGTCCCCAACTAATTGCAAGATTGCAATGCCACTCAATCTATGCTCAGGGAATAAAGAGTGTAACAACACCTGGATCTGCTGAGACATGGGTCCCCTTATTTCTAAGGGCAGCCACAGACCCTTTTTAACTAAAGATCTTTCTTTTGCCGCCCACTTCCCAGAAAGAAAAAGTCAGAGAGCTGCCTGTGCATTTGGTCTGTGTCTGAACTTCAGGAATGGAAAAACAAAAATAATTGTGTGTGTGTGTGTGTGTGTGTGTGTGTGTGTGTGTGTGTGGTGGGGGAATGTGCAGTGTGCTGCTCACTCCACCTGTGTGGGTCTCCTCGTCTCCCCTTCCAAGTAGCCACCTGTTCATTCCTCATTCAAAAGGGCCCTGGGGGCCCCAGGCAGAAGGGTGGTGCCCAGACCCTGGGGGAGGCAAATGAGGCTCTGGGCCTCCCAAACACTGGGGATGATAAATGGGGTCCGAGTCTTTCAGGCTTCATTATAGAGTCGCCATGGGTTTGCCCAAACCATGGCAACCGATTCAAGCAATGATTAACCTAATAAAGCAGAGGCAAAGGGGAAAAAGATGCATTCAAGACCCCAAGTCAGGCCCTGGTTCTCTAGAGGCAGTAAATTTCCCTTCAGTGGGTGCAGTGTTCAGGCCCCAGACATCCTAAATCTATGCCTTCGGGAGTGGGGGCAGGGAGGCCTGTGAAAGCCTGTGTGAATGGATGTCAGGTATCAGCTGGGGTGGCTCAAATGCACACATAGCAGTCCCCTGGGCCCTTCTTGGAAGCCAACCCAGTACTGGGGATAGGGAGACATCTGCTTTAACCCCAGTAGTCAAATTACCTGGGCTTTCTTTTTTTGAACTCTGGTGTATTTGACCCTGAGGAGGTAGTGGTGTGTGTATGCATGTGTGTGTGTGTGTGTGTGTGTGTGTGTGTGTGTTTGTGTGTGTGTGTACATATGTCTGTCTGCCTGTCTCTGGGGTGTGGAAAGCAGGTAGCAAAGATTTCTATGTTTGATCTCAGCCAAAAGGCCGAGAAGCAATTGGAAGCAAAGGTTTCTGTTACTGTCAATGTGATGGGCAGCCTGTAAAATACCCACCATGATCTCTGCCTCCTGGTATTCATGTCTCTGTCTTGGATGTCCCCCCTTCACACCTTGGTTGCTTGCATTGAGGGAAGCCAGTTGCCATGCTGTGAGCCACCCTATGGAGAGGCCAACATGGCAAGGAGATAAAGGATGTCTCTGGCCAAAAGCCAGTGAGGAACTGGGGCCCTCATTGCAACAGCCTTTGAGGAATTGAATTCTGCCAACAACCACACGAGTGGGCTTGGAAGTGGCTCCTACCCTAGTCAAGCCATCAGGTGAGACCATATTCCCAGCTGACCCTCTCTGACTGCAGCCTCATGAGACACCTGAACCAGCTAAGCCACACCTGGATTCCTGACCCACAGAAGCCACACATGATAAATGTTTCTTGCTTTAAGGAGCTAAGTTTTGGGTAATTTGTTATGCAGCAATAGCTAACTAGTACAACAGAGGCAGTGTAGCTGGTGATGATGTTATGTTAGCAGGAGCCTCAGTTTGTCTCCGTAATGATCAGGTTTGGGTGCTTGGGCAAGTCCCATCACACTTGCCTGGTTAATTTGGGAAGGTCAGTTCTGGCTCATGCTTTCTTCACTACCCATCTGTAGGAATAAGACGGAGACGAGATGGGTGCTATAATGAGTCTGCCTCATCTTCATCTCATGAAATCCTGTGAGGTAAGCACGGTTTTCTCCATTTTTGTAGCTGGAGAAACTACAGCTACAGCAAGTTACTTGCAGAGGCTAAGTAACTTGCCCAAGGTAATAGGATTAGGAAGTACTGGAGTTGAGATAGATCCCAAGCCTCATGCTCTTTCCACTCACTCAGGAGGGATCTCAGTTTCTCAGGAGGGATCACCTACACATGAACTACTGGCATTGTTACCATGATCTCAGAAACAATGATATGGTACTGTTGTGATAATCTGTTCTTACTTAGTCAGATGGGACATCTTCTGAAATAGATTTATAGGCAGCAAAGGACAGGTTATTTTTGTGCAGAGGATATGAAGCAGGAGGGTTAGTGGGTCTCTATATGACTCATTCATCCATTCATTTATTCAACAAAATTCCTTGGCCTTTATGTGCTAGCCATTCTGGGGAGGGATAAAGATTTCTAAGCAAATAATTGCAATGCCTTTTATTCATTTATTAATAGTCAATTCACTCACTCATTAATTCATTCTGAAAACATGTGGCATTTGGGCTGGGCACAGTGGCTCACACCTGTAATCCCAACATTTGAGGAGGCTGAGATGGGAGGATTGCTTGAATCTAGGAGTTTGAGACCAGCCTGGGCAACATGGCAAAACCCCATCTCTACTAAAAATACAAAAAATTAGCCAGCTGTGGTGGTGCACACCTGTAGTCTCAGCTACTCAGGAGGCTGAGGTGGGAGAATCACCTGAACTCGGGAGGTTGAGGTTGCAGTGAGCTGTGATCACATCACTGCACTCCAGCCTGGGCAACTGGAGTGAGACCCTGTCTCAAAAAACAAAAAATAATAACAAAATATATGACATTTAGTCCAAAATGGGTAATCAGTGTTCTTCTCATTGGAGACATGAAGATGAACATAGTCCCTGCCCTTGAGGAGATCTCACAGATCAATGGACAGTGCAGATAAACAATCACTACACTACCTGCAAAATGCTACAATATTCACATGCACAGGATATTATGGGAGCAGGGAGCAAGGAAGGAGGCATAGTACAGAGAAAGCTCCCAGGCAGAGGTGATATCCATGTTGAAGGTTTGGGGAGGGAAAAAAAGAGAGAAGGTTTAGACAGACAGAACAGTGTGTGTGTGGGATGGGGGGAAAAGCATTGAAGGGGTACCTGAGTGTGTGTAAAGGGAAAACTTCAAGCAGGTCATCACTTCTGGAGGGTAAATATCAAGGCAAATGAGGCATTGTGAGAAAGAGACTGGTGTGGCAGGACTCTGGCCATAAGCATACCTGACTTTTGATGATGAAAACAAATAATAATAGCATATGTAATCCAATTTAATCCAGACCACGATGCTGTGGTAGAGTCTGCCCACTGCCTGCCAGAATACATTCTTCACGTCTTCTAGGCACATAGTCGCTCTTCCAGCTAGATGAGGCCACGTGATCATATTCTTTTTGTGAAATGTGAGCAGAGGTGATGTGTGCTACTTCTGAGCATAAGTTTTAAGGCTGTGGGTAAGCCTCCTCCATGCCTTATTTCCCCTTTCCCCTGGCTGGAACTTATGGCAATGAAACTTCAACCATTTGGTTGGCAAGGATCTGGGAGCTGGTGGAGGAAGAAGATGAAAGGATCCTAGTCCCAGAATGATGTCATGGAGCAGAGGTTCCCACCCACCTGGAATACTCACCTCAGATTGAATTATTAGAGAGTCTCTCCTACAGCAACCAAGCTTTAAGCTTACTAGAACCCTAAAAAGTAATATCGCTATCCCCATTTTATGGATAAAGAAATGGAAAGAAAGATTAAGGAATTTGTGCATGTTTATACTGATTGTTAGTGAACCAGCTGGAAATTGAGCCCAGATTCATATAAATTCACAGCTCACACTATAAAATTATTCCTAGTTAGAACATCAGCTTTATCCTATGCAATGATGGGAAACCATTTGAAGATTAAACAGGAGAGTTACAATGTTATATTCACATATTAGATGGGAACTCTGGCTGCTGCATGGAGGGTACAATGATGAGTGTCAAGATTAGAGGTGGGGCCAGATGTGGTGGCTCATGCCTGTAATCTCAGCACTTTGGGAGGCCAAGGTGGAAGGATCACTTGAGCCCAGGAGTTCAAGACAAGCCAGGCCAACATAGTGGGACCCCATCTCTACAAAAATTGTTTTTAAAAATTAGCTGTGTGGTGGCATATGCCTGTGATCCCAGCTACTTGGGATGCTGAGGTGGGAGGATCACTTGAGCCCGGAAGATCAAGGCTGCAGTGAGCCATGATCATACCACTATACCCTGGCCTGGGAGACAGAGTGAGATTCTATCTCAAAAAAAAAAAAAAAAAAAAAGGACTAGAGGTAGAGAGATCAGTTAGGTATTCTCTGCAGATAAGGGATAAAAGCCTGAACTAGGGCAGTGGTCACAAGAAAGCAAAGAAGGAGCCATGTTCAACAAAAAACGAGAAAGAAAATCAGCAGGACTTGAGGGTTAACTAGATATGGGTAGTGAGAGATCAAGATGAACCCCAGATTTCTAGTATGAGGGATGCTACTTAGTGAGATCAGGAAAAGGGGACAGCATTAGCTTGGGGAACCAGGAGAGGATTTCCATTTTGGACTTCTTATTTGGAGTGCCCTAGGGACATCTGAACATTTGATCTTAGAGCTCAGAAACGGTAAGTTTACCAGGAAGGGATGGGTGACTCTTGGCCTTTCTCCTAGTTTACAATACACAGGGGTGCAGAGAAAATTCAAATTCATACAAAAGCCCTCTCCTCCCCAAAATGGGGGAGAATGAGAAGATTTCTTTTTTTTTTTTTTGAGACAGGGCCTCACTCTGTTGCCCAGGCTGTGGTACAGTGGTGCGATTTCGGCTCTCTGCAACCTCTACCTCCTGGGTTCAAGCAAGTCTCATGTCTCGGCCACCTGAGTAGCTGGGATTGCAGGTGTGTTCTACCATGGCTGGCTAATTTTTAAATTTTTAGTAGAGATGGGATTTTGCTATGTTGGCCAGGCTAGTCTCAAGCTCCTGGCTTCAAGTGATCTGCCCACCTCGGCCTCCCAAAGTGCTGGCATGAGACACTGTGCCCAGCTGAGAAAGAGAAGAATTTGAGGCAAATAAAGAGCTAATTATAGTAAATACCACTTATGGAGGCTTAGAAGGCTGGATAAGCATGTTTAATCAGTACAATAGCCCAATTAAGTGGCTACTATTTATTGTCCCATCTTCATAAATGAGGAAAAGGGTTCTTAGGAGAGACAAGGAGGTTTAATTGAAAACCACTAGGTTGTGGCAGACTGGAACTTGAACCTATGTCTGTGGGGTTCTAAAGTCATATCTTTTAACCACTCTAATCTCCTGTGTATGCATCTGGAGGACTTCCTTTGGGCTTTGTTCTTGGAATAACTAAAGCTTGTAACCCAAAGAATGAGAGTCCGGTTGAGGGCAAAGTTCCAAACCAGTTCTCCCAGCTAGGGCTGCCTCAGCTTAAATTTTAAAGGTTGTTCACCTCGGACCTCTCAGATGCTATCAGAAAGTCCTAAGCTAGTTACTTAATTCTAGCTCCATAATTTGTAAGGGTGGGAGCCCTAAGGTGCACAGAGAGAAGGGCAAGTCAGTTAGTAGCAACAGAGCCCTTGCTTTCCTTATCGCACTAGGGAAACCTGACAGTCCTCTGGGTCTGCATGTCCACAGGGGCCTCCCTAGGACTACGAACTGGAATCGTGGGCAGAGGGGGTTGATAGGTTGTTTCCAGTATGAGAACGCCTCACTCCCAGACGCATCTCTCGCGCTGGATCTACGTGGTCATTTCAGCACCATGGTCAGGGGCGCGCAGCTGCATTTCGGGATCTCAGAGCAACTGCTAGACAGCCTTAGCTGGACAGGCGTCCGCTCCGTCGGCCTTGGCCCACAGATCCCAGAAGCAGAGACAGCAGACAGGAGACTGGAACTTCGTCAGGGGTCCAGGGAGGCCAAAGCTCAGGGACCCCTGGACCTTATAAGACCACAAGGACCCAGTTCTAGCCAAAGGACATATTACTATAGACTGATTCGCCATCTCCAGTACTCTTATCTATGGGCACAGAGGAAAGAGTTCCAAACTGCTAGCTTAGAACCAGGGTGTCAGTCCTAGTTTGTTGCAATAACTCGCCTAGTGATTGAGGGCCTTGGGCAAGTCATCTTCTCTCTTTCCATAGGTGTGACCACACTGCCTTGCACACCTCACTGGCTCTAGGAGGGTACCGGAAATAAAAAGTGTCTAGCCTCAAGTCATTTACTGCTCACTTGGCCCTTGGAAGGCAGAACAGCCAGGTAAGGTTAGCAGTGTCACCACCCCCCACCCCACCCCTCCACTCTCTCACACACTTTTGTTGAAATCTGTCTGCAGGGATTTTTAAAGGGGGCAGACGGAAAGCCTCACAGCAGAGAGTATTCCTTACATAAATGTAATTACAATGTACCCAGCGGTTGTTCTGTGCCACATTCTCAGGTGAATCCCCCATACCTTCCCCACACTGTCTCTAGTCTCAGGGTCTGAAGGGTTTTTTTCACCGCTTCCGGTCTTGAGGGGACTGTGACGCCGTTCACCTTGTGCCAGCCTTGTGTTAGGCACCCAGAAACCCAGCGAAAGGATATTAGGAACTCTTTCCAACTTCTCTTGTGGATTAGCTGAGGCAAGGAGACTTGTCCAAGGTCACACCGCTCGGTAGTCCGCGAGGGAGAGAAGGAACAGTATGCGCCTGTGGGGTCGCGTGCGCCCCGGGCCCCGCCTACCTTTGTGCCAGCCCAGCGGCCTGGCTCCCAGACATTAGCATTCCAATGGCCCCGGGACGCTTTTGTCCTCCGACTGAGGCCGGCTGGGGGTGGGGTGGGATGGGGGCAGGGCACCATAAATCTACCTGCTTGTGTGCCAGCGCGGCTTGACTGGAAGGAGGAGCAAGATTCATGTGCGGTTTTTCTGGAAGCCAGTCTTGGGCTCAGACAAAAGCAGAAGAAGGGGGGAGAGCCATTCGACGAGAGGGTCTTTCCTGCCCGGGTTTCGGACACTGTTGGAGTTTCAGGGAGCTTGGGCGCAGGCGGCGATCTCAAAGCGCAGCAGGCTCCGCAGAAGAGGCGGGCTCCGGGCAGAGACCGCTAGCAGCGCGGTTTAAAAAGCCCCAGGACTCAAAACGCCGCAAGAAGTGGAAGGCGGGGACGGTGGTGCAGAGCTAGTTGGACAGGCCACCCCTAGAAATGTTTCCGAGCCCTTCTTGCTCAGGGGTTCTTTGGAAAGAGGCATGGACGAGGTTTCCCACTCCAGCGTGATTCCACACACTTAGACGGAGCTCATCCAGCACGGAACCCTAAACTTTGCCTCCGTGATTCAAAGAAACCCTAAACCCTCCTCCGCCTTCTCCTGACTTGGAGAGTGGGGCTGACTGCTCCGGGGGTCTAATCCGCCCCAACCCAAGGTGGCGGCCTAGCAGCCGAGTTGGTTAACCCGTACGTGTGTGTTTTAATTTGTGGGGCGGAGGACCAGTCTGTGTGTGTTGGGTGACTAATGGCTCCTTAATGAGCGCCCTCAAAAGCAGGAGAGGGACTGGGCTGTGGGGGAGAACGCAGCTCACCCGGTTGCCGCCTGGAGAACGTTAGCCCAACAAACGCCCCTCCAGCTTCTGGGGGTAGTTTGTACCCAGAGAGTCCCCTGCCTAGATGATGAACAGTACTTCGCACAGCCTTACCCAGAAAGAAGAATCTTTCCACTTGAGGAATTCCTCTCCAAATCTTTAGTCCTGGCCCAAATGCCACCTTCTCCTGCAAGCTCCCGGCACTCCAGCCCCAAGGTGGCAGTTTGATGTTCCATCCTGTGGCTCATATCTCCCTCAACCACCAATATTTCTTAGGCCTTAAGTGATTTTGTCTATATCCTTGCTACTGTCCTGCCAGAATAGAGAGACCTTCTCGATTTTTGTGTCTGCCTACCCCCTACCCCTAACGCCCAGCAAATCACAGGTGTTTGCTTGGTTTGTGCAACTCCCAAGCTGCTGACACCTGTCCCCGGGCAGTGACCCAGGTGGAAAGTTGGCTATTGCAGAGGTCATCAATAACCCATTAATCTCCTCCTCCCAGATTAAAGCCACAGAATGAAACAACACCTTCGTTCATTCGTTTGTTTGCCATGTCCCTCTTCCCGCCCTCAAATCCTGCCGCTGATAACTGAGACAAGTCTCCTCTGAGCTAACTTTAGAGATTTGTGGTAGAGAAGAGGAAAATTTCCATTTGAATTGGGTAGGGCATAGGAGAGAAAGAGAGATGCAAGAGGCATTAACCCCTGAGAAGACACCACCTTTGCACTCTAATGTGCTGGAAAAGCAACCTCTCCACCAGTTCCTGGGGCCTGGCAGCACCGCGCCTGACCTGGGTTGGCCCACTTCTTCCCAGGACACCCCTGGCCAATTCAAGGAGGCCTCTGTAGTTCAACTAGCAGGTAGGGTGCCCGTCCTTCACTTTCCTATTCCCAAGCAGCAGGCGAACTCTGGATCCTTACAGCTTAGACCATATTCTCTGAGGTCCTAGGGGTCCCTGAAGTCATGTAGTGGTGCTCTACTGGCACTCCTGGGACAGATTTCAGTGCTCATGCTGCACCAGTCCTATTCCACCTTGCCAGTAAGAGACATGGTGTGGCTGGAAACCTTGAACAGTTTCTTAATAAGTTTTCAATCAAGGCTGCCAGGTGATGAGGGAGGGGGCGTTGCTGGATATTCCAGCCAGACGCTCCACCTTCTTTGCTCCTGGCTGCTCAGTTCAAGGAGTTCACGACACAGCCACCTCAGTGCCTGGGGAGTAAAATATGCTCAGGGGATTTGCTAGGCCTCTAAGCACCTTGGGAAAATTCCTAGGATGCCCAGCCCAGCCGTGTTTCCGAGGACTCTGACTCTGCAATTGAATTATTACTGTATCCCTTCCCCAAGTGCAACCAACAGTTGCTCTAAAGCTAGGCTGGTGGAGTTGGGGAAAGGGCCAGCAAGTGAGAGTCAGTTGTCCTAGTTGGAGGCTTGTCTTTCTTCTAAACCACTCTTTGAAATAAGAGGAGTCATTGCCCTATATAGAAAAAAGGGAGCTGGACCAATAATTACTTAGAAGACTTCCAGCTCTCCAAACCCAATCTGCCCTGGCTCTAGCCCAGACCTCCAGAAAGAGTGTCATCCCTCTCTTTGGACAGAAGTGCTCTTCCTCAGCTGTAGTGACTGTGGCCCTCCTCTCCCCAACACACAATGGAGTCATCTTGCCAAGGCTTCTTGAAGGTCCATTTTTTTTTATTGGCTTAAAATCTCATCCAGCAATCCCTAAATAATCTAATATACAAAATATAGGCTTTTCCCTGCTGTGAAATCTCATTAATAAATACAAATGTGTAAAACAGGGGAGGGGCCATATAATTTACTGTACCAAAATTGATTTCAAAAGGCATCATATAATTTACAAACAGATTTAAAAAAAAAAGATGCGCGGTGCTCCAGGCACCTGCAGCGCAGCTCACGTTTCAGGCGCAGTTCGCAGGGAGGCTGGGGAGATGCTCCCTGGCCGGGCTAGCGCTTTCCCAGTTCACAGCCTGGTCTTCCGCCCCGGGAGGGCAATGGCTCCGAAAAGTGCACGAGGAGAAGGCAGAGGGTCGCCTTCGTGGCTTTAAGGCAGAGTGAGGCGCCCTGAAATCCCGGACCTGATTGGGAGTAGAGCAGATCGGCAGCGTCTTTGGAGCAAGGCAAGGGGAGTAAGCGCTGAGAGACCAAACATTGGATTGAATCACATTGGAGGAGGGGTGGTAAGAGACTGAGAGGCAGACAGACTTGAGTGAGGGTAGGGCGACCCAAGACGGTGGGCGGCTCCGGCCGGGTAGTGCTACCATTCTAGTATTCTTTGAATGAGATTATGGGGTGGTGGCAGAGAGGAGGCCTAAAATGAGCGCACTTTGCAATGCCCACTTCGCGCGGGCAGCAGCAAGGGTTGCGTGCGTTGGCGCGGCTCGGAGGGCCGGGGAATGAACCCAGCCTGCCGCCCCCGTGGAGGCCTGGGCCGGCCAGGGGTCAGCCAGGGAGAAGCAGAAGGAACAAGTGCTTTTGAGGGCCGCCGCCGTCGGCCACCCTCTACGGCTCCCGGCTCCCTCCCTCTCCCTTACCCTTAGCACCCACAGCCCAGCGACAGACAGGTCCTTTCACAGAAAATCTGAGAAAGCCAGACTGCCTGGGCTCAAGCAGGCGGAAAAGGTGGCCCCCAGCAGCCCGGGTCGCTCCTCCAGCGACGCGGCGGGACTCAGGCTGCCAGCCTGGGAGACTGGGGAGTAGAGGGACCCCCAGTCCCCGGGGGAACCGCCTGGGCTGCCCAGCTCCCCGCAGTGCGGCGCCGGCGGCTCCAGCGCGTACAAGCTGTGGTCCGCTATGCGCAGCGTTTGAGTCAGCGCCCAGATGTAGTTGTGGGCGAAGCGCAGCGTCTCGATCTTGGTGAGCTTCGCGTCGTCTGGGAAGGTGGGCAGGACACCGCGCAGGGCGTCCAGTGCCGAGTTGAGGTTGTGCATTCGATTGCGCTCGCGGTCGTTGGCCTTCTTTCGCCGACTCCGTCGCTGCTTGCTCAGTGCCAACTCGCTCTTAGGCCGGCTGCGTCCCCCGCGCCGTGCCCGGAGCTTCCTCGGGGCCCCTCGGCAGCCTCCCTCTTCCGCCTCTGCGCAGTTCCCCCGTGTGCGAGTGGGGCTGGGCGGGGCGGACGTGGGGCAGGTCACTTCGTCTTCCGAGGCTCTGGGGAAGGACCGCTCCGTCTCACGGGTCACTTGGACAGTGGGCGCACCCGAGGGTTGAGGCGTCATCCTACGGCGGGGTCAGAGGGAAGGGTAAGTTTGAGTCCGTCACTGGGCGCAGTCCGCGATTCCGAGGCTAGGTGGGAAAAAACAAAAACAGCCATCCTCCCAGCCCCCGCTGGGTCAGAGGATCCCTCTTTCCCCTGCCCGTCCCTCGGAGGCCTCCAAATATTACCTTTCTACCGGCGCAAAAGAATAGAGAGCGATGAGCAGCGAGGGCCGTGGGGAGCTCAGCGGGCTTCTGGTCGCCAAGTTCAGCTGAGCTGCAGGCGCCCCCGCCTGGGAGTTGCCCCAGCCCCAAAGGAGAAAAGAAGAGAGAATGGGGTCCGAGGCCTCTGTCACGCTCTCTCTCGAGGCGCGGCGGTGAGACCGCAGGGATTTCCTGAGCAGCAAGTCGTGTGCCCCTTGGCACGCTTTATCTGCTTCGCCCGGGCCAGGAGCGTGCCTGCCCGGCTGCTGCCCGCGCCACCGGCCAATCAGCGCCGGGGCCCTGGGGCCGCGCCACGCGAGCCCGCTCCTCCCCCGCAGGGCACAGCTGGATTCCGGACAAAGGGCCGGGGTCGGGGGAGGGGAGCGCCGCTCTGTTTGCTCTCTCGAGGGCGGGCTGGGTCCCAGCAACTCTCGGTTCCTCAAAGAGCCTCGCCCAGTGAGAAGAGCCTCGTGTGGCTCTGGTCAGGCCACCTCAGACGGCTTTGCTCCTAGCCTATCTTTCCTTAGCATCTGTCCTGGAGGGGACTTTGATGCCTCTAGGGTACAATGCCTGCACGTTACACATGGGGAAATTTAGGCTTAGTGAGGGAGGTGGCTTGTCTGAAATCGCACAGGAAGATAGTGGCAAAGACAACCACGAGCTCATTGTCCTGACTAGCAGCCTGGAGAAGGGTCCAGGAATTCTAAAGGACGCCCTGCTCTCCTGGTGTTTCACTGCCTCTCTTCATCCTGGAAGACAGGGGACATCACTGAGAGAGATCCTGCCTATGTCCCTTCCATTCGCAGACCTTTTGGGGGTGTCCGAGCCTCTGCCACACCCTGAGATGCTACCTCACACTCCCCAGAGGCGCTTAGAACCCCACCCCCATAGATCCCACTCCAGAGGCAGGGGTTGGCTGTGCGGGGACCCCTCAAGCGGACATTCCATTACTACAAGCCTACTACAGCTTGTAGATAGTATCCCAGCGTTCTGGCCAGGAACCGTGACAGGAAGAGTTCTGGGAAGTGTGAGGAGGGGAGGAAGGAACCAGGAGTTCACAGTGAGCTCTTGCTTCTTTTTTTTTTTAAACGAACAAACAAAACCAAAAAACGGTCTCCTTCTGTCGCCCAGGCTGGACTGCAGTGGTGCAATCACAGCTCACTGCAGCCTTGATCTCCTGGGCTCAAGCTATCCTCCCACTTCAGCCTTCCCAGTAGCTGAGACTACAGGCATGCGCCACTGTGCCCGGCTAATTTATTTGTATTTTTATTTTGTATGGGGTGAGGGGCGGTCTTGCTTTGTTGCCCAGGATGGTCTCGAACTCCTGGGCTCAAGCGTTCCTTTCACTTCAGTCTCCCAAGGCGCTGGGAAGCAGAGCTGCTGTGCCCCTCCCCCTCGTGTCTTTTGAACTACCACAGCGTGCAGGCACTGGGAGAAGCTGATAAACTTTTTCTCCCCTTAGTCCTCCGGTCCAATCACAGACAGACAGCAGCTGCCAGCAGTCACCTGCTCCAGCCCCCTGCCTCTGCATCACTCGGGCATCGCACAGAGAGCACAAGGCAGGGACTTCCCCAGCCCCTTGGGTTGTCCCTGGTAGCGCTCTCTGGAAACCTTTCCAAAGGGACTCTGAACTCATCATCCCTCCTTTCTTCCCCAGCCCCTCCTCTTGTCCCCGCCTGGGACATCCCGTGGTCTTCTGCTTCCGGTCACTCAGAGTGAGGGGTTGCAGCTTCCGCTTCTCTCTCTTGACCCGGTCGTGCCTGGAGGAAGACGCCGAGGCGGGAGGTTTAAGTATCCCGGTTTAAGTCTCCTTAGGCGAGGAAGGCTTCTCTTTCTAGCAGGTCCAGATATCCTGAGTCTCCCGGAAACTGCAGGAGGGGACAGGACCCGACTTCGAGACTGTAGGGTGGGGTGAGGGGATGAGGTAGGTCTGTGAGTCTGCCCTAGTGATAGCCTCTTACCGCCTAGGCTGCTTGGGGGCAAATTTTCCTCCAAGGAAGAGGGTGGTATGCTCAGGAACCAGCGAGAGGGGGGCTCTAGGACTGGGCGGGGGTGTGGCGCGGTCCTGCTGATCTTAGCTGGTGCTCTGTGAGCAGGCTCCTTCCCTTGCTGTGGGGAAATGAAGCCTGAGACCAGGGTCAGAACCAATAAAGGGACCATCTGGGACTGTCAGGTTAGCATTTTGCTGCAGCTGCTCCCTTAGGTCACCACTCACTAGGAGCTTGTCTTCTTCTCATAAGAATGGGAATTTGAGGCCTTCTTTAAAGATGAAAAAATCAAGGCCCAGAGAGGGGGAGTGACTCTCTCAAGGTCACACAGCAAGTTCTATCAGAACCACATAGAAGTCATATCTTAAGACTCCTAGCCCTAGATTTTCCCTTGCACCAGCTACTGCTCCTTGATTTGGGAGAAAACATTTTTTTTCAAGGCAAAACAAGAGACCCCAAAATGCAGAAAATAGAGGAAGTCCTGAGTCTGGGGGTCAGATTAGAAAAGAAATAATGGTCCCATTTTCTAGGCAAGGGGAACCACTGTCCATTCAAGCTGCTGCTGCTGCTGCTGCTTCCTCCTCCTCCTCCTCCTCCTCCTCCTCCTCCTCTTCTTCTTCTTCTTCTTCTTCTCCTCCTTCTTCTTCTTTCTCCTTCTCCTTCTCCTCCTCCTTCTCCTTCTTCACACTTGTCTGCCTCATAGGCCAGCCTTGCCTGATTTATTTAACTGCAAGTTAGAAACTGGGAGAGAACCAACTTGGAGCTTTTTTGGTCTGGGAAAGAAAATCCAAACCATGCTTCTCTAGGGCCTCCTGACCTGGCTAAGCACCTTGGAGGGAACCCTGGCCACGAGGGATCCAAGCACCGCTCTGGTTTCCCAGAAGCCTGTGGATGACTCTCATCTGGCGGTGGACCTCAGATGGGGGTGAGTGGACCTCAGATAGGGGTAGGTCTCACTCTGGCTGGGGCCTGCCTGGAGCGGCTAATGGATACTGACAAGGTTCGCAGGGTGAGCTTCCCATGCCAGGAAAGACTCTGGGGATTCTTTCAAGCTTTCTTGATAGGTAGAGAATTCTGGGACCTGCTTGGAATTCTTATCCAGCCTCCCCCAAACCCCTCCGGCTCAGGGCCCTCCAGGGCTTGCAGTTCTCCATCACTCCTGCTTTGCGCAAAAAGCAGCCAGGGCGAGGAGCGCGCGGTGGCTGGGGGCAGCCGCCTTCTTGAGGGATGCAAGGATTTCCCGCAGTCCTCTTCCAGCCAGGAGGCCAGGGCCGGAGGTCAAGGAGTCTTAGGCGATTAGAGATTGAGGATCCATGCCCTCTGTCTCAGCTGCAGGGGACACATAGACCCCTCTCCAAAGTTAATTCCTGTGCCTTTGGCTGCGGAGGCGCAGGCGGTAATGACTCCGTGCGCACCGGCAGTGTTTGTGAAATGGCTCTTCCCGCAGACAGCAGAGTCTGTTCCTGCAGCTCCTGGTCATCCACCGCCCCTAAGACCTCCAGGACTCCCGCACCCCTACACCTCCTGAGACCTAAGTTTGCCTGGAGGCTGAGGGGTCCCGGAGAGAGGCGGTAGCCAGACGCCTGGAGACCGCGGGCACATTGGAAAAGAAGGAAGGCAGCGGCCCGCCTTCCTGCCTTCTTGTCGGCGGGGGTAGTTTTAGCATTGCCTGGGGGCTCTTTGAGAATTGTGCAGGGAGGGAGGGGGGCCATGGGAAGCTGAATAGCTAATGGCTTGCCAGAGGAGGGGGATTCTTTCTCTCGCCTTCAGCTCAGCAGTGAAAGAGGGGAAGACAAAAATCTGGCGAGCGAGCTGCCCGGGCCGAGACTGGCCACTTCAAACAGCCCTTCAAACAAAAGGAGACGACGAAAAGAAAGCCCCACCTGTCTCCAGTGTTTGCTAAAATAATAATAAATAGATTTCGTTTAATAAATAATTACAAGAGATTGTAAAGTGGAGTGCTTTGGAAAACATCTACCGCGGGAGTCCGTGCAGCCAGCCGTCACCTGCTCCTAAGGCGAACAACTTTATTGTTAAGCCACCCCCCAACTAGTTCGCCCTGATAAACTCTCCCTCATTTTCACAATGACTGTTTACTCATAGTTAGCACAATATTACCTTTGCCGTGATAAACCCGGAGGGGGGAGACCTGGCCCCTGGCCCCTGGACACACCTGTCCCAGAAGCTGACACATGGATTTGGCACCAAGCAGGCCTCCCCGCGGGGGCCCTGCCCCCGTGTACATTGGCCCAATTGCCACTCATTTATAACAGGTTGGCTGCAAGGCCTATCTCGGTCCTATTTGTCTTCTTTTATTGAAAGCATATGGTCTCCAGGGGCTCACCAGACCCATATTTCATCTGCCAGGAGCTGGAGCGCTTCCGCAGGCTGGTGCTGCCCAGCGCGCAGCTCCCCACCCAACGGCTGCTGCGCCAGCTGAGGGGATGGTGGAGGCAGGGTAGGGAGAGATAAGACGGGCTCCTCACCCACTTTCGGAGAGAAGCCGTTCCCTCAGAGACTCCCCCTCCCCAGGCTCAGGGACCTCGTGCGCTCTTGAAAGGGTGGCCGGTTCTTTTTCTTGGGTAGGTGACAGGGCGCCATATGCCACCCCCCAGGGCGCACACGGGAGCTCCGGCCCAGGGAGTCTTCGAACAAAGGGAAGAGAGGGCCCGGGCGCTCAGGAGAGCCGGAGGTCTTTATTTCCAGATCCCCCCTCCCTGCTCAGGGCCGCCTCCCCTAGGCGTCCGCAGCTCGCGCGCGGCGCCTGGAAACAAAGTGTCCACATTATCCTCGCCGGCGGCTGAGACCGTCAATGCGTGAAAAGGTGCATTGCGCACCAAGACACCTGTTGAAGCGGCTCCTCTTCTCAGCGCCCCTCTCTGCTCTGCGCTCGGTCAGGAGCCGCGCAGGGAGCGGGGGGTGGGAGGAGGGAGAGACACTGTGATTTGTGGCGACATATGTTGAGCAGATCGTTGTGTACTCTTCACAGGGACACATGCACCCTCGCTCCCATACACACCCCGCGAGAAGGAGCAGCTGCTCTCCTCACCTTCTCCCAACATAATACCTGGGCCAGGCGCTTTGGCCTCGCCTTTTGAGAGTTTAGCTCTCCTCCACCCCCCACCCCCCGTCTTCCACCCCCACCTACCGCCCCAATCTTAGCAGCTTCGCTGTAGGACTTTATTGTCAAATTTAACACATGCACATTTGTTCCCAGCGCTTGGCCCCAAATACACACACACGTACAAACACGCAGGCATCCACAGAAAACGCGACTGATGACACAGATGCGGAGCGCGAGATGCCCATATGTCCGGCTCTGCGCCCATCCCGGCTGGGGAAACGAATAGGCTGTGTGATTTTCCCTCCCCAGGAAGAAATAAACAACGGAACCCGGCGGGGGAGGGGAGGCCACCTCCAGGCGGCTCCAGTTTGGAGCTCTTGCCCTTTGGCGCGTTGCGCCACCTCACAGTGCTGGCAGCCAGGAGAGCGCAGGGCAGCGGAGGAAGAGCGCGGCTTGCCAAAAGGCGGCTGGGACAGGGGCCGCTGGACGGAGCGGAGAGGGTTGGAAAGTCTGGGGGTGCTCGCTGGGCATCGCCTGACCCCTGGGCTCTTGAACTCTCGGATGGTGAAGACTCTCCCGTCCTCCTGGGATTCCCAGGAGTTGGCGTCCACCTGAGGCGCACTAGGGGCGGGCGGGTACACCGGGAGGATTCTGCTTGGCAGCTTCTCCAGCCTGCTTGTCTCCTTAGCAGGTTGCATGCACGTTTCCAGATGCGAGCCTCGGTGACAAAACTTGATGGGAAGAGCAGCAGATGTGCGTGAGGATTGGGGGTGGGGTGGGGGAGGCAGCCTGGCTCTGCGGCTACTCCTGTGTCACTGAAAGCATATCTTTCCTCTGGGCCTGTTTCTCCTCTGTTAAAGGAGAGATCTGTGAGGGAAATATTCGGTAAATTCCTCTTCGACTTTGCAAAATTTGGAAATTTTAGATGTCAATGGGCCTTCTGCTGTGAATGGAGGAAACCCAGAGAGAGTGTCACTCCCCTCCCCCAAATAACACATACACATACACAGACACACACACACACACACACACACACACACACACACAAAATTTCCTTGGGTCTGAGTTTCTGGCCGATTGGCCTTTCACCAGCAATTGAAGGGCTGGGGGCAATGATGGTAGTGGGGAAAGATAGGTTTGGCACTGGGAGTTCAGAAAGCCATCCTCTGCTGCCTCCATCTTTTAACTCTTGGTGCAGAGCAACTCTTGGGCCATTGTGACACTCAGCAACAGGTCAGGCATGCTTGCTGACAGCAGGCTTTCAGACCTTCCTGTCTTCAGGTGCTGGGATAGAGCTGGGAGCTGGTTTGCGGGTGTGTGGCTACTGAGCTCCTTTCTCCTCCAAGCCTGTTTCTGGAAAAACCGAAAGTGTGCCCCACCCACCATCTGTGCGAACTTGGATGCTCTTCTCATTCCCTAAATAGGGGCAGCCTCCCTCAGCCATACACATATTGTTTTTACTTTCTGTGTGTGAATTGATTTCACTAAATGCAGTACTTACGTTCCCCATATCCACCGGCCTAGGGCAGGGGACATTCTCCTTTGGGAATTCCTCTGTAGAAGTCAGGCTTGAGATGGCAGATGAGCTCTCTGCCTGGCCGGTCCTCTTTTCCCCAACCCTGGTGCCTCCTCCGACGCCCATGGTGATTCTCTTTAGGCAGCAGCAGTAAGAACCAAAGGGTTTCTGAATTGCTGGTTTGGGGTGAGAGTGGGAGGAATCTATCCACCTCAGTTCTTTAGGTCACCATGGATGAGATACTCACCCACACCTCCAGCTCCAGTTATCAGGTTGGGAAGGCAGGAAGGGGACAGGGGTGGTAGGTGAGGAGAGTCCAGAATTATTTCTAGATTAACGCAGTGGAAAGGCAATAGAATGCGAGGCAGTGCCGTTTTCCATGCAGTACTTAGTTAACTCATGTTCATGCAGAATTTTGAAGGTGGTGCATCACCCTCTCACACACTCACATAATCTGCAAGGGAGACAGAAAGATATTTTTATTGTTTATTTTGTGTATTTGGTTTTTCTTTCCAAGTTTTATTTTAGGCTCAAGGGGTACATGTGCAGGTTTGTTACATGGGTAAATTGTGTGTCTCAGAGGCTTGGTGTACAGATTACTTTGTCACCCAGGTAATCAGCGTAATACCTAAGAGGTAGTTTTTCAATCTTCATCCTCTCCCCAACCTCCACCCTCAAATAAGGCCCAGTGCCTATTGTTCCCTTCCTTGTGTCCATGTGTACTCAATGTTTAGCTCCCACTTAAAAGTAAGGACATGCAGTATTTGGTTTTCTGTTCCTACATTAATTTGCTTAGGACAATGGCCTCCAGCTCCATCCATGTTCCTGCAAAAGGCATGATGTCATTTTTTATAGCTGCGTAGTATTCCATGGTGTATATGTACCACATTTTCTTTATCTAGTCCACCGTTGAGGGGCACTTAGGTTGATTCTATGTCTTCGCTATTGTGCATAGTGCTGCGATGAACATATGTGTGTGCCTTTATGGTAGAATGACTTGTATTGCTTTGGGTACACACCTCGTAATGGGACAGCTGGGTCAAATGGTAGTTCTGTTGTAAGTTCTTTGAGAACTCTCCAGACTGCTTTCCACAGCAGCGGAACTAATTTACATTGCTACCAGCAGTGTGTGAGCTTTCTTTTCTCTGTGACCTTGCCAGTATCTGTTATTTTTTTGACTCAGAAAGGGATTTTTATTTTTTATTTTTGAGACAGTTTCACTTCATCTCCTAGGCTGGAGTGCAGTGGTGTGATCTTGGCTCACTGCAACCTCTGCCTCCCGGGTTCAAGCGATTCTCGTGCCTCAACCTCCCAAGTAGCTGGAATTACAGGCATGCACTACCACATCAGGCTAATTTTTTTTTCTTCTTTTTAGTAGAGATGGGATTTTGCTATGTTGGCCAGGCTGGTCTTGAACTCCTGACCTCAAGTGAGCCACCCACCTTGGCCTCCCAAAGTGCTGGGATTACAGGCCACTGCGCCTGGCCAGAAAGGGATTTTTAAATTTCCATTTTCTACCAGAGCACACTGAGGCTCAAGTTCACAGAGCCACGACTGAAACTCAGCTTCCATTGTGTCCACTCCAGCTAGCTGGCAGAGAATCTTCCTTTTGTCATCCTGCTGCCCCCCTACCCACTGCCCACACTCCAGACTTATGCTCTGTCACCCTTTGGAGCTCTTCAGAGGTGGGCTAGTCCCAGTAGGGCTTCGCGGGGGGCAAGGAACTAAAGGGTTTGGGAGCAATAAATAACAGAGACTTTTCCTTTCTCTCCCTGTGGTGTCCTCACCTCCCCTTACTCTCTGCCAGTGCTGAAGGGGCAGGGCCAGCCTTGCATGACGTAGAGAGTGAGGTAAAAATTTTAGTGAGAGTTATTACATTTTGTGCCCTGTGCACCCCATCTGCCCCACTCCAGTCTCATCCCTGCTGTGGGTACAATAAGCCTCATGTTCCTCCTTCTTTAAACTTTCAAGCAAGTGGTCCCAACTTTTTTGATTATGTAGCCCTATCAGAATACTATTTTGGGCACACTCTTCAAAATATGTTAGCTATTCATGATTCTTGCTATATTTAATGTACAATATAAAACATATGCAAAGTTTGATTTATTTATAAATTACAGATGTACTTCTGTGCCAGGAAATATGAAGTAGTGGAGAAGAGGATGGGGTTTTGACCCAGACAGCCTGGGTTCCAATTTGGACTCTCCACCTAGTAGCTGCATAACCTTGGTCTGTTGGCTCAGGCTCTCTGAGGCACCTTCATTTTTTCACCTATAAAAGGGGTCAGTTTAATAGGTACCTACCTCTAGGCCTTAAATGACCTAATTTGTGTAAAGTGATCAGCAACAGCAGGTAGTGTGTTCAATCATGTATGAACAAATATGATATGCACATTATAAAATATACCCCTATGAGGCCAGGCACGGTGACTCACTCCTGTAATCCCAGCACTTTGGGAGGCAGAGGCAGGTGGATCACTTGAGGTCAGGAATTCAAGACCAGCCTGACCAATGTGGTGAAACCTCGTCGCTACTAAAAATTAAAAAATTGGCTGGGCATGCTGGTGCATGCTTGTAATCCCAGCTACTTAGGAGGCTGAGGCAGCTACTTGGGAGGCTGGGGCAGGAGGATTGCTTGGACCTGGGAGGCAGAGGTTGCAGTGAGCCAAGATCACACCACTGCACTCCAGTCTGGGCAACAGAGCCAGACTCCATTTCAAAAAAAAAATATATATATATATATATATCCCTAAGAAATGTATGCTCAGGAAATAAAAATAAGTGTAACTAGAAGTTTTACTATGTGGCTGTTCCTGTGCTGCCCCTGTCATGCAGCCCACTTCAGAGCCTGCAAACTTAAGCGACCACTCTAACAGTATCATCCGTGGTTATGACGTAGGTTTATATTTGGGTGGCATTTTCTCACCCTTTTGTTTCTTATCAAATCAGTGAGGTAGCGTCATGAGAGATCAGCCTCCCATTTTGCAGATGAGGAAACTGAGGCTTCAGAGGGGTGATGTGACTCACCCAGGGGCACTCGTTTGTATAATATCATGGAGTGGGAATAAGAATAGGTCTTCTGACCTCAAGTCAACCCTGGCTCTGTGTTACACTGTGGGTCCCACTTGTGAGCTTGTTGGAAAGCCAACCCAATGTAGGCTCCTTGCTGAACAACTACTAAAGAAGGAGGTGCAGGCCTTATGAATGAGGCCAGCTGGTGGTGTGTGCCCGTGGCTCAGTCACTCTTTTCCACCAGAAACCAGAGCAGGCTTGGAGGCTCCCTGGCATGCGACCTTCTTTGGTGGGTGGGGTACACTTTGCAGACGCTAGTGCAGAAGGCAGCACTGTTTTGCAGAGCTTCAAGTCTGCACAGGAAACTACAAATCAAATTCCTGTCAATACAATTGCCCAGACACCAAGATGGCCCAAGTCAATTAGGCACACCTTACCTCTGTCCCATAAATGTTTATGAAGGATCATTATGACAGTGTGGTGGCCAGCTGTTCCTCTTAGAGATTAGACCCAGGGGAAGTGGTTTGAATTAGAAAAGCAGGGATTTGGGCTATTTATGACCATGTCTTTCCTAGCAGATAAACACTGAGAATCCTCTTCGGATGAAATTGAATCCTCTCTGTAAGGACCTCCTATTCTCTGGCCTGGAGCAGCTGTACAGCCTGCACAGGAGGGCCTGTCTTCTCCCATGACTTCATCCCCAAGAAGTATAGAAACCTTGTGTGCATGCAAGCCCAGAGTAGGCCCTCTTGTAACCCAGAAGTCTGAAAATTTAAGAAATGCCCCCAGTGACTTTGATATGAAGGCAGAGTTGAGGCCAGGCCGTAGATGAGTAGATTACAAACATTTGATAGAGTTGCTACAGGCAAAGCTGCAGGAACCAAGTCTGGCAGGAAGAGTACTACTGGGGCTCTTGATCCTAACTCTAGCTCCATGGAACTGGAGACTGTTTCTCTGTTAAGTGAAGAGGCAGCATAAGGAGTGACCAACAGCACCAACTCCAATCAGGCAGGTGGGTTTGAATCCAGGCTATGTATGAATCTTATTCTCTTGTGATGTTGGACAAATTACTTAATTTCTCTGGCCTCACTTCCTTTATTAATAACATGGAGAAAATAATAGTACTAATTCCTAGGGTTGTTCTAGGATTAAATGAGCTAATACATGAATAACACTTAGAATGATGCTTAGCTCATGGGAAGGGCAATGCTTTATTGAGGGTTACCATGTGCTGGCTACTGGGTCAGTGATAGGAATGAGCAAAACATCCATAGTCCCTTACAGGGCAACAATTAGTCTGCTTGTGGAGTCAGACATTAACAAAGCAATCATACACGTAGATGATGATACTCTGATGACAGCTATGAGTGAAAAGCTTTAGGGTGCAATGAGACCTTACAGTAGGAGGATGCAGGGGTCAGGAAAGGTGCTTTAGAAAGGGGATTAACCTACATAAACGCCTGAAGCAGGAAGGATCATGGCACATTTGGTAAACTAAAGTGGCTTTGTGTAGGGAGCATGGAGAACAAGAGAGAGAGGTTCACGATGAAGCTGGATACGCTGGTAGCACTGGGTCCTGCAGAGTTTTGTGAGTATTTACTCTGAGAGAAACAGGAACATGATGTGGTTTTGAGCTGGGGATGACATGTTCATAATGAACATTTATGAAGAGACCAGTGTGTATGTGAAGAGCAGGTTGGCATGAACAGAGGGGAAGCCAAAAGGCGTAGCTACCCAGGTGAGAGAGGATGGGGCCTGACCAGGGTAAGGACAATGGGAATGGAGTGAAGTGGGTGGATTTATGTGCAAGAGGGAGAGTGGGCAGGTCTGGTGATAGAATACGAGGCATTAGGGAGGGAATAGTACAAATGGCGCCTGTGGAGGCTAAGGCAACTTCATCTTGGATGCTAATCCACCATGCTGATTTCTGATTAATCCCAGTTCTGGGAATGCCTCTAAGATTTCTACTTTCACATGCTTACTGTAAATCCTGCTCTTAGGTCAAAACAACCTTGATATTATGATAAGCAGATACTCTCCATAAATTCTGCCCTTAGGCAAATTCCGTGTGGTATATAAACCCTGGTCTGGGATAACAGTGCAGGGATCTACCATCTCATCTCATGGCTGGCCAAGATGGGCTTCTGTTCATAAGTACCCATTAAATGTTTCTGAGAAACTGGATCTGTCAGCTTCTTTCTTTGGTCCCTCAGCTTCCTCAGCCTTTGGGGGTAGGTTTGTGTGGACCTGCTCACTGCAGATCAGTGCCTTTCAGTGAGATGGAGGTCTCTGGAAGACACATGTTTGGCACCTTTGAGACATTCAAGTGGAGATTTTGAGTGGACTGTTGGCTACACAGTTCTTGGTGGAGGTCTGGGCTGAGGACGTACATTTGTGAGTCATTTGGGTATTGTCAGTGTTTGGGTGTAGATGAGATGGCTTACGCAAAGAGCATGGAGTGAAACAAGAAGGGCCTAGGAATGAGTCTCAGGTACTCCATCCTCTAAAGGCAGAAGACAGGAGTAGGAGCTGGGTAAGGAGACTAAGAGGGAGTGGACAGAAAGGGAGGAGGACAACCAGGGGGCTATGCTGCCCCAAAGGCCAAGGGAAGGATCCCTTAATTCTACCTGGAGCAAGTTTTCATGTACAAACGAGCTTGAAAGAGAGTTGAATATTTCATATAGGTGTAAGAAAGCCTTGGCATTACAAATGTGTTGCTGAATACATGTTCTAAAAGCAGTAGAGGGCTCTGCAAATGTATGAGATGTAGACTACTACATACCTGGGGTTGGGGGTGAGAACCTAAAGTGCAAGGCAGGGAGACTATATCAAATTCATCCTTGAATTTGTTTTTTAGTTTGTCCTTAATGGTCCATTCTTTATGCCCTAGGGGATACCACAAGGGTATTAAAGTATGGAAAGAGCAGATAAGAGGAAAAATTGAAGACAGGAGGCGATGGTCCTGAAATATTAAAATATGAAGTTGGCTGCAATGCTGTGTCTTAGGGAAAAAGCTGTCTCCACTTTTGCAGAGGCCTTCCTAGGCATCCCAGCTCCAACATGAATCTTCTGTCTTAGAATACTCACACTGCATTGTGTGGGATCAAGGGGCCCATTTCACAGTAAAGGAGGTAAGGAAGTAGACACAGGATCATGGGATCTACTGGTCATTTCACATATGGCACTGTTAAGAAATTGCTGGCCTGACAGAGCCTTGGAATGATTGAAGGTACCACTGAGTCAGAAAGGATCTTCCAGAATACTTTATAGACTCTAAATCAACACACTTTATATGGCATTGTGTACTCAGTAGAGTAGAACACCTAAGTCCAGCAATCAAAAGTTTGGAAGTCCGAGTAGCTCCCTTTTCCATCACTGAGTCTTAATGACCTTCTTGGGGAATTTGGCTGCCTGTCTCCACCACTCTGGGCATGGAGACTCTATGATTCCAAAGGGGCAATGCTCTACCAAAAGATAAAGCCAGAGGCAGATGTCCACTGAACTACAAGTTAAGGCTGTAATATTAGTAGGTCAAGCTCTCTGAAGCAAGAAGTTGAGTCACTATCTTGGCATAAGTAATTGATCTTGATCCCCAGAATGGTGTAGGACTGCTGCTACACAGTGTAGGCAGGGAGTAGTACTAGGTTTGCTACCCAGATGACCCACCTGGGAGCATCATAGAACTCCCTTGCCCAATTTTGGTGGTAAATAAACTAGTGCAATGGCCACAGGTGAGTATAGCATAGTGATGACAGCTCAGACTTCCCAGGGATGAGGATTTGGGTCATGCCATCAGATAAGCCACTATGACCAGCAAAGATGCTATCCATGGGTGAAGGAAATCTAGAATGGATAGAAAAAGAGAGAGAGATTATGTGTGTTGGTTGGGGTCTGAGACCAAACACAGCAGGGAGTATTGTTTTCTTCTAGGTGGTGCCTTCATTTTCCAAGTTTTTCCCCCGGAAAGAAAGCCTTCCAGAATTCTAGAGAAATTGCACTCTGAAATTATACAAAGACTTGAATCCAAGATTTGAGTGCACAAGGGGGAGGACTGTAGTGGATGCTGTGATGTTCCACCCTTCATTTGGTAATGAAGGACTTACTTCTTGATATGGTTTTGCTGTGTCCCCACACAAAATCTCATCTTGAATTGTAATCCCCCAAATCTCCATAATCCCCACATATGAAAGGAGAGAACATGTAGAGGTAATTGCATGGGGGGTGATGGTTTCCCTCATGCTGTTCTCATGATAGTGAGTGAATTCTCATGAGATCTGATGGTTTTATAAGTGTTTGGTAATTCCTCTTGCATTCATTCTCCCTCCTGCCGCCTTGTGAAGAAGGTGCCTTGCTTCCCCTTCACCTTCTGCCATGATTGTAAGTTTCCTGAGGCCTCCCCAGCCATTTGGAACTGTGGGTCAATTAAACATTTTCCTTTCTAAATTACCTTGTCTCAAGCAGTTCTTTATAGCAGTGTGAAAACAGACTAATACACTCCCTCAGATGTGAGGAGTGCCTTCAGCTCTCAGTCCTCTTCAGAAGTGGCCTTACCCTAATATAGTTGCCTGACTCAAGGTCATGCCCCTTTCTTGGGGCAGCCTGCATATGACTACTAGTCAACGTAGGGTATACAATTTCATCCCTGTCACTCCAACTTGGAATAACATCAAGGGCCATCCTAGCTTCAAAGCTCCCCTCCAGTAAACTGAGTCCTCTGTTGAGACAACATCTCAGTCCAACTTCTCCCTCTTCCCAGTCCTGCTTTCTTTCTTTCCTTTACCACTTGTAGGTGTTGATCCTAAGAGAACTCTCTCCTAAACTTCCTGCACAGTAATCTCTACCTCAGTTTGCTTGCTGGGGAAATTGACTTGAGAAGTTGCTTTACAGATTTAGTGTTTTGGAGATAATAATGGAACCACAGAGCTCTTAGAGCTGGAAGAAATCATAAGAATTATCTAGTAATGGCTCAACCATCCGTCTTATAAAGGAAGACCCCAAAATTCAAGATAGGACTGCAACTTTCCCAAAGTTAGAGGCTAGGTCTAATCACTCCCTACTAATCACTAGGCTTAGGTTGTGCATGGGTTGGTTTACTGCTTTAACCTACTATGACTCCTTTGAAATCTTGGTTTAATACATGAGCCAGGAAACCATGGCCTAGCAACTGTTTTCCTATAGAAAGTTTTATTGAAATACAACTATGCCCATTCATTTAGGATCTATGATAAAAGAGTTCAGTAGTCACACCAGAGAGACCATATGACCCCTGGTACTCTGGTACTTGACATATCTACCAATTCACACTTTATAAAAAAAAGTTTCCTGACCACTGTTCTAACAGATGAATTGGTCAAGGTCCAATAAAGACAACAGAAAGTACTCTAGGTACTTCAGCTGAAAGAATTTAACATGGGGAATTGGTCAAGCAGGTGTTGGAAGTTGGAAAAAGCAAAAGGGTTACACCAAGGAGACACAGAGTAATAACTACAGAAAGCAGTTGCAACCTCTAAGCTGGGGGAACAAAGGGAAGGTTCGGACTATTAGAACCTAGAATCTTGGAGCTTCTGTGAAGCCAGAGCTCAGACCCTTGATGAGGTCATTGTCAGCTCATGCTGATGCCAATAAGGGGGTTCGATGAGGCTGGTGCTGAGGTTGCCAAAGGAAGTGGGAAACTTCTTATCTAGAATAAATTTCTGGCCATGCTGACAGGAAATACCAGCAAACAGAGAAGAGCAAGTCCCTTCTCACCTCTTCCTGCCTTCCAGTCTCCCTCTAGTGTCCCCTATATGGTCAAAACTTTACAGGAAGTTAGCAGGCAAAGCAATTAGCAAAACGAAGGCTGGGGTTTGCACGGCCAGTCCCAGCAGAGCAGAGTATAGAAGGAGCTGAGGAACAAAAGTGCAATTACCTGTCCCATGGGCAAGATTAACATTAGAGCCATCAGTTAGTTGATGTCTCAAGCTTTTCCCAGGACTGGCATTGAAGAAGCAGGAGCAGAGTCCCCGGAAAGATAAGTCTATGCCCTGTAGATTTGTTCTGCACAGGCCCTAGATGTTCTCTCCTATTTGGGGGTGAGTTCCAGGAAAAATAGCCTAATGATCGTAATTGAGTCAAGGAAGTGCTTTGGGCCTGTTAGGACAAGCCTATGTCCTAGTAGAGAAACATTCTCTTCCACTCCAGGAGAAGTCTTGCTAGATGCATCTGCTTTCTTTATAGCTCAGATTAGTCTTATAAGTGAGTCTTGTTAGCTCTGATTTGTCTGACTGGGGTTGTGTGACCATCTCTGAATCAATCTCTAGGGCAGAGGAATGAGATGCTTTGAAGGCTCAGCCTGGGTCTGATGCTCTGTCCCTAAAATACTTTGTATGAGGGTGGGGGTGGTGGTAGAAAATGAGGGGTCCATTTCACCTGAACTTCATGGACTCATAATGGGGAAGGAGTGCCCCTAAAATCAAATCACAAATGTCCTCTGCCAGAGGGGATTGCCTGTGGCCTAATGGAGGTGTGAACATCATGTGGTGAGAACCCAGTGAGGACCAGGCTGGGAAGACAGCTCAGATCACAAGTTCTGCTGGCAGCTGGGCAGCTGGCAGCATGTGGGTTATAATAGGATGCAGCCAGAAAGTCCAGGTGGGCCTGGCTGACCCAGAGTTCAGACAGACTCACAATGGTAAAGCAGCTAATTGGGCAATTTGAATGTCATGCAAAATTTAGGAATTGGGGTGGAGCTAGGTGGCCAAGTGTGTGTGTGTGTGTGTGTGTGTGTGTGTGTGTGTGTGTATGTGTCAGAGACTAGAGCTGAGACGGAGTCAGGAGTGGAGGAGCAAGACAGGATCCCAGTCTTCAGGATGACTTTGTGGAAAGGTGAACCCCAGCATGGTACAAGGGGAAGGGATGCTGACCTGGGAGCCCAGATGTCAGACTTGAATACACTTGGTGAATCAGCTGGTGGCCATTTGAAGAAGGATTATAGGATGAGGAAGAGGAGCCAGACTAGGAGCAGAAGGCCCTCCAGAATTGGGGTAGAAAGAAAACATGGCTGGATTTTCAAGAGCTGCGCTGGGTGTGCTGTAATGTAAGTGGCCAGCTGTAATGTTGGCTGTTAACTGTACAGCTAGCGCTATTGGTTGAATAAAAAGACGAATAGTTTCAATGATTACTAATATAGGGATAAGTGGGACAGGTGTGCTTTGTGGTAGGAAGTGGGCTAAGGAAGGCTTAGTTTTAAAGTGAAAGCCAGTAATTACTGCTCCTGCCCACAGAAGGATAACTATTCCTAAATTTATTGACAGTTGAATAGGGGTAGAAGACCTAGAAGGTTAGTTGAGCCAATAAAAATAATAAGGGAAATTAATATGAGGGATCAGGTTCATCCCTTGATATTATGTATTGTTATTATTTGTTTCAATACAAGTTGAAACAGTCACTGTTGAATGGAAGTCAGTCGAGTTTTTACTAAGCAGTTGGGGATGGGGAATAAAATAATTAAGGTCACTGTGGGTAGGCCTAGTATTGTTGGGGTAATGAAAGAAGTGAATACAGTTTCATTCATTTTAGTTCTCGAGGGGTTTTGTGTTTTTGTGTTTCAAATGCTTTTAGTGCAGGGTTCATAGGATAAATTTTGAGATTTTTAATTGAAATAAGATAAATTAAGTTATGATCATAGATAGTAATAAATCATGTAGATGTATCTAGTTGTGGCATCTCACTGTAGGGGAATTTAAAATCCTCAGTTTTTAACTTTAAAGGTTAATGCTAATTAGCTTTACAGTGATATTATAGTATAGATGCTGATCAGCTTTCAAAGTATTTTAGGGGAACTAATTCAAGAACAATGGATATGAAGCTGTGGTTGGATCTGCAGATTTCTGAGCACTGGCCGTAGTAAAGTCCTGATCATGTGGATGTTAAGGTTGCTTGATTTAATTGCCTAGGGACTGCATTTGTTTTGAGACCCAATGATGGGACAGCTCATGAGTGTAGAATATCTTCTGATGAAATTAGTATGCAAATGGGGATTTCTACTGGGAGAACTACTCAATTACCAACTTCAAGGAGTCGTAGTTCCCCTGGTTTTAGGTCTGTCATAGGGATCAGGTAGTTATCAAAGCTTAAGCCTTTGTAATCTGTGTACTCATAACTTCAGTATCATTGATGTCCTATGGCTTTGACAGTGAGAGGGGGTTATTCACTTCATCCATCATATATAGGATGCATACAGATGGGAGGGCGATTAAGATTAGGATAATAGCGGGTAAGGTAGCTCATACAGTTTCTACTTCTTGGGCATCTGTAGTGCTAGTATGCATTAGTTTTGTTGTTAATATGAGGGAAATAATATAGAGAACTAGGGAGCTGATCAGGAAAATGATTATGAGAGTGTGATCATGAAAATGGAGTAGTTCTTCTATAATAGGAGATGTAGCATCTTGGAGACCTAGTTGAAATGGATGAGCCATGAAGATATATAGGATTCTAACCTATAAATTAAGTTTGACAAAGTTATGTAATTGTTTTACTAATATTCATGGAGAAAGTCATAGAGGTTATAAAGGTGGCTTGAAACCAGTTTTGGGGGTTTGATTCCTTCCTTTCTTGCTTAGGCTTTTATGCAGGCTGGCTCTTCAAATGTATGATAGGGTGGTGGGCAGCCATAAAGTCACTCTTAGTTTGTAGTTGGGAGTTCGTCTATTAGTACTTCTCATTTTGATGCAAAGGCTTCTCAGATTATGAAGATTATTAGTATTACTGCTGTTAGTGAGATAAATGAGCCTATGGATGAGATAGTATCTCATGCAGTATATGCATCAGGGTAATCAGCTTATCATTGAGACATTCCCGACAGTCTGAGGAAGTGTTGTGGGAAGAAAGTTAGGTTTACGCCTACAAATATAATAGTAAAGTGAATTTTGGTTCAGTTTTGGTTAAGTGTATAACCTGAAAACAGGGAATCCATGGACGAAGCCTCCTATAATGGCGAATACTGCTCCTATTGATAAAACGTAGTGGAAATGTGCTACAACATAATATATTGTATAGAAAAATGTCTAATGATGAGTTGGCTAATACAGTAACAGTTAACCCTCTTACTGTATAGAGGAAAATCAACCCTAGTGCTCAGAGCATTGCAGGGGATCATTTGATGTTACCACCATGCAGTGTGGCTAATGAGCTAAAGACTTTGACACCAGTGGGAATAGCAATAATTATGGTGGCAGATGTGAAGTACGCTTGGGTATCAACATCTATGCACACTGGAAATATGTGATAGGCTCAGACGATAAACCCTAGGAACGCAATGGACATTATGGCTCATACTATGCCCATATAACCTAACAGTTCTTTTTTCCCGGAGTAATAGGTTACAATATGGGAAATTATTCCAAAACCTTGTAGAATAAGGATATAGACTTCTGGATGACCAAAAAATCAGAACAAGTATTGATATAAGAGAGTGTCACCTCCACCAGCAGGGTCAAAGAAAGTGGAGGTTGTGGTCAGTTAATAGCATGGTGATGCCAGCAGCTAGAACTGGAAGAGATAAAAGTAATAGGGCTGCTGTGATAAGGATTGATCAAATGAAGAGGGGTGTTTGATGTTGAGATATACCTGGGGGTTTTATGTTAACAATTGTGGTAATGAAATTAATAGTGCCTAGAATAGAGGATACACCTGCTAAGTGGAGTGAAAAAATGCTCAAGTCAACAGAGGCTCCTGCATGTTCCAGGTTCTCTGCTAAGGGAGGGTAGACTGTTCAGCCGGTCTTGGCACCTGACTATTGAGGATGCAAGTAGGAGTAGAAAAGATGGGAGAAGAAGTTGGAAGCTTGTATTATTTATCCAGGGAAATGCCATGTCTGGCACACCAATTATTAGGGGGACTTGTCAGTTTGCTGAAACCCCCGATTATAATGGGCATAACTATGAAGAAAATTATAACAAATGTGAGGGCAGTGACAATAACATTATAAGTCTGATCATCTCCTGATAGGGTCCCTGGTTGACCCAGTTCTGCTTGGATTAGAAGACTTAAGGCAGTATTTACTATCCCAGCTCAGGTACCAAACAGTAAATATAATGTTCCGATGTCTTTATGGTTAGTTGAAAATAGTCAGCGATAGATGAACATAGGTATAAGGGTAAAATGGCTGAGCAAGCATTGGACTGTAAATCTAAAGACAGATGTTGAGCCATCTTTTTAGCAGCCCTGAGGTGATATTTCATGTTGACTTGCAAATTCAAAGGAACAGCTTCAATCCTGCCTGGGCTTCTGCTGCCATTTTCCCCCCTCAACAGCGGGAGAAGTAGATTGAAGCCAGTTGATTAGCTGTTAACTAAATTTTCATGGGTTTAGGTCCCACCAATCTAGCAAGGGCTTAGCTTAAGTAAAGCAATTGATTTGCATACAATTGATGTAGGACAGAGTCTTGCAGTCCTTAAAGTTTATTTACAGAAATTAAGTAGAGTCTACCTACTAAGGGCTTTGAAGGCTCTTGGTCTAATTTAACCTAAATTTCTAGGTTATAGCTAGGAATAGTGGGGAGATGGGTAGGAGGAGAGCAGAGGAGGTAATGAGTGGGGCCAATATATATATATGCATTTTGGGATGGAGTTTTGCCCTTGTTGCCCAGGCTGTAGTGCAGTGGCACGATTTCAGCTCCCTCCACCTCCGCCTCCCAGGTTCAAGCGATTCTCCTGCCTCAGCCTCCCAAGTAGCTGAGATTACAGGCACATGTCACCATGCCCAGCTGATTTTGGCATTTTTAGTAGAGTTGGGGTTTCACCATGTTGGTCAGGCTGATCTCCAACACCTGACCTCAGGTGATCTGCCTGCCTCAGCCTCCCAAAGTGCTGGGATTATAGGGGTGAGCCACTGCACTCAGCCCAGTTTTTTGTTGTTGTTGTTGTTTGTTTGTTTGTTTTTTGAGATGGAGTCTTGCTCTATTGCCCAGGCTGGAGTGCAAAGATGAGATCTCAGCTCACTGCAACCTCCGCCTCCCAGGTTCAAGTGATTCTCGTGCCTCAGCCTCCCCAGTAGCTGGGACTACAGGCATGCACTGCCACACCCGGCTAATTTTTGTATTTTTAGTAGAGATGGGGTTTCACCATGTTAACCAGGCTGGTCTCGAACTCCTGACCTCAAATGATCCACCCGCCTCGGTCTCCCAAAGTGCTGGGATTACAGGCATGAGCCACTGCGCCCAGCCACAGTATATGTTTTGTATTCTTGAATTGTCATTTGATATTATTAGATGTAGGGGATAGTGAAGTAGAGTAGATTAGGCACATATAAAAGTACAGATTGAATAGGGCTATGGTAGCTATAATAGTGGGTATAATAAGGCTATTGTTTTTTTGTAAATTCTTGAATAATAGTCCATTTGCATAGGAACCCTATTAATGGGGGTAAGTCTCCTAAGGATAACAGGATAAGTAGGATTATGGATACTAGTCATGGTATCTTATTTCAGCCGTGGGATAGTGATAGAGTTGTAGTGCCTATGCTTGAACTAAGTATTATAAATATAGCTACCGTCAGGATAAGATAAATAATTAGGTTTAGGATAGTAATGTTTGGGTTATATGTTAAGATTGCAATTATTCAGCTCATGTGAGCAATTGATGAGTAGGCTAAGATTTTTCACAGTTGTGTTTAGTTGAGCCCTCCTCAGCCACCTAACAGAATAGACAACATTGTGGCCGCTAGTAAAATGTTTGGGTTTATTGAGGAGAAAATTTGAAATATAATGGAAATAGGGGCTAGTTTTTGTCATGTGACATTTTGTCTCAGATGTCAATGAGATTCCTTTAGTTACTTCTGGGACTCAAAAGTGGAAAGGAGATATGCTTAATTTTATTGTTAAGGCCATTATTATTAAGGATGCTACTTGATTGATTGAGTTTATGATTGTTCATCATCAGGAGTACGGTATATTGGTAATGACCCCTATTATCAGGATTATGGATGCAGGTACTTGTGTAAGGAAATAGTTGGTAGCTGCTTCTGTGGAGTGGAGGCTTGTTTTTAAATTAAAATTGGGATAATGGCTCGTATATTTACCTCTAGTCCCATTCAGATGAGAAGTCAGTGTGAGCCTATTATTGTGATGAGAGTCCCTATAAGGATAGTGAAAGATGGCCAGGCGCAGTGGCTCATGCATATAATGCCAGCACTTTGGGAGGCCAAGGCGGGTGGATCACCTGAGATCAGGAGTTCAAGACCAGCCTGGCCAACATGACAAAACCCTGTCTGTACTAAAAATACAAAAATTAGCTGGGCGTGGTGGCACAGGCCTGTAATCCCAGGTACTCGGGAGGCTGAGGTGGGAGAATCACTTGAGCCGGGAGGTGGAGGCTGAAGTGAACCAAGATCATGCCATGCACTCCAGCCTGGGTGACAGAGTGAGACTCCATCTCAAAAAGAAAAAAAAAAAAGATAGTGAAAGAGACAGTAAGTTGGGTTAGAGGATTAATTAGTACAGAAAGGGTATAAATCAGCATTTTTGGGGTATGGACCCCATAGCTTATTTAGCTGACCTTACTGCAGGATATGGTATATTAGGTAGCATGGAGAATTTTGGATTCTCAGGGGTAGGCTCAACTCCTGTAATTCTAGAAATAAGAGGATTTAAACCTCTATTATTTATTCTATCAATGTAACTCTTTTATCGGACATATTTCTTATGTCTGAGGTGGAATACTAGATATTAGGATAGGCATAGAAATATGTCATATGCAAAGTGCTAGAGTGAGTGGTAAGAAGTTTTTTCATAGAAGATGCATGAGCTGATCATAACTGAATCAGGGGTACAATACTTGAACTCATAAAAAGAAGTTGTTAAAAGGAGGGTTTTGGTGATGAAATTTTTGGTGTAGAGTTCTGGTTTATAAATATTATATAGTGCTCCTAGAGAAATAATAGTGATTAGGGCATTTATTATAATGATATTTATATATTCTGCTATAAAGAACAGGGCAAATGGACCTGTGGCATATTCAATATTAAAACCCGAAACTAACTCTGATTCCCCCTCTGTTACGTCAAATGGGGCTCTGTTAGTCTCTGCTAGTGTGGAGATGAAACATATTATGGCTAGAGGTCATGATGGTAGGAGTAGTCAGATAACTGTTGTGTTACGATGAGTGTAGGTAAATTAAATATGCCACTTATCAAGAGGACTGACAGGAGAATGATAGCTACGGTAACTTCATATGAATTTTTTTGAGCTATTGCCCGTCGTGCACCAATTAGTGCATATTTTGAATTGGGTGCCTGTCCCAACATAGGATAGAGTAGATGGCTAGGCTTGATGTGGCTGTATGAATAAGAGACCTATATTAAGAATAAGTAAGGGGTATGGTATGGGCAAAGGAATTTATATAAGGAGTTCGATAGATAGGGCTAGGGTTGGAGCGATAATGTATAGAGGAATGGTGGATGCTAATGGTCATAGAGTTTCTTTAATATAAAGTTTTATTGCATCTGTAAAGGATTGATGTAGTCCATATGGACCTACAATGTTAGGTCCTTTGCATAGTTGCAGATAGCCTAAAATTTTTCATTCAATGAGTGTAAGGAATGCTATGGTGATGAGAGTGGGGATAATGAGTAGAAAAAGGTTAATTATAGGCATATTGTTAAGAAGAGAGCCAAGCCCTTTTCTCTTCTGCCAGGATATGTAGTGATTTCCCAGCAGGCTGTGATGTCTCTATAAGAGTCTGGACCTGTTTTTCCTCAGATCCCCTTTTTGTCTTTTCCTGCTTCTGCTCTGAGTTGCAGGGAACCAACCCCATGGTCTGTGTTTCCCAAGCTCTTAGGAGAACTGGTTTCTGGCTGGAATCAACAAAAGGGAGACACTGGTGGAGATTAAAGGGTAGGATGAAGAGAGAAACCAGAATATTTCTTCTCTTTCCCTTCTGCCTAAGGCAACATCTCTAGCAGCAAATTTACCTATCACATTTTTATTTCTCTTCCATGGCTCCAGTCTTTCACCATGAAGTAAGCCATAAGTTTTTCATTGATATCCTTTATCAGATTGAGGAAGTTTCCTTCAATTTGTAGTTCACTTAAGTTTTAATCAAGAATGGATTTTGAATTTTGTCAAATGCTTTTAGTGCTTCTGTTGCAATGTGTATTTTTTCATCTTTTATTCTTTAATGTGGTCAATTGTATTGATTTTTTTTAAAAAAATAAGATGGGATCTTGCTGTGTCTCCCAGTCTGGAGTGCAGTGTCTATTCACAGGCACAATCATAGTCCACTGTAACCTTGAACTCCTGGCCTTAAGCAGTCCTCCTGCCTCGGCCGCCTATGTAGCTGGGACTGCAGGGATATGCCACCAGGCCTGGATTTGATATATCGTTTTTAAATGTTACACTAACCTTGAGTTGCTGAGATAAACTCCAGTTGGTCATAATGTATTATCCTTTTAACACATTGCTGTAACTGATTTGCTAATATTTTGTTAAGAGCTTTTATATTCAGGGAAGATATGGATTTATAATTTTCTTTCCTCATGTAGTCTGTCAGGTTTTGTTATTAGAATTTTTCTGGCCATGTACAAATGAAGTTATTGCCTGTCAGCTCCAACTCCACCTCCACCCTTCTTTACCTGGTCTGTGGGAAGGGAGCTGGGCCATGTGACTATTTCTTCTTTGTCAGCTGGCACCATATGAAGTCTTATTAGTAAAAAGTGCTGAGGGACACTGCAGGAGTAAAGGATCTCCTCTTCCTGTAGTGTGGGCATTCTTCAGTGCTTGGCTAGTTTAGCATGGTGCCTGTCTTACCTTGTTTTGTGCTGCTATGACAGAGTACCCGAGATGGATAATTTGTAAAAAACAGAAATTTATTCTTTCACAGTTCTGGAGGCTGGGAAGTCCAAGATCAAGGCACAGCAGTTTAGTGCCCAGTCTCTCTGGTTGTAAGATGGCACCTTGAGTGCTGTTTCCTCATGGCATTCCCTCACATGGCAGAAGAGCAGAAGAGAGAACCCACTCTCACAAGCTCTTTTTATAGCAGCATTAATCCATTCATGAGGGTAGAGCCCTCATGACCTAAACACTTCCCAAAGGCCACACCTCCCAATACCATTGCATTGGAGATTAAGTTTCAACATGGCATTTGGAGGGGACAAAAGCATTCAAACTATAGCAGTGGCTTCTCCAGCTCTGTAGTCCTGCAGCATGTGACAGCCAGCTGCGTATAGCAGACTGGGTACCTTCTCAGGTGGCTTCACAGTAAAATGCTGCTGATGAGGCACCTCTCATGAAGGGCCATCCCATCAACACATTTATCAACTCTGCAGCAAGATCTGAGGCATAGCACCTCACTGTGGACTTGGCATCCTAGAGGGCATATTTCCATCAAGTCACACCAGCATGGCATCTTAGGCACCCTGGTGACTCCTCCATCATCCAGTGAGCCATACCATGCCCTCTTCAATGAATTTTGAATCTCAGTCCAGGAAGGAGGAATCTCTTTTGGTTACTCTTAGCTCAGCCCTAGGGATAGTGGTTGCTTCTTATATTTGCTACCCCTATCTTCTTTAGGGTCCTCTTTAACTCTTACTCTACAATTCCCTGTTATTCCAATCTCCAGTTAATATTTCTTTATATTGGGCCAGAGGCAGTGGCTCTCTCCTGTAATCCCAGCACTTTGGGAGGCTAAGCTGGAAGAATTGCTTGAGCCCAGGAGTTCAAGACCAACCTGGGCAACAAAGACGGACCCCATCTTTATAGAAAATTTAAAAAATTAGCCGGGCATGGTGGCTCACACCTGTAGCCCCAGCTACTTGGGAGGCTGAGGTGGGAGGATTGCTTGAGCCCAGGAGGTCAGGGCTGCAGTGAGACATGATCATGCCATTGTACTCCAGCCTGGGTGACAGAGCAAAACCTTATCATTTTTGGTTCGATATGAATTTTTTAAAAAGTTTTTTCTGGTTATGTGAAGAATGTCATTGGTAGTTTTATAGGAACAACACTGAATCTGTAAATTGCTTTGGGCAGTATGGCCATTTTAATGATATTGATTCTTCCAATCCGTGAGCATGAAATGTTTTTCCATTTGTTTGTGTCATCTCTGATTTCTTTGAGCAATGCTTTGTAATTCTCATTGTAGAGATCTTTCACTTCCCTGATTAGCTGTATTCCTAGGTATTTTATTCTTTTTGTGGCAATTGTGAATGGTATCGCATTCTTGATTTGGCTTTGGCTTGGTTGTTGTTGGTGTATAGGAATACTAGTGATTTTTGTACATTGATTTTTGTATCCTGAAACTTTGTTAAAGTTGTTTATCAGCTGAAGAAGTTTTTGGGCTGAGACCATGTGGTTTTCTAGATATAGAATCATGTCATCTGCAAATAGGGATAGTTTGACTTCCTCTCTTCCTTTTTGGATGCCTTTATTTTTTTCTCTTGCCTGATTGCTCTGGCCAGAACTTCCAATACTGTGTTGAACAGGAGTGGTGAGAGGGGGCATCTTTGTCTTGTGCCGGTTTTCAAAAGGAATGCTTCCAGCTTTTGACCATGCAGTATGATATTGGCTGTGGGTTTGTTATAGATGGCTCTGGTTATTTTGAGGTATTTCCCTTCAAAACCTAGTTTATTGAGAGTTTTTAACATGAAGAAATGTTGAATTTTATCAAAAGCCTTTTCTACGTCTATTAATATAATCATGTGATATTTATTTATTTATGAGACAGAGTTGTGCTCTTGTCACCCAGGCGGGAGTGCAATGGCGCAATCTTGGCTCACTGCAACCTCTGCCTCCCAGATTCAGCGATTCTCCTGCCTCAGCCTCCCGAGTAGCTGGAATTACAGGCGCCGGCCACCACACTCAGCTAATTTTTGTTTTTTTTTTAGTAGAGATGGGGTTGCACCATGTTGCCCAGATTTATGTTTTTTAATCCACCCAGTTTGTGATATTTTGTTATAAAAGTCTGAGCAGACTAAGATGGATTATAATCCAATACTGCATTATTTATTTTAGTGCCCAAATTGTTTGAATCTGCCTATGACCTGGAAGCCCCCAACTTCCAGTTGTCCCACCTTTTGGGACTGAACCCATATACATCTTACATGTATTGATTGGTATCTTATGCCTCCCCAAAATGTACAAAACTAAGCTGTAGCCCCACCACCTTGGGTACATGTTCTCAAGATCTCCTGGGCCTGTGTCACAGGCCATTGGTCCCTCATATTTGGCCCAGAATAAATCTCTTCAAATATTTTACAGGGTTTGACTCTTTTTATTGACACCAGTTGTAACCCATTTCCCATTTTGACAACCAAAAATATTTTCTTCTTCAAGGAAGCCTTGGCTCTGCTTTTGAGGTCTTTCAACTGACAGAAGCATGGTCATCTATATTACCTAGGATAATCTCTCTTGCCTAAAGTCAACTGATTAAGACCTTTAATCACATCTACAAGATATATTCACAATAATATTTAGTGTTTGAATAACTGGGGACTTGTAGTCTAGCCAGCTGACATATAAAACTGCCCATCACAAGAAGTGTTCATTTTTCCAGCTCAAAGAAATGGTAGTACTAATCCCCTGTCAGTAATTTGTTTGGTCATGGCCATGTCATGAAAGTCTGGTCAATGTTGTAGAGGGGGAATTTTGCAGAGGAAATTATGGAGCAGGTTTGCTCTTTTACAAGGAGACTCTAGGAAGAGATTGTTTCTTATTCTTCCGTTTGTTATTCTTCTGTTGGTTACTGTGTCTGGATGTTTAAAACAGGAACGACTGTGGCCAATTATAGCCTGAAACCATAACTGACACATTAAGGATGCAGAGTGGAAAGATGCAAAGAATATAAGCCCTTGATGAAATCACTGAAGGCACCATCCCTGGAGCTTTCCTTACCTTTTTATGTGAACAACACATTTTCCTTGTCACTTAAGCTACTTTATAGTAGGTTCTCTGTCATTTGTAGCAGCAGAAATGATTTCTCCTGACACACAGGCTCTCCCCACATTGTGGAAAAGATGGCCACTACCAGTAGCACAAGCTTGTTTCTTTTAGTTTGTTTTCTTTTTACTTTAGCTTAGCAACCCCAGTGGAAAAGGACACTTTTTCTCTTAAGTGTCAGCAACAGTCCCGAGAAGGCTCCCATTGGCCCAGCTTAGGTCACGTGTCCATCTCTGAACCAACACCATAGCTGGAAGAATGGAGTACGCTGTTGGGTCAGACCTGGTCCACATGGCCACCTCTGGAGCTGGGAGTGGGATTAGCTCTATCAGGACTATATGGACCAACAGTGGAGGATGGCTCGTTTCCTAAGGGAAAGTTGGCATGCTGACATCAGAAAGGGCGGGGAGAATGTATGCCTGGCAGGCTAAAGCAACAGGTGACCTCTCAAACATCCTTCACAGGCTTGCCTCAACTTGTCTCTTCATAGGGATTTCTTATTGTTCTCCATAACTATTGCTCCAGAACAAACTCTTCTACCCACAGGCAGCTCAATTCAACAGATTTGGAAAAAAACTCCTGCCATGTAGTGGATAGATCTGAATACTCAAAGGGGAAGACAACATACCTCTTGATTTTGGGGAGCTCTCTGTCTTTTGACATCACCCCCTGCATGGATGAGTTTCCCTCCTCCAAACACAAAAGTACTTCCTTGCCAGTGCTTTAAGTCCTACTGTAATCCCAACTTCTTTCCAGACTCTGTGCTTATGAAGCCCTTCTTACTGCCTGCTTTGAGCCAGTCATTCATCAGGTATTGTGGACTGTATGTTTGTGTTCCTCCAAAATTTGTATCTTGAAGCCCAGCCCCCGGTGCGATAGTATTTGGAGATGGAGTCTTTGGGAGGTAATCAAGGTTAGATTAGGTCATGAAGGTAGGGCCGTCGTGATGACATGATTATCCTTATAAGAAGACACACTAGAAAGCTCACTTTCTCTGCCTCCCGCCTTGTGCACAAAGAAGAGTTCATGTGAGCACACAGAGAAATGGTGGCCACTTTCAAGCCAAGATATGAGGCCTCAGAATGAAGCCTACTTTGCCAGCTCTTGGTCTTGGACTTCCAGGCCTCCAGACTGTGAGGAATAATTTCTGTTGTTAAATCCACCTAGTCTATGGTATTTTGTTATGACAGCCTGAGAAGACTAAGACAGTTGGTCTTATTTTATGAGAGTGTGAGACCCCAACTCTTGACTGAAAGCTCCCTTTGTATACTTCCGTTAATTCTTCACAGTTTTTGGCAGGGGCCAAACAGCTGTGAGGACCCTGGGGCCAGAGCTGAGATTTGAACCCATATTCTTTTTGTCCTAGCAGGCTGGCTATGCGGAATCAATTCTGAAATCCCTTCCCCCTCATGAAGTCTTGTGCCACATAAGCAGTTTGTTTGATCCATTTATTGTTATGTAAAGAGAATGTGTAGAGCACTTTATTCACTTGTATTTTGAAATACACATCCATACCTAAGAGTACATGGAATGTGGATGTGCAGTTGAAGAATAATAAAGCAAACATTTGCATAGCCCCATTATGTTAAGACAGAACATCATCAGTACCTGTGGGTCCACTCCAACCACATTCCCTTCTTATGTGTTTTTATTTCTATTTTGATAGAATATACATATATGTGTATATATATATATATTCATAAATAATGTATCCTTTTCATCTGGAAAACTGAGTAGCAAGCGCAAACCTAGCAGAACAAGAAAAGAACAATGCTATCACTCTTAGGTGAGAGCTCTGAGAATAAGATGGGCTGGGTCATGGTCTAATTTCAGCTTCATTGTGAGTTTACCAGAGTCCTCCTGGGAGAGGTCAGTGGGCCAGGACATGGCGCATTCTTGGAAATGCTGTGTTCTTCACAGTTGGGGTGTCTGGCAGGGCAGTGTGGGCTGAGTCTGTGCATCTGGTAGGAATGTGGTCAAAGGAGCTGTTCTGTGTTTTATGCTTCTCAGCTCCACGTGCCCAGCCCCCAGCTCCTAAGAGTCTGTCCAATCAGGACACTTTGGGGATTACCTTGAGGTCCTCAGCTGAACCACGCATAGGGTGTGGAGGGGAGAGAGGAACTTCATCATGGTAGAGAAAAGCCATGTTTAAAAAGGAATTTGGGACAGATGCATCAGGGCACGTTCAGGTTAAAAAAAGAGTATGATGGCAGAAGGATCTTGGTAATGCCATGTCCAACTTTTGAGACACATGACTTTGATCTGGTCAGCTGCCTCCTCCACCTGGTGCACTGCAGTTATCCTGGAGCCTCCCTCAACCATTGTCAAAGGGGTTACCTTTGTCTCTTTCCTCCATTGGATCTCTTGCTTCCCACTTATACCATGTATAATCAATAAGGGGCAGCCAATGACAGTAATGGAGAACTATTGTTTCAGAATAATGTCTCCACTGAGGTAAAATATAATGCACAACATATAAAAACAATATCTAACTTCCATTTGTCAAGATGGGATACACTTATCTTTCCATGCTCCTTTTCACTAAGTACAACTGTCAGCCCTAGAAATAATGCAGGGGACAACTAAGGGAAAACTGCGAAAGGGAGAAGAAGGAAGCCAAACCCGTTGGTATATTCGCTTCCTAGGGCTGCCAGAACAAAGCAACACAAACAGGGCAGCTTAAAACAACAGAAGTGTATTAACTCACAGTTTCTGAGACTACAAGTCCAAAATCAAGGTGTCAGCAAGGTTAGTTCCTTCTGGAGGTTCTGAGGGAGAATCCATTTCATGCCTCTCTCCTAGCTTCTGCTGGTAGTTGCCAGCAATGCTTGGCATTCCTTGGCTTCTAGATGCATCACTCTAATCTCTGCCTTCATGGTTACGTGGTGTTCTCCCTCTTTGTGTGTGTCTCTGTGTCCAGAAACATCCCTCTTATCAGGTCACTACTCATTGGATTAAAACCCACCCTAATCCAGTACTATCTTATCTGAACTAGTTACATTTGAAAAGACCTTTTGTTGCAAATAAACCACAAGCTGGCTGGTGTGGTGGTGCACACCTGTAGTCCCAGCTACCTGGGAGGCTGAGATTGGGAGGAATTCTTGAGCCCAGGAGTTCAAGTGTTCGAGTTCAGCCTGGGCAACATAGTGAGACCCCATCTCTAAAAAAATTAAATAGAGTCCACATAAGATAACACTTTGAGGTTCCAGATGGACATGAATTTTGGGGAGACATTATTCAACCTTCAGGGATCCAGGATAGGAGGAATGACATAGCAGCAGGGTGCCTTACAAACCTCTACCTAACAGAAGAAGAAAGGAAAGACTCAGAGTCCTTTCTTTCCTTCTAGGACCTGAGAGTCTATTCCCCCACCTAGCGATAATGGGTGGCCCAGAGTAATTGCAAGGGGAATCTGGCCCCACACAAGAGAGGGCAAGCTCAGGAAACTTTTCAGTACTGTGAACTTGAGATTCTCTTCCTTCATTCAGAGTCACCAGGCAGCTAGGCAACATCAGCAAGGGGCATCCTGCCACAACAGAGCCCATCCTGGAAGCACTAACAGTACCCCACAGAAAGGAAGAATCCTGCCACAACAATGCCTAGCTCGGGAAGTGCTTTTTATAATCACAGGCTAGAGGCCTCCCTCCTTTACCTAGAGGCAGTGGGTGGCCCAGCCTGGAGAATTTCCTTCACTCTCTGAATCTGCATCAACAGGGACAAGTGGAGCCCCAGTAGCACAAGATAAACCAAACAAGCAAACCAAATAGCACCACGTAGGCTATTTGAGCCAGTGCAAATTAGATGGTCATTAAAAATACAGCCCACAAAAGTAGATCAGAACCTGTATGCTAAATCTAAACAGGATGATTGCATGTTAAAATAAAAATTTAAATAGGAACCAAAGTCTCTTAACTAACAGTCAAAATGTCCAGTATAGAATTGGAAACCATCCACCATATTGAGAACCAGAAAAATTGTAGTTTGAATGAGAAAAGAAAATCAACTGATACTAACACCAAGATGAATCAGATGTTGGAATGATCTGATAAGAATTTTTAAACAACCATCATAAAAATGATTCGACAAGAATTTATAAATTCTCTTGACATAAATCTCAGCAAAAATGTAGAAGAAAATGAATATTATAGAATTAAAAATATTATAATAGAAATAAAAATCTCACTGGATTTAAGAGTGGAGTGAGGAATACAAAACATAGAATCAGTAATTTTAAGAACAGTTCAATAGCATTTACACAATCTGAGTGATAGAGGTAAAATAGAAGAAAAAAAGGAGTCTGGGCATGGTGGCTCATGCCTGTAATCCCAGCACTTTGGGAGGCCAAGGGGAGTGGACCACAAGGTCAGGAGATCAAGACCATCCTGGGTAACATGATGAAACCCCGTCTCTACTAAAAATACAAAAAATTAGCCGGGCGTGGTGGCACACACCTGTAGTCCCAGCTACTCGGGAGGCTGAGGCAGAAGAATCGCTTGAACCCAGGAGGCGGAGGTTGCAGTGAGCTGAGATCGCACCACTGCACTCCAGCCTGGGTGACAGAGTGAGACTCCATCCTAAAAAAAAGGGAGAGAGAGAGAAAGGAGAGGAGAGAGAGAGAGAACAGTTTCAGGAAGCTGTGGGACAATTACAAAAGATCCAACATTTGTATCATTGGAGTCCTGAAGAGAAGGGAGAGAGAGTGGAGTTTAAAGAATATTAAAAAAAATAATGGCTTAAAACTCCCCAAGTTTGCTGAAAGACCCACAGATGCAAGAAACTAGGCTAACCCCAAATTGAGTAAACCTAAAGAAATCTATGCCAAGACACATTATAATTAAACTTCTGAAAACTAAAAACAAAGAAAAAAATCTTGAAAGAAGCCAGAGAGAAATGACACATTAACCTATAGGACAACATCAATTCTAAATAAAACAGGTTTCTTATTTGAAACATGGAGGCCAGAAAAAAGTGGCAAAACACTTTTCAAGTGCTGAAAGAAAATACTAAAATAGGCCAGGTATGGTGGCTCATGTCTGTAATCCCAGCACTTTGGAAGGCCAAAGTGGGTAGATCACTTTGAGCCCAGGAGTTAGAGACCAGGCTGGGCAACGTGGCAAAACCCCGTCTCTACCAAAAAAAAAAATACAAAAATTAGCCAGGCATGGTGGTGCATTCCTGTAGTCCCAGCTACTTGGGAGTCTGAGGTAGGAGGATCACTTGAGCCTGGTAGGCGGAGGTTGCAGTAAGCCAAGATCACATCACTGCACTCCAGGCTATGTGACAGAGCCAGACTTTGTCTCAAAACAACAACGACAACAACAACAACAACAACAAACGAACAAACAAAAAACTAAACTCAAACATAATTTCTATGTCCAGTGAAACTATCCTTCAGAAATGAAGGACAAAGGAAAACAAAAAGATTTGTCACTAGAAGATAAATACTTATTTAAATAGTCCTATTATAATTAACGAAATTGAATTCATAGGTAAAAGCTCCTGAAAAATAAATCTTCAGGCTCAGATAGTTTCAATAAAGAATTCTGCTAAACATTTAAAGAAGTGATACTAATTTAGTACGATATTTTCCAGAAAATAAGAGGAAACACTTCCAATCTCAACTTATGAAGTCAGCATTACTCTGATACTGAAATAAGACAAAGAGTATAAAACAAAAATAAAAACAAAAACAAACTAAAAACCAATATTGCTCATGACTTAGACAGAAAAGTCCTCAAAAATATATTAGCAAATCAAATCCATCAATGTATAAAAATAATTATATACCATGGCCTGGTACGCAAGATTTTTTCAATATTCCAAAATCAATCATGTAATTCACCATATCAACAGACTAAAGGAGAAAAATTATATGATAATATCGATTGAGACAGAAAAAGTATTTGATAAAATGCAATACCCAATAATGATATCACCTCTTAGCAAATTAAGACAGAAGGGAACTTCCTTAAGTTAAAACAGGACATGTATGAATGTCTTTCTGAAGGTGAAAGACTTAATGGTAAAAGACACAATGGCGACAGATTAAATGCTTTCTATATAAGATCGGAAACGAGGCAAGGATGTATGTTCCCACCACTCTTATTCAACATAGTACTGAAAGTTCTAGCCACTACAGTAAGGCAAGGGGGAAAAAGGCATATAAATTGGAAAGAAAGAAATAAAATTGTTCTTATTTGCAAATAATATAATTGTCTACATAGAAAAACTCAACAAATGGAGAAGGGATTCAAGGCTTACTAGGTGCATCTAGTACTCGCCTCCTCCACAGAGAGGAACCAGAATAGCATGTAGATAGTCACACTTGGAATAGATCATCTAAAAGAGGATACTGGAATTCAACAGAGAAGTGGTGGGAAGCATAAAAAGCAAGGAAGGGGAGGGAAGTCAGGCAATCTACTCTGCTGGGATTGTCTAGGAGCCCGGAGAGGCTCCCTGATGTGAGGAACAAGTACGTGAGAGACCCATAATGGTCCACATCCCTGCCTCTGACTCTTACAATACTAGCCATGGGAGAGCCATTTGATTCTCCTGGGCTCTGAGAAACATAAGAGAGCTGCCGGGAGACTGTCCAACATTAAACCAGAGAAAGAGCTCACAGTGAGTCCCATAAACCTCTGAGTCCTAAGCAGTAGCAGCACAGCGCCATTTTGAAAGTCCAGCTCCCACCAGACTGCATCCTGCCCTGGGGCTCAACAGCCCCTGCATCTCTACATCCCTGGAGCCCTTTTGACAGAAGCCACTATGCTTCCTGTACAGCCTGCAGAACCATGAGCCAATTAATCCTTTTGTATTTGTAAATTACCCAGTTTCAGATATTTCTTTATAGCAGTGCAAGAATGGACTAATACAGGTACAAGCAAAGTGTGTGCCCCCCACCACCTGCCTATAGCTTCTTCCACTGAAACCAACACTGCCCGTCTCAGTAGCAGGGCCACAGCACAGCCACGGCTGCCCCTACCCAAGCATTCCACAAGCAGCCTGGGGGTCATCCTACCCCTGCCTACCATAATCCACCATATTGAGAACCAGAAAAATTGTAGTTTGAATGAGAAAAGAAAATCAACTGATACTAACACCAAGATGAATCAGATGTTGGAATGATCTGATAAGAATATAAGATAGACATACACAAATTAATTGTATTTCTATGTACTCGCAATGACTATGTGGACAGTAAAATTAAAAATACAATACCATTTATAATCACTCCAGGAAAAAAAAAACATGTAGGCATCAATCTAACAAAACACATACAAAACTTTTGTATACTGAAAACTACACAATGTTGATTAAAAAATTGAAGTATTAATAATTTTAAATACATGGAGAAACACACCATGTTTATGAATGGGAAGATTCAACATAGTAAAGATGTTAATTCTGTCCAAATTGATATACAGGTTTAACACAATTCCTATTAAAATCCCAGAGAGATTTTTTGTAGATATAGACAAAATTATTCTAGAATTTATATGGAAATGCAAAGGAACTAGAATGGCAAAACAATTTTGGAAAAAAATAGTAGCTAAATCAATTAAGTCTATTTTATTTTGAGACATTATATAGCTATAGTAATCAAGGATGTGTAGAGGAATAGACACATAGATCAATGGAACAGAACAGAGAGCCCAGAAACGACCCACACAAATATGCCTAACTGATTTTTTTTTTTTTTTGAGACAGGGTGATAGGCTGGAGTGCAGTGGCATGATCTTGGCTCACTGCAACCTCTGTCTCCTGGCCTCAAACGAGCCTCCCACCTCAGCCTCCTGAGTAGCTGGGACTCTAGGTGTATGCCACCATGCCCAGCTAATTTTTGTATTTTTAGTAGAGATGAGATTTTGCCATGTTCCCCATGCTGCTCTCAAATTCCTAGGCTCAAGTGATCTGCCTGCCTTGACCTCCCAAAGTGCTGGGATTGCAGGCATGAGCCACCACTCCCAGCTCGAAGTGATTTTTAAAAATAAAGGTACAAATGCAATTAAATGAAGAAAAGGTAGCCATTTCAAGAAGTGGTGTTGAAGCCAGTGGATGTTCATAGGAAAAAGGAAAGGAAAGAAAAGAAACTCATCACTTATGCAGAAATTAAATCAACAGATTCTAGACTTAAGTGTAAACATAACATTATAAAACTTGTAGAAAAAATTATAAAAATTCTTCAGGATGTAGGGATAAAGAGCTTTTAGACATGGTGCCAAAAGCAAGAACTATAAGAGAAAAAAAATGGATAAATTGGACTTTATCAGAATTCAAAACCTGTTCTCTGTCAAAGACTCTGCTAAAAGGATGAAAAGACAAGATATGGAGTGGGGAAAGTACTTGCAAAGCCTATATCCAACAGAGGACTAATATCTAGAATATATACAGAACTCTCAAAACTAAACAGTAAAAACCCAAACAATTCAATTAGAAAATGAAGACTTAGATTCACACAAAAACTTGTACATGAATCTTTATAATAGCTTTATTCCTAATAGCCCAAACTGGAAACAGCACAATTGTTATATAATGTATAAATGGTTAAACCGTGGTATGTCCATATCATGAAATACTACTTAGCAGTGAAAAGGAATAAACTACTGATAGGCACAACAACCTAAATGAATAGAATTGCATAGAATTATACTGGGTACAAAAGCCAACTCCAAATGGTTACATACTATATGATTCCATTTATATCATACTCTTGCAATAGTAAAATTATAGAAATGGAAAACAGATTCATTGTTGACAAGGATTAAAGATGAGCTGTGGCTATAAAAAGGCAATATGAGAAGCACTGTGGTGATGAAAGTGTTCTTTATCCTGATGGTGTCAATGTCAGTACTCTGGTGGGATATTGTACTGCAGTTCTGCAAAATGTTACCACTGGAAGAAACTGTGTAAAGAGTGTGATGGATTGCTATGTATTATTTCTTAAAATAAAATATAAATATAAAGTTATCTTAAAATGTAAAACTTAATTTAAAAACACAACATCTGCTTGAATTTATTAGGGAACCAGCAAGGTAGTTATGGTAAACTGTAAGATGACTACAAATTCATCCCATGCATATCCTTCTACAGTGTGACATAGCTGTACCTGCCACTGAGAGATGCATCCCTTGAAGTGGGATGAAGAGTTTATTTCTCCATCTCTGGAAATGAATATGAGCCAGGTGCAGTAGCTTGTACTGTAATCCCAGCACTTTGGGAGGCTCAGGTGGGAGGATTGCTTGAGGCTAGGAGTTTGAGATCAGCCTGGGTGACAGAGCAAGACCCAATTTCTACAATTTTTTAAAAAAAATTTAAAAAAAGAAACTGATGTGTATTGACCAATGGGACATGAACAAACACAATTCAAGCATAAGTTTTAAAAGCACTTCTTCAGAAACAAGGAAAGGATGTCCCGTCTCACCACTGCTTTTCAACATCATACTGGAAGTCCTAGCTAATGCAATAAGAAAAGGAAAAAAGGTGTACAGATTATGAATTAAGAAAGAAAACTCCTTGTTTCATCTGAAATCTGAAAGAAATCTGAAAGAACTGACCAAAAAACCCCTCCTGGAAATAATAAGCCATTATAGCAAGGTTGTAGGATACAAGGTCAATATACAAAATTCAATCACTCTCCTATATACCAGCAATGAATAAGTGGAATTTAAAATTAAAAGCACAACATCAAGTACATTAGCATCCCCCAAAATAAAATATTCAGGTGTAAATCTAACAAAATATGTATAAGATCTACACGAGGAAAACTACAAAACTCTTGTGAAAGAAATCAAAGAAGAACTAAATAAATTGAGAGATATCCCATGTTCATGGATAGGAAGACTCAATATTATCAAGATATCAGCTCTTCCCAATTTGATTCAACACAATCTCAATGTAAATCCCAGCAAGTTGTTTTGTGGTTATTGACAAACTGATTCTAAAGTTTACATGGGTAGGCAAAAGTCTCAGAATAGCCAACACAATATTGAAGGGGAATTAAAAAGTTCAAGGACTAACATTACCTGACTCCAAGACTTACTATAAAACTGCAGTAATCAAGACAGTGTGGTATTTGTGAAAGAATAGACAAGTAGATCAATGAAACAGAATAAAGAGTGCAGAAATAGACCCACATAAGTATAATCAACTGATCTTTGACAACAGAGAAAAAGCAGTACAACAGAGAAAAGAGAGTCTTTTCAACAAATGGTGCTAGAACAACCAGACATCCCTAGGCCAAAAAAAACAAATGAACAAACAAACAAACAAAAAAAAAACTTGATGCAAATCTTACACCCTTCATAAAAATTAACTCAAAATGGATCATAGACCTAAATGCAAAACACAAAATAATAAAAATACTAGAAGATAACATAGGAGAAAATCTAGATGAACTTGGATTTGAAGATGACTTTTTTAGATGCAACACTAAGGCGTGATCCATGAAAGAAAGAATTGATAAGCTTGACTTCTTTAAAATTAAAAAATTTTGCTCCATGAAAGATGCTATCAAGAGAATGAAAAGATATGCCACAGACTGGGACCAAACATTTGCAAAAGATGTATTTGATAAAGGACTGTTATCCAAAATATACAAAGAACTCTTGAAACTCCACAATAAGAAAAACAATTCAATTTAGAAATGGGCCAAAGACCTTAACACATACCTCACCAAAGATACACAGATGGCAAAGAAGCACATGAAAATATGCTCCACATCACATCATCAGTGACATGCAAATTAAAACAACAATGAGATACTGCTATACATCTATTAGAATGGTCAAAATCCAGAAAACTGACAACTCTAAATACTGGCAAGGAAGAATTGGAACAACAGGGATTCTCATTCATCACTGGTGAGAATGCAAAATAGTACAGCCACTTTAGAAAACAGCTTGTCAGTTTCTTGCAAAACTAAACATACACTTAACATACAATCTAGCAAGCACACTCCTTGGTATTTATTCAAAAATGTCAAAAACTTGTGTCCACACAGAAGCCTGCATGTGGATGTTTACAGAAGTTTTATTCATACTTGCCAAAATTTGGAAGCAACCAAGATGTACTTCAGTAGGTGAATGGATAAATAAACTGTGGTACATTCAGACAATCGAATATTATTCTGTGCTAAAAAGAAATGAGTTATCGGCCAGATGTGGTGGCTTGTGCCTTTAATTCTAGCAGTTTGGAAGGCCGAGGCAGGAGGATCACTTGAAGCCAGGAGTTCTAGACCAGCCTGGGCAATGTAGTGAGACCTCTTCTACAAAAAAAAGAAAGAAAGGGAATAAAGGAAGGAAGCAAGGAGGGAAGGAAGGAAGGAAGGAAGGGTGTTATCAAGCCATGAAAAGACATGGAGGAAACTTGAATGCATATTTCTAATAAAATATGAAAGAAGCCAAACTGAAAATGCTACATACTGTATGATTCCAATTATATGACATTCTGGAAAAGACAAAACTGTGGAGACAGTAAAAAGATTAGTGGTGGCTGGGCACACTGGCTCACGCCTGTAATCCCAGCACTTTGGGAGGCTGAGGTGAGCAGATCACTTGAGGTCAGGAGTTTGAGACCAGCCTGGCCACCATGGTGAAACCCCATCTCTACTAAAAATACAAAAATTAGCCGGGCATGGTGGTGGGCACCTATAATCCCAGCTACCCAGGAGGCTGAGGCAGGAGAATTGCTTGAACCCAGGAGGCGGAAGTTATGGTGAGCTGAGATCACGCCACTGCACTCACACTGCACTGCAACAGAGCAAGACTCCATCTCAAAAAAAAAAAAAAAAAGATTAGTGGTTTCCAGGAATGGGGGCGGTGCAGGATGAATAAGTGGAGCCCAGAGGATTTTGAGAACAGTGTAACTGCTCTTGCACGATGCTACAATGATACGTACACATCATTACATATTTGTCCCTACCCATAGAATGTACAACCCTAAGAGTGAACCCTAATGTAAAGTATGGACTCTGGGTAATAACAATGTGCCAATGTAGGCTCATCAACTGTAACAAATGTGCGAGATGTTGGTAATGGGGGAGGCTATGTATGTGTGGGGGAAGGGAGTATATGGGAAATCTCAGGACCTTCTGCTCAATTTTGCTAGGCAACTAAAGCTGCTCTGAAAAATAAAGTCTATTTTGAAGAAAGCACTTATTCATTAGGAGTTGCTGTTTTGGCTGAACTTAGAACTCTGAGACTACAATGTGCACAGGCCTGAACTAGTCTGCTGGAGTTCATGTGGAGGAGAAACAAAGCACCCTGGCCAACTGCCTGCAAACTTCCAGAGATGTGAGTGAGTTAGCTTCAATTGGTGGATAACCCTGAAATAAACTGTGTGGGAAAGGCAGGTTAAATGCTCAACTCATTTATTTACCAGTGCTCAGAAAAATGAATTATTACCCTAGTATGGTGTATGTGTATTGGGCTAACTTAGCTAAGCTGGAACTATGTTTTCCAGAATTTCCTTCCCTGCAGAGTTCCAGGTTAGTGTCCATCATGGTAGATATTTTGCACAAGACTTGGAAGGCAGAAGTGAAGCAGCAGCCACATATAATTGTGTATGCTCAGAAGATCAAGGCCAGGCACTGTGCAGCTTATGCACATTGTTGATATCTGTTGGCTAATTGTCCATGTGGGATAGAAGCTAGGCCTGCAGGTACTTCAGCTTCTCTGACTTCATGGTTAGAGTGTGTTTAATTCCACAATAAAGGTGCATGTCATCAACATCATTGGTGTTGATGGAGGCTTAGAGTTGGTGAGAGACTGATGTAGGCTCCTGCTCCTTTTCACAGGTTCCAATTTGTCTTTGCTCCCCCAACTTCATGTCCATCTTACATTCCTGCCTGTGTTTGTCCTCAGGCGCTGGCAGCTGACTTAGAAGCAACAGCTTCACACAGATGGTATAACCAGCTCTCACATTTGAGTAAGGTCAAAACCCTATGATAAATCCTTCATTTTAAATATCTCCTGGTGGTTATCCCTCTCTGATGACTCTAGAAGATACCCCTAGCAACTTCCAAAGTAATCAGTGACTTACTTTAAAAAAAAATAGCTTATTTACTTACAGATGAGACTTCCAATTTCAGCATTAACATGCAAGGGACTTGGAAGTCAATGTTCTATACTTAAAACAAGAAAAAAGCTAAACTGAAAAATCAGTGGCTTTTCTTAGATCCATCAGAGAATCGAGGTCACAGTGCAAACCACCACCCTGGAGAGACTGGTGCATAGAGAGGAACAAGCAGAATCAGCTTACCTGAGCAGAAGCTCCTGGAGCAATGGTAGGTACACTTACACGGTAGTTTTGATGAAATGTTGGAGGCTGAATGTGTATTAGTTTGAGAGTGAGATACTTTCCTGGGGGCTCAGGCATAGGGGGGTCTCCACACTTTCATGGTTTTATTTTCAGTAACCTCACCAGGTTCTCAAGGTGAAGATCTAAGAGAAATCCCCTTCTGTCCAGAGTGTTCTCCATAACTAAGGCCTGCCCTTTAGGGGAGAGCCTTATGTACCTCAGGGCAAATCCAGCCTCCTCTAGCCTTCCTGTCTCACCTAAGGGGAGAAAAAACAAAAAGCTAAGAAACACTTCTGGCAGTCACAGGCCAGTGACTTTTGCCCAGTAGAAGACATTTGCATGAGGTTACAGATTGCTTCCTCTCCTCCAACTTTACGTCAACAGGACTCTAGTAACAGTGGATTATAACTGCCAGAGTTATAAGACACAGGCTCTATTTAAGAAGGAGTTCTTAGGGAAATCCAAAGATAACAGGGGAGGGGGAAAATCCAACAAAGACACTACAGGAAATGGAAGCTTATGGCGCCTACAGGTAGAGCAAACAGTAAACTTGGTTCAGCTCCTAGCTAAATTAACATAACTCCTCGCTCCAAAGGCCTATTTCTCTCCCTTCCTATGACTTGATACATCACATTGGTTTTCAAAACAAACAAAGAAACAAACAAAAAACGACAAAGCATGCTAAAAGGCAAGAAAAAAACGTAATTTGAAAAGACAAAGCAATCTTCAGAACCAGACTCAGATATGTACTCACGGATGAGTTTCAACCCAATGCAGTAATTATTGTTTCTAATGTCCACATTTTTCCATTTTTGGCCAGTGGAAGTCCTTTCAGGTTGGTTTCTCTGTCCTTTTGGCACAGCCCTCAGAGTAGCTTCCCTGCTACTCAGACTCACCTTGTATATTTCTTGTCCATGTGTACAGCTAGCTTTTTCTCCACAGAGCCCTCATTCCTCTTAGGAGGCAATGGTAATTAGAGGTCACAGTCTAGGGGTTCAGGGTGTTTGTTGCCAGAGTTGGTTGTTACTTCTAGGCCTTTTCAGTTAGTATAAGAACAGAGGCTGCTTTTTATAATTATTTATTGTTATAGTTTTTAAAAAGAAAAATACATCATAAGCCTCTACTGATAATTCCAGTTTAAATTTAGCATTCCATGCGTTTTAGTTAAATTCTTTGAATTTATATTTGTATTTCTTTTCTCTTCTGCAAAAATTTTGACTACTAACTATATTAGCAGTTACTTATTTGTTTTATCTCACTATGCATAATAATTTCAAACTAACAAACCAATATTATTACTAAAATAGACTTACTAAATACAATTTAAGATATTTTTGAAGTTTTAAAAATCTTTATAACATATTAATGTGTTTTAAAATCACTTCAGCTAATTCTCTGTGGTTAAGCCCCAACCTTGATATGCAGTAGTCTCAGTCTGTTTTCTGTAGCTTATAACAGAATACCTAAACTGGGTAATTTGTAAAGTCAAGGAATTTATTTCTTACAGTTCTGGAGGCCGAGGAGTCCAAGGTCAGTGAGAGGCATCTTCTGAGGTTCTTCTTGCTGGCAGGGACTCTCTACAGAGTCACAAGGCAGCATGGGGTGTTACACGGCAAGCGGTTGAGTGTGCCATCTCAGGTCTTTCTCTTATAAAGCCACCAGTTCCACTTCCACAATAACCCATTAATTCATTAACCTACTAATCCATTAATCCATGAACTGATTAATTCCATTGATGAAAACAGAACCTTCAAGACCCAATCACTTCTTAAAGGCCCCACTGCTCAATACTGCCACACTGGGGATTAAAGTTCAGCATGAGTTTTGGAGGAGGCAGATATTCAAACCATAGCAGTAAAGTTTATAGAATTCATTGTGTCTTTTATTTTTGATGTTACTTTTAATTTTAACATTTAATTTTGTTTTATAATTATGTAGGATGGCTCCAAAGTCAAAACTACAACAAGATATTTTCAGAGAAGATTAATTTCCAATCCTGTCTCCTCTGTCCTGTTATTGGAAACCATTTTCATTAGTTTTTGGTTTATCCTTTCTTTGTTAAAAATATAAGCAAATTTATTCATTTATTTCTTCTTGTTTGTACTTAAATTCTCCCTTTCTTAGATAAAAGGCACCGTGCTGTATACCGTTCTGTATTTTGCTTTTTTTTCCCTTGTCGACTCTCATTCCATAGTTGTGTATCTGTAACTGGATTCTGGGTGAACTGCACCTATCAGGATGCAAATAGGAAGCAGCTATATTGGTTCTCCCCACTTCCCCTCCAAACCAGCTCTTCTTTTATTCTTTGTTGCCCCTGGGTGAAATCTCTGGCCGTTCTCAGGTTATCCCAATCACCAACAGCTAACAAGTGAATAGCATCTTTCCCCAAACATTAGAATGTTCAGTCCAGTGTGATATCAAAACTCCAACTTTATTTAGAGCTTTCCCTCTCCCTCAGCTCAGAACGACAGCAGAATGAGTACCCTGCAGTGGGACAAGTGTGTGGGTGGGAGGCGTTATCAACTGCTCTCTTCTTTTCCTTCGCCTGCCCACCCTCCCAGCTGCTGGTTATTCTTCAGAGTGGGAAGACACAGGATAGTTCTTGCTTGGCTGCTCTAGTTGTCACTGGGTGCTGGTGCTCTCTGGGTGTGGCCATTCCAAATGCTGATTGTCTCACTCTAGAGGTAGCTTCCTGGGGTCTTTGGAGACCATTTTATCACTAAGGATCGCTCACCTACAGTTCCCTAGGCACAGATATTATCCCACTTGCTCTTCCCATGTAAGTCACCACTTAGCCCCTTCGTATCTGGGGAGACACCTGGTCCCTTCACACTCTCAAGGTGACCCAGCCTCGCTTCCTTCTTCAGGCTCCACATGTGAGCCAGGAACTCAGGGATCCTTTGCCCATCCAGATTCTGGAAGCAGTAGCTGCTCTCAGGTAGCTGCTTCTCTTCCCTCTGCCAACCTAGGGCAGCTGCAATGCAGACTCTCTTAGACTTTTCGAATGTGAATTGGACACATCCAATTCACACATCTACATCCTTCAAATGCTAAGGAACATGTGTCAAACTCTCTATGTGGTTTTCCTGAAACTCTTTAATTTGGCTGGAGGTGCCAGAATGCCCAGCACGCTGCCAAATCTCTCCAAAAATGCTTCTTCACTGGACTCTTCCACATCTTCAAACATTTTTTTTTGTCTTTGTTTTTATGGCATGGAGGTGGGTGATGGACCAGTGCTGGCAGACCCAGTTTTGGCATTATGATCACACATGTCCTATAGAAGTTGTCTAGCATCCCACTTTAGAAGTGGGGAATATGGGCTTCTATCACTTTGTTCTGGGCCTCTGGGGCCGCTGCCAAAATTCTGAGGTGAAAGAAAAGCTGTAATTTCATTTTATTTTTTATTTTTATTTTTTGAGATGGAGCCTCGCTTTGTTGCCCAGACTGGAGTGCAGTAGCGTGATCTCGGCTCACTGCAACCTCCGCCTTCTGGGTTTAAGCTATTTTCCTGCCTCAGCCTGCCAAGTAGCTGGGAATACAGGCGCGTGCCACCACGCCTGGCTAATTTTTGTATTTTCAGTACAGATGGGGTTTCACCATGTTGGCCAGGATGGTCTCGAAATCCTGACCTCAAGTGATCCACCCACCTAGGCCTTCCAAAGTGCTGGGATTTCATGTTCTGTTGTCTTTCTAATGAGTTGTGTTCTGAATGTAGCATTTGAGTTATTTTCCCATATTGCAGGTGGGAAAGACAAAGTGGCTCATTCCACAGCCCATAGTAACTGTTAAAACAGAGATTCTTAGCTCTGGTGCCTTTGTTAGCCACCAAGACCTGGAACTGTGGGCTGCTCTGTTGCAAAAACTATTTCTAAGCATTTATTGTGGCCCAACATTTTCCTGTTGGAAAGATTCCAGTTCCTCTCTTCCTCTTGACTCCTGGGGCTGACAGGCGGCCTTCCCCTGCTGCGGGCAGCATCCCATGCTTCCAGATGGACACTCAACATCTTCAAGCACAATGTGTGGTTAAGGGCATGTGTTTAGAGACAAACCCCCTGGCTCTGCCTCTTTCTAGCTGTGAGAGTTTCTGGGCAAGTCACCTAACTGTGTACTTTGAACCTTGTCATAAAATGGGTATATTAACACCATCAGTTTTGCAGAATATGGTAAGGATTGGAGAGAGGTGTGTGTGTGATGTTTAGTCTGGGGCCTAGCACATAGTAAATGCTCAGTAAATGGTAATATATTAGTCCAGCTAGCTAGGCCATGCTGCTGCAACAAACACAAAAAATGCTCAACCTGAGGTATTTGGCACACAGGGCTATTTTCCATGCACTGCTTTCTGATGTGAGCTGGGTGGGCCTTTCTTCTTGTGGCTCTATTGTCTAGAACACATGACCTCCATGGTCACTATATCAGGAAAAGAGAGAGCCGGGGTCATAGGGGATATTTTTAAAGACAAAGTCTGGAAGTGGCTCATGCCTCTGCCATCTTTTTTCTATTGGGCAGAACTCAGTAACATGGCCCTGATCTTATTTTAAGGCAAATATGGTTTTCCTTTGTGCCCAGGAATAAGAAATGGTGTGGTGAACACATAGCATTGCCCACTTGCTATTCAGCAGGGAGACCCTTTTGGCCCTTGGTTGTGGCAGACAGAAAGGGTTCAGGAAACACAAGATGATTGATTGACTTCGCTTTGGAGGGAGGGAGAGGCCACCTTCTCCCACCCTGACTCATGGTGGCACTCAGACCACCTGGAAGGCAGAAGTCTGGGCAGGTGGCAGCACTCTGGGGAAGGGTCAGGCTCAGAAGGGCAGAGGTTCCCTGGGGAGCACATGGTGCCTACCATCTGGCCTGAGGCCTCATTCGACCCCCAGGGCTGGCTTCGCTTCTGTGGCTTCCCAGGCAGGGCCAAGGTGGGACCTTGTGCTGTTGGAGATTCACACACTTGTTTCTGCAGTCAGCCTTGGTGTCACAGGCATGGTGCAGGCATGGGACTTTGCTCTGTTGAGGATTCCACACTTGTTTCTGTGATCAGTGCCTTATCACAGGCCTCCATCCTCCCTGACTTTCCTCCATCCTAAGCCTCAGAGGCAGATCCTGTGTAGCTTAGGTCACTGACTGGAGTCCTGCTGTCCCCACAGTACCTGCAGGCTCCAAAACTTCCATGGCTTCCTATGGCCTACAGTGCAAGTCACAGACTAAGAATGTAAGAGCTGGGGTGATCTTGGAAATCTCTGAGTCCAGGGGTGTCTTTGGGCAGCTAAGGAAAGAGGTGCCCAGAGTCCTGGCTTTACTATGTATTTATGTTTCATATTCTGAACAATGTCTTAGTCCATTCAGCTGCTATAATACAACACAATAAATTGGGTGGCAAATAAACAACAGAAATGTATTTCGAACAGTTCTAGAGGCTGGGAAATCCAAGAGGAAAGAAAGCACCAGCAGATTGGGTGTCTAGTGAGAGGCATCTTCCTGTCTTATACAGGACACCTTCCTGCTGCATCTTCACATGGTGGAAGGGGTAAATGAGCTCCCTTGTGCCTCTCTTATAAGGGCACTAATCCCATTCATAAAAGTTTCACCTAATGACCTAATCACCTCCCAAAGTCTCCAGCTCCAAATACCATCGTCTTGGGGATTAGATTTCAATGTACGCATTTTCAGGGACACAAACATTGAAACCATAGCACCCAAATAATTTTCCAAGCCTCCTCTTCCAACACCCCCCAAGATGATCTCCATCTTTCCAGGTCAGCCTCTGTCATCGAACATGTCATTTAGAGTCCCAGCCTCACACCTCTGCCAATGCCAATTCCATCGCCTGAAAGGGCACTCCGCCTTTGACTTACTTGGGTTTCGCAAGACTTTCTCATCTCCGGAGCTCACTCTTCATCTTGAGCTCCTGCAGCCTAGATGGGCCTGTGCTGTGGTCCTCTCTGACTGTCTAAATTTTTACTTGACTCTGAATGTCCTTATGGGATTGTGTTTCTGTCCTTGCACCACCAGGGCTCTAGGAGGGGAAGGGTCACTAGTAATAACAACGGGTTGAAGATAACAGCAAACTGGATCAGGCTTCATGTGCTTGATACTATTGTCTTCATCAATTCCATTGCAAACATAGAGGATGGGAATGATCACCGCCATGTTACAGATGAGGAAACAGGCTCAGAGGGATTGAGTTACTTGCCCAAGGTGACCCAGTTTGTGAGCTGCAGAGCAAGCATCTGAATGGCAGTGTGACTGACCCTGAACTCAAGCCCTTAATATTGGGCTGTCTGGTCACATGGGTGGCTCCTGCTCATGGTGGTGGCAGGTACTGGTGACTGTCTACTCTTCCAGACAGCTCCATCTGAATGGCATGCATGGGGAAACTGAGGCCCACTGAAGGTCACACTGCCTAAGCACCGAGCCGGGAGGTAGAGGTAGCTCTGTCGTATCCCACGGACTTGCCTTACACCGGGGTGGGGGCTTTGCTACCTTTCCTGGTCATTTTATTTCCTGCTCCAGCAGAAAGTGACCTGGGAGAGGATGCGCCAGAGACACTATTGGTTCCTATATGGCATAGGGACTGCTGACCCCCTCCTCCTGCCTTTCCCCTGCAGACCATAGGTCCCAGCACCATTGAAATTTCAGTCCCAAACCTCAGCCAGACCCTGAACATATGTTCCACCCTGAAAGGAACAATGAAGCAAGCCTCCAGGCTTAATTAAGACCCCACAAAAAGCCCTTCTGGGCTGGCCTTATTCTCTGCTTTTGGTTGCTTTTTCACCCACCCCACCCCCGCTCTTCTGTTTCTGCCACTTCCTCTGTGGAAAGGATGAAAGGCATTCGAGACACCCGGGCTCTTCCATACTCCCTGGTCCTCTTTTCTTCCAGTCTGCCCTCCCTCCACTCTTCTAAGCCCTGAAGTAGGAGAGGAGGCTGCCTGGGTTCGGGCGCCCAGCTGCAGAAACAGGCAGGCAGTGAGAGACTGCCTGGCTTCCAGTGCTTGCAGGGCTGCCCTCCCTGGGCTGGGACCCTCTGGCTAAGTTGTGGGGTCAGCCTGGCCCAGGTCTGCAATCTGATCTGGATTTTGGAGGAAGATTCTGCAACAGGTGGCTGCACTGACTTTAAGGTGGAGCCCCAGTTCTGAGGGCTCTGTAGCTGCACCCTTGGGTCCAGGTCTACTGGCCTGTGAAGGGTCGTCAAAAGGCCCAAGCATGGCACAGGGGTGCAAGGAATTTTTATGTTGAATAAATATATGAATTTTTACTTATTTAACAAAGCTCATGTACTGTGTACTGGATGCCTAAGACCTATTAATCCTCACATTAGGTATTATCATCCCTATTTTGCACATGAGACCATCAAGGGACAGAGAGATTAAGCAAACTGCACAAGATCACACAGCAAGTAGAGGATTTGAATCCAAGCGAACTGGCCTCAGAGGCCATACACTTAATACCTGCCTAGGCTGCTTCTAATGGAAGAACAGACCCATTTGACCACCACCAGATAAACTGACTCCTTCCTCAGTTCTGTTCCTCTGAATTCTCTGTGCAGTTCCACAAATTATTATAAAGTGAAAGTCTGTGAAACCACTAGCCAGGTCAGGAAATTGAGCACCGCCAGCACCTCAGTCTCCCTGCCCATCGTGTGCAAGCCTTTTTCTGGGCACAGCTTCTCCTGTACCCTAGAGCTAACCATTACATTTTCAGTAATAATTTCATTGCATTTCTTTGTACTTTTAGCACCCCAGTATGCATCCTTAGACAATATAATTCAATTTTACTCTCCTTTGATCTTTATATAAATGAAACCATGCAGTAAAATTTATTTTGCTTTTGGCTTCTTTTGTTCAATATAATATTTTTCTATTCAACTATAGTATTGCATATAGTTGGTGTTCATAGCCTTTACTACTCTATAGTATTATATTGTATACTATAATTTATCGATTTTACTCTGACAGACATTTGAATTGTTTTCCAGCTTCTATTATGAAAAATGCTTGTATATATGACATGGTGCACATGACCATTCACTTTTGTGTCCTGGGTCATGAAGAATGCAAATATTCCCCCTTCCTAGGCAATTCCAAATGGTTTTTCAAAGTGGTTGTACCAACTTACACATCCACTGGCAGCGTATGGAAACTCTCATTGCTGTAACTCAGCACCAATACTTGGTGTTGTCAGACTTGGTAATTAGAGTCTATCTATTCTATCTATCTGATGAATGTGTGGAAGTATCTTGTGAAGGTTTTAATTTGTATTTCTCTGATTGTTAATGATGCTGGGCACTTTTTCAAAACTTTATTGGCCATTTGGGTTTCTTTCTTTTGTAATGTACCTGATCAAATCTTTTGCCCACTTTTTTACGGATTGTCTATTTTCTTATTCATTTTAGAGGCTCTCTGTATATTCTGGATATGAATCATTTGTGGCTCTATGTATTGCAAAAAACCTTTTCTTGGGCACGGAGCTGCCTTTTTACTTAAAAAAAGTCTTGATCAATGAGTTCTTAATGTAAATTTAATGTAATAAAATTTATCAATCATTTTCTTTATGGTTGGCATTTCTTATAATGTGTTCAGAAAATTTCTCCTACTCTGAGGTCTAGAATATCTATATTTATATTTATACATATGATTTATATTCTAAATCCTTTGTGTTTTGCCTTTCATATTTAGGTCAATGATACAAGAATTTATTTTTGGTATATGTACAAATATATTAGGTAGGGGTCCAATTTCATTTTTTTTCTTACAGGAATACCCAATTATCACAGCACCATTTATTTAAAAGATTCCTTTTCCTATGTTCTGCACTTCCACTTTGCCATAAATCCCAGTTTATGGGTTTGTTTCTAGACTCTATCTACTGATTGGTCATTTTGTTATTCCTGTACCTAGGTCATAGTGTCTTAATCTCTTAATTTCTATAACCTTAAGATTGAATGTCTGCTTCCAGGAAGATGGAGAAAATATACTTTTTTATATTCCTCCTCAGTACAACTAAAAACTCTGAACGTTAGGTGTAAAACAAACATAAGAAGACTTTGAAAGATGGACAGAAGAAGGCAGGCAGTTTGGGGGCTTTGGAATCTGAAGAAAGACACAACACGGGGTGAATTCCGTGAGTTTGCCTTCTGGCTCATATGTCCCGGATTAGCAGCTGAAGAAGCTAGCAACCTGGAAGCAGCCAAGTGTATAGATAACAAAAGCCCCCTAAAAGCCACCTCTTTCTAGCCAAAGTACTAGGAAAGGTACCTAGAAAGACTAAAAGTTTTTAGCCAATAGCTGCTTTACTTTAGCCAAACACCACAGGAAAAACTCACACCTGCAAAGACCAAGTGGCAAGCCTAGACTTACACCTTTTTAAGGCCATAACAAGCCATCCAGAACCCCTGCTGGAATGGTGTTAGAGGCTGAATAGGAAGTCAGTACCTTAGTCTTCCTTATCTGGTAATGTATCTCTCCCCCACCATGATGTCAGTGGAGACAATCTGGGGAATAGGAAACCCCATACCCCTTAGCAGTAATGAGGAGCACTCCCTCCCCATAACTTGGGTGTCTATGAGGCTGAGTGGGAAACCTTGGCTTCTACCTCCACAGATCATGAATGATGCAGTGCCTCTCCTTTCCCTGATGGAGCACTGACAGAAAAAGCTAGCTAAAACAGAAAGTTTAATAAGAGCCAGAGTCTCATAATATAATGCAAAAAATCCAGATTTTATTAGAAAATCACTTGTCAAAACTAAGAACTAGGAAGGCATCAAATTGAATGAAAAAGACATTAGTAGATGGCAACACTGAAAGACAGAGGTGTTAGAATTATCTGACAAAGATTTTAAAGCAACCAAAATATAAATGTTTTATTGGGCAATTATGAACACGCTTGAAGTAGTGACAAAATAGAAAGCCTCAACAATAGAGTAGAAGACATAAAAAAGAACTAATGGAAAGGAGAAATGGAAAAGTATAATAATTCAAATAAAAGGCTGAGCAGATGGGCTCAACAGCAGAATGGAATCAGTGAGCTGGAAGATATTTAATAGAACAATACAAATTGCCCAGTCTGAACAAATAGGCAGAAAATAGACTAAAACCAAACAAACAAACAGGAAAACCCAGAGCCTCAGGGACCTGTAGGACTACAACAAAAGATTTAACATTTGTGTCACTGAAGACACAGAAGGAGAGGAGGAGAGTGAGGCTAAAAAGTAGTCAAATAAATAATGGCTAAAAACTTTCCAAATTTGGCAACAGATATAAATCTACTGATTCAAGAACAGAGTGAATCCCAAATAGGAAAATTCCAAGGAAATCCATCTGAAACACATCATAATTAAACTTCTGAAAAATCAAAGACAAAGAAAATACCTTGAAAGCAGCCAAGGGAAAAAATGACACCTTATCCTTAGGGGAAAACAATTCAAATAACAGCAGATTTTTCATTAGATACCATGGAGGCTAGAGGGAAATGGTACAATATTTTTCAGGTGTTGAAAGAAAGAACTGTCAACACTAGTGAAAATATCTAGTCAACACTAGAACTCTCTCTCTAGTGAAAATATTCTTCGTGAATGCAGAGTATATCAAGACAATCACAGATGAAAGAAAACGAAAGTAATTTGTTACCAGACCTACCCTAAAACAAAAAGGCTAGAGGAAGTTCTCCAAATAGAAAGGAAACAATATAAGAAAGAAACTTAGAATAGTAGGAAAGAAAAAAATAACATGGTAAGCAAAAATATGAGGAAGTACAATAAACTTTCCTTTTACTTTTGAATTTTATAAATTATATTTGTCTGTTAAAGCAAAAATTATAACACTGATGTGGCTCAAAACACATGTAGAGAGAATCTTTCAGTCAATTACAGTATAACGGGGCGAGTAAAGGAACATAAAGGGAAGCAGGTTCTTACATTTCACCCAAATGAATAAAATGTTGACCCCAGTGGACTGTGATAAGTTGTACATATATTATATCCAGAGTAACTACTAAATAAGCTATACAAAGAGATATACATAATAAAATACTATCGATAAATCAAAATGGAATTTTAAAAAGTGTTCAAGTAACCCACAGGATTACAGGAATGAAAAAAAACAAAAACAAAAACAGAGAAATGACAAACAGAACAAACAGAAACAAAAAATAAATTGGCAATTTAAGCCCTAATGTGTCACTAATTACATTAAATGTAATGGTCTAAATAATCCAAATAAAAGGCAGTCTGGCAGAGTGGATTAAAAACATGATCCACCTATATTCTGTGTATAAGAAATTCTCTTCAAATATAACAATTTAGGCAAGTTGAAAGTAAAATGATGGAAAAAGGTATATTATGCAAACATGAATTAAAGAAAAGCAGGACTTCAGAGCAAGAAAAATTACCAGAGATGGAAAGAGACATTATGTATGATGAAACAATCAATCCACCAAGAAGACATATCAAAACTAAATGTGTACGTACCAAACAACAGAGCTGCAAAACATGTGACGCAAAAACTGGCAGGAGAAATAGACAAATGTATAATTATTGTTAGAGATATCAATATGTCTCTTTCAACAGTTGATAGAACAATTAGTCAGAAAATCATAAAAAATATACAACACCATCAAACAACAGCATGTAAACAACATTCATAGGCTGGGCATGGCAACTCACACTTGTGATCCCAGCACTTTGGGAGGCTGAGGCAAGAGGATTGCTTGAGCCCAGGAGTTCAAGACCAGCCTGTGCAACATAGCAAGAACCCATCTATATAAAAAATTTTAAAAATTAGCTGGGCACATACCTGTAGTCCCAGCTACTTGGGAAGCTAAGGCAGGAGGTCAAGGCTGCAGAGAGCTGTGATTACGCCACTGCACTCCAGCCTTGATGACAGAGCCAGAACCTGTCACAAAAAAAAAAAAAAGAAAAGAAAAGTAAAGAAAAAGAAAGATTTATGGAACATTCCATCCAAAACCAGCAGAATGGATATTCTTTTCAACCTTCTATGAAACATTCATCAAGATAGACCATATCCTGGGCCCTAGAACAAACCTCAACAAACTTAAAAGAATTGAACTCATACAGAGTGTGTTCTCTGACCACAATGTAATTACTAGAACCAATAATGGAAAGATAACAGGAAATCTCCAACACTTGTAGACTAAATGATCCTTTAACATAATCCATGGACCAAAGGGGAAGTAGCAAAAGAAATTTAAAAATACATATAACTAAATGAAAATGAAAATACACGTCAAAATGTGTGGGGCACAGCTAAAAGTGCTAACAGGGAAATTTATAGCACTAAATGTTTACATTGAAACATCTCAAATCAATAATCTAAACTCCCGACTCAAGAACTTAGAAACAGAAGAACAAAATAAACCCAAAGCAAACAGAAGGAAGGAAATAATAAAGATAAGAGCAGAAATCAATGAAATTGAAAACAGAAAAATAGAAACAGAAGACTCAGTGAAGCAGCGCTGGTTCTTTGAAAAGATCAGTCAATAAGATTGATAAACCTCTAGCAAAAGTGAAAGACACAAGATAGAAGACACAAGTACCAATATCCGGAATGACACAGGGATATCAGTGCCTGCCCTGTAGCCATGTGACTCGTTCTTCACAATGGAATGTGAGGGAAGTAATATGTGCTACACCTACAATACTTTTCTTTAAAAGAAATCACTAGCCCTCATTTCTTCTGTCTCACCTTTCCATGAGCTGCATATGGCGAAGAAGTTGGTGAGGCAGTTTTGACGACGCAAATAAGGGTGGCATCCTAGGGTGTAGGGGAGCAATAAGCTAGGAAGAGTGGATGTCCTTGGCTGGCCTTGTGAAGCAGAGCTGCCCATCTACTTGATTGAGTCACTGTATATTTTTTTTGTTCCAGCAGCATAGCCTGTACTCAAGCTAATATATTACACCTAGGTGGGTTTATGTCTTAGGGGACTTACATACTTACATATAACCAAGATATTGTGGGGCCACTCCAGTCTTCTGACTATGTAAGGTGTTTTCTGAGGCCTCCATCAATCCTCTGGTCCCCCATCATCTGTCCATGGATGAGGGCCATCACTGAACCACCCTTCATACCTGTCTACCTGACCCTTTCAAGTCCAGCAATTTTCCCACTACTACTACTACTACTACTACTACTACTACTACTACTACTACTTACTACTCCCTTGTCATTGCTGGAGCACAAGAATCCTTCCACCACACCTCAGACACAATGGACCCAAGGATTTCCACAAGGCCATATAAGGCCCTACCTGTCATACTCACTATCTGGCCATTCCCTTTCCCAAGCCTCATGCCCACCTTTGAGATCCAGCACACAACACCTATGCTCCCATCATTTCCTCCTTTCCCAGTGTTTTCTCTGAAGAGGCCCCTGTCATACTGTCTTCCATGGCCACAGGCCTAAGGAGGCACCAACAGTGGGCACTGGCAAGCTAGTGCTGCCTTTCTCCCACACCATTCTCTGAGTAATAAACACAGGCATAGTGTCTGCCAGAGTAGGGGAAAGAGACAGGGGGAAATAGCAGGAGAAAGAGATAGATAGATTAATATATTTAAAATGACATCACCATTATCATCATGCCATTCTCTTTTGAGGCAGAAACAGTTGTTCCCACCTGCAGAGTCAGAGAACAGGCCAGGACACCTGACTTAAAAATTATGACCTCTGCTATGAACAGAAAACCAAAAGCACATTTTTATTGACCACATGTTGGGGTTAAGGCATGACCCAATGCCCAATCTTGTGCTGATGGCACTGGGGAAGGTGGGGGCACAATTGTAAAGAGGCTGCAGAGCTGAGATGAACTCAGGGGAGTCTGTTTGGTGGATGCAAAAGCCTGGAATGCAGAGCCCGGGGACCTGCCTTCATTTGAACGCTGGCTCTGTCACTGACCTTGGGCTCATCATCTACCTTGTCTCTGAGCCTCAATTTCACCTTGGTAAAAGAGGAATAATAACACCTACTCTTTCTATTTCATAATCCAAAAAAGAATGAAGTGGTCTCTGGGAAAACACTTTGGAAGTAAGGACTCTGCACATATAGGGGTTATTATTATTATTACATGAAACAATCACGTTTGTGGATGAAGGGATTTAGATTGGGTGGAGCTGGCCTTCCAGCAGATATTCAGGCCCAAGCAAAGCAGGCCTTTGGGTGATCTACTTCAGGGAAAGCAAAGAGGCCAGGTGGGCAGAGCTGAGGGAAGGAGTTGCTGACAGTGTGCTGGGGCTAGAGTTGGAGGGTTGTCAAAGCCTTGCCAATGAGTTGGGGCTTGTTGGAGCAGACAGTAGGGACCATTGCAGGTTCTTGAGCAGGAGAGACACCTGAAGAAGGTGGAGAGATAGCAAAAGTGGTATGTTGCCTCCTTAGGCTATTTTAGTTGGTAATAATAGGCTATTTCTAAGTCCAGTCAAGCACTATCACTTCCCACCCCAAAGCTGTTCTTGACTTTTCTGTAGGGACTTGCTTCTTCCTCTCGACTCTTACGGTTCTCTCCAGCTGGAGTGTATCTCTCTGGCAGCAGTTATACCAGCTCAAATCTTCCTGAAAACATCCATGATTTTCTGCCTGTATCCCCTGGTTTCCCAGCCCACAGAGGTTACCTCCCTCTTGGGGCTCCTGAGTTCCGTGACCTACTTATGGGGTTCTGTTCATGGAAGGCAGTGTTTCTCGGCCCTAGCTGCTCATTAGAAGACTGGTTTTTAAAATGTCTCCATGCACAGATTGTAACCCAGATCAACGACATTGTGATCTCTGGGGTGGAACCTAGGTATTGGGATGGTTTCTAAACATTCCAGGTAATTCCAATGTGCACATTGCGATTTGGGATCACAGGCCACCTCTGACAATCGGGCATCCTGCCTTGTGATTACTGCTTTCATGCGTGCACTTGGCATACCTGGAACACACTGGGGTGTGGGGAGAAAGCACTAGGATTTTGGTTTATATTTACTTTACATCCTATGCTTTTAAAATGTGCATGCTTTACAATCGACTTGATAGTAGAAGAGGTAATGATCATAACAGTCAGCAGCCGTTGAGCATGTACTGCAGCCAGGCTCTCATCCAAGCACTTGACACGAAAGTGCCAGAAAGCAGTCACACCAACATTCAAACACAGGATGGCTCCAGCAGCCACCTTTTATCCATCATGCCAATCTGTTCTCACAGTACACATGTGTAATTTAGAAACAAACAAAAATAGTAACATATAAATAAGATACAGATACCAGAGCGACCCGTGAAACATTTTTTGCTGATAAGGTTTCATGATCAAATAATCAGACTATGGTGGCCGACTATGAGTCCTCCAGGCCAGGTCTAAATCTCTCTCTTAGTTTTGTTCCTTCTGCCCAGCAGCTAGCAGAATCTGGGTTCTAATAAATGCTCAACAAATATCTGCCACTCCCACAAACATTTATTAAATGATAATCATAGCTAACGTTTATCAACATTGCCAATGTGCCAGAGACATCATACTTAATCTTCACAGAAGTCCTGTAAGGCTATGATTACACCTGCTTTGTGACACTGAGCAGCTAAGTAACTTGCTAGAGTCCAGAACCTGAACCCAGACTGTGGGACTGCACAGCTCATTCTCCCCCACTGGTGAGCAGGTCCACAGGGAGCAGCTTATGAAGGTGGTGGGGGAGAAGTGGATTTTAAAACATCAGGAAGGAGGCAGAGGTGGATCATTCACTCCCTGCAGGTGGTTCCTTCTGCCAAGAGTGACCTTCTCTATCCTTACCTACCCTCCTGCCCCAGCTCAAACGCATCTTCTCCTGGAAGCCTACAGAGGGTTCTGCCCCGTTCCTGCCTCATCTTCCCCACTGAACTTGGAACTCCTAGAGGGCAGGGTTGGGTCCTACTCAAGGGGCATCCACGGAGCTGGGTCAGCAAACATAACACTGGTCATCTGAGCCTGCGCCCGCCCTTCCTCCCAGGCCAGGGCGCCCCCACCCCCTGGGTTTTTCCTCCGTGGACGCCGCTTCCTTTTCCTTCTTTTCTCCCTCCTCCTTCTTCTCCTTCTTTTCCACGTGTCTTCTCCTCCCATCCTCTTTTCTCTCCATCCCCACCTCCCACTCCTTCCCACGCCCCATCTCCCCGACCCCCAGCACCCCGCGCCGCCCCCAACCCTGGGCCGGGCAGGTGCAATTCCTCAGGCGGCCTACAGAGGGCGATGTGCGCCGCCACTGGGCCGCGCCCCTCCGGCGCGCGCTTCCTGTGAGGTCAGGTGGGAGGAAACCGCCTGGAGCCGCCGGGAGTGGACGCCGCCGAGGCCCGGAGTCGCGCCTGCAGGTGAGTCGCCGCGCCGGGGAGGGAGCGCATCCCTCGCTGCAGCCCGGGCCGGGACTTGGAGCCGGTGTCGGGCTCCAGAGGCTGGGGCTGGCGGCCGGGGCAGCGTCCCTCCCGCCCCCGGCCCGGAATGTCAGGTGCGCCGCGGGCCGGGCGCGCGGGTGGCCCACCGGGCGGGGGCGCGATGACAAAGCACAAAGGGACTGCGCGCGACCACCATCCGCTCGGCCTGCGCCAGGGCCAGCGGGCTTCAGGAGGGGGACGCGCCTGTCCCGGGCTCCAGGCTACGGGCAAGACCACAGGGCTCCTGACCTTTTTCGGCATACATGTCACCAGTGCTATCTGGAATGTAGGTGGACACTGAGGCTCATCTCCTGAGAATGAATGGCCTTTACCCAGACTCAAGGGGAGGCGTGGAGGGGCCCCGCAGTCCAGGGGTCCGCGGAGTGGAGCCTTTCGAGGGCCACCGCAGCAACCCCCTCCCATATTTTGGGAAGGCTGGGCCCTGCGCCCGTTAGCCAAGGTTGGACTGGTGTTCCCTGCGAAGTGAGGGACAGGTGAGGGGCGTGCCCTCTGCAGCAAAGGTGTGCTCTTCCGAGGCGCATGATGGCTAGGATGGTCTGCCGCTACCAGGCAGTGGTTGTAAAGTAACCCCGAAGTGACCCTCATCTCCCTGGGTGTTCCTGGGGAAGGCCCAGGTGGTGACATTGACTCCCTGGGGGAGCAACACACTCGACCCATTTTTTAGTGGAAGGGAATTGGAACCCCACTGGGGATGCTGGTGCCCTGGACTCCCAGTTTAGTACCCAGGGAGGGCCCTAGAACCAGAGCTTCTGGCCTCGTGTTCCTTCTCTGCTGTCCGTAGGTGTGATCCCGGGCAGGCCACTTAAGTCTCCCTGTGCCTCCGCCTGTGCAATGGCCGCGCTAGTACCCTCCTCGGGGGAGTGTTGTGAGGCTTGAGTGAGGTGAGCCTTGCAGGATGGGCCTTCCACGGGGCGTGGGCCACAGCAGAGGCTCTAGTCCCAGTTGTGCTGTTGGCAGTGTAGTGATTGGCAGTAAAACTTCCTTTGCCAAGGATCTTTTTGATAGTTTTCCTGGTGGACTCAATGTCTGAAATCTTTTTGCCTGGCAAACAACTTGCCTTTATTTCTCCCCTTTTTGTTAATCAGACACAGCATCTACTCAGCGTGGGTCACCTCTGTGAACATCACTGACTGCAAGCCTCCCTCAATTTCTGGTAAATTTTTTCCTTCAAGCTTTTTGAGGTCAGGGGGAAAATCCTCCACAGATCTTCACGAGTCTGGTCCCAGATCACTAACAGCTAAAGGTTTTGTGGTGGGGAGAACTTCTGTGCCACTTGGCTTCCATTAGCCTGCCCACCCTGACCACACAATGCAGGTGCAGCCCATCAGGGACCCACAGCGCCTGGGAGGATGGTGCGGATCTTGGCCAATGGGGAAATCGTGCAGGATGACGACCCCCGAGTGAGGACCACTACCCAGCCACCAAGAGGTAGCATTCCTCGACAGGTAGGTACTCATTTCCTGTGGAGTGGGACAGATGGCCTCCTGTGTACTGGCTACTCCTAGCTTCCAGAAGTCTCTCTTGCTGGTCACTAACCTTTTCTAGCCTGAAGCCCTCTTTGCAGAGAGCTGGGGAAGATGCAGTGGCTTATTGTCTACCTCCCCAGATCTCCTTTCTCCAGGCGCCTCCCCAGACTTCACAGCCAAGAGCTCTCTCTCCTTTAACTTGGTTAGCAAACCTCACTGGAGCTAGCGTCTTTCTTTTAAGAGTGGGTTGGATGACAGAAGCTGGAGAGGAAGTGGAGGAGATGAGCCCTGGGCACAGAATAATCATTTTAAAGGGGTGGCTGGGCGCGGTGGCTCACACCTGTAATCCCAGCACTTTGGGAGGCTGAGGTGGGCGGATCAGGAGGCCAGGAGTTTGAGACCAGCCTGACCAACATGATGAAACCCCATCTCTACTAAAAATACAAAATTAGCCAGGTGTGGTGGTGCATGCCTGTAATCCCAGCTACTCAGGAGGCTGAGGCAGGAGAATCGCTTGAACCTGGGAGGCGGAGGTTGCAGTGAGCTGAGATCGCGCCATTGCACTCCAGCCTGGGTGACAGAGCGAGACTCCGTCTCAAAAAAAAAAAAAAAAAAAAAAAGAAAGGAGTGATGATGAGTATTAAAAATGCTGGCCCTAGAGCCATGCCCTGTAGTCCAACCTGCCTCAACCACTTCCTCTCTCCTCTGTCCTGGGCCTGATGTGAGGAATATAGACTGGCATGTTCTGTGCTCTGAGAGCTTGTGACTTGGTTGTTGGGATTCTTATGGGTGGCATGGGGGATTGCTGAGAAAGGAGGGTGTGACCCTGGGTGGCTGTAGGAAGGGCAGGATGCAGCCTAGAGAGGTTGATTCCTGGCTGGTGCGTCAACCCAATGATTCATTCATCTCTCTCTGTCTTCACATTCCAGAGCTTCTTCAACAGGGGCCATGGTGCTCCCCCAGGGGGTCCTGGCCCCCGCCAGCAGCAGGCAGGTGCCAGGCTGGGTGCTGCTCAGTCCCCCTTCAATGACCTCAACCGGCAGCTGGTGAACATGGGCTTTCCGCAGTGGCATCTTGGCAACCATGCTGTGGAGCCGGTGACCTCCATCCTGCTCCTCTTCCTGCTCATGATGCTTGGTGTTCGTGGCCTCCTCCTGGTTGGCCTTGTCTACCTGGTGTCCCACCTGAGTCAGCGGTGACCTCTGAGGGCTGATAGGGGTGGGTTTGTTGAGAGGGACTTGCTGGGCCTTGGTGTGAGAGCAGGCATATTTGGAGGGGATCTGGTGGTGCCTTGAAGGTATGATCAGAGAGGGGACCACAGGTGTGTGTTTCCCCTTTGTGTTAAGCGTGAGGCAGAGGGAGACGTTAGTCCAGCATTTCCAAAGTGTGGGTGGGTCCGTTGGTTCCCAAGATACTTTTAGGTGGTATGGGGCCTGCATTAAGTGGCACAAAATCAGAGCAAGAAAGCGATGCCCTTCCCAATTCTCTCAATCCTTTTATGCCGAGAAGATCTCAGCTGGATGCCAACATGTTCCGATGCCTGTGGAAGACATGCCGACGTCTCCTCTGCCTAGGGAGCAGGACTTGGGCTTAGGGCAGGTGGAAAAAATTCCAGACTTTTTTAGCACTGTTTTTGTTTTAATGGTATATTTTTATTGGCTACTTTATTGTTTAGGACAAGTGGTAGTGGCATTCTATTTATTGTGACCTTTTCAATAAATAGATTTAAGTAAAAATGAGTCCATATAAAGAAATGTATGAATAATCGTACACCTGCATGCAGATCCGGAAAACATGGTAAAGAGGGATTGGGTTCGGGGAACAGGCAGCAGCGAGCATTTGACCTCAGAGGGTGGTTTCTAAGATTTTCTCAGTAGGAACGCAGAACTAGGAGAGAAGGTCTAGATGAGATCTGGCTTGGACCCCTTGCCTGATGTGTGGATAACTTCCAGCCTCACTCTGAGATGCCAGGCATGATGGTCAGCTTTGTGGGGAGGGTTCCTCTGGCCAGAATGGCTGGTGAGGCTGCAGGGTCGGGAGAGCTGGGGTGCAGGTCCGAGGTCTCCCTTGCTTAAGGAGACCTTCCTGACCAGAGGCTGCTCAGCCTCTTTCACCCTCCAGAGGCTTCTGTCACCCCTGGCTGCAGTGCATTCTCCTTAGAAAATGGTGCATGTGGAATGAGGATGCCCTGCTTCTCTGGAGAGGAGGCCTTGCGTTTTGACATGTGAGCCCTGGGTCTGCGTGGAGGCCCTGCCTGGGGAGGCACTGGGTGGCTGAGGCTCTGGGCCACAGAGGGAGGAGGGTTATTTATGGGTTGGAGGGAGGCTGGGTGAGTCAAGGACTTGCCTGTCCTGGCACCAGGTTTCTCATCCTTTTCTTGGGATCCGCTGGGTTTGGTTGTTTGCAGGGAGGAAGGCATGTTTTGGAGTTGCTAGGTCTCGGGGAGGATGGGCGCTAGAAGGAGCTTGAGGCCACCCCTCCATCTGAGAGCCTGCCATGCTGTCTGGAACAGGAGCTTCTCACCTGGGGCCTGGACAAAGAGAGGTGGGGGCTCAGCCCTGCTGATGTCCCAGCTGGCCCCCGTGGCATCTCCTTCTGTCCTGACACTTCGGCCTACCCACTTGCCTGGCTCCAAGCCCCTACAGCTCCAGCCCGCCAGCCGCAGGGAAGTTCCTGGCCATACCCCACTCTCCTAATTCTCTTTTCTCTCAGCTTCTCTTAGGGGTGGGTTTTCCCTTTCATTTTCCCCTTGCAAAGCTGCAGAACTCTGAAAAAATAAATTATGAGTGGAAAACCCCAATATATAAAATACCTTGAGGGGATATGAATCTGAGTCCTCAAATTCAGGGCTGATAACAATACCTTTTTCTAGAACTCAGTTTCCATTCCCAACGTCCAAGCCCTTTGAGAATTAGGGTCCGTTAGAGAAGGCAGGGGTGAGCAGGGCTTCCCTCTGCGCCTGACTAGAAAGAGCGGGAGGAGAGAGGCCTGCCTGGCTTTAGGCAGGATGGCGGAAGTGGGCAGGGGCCACAGTGGGCAGAGATGGCTTTTCCTGAGGCTTGCTTGGTGCTTAGCCGGCCTAAGAGGCAGGGCTGGGGGCTGGAAGTCAGTTGGTGGGGACCAAGAGGAGGTGAAGTCTTGCCCTGTTTGTTGACTGAGCTCCAGGCCCCATAGAGCTGCTGTGGTTGGATTGGACTCTTGGCCTTTTTCTGAGCTACCTGTCTTCTCTGCCTCACTTCCTAAGCCCAGTGTCTGAAAGGTGCTGGAGACAGAGGCAGCTTAGTGTGGGGAGACCCCGCTGGGGTCCTGCAGCCTGCAGCTGGGAGTGGCCTGGGGCCATGTGCTTCCAGCCTGCCTGAATTCCCCCAGCAGGTCTCTCACCTGCACCTACTGACCCAGGCCTCACCGGGCGGCTGCACCCTGCACAGGCAGAGTCTAGGTCCTCTGGGAGGCCAGATCAGAGCTGAGGGGCCTGAGTGAGCCTCTGCCTCGGTCTACTCAGCATCCTAATCAGAAGCTCACTGAGGGGGTGGGATCTTCCTTCTCTGCCCACCACCAACTCTGCCTGCTATGTGACAGGACCCCCAGAATGAGCTGCCTGACTCGTTCCAATCCTGCCCAAGAGGGCAGATTTCCAGGGAGGTTTCTGCTGATCCTCAAAGCCCTGTGTCTCCGTGGCAGGCTGGATTTCCAGCCTGGCTGCCTGGGGAGAGCTGCTCCTACTCCCACCCACGTGAGCCACCAGCTCAGATCCCACTAGGCCTCCACTGCCTCTGCGGGGCCACCCGGTGAGTAGAACTGCTGGGGTCTGACTTGTCTGTTCTGCTCAATCTCTGGGGACCAGCTGCCCTCCTGGTGCCCTCCACAAATTCCAAGCCCTTGGCTCCCTAAGCCCCTCCCTCTCCACCCTCCAGCTAGTCCTGGAAGTGGGGACTAAACCATCATCTCCCTGAAGGAGACACCAAGCCTGAGATCAGGTGAAACAGTGACTCTGGTTTTGCCAGTTCCCCCGAGCAGCTGTCTCTCAGCTCCTGCCTCCCTGTGACGGGGCCTTTTAGCATAGGTGAGGGCTGGGGATGTTGGGCTCCCTCTCTGGGGCCTTTCTAGCTCCATGGGTCTGAGGGGGAAGCCCTGAGGCAGTGGTCAAGGCGTCTGTCCACTTGGATGCCTGAACCTGAGGACAGGGGAGGAAAGCCGCCCCTGCGCTCTGGCTCACCGGGTGGCACAGGAGGCCTGTTTGCAGGCCTGGCTCTGCTCTTTGTGGACAGTTCACTCAGCCTCTTGAGCCTTGGTTTCCTCATCCCTGTGAAGGGATGATGATCTGGGACCTGCCCGCCTCTCAGAGCCTTTCAGGGGATCACTGAAAGCATGGTGGGTAGGAGGTGGGCAGAGGGCCGTGGAGAGGGGGACTGCGCCTGCCCCTGAGCTGCCTCTGCAGGTGCTGCACCATGGCCCACAGCTTCTGTACTGGCAGCTTTGGCTCCAGAGTGGCTGCCTTGTCCAAGGCACCTGGGATCCCTGGCTGGGGCGGTGCTGGGCTTTTAAGAGCAGAGTTGCCCCTCCCGCAGCTGTTAGAGAAGAAACACAGCCACTTCGCTGTGCTCCTGAAAGCTGAGGGGCTTGTTGCTGGTGTTGAATGTCAGGACTGGATGCTGTTTGTTGAGAGTGTATGGAGTGCCTGGCCCTGTGCTAAGCACGTTATGTCATTTAATTGTCACTAGCACCTTATGACATAAATATTGTCACTGTCATCTTTATTTCACGACAGAGGACATGGCAGAGGGTTTATAACTTGCTGTAGGACCCAGAGCGAGCTGGGTGGAGCTAGGATTCAGAGACCTACAGCCCTTGCTCTTGACCACTCCTCTCTTTTACCTCTGGCCGTACCTGCATCAGCATCGCCTAGAAACCTGCAGATACAGATGCCCAGCTGTACTACCTGCTAAGACCTGCCTGCAGCCCCATGAGATCAGCTGTGTGGGGGCAGAGGGCACAGAAGTTGGTGCAAGGGTGCTGGCTGCAGCTGCCCAGCTGGGTGGCCTCAGTGGCTTCCCAGTCCTGGGTCACAGTCATGGAGATTTAGCTCTCTTCCCTGCATTCCCGAATGCATATTTTCATTGCAAAGTGACAAATCCAGTGATCTCTCAAAGGGTTAAGTGGGGGCAGGGGAGGGAGGCAGCAGAGCTCTGCTGCCAAAACTAGATAGAGAACCTGCAGCCTGCCCAGCCAGTAGGACAAGCAAGCCTACCCCGCCTGGTGCTGCCACCCAGTGCCCAAAAGAGCAGCAAGAGAAAGTTCAAGAAGCAGGTAGAGTGAGAGCTTCAAAGAATTACAAAGGGGGTGTGTATGGAGGGGTGTATGTGTGTGCCTCTGAGCCTCTGGTTTGAGGCTGGGGGCAGGGCTGAAACCAAATGGCTTTAGGGACTCAGAGTTTGGAAGGAGAAGGTTGGAGCTACTTGAGATGAAGCTGGAGGGCCACTGCCCCAAGTGCCCAGGCAGGTGGGGCACAGGGCTGGGAGCCAGGGCTGGTCTGCATTGGCCCAGCGGCCAGCTCCAGTCCCTCTGGTGGGCGGGGGCCCTGCTGGGGGCTGAATGCCTGCTTCCCATTCCCGGCTTCAGCTCTGTTAACCAGAGGCCTTGGCACAACCCAGCATCTCCCTAAACCTCCGTGTCCTCATCTGCACCTCCCACAGTGAGAGGATCAAGTACATTAATTCATGGGAAGCACTTAGCCGTTTCTGGCACAAGTTAGTGCTCAATGTTACTGTATTCACAGAGAAATGGTATTAGGACTCACTTAACATTTTTTTTTTTAACAGCAGCTCACATCTTAAATTAATTTTTTAAAAGGAAGCTTCATATTACTATTGTAAATGGAAAGCCAATACTACTTGCCATTCACAGTAGGTATTCGTACAAATGAATCCAGGACAAAACGAATGATATTCCATTTTAGCTAGTCACTGCCATTGTCCAAGCCCTTAGCCTGATGCCTGCTTTCTTTGTTAAAAAAGTCAGTTTATGAAGATTGGGAGTGGTGCAGAAGCCTCACTGGCCCCTCACTGAGACATTCTCCTCGATGGATTCAGAGGACTGAAGAGAAACAAAGAGGAATGACTTCCTCACCATCCGATTCGGTGCTGTGTTTGTAAATTGCTTATAATCATCTTGTGCACCACCCCAAATCATTTCACTCCCTGGCGGGTAAGAGTACCCCACAACTGCGGGAAACATGGTATGATCTTGAGCAAGCTATTTTAAAAGTCTTACTCTTTGTAAAGTAATGCATTCGTGTGGTTCAGATGATATAATGTACAAATGTATATAGAGAAAAGCCTTTCTCCCTCCTCTGTCCCCATCCATCCATCCCTCCTCCACTCCACTATAACTACTGTTCTTAGTGTCTTCTAAATACTTCCAGAATTTAGTTATGCAAATATGAGCAAACATGAATATACTATTTTTTCTTTTTTTATACAAATAATAGAAAAATTTGACACGTTTTTCTCTGCCTTTTGCATTTTTCACTTAGCAGTGTATCTTGGCACATTTTATATGAGTACATGAAGAGCATTTTCATCCTGCAGTATTTTGGTGTTTGAGTTGTCGACCCTGTCTTGGGCTCACCTGTACCATGGGGGATTGACTCAGTTGACCCTCAGGGCCTTGCAGCTCTGACCCTGAACCAACCCATGGGGTTTTTCCCTGAAATGTGGGGATCTTGACAGAACTGTCTCCCTTTCTCCAGGGCCCAAGGGGAGATATCACAACCTTATAGGGTTTCTCAGTCTCCTTTGCAGTTGGATAGGGTGCAATTTCTGCCCTCATCTGGCTCCTTGAAAAGGCGCAGTGGCCTCACCTGAACACTGCCTCCTGGGTCACACTGCACCCTGAGACGAGCTGAGAGGGACTCCCCACAACCTCTGACAGGCAGGGAGTGACCCCCGCCTGGCCTCCCTCATTCTGGAAAAACAAACAGGCTGGGCTAGACTTCCACGAAGGCCCCTTTCAGCTCTGAGACCGACACCTACCACAGAGGGCCTTGCCCTTAGTAGACGCTTGATGGACTTTGCTGCTGCCTGGCCTGGCATTGCCAACGTCATTGTCCAACACGTTGCTGTCCCCACTTCCTCTAACACCCCATTTTCTTTCTTTTTTAAAAAAAATTAACTTTTCAGTTCAGGGGTACATGTGCAGGTTTATTGTATAGGTAAACTTGTGTCATGGGGGTTTGTTGTACAGATTATTTCATCACCCGGGTATTCAGCCTAGTACCCACTCATTATTTTTCCTGATCCTCTCCCTCCTCTCATACTCCACCCTCTGAAAGGCCCCAATGTGTGTTGTTCCCTTTTATGTGTCCAGTAACACCCCATTTTCATGAACATCTGGATTAAGGAAGTTAAGAAAAGCCTTGAGGAGAGACCAAGACCCCAGCTTTCTTGCTCTGAACTGGGTAATGAACTCTCAATGCCCTTTTGCAGGGACCTGAGGGACCCCCACCACCTTGGTGTGTAGACTGGAAAGGTTGTGAAAGTTGTCTCATGGCGCCACCTGGTGGAATTTTTGGACAGGAGCAGGAACTCCCTCCTGCAAATATACTACAAATGGATTCATCTGCTCTCCTGCTCCCGGTTAGTGCTCACCTCAGCCAGCCCAGGCTTGGTATTACCTTGTATTTTGGAAAGGTTTCTGGTGGAGAGCATGCACAATTCCATTATAATTTCTCATTCACTGTGGTTTCGTCCTGGGTTGAGCCTAGTGCCGGGAACATTCATAAGTTTTGTTTCATTTCATCCTCTCCCAAGCAAAGAAAAATATATGTCCTTCCTTTTTCCCAGAGTAAAGGAATTTATATGTGGCCACAAAGTTGGCAGGCAGCAGATCTGGAGCCTGCCTCGCCAGCCTCCAGCAAACTGAATCTGGGAGCCCTAGGGAGGGTGGAAGGTGGCTGTGGAACCCCCAGGGAGAGGGTTTGTCGCCGGGGTCTAGTCTTGAACCAGACCTTCCAGTATTTGAGTTTTCAGCCTAGGAGACAGAGTGAGAAGTTTTAGACTTGGTGGCCCAGGGTTGCTGTGATCATGTTAGTGGAAGGGGCTTGCTTACTGTTTAAGGCTGCACTCTCTCTAGGTGGGGGTGGCTATGTCTAGCCCAGCCTTACCCAGTGCAGCACCCACCAACGCCTCACACTTGCCTGTCCTTACTCAGAGCCTGGCGCCAGGTGGTTCCCCTCAATGAACGTGATATTTGTGACATGGGGCCCATTGCCTAGCTCTTGTCTTTTTCACTGGAGGCAAGAAGCAGGCGAGTCAGACAGGCTCCCCATTTGGTAGCTTTGGGCAAGTTCCTTACTGTGCCTCATCTGTGAAATGGGGATGACGTGTCATCTAGGGCGGTGTTGAGCTGCAATTGGAAGACGTGTATGCAGTGCCTGGGGTGTAGCGGTGTGCCATGGATGAGGGTTTGTATCAGATCACCTCCTACAGGGCCCATTAGTGAAAATTGTCTGCCCTCAGTCAAGAAAATGTAAAATGCAATTTGCTTTCGAAATTCTGGGAGGAAAAAAAAATAGAAAAATTTCCCAATATGTCTGCTTACCAGTATCATGCAGTGAAGACATCTGCCTCTGAGGCATGGGCCTGTGTGAGCACGCTTGTCAGTCTATGAGGGGGTGTGTTTGTTTTTTCTTTTTTGCAGCTTTGAGCTCAGCTAATCCTGAGAAATCACTTTCTTCTGATGAAGTGGCTAAAATCTGGACGCTGTCAGCAAGGGAACATACAAGCCAACCACAAGTGCCTCCAACAGCGTGTTCCTTTTCCTGTGATAGTTGTTCTCAACCTAGCAACACCACCAGTTCATCTGGGCAGCTTTAAAACATGCAGCCTGGGTTCCAGTTCCAGAGCCATGAGCCAGCCTTCCTCCAGGTGGGAGCTGCCCTGTCCCCGGGGAGCAGGGTTTGTGGCTCCTTCCCTCTCACATGGCAGACTGAGTTTCTGAGGGCAGGGATCATGCTCAGCTCTTTTTTGTATTCCCAGTCCCAGACAGGGGCCCTGGCCCTTTGTCAAAACTTGGGGACTGCTCTGCAAACTGCATGAGAAGGCATGAGGCACTAGCCCAACTAAAGGGAGGAGGGGACCCCAAAAACAGAGCCCATTCTTCCTGCCTTGACTGGGTTGGATCCTGGTGACTTCTCTGTCACCTGTGTACTCAGGGACATTATTCTCAAGTTGTAAGTGCAGGTAGCTCTACCCCGCAGCACGTGTGGGATGAAGAAGGAAGGAAGAAAGAAAGGAGGGAGGCAGGGAGGGAGGGAGGAATGAAAGAACCTAGGTCAATAGTATAAATGTAGCTCTGAGCCGGGGGTCCCAAGGCTCCCTGTGACATCTGCCTGTATCCCAGCCTCTCTTTAAATGAAGAAGCAGCCTTCCTTGAAGACCCACCAGGTGGGAACTGCTGCCCACTCCAGAAGCCTGGGGAGGGTTTCTCTCAAGACTGTGGCATTCGCGCTTCTCTCTCCCTCCTCTGCTGCACTTGCTTTTCCTTGGAGTCAAGTGACAGGTCAGGCCCAGCCCAGGGTGCAGAGGGTGCAGTGACCCTGGGACACATGGATGTTGTGGGAGTGACTCATTGTGGCCTCACAGCTCAGGAAGGGGGTGCATGTGCTGTCTCCTTGCCTCTGCCTTATTCCAGGGGAGTTAGACTCTTGCCTTTTGCTCCCAAGCCCTTGAGAAACCAGGGCTGGATCTACTTGGGATCTAACTACCAGTGCCCTAGTTATGCAGGAGTTAGAAACTGAAATGCCCTCAGGGACCAGATAGGTGCCAGAGAACCGTGAGAAGCAGCTGGGTCCCAGGCACCAGGGAGGGGTGCGGTCTGTGGAGGACTGGGCGGGGCAGACCCCGCTAAAGGCTTCATCGCGCTGCACAGCACGTTGCGGGGTAAGGCTGCCACCACTGCAGCAGGGATATTGGTGCTCCTCCTGGCTCACAGCAGGCCCTGGGGTCTGTGTTCTGGCTCCTCCTCCCCCAGGAGCTGCGTGGTCTCAGGGAATTTAGCTGCTCTGCTAAGCCTCAGTTTTCTCTATAAATGGGGGAAATAATGCCCCCTCTTGGGGTTGACGTGCAGGAAAAGGGGAAGTTTTATATTCCTTATGTATTCCATAACATATTCTTGATATAGCACCTCTATTTGTTTTCTATGCCATGTCACAAGTCACCAAAAACTTAGCAGCTTAAAACAACACACATTTAGTATCTCACAGTTCCTGGGCATGGCTTAGCAGGTCCTCTGCAGAGCTGCCAACAGTGCCAGTCAGAGCTGGATTCTCATCTGGAGGCTCGACTGGGAAGGGTCCACTTCCAAGCTTCCTAGAAAGAATAAGCTGCGCTTTCTTGCAGGTATAGGACTCACTGCAACTTGTTTCTTCACAGCCAGCAACGGAGAGAGACTCCAAAGCTAGCTCTGGACATCCCCTCCCCTTTGCCGTGTTCTGTTGGTTGGAAGCCAGTCACAGGTCCCACTCACCAGGGGAGGGGATCACAGAAACGCATGAACACCAGGAGGCTGGGATCATGGGGTCACCTTAAGTCCATCAACCATAGCACCTGATAGCTTGATGGCCACGATTACAATTGATTGGGTGCCTACCATGTACCAGGCAGGGTGTAGAGGATTTCACACATATTATCCCATCTATTTAAGTTGTTGTATTGATAAACTTAAGACTCAGAGAGGCAGGGAACTTACCTGAACTCACTCAGCTGTTAAGTGGCAGGATTTAAACCCAGGTCCCTCTGCTCCCCATTTCTTGGGTCTTCCTTGGACATTACACTCAAGGCCACAGTCAGCATCAAGCTGTCCCTGAGGAGCCCTCCAACACCTTAAGGTACTTGTTTCAGAAGTCACTTATCTCCCTGGGTTCAAGTCCTTTAACTTGTTCAATCAGGCCCTGTCCTTGGCTGCTGAGTCTCTGTCTCACCTTCTTTCGGCTCCGTCCTCAGACGTCTCTAGAAATGGTTCAAGCTTCTTGTCCCTTGATTTGTCTGTCCAGTGATTCTTCTGTCTCCTCTCAACTCCTTCCTGCTTAATCAGCGAATTCCACAAATAGCCACTGAGACTCCCTTCTATAGGAAGGCCCTGTGCTGGGTGCTGCCCTCCATCTTCCCCCAAGGTTCTTACAGTCTAATGAAGAGGCGGTGTGTGCAACACTAACTCCACTTCAGCAGTTCAGTGAAAACAACACCATCTTTAGACAATATAAAAGTCATTTTCTCCCTGTAAGTTAGGAGTAGAGAATACAGAGGGGGCTTAGGTACCTTCACAAGGTTATCAGGAATGCAGGCCCCTCATCCAGCACCTGTGCCTCATCGTTCAAGATGGCTGCAAAGCTCCAGCCATCGTGCTGTCATTCCCATCAGCAGGAAGAAGAAAGAGGTGAAGACAAATCATCCGTGACCACCCAGACGAGGTCAGCTTCCTGGTCATATGCTCCCTTGGCGTCTTTGCTTCCTCATCACAATGCAGAGAAACTCATTCTTTGTGTCCTTGTTTGATGTTTATTCACGACTCTCCCTTGCCTCCCACCAGGTGAGAAGCTCCATGAAATCTGGCCTCGTGTCTGTCTTCTTTGTTGTTCTAGTCCTGCGGTCCACCGCAGTGCTTGGCATGTAGTAGGTGCTCAATAAGTAGTTACTGATGGAAGGAACACTCAAGATTGTACTTTAAACATGCTCTTAATATTGGGATGAGTCAGAGTTGGCCTGGCCCAAATCTGGAATCTTCTGAATTGGAGTCTGTGACGATGAGTGCTGCTAAGGGCTGTACATACATGACCTTGCTTAATCCTCAGCAGAACGCTGAGAGGAAGATTCTGCCATTTTCTTCAACTAGCAGATGAGAAGACATCATGAGATTGTGGAACTACTAACGGAAAGCTGTGATTTGAACTTGGCTCTCCAACTCAGAACCTCTATTCACTTACCTAGTGACTTTCCAGGACACCAGGGTGACCACAGTCCCCTCTAGACCCCCCTCCTGCAGCCCTGGCTGGCTCCCTTGATTGCCAGCAGGCAGCTCAGTAGCCGTGTGCTCAGTCACAGGTGCTGAGGAAGCATCGTACACTTGGCCCCTTGTCCTGAAGTGGGGCTTCACCTGCAGAAAATGGAGGAAGGGCAGGAGGTGCCAGCATCAACTGGGAGAATGCCAGTTCTCCAGTGCTCCTCCTCCTCTAGCCGATTTCTAGGAGCCTTGTGGTCCAGGGGTTCTTTCAGACTACAGAGGAGGGCAGGTGGGGCTGCCGTGGTCTAGGAGGAGGGCAGGGGCATGCCTTGCAGTGGGTGCTGTGTGTCCTGCGGCTTCCATTTCTGCCCGCTTCTTGGCGGGGCCTGCCTGATAAGGGGAAGGTGATAGGAAACTGATACCCGCCTGTGCTGGGCCCCCTTGAACCATGTGGGGCTTACAGAGCCCCCGGGCCATGGAGCGGTTCTGAGGGACACTGGAGGAGGGGTTCTAGCTTCTCCCCTCAGACTCCACAGAATACCCCAGGTAGGGACTAGATTCTGGCTGGAGTCAAGGCACTCAGACCTCTGCTGGGCAATTTGGCCCAAGCCTCTGTTGCACAGATGGGACACTGAAGGCCAGTGAGGCAACGGGCTTGCCAAGATCACACAGCCCATCAGTGTCAGAGCTGGTGCTGGTTCTCTAAACTGGATGCGCTCTGTGGCTTCTTTGACTGAACAGTTCATCTGGCCCACAGGCCATCCGAAGGGCGTTTGGTGGAGGGTCCTAGTTTGACGCCTGGCTTGAAGAGCGGATCCCTGGCTCTGCTGTGGAGGTCCTGCTGGGACCAGCCATTTCTGATCATGGCTGCCAGAAGGTGGCGCTAGGCACCCAGCTGCCACTTAATTTCCAGAAAAAGAGAATGGCAACCCGGGATCTGGGTGTAATTAGGGCAAGAGGCCAGCTTTGGAGCTCAGCTTCCAATCACCCTCCCGCCCGGGCATGCTTGTGCGTGGGCACCCAGGGGCAGGGGAGGGACTGGAGACCGCACATTGGGTTCCTCTGGTCCCAGACCCTTTGGAAGGTTGCAGTGTGGGCAGTGAATGGGCGCCCAGGTGTGCTCCATTTACTCATCTTGACTAGATGATAACCAGAGATGGAATAAAAGCAGCCAGGATGGGTGGGTGCCTCTCTCCAACAGCAAGACTCAGCCTGGGCCTCAGCTCAGGCCTTTTCACCTGGCTCAGCTCCCCGGCACACCCCCTCGCTTGGCACAGGGCACTTCGTCCCCTGCTGGGGAAGGGCCAGAGAGCTCAGGATGCCCCTGAGAGAGGCTGTCTCATTCCTGGGAACTTCCCCTCCTCCCTTCACCTTTCCTGCGCTCTCTCCATCTCTCCTTCCTGTCCTCTCCCCTCGCTCATCTCTCCTGCCCCTTCTTATCTCTTTCCTCACGCTCACCTCGTCCCAGTTCCTCCAGGGACCCTGCAGGTCTAGCCCCCACCCCCAGCACCTCATCTGCAGAGGCAAACAGGGACCAATACCAGTGAGTTTCTAGGATGTGGTTTCCATGGTGACGGTACATCTCCTGCCTCCTTGGTGCTCAGCCCTGGGCGGGTTGCCGTGGATACTCTCACCTCACTGAGGAGTGATTTGTGGGACTGTTTTTCTTCTTTACTTCTTCTTCTTCTCTCCAGAAATTCCGCTAGCCCAGACAGCGTTTTCCCCACTCACGGCGAACCTGAAGCCTTCTCCAAAGGGCTTCACACCCAGGGCCACTGAGGCCTGGAAAGCATTTTATTTATACGAGGTATTCCTGGTAACCTTCTCCGCCTTTCATAGGGTGCGTGAGTGGTCACCACAGAGAAACAGGCCAAAGCTGACCCGGTGCCCACCTTTTCTGCCCACAGTGTCCTTCCAGGCCCCTGACTTGTTCCATGCCGCCAATGCACGCCAACCCTCAGAGCTTCTGCTCGGCGGCCATTTTCCTTAAGGGTCTTTGGAGAAAGAGTGAGAGTGAGAGGGTGAGGTGGGAATAACGAGCAAAGTGAATCCAGGCAAAAGAGGTAGGTTAGAAGAGGGAGAAGTACCGGAAAGGGAGGAATGAGAGGTGGGCAGACTGGGGGAGCTCGAAGGGAGAGGGAGAGGTGGAGGGTGAAAGTTGGTCACCAGAGAAAGCCAACCCATGAGTCCGCAGCAGGAGTCCTCTGGTGTTAATGCCCTTTATAAATCACTCCGCAGCCCCAAACCCAAAACAGGCCTCTTCTTTCTCTGCAAAGTAGAAAATGTGTTCGTCGACATAAAAACATGTTAAGTACATTGTGGCCCTCGTTCCCCCCAAGTTGAAAGCCATTACAATAATTAATTAAGGCAGGAGATTAATTAAAGAGTCGTTTCCCCCCATTCTCCCTGAGTAGATCAATCAGGAGGCGGGAGAACATGTGCTACTCGGCAGACAGAGAAGGGGGGCTGGAGGGGAGGCCGAGGGGCAGCAAGGCAGTTACAGACACAGCTAGAGACAAAGGACTTCCGTGCTGGGGGCTGGGGGCTGGGGGCTGGGGCTGAGAGGAGCTGGCAAGGAGGCCCCCAGGAGGGAGAGCTTGCTCTGCTTCCAAGGACCTGTGATCTGGCTTCCCTTCTTGGTGTTCACAGCGTGAGGGTCGCTGTCACCATGGAAACAGGCCTGGGGACAGGAGGAATATCAGCTCTCTGCTCCTGGACTCCTGGATTCCCCTCTGGGAGTGAGAGTTCCCAGTGAGCAGAGTTGAGGCCCCAGGAGGCCTTTCTGTGGAGTGGCATGAGGGTTGGTGGCCTCCCCACTCCCGTGCCAGGCCCAAAACCAACTCCACACGAGCATTGTCAGGCTGATGACAAGCCTGAAAGTTCTGTTCCTCACATGTGCCACACTGCAGACAGGACAGACTGGTATGAGCTCAGGCTGAGAATCATGAGTCTTTTAGGTAACTTTTCTCATTTTGCTAAATTTTGAGTTCTTAATGATTGCTTTCTCCCTTTCACTCTCCCTCTCTTTCACTCTCTTTCTTCCTCTTTCTTATGCCTTTGGCCAATCTATTTTCCAGCTGAATTTCATATTTCTAAGAAATGTTTATATCATGTAGTGTGTTTCATGTGTGCATAGTGGGTTTAACCCATTCCACCCTGTGTCTCCGTCTTGCTTACTTTTGAGCCTTCCAGAACTTCCCGATTGATTTGTTCAGAAGCACTGCTCTTATGTTTCTCTATTTTGTATGATATTTTTCATATTTCTAATAAACATTATAAAGGGATGGTGTTCCATAGATGATTCCCCATGATATCCCTGGTATCGTTTCCTCCTTTCTGTTGTTTTATTTTAGGTTTTTGTATCTTTGTGCGTGCGTGGACTTAGCAGGCAGTTAGCTTTTCCTGTTGAGAGGAGATGGCTCAGCAGAGGCGGGTGATGAGGGAGCAGCTCATCCAGCACCTACTCTGCCACTTACAAAGTGTAACTCAGAATCATGAAGCGGCGCACCTTTTACTCACCCTGTCATTATGGATGGGGGCTTAATAGGCACTAGGTTTTGGAAACCCATGGTGGACAAGACAGATGTGGTCCCTGCCTTCTGGGGAACAACAGTCTGGTGGGAGAGACAGACATCAAACAATAAATACACAAGGATATAGCTACAAATTGTGAAAAATACCACGCAGGCAAAACCTAGGTTCTTTGATAGAGAACAGCATATGCCTACTTTAGGCTAGGGGTCAGGAGGAGGTGACATTTACACTGCAGCAGAAGCCAGCCAGACAAAGTGTGCAGTGAAGAGTGATGGTCCCCAGCAGGGGTGGAGCCGTCGGAAGCTGATGAAGCTTCAGCCTGGGGGCCCTTCGGTGCACTGGAGCCTCACAAGGCTCTGGGGGTGGCCCTAGCAATAATGGGTCCACATGGTCACATGTTTTTGTAAAAATTGTATAAAGTACTTTAACTGAAATCAGTTAAGAGCACTGACAAGTGGCCAGGTAGGGAACCACTGGGACCTGGCTAAGGGAATGCTGAGTTGGGGAGTCTATTTGGGTTTAGGGAGATGTATTTACATGCTCGTGGCACTGCCATGTATGGTCAAGGTCAAGGTCAAGGCCATCGTGGGGTGGGAATGGCTTCCAGGCACATTCTTCCTGCCTATTGTGCTAGGCAAGAAGGTGCAGTGTTTGGGGTTGACCTGAGCAGGCCCTTTTGCTGGTGGGGAGTGTGGCAGGTGGGGCATGGAGGAGCATGTGGCTGGGAAGGTGCAGAGGCAGATTCAGGGTCTGGAATATTGTTTTGAATTTCGCGAAGTTTGTGGAATTTCTCAGCTCCTTAAATCTTGTTATTTGTTTGGACTTCTCTCATTCTAAACAAGTTTTCACTTTTATGCCTAATTTTGCTTTTGAGTTTCTGAATTTCTTTTTTGTTTTTTTTTTTCTTTTCCAGAGACAGGCCTCTCTCTGTTGCCCAGACTGGAGTGCAGTGGTGTGATCTCAGCTCACTGCAGCCTCGACATCCTGGGCTCAAGTGATCCTCCTACCTCAGCCTCTTGAGTAGCTGGGACCACAGGTATATGCCACCACACCCAGCTAATTTTTGTATTTTTTGTAGGGATGGCATTTTGCCATGTTGCCCAGGCTGGTCTTGAACTCCTGAGCTCAAGTAGCCCACCTGTCTTGGCTTCCCAAAGTGCTGGGATTACAGGTGTGAGCCACCGTGCTGGGCCCTGCATTTCCTTTTTATGGAACCTGGGCCCTCCACCCTTCAGCAGGGATCTGGGCTCTGCCCCTGTCTGCTGAGCCTGTCTTCTCCTCTGTGGCTGAATGGTGCTCAAGGGGACGTCCTCGGGGTGGGATTGGCTGAGGCCCCACCCTGGAGGCTTCTGGGGCTGCTTCCAGGTGTCACCATTTCCCTCACCTAGGAGAGGTGGGGCCAGGAGGCAGACAGAACAGGCCCTAGGCCCAGGACCAGGGCCAGCTGTTTCTCCTTGGACACCCGGCGCACCCTGTGCTTAGAGCTTTTCAGAACTAGCATTTTCAACCCTCTCTTCTCTTCCTCTACCCCCGGCCCTCAGGCTGCAGTGCCTTGAATAATCCCATTTAAGAATCATTTGGGGTTAAGGCATCACCTTCTCCAGTTGTTTTCTTTTTCTTTTTCTGTTTTCTTTTGAGATGGATTCTTGCTCTGTTGCCCAGGCTGGAGAGCAGTGGCACTATCTCAGCTCACTGCAACCTCCACCTCCCAGGTTCAAGCGATTCTCCTGCCTCAGCCTCCCGAGTAGCTGGGACTACAGGTGCGCACCACCATGCTCAGCTAATTTTTGTATTTTTAGTAGAGACGGGGTTTCACCATGTTGGCCAGGATGGTCTCGATCTTTTGACCTCATGATCTGCCCGCCTTGGCCTCCCAAAGTGCTGGGATTACAGGCGTGAGCCACCATGCCCGGCGAGGTTTTCTTTTTTAAAATAGCCAGTGCTATCACTCAGTGTTTACATATTAAAATATGTAGGTGATATATCCAGTGGACAGAGCAAGATAAAAATACACACATAATTTTTATCCACAATACATAAAATTATCCCAAAGGAATGTGCATACACTGAGAAGGATGGGTGGGAATCCACAGTAGCATAGAAAGGCCTTGTGGGTTGCTTGTGTTTTATGAGTATGTGTGTGTTTGTGTGTGTGTTTGTGTGTGTGTTGAGGGGAGCAGTCTATGGGGATAAATGCAAAGTAGCCTAAAGAATTTTCCAAAGAAAAATGAAAGCCCCAACAGGCCTGGCTGTGGTGGCTTCTGAAGGGGGACCCAGGCCTGCTTGGATGAGGGGCTCAGCAGGAAGCCTGACCCCACCAGGTGCCTTCAGCTGGCTCCCCTCGGGCCAAAGCCCCGACACACCACCACCCCACAGGACAAAGCCTGGAACTGAAACTGGTTTTGAAAAGTGGGATTTGTACACAGCCCCAGGGAATGCAGCCCATGCCCTTCACTCTCATTGGCTGTTGCCCAGTGCCGTGCTTTCCTGTGGGCGAGGACAGGGTTGAGGGGGAGATGTCCCTCTGAGGTTCTTGAAGTTCTGCCTGACTGCCCCCACTGCCCTCCAATGACTCCCCTCCAGCCTGAGTTTCCTCCCCAGCCACGGTAGGAGCCCTGGAGCCCCAGAGATGCTCATCAAAAGCGTGTGCAGTGTACCCCTTTGAATCCCCCTCGCCTTCTTGTTCAGAAGCCCCATGAGTAAAGCAGACAGAAGCTGAGCTGCTGCATCTTAGACAAGTCTTTGAGGGGTGAGGGTGGCTCAGTGGCAGTGGGTGTCTGAGTGTCACCCCTCTGCCCCACCCTCCACTCAAAGTCAGGAACATGGACCTTACTCCTGTTCACTTTGCCCTGAACCCTGCCTGGAGTGCAAAATGCTTCCCTCTCCTTCCACATCTCCCTGCGGCTCTTGCCCTTGGCAATGCCTAGAAAGTGCAGAGGAGTGAGGCCACCTGCCGGACATCCTGCAGCTTTCTCCTCAAATTCCAGCTGCCTGGCTCCTAGGATACCAGTGCTAGCTTGCGGCCCCTTCCTTGGGGCTATGACTGCCTTGTCCCTCCTTGTTTACACTTTTCAAGCGGCAAGACAAAGATTGGTTGAAGAGTAAGTGGTGTCTACAGCTGCCTTGAAGAAGAGCAGGAGTGTGTCTTGGGGCTGCATGCTACTCAATTCCTAACAATTTCTTATGTTCTGGCCCTATTTCTACTGGCCAGCCCTGGGGGGTGGGGGTGCAGTGGGGAGGGTAGGTTGAGGAATAGGAGCAAGGGGTTACACAGCTGGTCTGTGCAGGGAGGTCTGGGGGGTAGCCCACTACAGTCTCCAGGTCCCCTTGGGCATGTGACTGAGCACTTCCTTGGTTGATGGACTGGCTGAGGCCTAGGAGCCAGTCTCGGGTCCTTTCTTCCCTCATGGCCCTAGGACAGGCCTGATGAGGCTGGTGGGGTAGGGGCGAAGCTGTGGGTCTTCGGCCACTATTGGAACCCTGTGGACTAGATAAAGAATGTAGCAAAGGAGACAGTGACATTTGGCCAGCCAGCCCGTCCCCCATCTGGAGACCCCCCATCTGGAGAGTATGTGATGAGCTCACGTCCCCTGGGGTTTCTTCCACGGTGGGAAGAACTCTTTGATCCTTGCCTGAGGCTGTTTTTAGTCCCAGAGTCCAAGCTTGTGATGTGCCCAACGCTGGGTTTCCTGGGGCTGCCCCAATGTCTCTGCTGCATGGATGCCGTGATTGGGCTTGGGAGTAACCACATTTATGTCATCCGCCACCCCGGGGGGATGTGGGCATCTGGAGGAAGCTGCAAACCTCCGTCCCACCTCTGCCGGGAGCAGGAAGCACAGGCAGTGAGGCACCTACAAACCCGCTTCCTGGAGTCATACTTCATTTCCCAAATTAAGAAATCACGCAAGGAAAAGAATAAGCATCCATGTTTTAAAACAAACAGGAAGTTGTTATGGCCACTTTGGGCAGAGGGACGTCTATGTCATGGGAGTCCTGCATGGGCAGCTTTGTCTGGGTTTTGCCATTGAACAAGCATTGGCCGAATGCCTGTCAAGTACGAGGCCTGAGAAAAGTCCTGAGACTGGGGCATATAGAGGTCAATAAGTGGTGGTTCTTGCTGTCACCATGTTCATAGTCTAATGTGCGTGTGACAACAGTGCAGGGAAAGCAGGAAACAGGGCTCCTGGGGGCTCAGAGTCAGGGTGAGCAGCCTGCACCCTGGGGACTGGGGAAGGTACACTGGGCTTTTCTGGCTGCCACGACCTGCTCCTCTGCTTTCGTCCCAGGGCCCTGTTATTCCCTGAGGATCCACCTGTCCTGCACAAAGCCCTTATGCTGCGGACGCAGCGAACTCTGCTCCAGCTTCTGGTAGAAATGGATCCCGCTGGGTTCACACCAGCCAGCATATTCCATTCTTGGCCTCGGCCACTGGCTCCTGGGTGGACATGTGGTTCAATCAGAGTGAATCTCGGGACATCTGCTTTGCCTGCTGAGAGGTTCTCTCTCTCTTGTCTCTTGTCTCTGTCTCTGATGTGAGAGATGAGCATGTAGTCAAGGGAGATTCTAAAAGTCACCTTGAGATCACACAGGAAGTCAGCCTTATGATAAAGATAAAGCCATGAGAAGCAGAGGTGAAACAATGAAACTAGGTCCTTGGTGACATTTTTGAGCCCCTGGGTCAAGCTGATTAGCAGCGGCGGGCTGCTCGGAGCGGCTGCTGCCATTGCACTGGCTGCAGCAGTGGGGTGCAGGCGGTGGCCACAAGAGCAGATGTGGGAGTGGCAGTGGTGGCAGTGGGATCCCTGTGCCCTGCATCCCCTGTGCCCCCCATACCCGAGGCAGCTGACTGCACCTTTCTCACAGTTGTGTGGCTGAGTGGGACCCACTGCCAGGCCTGGAGCCTCCGCCGCTCTGGACTCTGCCTCTACATTGCCACTGTCGCCCACTTCTGCTGCAGGGAGGAGGCAGACAGTCCCTGGAGCCTGCCCCTGGGAGCCTCCCAGAGTCCGCTGCCCTGGGGGCCACTGCAATGGGGCCGGGCAGAGTCACCTGATGGTGGGGGAGCAGCACAGTTAGAGGCAGAGGGGCCAGCAGAGAGGGGCCCTGAGGCAGACCTGGGCCCAGGGTAGAGCTGGCAGGAGCCGGGCGTGGCTGCAGCTGCCCAAGTTGTTGCTGTGGACCTGGCCTCCCCATGCTTTTGGGGGCCAGGAGCAGGCAAGAGTCCTGCCCTCCTGGGCACAGCTGCAGTCGCCCAGCTGTGACTGTGGACCCAGGCATCTCTGCAGTCTCTGGTGCCTAGGAAGGCCCCCCCTTATCCCTGCAGGCTTGAAGGTGTCTGCTTCCACTGCCTGGCCTCTCCCCACTACCAGCACCCACTCCGATCTCAGAGTAAGGATGGGACCAAGCCCGGCGCTGTCACAGCCCAGCTGGGTGTGCACACACTCAGGGTAGTGCTGACGTGCCAGCCCCCTGCCTCCTCAGCCCTCTCTGGACTTTGGGCACTGACAAGCACAAGAAAGAGGCTGAGAGGGTGTGAGGACAGCTCAGCACTGGCCTGCAGGCACCCCTTGGTATGAATGGCCTGGGTGCCCTCAGCAGGGGCAGGAGGCAGACAGGCTCCTGGGCAAAAGAGGGTGGGTCCCCGATGAAGACACACCTTCAAGCTGGGGAGGTCCTGAAGCCGGGGGGCTGGGCCACCAGTCCTGTGAACCAGAGGGGCAAACTTGTGGTGCTTTTCCTTGGGCCTGCCCATGGCTGCGCATGGATCTATCAGCACACATTTCCTCCCTTCTCAAGCCCATAAAAACCCCAGACTCAGCGAGACTCAACTAGAAGATGGAGAGAGGATGGGACAATCAGCTGCAGAGAGGAGCTATCCTCTCTGCTGAGAGCTGAAGAGACGTTGGGACAACCAGCATTACAGCTGTAGAGAGAAGCTACCCTCTCTGCTGAGAGCTGAACACTTGTATGGACACCCTGGCTACAGAGGGGAGTTGCTCACTGTGGGTCTCCTCTGAGCTGTTCCATTGCTCAGTAAAGCTCCTCTTCATCTTGCTCACCCTCCACGTGTCTGTGTACCTCATTCTTCCTGGACACAGGGCAAGAACTGAGGACTTCCCAAATGGCAAGGCTAAAAGACCTGTAACACAAACAGGGCTGAAACATGCCCCTTGCTCTCCAAGTTGTGGGTGAAGAGAAGAAGAGAACAGCTGCAGCCCTTTGGGGACCCCAAACCTGGGAGCTCCCTGAGCCAGGGCTGTGACTCCCTCTTTGGGGCCCTGCGGTTCCTGGCATCTCCAAGCTTCTAGGCACCACCACATTCTGCAGTGTCAGCTGGGGAAGCGGCTTGTGGTACACCTGGTCCAGCCACAGCCTCCCAGAGAGCCGGCACCTGTGCCTGCTGGCACCTGGAGCTGCCCACCCCACAGCGGCAGCTCGTGTGTCTGACTGTGCACAGTGGCTGGACCCCACACTTGCTTACATACCCCTCACTACTCCACACCTGACTCGCAGTCTCCCTGGGAGGTGTGGGATCCAGGCTGGTAGTGTAAACTGAGTGCAGACTGCCAGGCTGAGTGGGCAGAACAAGCCCAGTGGGCCTGAGCAAAACTGGGGCAAAGGCACCACCAGCCACAGAAGTTTTCAGCCAGAAAAGCAACACCCCAAGGATCCTGTAACAAAACCAGTCCTGACATTCACTTTACCTCTGAATTTCCCTGCTTATGTGAACAATACATTCCTTTTTTTATTTAAACCACTCTGAGATAGCTTTTGTTGTTGCTGCTGCTGTTGTTTTGAACACAGACACCTAAATGAAGTGGGCTCCTGCTCCATGACCAAGCTGGCACTTGAGATGGATCTTGAAGCATGTGCTCTAGAATGCTCCAAAGCATTCTTTTCTGCAGCCCTCTGATTTAAGCCCTCATCCAATACATCTTCGCTGAGCAGTGACTGTATGCCCTGTTCTCAGCAGAATGCTGGGATACACAGATCAATGAGATGTTGTCCTATGGTCCCTACTGGAGAAGCTCATGCCTTACAGGGGATCCAGATGGGTATGCCTGTCACTGCTACAGGGACGCATGGAAGGCTTGGTGGCCCAGAGAGGAGGGGGTGCCCCCTCTGCGGGGGAGTCAGTGAGGATGGCCTGGGCCATATTGACTCCCCTCCCCAGGCTTTCCTCCAAGAGCTGTCCCTCCCCCACTGCCAGCTCTCACTCAGTGGAACCAGGCCTGGGCAATCAGAGCATTCCTTCTGTCTGGCACAGGGACTGACTCCAGGATTGCCCCGACCCCAAGCCAGACGAATGAAAGTGTCATCTGGGCCTTGGCTGGAGTCTTGGGGTTGGTGGGATGATAGGATGTTCGTAGCTGCTGGGGTCATCTTAGGGCTTCCTCCCAACCAGAGGAACTCAGGTCTTTGTGTGGTGGCTCTGAAAGAAACAAAAAAAATTGCTGCTGGAGGTTGTGATGTGCCCGTCTACATGAGTCCCAGAACTGCTGAATCTGGGAGCAAGAAGGGACCTCCAACTCTTCGGGTCTGGCCCACTCATGTTACTGGCGAGAAAGCAGAGGTCCAGATGGGCTGGGTGGCATGCACAATTCCTCCTGGAAGGAGGGCAGAGCTGGGAAAGAATGCCAGTGCCCGCCTGCCCTGCCCCCCACCCACCATGCCCAGCACCTGTTCTTGTCCCTTCCAGCATCTCGGCATGAAGCTGTCCTCCTCTCTGAGGAGAGGTCGGCCTTTCTGGGCCTGCTGGAACTGTGGTGAAGGCTGCGCAGAGCCCAGTGTGCCAGGCCCTGACCCTGCTGATCACTTTCCACAGATGGCAGGGTGGGGGCGGGGGAACTCCTGAAGGGGGCGAGCTTAGCCCACTGCTTGGCTCTGAGCAGGTGGGGTTCTGCAGCTGAGCTCAAGGTTGCAGCTGTGCAGCCTACTTCAGGTTGGGAGGGTCATGTGTATGCACATCCATCACCAGGAGGTGAGGGAGGAAGGGCTCCAGAAGCTTCACCTCCCTGCCGTGCTGGCCAGGGCCTTGCCGTGCTGGCAGGGGGATGAAGTGTTTCACATTTCTCATGTGGTACTGTTCCGAGAAAGATACAAATTTAGAGCCTGGGTGACCCCCAGTAGATGCCCAGACAGAGCTGGAGAAAGACCAGGCAGAGACTAGTGAATGAAAAGTGGCGGGCAGACGGGTGAGCAGCCGGCTTTCCCTCCTGAGAATGACCTTGTCTGCCACGCCTTTGGCTCCCAGCACTGACTGTGTGATCCGCAGGGCCCGGTGCAAATGCAAGATGCGGCCCCCTTTGTCAAAATGGCCATGGCAAAGCATTAAACCCAGAATGGGGCCGGGTCGACCGCAGTCACACCCATGAAGCCTGCCCTGTTTGTGCAGTGTACGCGTGGGGAAGGGCTCCGGCTGCTTGTTGGACTCTTCAGGAGCTGGCATGGAGAAGTGCTTAGGAGCCCAAGTCTCTGGAGCCAGACTGGGTTTGAATCCCAAGATCTTGGGATTTAACCTCTGGGATTTAACCTCTCAGAGCACGAGTTCCTTTGTAAGATGGGGATAGCAACAGGGCCATTGTGGGTATTTGGTGAGTCAGCATGTAAATCTCTCAGCACAGTGCCTGGCCCATAGTCAGGTTACACGAGGGTTTGTTATTGTTATGAAGGTGAATATTTGTCTCCACCTTCCCAGTTCACATCTGGGCCTCCTCACCTGCCCCCCGCAGGCTCCAGCTGCCTGCTAGGCACAGGAGAGTGGTCATGTTTAGAGGCCAAGCTGGGTCCTGGGACCCAGCCCCACCCAGCGCCCTCTCACCTTCTCTTCCGTCAAGAGCAGGCCAGCGTGAGCCAGGGTTGGTGGAGCAGAATCCACTCCCCTGCTCCGGGAGTGGTTGCCAGGAAGCCTGGCCTCGTGAACCCGATGGTCTGACCCCTCAACAACTCTCCCTGGAGTGTGGAGGTGGGAAGGCCCCCAGGGTCATCTGAGGGCCTGGGTAGGGGAGCGGAGGGGAAGGCTGGGGCTGCCCTCTTCCCTGGGGCAGTGGTGCCGGGAGGGGCAGTGCCAGGGAGAGCTGTGAGAGGGGAGAGGTGGGGAGTGGAGGCCACCAGGTGGACTCCAAACCCTGGACTCCTAGCCCTGCTCTGCCCACTGGCTGATCCCTGGCCAGTCCTCAGCCATCCCTCTGAGGTGCTCTTGCCCCTCTGCCAAATGGGATGAAGACTCCTGAATGCCACAGAGATTCTCTGATGAGCAAAAATATGAGAGAGAGAGAGAGAGAGAAAGTGTCAGGGGGCGGTGGGGAGAGAGAGAGAGAGAAACAAAAACAGAGAGACAGGGAGGGAGGGGCATGAACACAGACAAGCAGGGGCCAACACAGATGTGTGTCTACTCAGGTTATTTATCCCATCCTCACAAGCATGCTGGCTTCAGGAGGGGAAGCTCTGGACCTGGTGCCTAGAAGTGGAGGTACTTCCTCCTCCTATTCCTGGGTGTGGTCCCCCCAGGCCAGCAAGCATTGCTTTTAGGCTGGTTAGCTCACATCGAGATGAGGGAGGGAGTCTGGCACCTGCTGGGGGGCTCCCAGCTGAATACCTCTACTGAGCTTGCTCTCAAAGCCCCACTTGGTGCTGACAAGCCGTCTGGAGCTCAGCTGGCCAGGATGACCTAATGTTCCACTGGGTCTTCTTCTCTGCCATCTTTCCAGGGATGGCCCTCGGCTGACCCTGGCTTCTGGGCCCCCAGACCCAGGCACCTTGAGGAAGAATAGCAAACAAGCCGGATTTCAGGAGGCACAGGGCCAGTGTATGACCTTGGACTGTTTGCTTTTTTAAACTTAAAAATATACAATTTTAATTTTCATCGTGAAGACAATTGTGTTCTTGGAACTTCCAGGCAGCCCCTGTCTTGGCCAGTTCCTCAATTAGGTGCCTCTCAAGAGGGAAAAAGCCGAAATACAATTACTTGAGGAACAATGGGCTGGGGCTATATTTAACACGGGGCCAGCCTGGGGGACCACATGCTCACCCCCCTCCCTGGCTCCTCTCCCTCCCGTCTTAGCCCTCACCTTCCTGTCCCTCTGTCTGGGTTCCCTGGTCTCCCAGCCGCCCCCACCTCACTGTCTCCAGCTGTCTGCACCCTGAAGCTGTTACTGATGGACAATCAGACAAGCCTCTCCCAGGACGGCTGCAAACTCCTTCCTCCCCAGATCCGCTGAGCAGCCTCACGCCTCTGAGGTAGGTCACTTCTGAGTCGGAGATAGAAAAGTCAGTGTCACTGAGCAGAACCAGCATCTCTGGGGGCGGAGTTGTCTGAAAGAAAACCATCCCAGCCTCCATCTGCCACCTTTGGATCTCAGAAACAGTCTATCCCCAATGCCGCCAGCTCCCTAGCTCACAAGGGACACTCCCTGCCTTTGTCTTGGCTGATCCTCCTTGTAATCGTGTGAGGCAGGCCCATTTTACAGTGGAAAGCACTGAGGCTCTGAGAAGTTACATTAGTAACAGAGTTACCACAATGCCAGGAGCTTCTGCCTGGACAAGTCAGCACCTGGGGGTTTTGGTGCCAGGTGTGCATCACACGCAGGTGGCCGCTGAGGTCTCAGTTGTCAGGTCTAATGAGCGTGATGTCCAGATGCTGGGGCTGGGGACAGCTTCTTCATTTGTGGGCGTTTTATTAGCATGTGGTACCCATAGGAGTGACCGCCATGGAGAAGGGATGTGGCGCAGCTCATTCAGACAAGGGTCATGCAAGGAGGATGGGAGAGGAGGCCTGGAGCAGGCAGCTCGGACGCCTCCTCAGAGAAGCCTCCCAGGACCACCCGGTGAGGTCAGAACATGCTCCTCTGGGTCTCCCACAGCACCACGGAAGTTTCCTTCATTGCACTTATCACGGGTCCAAGTTTATCCTTATGCCCATAGGTTTTCATTTTGTTTTGCTTTTTTACTCTGTGTCTTCAAAGATACTGTGAGCCCCTTGAGGACAGGGATATGTCCTTCTGTGCACACCAGGAAAATTTCATAGCTCTTCCTCTTAGATGACAAGGACCACTCTAAATCCAGATACACTTCAAGTGGGTGTTCATTGATCAATCACGCCAGGCTTTGTGGTCCTTTGGGCAGTCAGGGACATGTAGCATGAGGCACAAGGTTCTAGCCACAGGCCAGGCTCGCTACAAGCCTAGTGCCCTTTGCATATCCCACTGGAACTCCTAATTTCTTTGGGATCTTCTGCTCACAGATTGTGATTCTGGTTTGTTTATTTATTATTTTATTTTATTTTTTGAGATGGAGTTTCACTCTTGTCGCTCAGGCTGGAGTGCAATGGTGCGATCTTGGCTCACTGTAACCTCCGCCTTCTGGATTCAAGCAATCCTCCTGACTCAGCCTCCCGAGTAGCTGGGATTACAGGCACCGCCACCATGCCAGGCTATTTTTTTTTTTTTTTTGTATTTTCAATAGAGACGAGGTTTTGCCATGTTGGCCATGCTGGTCTCGAACTCCTGACCTCAGGTGATCTGCCCACCTCAGCCTCTCAAAGTGCTGGAATTACAGGCATAAGCCACTGTGCCCAGCTGTGATCCTGGTTTAAATGGCCCTTCCTTGAAGTGTTCCTGTCAAGGGGTTCCTTTTGACTGCATCAGCATCTTAAGTATTCCTTGAGGGTGGCAGATTAGGGGGAGGGTGTTGAGGTGAGGGTGGATGGCAGACAAAGTGATGGGGAGATTGTGGTGGGGTGGGAGGTTGATGGCAGCGATGGGGTGGACAGAGGTGTGGCTGCATCAGTGATGCTCTGCTAAAGGAGGGATCAATTGGGAGTTCCACCAGGTCAGACTAGGATCTATCGGTGATCAGCTGGTGAGATCTCCTGGCCAACATGTTCATCTAAAGACCAAAGATGGGTTAAACGCCTAGCTTATGTCCTGTTCCCGTGTGCTGTGTGCCCCATAGTGGGTAAACCAGACCAGCAGGAATTAAAACCTGCAGTTAATGTTCAACAGCTGGTAAAGGGAGAGAAGGATGCTGAGGCTTGCAGCTCCCGTTACCTCCCTGGGAGAAGTCATCAAAGGAGGCAACGGGGTGAGAAACGCACTCAAGAGCATCCAGAGACCCCACGCTGCCCGGCTCTGGGGCTCCAATTCCAGCTTGTAGTGCCAACACATCTCAGTTCCTCCTCAGGGACAGCAGGAAGGGGCTCTGAGAACAGGCCACCATTGGTGCAAACAAGTGAGAACCAGGAGAATCCCCCAGCCCTTAAATTCACATGGGCCAAAAGATAAATTTTAAGAGATTCAGCTGAACTTGCCCCAACCACAAACACTAGACAAATAATCTGAAGCACTCAACAAGCATGAAACTCGGCCAGCTCTGCCCTCCCGGGTTCCTTGTAACTCGAGGAGCCAGCAGCAGCCATCCGTTGTGACTTAAAGCATCTGGGTCAGGAGAAACCTTGTTCAGTTCAGCTGGTGCAGATCCCCCAGGGCCCCTCCCCCAGTGCTCAACTCCTTGAAGCTTCCCCGACCTGGATCTAACAGTAATGTCTTGGATTTATAATGCTTCTGGCTCCAGGGGGCTTTATAGACATCATCTAATTGAGAGGAGAGGAGGGGTGGCGTTGTGGGGAGCAAGGATCCTCTTTTTTTTTCTTTTTTTTTTTTGAGACAAAGTCTCACTCTGTTGCCCAAGCTGGAGTGCAGTGACGTGATCTCGACTCACTGCAACCTCCACCTCCTGGGTTCAAGTGATTCTCCTGTCTCAGCCTCCCGAGTAGCTGGGACTACAGGCATGCACCACCATGCCCATGCCTAGCTAATTTTTGTAATTTTAGTAGCCGGGTGTGGTGGCTCACACTTGTAATCCCAATACTTTGGGAGGCTGAGGCGGACGGATCACAAGTTCAGGAATTCAAGACGAGGCTGGCCAACATAGTGAAACCCTGCCTCTTTTTAACTGGGAAGGCTGCTAGGCAGGAGACAGAGATGTCAGAAAGCCTGTGCCAAGTGGCCTCCTGAGAGCCACACAAAAAAGCCTCAGGGTGAAAGATCTATATTGTGGCCTCCTGTGTACCAGCCCTGCGTCGGGAACTCAGAAGCATGAGGAGTTCACAGGCACGGGGCTCAGACTCTGCTCTGCAGGAGCCCTTGACTTGATACAGTTGATCAAGGCCCAGCCACAGGCCCTAGGGTAGACAGGGGGTGGTTAGAGGCCTGGACCTGAGGTCCTGCTGCTCTCTACCGGCGGTCCACCTTGCAGATTCCAGCTAACCCTTCTCTACTCTGCTTTCCTGGCTTGGGCTAAAAGCTGGATCTTTGGCCTGGCGCTGAAGCCATTTGATCCAGCGGCTGCAAAGGGTGTTTCCATCTTTTACTGTCAGCTGTTGCTTCTGAGCCACCAGCATGTGTGGGAGACCCTTACATCTGCAGTCATGGTGCTCCATGGTGCTGGTGAGGGACATGAGGTCCCAGAGGAGCTGTGGTTTGCTGGACGTCAGCTGGAGGGTGGGAGAGTGGGATTCAAACCCAGCCCATGCTCTTTTGATAACATCCTGAAAGAAAGCAGGGCATCTGACAAGGATGGACAGAGACTGGCTCTAAGAGAAGTGTGCACGTCTTTGGAGGTGCGTGGGCTGAAGGAGTGTCTGGGACAGGAAGAGGAGCGTGTTTGGAAACTGAGCAAGGACAGAACTGTCCATGTTGAAAGGACAGAAGGGAGGTCAGATGGCAGGGGCAGAGAGAGTCGGGGGAGGGAGAATGAGCTGGGGCCTGGAGAAGAGACAGGTCCTGGGGGCGGATAGGGTGGGCCCTGTAGATAAAGCTGGGGCCGTGTCCAGTCTGCCAGGGATGTTCCAGTTGGCATGGTGATCCCGTATCCTTATTACCTGCTTCCACTCCTCTTTTTGTGAAGCTGTTCTGGACATGCCAGCCTCATATGCCACCCCCACCTCCATGCCTAGCGTAACTACCTGCACAGGCAAGCTGACTACAAATGAGTGTCAAATGATGGGGTCTCCAAGGATGCTCAGTGGCATGGAGTTTGGAGGCCTGGCTGAGCACTCGAGTGAGAGGATATTTGATTTTAACTACTTGCACAGTGAAAGCCCAACACTCCCAGCTGGTCTGTGTGGCTTCATTTTCTATGTCAAAGAACCAGGATAACAAAAGTAGCTATTATTTATTAACCATTTTCTATGCACTGAGCACTGGACTGGAAACTTTACAAACTACTTAATCCTCACAAGCACTGTACAAGGTAGGCTCAGAGAGGGTAGGTAAGTTTCTTGAGGTCACACAGCTAGAACATTCTGACTATAATTTTAAGGTGATTTCCCCAAAAAAGAGAACCCTTTCAAAAGACCCTGCCCCAGAGTAGCTGCTTGAAACATATTTGTTGACTCCAAAATTGAACTTAATTGAGTCTTCAAGGATGGGTGGGATTGCATTTGTTGAGACAGCAACGAGCAACAATGAGCTCTCCAGGCTGGGGGCCAGCATGAGAGAAGACAGAGGGGAGGCCATGCGTGGGCGTAGGGGAGGCAGGAAGGAGAGCTGCTCACCAGTGGGAAGCCTCTGCTTTGGGGAGGGACAGGAAGGAAAGCTGGTGGCTTGGGGGGTGGGTGGTGCTGCTGCTGCTGAGTTTGGAATGCAGGACAATAGGGAACCATTGTAGGTTCTGGAGTGAGGGCAGATGAAACTGGTGTTGGATGATGGCTCTAAAGGATATGGGAATGGGTAGAGAAAGAAGAGGCTAGAAAAAGAGAAGCCAAAATGAGGCTAAGTCAGAGAAGAAAAGATAAACTAGAGTGAGAAAGAAAGAAGGAGAGAGCCATGAGGCCCCGGGAGAGGGGGACACACCGGTAAGTGGTTAATTGCTACCATTTGTGCACTGTAATTCACCAAGCCCCCGCATATATGTTATCTCATTTGATTTAGTGCTCAAACCCGGCCTATGAAGTCATAGTTCGCTCCCACATACGGAGCCCTGCTGGATGCCAGGTACTTTATGTACATTTCCTGTAGCCCTGTCAACAGCCACAAAGGGTAAACATGACCCTTTTACAGACCATGTACCTGCAGATTGGGCAGATTAAGGAACTCACCCAAGATAAAAGACCAGACCTGTCTGGCTGTGTACCTAGGTCTGATCCACTGTTCCGGACTTGATCCCATTTACAGAGGAGGAAGCTGAGAGAAATCTTGGATGCTGCAGAAGACCCGTTAGCATCTTGGTGGCGTCTGTTCCTTTTGGCTCCATGCCCATGGCTTGTCTTGCTGAAACCCGCTTCCACACTGTAGCCTTGGGGCTTGGATGCCATGTGGCCCTTTCACCCCACCCAAGCCCCTGGGCCATTTCTGCTGGTCCCGTGATTCCTCAAATGAATGCATCCCCTTAAGGCTCTTGGAGGAAGCTTTTCCAGATTCCTCAAGTCAGCTCTTGAGGTCCATAATAGAACCTTGGTGAGTGGAGGCAGGTTCTTGAGAGGAGACAGACTCCAGACCAACTCTTGCCTTGCCAAATGAGGATTAGGGCTTGGCACTGTAAGGGTTGGAGGGCTCTTTATCAGGCTTCGGGCCTGGATGGGAAGCAAACTCCAGGGACATAAAGATATTCGAGGGACCAGGGACCGGGCCCGTGCCAGACCAGCCAAGAGCTGGACCAGGGAGCAGGCACGGGGAGGGCTGTCCACAGACCAGGTGCAGGCAGCAGCCCTAGGGCTTAAGGGGCCATGCCTAGGACCCAGCGGTGGGGGCGCTGCCACCAGGATGGGCACTCCCTCTATCTGGCTCCACACAGCCATAGTTCCAGAACCACTCACTGACCCTCTCAGCTGCCTCTCTTGGCTGGAGGGTGGGGATTCTGAAGCTTTATGGGGCCTGCAGAAGGGGGAGGCCTGCCTGTGGGCTCCTGCTGACACAGGTGTCTTCTCAGTAGGGGAATGGAAAGCTCTGGGGGAAGTGGGTGCTAGGGGTGGCTAGGCCACCACACCACTGCCAAGTAGACTAGCCTGCCCCGCCAGCTGGAGAGGCTTCCTAAATATCTATTGACCGAGTAGCAGAAAGGGAAGCCAGTCTGAATTAGAGTCTACTTTGGAGAGAGAATGCATGAAAAGCATATTCAAACGAGACACTAGAAGTCCCTCCAGGACCTGCCCTAAGGAATAGAGAATGGCTGTCATTAGCATCTTACGAATAAATGTCGTGGGAAGGTAACCTGAGCCTTCCTTAGTGGGTCAGAGTGCTTAAAGTCTGCTCTCCAAAGTGTCTCTGTGTCCTCCTGGAGCCTGCTTGTGAATCTCAGCAGACAGGTTTGGTTGTCAGAGGCTAGCTTCAGCCTGGCTCTGCTGGAAGAGCTCCAGCTGCCCTCCACCCTCTGCCCTCGACCCTGCCCCCTGCAGGATGAAGGTTAATATAAGGAATTGCTGGGTCCTGCTGTGTGTCCACATGTCATCCTGAGCTGCCAGTTTGCCTGAAAATAGACAAATGTCCTATGTGCCAGGACCCTGGTCCTCCGGTCTCGGGCTCTCCTGGGGGTCCAGGTGAGCTGGGACAATGAGGTCGGTCTTGACCCTTCCGACCATTACACCTCTCTGCGCAGGTAGGGTGCAAGCTGGGGGTGAGACAGAGTTAGCTTCAGGCCCCTGGCTATAGGGATGGCGCCCAACCTACGCTGATGGACAGAATTCTATGTGTTGAAGGAAGGCTGGGCTGGAGTCTAACCTCCCACCTCTGCCCCTAGGCTTCTTCTTATCCCACTCTCCAGCGCAGTGACCTGACCTAAGAGAATGCCTCTCAGATATGTGGCCAGCAGGGACTGCATGTCCTGATGGCCCTGTGTTCATAATGGGAAGCCAGGCAGATGCAGAACCCTGGCTATGGGTTCTAATCCAACCCTGGATTCCATGAAGGGACAAGGATGGTGGCAGGATCTGCCAGCATGCTTGGTGGGATCTGCCGTCCCCTGAACCAGTGCCTCAAGCAGGTGGGAAGTAGCTTGCTTTCCTTTTCTGCCAAGGGTAAGCCCTTCCTTGACAAGGGTAACCCACAGGGCCCCATGGGGTACACGGGAGAGGAATGCAGGCAGGCTGGGCTCTGTCTCTCAGATCCCACTGGGCTTTCTAAAGAGAAGTGGCTTAGGCCATTAGGAGGGATACAAGGCTGGTGCTTTGGCCAAGCTGGTGGTTCAGGGGCATCAAGAGTGGGACTTCCAAACCAATAGCCTGTGGGACAAAATGGTTTTTAATAGGCCCATGCAGCGTGGGGCTTTTTGTTTGTTTTGTTTTGTTTTTGCTGTGTGCTTTTGTTTTGAATTTTGAGTTCGCTGTTGGCACTTAAATTTGAGAATCTTTTACATACAAATCTGGATTTCCAGTTTCTCTGGAAAAATCAGGAGACCTAGGCTGGAACTGAGTGGCAGGTGACCCTCTGGAACTCCTCGCCCATCAGCATCCCTTCCTCCAGCTCACTGCCCTCACTTTGGTCACTTGCCTGGCACTGGAGCCAGTGAGGCTGTGACCCTGGAACTGATGCTTTGGGTGGGGACAGTCCTCATGGATGCTCTGTGGGGTCTGTCTTCTGGGGAAGGCTGGCCTGGGTAAGTGATGGTTGGGGGTGGGTGTGTGCCTGATGACTAGGGTGGCAAAGGCAAGTGCCTTCACAGCTAGGCCAGGGGAATTCACCTCTGTAGGGACTTATGAGATCCCTACCCCCACCCACCTCATTCAGGAGGGTAAGGACTGCGGGGGTCAAAGGCTTTTTTTGGGAAGGGGACAGCTTTCCCCAAAGTGCTGAGCTCCTAAACTCCGGCCTGATTAGAGGCTGGAGGAGGAGGAGGGGGAGTCTTCCTCCAGTGTCAGGGCTCAGACCAGGAGCTGTGATCACTAAGGCCCCAGGGTGGCGAGGAAGCCCTGTCAGGAGCACATCCAAGGCCAAGTCAGCTGCTGCCTTCCCCATCTCTCCATCCCGCCGCCAACAACTTCACAGAGTCTCCTTTGGCAGAGCCTGAACCCAGGTTTTCTGTAGCTGCAGGTGGCTGGGCGGGGGTGAGGACTGAGCCTCAGGGCAGTTTGCGGAGTGCCCCAGGATGCTGTAGTTTGATTGGGGAGCGGGAGACGATCCTCTGTTAGGGCTGAAAGGGACTCTCTCTTCTGACCCAGAGGAACCACAGTCCTGTGTCCTAAGCACCTGTTCTTGCTGGAAAGCCTTGGAAAGCAACGCTCTGGAAGAGAGGAAGAGGGCCTCTGCTGCATAGAGTGTGGGTGTGGGTGTGGAATACAGTTACCCACAGCCATCGAGGGAGCAGCTTCGTGGCCTTAATCATTAGGAGGGATGACCCTGAGTGGCTCCAGTTCTGGGCAATGATGGAGTGGAAGACAGGCCACCCTCTGGGGACCTCCCCAGAGGATTTCAGCTGCCCTCCTGCCTGTGACCCCTGGCAAGTAGTTTAACCTTTGTCCAACGAGGAACATCAGAATAGTTTTCTCACTAGGTTGTTGTGAGGCTCAAAGGAGATTATAAATAATGGCAGCCAATATTTGTTTTATTGATTACTGGCCATGAACCAGGCAGGAAGTCCCAGTCATATCAAACATCTGCTCCTTAAGAAAAATGGTGTGTTAGTGCCTGTGTGTTGAACACTGCTGAGCCAGGTGCGACCCTGGGGCCTCCAGAGGACCCGCACCAGGAGTGCAGCTGAGGCTGGGGGATCCAGCGGATGTGGGGACCGGAGACCCTGCAGACCTGCTCCATGCCCACGCACGGCCCACAAACAGCCTGAAGGAGGCAGGAGAGAAGCACAGCACGGGGTTCGGGCACCAGCTGGTAGGAGCACCAGGGTTCGAACACCAGCCACGCCCCACACAGACCTCGGGCATGTTGCTCACTCTTTCCAGGCCTTGGTTTCCTCATCTATAAAATGGGCATGATAGTGGCATTTATGGCACAGCACTGTGGTGCTGCTCAATGAGATGCCATCTGACGTATAACATTTTGAAAGATCAACTGGTATTTTCCCCTCTGGATTTCCTTCCCCACCCTTCTCGGGGTCTGCAGCCAGGCTCCTCAGCGGTGGTGTTCCTCCCTTCTGGGAAAGGACGTGGCAGAAGAGGGCAAAGGCAAATGGAAGGAGCCTCTTCCTGAATTTTGTGTGCAAAAGCCTTGGCTTTAGGGGAAGCTGTAGGGCGGCAAATTGAGAAAAAACATCCTGAATGAGTAAGAGCAGCCCTCCTGCCCAACCAGCTAAAAAAGCGCTCCCCAAGGGGGAGGAGGGTAGCGGGGATATGGGGGAGAACCGGCTCACGGCTGGAGCCTGGGGAAGGGCTGCAGTCCCACCTGAGGGCTACGTGTGGGAGCAGAGGGCACTCATGCCTCCTGTCCTGGTGAGATCCCTGAGGAGGCAGCCAGGCCCAGAGAAGGGAAAGGGCTGGGCAGTGTGATGAGGTCACGGACCTTAGAGAGCCTCATTATGGGCTTTCCTCCCCCACCAGACTGTGAAAGCAGCAGATGGGTCCTGATGCAACCATGGCCCAGAAGAAATGGAAAGAACCCCCCACGCCCCCCAGACTAGAGGGTTCCTGAGACAGGATCACAGGGCAGCTCAATGGCTACCAAGTGGACTCACGACATTGAGGTCTCACTCAATACCTTGTCACTCTGACAACCCCATGACTACCCACAGGAACTCAGACATCCTCCTGGGGAAAATGGCCAGAAGTTGAGTTGTCTGAGATGAAGATTCGCCCACTACTGGCAGGGGATTCAAAATGAAAATAAGGCTGAGTAACAGAAAATGAAGACAGTCCTATGTCTTGCACAGTTGAATTTATGAACTGAGATTTGTGTTGCTTACAAATTCACACAAAGGAGTTAGCACAATGCCGGGCACCACCAGGCTCTGGCTGCTGTGTCCATGTGGTTGGGATGCTGTGGTGGGCCCAGAGCTGGATGAGATGCCGAGCTGGGACTCTATCAGGTGGCTGGTCACCTTCCCTGCTGAGGGCATCAGGTGAGTGGCTGTCCTTCTGAAAGGGTGTCTGAGTGGCCACTCAGCTTCTGGTGCTTCCCAAGCTGCCTGAGATCTGAATGTGACCATCCTCTCCTTCTCCCACCCGCCTTCACAAGCATCTCTCTCCATCTCCCTAGACCCTGAGACCTGGAGCTTTCAGCCTGACATTTGGCACAACCTCAGATGCAGTGATCATGGAGCATTCTCTGGGAAGATGGGCCTCAGTTGTTTCCTGCCCTAGCCTGGAAAACACAGAGATCTCTGAAGACAGCGCAGACTGAGCTCATCAGAGCCATGGGGAGGAGCCAGCCCAGGCGAGTACCATTTCTGCTTCTGGAAGGGGCCTTAGCTCACCCTGCTCTCACTCTGGAGTCCTAGGAGGCAATGGCCACAGCCAGCAGGCATCCATCTTATCTGGGAAGGGGTAGCCCAATCAGGGTCAACAGAGAATCTCCCAGAACAGAACTCTGGCCAAAGCCTCTAAAAAAGCTGCTGGGGATTGAATATGGAGTTTTCTGTACCCACCTGGACCCCACCTGAGGGTCCTCACCTGAGAATCCAGGCTTTATTCTCCTTCATGGAGCTGATCTGCCTGAAATGTCGTCATATTAGTCAGGGCTTTCCAGAGACACAGAGCCAATAGGATGTGTGCGTATATAGAAGGAGGTTTCTTTTAGGGAAGAGGCTCCTGTGACTATGGAGGCTGGCAAGTCCAACATCTATATGGGGAGTGATCAGGAAAGAGTTGCTGCTGCTACTGCTGCAGTTCACGTCCTAAGGCTGCCAGGGTAGAGTCGGCGTTGCAGCTTCAGTTTGAAAGCCGACTGCTACAGAAATCTCTCTTGCTCAGAGAGATCAGTCTTTACCTGATGGAATGAGGCCGACCCCCATTAGGGAGGGCAATTTGCTTTACTCAAAGTCTATCAATTTAAATGTTCAAATACACCCATTCAAATACACCCTCAGAGAAACATCCAGAAGAATGTTTGACCATATATCTGGGCACTGTGGCCCAGCCAAGTTGACACATAAAATCAACCATCACAGTCATTCATTCATTCATCCAGTTTGGTTGGTGGGTATGGAAACCCACCCAAGCCATCTCAAATAAGGGGAATTTATTGTAAAAACATGCAGAGATTTCACGAGAACCCAAAGATGGGCATCAAAGTGTCACCAGACATCATGGAACCATGAAGAGCACAGACCTTTATTTAATGGGTATGGGAAGCAGTGATGGGAGGGAAAAGCATGGGGTGGAATGGGAGATCTTTGATTTTGTCCCACCATCTCACCCAAGTGTGGAGGAGTGAGTCTGCCCTTTGGACATCTCTTCAGCACACTCTGGAGCCTTAGAGCAGCAGCAGTGTGGGGGAAGACCATAAGAGCAGCTGATTTGATACCCATGACTTGTGAGGGGATGGGGAGAGGAGAGGGCCCTTGCTGCGGGGTTGAGCATCAGAGACAGAGCAGAAAGGACCCAGCAGGAACTAGTCTGAGTCATCTCAGAGGAAGGGTGGGGGAAAGGGATGGGAGCGTGAGAAGTGCATACTGTTCCCCACTTCCCCCACCAGGCTGTCTCCAGAGCTTCTAACAGACATTCACGTGTCCTTTCACGTGATCTTGACAACTGCTCTACCATTTTACTAGGGAGGAAACTGAGGCTGGGGATGGGGGTGGGGACAAGAGGAGAACTTGCCCAAAGTCGAACAGAAAGGTCAAAACAGGAATCATTGCCCAAGCGTTTGATTTCCAATTTCAGAGCTTTCCTGAGCCACACTCAGGGCTCTCTCTGCACAGTGGTGACCAGTGGAGAGTCAGGCCAATTTGGTTGGAATTATATACACTGGGGTTCACAACCAGCACTGGAGACACTTGCCAGCTGCATATTCCGAGTCTCCCCCAGCCTGCCTGGTTTGCTCCATCTAGACGCTCTCTCACCAAGACTCATGCCACACTCTCCTAACTGCCTTCCCTGCCTTTACTCCTGGCCTCACAATCCACTGTCGGCAGAGCAGCCAGCGTGGGCTTTCTGCCTTCACTTGATCTTCTTCCACTGGTTTCCAAAGCTTTTTAGCATGGAGTTCACACACATCAGCCTGGCCCAAGTGACCCAGTCCTGGCCTCTGTTCCCATCTCTAACACTCCCCCTCACTCACCATGTCACTCAGCATGTTTGAGACTGCAAGTGACAGAGAGGCGGACTCAACCAGCTTTATCACCAAGGAGACCGTGTGATCTCCTGGAGCAAGACATCTGGAGGCAGGGCAGTGCCAGGGTTGCTTAGCTCAGACTCCACAGCATCAAAGATCCCGGTGTTGCCACTCTTTCCTCTGTCATCCTCAGCCCATAGAGATGGCCTCTTAGGCTGCCACAATCCCAAGGCCACCTGCAGATGACAACATCCAGAGGCAGAAGAAAGCATTTCCTCCATGGTCTCTTTCTATCAGTAATGAAACCTCTTCCAGAAGCCTCCCTCAGAGTACTGCTCTGGCTCATTGGTCTGAATTGCAGCACGTGCCCGAGCCAGGAGGGAAGCTCTGTGATTAGCCTAGACCGCTCAAGTTCATCCATGGGACTGCACAGGGGCTATGTGCCCACCATGGAAGAACATGGCTACCCAATAACTCAATGAAACAGAGGCTGTGCTAGCAAGAAGTGTTTGTGTTGGAGCAAGGAAGGGGACGGGTATTGGATGGGCAAATAATGGCACCTGTCACTCTCACTGTGATCCTGCCTCATCAACCTTCTCCCTCCCGCCTGGAACATTCTTCCCCAGCTTGATCCCTTGCTGGCTCCCTCTCTTTTAGGTATCAAAGAGGCCCTCCAGAATCCTCAATCTGTGATAGTCCCCCACTCAGTTATTCTCTCACAAAGCATCTGGCTCTTCTCCTTCAGAGCACTCATCCCAAGGTAAAGTTACATTTTTATTTGTCCCTTGCACCAGATAGGAGCTCCCTGAGGTGGGATCAGGTCTACTTTTGCTCCTCCAGAATCCCAGGTTCCACGATGGCATATGGTGCAAAGTAGTGCCTACATCTATATTTTGAGTGAATGGTGGCATGAAGGAATGTCAGATGCTATTTAGGCTTTTCAGATAGTTTCTTTTAAAATTTTCTTGATAACTCTTTGACCTAGTTATTTTTATCCTCATTTTACAGATGGGACCACTGAGGCAGAGTGTCTTAGTTCATTTGAGCTGCTATAAGAGAATGCCCTCAGAAATAACGCCACACATCTACAACCATCTGATCGTTGACAAACTTGACAAAAACAAGCAATGGGGAAAGGATTCCCTATTTAATAAATGGTGTTGGGAAAACTGGCTAGCCATATGCAGAAAACTGAAACTGGACCCCTTCCTTACACCTTATACAAAAATTAACTCAAGATGGATTAAAGACTTAAATGTAAGACTTAAAACCATAAAACCCTAAAAGAAAACCTAGGCAATACCATTCAGGACATAGGCATGGGCAAGGACTTCATGACTAAAACACCAAAAGCAATGGCAACAGAAGCCAAAATGGACAAATGGGATCTAATTAAACTAAAGAGCTTCTGCAAAGCAAAAGAAACTATCATCAGAGTGAACAGGCAACCTACAGAATGGGAGAAAATTTTTTCAATCTATCCATCTGACAAAGGGCTAATATCCAGAATCTATAAAGAACTTAAGTGGGCAAAGGCTATGAAGAGACACTTCTCAAAAGAAGACATTTATGTAGCCAACAAACATATGAAAAAAAGCTCATCATCACTAGTCATTAGAGAAATGCAAATCGTTGAGACACCATCTCACGCCAGTCAGAATGGTGATCATTAAAGAGTCAGGAAACAACAGATGCTGGAGAGGATATGGAGAAACATAAATGCTTTTACACTATTGGTGGGAGTGTAAATTAGTTCAACCATTGTAGAATACAGTGTGGCAATTCCTCAAGGATCTAGAACCAGAAATACCATTTGACCCAGCCATTCCATTACTGGGTATATACCCAAATGATTATAAATCATTCTACTATAAAGACACATGCACACATATGTTTATTGCGGCACTGTTCACAATAGCAAAGACTTGGAACCAACCCAAATGCCCATCAATGATTGACTGGATAAAGAAAATGTGGCACATATACACCATGGAATACTATGCAGCCATAAAAAAGGATGAGTTCATGTCCTTTGCAGGGACGTGGATGAAGCTGGAAACCATCATTCTCAGCAAACTAACTCAGGAACAGAAAACCAAACACCACATGCTCTCACTCATAAGAGGGAGTTGAGCAATGAGAACTCATGGACACAGGGAGGGGAACATCACACACTGTGGCCTGTCATGGGGTGAGGGGCTAGGGGAGGGATAGCATTAGGAGAAATACCCAATGTAGATGACAGATTTAAGGGTGCAGCAAGCCACCATGGCATGTGTATACCTATGTAACAAACCTGCACGTTCTGCACACGTATCCCAGAACTTAAAGTATTATAATAATAAAAAAAGAGAATGCCATAGACCAGGTGGATGATACACAACAGAAATTTACTTCTCACAGTGCTGGAGGCTGGGAATTCCAAGATAAGGCACTGGTAGTTTCGGTGTCTGGTGAGGACCTGCTTCCTCACAGATGGCCGTCTTCTCACTGTGCCTTCACAAGGTAGAAGGGGCAGGGCAACTCTCTGGGGTCCCTTTTATGAGGGCACTAATCCATTCTTGAGGGGTCCACCCTCATGACCTAATCACCAAAAGCCCCATCTCCAAATACCATCACATTAGGTGCCAGGATTTCAACATGTGAATTGTCAGGGATACATAGCACTGAGAGACACCAAATGACTTATCTAAGGTGGCCTGGATGGTAAGGAGCAGAACTAAAATTCACATTACTTCTTCTGATTTCAATTTCTATGCCCTTTTTCATATCCACTTAGGTGTTTTTGGTTAAATGACAGACAACTTGACCCAGAGTGTATTAAGCTGATTTACTGCAAACCAACACATTTAAAATTGGTTTCACTCAGCATGATATACAGAGAAATGGATGAAGGATAGATTCTTGAGACTTAGCCCTGCTAGTAGGATGGCCCTCTTGTACTTCCATGTGCTTCAAACCATGATGACGATGACACACCTTGGTATTACACCTGCCCAACCAACATGCCTGCAGATGTTGGTTTAGCATTGTCCGCATTGTTCTAGAGTGAAATGGGTGTAAGGCTGTCACCATTCTCACAAATTGTTAATAAGAAGCCTTTATCAAAGGGATATCTTCGGACTGTCTGTTTCTAACACCTTCTGAACCATGACTTGGAGCCAGCAGAGGAGGCTGTGGCTACAAACTTCAGCACAACCACGAACACTGCTGTTCAAGAAATTACAATTTATGTCCATCCCAAGTTGTAAATGCTAGTCTTTTTTTCCATGGACCTCAGACAATTTTATCCATGAAGCTCCTTCCTCATAAAATCTGTGGAAGCCCAATGTATGCCTGGAGAAAGAGGGTGCCCTGGATCTGGAGGCTGGAGGAGCGGAGGGTAGGTGTGCTGAGCAACTCCCTCTGGCCTCCCCTTTCTCTGACCCCAGGGCTCTTCTAGGGTGATTCTAGGCTTCCTCAGAGCACAGTTGGAAACGCTTGCTCTCCTCCAACCCCTTCGCTATAGGGACTGAAACAGAGCACCAAGAAGGTTAATGCCTTCCTTTGTCACATGGCTAGTATGTGGCAGAGAAGTCTTTGACTCTTGCTCCAGTGCTCCTTTGAGAGGAACCAGCAGACAAGTCTTTAGGCAAAGGGCTGTCAAGACACATTTAAGAAGCAATGTTGGCCCGGCACAATGGCTCACACCTGTAATCCCAGAACTTTGGGAGGCCGAGGCAGGCAGGTCACTTGAGCCCAGGAGTTCAAGACCAGCCTGGGCAACATGGCAAAATCCTGTCCCTACAAAGTATACAAAAATTAGCTGGGCATGGTGGTGCACACCTGTAATACCAGCTACTAGGGAGGCTTACATGGGAGGATTGCTTGAGCCCAGGAGGCAAAATTTGCAGTGAGCTGAGATCGCGCCACTGCACGTTAGCCTGGGTGGCAGAGTGAGACCCTGTCTCAAACAAACAAACAAAACAAAAACAAAGAAGCAGCAATGTTAACCCCTCTTCTATTACTTTCCTGCTTTCCACTCATGAGCTCTTTGTAGCTTATTTTCATAGGACCCAAAGATGTTTGGCTGAGCCTGACATAACAGAATGACTAGCAGATGATCACATTTGTTATATGGGTTCAGGGAAATTGAAAAAGACACCCAGTTCTCATTAAATGTGATCAGGCATATGAAGAGCTTAGCACAGCAGATGAAATCAGCGGACGTCAGCCAGTGTTGTTATTGTCATTGTCCTGCTCTAAGCTTGCTTCTGACATCTGTTCACATTGTGACTCTGAAACATTCTCATCCCAGTTTCCTTGCCTGTAAAAGGATGACAATGACACCATCCTCTTGGGGTTATTTCGAGGACCAAAATAATGGATATACAACCCTTTTGAAAAATACAAGAGTAAGCTAGCATTATTATTACTTGGCAAATAATTGAATTTTCTTCCAATTACACATCAAGTCAAGCACAATTCACCTATCAGGTTTATGACTGTGATCATTTTTGATGGGAACTTGCATGTGAATTTTACAGCTCACACTTCAACCCAAAGGAGAACACTTTATTGACTTGCAAGCTAACACCTGTGATCAAGGCAGAAAACTGAATTTCAAAAAAACCAAAGCTTAAATTTGGAAATTGGGGCATAAATAGGAGAATGTACCAAGCTGTGATTTCTTTAAAAGCTCACCAGACACAAAACTGAAATACAGGATTCTACTTTTGTTTTGTTTTGTCTTGTTTTTGAGACAGAGTCTTACTCTGTCGCCCAGGCTGGAGTGCAGTGGCATGATCTTGGCTCACTGCAACTTCTGCCTACCAGGTTCAAGTGATTCTCGTGCCTCAACCTCCTGAGTAGCTAGGACTACAGGTGCATGTGAGCACACCCAGCTAATTTTTGAATTTTTAGTGGAGATGGGGTTTCACCATGTTGGCTAGGCTGGTCCGGAACTCCTGGCCTCAAGTGATCTGCCTGCCTTGGCCTCCCAAAGGATTCTAGTTTTTAACATCAATTTTGTCTTTGTGTTAAAGATGGGTTGGTGGCAAATCAATGAAAAAATCAATATTGTCTTCTGATACCACACTGTCCTCCTCATACTTTATTTTATTTTCAATTTTAAGTTGCAGTTGAAGTCACTTGTTTACTTGAGAATCAGCCTCTTCGACTAAAAGTTAAAAGGCTTGAGTTCTAGTTTAATTACACCACCAACTAAGTGTCCTACCTTTTGTAAATGACATGTCTCCCTGGGCATCATATACTTCTGTCCTACACAATGGTGGTGTGTGGTGTAGTGGTTGTGGTAGTGGTCATGATGGTGGTTGGTTTGCTGTAGTGATGATGGTGTTGGTGTTGGCTTGTGTTGTGATGGAGGTGTTGTTGCTGGTGGTGTAGGATATAATGGAGGTGGTGGTGGTAAGCATGGTTCTGATGGCTGTGATGGTGGTGGACATGGTGATGATGGTTGTGGAATGAAATGGTTGTGGTGATGGTGGTCGTGATGGTGATGGTAGTGGTGGTAGAGGGGATGGAAATGGACAGAGAGACAGTGGTCAAGGAGGGTTGGCCTAGATGGTCTCTAGGTTCCTCTCAGGTCCACCATTCTACGTTCTTTGATTTCTGCTGCCATTTGTGTGGCCAGTGGTTGTCCACTGGGGCAATCAGTGAAACAGAGGGGAAAGGAAAAGATTCAAAATTGGCATTGTTGAGAGTTTTCACTCACTTGAATTCTCTTTGTAAGGTCTGTGTTTGGGGCACTAGGAGTCCTGTTCTGTAGTATTTGTGGAGTAGGAAAGAAGATTTGATCAGGGAGGTTAGGTTTGGCCAAGAGTCCATTAGACTTTGATGTCTTCTACCAGCTCCCAGAATTGAGATGAAAAGGACAGCACCGTATTAGATTTTTGCTATAAGAACATTTGAAATTGGGGAATATGTAAATCAGAGTCCCAAAAAGAAACAGATGGTGCACTAAATTAGGATAATTCAAGGAGGTTTAATTTACAAAGGAATATTTATAGAATGTGGCCAGGGTAGAGGGGAATCATAATGGCTGGTACAGAAGCCTGGGCTAAAAACAGGGGTTACCATCCTAGGCTTGCTTACAAGAGGGAGAGTGTATTAGGGTTCTCTAGAGAAACAGAGCCAATAGGATGTATATACAGGAAGAGATTTATTATGAGGAATTTACTTACTCAAGGCTGAGAAGTTGGAGCTGCTGTCTGTCAGCTGGAGACCCAGGAAAGCCAGTGGCATAATTCAGTCCTGAGTCCAAAGACCTGAGAACCAGGGATGCTGATGGTACTAATCCCAGTCCAAGGGCAGGAACTGATGTCCCAGCTCCAGCAGGCAAGTAGGAAGAAAAGAAAGGGGGCCAATTAATTCCTCCTTCCTCCACCTTTTGTTCTATTCAAGCTATCTGCAGATTGGACGGTGCCCACCCACACTGGGAAGGACAACCTACTGAGTCCACATATTCAAATGCTAATCTCATCTGGAAACCCTCTCATGGACACATCCAGAAACAATGCTTAGTCTGGGCACTTCCTGGGCTACTCAGGTTGATACATAAAATTGACCATCACAGATCCATTACAAGCACTCAAGAGAGACGATATTTGTGTAGTAGAGGCTGCCTCAGGAGAAGATTTCTGTGGAGGGTCCCGGCCAGCAGAGGCAATGCTGCAGGGAGGGAGCCAACTAGCTGGGTCTCACTCTCTTCCCTTCTTTTGGTCTCCTGCCTGGGCTCACAATTGGCCAAACCCAAGCACAGCCAGGGCAGGGGAGCCTACTGAGGTGGTTCACACCCATTTGTCTCCTGGGCAGAGAGCAAGGTGGAGTGGGAAGGACAGAGGACCTGGAAGGGGAACAGAAGGTGCAGGATCCCATTACCATTAATTCATCCACACAGCACATGGTTCTGAACATCGATGTCCTACTAACTAATGTTCTTGCATCACAGCCCGCATGCAGTGTACGTGTGACACATTTCTGTTGAATGTGTTGGGATGGCCTTTGAGTTTGGAGTAAATACCCAGCCTGGTCTCCCTCTGTCCCCAGTGAACATTCTCACCACCAATGGGGCCAGGACAAAAGGCTGCCCCCGCCCCATGCCCCCTTTTCCTGACCAGCCCATGGTGCATCCCACCCTCTGCATAGCCAAACCTTGCTCAAGGCTGACTTATTGAGGTGACTGTGCTGTAGCTTCCTGTGTGTGGGAGCCAGGACCATTGGAGCTCTGTGTCTCATGCCTTGAAGGCTGCCTGGCACTTAATAAGTGCCAGTAACAGGAGACACTCCGTAGGTATTTGAGGAACGGATAGCAAATGCTTTTATTGTCTCACAAAAACATCATGCTTTCTTGTCTTCCTGCTTTTGGTCATATCCCCCTTTATCCTTCTCCTATCTTCTTGCTGTGTCTTTTGTCCAAGTACCACATTCCCAGGAAGACTTCAGGGACACCAGCCCACAGCAGCCAGCCCTTCCGTCGTGACAACAGCGGGTTCCAGTCCAGTGCCAGATCCTTTCCTAATTGTCCCCCATGTATGCCGCTCACCTCCTCGGCCAGTCATGAGCTGGGCTTGAAATCCAGGGCCATGAATTTAGGGGCCTCATCTTTTATTTCATTTGTTCTCAACACCCTACTGCCTGCCCTCAGGGTACATGATGCGAGAACAATGATAATAATAATAGTGATCATAATAATGAGCCATCTGAGCCCACGCAGAACCCTTTCCATTCCATGACTTATTCCTTTCTTTCTGTTTGTTTGTTTTTGAGATGGAGTCTTGTTCTGTCTCCCAGGCTGGAGTACAGTGGCACCATCTCAGTTCACTGCAACCTCTGCCATCTTCCTGCCTTAGCCTCCTGAGTACCTGGGATTACAGGTATGCCTCATCATGCCGGTCTACGTTTTGTATTTTTTGTAGAGATGGGGTTTCACCATGTTGGTCAGGCTGGTCTCAAACTCCTGGGCTCAAGCGATCCACCCACTTCGACCTCCCAGAGTGCTGGGATGACAGGTGTGAGCCACTGCACCCGGCCTACATGAATTATTTATTTTAATTCTCACAACGACCCCATGAGGAGGGCCATATGTTGGCATCCCCACTTTAGGGATGTGTAAATTGAGGTTCAAAGAGGTTTTCAGTTCCATCTCACAGCTGGTAGGCAGAGAAGCCTGGTTCAATTCCAAAACCCGCTCTTGTTACCATGACATCAACTATTTCCACACCTCTACTCTTTAGTGTTCTCCCACTCTTCATCCCTCCCCTCCCCCACTCAGCATCTAGAACAGGCCTGGGCACATAGTAGGTGCTTAAATAATGCCTGTAGATTCATTGCTAGGTGAGGTATCCCATGATTGATCAATGACCCTGGCCTTTCTATTAACACCGGGAGGTACAGGAAAACTTTTGCAGTCAGGCCTCATCTCCAGAAGTCAAGCAAATTACCCTCCAATAGCCTGACAGCCCCTTTGTCTCCCCAGAGTGGGGCTCGGGCTGCCGTTCTAGCCATCCCAGGACATTGCTCCCGACAATCGCCTTTTGCTTCCAGAGCAGGAACAGCCTGCAGAAAATCCTCCTTTTAGCCCTCCGAATCAGAGCGACAGGGGCCCATAAAGTCCAGGTTATGAAGTGTCACCGTGTCTGAAACAACTGCTTCTTTATTGCGTACGCACACACCAGGAATCCGTTCATTTCTGGGCAGCGGCTGATGGAAAAAGAGAAAGATTTTCCATGTATTTATTATGTGAAACATAACATACGGGGGACATGAATGGTGATATGTAATTAGACATAAAACGAACCAGACTTGAGGAATTGCCAAAAATCTGTGGCAGGATAATGAAAGTGCTTTGGGTGGTATCATTTATTTCACAATCTGTCATTGCAATCGACGGCCTCAGTAACCTGTTGAATGCCGCAGAAACACGGAGCTGGAAGTTCGTTTCGGGGGAGATGCCTCCCAGGCACCATCTTTGATTAGTTCCTGTGTCTTTTCTAAGGCAAAGATATATTCACCTTGGAGCCCTGGTGGCAAAGAAGCTGGATAAAGAGTGGGTGTGGAAGAGACGAAGCCCATCCCAGGCAGAGGGTAGGTGGAAGCCTGTCTGTTGATTCCCCCAGCTGAACTGGGCTGCACTGCTGTCTTTCATATCACACCAGCTAGGAGGGGTGAGAGCAGGGGCACTGTGGCAGCTTCTAGTTCCAGCTCTATGGCAGTCTCCCTTTGCAACCTTCCCAGACCACTGGAATTCCCTGGGCCTCACTTCCCAACTCTGCAGAACAGGAAGATTGACCCAAGAACATCCACATGCAAGGATGCATGCCAGGTGAGTGGGGGCCACAGTGAGAAGACCCTGATGTCTTGGCCCCTTTCATAATAATCCTATCCAGCTTGTCATTCATCTCTGAGGGTGTATGTGAAGCCTTTCAAATTAAAAACATGGGCCAGGCGTGGTGGCTCATGCCTGTAATCCCAGCACTTTGGGAGGCTGAGGCAGGCGGATCACTTGAGGTCAGGAGTTTGAGACCAGCCTGGCCAACATGGCAAAACCCCATCTCTACTAAAAGTACAAAAAAAAAAATAGCCGGGAGTGGTGGTGGGCACCTGTAAATCCCAGCTACTCGGGAGGTTGAGGCTGGAGAATCACTTGAACCCAGGAGGCAGAGGTTGCAGTGAGCCAAGATTGTGCCATTGCACTGCAGCCTGGGTGACAAGAGTGAAAACTCTGTCTCAGCAAAACAAAAACAAAACAAAACAAAACAAACAAACAAACAAAAACATGCCAGAGCTGATCCTTGTGGTAGTTGACTTTTAAATTAACTTTGAAGGTCTACTACACATACACCTGGCACTTAGCAGATACCCAAGTTCTTCCTTCGTGCTCACCAACTCTTGTCCATCTTGCTTCCTTAAGCTCCACATTTGTCTCCAACACCACCTTTGCTTCTGCAACTGCCCTGGCTCAGTCTCTCACTGTCTCTTTCCCAAATACTGTAACCACTTCTAGTGTGGTCTGGGGTGGTGAGTCTTCTCTGTTTGCCTCTCTCCCTCTCATTCTCTCTTCATTCTTCTCTGCCCTGTTCTGTGTCCCCAGACTGAACCCCTGCAGACTCCTTCACAGCCAGCAGCCAGTTCTGGCTATTGCCCATGGAAAGCCCCAAAAGAAGACCTAGGGGCTGTTTTTTGCACCATTCCTGCCCCGGATCATGTTTCCAGTCGTGGCTGCATCCTCAAAGGTCTGCAGCTCCTGCCGATGGTGCCTCCAGCTCTCACCTGGCGCAGTGATGCAATTTCCTGCCTTCACCCACTGCTTTGGGGCTCTGGGGGCCTTTTCATCCCTCACCGGTCCCACCCACCCTCCATGAGCAATAGCTTTATCATCCATGGATTGAGCCCCCTAAGTCAGACTATTTCCTGCCAGAATCCCCAGTGTACATGCTGTCCCCTGCTTCTGCTGACGCCATGCACAATTCTCAAAGCACAGTCCTGACTGCGTCTCTCCCATGCCCAGACACCATTGCCTCTCCATTGCTGCAGTCAGTGTGAAAGGGGCAGCGTGTGCAGAGGGCCGCTCATAACCCTCTGCACTTGGCTCAGATGTCCTCTTCTCTAGTCTCCTTCCTCTGTTGCTTGTCATTTCCCAGCAGAACAAGCTGCTCTCCCTAAATACAATCCCCACTGCTCCCTCTCCCCAAATCTCCATAGCTCCAAATCCCACCTGTCCATTGAGGCTCAGCTAAAATGTCACCTATTCCATAAAACTTCCCATCTTCTTCCAGCTGGAAGCAATTTTCTCCTCATCTATACTCCCAGGGGATATTATCTGTTTCTCTCTTGGTCACTTATCACTTCCCCAACCTGTATTAGGATAATTTATATACAAGCTGTAGCTTCCCTTCTGGGCTGTAAATTCCAGTGGTGCCTCTTTCATCTCGCTGAGGGCCGTGTGGAATGGTCGTTACACAGGTGTGCTCTGGAGACAGCCCTCCCAGCTTCAAAGCCTGGCTCTGCTGCTTTTTAGCCACATTAACTTGGCACATTACGTTATCCTGTGGAGCCTCTTGTTGCTCATCTGCAAAGTGGGGGTGTGCGTTTTGGGGGAAATAATACCACCTGTCCTATAGGATTGTTGGAGGATTACATGAGTTAGTACATAGAAAACAGTCTGAAGGGGGTTGGCACATCATGAGCACCCTCATATCTTCTGTTCCTCTTATTCTCAGTAGCATGTGGCTAATTCATTCCATGTGCTGTCAAGATAACGGGAGAGTAGATCAGATGATAGGGCAATGCCTGGAAAACAAAAACCTCCTCATCACAACGATTTTCCTAGATTGGTCGTGTTAGAGAATGTGACCATTTCCAAAGCTGGAATCCCATTCAGAGACAAAGACCAACTTCTCATTAAAACATCAGACAAACTGATGCCTATAGCTAATGAGTGGCCAGAGCTGGGGCTTGAAGTTCTCTCACAGCAAGTGTTCTTCTTCTATGCTCTGCCAAGCTTTTGAATAATTAGTTTCCAAACTTCTAAGCCTTAAGAGAAGTTGACCTCAAGGAGACCAGCCTGGAAGATGGGACCCCCAGTGGAAAAGGGGCAAGGACCCACGGCCCTGGGGATTCCCCAGGACTTGCCCCACCTCCTCACAACTTGGGAGAGAAATCCAAGGGTCTGCAAACGCTGCCTTGTGTTTGCCTCCTGGAACTTCACATCCTGCTTTGGGAGCAGTTTACCCTCTGAGTAGCTCTCAAAATAATGCAAGATTCCTTCGCTTTGAGTGAGAGGCATGGGCATCTTTGGCGAGGAGGTTGACATAGAGTCACTGGGAAGAGATGGAAGAGAAAGAGCCCCCATTTGTGATAGCCAGTCAGAAAGCAGAAAATAGATTTGGTCTGATGACATTTGGGCAACTATTGACCTTGTCATGGAGCCCAAAGGCACTGGCCAGGTGGGGAGGGGTTAGGTGGCAGAATTTCAGGGAGAATGCTTCCAAACCTCTGCCACCAGGAGTGTATGTCATCCCTACCCTGCAGTTGGCCGGCTCCCTCTGGGGCCCATCTAGCTACCAACGCAGATGCCTCACAAACCAGGGGTGGCGGGAGAGTGTCAGTAGAGGGTGGGGGCGACCCCACAGGTCACCCACTGAGCTGGAGTCGCAAAACCAGGCAGTATGGGTGCGGAACTGGGCTCAGCTAGCTCCATGATGCAGATATGGGACAGGTGTTCTCTTTTGGGCAGCATGGAAGTTGGAGCATGGAAGGCCAGACACCCCTGCCTGGCCTCTGTGAGATCTCTGGAAAGTCTCCTAAAGCCACCAAGTGTCAGTTTTTCTCATCTTTAAGACGGGACATGAAAGTTTCTCAGCTATTGGGAGCAGGTGAAAAGGCCTGGAGATGGGGGAGTGGAGTTGGGGGCGGGGGTTCTGGCTCACCTGAGCACCTGAGTGAGGTGAATTCAGATCCTGGTGCTACCACATAATGCGGTGTGTCCTTGAGAAATGGATAAACTCTGAGTCTCATTGTCTTCACCTTTACAAAGGGGTCATTGTGAGGGTCAAATGGTGATGCATGTGAAGAGCTCAGCACGGAGCCTGTTCATGTGATTATTAGCAAGGCACAAGGCCAGGCACACGAAGGCTCAGTAAACCTTAATAGAATGGACCATATACGGGAGGGACTTCGGCCATTACAAAGGGCCACATAGAAGCAAGGGCTGTTGTTATCATACCCAGGCAATGGGGGCACTTTTGGGTAAGCTGTGGTGGTTTCTGCCCCTGGGAGACCTTCTCCCAGCCTTCTTTGCATCTCATGTTGGTGTCCAGCCTGGACTTGGGAACCCATGCAACTGACCTTTATCCAAGAGTGGGAAGGACCCTGCTGGAAAATGACTTACTAGAGAGGAGTTAAACTGTGATCCAAACTTAGGTCTCCGTTCAGAATATTCAGCGGTCAGGACACCGGGGCCCCTTGGTACCCTTCCAGCCAGCTCTAGCTGCAGGTTGGAACAGTGGACAGGTTTGGCAGGAGTGCAGGTGAAGGGGGCAAGAGGAGGATCATTTTGGCTGTGGTGTGCTGGTTGTCTCTTGGTGTGCTCCCCAAGCCCTGGGGGGCAGGCAGAGCTGGCTGTGGGGGAGGCACTGATAGAGGTTTCTCCCATCCCTGCCCCTGCATCAAACTTTCAACTTTCAAACACCAGGGAGCCACTGTCACTCCTGTCCACATGGAGACAGGAGAGAGTCACGGGGGAGGAGCTAAGAGACTATAACAAGGCAAATATATTAAGGAAGGGGATGTAAGAACTTCCCCCACCAAGACTACCACGCCCTTGGCTCATAGACATAAGCTCATAAACACACATGCATGTATTTGTTGATACAGTACGTGTAACTATACAGACTTTGAATAAACATTTATTATACTCCTATAGGGCCCTGACACTACAAAAATGAGTCCAGTTCTGTCCTCAGGGAGTTTGCAGTTTGGGGTGAGGTGGGGGAAACTGACTCAAACAATGAGGTGTTGGTGCTATCTCTTCTATGTGCAAAGCCCAGGGGGTTTGAGAGAGAGACATTTAATCTGCTTATGAGAATCTGGGAGTGCTTCAAGAAAGAGGTGCTGATAGAACTGGGTGTTGAAGGGTGAGTAAGAGTCCTCCAGGTGGGCTAGACAGAAATCTAGTTAGATGTTGCCTCCAACAGGAAGTCTTTCCTGATCCTTTCCCCTTCCCCACCCACCTGGCCTAGGTGTCCAGGGCTTCTGATTCCTTGACACTTTGCATGTCTCTGCCACTGTGAGCCACTGAGGGCAGAGACTGAGTGTTTGTGCCCCTAGCTTCTGAATCATGTCTAACATATAGAAGACTTTCAATAAATGCTGAATAAGTATGAAAGAGAAAAGGAAGACATGCTGGGCAGAGAGTGGAGTGAGCAAAGGCAAGGAAGAGGGAAGATGAAGGGGAGTGGAGGCATTTGCCGAGGCAGGACACAAATAGAACAATGCAGGGACATAAGTCAGATGCTGCTGAAAATGGCAGCCCACAGCACCGCTTACCAACTCTCCCATGAAAGACCTTACCTTACAGAGAGGAATAAACAGCTATTGCTCTTACCTCAAACATCCTCCCAAATGCCTGCCTTTTCTCCCTCCCTGGGGAAGACAAGCAAGACCAGTGCTGCCACAGGAGTTGCTCAAGGTTGCTCAAAGGAGTTGCTCAAAGAAACCAGGAATAGGACCTGGTTTCTCTGCTGTCATTGTCCTTAGCTTACAGCCTACAGCCTGGCAAATACCAGTGCCATGGACTGATGAATGCTTTGCAAATCTGGTTCCCATTAAGTTGCCAGTAAAAAAACCCAAGAGGTTCATGTGGCAAAGTCAGACTAGATGTGAGCAGATTGACAAAAGTCCCAAAGAACTGAACTAGCCCCATGGCTCTGATACCCCTCGTGGGTTTGAAAATATCCAGCGATGGCCAGGTGCAGTGGCTCACACCTGTAATCCCAGCACTTTGGGAGGCTGAGGCAGGTGGATAACGAAGTCAGGAGTTTGAGACCAGTCTGGCCAAGATGGTGAAACCCCGTCTCTCCTAAACATATACAAATTAGCCAGTTGCAGTGGCGGGTGCCTGTAATCCCAGCTACTCGGGAGGCTGAGGCTGGAGAATCTCTTGAACCTGGGAGGCGGAGCTTGCAGTGAGCTGAGATTGCACCACTGTACTCCAGCCCGGGCGACAGAGCGAAAAAAAAAAAAAAGAAAAGAAAATATCCAGGGCTCCGGGGGATAGCCCTTGCTTTCCAGTGTTCCTAAAAGAAGATAAAGTCACACTATCAAATAACAAATGCCTCATCAAAACACAACCCAGAGATCAGCCCAGTTCTTCCAACAAGAAACAGGCCAGTCATGACAGTATTATAATTATGATGACGAGGAAGGGAATGCTAGCCAACCACTCCCCTCCCCGCCCCGGCCTCTATCAGGGGTAAGCCCAGGAGGCAGGAGTGCAGAGTGGCTGAGGGCAAGGCCTCTGCCCTGTTGGAATAGCCTGGGCCTGCCCCTTCCTAGCCTGTGAGCTGTGACGGGGATTCAGTGAGGGTCTCAGGCTGTGTACAGCCCAGGACAGTGCCTGGCTCAGAGTGAGTGCTCAACAAGCTTTAAGTGTCGTTAGTATTCTTGCTGAAAACATGAAAACTAACCCCAGAGCTAAGCAGTGGAATTCTGCCCGTGTTGGGGGTGAAGAGACCAAAGTTCAGAAAAATTCATTAACATGTCCAGGATCATACAGCTGGAACAGGGGAACAGGCAGGGCTGAGCTCCAAGTCCAGGCAGGCTGAGCCCAGAGCCCTCGCTTTGAAGCTGTTTTATATGACTCCTTAGCAGGAAGCTACTCAGGGCGGACTGACTCAAGAGCATTGTTTCCTGGAACTCCTGAGTCCAAGAGCTGGGGGAATGCTGGAAACAAGGAGAAGGAAGGCAGAGAATGCTTGTGGAGGCAGCAAGGAATAAATAGATGCAAGAATATTGGAAGGTGTCATAAGAGGGATAAGGAACCAATCGCACCTCTGTCTCGCCCCATCCCCTCTCCAGGTGAGAAGTGCTGGCTCTGTGTGAGACTTTATGTCAGACAGGGGCTCAGTGCTGACCGTTCAGCCCTGTGCCTAGGGACAGCCCTTCAGCCTCCTTGACGATTTCCTGATTTAGTCTGGGTCTGAGGGCACCTCCTCATCTGGCCAATTCAGGGTAAAAGAATTTGGAAAGCTCAAACACTCAAGAAATTTAGTTTTTTGTTTTGTTTTGTTTGGTTTTGAGAAAGGGTCTTGCTGTGTCACCCAGGCTGGAGTGCAGTGGCACAATCACCATCACTGCTCATTGTGGCCTCAAACTCCTGAGCCCAAATGATCCTCCCACCTTAGCTTCCTGAGTAGCTGGGACCACAGGCGTGCACCACCACACAAGCTAATTTTTTTTTTTTTGTAGAGACAGGGTCTCACTATGTTGCTCAGGCTGGTCTCAAACTCCTGTGCTCACACAATTTTCCTGTCTCGGCCTCACAAAGTGGTGGGATGACGGGCATGAGTCACTGCGTCTGGCCAAGAAGCTTAGTTTTTAAAATAACAATCAGTAAAATAGGTTACAACTTTTCAGTCAAACCTGTCAGGTGAGATGAAAATTCAGGAAAGCCAGGCCACATTATTTTCAGTTAAGTTCTGTGAAAACTTCTGCAAAATCAATCAGAAACTCCGTCAGTTCATCTCAAAGTCCTGGGAGTCTAGACAGAAGTTCAGGCTTCGCATGTACTGGGGTGGTTGGTCGGAAATTTGGTGAGGTCGGTCCAAAATCCAGCAAGGTCAATCTAAACTCTGGATCAGTCCCAAGTTTAGTGCGGCAAGGTGAAGTCCGAGCGGTGTAGTCAAATATTTAGCCAGATTCATCATGACGTCACCCCGACCATTTGGGGTTGGGTAGGCCATCGGGTGTGGGACTGGGTATGTGATGGGCAGACAGACAGGCAGAGGATTGGCAGTGTGCGCAGGCCTGGGAGCCAAAGTGGAGACTGAATGGTAGTTTCTGGGGGTTTCCAGAACCACCTCCAGCAGGAGCCCAGCTGGGGAAATTGTGAGGCTGACCAAGAGTAGTGCGTGGTGCTCCCAGACATGTCCCTGCCACTTCCTTGAGGAGACCTGAAATGCTACTCTGTTGACCCCTACAACCCCAGCACATTGCTGAGCTGCCAGCCTTCTGACGCCTACCCCCTGTCCAGCCACTGGGCAGCCAGCCAGCATGTTTTGGCCTAAAGGACAGCAGCTCTGTGCACACACGTAGCACACGCTTGTCCCCACACGGCCTGCCTGTCTGTTCTCCCACGCTCCTTTCCCTTTCTGGCCAGAGCTGAGCAGGCAAAGCCAACAGCTGGCCTGGTGCCCTGGTGCGTGGAGGTGTAGCTGGGCTCTGACCCAGCTCCTCAAACAGGTTCCATATGGCCCTCCCGGCTGCCCCCCACTCCCCTTCCCCACCTTGACTGTTTCTGAGATTAAAACCCTTTCCTGGTTTCCCAGCAGTGGCAGGGAGGGGCTGCCACGCTGCTGTTGGGGCTGAGCCGGTGTGGAATACTCATCAAATGTTAGCTGGAGGGGGATGGATTTCTTGGGCAGTTGGGTGAGGGGGCATGGAGGGGAACACATGGCTTGAGCACAGGAGAGACCTGTTGGCCCCTGCAGCCCAGCTGCAGCCTCTGGAGAAGCTCCTGAGTGTCTGACCTTGGCAACAGGACCTCAAGACTTCAGTGGGAACAGACAGCCTTCTGGGCCTCTCTACTTCTCTCCTTGTACCCAGAATTCCTCCTGCAGCTAAGAGGGGTGTGATGAAAGCAAAGAAAGGGACAGCTGGGATGGGAGAAGCCCTGGGGGGAGCAGGGAGGCTCCCACATGTTGTACCCTCCGGTAACACTCAGGCCCTGGACAGTCAGCAGAAATTCAGACATGGCATTGGAATGGGGTCCTGGGGCAGCCATCCCTGCTGAGCCTGGTGCCTGCCCTTTGGTAGCAGGGCTGTGGGAAAGCCTTGGGATGCTGGGAGCAGAGTAATAGGGTGTGGTGAGAGTAGGGGATGCTCCAGGAGCTTGGGACTGCAGCTATCTACCCCTGGTACTGAAGTATTTGAATATTTTAACAGCCAGCTTGGTGGTCCTGGTGGCCCCCGCTGAACCTTAGCCTTAGGTTAGAGCCCATCTCTGCTCTAGCTCTGGCTTCTTCCCTGGAAAGGCTTTTGTTGACCGTGAAACCTGAAGACATGCACACACACAAACATGTGAATGTGTGTGTGTCTGCCTGTCTGCGTGAACTCTCTGGGCTCCCAGACCTTCTAAGTGCCCAGAAAACCCAGAAGCACTTGCCCACTCTTGCACTTTGCCTGCCCTTGTCCTCCTGCCCCAGCCCCACCATGTCCAGCCCAGAGACTAGTCCAGAGGCACAGCTGATCCACTTCTGAGCCCCTGGCTGAACCATGTCCTGGGGCTTCTTAACTCTTATCCCTCCTCCATCCTGTCCCAGACTTGTGCCTGGGAGCTGGCTGGCATGACTGGGGCTCTGAACATTTGGAAGGCTTCCATTTAAACTGTCTCCCTACCAGACTATCCTCCTGCCCAGCCAGCCACACCATTGGCCCAGCTCTGGGAGCCTATCCCACATGCCTTGGAAGATCAAAGCAGGCTCCACGTCCATTTTCAGTGATGACATCCGGCTTCAGCAGGTGGTGATTTAGGATCTCAGCTCTGGAAGGCCCTCAGGGATCTCCATTCTGGCAGTCTCATTTTCTCATGGAGACCCAGAGAGGAGGCTGGCTGGGACTGGAACCCCAGTGTCCACAGCTCCTGGAATTTCACCAGGAGAAAGGGAAAAAGTGGACAAGGAGACTCAGCTAAGACAGACTTTCCCTTCTTCTCCTAGAACAAGCTATGGGTGGAGGAAGGAAAAGACTTTGGAGATTGTTGTCTAATGGCTTAGTAGTCCTGCCCATGCCCATGCCTTGGCCACTTCTCCGCATCTACATGGGGTGCCGGGACATCATGGTGCCTCAGGTGGACCTGCAAGAGGTTGCAGGGCAGTTTCAAGGGCATGAAGGAAGCCTGATCTGTGAAACATTTTGCAACATTGGTGCGGATAAGGGACCCGATAAAGGAGCTCAAAGAGCCTCAGTCCCACCTCCTTGCCCGTCTACTCCTGCTATGGTTTGAATGTTTGTCCCTTCTGAAACTCATGTTGAAACTTGATCCCCAATGTAACAGGATTGAGAGGTGGGGCCTTTAAGAGGTGATTGTGTCATGAAGGCTCTGCCTTCATGAATCCATTCATGGATAAAGGTGTTAATGGATTAATGGGTTATCATGGGGCTGGGTTAGTTATCAGGAGAGTAGGTCCATTATAAAAGCCATTTTGACACACTCTTGCCCTCTCACCACATGATTCCTTCCACCATGTCATGACACAGCAAGAAGGCCCTCACCAGATGCAGCCCCTCAACCTTGGACTTCCCAGCCTTCAGAACTGTAAGAAATAATTTCCTTTTATTTATAAATTACCCAGTCTCAGACATTCAGTCAAGCAACAGAAAATGGACTAAGACAACTTCCTTCCTCTCACTCTCTCTTTAGCTGTTAAAGCTATTGCTATGCACAGGGAGAGAATGGAAGCTGATTTTGTTTCTCCTCTGGGGGTGCTGTTTGGAAGTCTGGGGCTGAGGAAGGAGCAGTCATGGCCCCAGCCAACTCCTTGCATATGTTGGGGGGTGGGGGATGATAAGGGACGCTGTGCACCTAGCCTAGCTTTGCACTGCCTTGTCCATCGAGCCCAACATCCCTTACAGACATCTGGAAGCCCTTTCAACAGTCCATATCCAGATGTTCCAGGTCAGTGGGCAACTCTGAATTCTCCTTCCACCCTCTCATATCTGGGCTCTGATCATTGGTTTCTCCCCCAAGATGTCTTTCCAGGGACATCCCTGTTCTTCCAGCTCTGCTCAAACTCTGCTGAAAGACTTTGGTTCTCTGCCCTTCACATCGTTTTCTTGAGACATTGCATTCCTCTGCTATCACTCTGATCCTAATAGTCACAGTGAACAAGGTGGGATACACTTGATTGAGATGTTAACAGGTATTTTTCTCCTGGGGGTTTGCTCTGCACTCCCCATTCCAGCCACTGAGCCTGGATTAGGAAGAGGGGCAGGACAGATGGTGGGTGGAAACAATGGAGTCTTCCTGGCTTTGTACCCTGCTAACCCCAGACCTTAGCAGACATGAGAGGTTGTAAGGGCTTATTGGAAATGTGGGAGCAAGGTCTGGAATGGCAGCAGGCAGTGAACATTGAAGAGGGGCTTCCCTGGAGAGTTCCAGGAGGCAGCAAGATTGTAAGAGGGAAGGGCTGGGTAGCAAGTTCAGGCAGACAGCCTGCCTGGCTTCCCATACCCAGGTGAGGCCCAGATCTGAGAAATAGCTCCTGGGCCCTGGCACCTTGCGGACAAGAGGCAGGGGAAGGCAGGTATGAGGGTCAGTTTGGTGATGAGTTTCAGGATATGTCCACTGAGGCATGACTTTGTGGGGCGAATGCTTCAGGGAGACGCCAACATCTCTCAGAACCTGGGGTTATACAAAAGCCCCCATAACTCAGACTCCCCTTGGGGAAAACTGGGAGTTTGCCCCAAATTCAATGAGATTGTGTCTACTGCCACAACTGAGTGGGGAGCTCAAGCCAGCCATTAAATTGCTATAGAAAGGTAAATTATTTTGCCTTGCATGGCTGAGTTACAGCTCAAGCATGGAACCCACTGCACTAACACTGACAGGTCCTGGGCAGCGTGTTCTTTGATCCTCATCATTAGCTTCAGGGGGTACATGCTGTGATTCTTCCCATTTTACAGACAAGAAACTGAGCCCGCTGGGCGCGGTGGCTCACGCCTGTAATCCCAGCACTTTGGGAGGCCAAGGCGGGTGGATCACGAGGTCAGGAGATCGAGACCATCCTGGCTAACATGGTGAAACCCCGTCTCTACTAAAAATACAAAAAAATTAGCCGGGCATGGTAGCCGGTGCCTGTAGTCCCAGCTACTCGGGAGGCTGAGGCAGGAGAATGGCGTGAACCCAGGAGGCAGAGCTTGCAGTGAGCCGAGATCGCGCCACTGCACTCCAGCTTCGGCGAGAGCGAGACTCCGTCTCAAAAAAAAAAAAAAAAAAAAAAAAAAAAAAAAAAAAAAAGAAACTGAGCCACAGAGGCACCTAGCAGCTTTCCCAGGGTTGCAGAATTGGTATGAGGAAGTGGTCCAGATGCAAGCCTGTGTCTGTTTGACTCCCAAGTCCATGCTCCTCTCTGTCCCTCCCTGCACCGCTCCACTTAGAAGGATACGAAGTGAATTTAAACATCTTAGCCACAGTGTTGGTGGTTAGCCAGTGGGTCTATGCATGCCTTTGTCAAAAACATGTGCTCCAGCCTGTGTTTTCTCTGTACCGTCAATGTTTGGATTCTCCAAAAGCCCAGCCCCAAGGTATCCCTCCTCATCTGTCTTTTTGCCCTCATCACAGGCTTGGGAGCAGATCCACACCACTACAGCTATGATTTGGAAGGAGCACAGCCATCACTGATGTCACAACAGTCCCCGCAATTCCACAGCACAGTGTTGATTTCATTGCACCACAGTGTAGCTCTAGGAGGTAGGGCAGGATTCGTGCCCATTTTATAGACAAAAATGCTGGGGTTCAGGGCTTGACCTAGGCCCCATCGAGGAAAGTAATATGGTTTGGATGTTTGTCCACTCCAAATCTCATGTTGAAATGTGATTCGCAGTGTTGGAGGTGGGACCTGGTGGGAGGTGATTGGATCTTGGGGATGGATCCTCATGAATGGCTCAGCACCATCCTCTTGGTGATGAGTGAGTTCTCGCTCTGAGTTCACATGAGATCTGGTTGTTTAAAAGTGTGTGGCACCTCCTCTACCCTCTTGCTTCTGCTGGCACCAGGTAAGACATGTCTGCTCCCACTTCACCTTCCACAGTGAGTAAAAGCTCCCTGAGGCCTCCCAGAAGCTGAGAAAATGCTGATACGATACTTCCTGTACAGCCTGCAGAACTGTAAGCCAATTAAACGTCTTTTCTTTATAAATTACCCAGTCTCTGGTAGTTCTTTACAACAATGCAAAAATGGCCTAACACCGACAGAGAGGAGCTGGAACTCAAAACAAGTTATTTTTTTTCCCCTAAACTTGGCCGAAGGTGGGAATCTCCTGGTGTGTTTCCTTGGGTCCCAATTCAGACCTTAAAATCAGAATTTCAGAGAAGAAAGTGCACAGCCCCTGCCCCTTCAGATAAAGCTCTGTTGCCAGAGATTTACAAATTTATTTGAAGCCTTGGAACGTTTTATTCCAAAAATCTTTATGCTGGAGAAAAAACCCAGTGTATCCAAGGGGTAGGTGATGTCCACCCTCCATCCTACTCAGAGCCCCAAGGGTGCCTCTGGGCCTGGGTCAAGCACCATGAACCACACTCTCATTCAGATTCCAAGTCTGCCACTCATCAACAGTGGCCCCAACAATTTTTGCCAACTTCCCTGTGCCTCAATTTCCTCATCTTTACAATGGGAAAATAATGTTATCTGCCTTGCAGAATTGTTGTGAGGATCAAATGGGCAAATGTCTGTTAAGTACTGAGAATAGTGCCTGGCATATAAGAAGTGCTAAATAAATAAATGTCATTCATTGGGCCACTGTGTCTTGGCTGATTTTTTTTTTTTTTTTTTTTTTTTTGAGACTGCATCTCCCTCTGCTGCCCAGGCTGGAGTACACTGGCATGATCTCAGCTCACTTCAGCCTCCACCTCCTGGGTCTGAATGATTCCCGTGCCTCAGCCTCCTGAGTAGCTGGGATTACAGGTGTATACCACCAAGCCTAGCTAATTTTTTTTTATTTTTAGTACAGATAGGATTTCACTATGTTGGCCATGCTGGTCTGGAACTCCTGGCCTCGAGTGATCCACCCACCTCGGCCTCCCAAAGTGCTGGAATTACAGGCATAAGCCACTGTGCCTGGCCTTGGCTGATTATTTTCTGAGGACTGAATCCATGTGTTGGCTGGTTTAAATGGTTGCCTTGGTTAAAGGAATGATTAAATGGCATCATCCTAATGAATCAGAAAGAAAAATAGTCAAAGCAATTGTAAGATTTAATTGGTTTGTTTGGGGTGTTTTAAAATAATAGTGATCAGTTTGCGGTGGGTGTGGTTGCTTTGCACAGGGTGACCAGCCACCTCTGCAGGCATGAGCAGGCTGGGATGTGAGCAGATTTGATTCCAGCCCCCACCAGGCTTCCGGGAGAAGTTCCCATGGAGGCAGACAGACATCAGACGGAGGCCCCGTCGCCGGTGTTTCCTTGGTTGCTCAGGCCCTCTCAGAGCTGCTGTCAGGTCAGATCCTGGAAACCCTGAGTGGTTTCCCAGCTGAGGCCTTTGAGTGCTGCTAGTTTGTTCTGCCCTGTTTCCTCTGGGGGAGCTGAGCAAAGGGATGGATTATTCACTTCCCTCCTCTCTTCCCCTATGGGGTTCTTTTTAGAAGGGGTGGCTTGGTCAGCTCTGGGCAGGAAGGGTGATGAGGGAGGATAAGGCCAATCATTTTCCACCTCCCACTCTCTTTTCTGAGTGCCCTAAGAAGTGGCTGGACAGGGGACATCCAGGACCTGGGGTGGTTCCAGGACGGAGGCTTCCGGCTGCCATGGTTGCCCTGGGGTTGGCTGGAGCCAGGACCTCTCTGGAGAGGCACAGAGGGAACTTCAGGGGAAACCACATTTACATCCAGGTGAAATCAGTTAGGCTGATCATCAAAGGGGTAGGAAGGATCCCAGAGAGGAAATGAGAGATCTGGTCATGTTGCTTAACTCCCTGGTCAGTGGCTTCTATTGCCTTGAGGATAAGGTCTCCAATCCTACAGGCCCACCCCGCCTGACCAGGCAGCATACCTGCCTTGGCATGTGAGGGCCCCTGTGCCGTGAGCTCAGCTCCAGACCCCTCCTTGATGCTCCTTCTGCCTCAGGGCCTTTGCACACTGTTGCTCTCCCCCGACCCTTTACCTTCTGCAACTCCTTCTCAAGCTTCAGGCCTCAGGTGAAAGTCACTCTTTGTGAGACGCCCTCCTTGACATTCCTCCCCCAGCCCCTGTCTAGACCAGATGAGGATATTTGCTCCTCCCCTTATCGTGTATACTCCTTCAATTTCTCCTTCAGGGCCTACGCTCAGTTGTAACTCTTTATTTAGTGTCTATCATTCCTTTTTGAAGAGGACAGTAGCCATGTCTGCCTGATTCGCCATGACATTACCAGCCCAATGACAGGGACACAGTAGGTATTTCTAAGTATGTGGTAAATGATGGATGGGCATTTTGGCCCACCCATTCTAACGGGTGCCTTGAAGATGGCAGAAGTTACAGGGAAACAGCATATGGCTTTGCATTTGGAAGATCTTTCTAGTAGAGTTGGCCAAGAACTAAATGAATATGTTGCTTTAGGGAGTAGTGAGCTCCCTGTCACTGGAGGAGTGCAAGCTGAGGCTGAGTGACTGTATGTGGAAACACTTAAGAAGGAACCTGAGTTTCTGGTGTGGAGTGAGTATAGACCCTGGAACAATCTTTCCAACCTTGTGAAGGTGAGATTCTAAGGTGGCAATGGGGTGATGGGGATGGACTGACATCTTCTGAAGTTCCCTCTGTGCCTCTCCAGAGAGGTCCTGGCTCCAGCCAACCCCAGGGCAACTATAGCAGCCAGAAGCCTCCATCCTGGAACCACCCCAGGTCCCGGATGTCCCCTCTCCAGCCACTTCTTAGGGCCCTCGGAGAAGAGAGTGGGAGGTGGAAAATGATTGGCCTTATCCTCCCTCATCACCCTTCCTGCCCAGAGCTGATCAAACCACCAGACTGGCATGGACTGGTTGCCATAGAAGTCCCTGGTTTTCTTTAGCCCAGAGAGGGACAACTACCTCCTTGTCTCTGGTTTGTTCCTGAGTCACTGCCCAACCAGTAGGTGGGAACTTCTAAAGTCAGAGTGGCCAACCCAGTGCCCATAGGGGCCAGGCTTGGAACATGGGTAAGTGGGAAACCCAGGTGCCTAAAAATGAGGGTAAAGAACTGTGGCAAGGACACATGGTTATCAGAGAGGCTACAGGGACTGGTGGGGACTATGGCAAATTGGAGGGAACAGACCCAATTTAAAGGGGTCACCTCAGGCCCTGGAGAGATGTAAACCTGAGACTGTCTAGATATTTAGCTTTTTAAAGAGAAGCAGGAAATACGAATTTTTATATAAAATCTAATTCATTTTCTTTTTTTCTTTTTTTTTTTGGTTGAGACAGAGTCTCGCTCTGTTGCCCAGGCTGGAGTTCAGTAGCACTATCTTGGCTCACTGCAACCTCTGCCTCCCAGGTTCAAGTGATACTCCTGCCTCAGCCTCCCTTGTAGCTGGGACTACAGGCGTGTGCCACCATGCCTGGCTAATTTTTGTATTTTTAGTAGAGATGGGGTTTCACCATCTTGGCCAGGCTGGTCTTGAACTCCTGACCTCAGGTGATTCGCCTGCCTTGGCCTCCCAAAGTGCTGGGATTATAGGTGTGAGCCTCCGCACCCAGCCAAAATTTCCTAATTTTCAAGTGTTGGCTACTTATGAGCCAGACAAAATCCATCTTGAGGCTATATTTGACCCTCTGTTCTGATTCTAAGATCTGGGGATGACTTCTCCTTGTCCCCAAAACAACTGAACAACTTTTCCTTTCCTACCAGATTCCCCTTGGCCCCTGCAGTCCTGAGTCAGAGGCCCCAGCTCACAGCTCTGTCTTGAGAGCATCTCCTCTCCTTTCTGAAGATGGCCCTGAACTGAATAGTGAGAGACTCTAGCCAGGTCTGCTCTGCAAGGCTGATCATCCATCCTCCAGCTGCTGGGACTCTTAGCTGTGGATGGCTCACAGCTGCATTCTGGAGACTGCCTCCTTCTGGGTCATATCTGCTGCCATGGGAGACTACAACCAATGACAATCTGATATTAGGATATGAAGGCCCACCCCGTGCCTCAATTTGGGACCATGCTGGAGGACCATCTCAGCTGCAGAGCCCCCCCATAGGATGGCTGAGGCCTCAGGTGCAACCTCATCATGATTCACCTCCTTCCTTTCCCAGTCCTGCCTTGCTTGGCTCCTTTTGCAGGGAGCACCTCCAGAAGGCCTAAGGAACCCAAGCGAGGCAGGACTGGTTCTTTCTGCACAAATCTCTGCATCAGTATTTCCAAAGAGTCTCATGTGAAACACGCAGCCTACCCACTTTCTCAGAGACCTAATTTTTTTCTTATCAAAACTTCTCTCAGGAAAGGCTCTGATAAGCTTGTTCACATGGAGGTATCCGTGGTTGATAATAGCTCAATGGATTTATTTTTCCAGAGTCATCTGCTATATATTTATGAGAATCTTATGTCGAAGGGTGGATGAACTTCCAGGGTAATGAGGGAAGATTGGGGCATTTCTGATTTATCAGTGAATCAGGGGCTGCACCATGCCAACAGCCTAAAGTAAGACAGGGTGATTCTAAGCCTCGTAAATGTTGATTGGTGAGGCTGGCTCTTGAGATCTGCCATCTTGGGGCTTTTAAAGAGTGAATCAGCAAGGTGTGACAAACAGGGACCCGGCTAGCTGTGTGACTGCTCCTTTCTGGAGCCCAGTTTCTTCAACTGATTGATGGTAATATTCACTATAAAATTGTATCCACACATGAGCTTAATTAAGATATTAATATAGTCATTTTTGGACACACCGGAAAGTTAGATGTAAATGCCTTGGAATGGAGACTCCCAAACTTCCTCTTTCCATAGCACCCTTAGTGTCACAGTAATTTTTTTATTACTTATGTGCCCCCAAGACCAAAAGAAACACCAAAGAGATCCATTATTAAGTAGTTAGGTCTAAATAAATCAATGTGTATGTCTGTCCTAACAACTTTGTAGCCATCTAAAAATACACATAAAGGAAAAGATATTTTTATTCCATTCTTAACCACAGTTATTTACTAATGGGATGTATAATATGTTGGGTACTGCATGGTTTCTCAAACCTTGGAATCATATCGGATGCCATCACCTCATTTCCTGGTCCACAATGATTTGCACATGGTATTTGCTTTTTATCACAGCAACCACCAAAACACTTCGCAAAGATATGATGTCACTGAAAGGAATGTAGTGGGCCCTAAAGCTGAAACTGGTAGTGTGCGGAGCATCCGGCAGGTGTCACTGTACTTCCCACAAAATTTAAAATATCCCTGCAGCCACTCTGTGAATTGGCGATGGTGCCCCCAGGGGCCTCAGTGCAAGGTTTGGGAGCAGTGGCCTCAGGTATTAACTATGGCTGTATTCAGAGAGTAAACTTTTGGATAATCTTTACTTCTTTCTTTCTACTTTTTCCTCGTCCCTTACATAACAAGCATGTAATAATACTTAAATAAGAGCCAAATCAGAGAGATGGTTGTACAACATTGTGAGTGTATTTTAATGTCGCTAATGATAAATTTTTTGTCATGTGTCTTCTACCACAAAAAAGCTATTTTAAAAAATCAGAGAGGCCAGGTGTGGTGGCTCATGCCTGTAATTCCAGCACTTTGGGAGGCCGAGGTGGGCGGATCACAAGGTCAGGAGATTGAGACCATCCTGGCCAACATGGTGAAACCCCGTGTCTACTAAATATACAAAAATTAGCTGGGTGTGGTGGTGCGTGCCTGTAGTCCCAGCTACTTGGGAGGCTGAGGCAGGAGAATCGCTTGAACCCAGGAGGCGGAGGTTGCAGTGAGCCAAGATTGAGCCACTGCACTCCAGCCTGGGCAACAGAGTGAGACTCCATCTCAAAAAAAAAAAAAATATATCAGAGAAAAATGTAAGATTTGTATATTTTTTAAACCCCAAACCCCTCAGGGAAGTTGGATGGGATAAGGCAAGGACAAGATCTATGAGCTGGGATGCTGTAGGGCGTCCCAGCAGCCAGGCTCTCAGACTTGCATCCACCCAGCCCTGCACCCGCCCACCCAGCTATCCACACCAACTGGCTGCCTGCTTCCCAGGGAAACACACCTGTATCAGAGCATTTAACCCACCACTCTCACATTCCACCTCTCCCTGGAAGAAAAACCTGTTTGCCATTCTGCTGGCTGGCTTCCTTGTTGGTGCAGGTAGAAAGCCAGGCTCTGGGAACCCAGCAGACATGCTGTCAGGAGAACTTCCTTTGCAGTGGGATGTGAGCTGAGGCAGCGGGAGACCACTGGTTTGTGTTATATCCTCTGACTCGACAGTGAGCACAGGGACTCTCAAATGTGACATTTCTCCTATTGGTGCTATCTATGCCTGTCCTTTCAGCCAGGTGGATCAAGTCATTTGCTGCATCGTTTTACATTGTGGAAAACCTCCTTTATGTCTGGCTTAATACGACACGCTGAGGTTCCCGTACCTGTTTCTGCCTTCAAACTGTTCCTGCGGGCTGTTTTTGGAAGAAAATCTGGTCTCATATGGATATGTGGTTGGAAAAGGGAAGACCTTGTGGGACCCCCTGAAATGGCCAGGGGACCTTAGACCATACTTCGAGAATCATCACCTTTCAGCAATGGTTTAAATAAGCCGAGAAAGCTTTCCTCACCTTCATGTAACAGCTGAGGAAACTGAAGGCTCTGAAAATGACATGATGTTGTGAAGATCTTACCCTGCTTTAATGCAGGAGGCAAGGCTAGGAACTGGCTCTTCTGTCTCCTGCTTTGGGGCTATTTCCATTACTAAAGGAAACAAGATTCATGATGCTCCTAAAGTACAGCCTCCTTAAGAGTTCCTTTCATGAAGGTTAGTGGAAAACCCTAAGTTTTTATTTACCTGAAATATATATTTTTTGAAACGATAGTTTTGGAAGATAGTTTTGCTGCATATAAAACTTTGGGCTGATGATTAATTTTTTCCTCAGCATTTGGAAGGTATTTCCCCCTATCTTTTGGCCTCTCCCATGGCTGATAGCTGGCAATCTAATTGTAATTTTTCGGTAGATGAGTGGTCTTTTCTGTCTGGCTGCTTTCAAGATTTTCTCTTTATCTTTGGTGATATAAAATCTCCCTTCAGTAGGACCTGGTGTGGATTTCTTTTTATCCATTCTGTTGGATGTATGATGCATATACATTAGAAATGTGTCTTCCTTTCAGTGTGGTGATTCCTCAAGGATCTAGAACTAGAAATACCATTTGACCCAGCCATCCCATTAGTGGGTATATACCCAAAGGATTACAAATCATGCTACTATAAAGACACATGCACACGTGTGTTTATTGCGGCACTATTCACAATAGCAAAGACTTGGAACCAACCCAAATGTCCATCAATGATAGACTGGATTAAGAAAATGTGGCATGTATACACCATGGAATACTATGCAGCCATAGAAAAGGATGAGTTCATGTCCTTTGCAGTGACATGGATGAAGCTGGAAACCATCATTCTGAGCAAACTATCACAAGGACAGAAAACCAAACACCGAATGTTCTCACTCATAGGTGGGAATTGAACAATGAGAACACTTGGACACAGGGTGGGGAACGTCACACACTGGTGCCTGTCGTGGGGTGGTGGGCTGGGGGACAGATAGCATTAGGAGAAATACCTAATGTAAATGACGAGTTAATGGGTGCAGCAAACCATCATGGCACATGTATACCTATGTACCAAACCTGCACGTTGTGCACATGTACCCTAGAACTTAAAGTATAAAACAAACAAACAAAAATGAAATGTGTCTTCCTTTATCTGTAGATCTGTGTATCTAATTCTCAAGCACTCTTTCAAAATGATCCCTCTCTTCTATTCTTTCTATTGTCTCCTTTCAGGACTCTGATTACATCTGTGTCATATACTTTATTCTATTGTCTACATCTCTGAACCTTTCAAGTATACTGTTTCTCTCTCTCTGTTGTTTTCAGGGTTATTTCTTTCTTTCTTTCCTTTTTTTTTTTTTTTTTTGAGACAGAGTTTTGCTCTGTTGCCCAGGCTGGAGTGCAGTGGCATGATCTCAGCTCACGGCAACCTCCACCTCCAGGGTTCAAGCAATTCTCCTGCCTCAGCCTCCTGAGTAGCTGGGACTACAGGTGGGTGCCACCACACCTGGCCAATTTTTATATTTTTAGTAGAGACAGGGTTTCGCCATGTTGGCCAGGCTGGTCTCAAACTCCTGACCTCAAGTGATCCACCTGCCTCGGCCTCCCAAAATGCTGGCATTACAGGTGTGAGCCACTGTGCCCAGCCAGGGTTATTTCTTTAGCTCTATCTTCTAGTTCATGAATTATCTTTTCAACTTTGTCTAATCTGCTGCTTAGCCATTTACTGTTTTCTCTTGTTTGTTTGCTTCCAATACTGAGGGTGCAATTGTCATTTTGAGTGAGAAATGCTTTGTTTTGAAGGGCTGTCTTATAAATTATGAGACTTTTATCATCCTTTAGTTTCCCCAACTAAAAGTCCAAGTTCAATTAATGCCCCAGACCTTTCCAAATAACATGAGGCAGGGGGAAGGCAAGAAGTACCACCCTTGGCTGAAAACAATTTGAGGGAAAATAAACACTAAGTTCAACCCAAAATGTGTTAGCTCAGACTGCCATAGCGAATACCATGCAGTGAATGGCTTCACAACAGATTTATTTCTTGCAGTTCTGGACACTGGAAAGTCCAAGATCAAGGTGCAGCAATTTAGTTCCCCGTGAGGGCTCTTTCCTGGTGAGAAAATGAGGACCAGCTTCTCACTGTGTCTTCTCATGGCAAAGAGATCTCTCTGTCCTCCTCTTCCTAGAAAGCTGCCGTCCTATTAGATAGTGCCCCACCCACATGACCTCATTTAACCTTAATGAGTTCCTAAAAGCTCATCTCCAAATACAGTCACACTGGAGGTTAGGGCTTCAACATATGAGTTTGTAGGGGGAGACACAATTCAGTTCATGGCATAATGCAAATCAGAAGGCAAATTTTGGTATATGATACATGCAAGATTATAAACCACCTATGAAGGTGTAGACCTAGAGCTCCATTCTTAAATAAATAGATAAGTAAATAGGAGAAGGCACTGAATTTAAAGCATAATCTCCAGGCCTGGCACAGTGGCTCACTCCTGTAATCCCAGCACTTTGGGAGGCGGAGGTGGGTGGATCACAAGGTCAGGAGTTCGAGACCAGCCTGGCCAACATGGTGAAACCCCATCTCTACTAAAAATACAAAAATTAGCAGAGTGTGGTGGTGCGTGCCTGTAATCCGAGCTACTCAGGAGGCTGAGGCAGGAGAATTGCTTGAACTCAGGAGGTGGAGGTTGCAGTGAGCCGAAATCGCACCACTGCAGTCCAGCCTGGGTGACAGAGTGAGACTCTGTCTCATAAATAAATAAATAAAACAAAACACAATCTCCAGTCATCAGGGAGTTTAAAGTCTATTTGGGAAAACAATATAAAAATCTGAAAGTTAAAAAAAACAAAGCATTAAACAAAAGTTTGAGATCCATGTAGAATAAATGCCACAGGGTACTCTAGCTTAGGGTAAAGAAACAGCAGCTTTCTTAATGTAATTAAAATATGAGCTATGGCATTTCTCTCCATCTATTCACTCTCTCCCTGGGAGAGCTGATAGAGAATGCTGGAATATATGTGATAGAGCATCCACATTTACCTGAATATGAGCTACCTGGTACATAATTTCATACTGATGCCTCCTCTATATACGTATTTAAGAGCTATACCTTATGTCTAAAAGCTTTTTATTTTGAAATAATTTCTAGATTTATAGAAGAGTTGAAAAGACAGTATGGAGAATTCTCTGTACCATTCTTCCAGCTTCTGGTAATATTAGTATCTTACATAGCTATATTGTCAAAACTAAGACATTAAGGTTGGTAAAATACCATTAACTAAACTACAGAGTTTATTTGGATTTTCTGTTTTCCACTAATGTCTTTTTGTTTTTCTGTTTCAGGATCCAATCAATGACATTACATTGCATTTAACTGTCATGTCTCCTTAGGTCCCCAGTTTGTGATAGTTTTGCAGCCTTTCTTTGTCTTTCATGGTCTGGATGATTTTGAGGAATGCTGGTCCGATGTTTTGTAAAACAGCCCCCAAGTTGGATTTCTCTGATGTTTTCTTATGGTTTGACTGGAGTTATGGACATCTGGAGGAAGAATACCACAGAGGTAATATGCCCTTCTTATAGCATCCCACTAGAGAGTACATGATATCAATGTCTTATCACTAATGATGTTAACCTTGATCACTTGGTTAAGATGGCATCTGCCAGGTTTCTCCGTGATCAGTGTTACTATTTTTCCCTTTCCCTAGCTATTACTTAGAAGGGAGACATAAATCCAGCCCCCCTCAAGGAGAGGAGAGCTAAGCTAAACTCCCGTACAGAGGTGCATCAAAGAATTTGTGGACATATGTTAAAGCCCCCACAGTAATTAATAAGTGTTTGAAGGGTGATAATTTGAAGCTATGCAAATATCCTCTTTCTGTAGTTTGCCCACTAATTTTAGCATTAGTCAATGTATCTTGACTGCAGACGTCATTACTGTCATCTTCTAATTCTCTATTGTCCTCATTCACTAATCAGAATTCTTCTATTAAAAAAAGGGTTCTCTTGGCCAGGTGCGGTGGCTCATGCCTGTTATCCCAGCACTTTGGGAAGCTGAGGCGTACAGATCATTTGAGACCAGGAGTTCAAGATCAGCCTAGGCAACATGGCAAAACCCCATCTCTACTCAAAATACAAAAATTAGTCAGGCATGGTGGCTCACACGTGTAGTCCTAGCTACTGTGGAGGCTAAGGAACGAGACCCACTTGAACCTGGGAGGGAGAGGTTGCAGTAAGCCAAGATCGCACCACTGCACTCCAGCCTGGACAACAGAGCGAGAACCTGTCTAAAAAAGAAAAAAACCAAAAATCAAAAACAGGGTTCTCTCTTCTCTAGCATTTATTTATTATTAAATCATTTATTTATATCAGATTTTTTTTGTTGCTCAAATTGTTACAGCTTTGGCTATAGGAAGCTCATTCAGTGTGGCTCTTGTGCCTTTTGATTTTTTTTAACATAAAGTACTTCCTTACTTTCTGGCACAAGGTGCTTTAGGTCCATCTCATATTTTTTCTGCCCTTGACATAGCATCACACATTTTATTGAGGTTCCTTTTATTGGACATTGGCAATTAGAAACCAATACCTGGGCATGAAGTGTCCTTATTGCCCCTGGGTGTCATTGCTTCTAGTTCCTCTCAGTGGACAGAGCTAGAAAATTATGCATATATACTAATCCATGTAAACACATACCTCCATCTACCAGGTAGCTTTCTATCTATCTACTAGGATCCGAATGTTTGTCTTCTTCAAAACTCATGTTGAAGCTTAATCCCCAATGTGGCAGTATTGAGAGGTGAACCCTCTCAGAGGAGATTGGCTCATGAGGGCTGCCCTCATGATAGATTAATTCACTCATGGATTACCGGATTAATGGGTTATCATGGGAGCAGGTCTGGTGGTTTTATAAGAATAGGAAGAGAGACCTGAGCTATCATGCTGTGCACAGCCTCAGGACTCTGCAGAGAGCCCACCAGCAAGGAGGCTCTCACCAAATGTGGCCCCTAGACCCTGGACCTCCCAGCCTCCAGAACTGTAAGAAATACATTTCTTTTCTTTATAAATTTTGCAGTCTCAGGTATTCAGAACAGATAGCAACAGAAAACAGACTGAGACACTATTTCTCTCTCTCTCTTTCTCTATCAAAATAAATATAAGTTCATACTGATATCTCAGACTCCAACCCAACATACATTGAGTTCTTAATTTGGACAATCATACATTTTTTCTCCAACAGTTCAATTGGGTTCATTTGTAGTCTGTCACCCATTTTAAGTGTACCATCTGTTGAGTTTTGACAAACGTATATACACCGTGTAACTGTCACCACCACAATCAAGAGAGAGAGCATTTCTATCGCCCTCAAAGGATCCGTTATGCCATTTTCCAATAAATCCTCACCCCAGCCCCAATCATTGTCTTACATCACTATAGATTAGATTTGTCTTTTCTAGAATTTCATTAAAATCAGAATGGTACATATGTATTCTTTTGTGCCTGGCTTCATTTGTTCACTGTATTAATTTCCTAGGCTGCTTTAACAAAGTACTACAGACTGGGTGGCTTAAAACAACAGAAATGTATTCTCTCACAGTTCAGGAGGCCAGAAGTCTGAAATTATGTTGTCAGTAGAGTTGGTTCCTTCTGGGGGCTCTGAGGGAGACTCCATCCCATGCCTGTCTTCCGGTTTCTAGTGGTTGCTGGCAATTCTTGGAACGGTTTGGTCTGTGGCTGTGTAACCCTAATCCCTGTCTCCATTTTCTCATGGTGTTCTTCTCTATTCCCATGTGCCTTTCAGGAATTTAGCATAACTTCATCTTAACCTGATTACATCTGCAAAGACTATTTCCAGATAAGGTCACGTGTACAAGTACCAGGGGTTAGGATTTCAACATATCTTATAGGGGGACACAATTCAAAACACTCAGCATAACATGTGAGATTCATTCACGCCCCTGTGTGTACATGTAGTTTGTTACTTTTTATGGATAAGTAGCGTTGCACAGCATGTATATACCACAATTTGTTTATCCATTCACTCGTTGTGAACACATGAGCAGTTTCCTGTTATGGCCTATTAGGTTTTGGCCTGTTATGAACGAAGCTGTCCTGAACATTGAGGCGCAAGTCTTCATGTGGACACATGTTTACATTTCTCTTGAGTAAATTCCCAGGAATGGAATGACTGGGTTGTGGAGTATGTACATTTAACTCTTTAAGAAATTGTCAAACTTTCCCGCAAAGTGGTTGTAGTACTTTACATTCCTACCAGCAACTTAAGAGAGAGTTCCAGTTGCTTCACATCCTCATCAATGCTTGGTATTGTCAATCTTTCCATTTTAACCATCTGGGTAAGTCTGTGGTGGGAACTTAACTTGTTGTGGTTTTAATTCGTATTTCTCCTACGACTAATCAAGTTGAGCAACTTTTCATGTGTTTGTTGTCCATTTGCCTATTTTCTTCTGTAGGATACAGTAAATTCCTCTTCAAAGTTTAGCCTGTTAACTTCCTTTAAAATTCAAGAGGGAGAAAAACTGTTAAGTACAATGAGTTCTGAGTTCCTCTTCAAAGAACCAATATGTCAGTATGTTCAGCTTCCCTGTTCTTTGTTCTCCATTTTAAAATTTAACTTCCTTGTTCTTTACCCTCCTTGCCCCTAGTTTTAGTAAACAACCCCTTCCTAGCCTCTATCACCTGTTTTGTCCTTAGGCACCCTTAGTCACCTGCTCTGTAACTGTCCTTCCCACCGAAACTACTCACCCTGCCACTCTGGCTCATATCCCTGCTCTCTTTAAAACAGCCAGTCGGAATTAGCTTAGACTGTGTGGTCCAACCCTAACCAATAGGGGAAAGACACAGCAATAGGGACTAGCTGCATTAGGATAAGAACCCCTTTCCCCTCTCTTGTCTGGTGTGCTCTTGCCATTGCTCCAATTTACCCAATAGAAGTAAATTGCCTTGCTGAGAAAACTTTTGCCTGAGTGCTATTTTCACTTTGTGGCACCGAGCATTTACTTCCAACACTTCCATGAAGTGTCTATTCAACATTTTTACCCATGTTTTATTGGGTTGCTTTTCTTATTATGAGTTTTGAGAGTTCTTGATATATTGTGAAGGTAAGCCTTTTGTTGGCTATACATATTGTATTTTTTCCCTGTGGGTGGCTTGCCTTTTCATTTTCTTTCTTTTTTTTTTTTTTTTTTTTTTCACAGGGTCTAGGTCTGTCACCTAGGCTGGAGTGCAGTGGCACAATCATGGCTCATTGAAGCCCAGACCTCCCAGCTTACAGCTCCTGGTAATTGTTCCTTCTCCTGGTGTTCCTTGCTCAGCCTTGGGATGCTGCACAGACTGGAAGGTTGCCCAAGAAACCCTTTCCCCTCAACCTCCTAAGTTGCTGGAACCACAGGCACATGCCACCACACCTGGCTAATTTTTTTAAGTGTTCTGTAGAGATGGGGTCTCCCTATGTTGCCCAGGCTGGATCTTTACATTTTCTTAAGATATCTTTCCAAGAGCAGAAAAAATCCATTTTAATTAAGTCCAACTTATGAATTTTTTTATTTCATGGTTTATGCTCTTTTGTGTCCTACCTTAAGGGCAAAAAAACTGTCTCCTATATATTCTTCTAGAAGTTTTAGTTTTTGTGCTTTGGTCTGTGTCCATTTTGAGTATTTTTATGCGTGGTGTGAAGCAATGAGGCCGAAGTTGGATTTTTTTTTTTCCTCTATGGCTATCCAATTGCTGCAGCACCATTTGTTGAAAAGGAAATTCTTTCCACATTAAAGTGTCTTAGAATCTTTGTCAAATCAATTTATTACCAGATGCATGTGAATTTATATCTGGATTTTCTATTCTGTTCTATTGATCTATAAATATGCCTATTCTTATGCTAAGATTATATGATCATGGTTACCTTAGCTTAAAATAAGACTTGAAATCAGTTTAAATTTCTAACTTTGCTCTTCTTTTCAATACTCTTTTGGCTATTACAGATTCTTTGTATTTCCATATAAATTTTAGAATCAGCTTGTTAATTTCTACCCAAAAAAAGCCTTCTGGGATTTTATTAGGTTTACATTTGTGAAAGGAAAAAATAAATCTTGGGGACCCCAAATCACTAAGCTGAAAGGAAAAGTCAAGCTGGGAACTGCTTAGTGCAAACCTGCCTCCCATTCTATTCGAAGTCATCCCTTTGCTCACTGAGATAAATGCATATCTGATTGCCTCCTTTGGAAAGGCTAATCAGAAACTCAAAAGATGCAACCATCTGTCTCTTATCTACCTGTGACCTGGAAGCTCCCTCCCCACTTCAAGTGTCCTGCCTTTCTGGATGGAACAAATGTACACCTTACATATATTGATTGGTGTCTCATGTCTCCCTAAAATGTATAAAACCAAACTGTTCCCCAACCACCTGGGGCACTTGTCACCAGGACTTCCTGAGGCTGTCTCCTGGGCGCGCATCCTTAACTTTGGCAAAATAAACTTCCTAAATTGACTGAGATCTGTGTCAGATATTTGGGGTTCACACATTAAATCTGTAGAATAGGGAATAATTGACATGTTTACAGTATTGAATCTTCTGATCTATGAGCACAAAATAGTTTCCATTTGTTTGGTAGTTTTCAGTGTGTAGGTCTTACACATATTTCATTCCATTTATTTCTAAGTATGTTTGGATACTATTGTAAGCGGCATTTTTCCACTTCAACTTCCAGTTATTCATTGCTAGTATATAGAAATGTAATTGATTTCTATATAGTAACCTTGTATCCTGCAACCTTGCTCACCTCACCTATCATTTTAGTAACTTCTTTATATGTTTCTTGAGATTTCCAAAGTACGCAATTGCAATGTTTGAAATAAAGACAGTTATACTTCTTCTTTTCTGATCTGGATGCTTTTATTCTTAACTTATTGCAGAGGCTAAGACTTCCTGCAAAATGTTGAACAGAAATAATGATGGGAGACATATTTTTCAGTAAAAGATGCCAAAATAATAGGATAGCTGTATGAAAACAAATAGGTAAAGAAACAAACAAACACAAAAAACCCACAAAAGCCTCAATGATTCCTAGCCCTGTGTGAGCATTGGGATTTTTTCAGCTTACATCTCCTGGTAATTGTTCCTTCTCCTGGTGTTCTTTGCTCAGCCTTGGGATGCTGCACAGACTGGAATTTAGCCAAGGATTTGAGGGGATTCCATGCAGACTCTTGGAGCCCTTTCTCTGCATAACCTCCTTTTCTCTGGTACTCTGCCCTGCAAATTGCAGGCATCTCAGCCTCCCCAGACTTACATTTCAATCTCTTCAGCTCAGTGAGACCACTGAACTCTGAATTCTCCCACCCTGTTTTGCATTCCAGAAATTGCCTCCATGCAGAAAATTGGGGTAAGGTTGATCTGATCTGTTTGTATTCTTTCAAGTGCTGGGTTTTCTATTAACCTACATCTTAAAACAGTTGTTCTATACATTTCCACCCCAGTTTTCTAGTTGTTTACTAAGGGAGAAAAAGTCTAGACCTTGCTACCTTCTCATGGCATGGTCATTTTTGTTAGTCTCCTATTCTTTGCTCATTTTTTTTTTTTTTTTTGGTTCTGCGAACCCAGAAAATCTGAGACAGGCCTCAGGTAATTTAGAAAGTTTATTTTGTCAGAGTTGAGGATGCGCCCATGACACAGCCTCAGGAGGTCCTGACGACATGCGCCCAAGGTGGTCAGGGCACAGCTTGGTTTTATGCATTTTAGGGAGACATGAAACATCAATCAATATATGTAAGAAGTACATTGGTTCCGTCTGGAAAGGTGGGACAACTTGAAGCAAAGGCAGGAAGACTCAATGTGGGGGAAGGAGCTTCCAGGTCACAGATAGGTGATAGACAAACACACTCTTTTGAGTTTCTGATTAGCCATTCCAAAGGAGGCAAATCAGACATGCATCTATCTCCGTGAGCAGAGGAGTGACTTCGAATAGAATGGGAGGCAGATTTGCCCTAAGCAGTTTCCAGCATGAGTTTTCCTTAGTGATTTTGGGGGCCCAAGATGCTTTCCTTTCACAGTTCCATCTTGTATTTCTTTAAATATTTCAAACAGTTATTTAATTGTCTATATCTGAGAATTCCAACATTTGTAGTCTTTAAGGATTTAAATCTGTGGTGACTTGTATCCTTACGTGTTTGCTAATTTGTGATTGTGACTTAGTCTTTGGGCATCACAAGTCTCTCAGGTGGGAATGCCTTCCTCTAGAGGTGATTTTTGCTTGTTTGGCTGAGAGTCAGAGAAGTACTTCTGACCTGGAACCTCTGTCCCAGACTTTATTTAGGAGTATCCATTTCAGCTCCTCCAACTTGCAGGTGGCTCTCTGCTATTGCCAATAAATGTATTTACCCTCAGGTCAATATCACTGATATGGACAGAAGGCAGGGAAATAGTGGGTATAAGAGTGTGGGGTCCCTGGTGAGGGCTCCATCCTCAAGCCTGGACCTGCAGCCCTAAATGAGACGATGCATTCCTGTTTTCCCACCCGAATGTTGCCTTTTCCAAAACCACTCTGGCCTGCCACGCCCCCAACTCCGTACCCATAAAAACACCAAACTCCACTGGAAGAGGAGCAGAGTGGTGTGGCAGAGGACAGAAGAGAAGTGTCTGAATGTTGAGAGAAGAGGCGGCTAGACATTGGAGACTACGGTTGGAGAGGAGTTCAGCTGGGGATGTTCGGAGAAGGAAGATTATCTTCCCATTCCATCCCCTTTCCAGCTCCCCGTCCCATTGAGAGCCACTTCCATCACTCAATAAAATCCTCTGCACACACCACCCTTCAGTCTGTTCCTGTGGCCTGATTCTTCCTGGATGCCAGACAAGAATTTGGGATGCACTGGGTGCGGAACCCAAAAAGGCTGTCACACTGACTCTTCACTGAGCTGTTTAACACTTAAGCAGTCCACGGACGGCAAAGCTAAGAGCATTGTTTGTAACACATACCCTCTGGGACTCCAGAGGTTGAGGGCAACCCCTAGACACTGCCGGGAGCTGGTATGGGGTTTGTTCCTGCCAGTGCCCAAAGGCACTTGCCCTGGCTCCTGCACCCACTCACCTGTGTACTTCCCCAACTGCAAGGCGTTTGAGGGTGGTGTCCAAGTAAATGAGCCACCCCTCTCACAAGTCCCACAAGGGGGTCAAGGGAACTCTCCCATCTCATCACCTTTGGGTTTCAGCTCCTTGTGAGTTCTTTCCTTTTTTGAATATTTCCCTAACATTCTGCAAGCTCAGAAATGTGTTTTAAAATATGTGTTATCACATATCCAGGCTCTAGTTCTTTAGCAAGAGGGCCTTTCTAAATATCTAGTTTGCCATAATGTTGGAGTTAGAAGTCCTAGTCATCCACTCTCTATCCATCCTTTCATCCATCTGTCACTGATTTTTCTCTGTATTCCTTACTCATTCTCCTTTAGTCACCTCTGTTGTCCCCAGTTCTTTAATGTTTCAGAGAAAACAGAAGATCATTCCCTTTCAGGACTGACACAGTTGAGAAAACATCTCTAACACACTGACCCTCCCTAAAAATGTCCTTCCTCACTTGCCAGCCCTCACCTCCTGCATGGCCATGCTTTATCCTGGCATCTCAGGACCAGTGTTGGAGGAGCTTTCAGCAACAAGAAAGTGCCCTGCTGGCTTCACCCTGTGATTGTGACCCTATGACCTGGAGTTCATGGGCCCAGGGTCACTCTAATGGGGTTGTGGGGAAGGGCACAGAGCCAGGGGTGGGTAGCACCAGGGTGGGGACATGCTGGGATGTTTGGGTCTTGAGAACAGAATCAGCAGGTGCAGCCTGGTCCAGAACAGCCCTGACAACATATGGTCCCAGTCTCTGGAACAAGCCTCGCTTGTTAAAAGAGGAAAACAAAACAGCCCATCCTTCTCTGCGTATGGTTAATGCATGTTTGAAGCTGTGTGACTTCTCGAGGGTCCCAGTGGTGGCCTCTGTGTAGTGTTTGGTCAGGCTGGCTGCCAGCCCATGCCCTATCCCTGGCACCCCCACCCCTCCGTCCCAGTTTCTGTGGCAGTAAATCACTCACATGCTCTCTCTGAAGGGAGAGGTCTGGGACCTCCTGGGCTGGGCAGACAGAGGGCTCCCGGTACAAACATGCTCTGCTTCTTCCCACCAGCAGACAAGCGGCCTCTGCAGTTGAAAAGGATTTGCGGGGAGGTGGAACAGTGGGGGAGATTGTTGGGGTGGTAAAGGAAGAGAGATAATATGAAGCTTGCTCTGTCCAGAGGCCTGCGGGATAAGGTGGGAACCAAGGTCAGTATTTCCTTGGAAAGTCAGTACTTTTCAAACTTAAACGTGCATGGGAATCACCTGGAGGTCTTACTCAGGTGCAGATTCTGATTTGGGAGGTCTAGTGTGGGGCCTGAGATTCTGCTTTCCTAAGAGGCTCCCAGGTGTTGCCCATGCTGCGGGGCCAGAGGCTGTAAGCAGCAGGGCTAAAGGGGCACTTGAGAGAGGCTGGGTGGAGCTGCACCACAGAGTCACTTGGAATGCTTTAAGATATTGTCTGGCCCCACCCCAATCAATTGAAGCAGACTCTGTGCTTGCACCGGGACACCTGTGTGTTTTCTTTTTTAATGCCCCACTCCCTATCTACCCCAGGTGGTTTGAATATGCAGCCAGGATTGAGAACCACTAGGCTAGATTATGGGAGATCATTCTCCACTTTAAAATTAGAGATCTGTGACCACCTAATTTGCTGTCACAGTGGGATGGCTGGAAATGACTTAACATTGTGCTCTTCCCAGGAGCAGCTTCATATTCACCAAGGGTTGGGAGGGGAGTTTTGCTTGGAAGGAATGACAATGGCGGAACTCCAGGGGGAGAACAAAGGACTGGCCGCATCTTGCCGAAATGGCCATGCTATGTGATCTTGTCTCAGCAATTTCATGCCTTGGGCCTCCGTGTCTTGGCCCTGACCAGCACAACTCCTGTTTTGTTCTGTCTGTTCAGCCCAGAATTCCCAGAGGGCTTGGAGCTTTCTACTGATCTGGAAGGTTCTCTTCCCCTCTCTTCTCTTCTGAGTGAAAAAGGCAGCTGGGAGGCCCCCTGCCCTTCTCCCCTCCAGTGATCCGAAGCCATGGCTGAGAATAGTGGGAATGAGGTGCTAATGCCCCCGTCTTGAGTAGATTTTCCCCCCACGGCACACACATCTGGTTTCCATTTTCTTCTGCAGCAGGCCCCATTGAGCAGAGCCTTCCTCTTTGAATCTCCTGAAAAATCATGTCCAGAGGCCAGGTTCAGCCCCCACCCTGACCCCAGTCCTCAATGCAGCAAAATTCCTTTCTCAGGGACCCTTGGCCCAGTCTTCCCCATGGTCCTTGGGAGGCAGGTGGGGCCCTCACCAGAGGGGAGAGCAAAAGGCTGGGGTGGTGTGGGGGACATTAGAGGAGTGCTGGCTCCCTGGAGAACTGGGGAAGTAGGAAGGTTTGGGAACACCTAAAAAGAACAGGAGGAGTGCATGAGCCACCAGGAAAAATGAGTGCCTACTGCCTCCAGCTGGGAGGACTGCAAGCTCTTCTTGCTCTCACCCAGACCCCTGGGCACAGAGACAGTAAGGGCCAAGTGGGGATGGGATGGGGAATTTTGGGGTCAGATTCTACCTTAAGAGATGTCAGGGTCATAAAGACAACACACTGGTCATGCTCATTGACTGGAGGATGTCCCGGTGTCCCTTCTGTCTTGCATAGCACACTGTGGTGGTCAGGGGCACTGGCTCTGGATAGCACAGGACTGGGCTGAATTTTGGCGCTGCACTCACCCTAGGTGGGTCATGGAACTTCTGAGTCAGTTTAATCTTCTGCGAATTTGGAGTATTAGAGTAAAAATTGAATTATAGTAGATAAACACAAGCAAAGCATTCAGCCTAACACATAGGAAGCACACATAGGAAGTTAATAAATGGTAGCAAACACATAGGAAGTTAACACATAGGAAGTTAATAAATGGTAGCAAACATCTATTATCCATTCATCTATTCACTTAACCACATATTGACAATTTGCCTATCTGCCCGTCTACCTCTCTGCCTGTCCATCTCTCTGTCCACTCATCTCTTTATCCATCCATCCATCCATCCATCCATCTCTTCAACCAGACATCCATTCATCCATCCATCATCCATCCATCCATCCATCCATCCATCCATCCATCCATCCATCCATCCATCCATCCAACCAACCATCCATCCAATCCATATGATGGCAGGGATATTAGGGTTCATCTGTTCCAGCAGGTTTCCCACCTGGGAAGCTTGTTAGCTGGGCTGGTCCTAGACCCTCCCTCAGAAGTTCTTATTTTATAAATCTGTGAGGGACCCAGGAATTCACATGTTAAACAAGCTTCCCAGGTCATGTTGATGCAGGTGGTCCTTAAGCCCCTCTGAAGAAACACTGACCTAGCACCTCACCTCATTTTACCAAGGAGGAAACTGAGGCAGAGAGGGCGACTTCCTGTCTGGGCTTTATCCCGTCCCCTACTGCCCCCATGAGTGTGGTGTGTGGGGGCAAGTGTGACCAAGAGCCCTGGGAGGGCAGCGGAGGGCGGTTGGCAGCCCATCACGCAGCCCCCCTACCCTCTCACCCACCCCTGCCCAGAGACACTGCCCTGACTCCCACACTGAGCCTGTCAGGGACCAGGGATTTATTCCTGTGGGCCGGCTTTTCGCCCTTTCTTTCCTGGGTTATTTATGTCCCTTGCCTTTTATCTCCCGCCCGGCTGGCCCGCAAGGCCCATTATGTCGCTTTGGCTGTGGCCGCATCAATCTCCAGCCCCGGGAGCCAGGCCCCCAGCCCATCTCATCATTTATTTTCCAGGTCTCCCTGATGCTCAGCCGGCAGCTGTCCTGGTGTGTGGATGGCCCTGGCTGGCGTCCTTCTCAGAGAGGACCATTGTTGGTGGGTCTTGGGACTGTCGGGTCAGATGGGCCACGGGCAGCTTGTCTGGGGCCTAGGAGTGCTGTGACCTTTCAGGAATTAGCATGGCAGTAGGGGCAGTGTTCTGGTTGTCAGGACTTCAGAGTCCCAGCCTGGACCCTGCCAGTGACTCCCTGGGTGATGTTAGACAAGGAGCAGTAACTAGATAGGACGATCCAGGTTGTAGCTTCCAGTGCTCCCAGATGTGTGACAAGTGCTTCCCAAACTATGTCTTATAAATGTGTGCTTTTTTTTTTTTTTTTTTTTTTTGAGACGGAGTCTCACTCTGTCGCCCAGGCTCTGGAGTGCAGTGTGGCTCACTGCAACCTCTGCTGCCTGGGTTCAAGCGATTCTCCTGCCTCAGCCTCCCGAGTAGCTGGGATTACAGGTGCCTGCCATCGTGCCTGGCTAAATTTTTTTTGTATTTTTAGTAGAGACGGAGTTTCACTGTGTTGGCCAGGATAGTCTCAATCTCCTGATCTCGTGATCTGCCCGCCTCAGCCTCCCAAAGTGCTGGCATTACAAGTGTGAGCCACCATGCCTGGCCGTGTCTTATAAATTAATAAACATTTATTAAAAAGTCAGAGACAATTCCATAACCAAAGTTTGGAAAACTCTAGCTTGAACAGAGGTGTCGTGAGTTGAATGGTGCTCCCCAAAAGGTATGTCCATGTCTTAACCCCAGGAACTTGTGAAAGTGACCTTATTTGGAAAGAGTGTACTCGGCAGATGTAATCCAGGGTCTCAAGATGAGATTACCCTGGATTTAGGGCGGGCCCCAATCCAATGATGAGTAAAAGGTGAGGGAGACCTGCAGGGTAGAGGGGCACGTAAGGAGTGAGGCAGAGACTGGAGTCATGCAGCCCCAAACCAAAAGATGCCTGGAGCCATCAGGAGCTGGAAGAGACAAGGGAGGATTCTCCTCTAGGGCCTTTTGAGGAAGGACAGTCCTACCCATTCCTTGATTTCAGATCTGTGGCCTCCAGAATGGTGAGAGATAAATTTCTGTTGTTTTTAGGCCATCACATTTGTGGTAATATGTTATGGCAGCCCTAGGAAGCTGATACAAGAGAGAAACAATGTTGTATGCTGCAGGACTTGTCAGGGCCTTTAGTAACAAATGTGCATTAGGAAGCACTAGGGCTGCAGCATAAAACTGTGACATGGGCCAGTCGCAGTGGCTCACACCTGTAATCCCAGCACTTTGAGAGGCCAAGGCGGGCGGATCACGAGGTCAGGAGATCGAGACCATCCTGGCCAACATGGTGAAACCCTGTCTCTATTAAAAATACAAAAAATTAGCGGGGCGTGGTGGCGGGCGCCTGTAGTCCCAGCTACTCAGAAGGCTGAGGCAGGAGAATGGCATGAACCCGGGAGGCGGAGCTGGCAGTAAGCTGAGATCGCGCCACTGCACTCTAGCCTGGGCGACAGAGCAAGACTCCGTCTCAAAACAAACAAACAAACAAACAAAAAAACAACTGTGACATGAAGCACTTGACTGGGGAGCTCCCCTCAGGACTTGTGTCTTAAAGAGCACATTTTGGGGGATGCTGACCTATGACTTGGTGGGAGAGGTTGGGGAAGAAGGGAAAGTGTGGGGGAACCTGCTTGGTCTAATCTTTTTGGAAATGAGGTGGGGGTCATGGAGTCCGGGGCTCTGTCCCAGATGCAATGAGGTGAGGGACTTAGGATCACAGGCAAAGGAAGTCACCTTGCAGCTCAATCCACTCCCAGAGGAAGTTTGGGTTAGAGGGGTACAGGGAGGAAGCAGCTGGAGGAATCCTCCCAGCACACCTTTCCAGCCTGCAGGCCAGGCCGCTGCCTGTCCTGAAATCCTCTCCCGCCTGCCAAGGACAGGGTGGTGGGGGCTCCTGCACCCTAGATGTCTCTATTCTGAAGAGCCAGGCTTGTTTGCAAGCCCAGGGAGCTAAGAGTTAACGATAATCACCATAATGATAATTCCAGGTATGATTTATTGAGAGATTACCCCTGCCAGAACCTGTGCTGAGTGCTTTATGCATATTAATTAATTAATTCATCACAACTGTATTAGCCCATCTTATAGGCGCAGAGATGGAGGCACAGAGAGGTTAAGTAGCTTGCTCCAAGTCACACAGCTAGTAAATGGGAGATCCAGGATTTAAATCCAGGTTGTCTGACAGCTCTCAACCATGAAGTCACACTACCTTCCCCCAGATGCAGGAACTCTAGGAGAGAATGCTCATTCATTCATTCACTCAATATTATTGCTTGCCTGCGCCCTGCCAATTGCTGGGCCAAGCCTTCAGGCCACAGCGCTGAGCCTGGGAATTCCGGGACCCAAAGAGTCCTTACACAGCATGGTGGGGAGGCAGCCAGGACACCGAAGATGGCAGTGATGGTAGTGCTGGGGACAATGGCCACAGGGTGTTGGTAGGGGCTTCCAATCCAGTCTCAGCGCTCAGGGACTGTGCCCTGGACTCAGTTTCTCTTTTGTTCACTGAACTAGGTATTCACGGGCAAATGGGGGTCAGCCCAAAGGAAGGGGGTTCAAGCTGAAAGACGTGAGAAGGCTTCATCCTGAAGCAGCACGCTGTCTTCCAGGAGCTGGGTCTACTTGGCCATAGCTAAGAGGATGGGATGGGGTTTGGGAATGGAGCCCTTACCCACAGCCTGCAAGGGAAGCAGGTGGTCCAGAAGTCTGAAGTAGGCACAGATGAGACACTCAGCCTCCAGTCTCCAGCATCACTCCCTCACACGAGGCTCTGCCGAATGACAATAGCTCCATTTATCCACACATTTTGCGCCAGACATTTTGCTAAGCGTGTTACATAAATGGCCTTCTTCAATCTTCACTGAAACTCCATGGGGTGCAGTTACTGCTAACTCCATTTAACACAGGAGAAATCAAGGCTCCTTGTGGTTGTGCTACTTGACTGTGCTGGGGGTTGCACGTGGTCTGTTGGACAGAGGCCTAGATTTAACCAGGGATGACATTCAACATGTTTCACAATAGGGGCTTTGGAGACTCTGACCCCTCAGTTAAGATGCCACCCAGAAGCTTGCTGGTGTGCACCGGCTGAACGTCAACTCTACTTGTAACCAAAGCAAGCACTTGGAATCATGCTGGGAATATAGTAAGCACCAGAAAAATGTAGCTATTCCTTTTCTTGTTTTCTTTATTAATCACCCTGTCTGGGACTATGGGGAAAGCGGGCCATTCTGTTCCATCTCTCCTCCCATTTTTTTTCTGGTATATTTTTCAAAGCTCTTATTTACAGGCTATTTTGCTGCTCAAGAATCTTCAATTGCTCCCCTTTGCCTACAGAGAAAACTCTAACTCCTCTGCCCAACAGTCACGGGTCCCCTTGGCTGGCTCCAAACTCCCTGTCCAGGTGGACTTCTGCCTGCTCTCTAAGGAGGTCCTTCTCCCCCAGGCTGCCTCTTCGCTGTGTCCCGATGCGCCATGTGCTTTCCTCCCCGGGGCCCTCACTGAGCCATGACCCCTCCTGAAATATCTCCTCACCCTCTTCACTGACCTGACTTCAAGGCTGCTGAAATTCTGCCTCCACCAAGAAGCCTTCTGAATACTCCGGCACTCAGAGGGCTCCCATTTTTAAATGTCCTGCAGCTCTCTCTGTTCTGCTAACACTTGTTCACGTGCCATGTGGCAACTATTTTTGGTCTGCTTCCCACAGCCCAATCACAAAATCAACCTCTTGGTGTCAGGAGTCAGCACTTCCCAAACTTTTATGTGCCGTGAATCACCTGGAGATCTTGTGAAGCTGCAGCTCCCGGGTGAGGAGGCGTGAGGTGGGGCCCAAGACCCCGCATTTCTAACAAGCTCCCAGGCGATGCTGTGTCCTGGGGCCACACTTGGAGCACAAGGGCTGAGCCATCCGGCAGAGCCTCTGTCCCTTGGTTCTCAGCCCTGGGACCTGAGAAAAATACTTCTCCTGGGCCCTACCTCCAGAATCTCTGCTTATTGGTGGAGAGCGAACCAGGTACTGGTGTGTTTACAGAGCTTTTCAGGTGACTGTGATGGGCAGCTAGGATAGAGCCACTGAGCTGGCACCGTCCCTCACCCCAACAGGTGTGCGTTTTTATGTGGTCCAGGATTCTCAGATTAGACCCTGTTGGAGGGCAGGAAGCTAGTTCCTTAGGCATGGGGCAGGCTGGGGCAGCCAGAGCCCTACAGTGTTTTTGTGGGTGGGTGCCCACTAACCACTAGGGAACTTTGAGGGGATAGAGAGAGAGCATCCTCCCTGCACGGTCCCAGCCAAAGGCATCTCTGAACCCACCGACACCATCCACCACAAGGCACAGACAGTTGACAACTCAGGAGGGACCAGGAGGGGAGTCTCAGGAGCGGTTTGGCCAGAAGCTCCCTCCTCCTGCCATTCGGCCTGGCTGGGCACCTGGGAACCAAGGACTCCCCTCCTGGCACCCAGGAAACCGCCACTGTGCCGAGTTAGAAGGCACAGGGCGCCCTCTGCTGGGAGGTTTGGGTTTGAGCATTTCTCCCCAGGGACTCAGGTAGAATGGGGTAAATCAGGGGAGGGCAGGGAGGGCTGTTCTGTGTCTCTTCTTTGTCTTCCTATTTCAGGGTCTGCAGAGCCAAAATCCAGTTTAGACGAAGGATCGCAGGTTGAGACTCTGAAGGGTGGGACGGATTTGCTCACGCAGCCAAATCACACTGAGGCTCTTTCTGCCCGTTTCACCTTTTCCTTCTCGTTATCATCACCGTCAGCACCGATCCACCTGCACTGGCTCAGGCTTCGAGGCAACAGGATTGAAAACACAGCTTTTGTTCTGTGTCTCCAAGAAGGCTCAGCTGCTCTGAGCACCCACAGTTCCTGATCTGGACTCCCTTGTGGTTTGTAACGCACTTGAGTCAATGTGGGGTCAGTGTTAGGAGCAGTGGTGATGAGAGTTAGAATTCAGTCTGGGGCTAGGACCAACGGGCATTCTTACAAAGTCAGGGATCAGACTGCATCCAGAGTCCAATCACCAGGTAAGCACCAGCAGGTAGGTCCGGCTCACTAAAGGCTATGGCCAAGCCTCTGGCCACAGTGAAGGAGGCCCGTGTCTGGGAGACCAAGGCAGAAGAAGAAGACCGAGAAAGCAGAACATGTCCCTGTTTCCTCCAGCTCCCCCAGGATGGCTGCTCTGAGCTTTCATGATGCTATGGGCCCGTAGTTCAGGGGTCAGCACGCAGTGCACCAATGGCCAGCCCTCTGGGCTTGACTCCATGGTGGGCCCACCCTGTGGCTCTCTCTCAGGGTGCAGTGTCTTACTGTAATATCTATCAACTTTGTCATAAATGCATGTTCTTGGCCCAGGGGAGGGTGAGCTATACCGAGGGGAAGGGGTCCAGCATTATTTTAGGGTGGAGAGTCAGCATGTGAACACGTGTGGTCATTGATGCTACTGTAGACCAGGGGCGTGAAACCTGGGGCCTGAGGGTGGGCGCCGCAGGCCACTGAGGGTCCACAAACCCACCTGGAATTGTGTGGGATTTGTGTGTGTCCAATTTTATGTGGTTTTCCATCAGATTCTCAAAGGACCATAACCAAAAATTAGTTTAGAATCCTTGCCTAGGCCTATTCTTCCCTTTATTTATTTACTTGGAGACAGGGTCTTGTTTGTTGCCCAGGCTAGAGTACAGTGGCACAATCACGGCTCACTGCAGCCTCGACCTTCCAGGCTCAATTGATCCTCCCACCTCAGCCACCTGAGTAGCTGGGACCACAGATACGCACTTCCACACCCGTTAATTTTTGTACTATTTCGTAGAAATGGGGCTTCACCATGTTGCCCAGGCTGGTCTTGAACTCCTGGGCTCAAGCAATCTTCCCACCTGGGTCTCTCAAATTGCTGGGATTACAGGCATGAGCCACTGCACCTCGCCCTTATCTTTTTAAAAAAACACTTTAAAAATAGCTTTATCGAGGTATAACTGATAGAGCATGAATTGCCTATATTTAAAGTGTTCAACTTAATAAAAAATGTTGACATATGTATACATTGTGAAACGATCACCACAATCAAGACAGTGAACATCCTTATCACCCTCAAAAGTTGATCTGCTTTCTGTCACTATAGATGAATTTGAATTTTTCTAGAATGTTCTATTAATGGATGCATACAGTGTATACTTTCTTGGGTCCAATTTCTTTTATTCTGCCTAATTAATTTGGTGGCCATCCACATTACTGTGTGTGTCAGCAGTTCATGGCTCTTTATCACTGAGTGGTGTTCCATTGTGTGGAAGGACCACAATTTGTATTTCCATTCATCTGCTGATGGACGTTTGAGTTGTTCCCAGTTTTTGGCTATTACAAAGAAAGCTGCTATGAGCATTCATGCACACATGGGCAAATGCTTTCATTTTTCTTGGGTGGAAAGAAGTTGTTAAACTGTTTTCTGTAATGGAATGTCATCTTACATTCTCTGCAGCAGCGTGTGTGAGTTCCAGTTGCTCCATGTGCTGGCCAACACTCACTAAAGTTAGTCTTTTTAAGCTATTTTTAGCCACTCTAGTGGGTGTTCAATTTGCATTTTCCTAATGACTAATGGTATTGAGCATCTTTTCACATGCTTATTTGTTATCCACATATCTTCTTTGGTGAAATGTCAGTTCAAATATTTTGCCCACTTAAAAAATTGGGTTCGGCCAGGCGCAGTGGCTCACAACTGTAATCCCAGCACTTTGGAAGGCTGAGGCAGATGGATCACCTGAGGTCAGGAGTTCAAGACCAGCCTGGCCATCATGATGAAACTCTGTCTCTCCAAAAATACAAAAATTAGCTGGGCATGATGGCTGGTGCCTGTAATCCCAGCTACCCGGGAGGCTGAGGCGGGAGAATCACTTGAACCCGGGAGGTGGAGGTTGCAGTGAGCTGAGATCATACCTTTGCACTCCAGTTTGGGCGACAGAGAGAGACTTCATCTCAAAAAAAAAAAAATTAAAATAAATAAATAAATAATTAAAAATGGGGTTGTTTGCTGTTTGATTGAGTTGTAAGAATTCTTTATATATAGTCTAGATATAAGGCCTTTGCTGGATAAATTTGTTGCAAATATTTTTCCCAGTGTGTGGTTTGCCATTTCATTTTCATAAGCATATATTTTTGAAGAGCAAACTTTTAAAATTTTGAAGCCCAATGTATTTATTTTTAATAGTTTGTGCTTTTTGCATTACATTTATAAAACCTTTTCCAAATCCAAGTCACTAGGGTTCCTCCTATGTTTTCTTCTAATTTTGTAAATTTAGCTCTTACATTTAGGTCTATGTTCTTTTGAGCTAACTTTTATATATGGTGCAAGTTATGAATCTAAGTTATTTATGAATTCAAGTTCCTATTTATTTATTTATTTTTGCATGTGGGTATCTAATTGTCTAATTGTTCCAGCACCATTTGTTGAAAAGATTATCTTTTACGCATTACCCGGCACCTCTGTCAAAAATCAGTTGATCACATACAAGTGGGTCTACTTTTAGACTCTATTACTTTCTCCCAGGTACAGATCTCCTTCTCTGTGGGTGGATGTTTGGCCATAGCCTTTACTAAGATGGACCTGTCCGCTGGTGCTTACCTGGTGATTGGACTGTGTACCTGGGCTGCCTTCTGACTCTGTAAGAATGACCCCTATCTCTCGTTCCAGACTAAATGTCCACTATTGATCTATTGTCTATCTTCATACCAATACCCTATTGTCTTGATTACTATAGTTTTTAATAAGTCATACAATCACATAGAGTAAGTCTTTCAATATTGTTCTTTTTCAAAGTTGTTTTGGCTGTTCTACATCCTTTGTATTTCCATATAACTTTAGAATCAGTTTGTCAATGTCTACAAAAACCCTACTGGGATTTTAACGGGGATTTTATTGATTTAATGGGGATTTTATTGATTCTATATATCAATTCGGTGGAAATATTGTCTTATAATATTGTCTTCCAATCCAAGAACACAGTATATCTCTCAATTTATTTAGCTTTATAATTTCACTCAGCAGTGCTTTGTAGTTCTCAGTGTAAGGTCTTACACATCTTTTGCCAGATTTATCCCTAAGTATTTCATATTTTTTCATTCTATTGTAAATGGTAGTATTTTATTTTATTTTATTTTATTTTATTTTATTTTATTTTATTTGAGACAGAGTTTTGCTCTTGTTGCCCAGGCTGGAGCGCAATGGTGCCATCTCGACTCACTAGAACCTCCACCTCCCGGGTTCGAAAGATTCTCCTGCCTCAGCCTCCCAAGTAGCTGGGATTACAGGTGCCCATCATCATGCCTGGCTAATTTTTTGTATTTTTAATAGAGACTTTGTTTCACCATGTTGGCCAGGCTGATCTTGAACTCCTGACCTCAGGTGATCCACCCACCTTGGCCTCCCAAAGTGCTGGGATTACAGGCATGAGCCACCAAGCCCAGCCTATGGTAGTATTTTAAATTTCAATTTCTGATTCTTGGTTGCTAGTATATTCGAAATACAATTGATTTTTGTATAATGATCTTAAATTCTATAATCTTCCTACTCACTTATTAATTCTAGTACCTTTTTTGTAAGTTTTATATGATTTTCTTTTTTTTTTCTTTGAGACAAAGTTTCATTCTTGTTGCCCAGGCTGGTGTGCAGTGGGGCAGTCTCAGCTCACTGCAACCTCTGCCTCCTGCCTCAGCCTCCCAAGTAGCTGGGATTACAGGCACCTATAGGATTTTCTATGTAGACATTTATGTTATCTGCAAATAAAGACAGTTTACTTCTTCCTTTCAAATCTGGATGTTTTAAATTTCTTTTTCTTGCCTTATTACACTGGCTGCAACCCCAGTGCAATGTTAAGTAGGAATGGCAAAAGTGGACATCCTTGCCTTGTTTCCAGTAATGGGTAGCAGGGAAGTTTTCAAGCATTTACTCCTCCTTGGCTTTTATTGGCCCTGGCAGGGGTGACCTTTTATAACTGGTTGGAGGACCCCAATGTTTGCCCCAGGGCATTGCGCTCTTCTTTCCAGTGTTTTGGTGCAAGCCCTGTTGAGCGTGAAAGTGCCTTGGGGACAGGGATGGTATATTTGACTCCAGCTCTCTACACCGTGCCTGGCATGGCACTCAGCATGACAAATTCTCATTGCCAACCAGGTCACTAAATCAGGCCGAAAGGGCCTGTTTGTACTGCTGTCCACCCCATCCCCTTTGCTTTCCTCCTGGACAAAGGCAGCCATGCTTCCCTCCTTTCCTTCTCTTCCCCTCCAGAAACCTGAATGGAAGGAGACATGAAAGGAAAGCACTCAGGTTTCACCAGCATCAAGTTACTTCTATGCGGTGTCCTCATTCGAAAATAAACCTGAGGGGGTAAGGGAAGGGGAGGTGGTGACAGAGACAGGAGAGAGCTGTTATCACAGCTCTGCTTCCAGGCTGTATTTTTAGGCTGGCATTTAGGTTTGGCCTGGGGACAAGGGGCTGGAAAATGCAAGGCATTTCCTCTTCCTGTCAGCTGAGACACGGTGTGTGTGTGAGTGTGTGGACAGGGCCCTGCCACCTTCCCACTTAGCGCCTCCAGAATAGCAAACAAAATACACTTCCTCCGCAGGCCTGCTGCGCTCCTCATCTTGAGACTCTATCAAGGCTCCTCCCCAAACTATGAGCGCTGTTAACAGCGCTAGGCAGCTCCTCAGCCATGGGAGGGACGAGACTCTGAGGTCCTGGGGGGGATATTTTAGAAGGTCTCAATGACAACATAACAGGTTCATTTGTTTACTTGTTTATTCATTACTGCTGTGTATCGTGCATGAGCTACGTAACCACTCTGTGCCTCAGTTTCCCCATGGAGATGTCACTAAAACTTGCTTCATAAGGGCGCTGAGAGGATTCAATGAGTTAATACTGGATATAAAGTGGTAACGTGCTTAAAACAGCACTTGGCAGGTAGGAAGGGCTGAGGAAAGGTTTGCTGTCATTATCTGAGTGCCTACTGCATACCACCCTTGAGCTTGGGTCCCCCGGGGGCAGGGGCTTCGGTGGTGAATGAGACAGGTACTGTCTCTGACCTTTTGTAGTTTACTCAGTTGGAGACCTGGTTGCCGCCTTTGAGCAGTGTAAGTTTTCAACCACAACTTTGGACCAGGGTCCTGGAAACACATGGAGTGAAAGGTCTTCTTTACCACTACAAGGTGACAAACTAATCAGAGACACGAAGGTGTTGATGTTATTAGCACTTTGTGGAGCTCTGGCTGGCTTTGTTTCTTTTTTGCTCTGTGAAGTTGTTTCACATCTCCGGGTCTCATTTTTCTCACTTGTAAAATGAGAGGGAGAATACATACAGTGGGATATTATTCGGCCTTGACAAGGAAGGAAACTCTGGCACATGCTACGACACGGAGGAACCTGGAGGACATGATGCCAAATGAAGTAAACCAGTCCCAGAGAGACAAATACTGTATGATTTCACTTGTGGATGGTAACCAGAATAGTCAAATTCAGAGAGACAGAAGGTAGACTGGTGGTAGCTGGGGCCTGGGGGAAGGAGGAGAGGGGAGTTTTTGTTTAGTGGGGATAGAGTTTCAGTTTTGCAAATGTAAAGAATTGTGGAGATAGTGGTGACGGATGCACATTATGAGTGTGTTCAATACCACTGAACTGTATACCTAAATAGTTAAATTGGTAAATTTTATTATATGCATTTTACTGTTTTTTTTTTTTTTTTTTTTTGAGATGGAGTCTCGATCTGTTGCCCAGGCTGGAGTACAGTGGCATGATCTCAGCTCACTGCAACCTCTGCCTCCCAGGTTCAAGCGATTCTCCTGGCTCAGCTTCCCAAGTAGCTGGAATTACAGGCGCATGCCACCACACCCAGCTAATTTTTGTATTTTTAGTAGAGATGGGGTTTCACCATGTTGGCCAGGCTGGTCTCGATCTCTTGACCTAGTGATCCGCCCACCTTGGCCTCCCAAAGTGCTGGGATTACAGGCGTGAGCCATCATGCCCAGCTTATTGTAATTTTTTAATTTGGAAAAAAATGAGGAGAGCAGTTAAAGTAGATGGTTACCTAGGTCTGTTCCAATCCTTCCTTCTACAAACCAAAATATCTCTTTCTTTCCTTTCCTGTTGTCTTTCTCTTTCACACACAGTTATCAGGGCTGCCTGCTCCAGAGCACAGGTTGTGCACTGCACAACTCCAGGGAGTGCCCTTCTTCAAGACTGCAGCGTGGGTGGCACAACTTGTTCAACTGCATAATCCAGTCTGTTTCTGATCTACCTGATCAGAAGGTAGTCTCTTGTGTCCATCTCCTGAGTTTATGCAAAGTAGAAAAAAAATTCAGCATCAACTAGAAATAGCAAACAGAACACATTTATCTGATCTTCCCCCTTTGTATCATCCATTACATTTAGAAGATTGTTTTATGGTTGGTTTCTTTTGCCTGAGACTTAGCAAGTGCTTGTTGACATTCCCAGTCATTCATTTTGCAAATATTTCCCAAGCACTCACAGTGTGCTGGGCACGGTGGAGGTGCTGGACACAGCTAAGCATGGAGTCCCTCGTCTCATGGCACATGCATTATAGTTCCAGGAGGCAGACCAGAAACACGCAAACAAATAGGAAGCCAACGTACAAGAGTGTTAAGTGCCATGTAGACAATGACTGATGGTCCTGGGCAGGATGGCGTGAGGGGTTGCTTTAGACTGTGATAAAGGAAGGCTTCCTGGGGGAGGTGATATTTGAATTGTCACCTGAATGACAAGAAGGAGCCAGCCAAGTGTATGTGGGGGCAAAGTCCTCTCGGGTCTCCTCACATCGGGCCTGGCAGGGAAGGGGTGAAGCCACCTCGTGCTCTTGGCCTCTCTTCCTCACTCCTTGCCCTGTCTTCTCCACTTTCCTCCACCTGAGGAAAAATCCCCAGAGGCCTTCCATTCAGATAACGGAGAAGCCTTTGCAAGAGGGGGCTCAGAAATCTCCACCCAGACTGGAGCCTCTCCTCCATCCTTCCCCTTCCTACAGATCCCAGCAGAGAGAAAGGAGTCGTTCAGGTCTCTCTCCTGAGTAGATGTTTGGGGTGGATCTCCTCTGTCAAGCCAAATGTTACAGGGATTTGTGAAGGCCACCCAGGAGAGGGGAAGCCCAGCTTACTCAAAGGCTGCCCTGACTGGGATGGTGGGATAACCAGGATCACTAGATCAGGCTGACAAAGAACAAAATTGCCTCCACTGTCCACAAGAATGGTGGTGGGAGCACCCTGTTGGAGCAGGTGGCCATGAGTTCGAACCCTGTCTCAGCTTCTTACTGGCTGGGTGACTTTGAGGAGGCAACTTCACCTCTGTCTCAGTTTCCTCATTTGTAATAGGGGTGCTGTGAGGACTAGGAGAGTTTACCCACACAGTGCTCAGGGCAGCATTTGGTGCACAAAACACGTGTGTTTGCTCCGACGTCATTTTCCAGGAGGGTTTCTGTCCACTGCAGAGTTGTCTTCCATTCGTCAGCAATCTCTTTTCCACCTCTACAAACACAGCCTTGGCTCATTCACAGAAGTCTTGATCTGGAAGAGACAGAGCTATAGACAGGTCAGGGGAGTGCCTGATGGGAGTTTCTGGTATGTGGGAGAATGGGGCAGCCTATGCGGGACAGTGTTTTCCTGACTGTGTGGACCAGTGTTTTGAGCTTGAATATGTAGGTATCTACATTTGCTTCTCTAATCAAGAGAGAGTTCCTTACTGCATTCTACTAGCAAAGCCCATCCATCCATCCATCCATCCATCCATCCATCCATCCATCCATCCATCCCTCCATCCATCCATCCAATCCATCCATCCATCCAATCCATCCATCCAACAAATATTCCCTAGCACTTATTTTTGCTAGGTATTGTGCTGGCTTTGCAAAGGTAAGTACTTTATCCTAGGTTCCCCTGGAAACACAGCCTGTGGTCAAATTTATGTGCTAATGTTTTATTGTGGGGTGCAACCCCCAGCAGCAAGAGTGAGGAGGGAGAAAAATAAGGCAGAGGGGAAGGAAAGCAAAACCCAGCTGTGCCCTTGGCATGATTTGAGGGCTTCGGGGCAGCCATGGCTTCTGAAAGGAAAGTTTTGAGTTCAGCATGTCTTCTGTGGGGCTTTCTTTGCTTCTTTTTAAAAGCTTTATTAAATAATGATAAAATATACATAGACTAAAACTTACCATTTTAATAATTTTTAGGTATACAGTTTAGTGACATTAAACACAATGACATTGTTGTGTAGCCATCGCTACCATCTATCTCCAGAACTTTTCCAACTTGTAAAACCGAAACCCTCTACCCATTAAACATGAACACTCCCATTCCTCCTTCCCCTCCAGCCCCTGGTAACCACCATTCTGCTTTCTATCTCTGTGAATTTGGCTCCTCTAGTTACCTCACGTAAATGGAATCATACAGTATTTTTTCTATTTGTGACTGGCTTATTTCACTTAGCGTAATGTCCTCCAGGTTCATCCGTGTTTTAGCATGTGTCAGAATTTCCTTGCTTTTTAAGGCTGGATAGGATTCCATTGTATGGATAGCCCACATTTTGTTTATCCATTTATGTTTGATGGGTGGTTGGGTTCCTTCCACCTTTTGGCTGCTGTGAGTAATGCTGCTATGAACATGGGTGTACACAGATCTGTTTGAGTCCCTGCTTCCAATTCTTTTACTTCTATAGATCCAGAAGTAGCATGGCTGGACCATATGGTAATTCGACGTTTAATTTTTTTAAGGAACCTCCATCCTGTTTTCCAAAGTGGCTGTGCCATTTTACATTCCATAGGGCTTTCTTTCTTTTTTAGACACAGGGTCTCACTCTGTCACCCAGGCTGAAGTGCAGTGGTGTGATACTACCTCACTGCAGCCTTGAACTCCTGGGCTCAAGCAATCTTCCTGCCTTGGCCTCCTGATACTACAGTTATGTACCATCACCCCCAGCTCTGTGGGGCTTTCTCTTAAGGAGCAGGTGTGTTGTGAATGTCAGATGTCCCCCAAATGAAGCACCAGGTGCCCCTAGTTTCCTTCCTTCATCCTCACAGTAGCTTAGGGTTGTCATAATGCTCTTGCTACCCATTGTCACACTGACTTTGAGGTGGTGTCATTATACCCCCTTTACAGAAAACGACACTGAGCCCCAGAGTCTAAGACGGGCAGCTGCTGGTCTGTCTGTCCAGCCTCCATTCTCCCTCCCCCTGGTTACAGCTTCTCAATTTTCCATTGGGGAGCCACTCCTCTACTCGCAATGTACGCTGAGGCACTGGGGGCTGCCCACACTCCTTGGCTCCAGGGGCAAACCAGATATTTCATTTTCCTTGGACATGGTGCTTGGTTTAGTAGGAGTTTCATGACCCAAACCTGACCAACCAGAGCCTATGAGCACCTTTTGGAAATTTGCCAAGAGTTTGGGGAAGTGGAGTTAGCTTTCAACTGGGATTGCTAAGCAAATAGAATGTGAACCTTCAGCTGCTGGTAGCCACTTCTACCACCCCTTAGGATAACTGAAACTGAGCAAGAAGCCAACCTAGAGACATGAAACCAAGAGGTGAAAAGATAGACTCCAAACAATGTCACCTGAGCACCTGGATTTACCTGTGAAGCTACTAGATATGCTCTTGGACTTTTCAATTACAGAAGCCAGTAGATCTCCTTCTTAGCTTAAGCAACTGAGTTGAAGTTCTCTCTCTTGCAGGATTTTTTTTTTTTTTTTTTGGACAGAGTCTCACTCTATTGCCCAGGCTGGAGTGCCATGGTGCAATCTTGGCTCACTGCAAACTTAGCTCACTGCAACCTCCATCTCCCAGGCTCAAGCGATTTTCCTTCCTCAGCCTCCCAAATAGCTGGGATTACAGGAACCCACCACCACACCTGGCTGATTTTTGTATTTTTAGTAGAGACGGGGTTTCACCATGTTGGCCAGGCTGGTCCTGAACTCCTGACCTCAGGCGATCCACCCACCTCAACCTCCCAAAGTGCTGGGATTACAGGTGTGAGCCACCGCGCCTGGCCTCTTGCAGGATTCTTGAAGGGAATCCTGACTAGTTCGGGGAGTTTAAGAAACTCGCTCAAGATCAGCCAGGAAATGGTGATGCCAAAAACTCAAACCCCTAACGGAGTTCCCAACTTAGATCCGGATCCCGGCTCAGGATCAAGACTAGCCGTTGTTGGACTGTCCTCCAGAACTCTAGGATTAGCATCCCGAGACGGGAGCTAGATCTTGGCTGAAGCACTGTAGGAATCAGCGTAGTCACAAAGCACAGAACTCATGAGCTGAACCTAGGCAGGAATTGGCATGTTACCACCCAAGGGCCAAATCCAGCCCACCTCTTGTTTTCGTACAGTCCACAAGCTAAGAATTCTTTTTACATTTTTAGATGATTGGAAAAAAATCAAAAGAAGAATATTCTGTGGCATATGAAAATTATATGAAATTCAAGTTTCAGTGTCCATAAATACTGTTTCATTGGAATGCATTCATATTCATTCATTTGCATGTTGTCTATTGCTGCTTCGTGCTTCAAGAGAAGAGTTGCGTAGTCATCGAAGAGACCGCCTAACATTTTAGTACCTGGCCTATATAGGAAAAGTTTACCCATTGCTGCCAAGCTCTGAGCTTCCCTCCTTAGCTTTCTTGTGGCTTTTTTCCCAAGCTACTCATCTCGTCCCTTCCTGCTTCCCCTTCCTCCAGTCCTGGTTCTTAAAGAGGCAGGACCTCTGTGAAATCAGTGAATGCTTGGGAAGCTCCCAGCACAGAGCCTGGGGCACTGTTAGTGCTCAGTCACTGAAAGGTGTTGGGAAGGAACCTGAGTCAGCAGTGCAGCATATACGTGCAGCCTCTGCATCCTGTCTCTGCTGCTCACTCCCTGTGTGACCTTGGGCTAGTTGCTTCCTGTGAAATAGGAATAAGAATAGTCCCTACCTCATAGGGCCCTGGTGAAGATCAAATTAGTCATTGCATGTAAAGTGCTTCCAAGAGTGCTGGGCACACAGAAAACGTTTGATAAGATCCTAATTGTCATTGTTTTTCTCATTGGCTTAATCTCCATGGAGGATCTTGGGAGCTGCCTACCATTGAACCTGGCCCATGTTTGGCCCAGGGCCCCCGAGAAAGGTCAAGGCTGTGCAGGGAGCAGAGAGCTGGCCTCCTGACTCAGAGCCTTGGCAGGCTGGGGCTTCATGACACCCCTAGCAGGAGGCAGCCTGGGGCTGAGATGGGGGCTTAAAAGCAGGAGATCCTGGGCTTGGCCCTCCCAGCAAAGGGATGTGTGTGTGTATCTGTAGCTGGATGAGACACTCTTTCTAGGAAAAAAAAGGGCAAACAGGTCCACCCAAAATGGCTAAAGGCAGCCCCATCTGGGGTGGGCAGTTTCCATGGCTGAGAAGACCACAGAGCCACTGGGGCTGCCTTGGCCTCCACCTCGGGCGCAGGAGCCAGCTGAGCCCCCATTACACTTTGCTCTGCCCACCCCTGTCCTGGCAGCTCCTCTTCTGGCGAACCAGGGCCCAGGACAAGCAGCCCAGAGAGGCCGGAGCCCTGAGCCGGTACAGCAGGCTCCGGTGGGGGAAGTGGGCAGAAGAGTGATGGAGCCGGATGATCAGGGAAGAGCTTCCAATTCTCAGCTCCAGGCTGTCCCCTCTTGTCCCAGTTCACCGGGTCTCTTAGGCTCCAAGCCTGGGCTGAGTGGAAATAGGCAGAATTGAAGGGTCCTGGGGCTTCTGCCCAGGCTCAAGGCCACCCAAATGTTCTGGAAGTCCTGTGGGAGGGGCACCTCCGTGGATCTGCTGCCTCCTGTCAGGCCTCAGCTTTGTCAAGACCTCAGTGAGGGGTGAGCTGAGTGGCTGGGCCTGGCTGTCGCCCTGTCCCTCACTTGGCCCAGCCCGGGCCCCCTTCCCAGCCACTCACTGCAGTATGTTCCCAGCCGGAGCCTGGTTCTGCAGCTCCCAGGCAGGTATGAGCATCCACTCCTTCACCAGGAGGGCAGGACAGGCAAGAGGGACTTCCTGGGCCATTTCAGCAACTGTCGCTTTTTAGGAGACACACTCCTAGACAGAGGCACTCATACTCCCCACCCATGCAGAGAAGCACACGCCCCTTAGCTGCCACACACCCAAGGCCACTCGGACACACGTGCCTCCCTTTGCATGCACACGTCCTGCTGATACCACCTAACCTAACTGTGTCTGAAGCTCTCGGCTCACTCCTGGGTTTGTCTGAAGGCCAGAGCAGGCTGACGTTAGCCTTCCGGAGTGACTGTGAGAAGCAGGGCCAGGGGACATCACACAGAGGCCACCAGAAGGTCAGCAGGTTCTTACACATCATCTGGGCCAGTGGCTCCCACACCTTGAGGCATGCCTTAGGGGCCTTTGTGAAAAATTATCATGTCCCACCCCAGACTTGGTAAATCAGAATCTCTGTGATGATGGCAACTGAGGTGGGGGACTGAGATCTAGCAGACTCTCTAGCGGTTCTGACGCTGGATAGACTTTGTAACCTGATCTAGTCCAACCCCCTTACTGTTCCAATTCAGTAACTGAGGCTGAGAGAGGGAGAGTGGCCTGTCCAAGGTCACACAGCAGTTGCCTAGGCCAGCCAGGACTAGGACCCAGGACTCCTCACTGCCCAACCCCAGGCTTCAGGTCTGCAGAGATCCCCATGTCCTTCCCTGTCCCCACCAGCCTTGAGTGTCCCCCTGGCCTGCCTCCCAGTAAGGTCAGCTGGCTTTCATGTTCTGCAGTGCCCAGCAGGACCAGGGCCAGGGCTAGCCTGCAGCCAGCAGTCCTCTGGAACAGAGGCTGGGTGACTGTCTTCAGCTCCCTTCCCACGCAGAGGGCCCCTGCTCGGGAGGCCTGCTTTAGGGAAGGTGAAGGCTGGGCTCCCTGCAGTCACAGATGTTTGCCCCAACATGCTGAGCGCCCCCACCCTACTCCTGGGGGAGGCCGGAAAGGCAAGTCCTCACGCTGCCCAAACATCTGGACTGTGCAGAGAGAGCCAAGATGCGCTATGCAGATGTTTTCAAAGCTGATGCCGGGTGTCAGCAGAGAATAGACATCTGGGTGGATGGCCGGGGCTCATGCTAAAGGGCAGGGTAGATTGCGGCCAGTGATTCAGGGCGGTGTTGGCACAAAGCTGGGGGTGGGAGTGTGGCCTGGGGACTTCACTCCCCCAGCTGGTTGGCCTCCTTAAGTGGGAGTCAGATCCCCAGGGCGGCAGCCAGGTAACGTTCACACGATAGCTACCACTTGTTGAGCACTCACCACATGCCAGGTGCTGTTCTGCATTTTGCATGTATTATCTCATTTAACCCTGACAACAACCCTGTGGGGCAGGTACCATTACCGTCCCCCTTCTCCAGGCCACTGAAGCACAGGGAGGTGATGTCATGGCCCAGTCTCACCCAGCAAGCCGGTGGCAGTGCCAGGCTCACACAGAAGCCCATGCAGGTCACCTCTGAACAGCCCCGCTCCATCCCATGAGTGACCCCCAGTGGTTTTTGGGACCAACCCCACCATGCCCTTCTTTCAAATATTACATTTGCATATGGGGGCATTTTGCATAGAGAAAATGGGTTTCTGGGCAGCGTCCCTTTTCCTGTGTTTGGAACTTGGGGAAAGGATCCACTAGGAAGGCAAGCCAGGCCCTCCTCCCGGGCCGGTGGGCAGCTGCTGCCAAGTCTCCCAGGGCTTCTGAGACCAGAGGCTGCTTCCTGAAGGAAAAGTGAGCTCCCTGTGGCTGAGGCCAGCTGTGGCCAGCAGGGCTATTTATTTTTCTGTTCCTAAGCCTTTAAGTCATCTGTTTACATAGGCAGTAGAAGGAGTTGGGCTTGGTGTCCCTGCCTGGTGCCCTCCCTCCCTCCCTCCATCCTGGGCCTTGCAGGCTGAGCCAGGGACCCCCAGAGCCAGTGGTGGTAGTGATGGTGGAGGGGGTGTGGTGGGGAAGCTCTGGGGCCTGGAACTACAGGGCCACTGGGAGACTCTGCACTCAGGGCTCTGGCTGTGATGATGACCAGGCCTAGCCACTGCCTCCCCTGCTTCCCACCCTTTCTCCCCAGATCCTGTGGAAGTCCTCAGAGCCTGGAGCCTCACTTTCCGTGCCCCCTCACCCATAGCAGGTATCCAGGCTCTGAGCTCTCCCCTTCCTTCAGCCCAGCTGGCTCTCCAGAGCAGCCAGACATCAGCCACCCAGCCCGTGAGAACACTCACCAGCCAGCCCCCACCCTGCCAGGAATGGGAGTGGGGAACCTTCCCCAGCTCTGAGCCCCCAGAGGAGCAGGCCCTGGCCCGCCCCCTCCACAGGCATGTTTTGAGGCCTAGAGCAGCCATGCTCTGGGGCAGGGCCGCAGACACAGGGGAAGAAGACGAGGTTTCCTTCCTGAGAGGAGCAGGGGAGAGGGACGCACACGCGTAACCCCAGGACCCCTCACACAGGTGTCTTGATAGAAATGCCTGGAGGCCCTGAGGGAGGTGGTTTCTCTGAGCGGGTGACATTGAGTGACTCTACAAGGGTGGGTGACTTCTCCGTTGGAGAAAGGGAGCTTCAGTGCATGCAGGAAGAAGGAGGCTCCCAAACCCATGGTGCAGCTGAGGGAGAGACGGCAGAGCACGCAGGAGGCCACCCAGGTGTGTGGCCAGAGAGGTGGGTGGGGCCAGCGCACCTGGGGCCTGAATGTCCCCAGACAGAGGCCATCAGGAACCGCGGAGCGCTTGGGACAAGGGAGTGACAGCATTGCAATGCTAGTTAAGAAGGAAATCCACAGGAGTGAGGGGAGGGGCAGGGAAGTCCCCCAGGAGGACTGAGAGTGAGACAAGGTGAGACAGGCCGGGGCGGACAGGAGAGCAGACTGCAGAGATGTTCTCTCCCTCCAGAGGGGACTTAGGGAAGGGATGTGGATGGAGAGAGAACCAGGGCCCTCCTCTCTCTGGACCCCACCTGTGCCCGTCTGCTCATTCAGGCCATGGGCATGGTTCTGCCACTTGAGGCATCAGAGTCCAAGCCTGGCTCAGCTGCGCGGCGATGACCTTCTCATTCTGGTCAGCAACTATCAACTAAACACCTGCTCTGTGCCAGGCCTGGGGTTGGCAGGGAGAGGGCGGCAGAGGGGAGGGATAGAGGGCCTGTTGGGGCGGGGGGGAATAAGGAGCTGAATGAAATCGTGTCCCCACCCACAGAAAGGCAGGACTAGGGCAGCCAGCCTTGGCCTGAGGCAGCCGTGCCAGGGTGACTGGGGACAGAGGAACTCGGGGTCTGGCCCTGAGCAATGTGCTGGATTTACAAGTAGAGACAAGGTGGTGGCATTCCAGGGAGGAACAGGCTGAACAAAGGCCCAGAGGTAGAGTTCACAGTGTGACAGGCACAGACAGATGCCACAGCCCCGCTCCTTCCCGATGCCGGCCCTGGGCCTCAAGGTCATCTTCTGGCCTGGGGTGGTGGTCATGGAGGATCCAGGATATCTAGATTCAAGTGCTCTCCCTGCCGTCTGGGCTGCCTCCTTCCCATGGACCCAGGACCTGCCCTCCCAGACTGTCTTCCTTCTTGCTCTTGTTTGTCCCATCCTCCTCATCCCTCCCATCTCACGTTGGGGCTGGGAGCTCATTCCAGGCTTTGCCTCTCCACAATACTTTTTCCCTCGGGGACACCTGAGGGATGAGCAGGACTTAGCTAGGAGAAGAAGAACAGAGCATTTTGGCAGGAGGAACAGCATGGTCAAAGCCCCGAGGTGGGCAAGAGCTTGGTGAGTTGGAGGAACTGAAAGGCAGTGTGGCTGGGGTGTAGTTGGAGACAGAGACAGATCTCCAGGCTCTGCCATGATTCATTTCCAGAGCATTCAGCCTCTCCACCAGGAAAATGTCAAGAAAAAGCAGCTCTGTTTCCAGAGAGGGAAACTGAGGCACAGAATGTGGTTGAGGGAAGGTGTCTCCCCTCATGCCTGGGGCTCATCTCTCCTTCTGGGCACTGTGTTTTCTGGAGAAGAGGACTCTCAACTGAGGCCCAGAGAGAATCTAATGCCTGATGATCTGAGGTAGAACAGTTTCATCCGGAAACCATCACCCCCCAACCCCCCACCCCGTCTATGGAAAAATTGTCTTACATGAAACTGATCCCTGGTGCCAAAAGGTTGGGGACCACTGCTCTAGAGCACACTGGGTAGCAGGGGTGTGACCTTTTCTGGAAGGAAAGATCCAGGATCCCCTGGGTGCCCTGCCCTGGGGACTGTGGTCTGGCTTCCAGGGATATCAGCTGTCCTTTTAAGGGACCAGGTCACCAGTCAGGCCTATTGGCCTTCTCAGGAAGGCTGAGGGCTGTGGAACATTCCCGCTCTGTGAGGTCCTGCAGGGCAGCTCATTGCAGAGGACACGGAGCAGCCCCCAGCTTGCTGGCCAATCCCCCTCTTCCTAGAACCCCCTGAGAAGCAGAGAGGGAGGACAGCCCTTGGGACGCCCAGGAGCAGGAGAGAGAGCTACAGGGAGGGGCCAACAGCAAACTTTGAACCCCACCCTCTGTTGGGAACTGCCCAGTAGGGACTCCAGACATTTGGCTTCCAGGGCTAGATTTAGTTCTGACTCACTGGCTGACTTTAGACAGCTCACATAATCTCTCTGTGCCCGGGTTTCTTCTCAGGAAAATTGCAAGAAAAAGTCATGTTTTTCTCTTCCTTCATCTTCCCAGTCAAAGGGAAGGTGAAATAAATGATGGGCGTTCCTGTTGTCTCTTTGTTATTATGCAAACAATTGGGTGCTACAAAGGGTGCAGGACAGACAGATAAATCCAAAGCTCTCGGATCTGCCTTTGAGACCAAATACAAACACGACTGCATGAGTGCATGCAGCATGCACACTCACACACACACACACAGAGGCAGGCACCAACACATGCACACACACTCACACACAGAAGCATGCACCAACATACACACACATATGTACACACAGAGGCGTGTGTGAACATGCACACACACACAGAGGCATGCACCAATACACGCAAGCACACACAGAGGCATACACCAACGCATGCACACACACGCAGGCATGCATGAACATGTACACACACACAGGCATGCACGAACACACGCACACACACAGTCTGCTTTTCCTTCCACTCCAATTTTGCCAATTCAGTTAGACTTTGAAACTGAGACCCAAGAAGAGGCTCCAGGTTAGGAGTTCCTGGTGCTAAGTCACAGAACTGGGTACATCTGTGCAGAGGCAGTGTATGACTGTTGCATCAGCCATGAAGGTGGCTGAGTTTGTGGTTGTAATGGAGATAAAAGTTGTGGCTTTGCGGTTCCGGTAATCATCTCAATTTCACTTTTTTTAGACACTACTAATATCTTCTTCCAACCCACTCCTCCTAACCAGAGAAGCCCATCCATAAGTTTAGAGCCAAGGTCAAGGAGGCCTGGAGAGGTGAATTCACTTGTCCGTGGTTCCACAGTTGGTTTTAGGGAGGGGACAACGCATCGAGGGCCCTTCCCCTACTTGGCTGCCCCGTGACACACACACACCTCTGTTGAGAAGCCCTGGAGGTGGCTCATTATGACCCAGGCTGTGTCTGAGACCAAGCTAGGAACAGAAAAGAGGCCAAGACCAGGAGCAGGAAGTGGCTGGAAGCAGAGTGGGACTTGAGAGTGAGCAACTGGCCCCTAACTGGGTGACTATGAACTTGACAGTTCCTGGTGGGGGTGGGGGGCGAGCCAGCAGAGCAGCTGTGGCCTGAGAGCTGGCCTTAGCCCAGACCTGGCCCTGGGAGGCAGACTGGCATGCCCCGGGCTTCCTCTCCAGCAGCCAGCCCCTTCCACAGAGGGCACTCTTGACCGGACAGCTGATGACCAGGCCTTTGCAGGGAGAGAGAGCCCAGTGATTAGGCCATTCAACTGCCATCTCATCTCCCTCTGCAGACAATCCACAGTGGCCTGTGGTCCCACACCTGTTCCCTGGAATGCCTGCAGGGGCCTGGGCAGGGCCTTCTCCCTTCCTCAGCCTCTCCTAAGGTAGGAAGAGTCCCCTCCACTAAGCACCGTCATTCTCTTCCTGTCTCCCCGCCACATTGCCCCTTGATTTGAAGTAGATATTGGGAATGGAGGCACTGTTCCTGATGCAGACGAGGGCCTGAGGAAATACTTGCTGCCTAAAATACCTAAATTCATTCGTGCACTTCTATTGCTTTCAAGGATCTGCAGTGGCAGGACTTGATAACAGCAAAGCTGCCCATGGCTGTCCCTGGGACTCCCCTTTAAAACAATGATCTGTCACTCTGGAGACAAACACAGGTAAGTGGCTGGGTGATGAGAAGTGGTTGGCCAGTCTGTCTCCATAATATTAACAATGTCATCACAACAATAACTCATTCATACACCACTTACCCTTTGCAAAACACTCTTCTTAGCACCTCTCACATATTAATACATTTAATCCTCGTAACCCTATAAGGTAGGTATTATCATATTAATTCCCATTTGATGGATGAGGAAAACAAGGCACAGAGATGTTACGAGCTTTGCCTGAGGTCACACAGCCAGGGGTTTGGATACCAGGAGGCTGGCTCCATAGCCCTTGCTTTTAAGCACTTATGCAGACCGTCTCTGGACTCAGATGGTTCAACAGCTGCATTGTGATCCTGTTGAATCCTTATTTGGCTTCACATACTCTTCCTGGATGGTACAAAAGCCCATGCCAAGCTGGGCACCGTGGGTCACACCTGTAATCCCAGCACTTTGGGAGGCCAAGGAGGGAGGATCACTTGAGCCCAGTCCAGGAGTTCAAGACCAGCCTAGCTAACATAGCGAGACCCTGTCTTCTACAAAAAAATATAAAAACTTAGTTGGGCATGGTGCTGTGTGCCCATATTCCTAGCTACTAGGGAGGCAGAGGCAGGAAGATTGCTAGAGGCAGGAAGATTGCACCTAGGAGTTCCAGGCTGCAGTCAACTATGATAGTGCCACTGCCCTGCAGCTGGGTGACAGAGCAAGGCCCTGTCTTAAACATAAAAAAAAAAAATTTTTTTTAAAGCCCATGCCAGCATCAATTCACATCAGAGCTCTTTTGTAAAGGATCTACACAGTGGCTCCTTTTAGGCTTTTGCTGTCTTCCCCTGCTGCGCCCCTGCTCCCCAGCCCTCCCTCTCCCAGGCCCCAGCCCTGCATCCCCCACTGGAGCCATGGCACCCACAGCCAGCCTAGCTCTGTGGGGCTCACAATTATGCCCTCCCTGTGGAAAGCCACCCGCTGATTCCTCCCCCTACTCTGAGTCTTCCCCCTGCTCTGCATCCTCCCCAAACAGCTGAGCCTGTGCGATGTGAGAAGGGAAAGGACTTGCCAGAGGTTTCCAGAAAGCCTCCAGAGGTCACTCTGGCCTGGCTCAAGTAGGTTGGGCCCTGACCACCGCTTTGAATAGCTACTGTCCTGCCCTGGGTCCACTCCCTCAGCACAGAGCAGGCTAATTGGTGGGTGGGAAGCAGTGGAGGCCTGGAGGCTGGTCTGTCCCGAAGGAGGCAACGGAGGAGCCAGGCATTTGACACAGCAGCTGCCAGGTATCCAGTGCCAAAGAGAAGATGGAGTGGAGCATGGAGACTCTCTGGCCCGACCCTGCCACTCAACAGCTGGTCACCAGCCACACCCCCAACCTGCCAGCCTCCCATCCCTCCCATCCCACCACCAACTCACCCAGCCAATACCCAGCCTACCCAGCACTCAGCGTGCTCCCCAACCCCCAGCCTGACCCAGTACACTTACCCCACTCCACTACAACCTCCTGGCCTACCCCACATAAACACCCTTCCTGGCGATCTCTAGTCTGCACCCACACCCCAGTCAGCAGGCCTACTCCTATCTAGCCCCCAGCCTACCCACCCACTCGCTGGTGAGCCCACTCGGTACCCAGGGACCTCCCCACCATGAATTCAGCCCCTAACTGCCCCGGGTCCCTGACTACTCACCTGCGACATCAGCCAAGTGCCAGCCCGCCCACCCTGTGCCCAGCCTGCCCACATCCCCACTTCATAAACCAGAGCCGCTTTTTCCAGATCCGACTCCATCCAAGCTCCAAGAAAGGCAGGCTTGCCAGCTCTTCCAGGACTATCCAAGAATTATTTTAGAGGCTTCAGACTTGGATGGAGATATTTTATCCTCGGGTCAGGGGAGAGCAGAGCAGACGGGGTGGGGGCACTTGAGAGAGTGTGCCTCTGTGCCCCTGGTGGCTCCAGACCTGCCCCTCTGGGAGAAGACGAGGTAGCTTCCTGTACCTCCTAACCCCTTCTACCGCAAAACTGTTGGAAAGACAGTAAGTTTCCAAAACTAGGAGCCAGGCTGAAGGGGTCCCCAGCAGATGAAGTTCCAGAGGCCCTAGCGAGATAGGCAGCACTTCCAGCACTGAACATGCCAGAGAAAGGAAGGCAGAAGGGAGCGATAGAAGGGTGCAGGGCAAGATCAGGAGGCCTGGAGGCCTCTCCTGGGCCCCGCTCATGGGTGAGCCTGGGCCCTGGGCTGTGAAAGTCCAGGTTTCTGGGTTTAGACACTCACTGTGTGGTTTTGGGCAAGTCACCAGGCCTCTCTGAGGCTCTTGAATACAAGAGTGTTGACTGAGAGGATCTCTAACCTTCCCAGGCACAACCCTGCTGCTGGCCCTGGACTGGGGAGTCCTTGCCAGGAGCTTGGCCAGGCTTCTGGTCCTCTCTGCCTTGGGCATTCTGGTTACAACCACGGGGTTCCTGCTTCACCCACTGACCAAGCCCTGCCTGTACCTGGTTCCTGCATGATCCTCTGTGGCTGAGCAGGAAGGGAGGCCTCCCCACGAATTTCCAGAGATGAGGACGCAATCAGCAACATCACCACGGCCAGATTCTCTAGCCCAGGGAGGGCAAATAGGCTTTATTTCATGTGTCTGCACCCACTGACTGCCAGTAGCTGCCTGGGGCACAGTTCTGAGAAGAATCCTAGGCTCAGTGAGAAAGTGCCAAGGTCATCTAGTGATGTCTGCATAGGCACCTGAATAGCGAAAGGGGCGTGAATGCCAGGAACTTGGGAGTCCTGAGGAAGGGCCAGGCTAGCCTCTGGGTTTCTTTCCTAGTGTTATCCCCAAGCCTACAGTTCAGTCTTATTTGAACGTGTCTTCTCTCAGTTGTGCTATGGAAATTAAAGGAGAACAGTGAGTGTACTCCTAGATCAGATGCCAGTTAGGAGATAGCGCGATCTTCCCAAAAAGATGCAAAGATACTGTGGAGTGTGGCCCTTTGTGGACCCTTTTTGTGTTTTTACACTTTAAAAAAATTATAGGGTGTTTTTTTTTTGGTGAAAATGAAAGCTCCACGAGGGCAGTCTTGTTGTTTTCAACTGAATGAATTGCTTGCCATGGAGAAGGTTGTGTGTTACTCATCCTTCATTTGCTCCTCCCTTCCTGCCTCATTCACTCACTCCAAAATCATTCACCCATTCATTCATTCATTCACTCATTCGCTCTTTCATGCAGCAAACATTCACAGGGGCCCCATCTCACCCCCACTGCCAGGGGAGTCTCTGTTCACCCTTCTCAACGAGGCCAGGGAGGATCTCATGCTAGGAAAGTCTGGAGACATGATGAAAGGAGCCATCTCTGTAGGGCCAAGGCCCATCAGGGACTCACTGCATGGATGTGGACTTTTCGTTTCCTCACCTGCACGTGGCCAGTGGACAGCATGAGAAGGAAAAGGGAGGCAATGCCAAAGCAAAGGGCAAGCAGGACACTTCCTGGCCTTGATAACATGAGTGCCGCTTCCCACCCAGAACCAAACTGGGGGCAGAGGAATCAGGCTGAGGCTTCAAGGAAACCTGGCCAGCATCCAGGGGCTGCAACTGAGCTGGTCCCAGCTCAAGTCTCCAGATGAAGAATGCATCCTGAGGACTTGGCCTGGCAGGACACCTCTCGCATTGTTACAGTGGGGTCCATTTATGTGTGAGTGAGCACATGCAGGTGCCTATGAGGAATTTGTGTGTTTACATGTGTGTGCATGTGTGCGCTTGTCTGAATGCATATACACACTGCACAGTATTCCCCAGCAGCATGGGCAGGCGGGGTGTGGGGGTTTCCGGCTGGCAGACCCTTCCTTAAAAGGAAGCGTCTGCCCTGCCCTTCCCACTCCTCCCCCACATCACAGTCTCCTCCTACAGCCTGCAGTCCACCTCCATTTTTGGAGGCCCCTTTAGTACAGTAGCAAGGACTGAAACTTCCTGGGTTTGAGTGACTGGCCATGTGGCCTCAAGCAAGTGAGTTTCCTCATAGGCAAAACGGGGGTCTTGGGTTATTCTGGGGACAAGGAAGCACAGTGCATGTAAAGCACACCACTCAGCGCCTGCCCCGTTCTTCCTGCCCTGGCGATATGCTAAACAACAGGGTCTCCACTAGGCCAGATGGGGAGGGGAAGGGGAGGAGAAGAGACCCATTTCCCAAAAATATTGACTTCGACCTTGAACCCAAGCAGCTGGTCAGAGCTGGTGGCCTCTTTCTGGGATTGTTTATGTAGCTTTCCTTGTAAACACAAAGAATGGAAAACAAACCCTAAAATATTTAAAAATAAATAAATGAATAAGGAATCGTTTGTGGGTGGCATAGACAGGACCTAGGGCAGATGGGGGCAGCCATCAATGCATTACCCTGGGATTAAATGCTTGAGTACCCTGGAGCCCCAGCCCAAGACTCTTCCCCCACCTCCTCCCCTTCTGGTTACACATCCCTGTTGTTCCCACCTTCTGGGAGAGGCCTGAATCCTGCAGCACTGTCATCTGGCCACTTCTGTGAAGAGAGCAAAGGGCCTCTGCCGGGAATCAGCCCAGCTCTGTCCACCTCTGTGTGACCTTGGGCGAGTCACTTTCCCTCTGTGGGCCTCAGTTTCCAAGGATCTCTAAGGCCCCTTTAAGCAAGCATTGACATCCTGTGATTCCCTTTGAGCTCAGAGTGTGGTTATGACAGCACTTTGACTAGAGTAAAGAATCCTATCAAGAGATGCTCATTAGCACGATATTGGGGGATGGAAATAGCTCTACCCTTGGCTGCTGGGAAGGATTCTTATTAGAAATCCTTGAACTTTCTGTTTTGGGATTGTTTGGGCCAGATCTGGGCCTGGATGCAACCTGAGATATTTGTTGGTGATTGGTGATCTGTGCAAGGAGAGGATCTGGCTCCTTCCTGCCTAGGGGCCAGTGGTGCCCCCAGAACTGTCTCTCCCCTAGCCATGCACCCACCTCCACCGCCACACGCACACCCAGGAGAATGACATTACCTTCTCTAGTCCTTCTGAATGCTGAGCTCAGGGGCTGGGGAGGCCACTCTGAGGTCTCTTGTCTCACTCTGGCCCAGAGCAGAGCCGACATGGAATCCCAGTACCCACCCCTGAAAGGGGATGGCATCATGACCCTCTCTCCCAGCCAGATTCTTTCATAGCCTGGGCCACCTGCAACTTTGGTTTTCAAAGGCATGTTTCAAATGAATGATGGAGGCTTTGAGTCATTGCTCTGAGATGGAAGTACAGGGGTGGGGAGAGTATGGGCTTTGACAAGACAGCAGAGGGTGGGTAGTTAGGAGACCTGGATTCACCATGTGTCCTTGGATAGGTTGCACTCCTCACTTCTAGGTCTCAGCATTCTCACTGTTCTTTGTTCTTTTATATATAATGCATAGTTACTGAGCAACTACTTTGTACCAGGTGCCATGCCAGGCATCGTGGGTACATTAGTGAACAAGACTCAACCTATGCCTTTGAGGAGGTACAGGGATAAGCACTCCATTGCACCTGTATTATCCCTCCCCACTCCTGCTGCCATTGCAGACATCACTAATCAACCACAGCATGCTTTAACACTGAGCCCAGACATGACCTCAGGATCTCTTTGAACCCAGCACTCCAGTGTTTCCAACAACTACCAAGTGGGGACTAGCCCCCATTATGCCTTCCTCACAGGGTTGCACAGAGAATAAAAACAAGATTGTAATTGGGTGAGGGAAACATGCTCTAAAATCAGGTCCAAGTGCAGAGTTTTTCCCTAAGCCTATAAGCATGGAGAGCAGCTGATAGGGCAGGAGGGTGCTTCCTTCTTCAAATATCCTTGAGAATTAAGCCAAAGGGCCAGGAGCAGTTTATGTGCAAAGACTATGTCTGTCCCCAGTGCCCAACACACAGCCTGGCACCCACTGCCTATTCTTAAATCCTTGTTAGATAAATGAATGCATCTTCATATCCCTGCCCAGCTGGGCAGTCACCTACCAGGGCAGGCGGCCATGTCTGCTTGCTCCTTTCTGGAATAAGTCAGCCCAGCCTACAAACAGACAACTCTTCAGAAGGCAGATCCAAGGCCCCTGGTGCAGATAACTGCAGTCAAATACACCCCACCCGCACCCCAGGCCTCGTTCAAGCATCTTTCCTTCCTTCTTGGCCTTAACAAGGTGGAGCATGTCTGTTTGGCACCTTCTCCCTTCTCACTCACTTGCTAGATAACCAGGGATTCAGGCTGACTGTGGAAACCTCTGGGGTGTCTGGGACCTGAGGCTGCTCCCACAATGTGACAACACCTGTGCATTAATGGAGGGAAAGGAGGCTGGGGAGGGAGGCTGCTCGCCAGCCTCCACTGGCTAGGCTCCACTGGCCTGCTTCTTTCCAAGGCAGACAGATGAGGACAGAGGAGGTGGCTTCCCCCGAGGGGAAATGGAGTATGGGCTTGGTGGGGCCTCTGCTCTATGTGTTTATGAACTAGAATCTCACATAGGAATCTAGCTCTGCAGACTTTAAAGCCCTCTCCCATCCTGTAGCTGATGTGAAGCATATAAGGCCCTATGAGAAAGGCCATGAAAGACTGTTACTGCTGCTCTGCCTATGTGGAAGCTGGCCCAGAGAGGTTAAGTGACTCATCTTGGGTCACACAGCCTTTCAAGACCAGCTGCACATTCATCATGTCTGCCATCTGAATAGAAACCTGGAGATGGCATGGGCCTGAAGTCTACAGAAGGCTGCCCTGTAGGAGTAATAGGGCACTCTGCACAAGTGTCTAGGCTCTGGCGTCAGGGCTGCCCAGACCCAAATCTTGTCCCTACCACCCTCAAGTTGTAGGAGCTTAGACACATGGCTTAATCCACGAGACTCACTCTCCCCCTTCAGAAACTGGGGAAAATATTACCCACTTCACGAAGGTTTTGGAAAATTATGTATTTCTTTCTCTTTCTTTCTATAAACATGTATTGAGATTTATTGTGCCAATGGGGTACAAACATGAGCATGTCACCACCTCTGCCCTTGAGCTTAAAGTCTACATATAGATCAGCAAATAGTAAAATACAATGTGGCTGGGGCTGTGATTCCACACACAGATCTGGAGAACTGAGGAAAGAGAGACTAACTGGGGTTGGGCACGCTTTGGTACAAGGATGACCACTCCATCGTCCTGTATTATCCCTCCCCACTCCTGCCACCATGGCAGACATCACTAATCAGCCACAGTACACTTTAACACTAAGCCCAGCCATAACCTTAGGATCTCAAGGGGACTGAGGTACTGAAGGGTGAGTAGGAGCTTGCCAGGTAGACACAGTAGGTTGGAAGGATATTTGGGGAAGAGGAAACAGCCTTAAAAAGACATGGAGATGTGGAGAAAGATGGCATGTCTTGACAATGGGGGAAGGTTTGGTGTGGCTGGTATATGAGCTTCACCACAGAGATGAGGCTGAAGACGTTGTCAGGCTGCAGCGTGAGGGGATTTGAAGCCAGCCAGGCCCAACAGCAGAGGGCGACAGTGGGAGGATTTCCTGCAGGAGAGGGCTGGGAGGCTTCCAACCTGGCCCTCTTCTGAGGCTGAGAGTCAGGCCAGGAGCTACTGTAGAGACTCCAGCATCCTTGGGACATCAAGAAAGGGAGGGGGTCAGAGGAAGGACTAAGAACTAAGGTCTGATCCAGGAGCAGACACCAGGCCGCTGATGGCCCTAGGTGTCAGGCTAACCTAGAAAACTCCCACTGCACAGAAGCAGCATGGTGGGCTCAGGAGTAGCAGTTCACCCTGCAGGCTCTTGTTCCAAGGCTTCCATTTCCAGATATTTGGCCGCCAAGGGAGGGTGGCCCCTCCTGGGTGGTGAAGACCAGAAACCTCACTTTCCAGAGGGGAAGGCTAGAGATTGAGAAAGGTCAGTGAGCCCACCAAGGGCACATAGCAGAGCTGAGGCCGAGGGCAGATGGCATGGAGGGTTTCCAGAGCTGTGAATGCTGGAGCCTTGGCCCTAATCTTGTCAGAGGGGACTGAGAACAGAGCCAAGGAGGAAAAGCCATTGAGGGGGCCTAATGGGCAGCAACGGGTGGCAGCACCCAAAGCAGAAGGTATTGGCTACCCGCAAGACAAGTTTTGGGGCTTTTATTTGCAAAGCCCAGGCTCTTAATGGGTCATTGTGCTGATTGTCTTGTGGGGTGGGAAGCGTGGTGGGACTCGGGGGAGAACAGAGCAAAAGGTGGGAGCACTTGTTGAGGAACATATTTGGAGAGGCCCCCCTCCTTCATCCCCAGGCTGGGAAGAGAAGGGTGTTTGTGGAACCTGAGACTGTGGAGACCAAAGCCCACTGTCATGCAGGGCCTCTGAGAGACCCCTAAAATCTCTCAGGGGCCCTGCCTGAGATTGGGCTTTCTTCCTCTTCCTGGGGAGGCAGGAAGAGTGCACATTAGGAACCACTGCCCCGAGAGCTGCCACCAGAGACTCCTGGAAACGAATGAAGCAGCCACCTTCAATGGGTCATGGGAGTTGGATAATGAGGACACTTTCCAGATCCTTGTGATCCTAGAGAGACAGGAGCCCCTCAAAACATGAGCTTTGATGCCTTTTCCTCCTTCCCTGGGGAATCCAAGGTCATCTCTGGAAATACTGACTCTTTTAATGCCCGTCTTTGTGCGTTTGAGCTGTTATAACAAAATACCACAGACTGGGTAATTTATAAATGACAGAAATGTATGGCTTACAGTTGTGGAGGCTGGAAGTCTGAGATCAAGCTACGAGTAGATTCAGTGTCTGGTGAGGGGTGTGCTCTCTGCTTCCAAGATGGGGCGGGGGTGCGACGCAGGGGCAGAAGTGAGCAGGCATGGGGTCTGCATGCCCACATCAGTGCCTTATCTACCAGGCAGTCAAGCTGGTGTCTTCATGGGTGCAAGTAAGTTGTAAAAGTGGCTCAAAACTTCAGCGGGCATACTTTGGGTTGTAACTCAACTGTTATCTCTTGAGGCAACCTCCTGGTGGGTGAGAGTTGGGCTCTGGAGCTTCTAAGCACATAGTTAGATGAACTTGCCCTGTAAGGAATGTCTGGTGAAGAGGAGGTAAAAGGCTGTCATTGCATTTCTAAAGGACAGAGTAAGAAGTGGGAGAAAGGAGGAAAGAAAAAAGAAGAGAGAGGAAAAAATAATTAAACTATCTCTTAGAAAAATGGGGGTACTTGATTACGTTATAACTGAACACCGGGGAGGCAGCAGAACATCAAAGAAAGAGAATGAAACTTGATGTTTGATGACCTGGCTGTGAGTCTTTGCTCTGCTATTTATGTGCTCCATGTCCTGGGACACACCTAGAGTAAGCAGGGATCACTGCTGCAGGGCTAGGATTGGAAGCCAAGTAACATGCTGAGAAAAGAGCCTCGAAACTCATACAGAAAAAGGACCAGATCCACAATCGATATGGAATCATAAGTCAATAAAGGACAAATGACACAATAAAAAAGCAGGCAAATGCTCTGAGCAGATAACATGAAGAAACACAAATGATCAACACATACACAGAAGCAAGCTCTCCCTCATTAGTAACCAGGGAAATTTAAATGCAATAGTAATTTTCATCAGATCGGCAAAAGAGCAAACTTAATTGTGGTCAAAGAAAAGTAGACAAGGGTGTGGGGTAGGGACCCACACACCTGTGAGCGGAAGTATAAATTGGTACAGTCACTTCCTATGGCAACTTTGCTGTAATCTATTAAACCTGAAAATGGGCATAGCCCATGACCCAGCAATCACACTTCTCGGAACCTATTCTAGGTACCTACCCTGAAGAAACACTAGCACGTGTATGGGGTTTTCATTACAATATTGATGGTAAAATAAAAATGGAAAGCGAAATATTCCCAGGAGGAAATAGCTAGCTGAAATGTGACCTATTCCACAATGGAACACGATTCACTAGTTAAAAGATGATCCTTTTGTACCTACATAGATAGATCTCAAAATCACTGTTGAGTGGGAAAAAAATACAGTCATTCCCCTCTTCTCTGTGGTTTCACTTTCTGCAGTTTCAACTACTCATGGTCAATTACAGTGTGAAAATAGGTGAGTACAGTACCATAAGATATTTTGAGGAAGAGAGAGAGAATACATTCACATAACTTTTACTGTAGTATGCTGTCATAATTGTTCTATTTTATTACTAATTTTGTTGTTAGCAATCTCTCACTGTATCTAATTTATACATTAAGCTTTATCATAGGTATGTGTTATAGGAAAAAAACATAGTATATCTAGGATTTGACATGGTTTCAGGCATCCACTGGGGGTCTTGGAGAGGATCCCCCTGGCTAAGGGGTGACTACTGTATAAGTAGATGTAATATAATCCCAAGTCAGGATTCCTTTGTACTTTAAGTAACTAAACAGCCAACCTACTATAGCATAAACGAAGAGGCATTTATTTTTCTCAAATAACATGGAGTCCAGAAGTAGCAATGGCTAAATTTGGGTCAGCGGCTCTCTCATATATCTGTGATTCTCTGGCTTTTCTCTTGTGCTCATTGCTACATAGTCGTGAAATGGCTACTGCAACTTCAGACATCACATTTGTATCCAATGCGGAAGAAGGGTAAAGTGAAAGGGTTTTCTCTCTTTTTTTTTTTTTTGAGGTGGAGTCTCGCTCTGTTGCCCAGGCTGGAGTGCAGTGGCATGATCTCAGCTCACTGCAACCTCCGCCTCCCAGGTTCAAGTGATTCTCCTGCCTCAGCCTCCCAAGTAGCTGGGACTACAGGCGCCCGCCACCACACCCAGCTAATTTTTTGTATTTTTAGTAGAGACGGAGTTTCACCATGTTAGCCAAGATGGTCTCCATCTCCTGACCTCGTGATCCAGCTGCCTTGGCCTCCCAAAGTGTTGGGATTACAGGCGTGAGCCACCACGCCCGGCCCAGGGTTTTCTCTTTACAAAGCTTTAGGTCTTGGGTGAGGGAAGCCCTTCCCAGAGAATTCTCCTTACATCTCATTAGCAAGAACTGGGTCATCAGCCAACCTTTGGACCATTCTGTTAAAGGGGGGAGATTATCAAAATTCATTTACATCAGTCGTGATTCATTCTCTAGAAATTAGAAGAGGGACCTACCCTTCCCTATAGCAAGAGAGTTCTGCCCACTACTTGAATATCAGTTTCTGTTAGCATGGAAGAAAAGGGTGCCCTGGCTGTTGGGTGGGTAAGGGATAGTGTCTGCCACAGATACAATTTATGTGGAAAAGAAAACACACCCATGTGTACAACATTACCTATTTTTTTTATCAAGTACATACAAAGGTTATCACAGAAGGAGGCGGTGGCAGTGAAGAGGTGGGAGTGGGGAAAGGGCTTGCGTGTGGTGCTCAAAGGGCCTTTGGTTTTATCAGCGATTCTTTCATTTTTAAAAGGGAGGCTGTATTCATGTATCACTTGGGTAACTAAAAGTCAGTTTCTAAAAGTTCTGTCAGTGACTGGCTTTGGCATCCCCAGATTTGGCCCAATCCCAACAGAGCCCAACACTGCAGAAGCAAAGACTTGGTACTCCAAAAAGTTCAACTGGGTAGGGGAGCCTGGAGAGGAAGGAGGAAATTGCCTGAATGACTCTTGGCTCTACGAAAAAAGTTGGGAGCCAATCATGCAAGGCTGAGCAGTCCTTTCGGGACTGTCTTTGACAGACAGAAAGTCAGCCCGCCAGTATTTCCTTGCAAATTCTCAGGCCTCCTTCTGGGATTTTCCCTTGTTCTTCAAACAGAAACTGCAGTCTCTGATTAAACCACCTGTCAACTACCCACAAATGCAGCTGGTGTCCTTAAAACTGCTTACAAGGCACTCAGGGGTGCAAGGGGTGGCCAGGGGTGCAAGGGGTGGCCGGGATTGATGGGGCACTGGCTGCACAGGCTCAGCAGAGCCATGAAAGAGCTCCCTGGGGCACTTGGAGTCACTGGGGCCACCTGGATGTGGGGAGATCCATGCCAGACAAAGCACAGTGCAGTCCGCTCATTGCCACAATCCAGCCTTGTGCTTCCTATTACCCCATCTTACAGGTCAGGAAACAGAGGTTCAGGGAAGGGGATTGCCCAAGTGCACACAGCATGGAGGCTCTCAGAGTAGCTGCCAGCCCATAGGGCAGCGCTTCCTGGGAAAGCTGGAAAGGGAAATGAGAGAACCAGAGGGTAGTGGAGTTCTTGGGGATCAGCCCCTCCAAAGCCCACTTCTGTCGCTTCCTCCTTATGACCACAGCACCTAACTGCTATCCCAAGCCCAAGGTCCTGCCGGAAAGATTTAACATCTAAGAAGGTCCTTGGAAATCAATGAATCTGGTGTGGATTTCCAGGAATGGATGGATAGAAACCAGCTTTAAAAAATGAAATTAATAAACTAGAAAATATCAGAATGTACTGCATATAGTCAAGGTCCATATCATTTTGTGAAATTTGTGTATCTATGTTTGTACCCAGTCAGTGGCGAAGGTGTTTCTCACTGTGAATTGCAGCACGCCCCATCCCACCAAAAAAAGGAAAGACACTGATTTGGTCTGTGTGCTTCATTTCACAGATGGGAAGACTGAGGCCTAGGCATGCGTATGGCTTGCACAGGGCCATGCAATCCTCTGGGGACAGAGCCCCAGGCACCTGAGGCCCGAAGTGGCTTCAAGCTGCTTCCCTGGTTATTGGGCTCCAGGCCTCACACATGCCCTGAAGGGTGCAGGGGTTACAGAAGCTCTTCCTGCCCCGTTTCCACGTGGGAGCTGCTTATTTACCCAGCCCTGCTCCTGGGTCCCCAGTTAGGTGAGTCCTGTTCATTTGCAGCTCCTGCTAAACACTCTTGCTATGGTGAACACTTGGCTGAAGTTCCTCACTGTTCTGTGAGGCCTGCAGCTCCCTCTCCTTACCCCATTCCACATACTTGGCTCACCCTGAAGCAACTCTCTTTCTTTCTTGGTCTTCTCAGAGTGGCTGGGTGTGGCCTGGCGCTGGCTGGTAAAGCCCTTGGCTAACAGGAACCAGGCCCTGTGTTTCCAGTAGGAGGGCATCTGCTGAGGCTGGCTCAGGACCCAGTAACCTGAGTTCTATGCCTACTGTGCCTCCACCACACTCTGTGACATTAGACAAGTCACAACATCTCTAAGCCTCTGTTTACCTTTCTGTAAAATAACTTAATATTCTCCACCCAACACCCCTCACTGCAAGGATCAGATGAAATCAGCTGTGATGTAAAAGTCTACTGTCTTGGACATCAGCGTTTTCACCTGACCAGCATCCGTTCTTTCCCGTTCTCCTTTTCTGCTCATGGTCCCCAGTTTTCCTTTGGGGAACCACTTCTCTCAAAGTCAGTCCCTGAAGTGGCTGTGGCTGGCCCCCCACCCCTCCATTCCCCAGAGTCACATACTCGGCCCATGCTTGGCAAATCAGCATTCTCTACCCTTCCGACCTGAGGAGCACACTAAACAAATCAGACAGACAAGACTGAGTCATGGGACTGCTGCCGGCACTGCTACTGGGGCTGCTGAGTTGACGGATGAGCTTGGAGCCTCGGAAGCTATCATTTGGAGAGCAGGCTTGCTACAAACGGGGTGCAGGAGACGAGGGAGTGGGAGGCTCGGACCTTGCCTGGGCCTCTCCATCTAGATGGACCTAAAGCAACCTCTACTCCCAGACTTTTCAGCCTCTCAAAGCCAGTGAATTCTCCTCATGGTGTCAGCCAGTTGGGAATGAGTTTCTTTCATTGGCAGTTGGGAATCCTGACTCATTCAGTGGCCAAAACATAAAAAGTGCTAAAGAAAAAAAAAAGGAGAACTTCTCCCTTTTGGGCCTCTTTGGCCCCCCCTGGTCTGCAGACAGCCTCCCTGCCTTTCTGGTCGGGGGTCGGGGGGTCGGGGGGCACCCTCCATGCTGTGCACCTCGTTAGACCCTCTGCATTCACTGGCTGGGGAAGGGCCAGCGCACCTCTCCCATGAACCTGTTCCAGACAGACTGGAAGGGAAGAGGGCCGTCAGCCGGCCATCATTGGTTTGGACACTGATTTCCTAAGTGTAGGACTCCAACCTACCCAGTTCTGCCTCATCCTGCCGTAGGTGATCCATTCTTTCTGTGGGAAGCCCACCAGTTCTGCAGTCCACTTTGACCATCTCACATGCAGCGTCCACACACTGCCTCAGAAATTCCTCACACTCACCAAGCTCCCCAAGTCTGTGTCTGCTCTGGTCCTGCCCCCTCCTCTCTGCTTCTTTCCCCGCCTCCTTGACCTCCTCTCGTCTCCCTCTGTGGGGTCTGTCCCTCCCTGCTTCCTGCCTGGCCCCATCTTGGCAGCCTCTGCTCTGGCTTTCGAAGGCCTGTCAGCGCATTCTGCGTGGCATCCTCGCCAGTGCAGGCAAGGAGAGCCTCATGTTCCATTCCGGCTGCTGGGACCGCCTGTTTGTGGAGACACCCTCTCCCGTCCCCTCCTGACAGGTGATGGCAATTAGTCATCCTGATCTTTCACACTGGATTCAACTACTGATCCCAGTGTGGACTGTGCTCCAGGCTGGGAGGTGATATCCTAAACACCTCCTCTCCTGTGGGACAGGGGGACATCTTCAAGGCTCGTCCTGAGATGGGCACAGGTTATGATCTCACAATCTGTGGCCAGCCAGCATCAGCTTGAGACACAGTCATGTGTAGGATTGCCAAACTGTTGTCCATCTGAAATTAAAATTGAACTGGCATCAAGTTATTTTTTGTTTTGACTAAGTCTGGCAACCCTGGTCAGGAGGCTAAAGCTGGTGAGGTTGCAGTAAGTTGTAGAGGAGGACTCCTCACCCACAAACTCTAGAACAGGTACCCATGGAGTTTTTACACCTGCAACACTTTTAAAAAGAGGATAGAAAGATGGATGTTCTGGAAGACAAATTATTGTCTATTTAGAGGTGGATGAGCTTCTAGGACTCTTCCAGCCCTGAGCCCGATAATTCCAGGCTCTCACATCTGTGTTTTGGGAATATGGCTGTATTTAAAGTACTGTGAACTCTGAGGTCTGCCCCAGGCCTTTTTTCTCTCAGGAGTCAAGCTCGGGATTTCACGGCTGTCTGTGAGAGCTACAGAAAGCAACTGGCAGTGACCCTAAATGCCAAAGGGCCTGGAGATTGATGAGGTGGAGGGAAGATCGCAACAGACTTTAGCAGGAAGGGAAATGAACTTTAAGATAAGTTTCTGCATATTGAATCCTAATTTTTCATTCACTTTCATTCATTCATTCATCTGGATGCCACTCCAGATTCCTCTGGAGGGGAAATTTTGACCTCCAAAATGTAAGATGTAATGAAATGACTTTAAAAAAAAATAGCTAAATTGCATATTTTAAGAGAAAATATTTTCCAAGGTGATAATGGTAATATTCAAAATAGATTTCCAAGCATAAACACAAAGCGATTACAAGTGTGTTTGGCCCAGAGTTTCAAAACATCCAGTGACAGCTTAATTGAGCAGAACACTAGGCTCATAAACCTCTTTTTCTCAGTTTCCTACAGCAGCAGACATCGCTGCGTTTCTTGGCTGTGTGGGTTGCATTTCAGGGCACGCTGAGAGCTGCTGCCTCCATAGATGTCATCCAAGTTTCTCTAAGCAAAGTCAGGTGGAGGTGTCAAATTAGCAGTCAGGCAGTGGGTCCACAGGCAGCACAGGTGATGGGGCAGGGGAGCAGCTCTGCAGACAGAGCTCATAAAGGGATGTGTGGCTGCAGGCAGGAAGGGAGAGGGGGGCTCAAGGAATATCCTATAGAAGGCAGATCTCTAGGTTTTGTATTTAGAACCAGCCTCTAGATGAACAATAACACAAAAGCACATTTCTGTTCATTGTGTTTCTACATTTGGGGTACATCTATAAACACGAAGACCAGAGCAGGAAGTTGTGGACATGGAAAAGAACTTTGCAGCACCTAGCAGTCCAGGCTCCATGAGGAAAAGAGAACTCCTTCAGGACTTACTATCGTGTGAGGAAAATCTGTGCATAGAGCCAACCTAGCCCGGGAGCCAAAGGAAGGCAGACAGAGTGAAGACAGGCAGCTTTGGCCATGGTTTTGCTATTTGCAAGTTTGGACCACAATGTGTTTCTGTTTCTCTTTCCCGCCCTCCCTGATTCCATCACCTCCAGTCTCCCCCATCTTTTCCACTTCACCCTTCTCAGTTTCCAGCAGTCAGAGGACGGGGTGTATCCTGGGCCGCACCATCCCTTGGCTCTGTCTGTGTGGCGTGTGTGGTGGGTGCAATGGGGGTGGGTTTGTGGCTCATGAGGATGAAAATTGTTCTTCACAGTTTGGAATGCTGGCCTCATGTGGGGGCTGCTAAGATTTATCTGGAAACAGTATACTGTGAAGATTTCTGGGGTTTTGACTTAGTGCGAGAGAAGGGTTCAGGTGGGGAATTGGAGGAGGTTTTTAGGCCTTTCTTCTCCCTGTGAAGAAAAGATCAATGAGCAAATGACACCCCCACCCCAGCAGAAAGAGGGAAATAGAAGGATCTGGTTCATGGCCAAACTCACAACTGAGTATATAGATGACGAGTGAAGGGTCAATTCGGAAGAATTCTGGGAGGGAGGAGGAGGGAGATAATGGGAGAGCTGGATGCTTCTGGAGAAAGGAGGGAGTCTGAGATTCTGGATGAGAAGCATGAAGGAGAGAAGACTGTTTCAGAGAGCAGGCGAGAGAAAGAGTGATTCCAGGAGAGAGTCAGGGAGGATGGACACAGGCTTTGGGAGAAAGGCAGTGCCATTGGAATGGCGGGGGAGAAGTGCTGCAGAAGGCTCGTGTTACCGGAAGAAGCAAAGCCTCCCTCTGACCCAGGACGCAATTGTGCTGCAGCCACGTGAGGCGGAGTCAGCCTGGTCCCCATGCCATGTGGCTCAGACCAGCTCTTCATTCATTCATTCATTCTTTCCTTTACTCATCAGAGTTCTCACTGTGTGCTGAGCCTTATGCTTCCTGCCCTCAGGAAGCTCCCTGGCTGGTGGGAGAGCCCAGCTTCAGTAAAAACTTCCCACAGTACAGAGTGGGGCAGTCTGGATGAACCAATCATCGTTCAAGAGCTGGCAAGAGAACCCAGGGTAGGCTCGGCCCTTGGAAAGTGGAGGACTGCCCAGCTAGTCTGTGGACTCCTTCCAGGTTTGGGTGAGCTGGCCTGGACTCTTACCCCCTGTATGGCCCACCTAAAGATTCAAGGTGGGTATTCTTGCCCACTTCAGGGGTCCCATCCTAGACACCAGGGCCCCTTTGTCCCTAGTTACCCAGGACTCCCCACCCCAGCCTCCTTTGTTCACAGTAGCATGTGCGCTCTGGGACTTCCCCTCTGTAGATCTTCCTTCCCTCAGTCTGCACAATCCTTCAGGTTTTTTTCTGATTCACTAGAAACTCACCTGAAACAGTCACTCCTCCTGAAGGCCGACAATGGATGAAACCTTCACGCCTGACCACTCTCAATCATCTTTGTTGTCATTGTCATCGTCATCATGATGTTTTGCTTTATAAGACTTCTTGGCCAGGTGCAATGGCTCACGCCTGTAATCCCAGCACTTTGGGAGGCCGAGGAGGGTGAATCACTTGAGGCCAGGAGTTCAAGACCAGCCTGGCCAACATGGTGAAATCCCATCTCTACTAAAAATACAAAAATTAGCTGGGCATGGTGGTGTGCACCTGTAATCTTGGTTACTCAGGAGGCTGAGGCAGGAGAAACCAGGAGGCAGAGGTTGAAGTGAGCCGAGATCATGCCACTGCATTCCAGCTTGGGTGACAGAGCAAGACTCTGTCTCAAAAAACAAAAACAAAAACAAAAAAACTTAATAACTTTAGTTTCAAACAACCCAATGAAGCAGATAAGCAGAGAATATTACTTCTATCTACAGGAGGGAAAAGCTGAGGCTCAGAGAGGTTAAAAGACTTGCCAACAGTCACACACTGGAGTGGAAAAGGCAGAGTTTGAACCTGCATCCAAAGCCCTTTCTGATCCATGATACAGGTGGTATGGCAGAACAGTGGGGAAAGTATAGCATTTTCTCTAAATGATGCAGGAATAACTAAGATTCATGAGTAGGGAAGGGGAATAAAATGTAATTTCTACCTTACACAGTAAACAAAACTACTCCAAGTGGCTTAAAAAGTTAAATGTCAAAAATAAAAATTTGCATTTTTAAATAAAAATATAAGTGAATATCTTTCTGATCTTGAAGAGTATGGAATGAATTTTAAAATAAGGCCTTAAAAGTACTAATGTTAAGATAAAAGACAGATTAAGTCAAGCACATTAAAACTAAGAATGTTCATCAAAAGACAGGCAACTGGTTATCTACATGCAAATAAATAATGTTGAACCCCGAACCCACACCAGATGCAGAAATTGACTCAATGAATCAAAGACCTAAAGAACTAAAACTATAAATTCCTAGAGGAAAACATAGGTGTAAATCTTTGCAACCTTGGATTAGACAATGGTTTCTTAGATGTGACTCCAAAAGCATAAGCAATAAAAGAAAAAAAAACCAGATAAATTGGACTTTATCAAAGTTAAAAAATTTGCGCTTCAAAGAACATCATCAAGAAAATAAAAAGACAACCCACAGTATGGGAGAAATTGTTTGTAAATCATACATCTGATAAAGATATATGATTATATTGTATAATATAATATATATTACATAGTCTAGATTGTATCTAGACTATAAAATAACCATTACAACTCAAAAATTAAAAAAGCCCTAAAAGATCTGAACACTTCTCAGGAAAAAAAAAACTACACAAACAGCCAACAAGTACATAAAAAGGTGCTCAATATCGTTGGCCTTCGAGAAAATGCAAATCAAAATCACAATATGTTACCACTTCACACCCACCAGGATGGCTATCATCAAAAAGACAGATAATAACGAGTATTAGCCAGGATGTGGAGAAATTGGAACCCTCCCATACACTTCTGGTGGGTATGTGAAATGATGAGGCCATTTTTGAAAACAGTCTGGAAAACACTCAAAGGGTTAAACACAGAGTTAATACATGATCCAGCAATTCCACTCCTGGGGATATACCAAAGAGAAATGAAAACATAGGTCCACACAAAACTTGTACAAAAATATATAAAGCAGCATTATTTGTCACAGCCCCAAAGTGGAAACAACCCAAATGCCCATCAATTGATGAATGGATAAACAAAATGTGGCTTATTATACAATATATTATTTGGCAATGGAGAAGAATGAAGAGTTAATATCTGCTACAACATGGATGAACTTTGAAGACATTATGCTGTGTGAAAGAAGCCAGTCATGAAAGACCACATATTGTATAATGTGATTTATATAAAAGGTCCAGAATTGGCAAATATATAGAAACACAAAGTAGGTTAGGGACTGCCAAGACCGGGGGGCGAGGACAGGTGGGTAGTGGGCTGGGGGCAATAGGGTATAGGGTTTCTTTCTGGGGTGATGAAAGTATTTTAAAGCTAATCACGGTGATGATTTCATAACTCTGTGAATACAGTAAATACCATTGAATTATACACTTTAAATGAGTGAATGGTGTGATATGTAAATTATAGCTCAATTTTAACTTTTTAGTTTCAGAAGACAGCTAAATAAAATAAAAACACAGATCACAAACCAGAGGGGACCCTTTCCAGTGGGGGGAAACATCAGATCCCATGACATTGAGTAGGGACGTGCCTTTGAGCAGATGACTTTAGAGGACTTCTAAACCACACCATTGGGTGGTACCTAGACCTGGCCTTTTCCTCTCAGGCCATTGGCAAGCTGCACCATGTTGAAAAAGTCTGGGGTTCATGGTATGCCCAATACCTTGGACTCACTTGTCCTTTCCTAGCAAAGGAGAGTCATTTCTAGGAAAGTGGAAGACCTTGATCAAATCAGCACAGAACAGGCCACTTCAGGTAGAGGTGAGAATCCAGCCAAAGGAGGCATTCAACTATGGGCAGAGTAACACCAATGGCTTGTTGGGTTGGCTTAGCTGATGCTTCAGAATCCTTCTCCTAAGCTTGGATCCTAGGAATACAATTACATTTTGCTCTGAGGCATGTCTTGCTGACACTGGAATGATTCCATTCTCAGCACCCAATAACTTGCCCACATACACATACTCCATCCTACCCCAAGAGAGAAGAGCCGAGTCATATGATGGGGCTTGGAAGTCAAAAGCAGGATGACAAGGGAGAGTAAACCCCTCACCAGGCTCCTCAGGGTCTAGCTGTGCCTTCCAAAACCTGTTATGGGAACGTGTGACCCCTGAATCCATCAGTGGACAGGTTAAGTCAGCCCTGCAAATACATCCAACAGGCTCGAAGCCAGAGACCAGGGCACCAGATCACATTGTCCTAAAGGCCCTGGAGAGTAAAGATGGGCATTCTTCCCCCAGAGGGGAAAGGCTGAGCAAAGGGCATTGCTGTCCCTCTCCCAGACTCATGCCTATTGTGTCCCTCTTCTCTGCCTCTCTCATCCTAGTTACCCTGACATAGGCCCGTCTGGAGCAAAAGCCCACACCCTAGCTTGCAGCTGCTGGGCCAAGCTGGCAACTTGGGCATTCTGTGACCAACTCCCTGGATGCTTTCTCAAAGTATGCCCCCTATCTATCTATCTATCTATCTATCTATCTATCTATCTATCTATCTATCTATCTTCATCTATCTATTATGTATCTATCATCTGCCTTTCTATTACCTATCATTTATCTATCAACAATCTATCTATTACCTATCATCTATCTTTCTGTTATTTGTCTACTAGTATCCTCTAATATCTACCTATCTATCTTATAAAGCTGGCCCAAGCAGGGGGAAAGATTCACCATGACAAAACAACATAGAGTAAAACCTGAGTATTCCTTCTCTGTTGAATTGGGCTTATTTCCTTCTAGGCTTTTCACTTAGCATATGCAGACACATCTAATATCCATCTATACATCTACTTTCTTTTAAAGATGGTGTCACTTTTTCAGAGAGGGTCGTTTGTTTCTTTGCTTGCATTCACTGAATGGTCAGTAGACACTGCTCTGTGGGATGGTGAAACCCGGGCCTGCAGACTTAACCTAGGGAGTAAGGGAGAAGAGGCAGGCCTGGGGAGCAGGCCCAGACCTTACACATTCTGTTGCTAACAAGGTTTGCTTTGCTTCCCCTGTCTGGTCTCAAGGAGACTCACCTCAGGGTGAGGGGAATGCCCAGTTCATTTCCAGAAGCTCTTCCAGCTTTGGCTCCTCTGAAGTAGCTACTATTATATAATCTATACATTAGAGTAAACTTACTGTAAATTAGCCATTTAACTCCCACATGCTTATGAGTGTGTGCTGGTCCACTCCCATTTTGAAGATAGGAAACTCAGGCACAGTGAATTGGATGACTTCAAAGTCATACAGGAGTGCAAGACACCATCAGGGCCGGAACTTGGGTCAGAGTAGCCCATGCATTTAGCCACCATGCCGCCATCAGCTCCTGATCACCAGAGCACAAGTCAGTGGCCCTGAGTAGGCACAGGCCAGAATGCAGAAGACAGGCTGTGCTTGGGCCGGTAAGAACCTCAGCCAGGGTCACCAGCTCCTATTCTACACAGTAAAGCAAGCCAGATATGTCCTCCCAGAGAGAGCCTGGCCTGACCCCGAGTGTCTGTGTAGCTAGTGGGCAGCCCAACAGCTACGCTCCCTGTGCTGGGGAGAGGGCAGGCACAGGGCCCAGGCTCAGCTGCCCTCTGGGGCAGCATAGGTGCTTTCAATTCATTCAACACAGCGTCTGAGCCTCCTGGAGTTTCCCACAGGGAGTGAAGGTCTGGCTGAGCCAGGCTGCCCAGCCTCTAGAAAGAGACTCAAAGACAACCCTCCTGTGGCTCAGAGGCTCAGAGGAGGGTTCATTCCAGGAAGGAGTCCGTCTACCCAGGAGACTCCAGGTCAGGATCCAGCTGCCTCTGCTGAAAAAGCACCCCTCCCCTGAGACAGCCATCCCACACAGACCAGCGTGGCCTAGTGAACTCACCCTGGATCCATGTCCTGAATTATTTATTTACACCCCCGCCACCCCAGTTATCCATATCATCTGGCTGGCCTCAGGCCAAGTCGCTTTCCTCCTGGTCTTGTCTGCGGTGACAGGACAGGGAGAGGACACATCCACAGCGGGACTGGGGAGCCTCAGCCTAGGCTTTCAGTCTTCTTCCTCTTCCTCCACCGCCACCAGCACCCCTGTCTGCCTGCAATTGAACCCAGATGCCAGGAAATATCTTGGTTGTATGGCTGAAGTGAAAACACATGGGTAGGATGAAAATCCTTCTCTGTTACAGCTTCATTACTGCCATCCCCGGAAACTTGCAGATGCAGAGGGAGACTTCTGAGCCCAGTGTCTGGCACTGTGTGTGCAGGAAGTGCAGCCTGGACCAGCCATGGGCAGTATGCACACGGCCTGCTGGCTGCTGGCACACAGCCAAGTTCAACTAGCTTGTGGGAGAGCAGGGGGAGGGACAGAAGCTCCTCCAGCCTCAGATCCCTATTTTTCATGGCCATTCAAAAAAACTTAGGATCCCAGATACCAGTACTGGCCCTGACACTCACTGGCTGTGTGACTTCAGGTAAGTCACATCACTTCTCTGAGCCTCATCTGTAAAGTGGCGATAAAATGCCTTCTTCTTGGAGTTGCTGCAGTGTAGCAAAGGTACTTTTGGGAGGGGAAAACCAGTCTGAGGGTATAAGGGAGTTACAAAGCAAAGCCACAGTCCCTAGCCCACAATACCAAAGCCCTCAAAGCTCTGAGAACCAAAGCTTTTTGTAACTCAGTTGGCAGCAAAACCTGAGCTAAACTGACATGAAGCTATTTATTGCATGTAATTATCCCCCTTGGTGTAAATATTCATGTTTTGCTGCAAAAATATTACAATGTTTGATGAGACCTTGGTAGGGGAGGGATGTGTTTCTCTACAGCACATCTCGATTTCTAAAGTTCTGAAAGCTAAAACACATCCAGCCACGAGGGTTTAAATAGGGAGCTGATAACCTGTTCTTGGAAATGAAGGGAAATCTATTTGTTGTTTTAGGAGGTTAAGAAAAGTAGAATGTCTAGAGTTGGGCCAGATTTGAAGCCTTTCTTAAAAGCCACCACCCTGTCCTGCTCACATGTCAGCTGGGATCAACTCAGGAATAATTAATAGCACCATTTATCAAGCACTGACTGTGCATCAGATGTTGTGATGATGCTTCATAATTATTGTTTGTTGTGATCTCACAACAGCCCTGGGAGGTGTTTCTATGATTTTTCTTTTGAGACAGAGTCTTACTCTGTCATTCAAGCTGGAGTGCAGTGGCACGATCTCGGCCCATTGCAACATTCACCTCCCAGGTTCAAGGGATTCTCGTGCCTCAGCCTCCTGAGTAGCTGGGATTACAGGCATGCCCCATTTTGTACATTTTTTGTAGAGACGGGGTTTCACCATGTTGCCCAGGCTGGTCTTGAACTCCTGAGCTCAAGTGATCCACCCACCTCAGCCTCCCAAAGTGCTGGGATTACGGGCATGAGCCACTGTTTCCGGCCTCTGTGATCTTGTTCTACAGATGGGGAAATGGAGGCTCAGGAAGGAAAGTGACTTGCTTATGCCTGCGAAGCTGGTAAGAGGCAGATTCAAACCTTGTCTGACTGACTCTGGGGGACTTCAAGCTGGTAAAACAGTGGAGCAAGGAAGGCGGTCTCTTTGGGACAGGGGAGGACACCCCATCCAGATCACAGTGGAGGGTTCCTCTGTTAAGCCCGAACCTCCGCCACCTTCCATCACATGTCTGCCCCTTTCTCTCCTCCTACAGGGACCACCACCCCTAATTATGCCTGAGACTTACCTCCTTTTCCCCTCTGTGGGATTATGTGCTCCCAGACTCCCCCTGCTCCCACCCTGTTGGCTACAATTTTGAATGAGCTCATCCACAAAACAGGCCTCTTAACTTCGCAAGACTCTTGCACAGACCACACAAGGTCATGGATGTCAGTGGGCCCGTTAAGCACGGGGTGCCACGGACCACTGCAGGGGGATTAGGCAACTGCCCTGGGGAAGCAACAGGAGACGCACCAGAGGGGTCTCCCAAGGGCTCAGGCTGACCCCTGGACCATCTCCTCAGCAAAATCCATCTTTGTGACCTCCTGCCTCCTCTCCACTGACAGCCACCTGAGCCCGGGTTGGATTTGTTTTTTAACTACACAAGTGAATCATGAACACATTCTCATTAGAAAAAAAATACACAAGTACACAGAGTGAACAGTGAAAATTCGACTTTACCTCTGCCCTTTCAAGCCTATTCCCTCCCTGGGGTAACTACTGTTTACAACTGAGTATGTATCATTGCAGTCCATTTTCTTGGCGTTTATTTACGCACATATATCATTTGGATTTGTTTTGGGCGTTTTATATACACACCTCACATAGTGTTCTGCAGCTTGCTGTTTTCTGCTTACCATATGTCTTGGAAGTCTTCCCTCTTCAGTTCATATAAGTCTGCCTCATTCATTTTAATGGCTGCCTCCTAGCCGCCTGTGGATGCATGTGGGCTTATATCACCATTCCCCCACTGGTGAACACACAGCTCATCCATAAGTGAACATCTGGGTGTCTCTGTCATCATGGCCATAGGTCGTCTGCAAAGAACATCTCTTATGTGGACTGAGTGCCTGCTGGTGATTACTTTCTGGAAGAGGAGCGGCTGCATCAAAGAGGGTGACATTTTTCAATTGTGGCTAGCTTTGCCAAATTGCTCTCTAAAAGGCTGAATTAACTTAGGTCTCACTAATTGCACATCAGAGTTTGGGGCAGCAGTTCTGCCAGTTGACTGGGTCCAGAGCTTCCTGGTAGGTTGCTGTGAGATGGCTGGGACCCACTTCCCTGCGGAGAAGTCAGCTGGGGCTGTGGAATGAGCAGGCCCCTCTGCAGCAGTGTGTTGGGTGGGGATGACTGTTGCTTGTACATGGATCATAGAAGTGGCAATCAATACAGTGATTAGACAGAGTGGGTAAAAGCAGAGGATTTGGAGCCAAACAGATTTGTGTTTGCATCCTGGCTGCATCACCCATGAACCATCTCCAACAAATGTGACTTCTGTGAATCATTTTATCTGAAAAAGCAGAGCAGCAATGACCACATCAGAGCTATTGTAAGGCACAGAGCTATTGTAAGGTTTAACCATGATGATATACGAAAAGCACTTAGTATAGTCCCTGCATATAGTAAATGGGAGTACATGGAAATTGACATTTTTATTATGATTATCATTATAATTATTGTGAATATAATGGTGATGATTGTTAATATCCTGATGATTGTTAATTCCAGAAATACAGGTCCCTTTCCTCTTGGTGGGGGGATCCTCTCATCCCCCACCCATGTGAGCCCCTGAGCCCTGTGCAAGCCTGGGCGCCCTGTCAGTTGGTTGGTGGCTGTCTCAGTGCCTGCTGTGTGCAGAGGTCTGAGCCCACAGGGGATGGGTGATGGTACCCAGGAGGCAGGATGAGCTGTTCTGCCTTCCAGGCTAGAAGGGTAGACAGGACCCAACCGGATAAACACCAGTAAACAGAGGTGGGGTGTCTTACAAACAGAGGCTCATGCCAACGCAGCTTCTCCGAGATAAATACATCAGAGTCAACTCACTAGGTGGGAATGGAGGGAGTGGGTGGGTGCAGAGTGTAAGTGGGTTGAAGGTGGAGGCAGGAGAGAGTGAAGCCAGACAGAAAGGCAAAGTGAAGGGCAAAAGTGAGGTGGGGGGTCGGGGAGCAGCATAGAAGGTGGCCTGTGCTCCTGGCAGCAACTATGGAGGAGAGGAGGGTGCCCTGGACCAGCTGGCCACCAGAGTCCTCCATTCAATTCCCTGCTCTGCATCTTGCCAGCTGTTGGCCTTGGGGAAATCCTGCTTCTTTTCTGGGTCTTGGTTTGAGCATCTGTAAAACGGGCCGTGCAGGGGCTGGTTCAACTTGAGTGCTCTATTCAGAGTCCTTTTCAGCCTGACGCATCTAGGAATTCCTGCCTCATAATAATATCTCTGCTCTGAGCACTCTCATCTTGAATTTGAGTCACTGTGGCCATCACCGTCACCCCTGCAAAGCGCCAGCATGCAACAGTCTACACACTATATTTCCATCTGTTTTCTCATCTGGTCTGCCCGACAGCCTTGGGTGCAGGTGGAGTTGAGATTCGAGTCTCATCTTACAGATGAGAGACCTGGAGCTCACAGAGGTGAGATGACTTCCTGGAGACTGGAACTGAGTAGAGGGGTAGCATCTTGCCCTGCCAGGTGCCATCCCAGCAACTACCAAGCTGAGGACCAAGTTGCAGATGGTAAGTCAGACTGAACCACTCAGTGTACCCACATATACCACCCATGGTTGCTGCTGAGCCTTGGTCACACGCTCCATGCCAGGCTCTTTGCCCATGTGGTCTTGTCTAATCCTCACAGCAACTCTGAGGCAGGTATGGTTGTAAAGTTACAGATGAGGCGGTAAGGCTCAGAGAGGCTGAGTAATTGCCCCAAATCACCCAGCCAGTGAGCAGCACAGCTGCCTTCCTAAGAGTCCCAAAGATTTACCCTTCCTTTGCTCCCACCTGGAGGGGGAGCTCATGCCCTCACTAACCCCTGAGAGACCCACTCATCATCTATTTCATTCCAACTCATCTTCAAGGCCCAGCTCCCTTGCCACCTCCAAGAAGCCCTCCCTGACCACTCTGGTGACTCCCAGGCATTCACCCTTCTCTTTCCCCTGCACTCACTTATGGGACCTTCCTGTCTGGATCTCCCTGGTGATCTTAATCACAAGGCGCTCGGGAGAAAGGGAATTCTCCTTTGTGGCCAGGGCTTGTCTTTCCAATGTGGGTTTACCTCTTTCTAAATAAATATTTTTCAATGCAATGGCAAAAGAAAAGTGTGTTTATTATAAAAATAAAAAGTGGGCCAGCCGCGGTGGCTCCATACCTGTAATCCCAACACTTTGGGAGGCCAAGGTGGGCAGATCACCTGAGATCAGGAGTTCAAGACCAGCCTGGCCAACATAGTGAAACCCCATCTCTACGAAAAATACAAAAATTAGCTGGGTGTGGTGGTGCATGCCTGTAATCTCAGCTACTCGGGAGGCTGAGGCAGAAGAATCGTTTGAACCTGGCAGGCGGAAGTTGTAGTGAGCCGAGATCAAGTCTGGCTGCACTCCAGTCTGGGCCACAGAGCAAGACTCCATCTCAAAAAAATAAATAAATAAATAAATAAATAAAAAATAAAAAGTGTACAGAACCACTAGGCTAGTGGTTTTCCTTTCTTTAACTCCACCATATAAGGTAGGACAATCATTCCACAAACCTGAAGTTCTGTCTTAGAGTGGGCTCCCCAAGAAGCCGCCTCTGAGATGAGAATTTGAGTGCAAGTCATGTATTCGTGAGGTTTATTTGAAATCATTGACTGGTAGTTGAGTGGGGAAGTGGGACGGGGAATGGAAGTTGCCCAACAAAGAGTGTGTTTCCAACAGGTGACCACTGCAGGCAACCGGGGCTCAATCTAACTGGGAGCTCTGGGAGGCAGCACAGAACACACACGTATGAGGAAAACAGTTTTTCCTTCTATATTCTCAGCACCTGTGATGCCAGATATCTGGGGTTTTTTTCCCCATACCAACCAGTTCTCCAACTTTCAGTACACCAGCTGAGTCTCGCAATTCAATTATGGCACTAGCTACCCAGAGTTAGTGCAGAGCCCATGGTTTAAGGGTTCAGTCCTACAAGATTTCCCCCCACTTCAGACGCCAATCGCAAGGTGGTCCTCAGGTAACCCGTACTTCTGTCCCACTTGGCTCCAAATCAGGGGTTCCTGTGACCCACTCCTTGGATTCCGTAATTTGCTATTGTGGCTCCCAGAGCCACTGTGACTCACAGAAAGTGTTCAGGGAAATGCATTTACACTTTATTATAAAGGATATAATAACAGTTACAGATGAATAGCCAAATGAAGGGATCCGTAGGGTGAGTTCCAGAAGAGTCCTGAGCACAGGAGCTTCTGTCCCCATGGATTTGGGGAGCACCACTCCCCTGGCACATGGATGTGTTCAGTATCTTGGAAGCTCTCCAAACCCCATACTTTAGGGATTTTTACAGAGACCTTATCACGTAGGCATGATATATGAACTCAACCTCCAGCCTCTCTCCCCTCCCAGGAGGAGGGAAGGTGGGCATGAAAGTTCCAAGATTCTGCTGGGCGCGGTGGCTCACGCCTGTAATCCCAGCACTTGGGGAGGCTGCAGCAGGCAGATCACGAGGTCAGGAGATCGAGACCATCCTGGCTAACATGGTGAAACCCCATCTCTACTAAAAATACAAAAATCAGCTGCACGTGGTGGCGGGTGCCTGTAGTCCCAGCTACTAGGGAGGCTGAGGCAGGAGAACGGCGTGAACCCAGGAGGCAGAGCTTGCGGTGAGCTGAGATCATGCCACTGCACTCCAGCCCGGGAGACAGAGTGAGACTCTGCCTCAAAAAAAAAAAAAAAAAAAAAAGAAAGTTCCAAGATCTAATCACAGCTGTGCCTTTCTGGTGACCACCCCCCATCCTGAAGTTATCCAGGAGCCCATCAAGAATGGCCTCATTGGAACAAAAATGCTTCTAGCCCCAGGAAATTCTGAAGGATTTAGGAGCTCTGTGTCAGGAACTGACACAGATTAGAATATTAGAATAAAATATTTTATTAGTATATTCTAATAAATATTAGAATAAAAGATGCTTCTAGATTATTAGAATAAAAAATGTTCCTAGCACCCCTATCACTTAAGAAATTACAAAGGTTTTAGGAGCTCTGTCCAGAAGCCCAAAATATATATTTCTTATTATTTCACAATTTCATAGCACGCCTCATAGTTATCTTTCCCAAGGGACAAGGGACCTGGGGTGTTTATCTGCCAATTCCCAACAGTCATGGTTTGAGGGTTACTTCTGTGGGGGAATTGATTCCCTGGCACTTCTGGGCTGCCACATGGGCAGGGCAGGCTCCAGCAGTCACAGAGAACCCTCAGGCAAAGAGACAAGTTGCTGGAAGCTCTGGGGAGCCGGACACCAGCAGCATCTGCCACAGGTACCTGTGTGTACCAGGCTCATGGAGACACAGCAGTGAGAAAAGTCGACCAGGTGTCCACACACAGGGAACTTGTAACCTAATGGGGTAAACAGATATTTATGAAACATGATGCAAGCCTATAATAACAGATATCATTATAAATGAGCCTAAGGAAATGTTTGTGGTTCTGGCGACAGATGGCCAGGATTGGACTCCCAAGTCTGCCTCTAGTTTAGAACAAGTTACTTAGCCTCTCTAGGGCTCAGTTTCCTCAACTGTAAAGTGGGAATTATAAATGTAGCAACATCTTAGGGTTGTTTTGAATTCATTTAAATTAATGCACATAAAACTTTCAGCACAAGGGGGTCACAGAGGACACCTGATGATTGCTAACTGGTGTTATGATCATCATGTTTCATGTAATTAGACTTCAAAGAGCAGTTTGGCCAAGTCTGGGCTGCAGGGGCTTCTATTGGCTTTTCATGGGGCCCCAATGCCACACAGCATAAGGAGACTGCTGGCCGGGCACGGTGGCTCACACCTGTAATCCAAGCACGTGGGGGGCCGAGGCGGGTGGATCAGCTGAGTCAGCAGTTTGAGACCAGCCTGACCAACATGGTGAAACCCAATCTCTACTAAAAATACAAAATATAGCCAGACGTGGTGGCGCACGCCTGTAATCCCAGCTACTTGGGAGGCTGAGGCAGGAGAATCACTTGAACTCGGAAGGTGGAGATTGCAGTGAGCTGAGATCACACCATTGCACTCCAGCCTGGGCAACAAGAGCGAAACTCCATCTCAAAAAAAAAAGAAACTGCTGAGGCCAGTAGGAGAATGGCTCTGTCATGGCACCCTGGTGGCCCTCCACACATCCACACAGGCAAAGGCTTCGATTTCAATTAACCTAAGATCAACAACAGCCATCATTTTTCTGGTACCTTATGCTGGGTTTGGTTGAGGCTTTACTCATTTAATCCTCACAATAACCCTATGAGGTAGGTATTTGCTTCAGAGGTTAAGTAACATGCACAGAAAGGTTAAATAAGTTGCTTAAGATCTCACAGTTCATAAAGGCAGAGCTTGGATTGAGCACCTAGGCCTAAGTGCTCAGCTGCTGATGGGAGGTAGGGGTGGGGAGAGGCATTCACAGACAGAAGTCTGGCTCATTGTGGCCTGGGCTGGTCCTGCATGGGTCCCGAGCTCTGCCCGGTGGTGGTGGGGAGAAGTATGCTCAGTGTCCTGGCCCTAACCTGGGCCCTTTCTATCAGCTCACAGGAAGGGAGGAAGAGCCAGGGCCTGAGCCCGCTTGGCCACACAGCCCTGCTCCTTGCTAACCCGGCTGACCCTAGATCCCAAGCCGAGAAAAGAAGGAGCTGCCCTCTCCTGGCCCCATCTGCCGGCGGCCCCTGGTTGTGGCCACTGGTGGTCTCTGGTGGCTGGGCTTGCTGCCGGCAGGCAGCTCACACAGCTGCTGTGCACAGCAGCCAGACTCCCCCAGCAGCTCCCCAGGGCCAAGAGAACGTTCCAGGACAGCTTGGAGTCATTAGGCACTCTCTGCTTACTGCTCGTGGTGAAAGGCCGGCTTCAGATCCAGGGCCTCTTCTGCTGCCCGCCTTTCTCTCAATCACTGGAATAGCTGGCAAACCCCCACAGCCCTGTGGGGAAGGGGGCAGGGATGATGTTCAGCTGTCCAACATTGCTCCCATCCCTAGCTTTGTTCCACTCTGCTCCCCCATGGCTTCTGCTCCCACTGTCCAGCTTGAGCCACTGTGGCCTTTGGAAGACAATGAAAGGAAGGCTGGGCTCCAGTGTTGAGTCTGCTGTGTGGCTTTGGGCAGGTCACATAACCTCTCTGGGTGTTTGTCATTGCTTGTCAGTGGGAACTTCTGGTCCCTGCTTTCCCTCCTCCTTTGTGGAGATGAGGAAAGCATGTGTGAAAAACATTGACATGGGAAAGCAGATGCTCACAGAGGCTGGAACACATGTTATCTGAGGGTTCAGGCCTTGGTCACCTCAGAGGACACTGAAGCACACGGCTGAACGGGTGTTCAGGAGCATCCACCTTATTTTAAAAGGAGGAACCTGAGGCCCAGCCACTAACTGAGAAATCTGGGGTTGGAAGCTGGCCTTCTTTCCACTGCCCCACCTTGTCATTTGATGAAAGTGATGAGGAGCATTTGCTTAGAGGGCATTGTGTGCTGGACAGTGTCTGCGAGCTTGCCATGGACTATGTCCACTAATTTTTATAATACGAGGAGGGGATTAGTGGCGTCCAGGCAGGAGGCCCTTTGGCAATGGTGGGCTGTGTTTACTTAAGTAGCAGTGTTTCCTAGGCCCAGGAAACCTAAGAGAAATCTGAAAAGATGATCTTTCAGGACTTGCTGTCCAGTTGGATAAGAGACAATATAGGGATGCTTTCTGGGACCCCAGGAGCACGCCTGCCTTCTGGGCCCAGTGTGGCTGTGATGGGGCATGAAGTGGGTGCTTCTCCCACACTCTCTTCTCAGCTTGTGCTGGGAGAGGGGGTAGCACAGGGCAAGGTGGCAAAGTCTCCAGTTAGTGCCAGGCACAAAGTTTCCCAGGGGAGGAGGCATTGATACAAAGCAGGGAGAATAAACCCAGGGGCATCACCAACTCCATTTTGAATCCCAGATCCACCATTCACTAGCTGTGCAACTCTGGACACATGACATAACATCTCTAAGCCTCAGTTTCCCTACCTGTAAAACAACCCCTTGCAAGGATTTGCAATAACTCATGGGAAGCGTTGGACACTCAGCGAGTTGGGAGCTACAATGGAGCCATTGAAGCAAGGACATTGAAGCGGGTGTGGTCAGCTCAGTCTGGAAAGGAAACGTGAGCTATGCAGAGGATGGCTGGGAAGGAGCAGGTAGCAGGTATCAGGGCTCTTTCAGTCTCTCTCACACCCTTGTTGAGGGAGCTGGCCACTGCTCAGACTCCTCTTGGCCAGGGGCTCCTGAGGACCCAGGCCGAGCCCAGCTCAGCCAGACAAGCTCTGGCAGAGGCCCCACTTTCTCCTCCAAACAATGTTGTTCTCCCAGCCAAGGGCAGCAAGAGGTGGGCCAGGAAGCTGACAGCACCAGGGAGGCTTCCTGGCTCCCCTGCCCTGCCCAGCCCAGCCCTCCATGTTGGGGTACATCCCCCAGTCTGGTCTGGCTGCCAAAGGTCTGTAAGGCAGAAACAGAGTTACACCACCACCGCCTCTCACGTCCTCAGCCTCCAGCTGGTCAGACTCTCGGGAGGGGCCTGGCAGCTCAGGTGGCTCTGCACCTTCTGTCCTTGAGCTAAGGGACCCCAACGAAGGCAGAACTGAGTCACTCTCCTCTTCTTCAGGCAAAGGCTGGGGGCTGAGGGCTCTGGCCTCGGGTTCCCTCGCTCATCTCAGAGGCTCTGAGACATAGAGCCCCTCTCAACATGGTCCTGTGAGCGTGTGCATGGAGTGTACACGTGGACATGTGTGTATGTGTGTGCATGTGAATGTATGTGTGAGGGCACACATGCATGTGTGTGAATGCGCATGTGTGTGTGTGAATGTGCACACAAGGATGTGGATGTATGCACATGAGTGCATATGGTGCATGTGTGGGCAGGGAATCTGGAGACTGGAGCTTCCAGGGCTGCTGGTGGCTGCAGCAGGCTGAGGGTGATGAGTAAGCTCACCTCCTCTTGCTCTCCTGGCATCCACTGAGTCCCAGAGTTGGGCCATGGGTGCCGTGGCGACCCAATGCATGAGAAAGACCCCATCTCTCCCTCTTGGGGTCACGTTCTGGTGAGGGGAGACAGGAATACACAAATAAACCAACAACACGATGTCAGAGAATAATGCAGGGTGAGAAGAAAATGGAATGGGGGCTGTGGTGGGCATCCTGTCCTTTTCTTCTTCCTCCTCTTCTCTGATTTTGGGAGTGCAGCATGGAATGAAAAGTGAGGTATGAGAGCAAGGGGGTGATGAAACACTTCGGCGTGGTGGGTGAGGGGTCCGGGAAGACCCACATGCTGACGCTTCCTGGCCTTGTCAGCTTGTCCCCCAAGACACTCCCCTGGGATGAAGGACAGGAAGCCCAGGTCTTGCCCCTGAGGTCTGGTGGCCCTCGCTCCTACCAGGCAGAGCTGCCATCCTTGGCTCGTCCGGAAGCCAAAGGCATCCCCACTCTTCCATTTCTGAGTCTGGTAGTTTGCTGCTGGGGAGAAAAATGAAGAAGAAGGAAAAAGGGGAAAATCCCATTTCAATTCTTTGGTCAAAGCACAAGTTTCTCTCCTCCCTTTCTTCCCTTCCTCCCTCCCTCCCTTTTTTTTCTTTTATTTTCTTCCTTTCCCCCAAGAGTAGAAAGAACCAGGGAATATAAACAAAAACGCTCTTAGAACAAATCAGGCCATCTTGTTCCCAAATCCCAGGAAACTCCTAGAAGCTGGGATCTGAGCAAAGGGACAAACGGAGCTGCAAGGCCAGTGGGGGTGGGAACTGGGCTGAGTCAGGGAAGGTCTGTGGGTTCCGCGGAGCCCCCAAAACAGCTGCCTTTTGGGGTCCAGATGTACTACCAGAAGGAAGGTCCAAGAGAGGCCAGAGGGGAGGGCTGAGGCTGCCTGGAGCTCACTGCATTCCTGCCAGGGTGAGTCACTGCCAGGACGCCCTGCTGTGCCGATTTGCAGCAACAGCCTTGGTGTCCCAGGACTCTTGGGCCCCCTCCAGATAGGTTCCTCCAACCCACAAAGAGCTCTCCTTTGCACATCGATGCCCAAAGGACTGTCATAATCACTCAGCCCATTTATGGCTTTGTTTTCTTCCAAAACGTAGCCCCCTGCAAGGAAAAAGCCCCAGCCATATCAATCATTTACTCTTTGATATAAATGAGTCATCCAGCCCTTTTCCAATGGCAGGTTTGAATGAGAAGAAGAAACAGAGCATGAGGACGCTGCATTTCACAGAGCAAGGGACCCCAAGGAAGGCATGGACCTTTCGTGGAGGTTGGGGGTTGCATGAGGGGGAAGATCCAGAAAAGGCAGAGGAGGAGCTGGACACGGCATCCTCAGACTCAGGGTGGGCCAACACCGCCCTGAATGAAACCAAGGCTTTGCAAGACCAACATAAACCAGAGCTCAGCAAGTTTATTTTCTCATGAAGAGCGAATTCTGTGAAAGACAGAGCTAAGTCTTATCAAGCACTGACTAGGTACCAGGTACCTCCCAAGTGCTGTTCCTGCAGTAAAGGAATTCTCACAACCCCCAGAGAGAGAATGGACACTCAGAACCGGTTGGAGCAAGAGGCAGCGCTGGGAGAGGGATCCGCACCTGCCGCTTCTGGAGAGCTTGCTTTCCCACCACACTACGCAGCCTCTGGAACCAGGTTGTTTGCAGCACAGGTGGGCTGATTCCAGGGTCTTATGACCCTGCAAGGCTGGAGGTTGTAAGGCTTAGAGATGGGAAATGACCTGACCAAGATCACACAGCAAAATACCACATGGGCACCCCACAGCCTCACTGCTGCCCAGATTGGTATAGCAAGCATGCCCTTGTCTGAGTCACTAGTGACTTGCTATTGAATGAATGAATGAACCAACAAATGAAGAAATGGGAACAGAGGCTCAGGGAGGTTCCATGTCTGACCCGAGGGCATATGTTTGGGATTCTCAGGGCAAGCCTCCTCAGAACCAGCTGTCCCAGTCCTGCCCAGCCTCTATACAGCACTTGGCTTCTTCTCCTAGCAATTCTCCTATTTTGTCACATTTGAGTTCACAGCCTCCAGAGCGACGTAGGGCCTTGACTTCCTGTTCCTGATGGGCAGGAAAGGTCATGCAGCTCATTAGTGGTGGTGAGGTTGGTGCTGTGTCCCCATCTCTAGCCAATCATACCAAACAGTGGTTGGTCTCTGTGACCCTGTCCCCACCATGCCTGGACTATGAAATCAAAGGGGTTTTCTTGACCCTAAAGGACAGTCAAGCCTGATTCAGGAAGAAGGGCTTGGACATCCACCCGTTTCTCCACGGCGTGCCTCCCCTTTCCAAGCAGCATTTTAGCGTTGTTCACCCAGACCTTCAGACTTCATGGCCAGCTCATTAAGGGATCATGGGTGCAAACAGCCTGTTGACCTCAAGGGAGAAAGTAGAGGGTTTTCCAGGAAAGGGGTGCTGGTGAGAAGATCTCCTCTCGCACTTGTGGCTCAACTTCAGTGAGTTGGATGCCCAGAGGCACTTCCTCTTCAGGGTGTTGGTGCCTCCCTGTTTCCTGAGCTATGGCAGCTCAGAGGGGCAAAGCAAAGGTTTCCAGCCTAGAGAGAGCAATGCTGCACCTTTGCCAGCCGTAGCCCATAGCTGCTTATTCCATCTCACCAAAGTGCAATCAACAAGCACTCACTGGGCACCTACTGCATGTCAGGCACTGTAGTGGGCCCCCCAGGTCCAAAGCTGGGTGAGGAACCAGACTGCCCAGGGTCAGTCTTAGGTTCCCAGCCAGGCTATCAGCATATCATCCTGATGGCAGGGACCACCTTCCATCTCTCCTAGCATCATGCACTGGGGCGGGACTGGCCTCATGGGGGAGGCCAGTATAGAAAGGATGATGGGTTAGATTGCATTTATCTCCATTGTTGAAGGGATTTCTTTCAGACATCTTGAGTTCTTCCAGCCTAAAGCCTGGAGGTTTTTTTGACTGTGGAAGTGCACAGGGAGGGGGGGGGTCTTGGAAGGAGCATGGGATCTTGGAAGGAAGAGACCAGAGAAAGAGCTTTCTCACTAGAGCACAACAGAGAGGTTAGGAGGGCAGGCTGTGGAGTCAGACAGCCTTGTCTGAAACCATGGCTTCTCATCAGGCTGTGTGGCCATAAGTGAGTTACTGAGCCTTGCTGAGTCTTAGTCTCCTCATCTGTAAAATGAGGACAATAAGAATACTTCCCTCATAGAATTGCTGTGAGCCTGAACAGAGCTAATATGTGCAAGGGCTTAGTTCAGTACCTGGCACATATTGAGGGCTGGATAAATAGGAGCTATTATTTTCCCATCGGAATAGAGGAAATATTCCGGCCCCAATGCCATCACTGGATATCAGGCCTGAAGGCACCCTCCAGAGCAGTTATTCCATTATGGCCATTCTACAAAATGGAAGACTGACGCCCAGATATGGGAAGCTGCCTGCCAAAGGTCACATGAGTTGCTAATAAAATGCAACATTAGGGTCAAAATCCCAGTCTGCTGACTCCCCAGTTGGTGCCTTTTTCACTCTCTTTTGCCCAGAGTTGGTAGAGTGGACTCAAAGAACCCCTTAAATCCATATCCCAGGCCCCCCTTCTTCTCCAGCTCCCAGCACAGTGGGGAGATTGGTGGGCTGTGCCCCCTCTTCCCCTGGTAAGAGCCTCAGAAGCTGATTCCACTCTGAGCCAAGGAAGTCTGGAGTGTGCAAAGGTGTCTCTCCAGGCCCTGAAGCCAGGAGTGACATCAGCAAGGCACAAACATCAAGGAGCAGCAGCTCCCTTCCTGGAGCTCTAGTCCCCACCTCTCCCAGCCTACCTCTGGTCCATCCCCATGGCTGTCTGTGCTAGGCTTCTGGGAGATGAAAGGAAGCCAGACATTAATGGTGACAGGTGAGGCAGTCATTGTGCCTCTGGCACCTGAGCACAAGCTTCCCTCCCAAGATGAGACTGCGGAAGCTGGCCTGAAGCCTGGGCTCTGGGCTGGGGGTCCCATCACGGGGCATTTGGCACCCAAGGGAAATGTGGGTACAGACAAAACATCCCTTCTTGCACCTGGAGTCTTGTCTCTGGCCAAACCTTTTTCCTGCTCCTTCTCCCTTGCCACCACCTCATATTTGTCAAAATTCCAGCTTGATGACATGAAACTCACACATATGGCCAAGGAGGAAGCAGAGGGAGACATGGTTATCATCAGCCTGGTCCATAGGAAGTGGAGAGTCAGCTTACTGTCTTGAGGAGCCACTAGCCCTGAGTGCTAGTGTAGGCTCTGCACAAATCCCCCATGTGGCCTAGGACAAGTCAAAGCTCAACTCTGGGATTGTCTCTGCAGCCAAAATTCATTTAGAGGCTCCTCCAGGGCCAATACTCTAGTATTCTTTAATGACGCCTGCCAGGAAGCCTCAACTGATAACCAAATACTAAGCCCTCAACCCACGCTGTGTACCTACTAACTGCTTTACCCTGGTCTTCTGGCAGGATAGGTATATCAGCTAGCTAGTGCCTCAATAATGCTGCATAACAAATGATCCCAAACTCAGTGGCTTAACACAAAAATCAGTTATTCTCAAGGAGGCTGGCTGTGGCTCAACTAATCCAGGCTGGGCTTGGCCAAGGGGCTAGGCCCTAGGCTGCTTCTTGTTGCAGGTCTCTGGGTCAGCTGGGGACGTTCTGCTCCCAGAGACACTGTGTCTCTCATCCTCCCAGGACAAGGAAGTAGCTAGGACATGCTCCTCTCATGGCAGCTATAAAAGCAGAAGAGGAAAGCAGGCACACAGGAAGCTTCCCAAGGAGCCAGTAAATTTTCACTTCTGCCCAGAGTCAAGAAGCAGAGACACAGGCTCCACCATGACGATGCCGTGGCAAGGCCTGGCTGGCGGGGCCAGTGAAGATCGGTGCCGGTCATCCAATCTACTGCATGAAAATGATTCAGCCTCTTTGATATGGAAGTCAGATTTTCCTTTCCTTTTTTATTTCTTTGTTACACTGGAAGAGATGTAATACAAATATGTCCCCTCACTTCCTCATTTGAGTCTTCCAGAGTTGAGTATTAGGCCCTCCTTATCATCAAGCAAAAGAAATGAGTTTTTCAATGTCTGGGAAGGTTGTCAGGTGATAGAAGTGAAGAGAGGGTTTAAAATAGGGAGGGATTTCCCCAGAGTCTAAGATCAGAGGTTGGGGAAAGTTTGGAACCCAATTTTGGGAAGGTTGCCCAAGAAGAGTCAAGTGAGCTGACTTGGCAGGAGGCTTCACTGAGAAATAATGTTTGGGGGTCCAGGAGCCACATGGGCCCTGAGACACACCTGACAACCTAAAAACAGGGAATTCCCATCACTCTGGTGCAGGCCAACAATGATTGACCCATGACTTTGCTTGAGTCCCTTATGAACTGATCATCAGTCCAGAGAGAAACAACCCCCCAGGCCACTGGGCTTTGCTGAGCTGATGGCTGATGAAAATCCCATCACCTACCCCCAAGGTACATAGGAGGACGTCTGCCCCATCACCGGTGGGGTCTAGGATAAGCATACAAATGGGGTCCCACATGCCATATGCTAGAAGTTTTCTCCTCACCATCTGATTCAAGCTGGGAAACATCTGTCTCCAAGGGGCCTCCCAGTCCCCCACCTACAGGGGCAGTCCAAGAAGGCTAAGGCATGGCCCTTGCCTGCTCAGAGTCCTCTACCCAGATGGGAAACCTAGCCTATGTTCAGGAAGCATCAAAAAGCCACATCAGAGGAAATGTCTCCTTAGAGCAACCAAAGACCTTCACAAGGCATAAGTGATCACCAGCATTAATGGAAGCATCGGAATGTGAGGACAGAGAATCGGCGGCGCATGGAGCTCCTTCGGGTTATTTGTTCAACACCTACCTCAGGCCAGGCTCTGTGAGAGCACCCGGAGCCAGTGTTGAATGAGATGTGGTTTCTGCTTCCGAGATACCCACCATCTTAAAAGAGAGCTCCAGGGAGGCTTCATGGGCGGGAAGGGATTTCACCTACATTTGAAAGAACAGGAAAAACTGGGGTAGACAGAGGGGGAGGTGGATGCTTTCCAGGCAGTAGAACGCAATCCCTGGAAGGAGAGAGGGACTTCCTTCCACAGGAAATTTGGCTTGCAAGAGTTCCACAGGAAAGGGTGATGGGTGGTTAAAAGGAGTGCCCTCTAATGGTGACATTTTGATAAGTATGGCAACTAGAGGAGAAGGGCCTATCAGATACCAACCATGCCACCCACATCCACAGTCACCCCCCTGTGTGGTTCTGGTCCCTGCTGATGGTCATGGCCTGGACACATGTTTCAGCAAATTCTCAGGTCCATGTCATGCTCTTTCCACATTTTTTCCTCCTAAAGCCATGGTTTCTGCTTCTGGAAATATAATCCCCCTTCTGAGAGAAGTGCTATGGAAACCTCACCACAAATACACTCCCTTCCCTGATGGTACTAATTGAAGGAAAGGGCTGGTGGAAAAATGATTTTACCGAAACACAGTTTTTATTATTTTTAAGTTAATCCACTTACTCGAGTGAACTAACCACGAGGCACTCCACAGCAATGGTTTGTAGGGGACCTGCTGGAAGAGATTGATTGCGGATTCATTCAGTCATTCAACATTTTACTGGGCAGCCACCAATGGCCAGAGGCTGGGGTACAAGGTTAAGTCAGTCTCAGTGTCTGCCCTTAAGGAGCTCAGTCTGAGAGGGAGATAGACACATTCCCATGAGTATCAAGCAGAGTGGTCACTACAGCAAGAGCCCTGTGCATGGAGTATTACCAGAACACAGAAGAGGAGAACTGAACAAGGTTGGAGGGTGGGGTCACCAGGGAAGGCTTCTAGGAGGAGGAAAATGGGAGCTCATGCTTTTGGAGGAATAATAGATACTTACAGGAGAAAAGCGGGGCCGGTAGGATGGAGCCGGCTGAGAGATAACCTGTGCAAGAGTCATAACATGCAGAAAGGCCCAAAGGGGAGGAAAAGTGGGATTAACCAAGAAAACACTCCCAAATTGGAGTTGATGGGATGTAACGTGAAGACGGGTAGTGGCAAATGTTGGGTCTGGAGCGGTCAGCAGAAGCCAGACCCTGGAGGCCTGTAAGCCTTGGTAAGAGTTTGGACTTCATCATGTAAACGTGAAAGGTTCCAAGCAGGGGAGAGATATAGATAATTTTGTGTTTTAGAAAAGGTGCTGGTGCAGAAGTGGTATGAAGGATGCATGGAAGCTGGGGGATCAGCTGGGAGTAGGAGAGAAATGTCAGGAGACTGTCCTAGAGAAGTGGTTGGGGGAATGGAGAGAAGGGGATGTATTTGAGAAACACTTAGGGAGCTAAAATAGTAGGTCTTGGTGGTTTTCAGATACAAGGACAGAAGAAAGAGGGAGAATCTTAGGATGAAAGCCAGACTTACAGCATGAGTGGAAGGTGCTACCCTTGACTGAGATGAAGTATTCTGGGTGAAGGAAGTTTAGGAGGGGAAAACTAGGATCCATTTTGGATGTGGGGTTGGAGGAAGCTGCGGGTGGGACTTCCAGTGGCAATGACCAGCCAGCAGGTGAATATCTGGACTCACCCCTATGGAGGAAGATGCAGGCTGGAGTTAAGACCTGAGGGGCATGAGCTTTAGGAAGCACAGAAGGGGAGGGGCCCACCTATGCGTTCATCAAGGTGATGTAGGTTGTGAGGAACAGAACACACTCAAAAGTTGCTCAAACAATAAGATCATTTATTTATTTATTTCATTTGAATACATTTGGAAGTAGGTGCTTAATCCATTTGGAAGTAGCTTCTTCGTCATCTCAATATGATATTGGGGACCCAAATCTTTACCTATTTCAGCTCTGCCACCTCAGTTCATCCGTAAGCATATGCCTTGTGATAACATAGAAGGCAGATGACATACCCAAAGGATGGGTAGCCCCAGGGGAAGAGATTAGGAAACAATTTGTTCACAGATGAAATGCCTGTCTTTGGCTGTGTTTAGTAGGATACAAGAAAGGAATAGGCTCAGAAAATAATTGGCCTGTTAAGAAGCAGAATTGAAAAGGGAATTAAATGTCCACTAGTTAGTGCTTGTGGGGTTGGAAGAGGCAACTGCTTCCTAACCCTAAGGCTGATTTAAACTTATCCTGTGTGGACTTCTGCTGTGGACAATGATGGAATAACAGATACTGGGCCTAGCCGTCACCCACCATAAACAAGTAGAACACTGGATAAAATATATGAAACAGCTGTTTTCAGACACTGACTAACCCTCAGAATGGGACTGTGTTCCCTGAGAGAAAGTGAACAAATAAGATGAACTCCGTGATCAACCTGACTTTTTGGCCAGAGGCATTTAGCAGACCATGGGTCTAGGACGAGGAAGGAGAGCAGAGCACAGAAGCCTCACTGTTTTGAGGGGTCAGAGATCACAATTCCAAGAGCTGTGCAGCTGGAATTTGTGGAGCAGAATACTGAAGAGACATATGCAGAGAAAGAGCTTCAGAAACTGCATAGGAGGCACTTTGAGTCTTTGGCTAAAAATTAGGTGTGCATGAGTAGGATGAGATTCCATGAGGTTGGACAAAGAACAAATATTGGAGAAAGAGTACTTATTTGGGAGTTGTAAGCTGAACAATATTCTGTGCTCAGAGTTGGGAGATGTTCAAGTTCGGGCCAACCAGAGTGGAGAGACCTCATTGAGCCCTCAGAATATTTAGTGGAAAACTCAGAAAGGCTGCACCGTAGGAGTAGAGCTAAACTAACAAGCCTCCATCCTAGAGTGAAGGCTATCCTAGACCCATCTTAAGTTTAAAGACAAGTCTTGAAAGGACCAAGCCAATCTTCAAATAAGTTGCTGGAATAAAACTCAACACTCTTTAAAGAAAGATAACAGGCTGGGTGTGGTGGCTTACACCTGTAATCCCAGCACTTTGGGAGGCCGAGGTGGGCCGAGGCAGGCCTGAAGTCAGGAGTTCGAGACCAGCCTGGCCAACATGGCAAAACCCCGTCTCTACTAAAAATACAAAACTTATCCAGGCGTTGTGGTGGGCGCCTGTAATCCCAGCTACTCAGGAGGCTGAGGCAGGAGAATTGCTTGAACCTAGGAGGCGGAGGTGGCAGTGAGCCAATATCGTGCCACTGCACTCCAGCTTGGGCAACAGAGGAAGACCCTCTCTCAAAAAACTATATCTTTGAAAAAATAATGGCCAAACATTTTCCAAATTTGATGAAAACTATAAACCCATAGATCCAAGACACTCAATGAATTTCAGTCAGGATAAACACAAAGAAAACTACACCAAGGCACATCAAGTAAAAATGCTAAAAACAAATGATGAAGCAAAAAACTTGAAATGCAGCCAGAGAAAAATCTTAGCCTGGTGGCAAGGATCAAATTGATGATATCATTGTCATATCCATTATTGAAAATTGCGAATGGACTAAGAGATGAATCTTTTTTATTAGACATGCTGACTCAGGCAAAGAGACTGGAGGAAATGTGCTCACACCTAAGTCTGATAGGTTTAAGTTACTTACAATAAAGTATGCCAAAACTTACTGGCTTAAAGAAAGTAGAGTTCCCAGCACTTTGGGAGGCCGAGGCGGGTGGATCACGAGGTCAGGAGATCGAGACCATCCTGGCTAACACAGTGAAACCCCATCTCTACTAAAAAATACAAAAATTAGCCGGGCGTGGTGGCAGGCACCTGTAGTCCCAGCTACTTGGGAGGCTGAGGCAGGAGAATGGCGTGAACCCGGGAGGCGGAGCTTGCAGTGTGCCAAGATTGCACCACTGCTCTCTAGCCTGGGCAACAGAGCGAGACTGTCTCAAAAAAAAAAAAAAAAAAGAAAGAAAGAAAGAAACTGGAGGTCAATGTGGACAAGAGAGAGGTTCAGAAAATTTTAAATGTATGTTTAAAATTAAAACTATGGATGAGGCTACTGGTATATGGAATTTTCCAGAATCAAATAGATAAGAAGACTGTTACATTTTAAAGTTAGTTATATTGCACCTTTCCCCTCCCCGCAAAAATCAGGCGCTTAGACTTAAACCGTTGTTCAAGGTTTAACTCTTGGGCTTGCAAAATTCTACAGTTTGAGAAAACTACTCAGCCCCCAAGAAGGGCATATTTTCCATGCTTACCTTATCCCAGGAGGATAATGGGGGGAAAATGTACTTTCCAGAATGGCAAATTGTGTAGCTCCAAAAATCACGCCTGCATGATGACACTTAAAAGCTGGAAGGCAGAAGGAGAGTCTTTCACTCATCTCCCTCTTTTTATCAGAGAGAAACCTTTCTCAAAACACCCAGGAGTGCTGCTGGGCCTGCAGGTCTCTGTCGAGCCTCTGTCCCACAGGATAGAGTTTGTTAAAGTTGTTAAGAATAAGTCCTACTTTAAGAGGTACCAAGTGAAATTTAGAAGAAGATGATAGGGTAAAACTGATTATTATGCTCAGAAACACTGGTGATACAGGATAAAAATAAACATGACACAGCCAAATACAGGATGATAGTTTGTGTAACAAATAGAGATATCATTTGTCAGATTGCTTACTCCCATCTAGAAGGGGATATGATAGTCTGCACAGCATATGCACATGAACTGCCAAAATATGGCATGAAGTTTGGCCTGACAAATGATGCTGCAATGTATTGTACTGTCCTGCTGCTGGCCCACAGGCTTCTCAATAAGTTTGGCATGGAAAAGATCTGTGAACACCAAGTGGCGGTGACTGGAGATGAATACAATGTGGAAGGCATTGATGGTCAGCCAGGTGCCTTTACCTGCTATTTGGATGCAGGCCTTGCTAGAACCGCAATAAAGTTTTGGGGGCACTGAAGGGAGGTGTGGATGGAGGCTTGTCTATCCCTCACAGTACCAAATGCCTCCCTAGTTATGATTCTGAAAGCAAGGAATTTAATGCAGAAGTACACCAGAAGCATATCATGGGCCAGAATGTTGCAGATTACTCTTGCTACTTAATGGAGGAAGATGAAGATGCTCAAAAGGAATAGTTCTGTCAATACATAAAGAACGGCGTAACCCCAGACATGATGGAAGAGATGTATAAGAAAGCTCATGCTGCTATATAAGAGAATCCAGCCTGGGAGAAGAAGCCCAAGAAAGAAGTTAAAAAGAAGAGGTGGTACTGCCCCAAAATGTCCCTTGTTCAGAATAAAGATCAGGTAGCTCAAAAGAAGGCAAGCTTTTTCAGAGCTCAAGAGCGGGCTGCTGAGAGCTAACCCAATTTTGTATGAGAAATTTTCAGATAAAGACTGTAAACTTATTGACAGCAACAACAACAACAACAAAAACACAAAAATCAATAACACCTGGCAGGCTACTCCTCAGGTCCCATTGGCGGAAATTAGATCGTATGACAGTATTTCACCAACATTCATGGAACTTCACGTATAGAAAAGGCAGTCTTACTAGTTCCTAGTAACAAGTTGCCCCAAAACGTTAGTAGTTTAAAGCAATAAGCATTTATTTTGTCACCATTTCTGAGGTTTAGGAATCTGGGCACAGCTTAGCTGGATGGTTCTGACTCAAGCTCTCTTGTGAGGCTGCAGTCAAGCTGATGGGCAGCGCTGCAGTCATCTCAACTGGGGGAGGCTCCACTTCCAAGAGGGCTCACTCATATGGCTGCTAGTTGGAGTCCTTCATTCGTCACTGGCTATTGGCTGGAAGACTCAGTTCCGTGCCAAGTGGGCCTCTCGAGACACTTGAAAGCCTGAGTGTCCTCAATGTACGGCAGCTGGCTTCTCCCAGAGTAAGTGATCCATGAGACAGAATGAGAGAAAGACCAAATGGAAACCACACTGTCTTTTATAAGCTAATCTTGGACATGACATACCATTACTTCAGTCAGATTCTATTGGTCACATTGTCCAACTGGTACAATGGGGGAGGTGGCTATGCAAGGTGAACTCCAGAAGGTGGGCGTCTTTGGTGACCATCTTGGAAACTGGCTACCACAGAGCCCTTGAAGGAGACAGGGAAGACAGCAAGAGACCTCAGGTGAGCCTAAAGAGCCTGTTATCAAAGACCACAGAGAGGAGAGTTCCAGAAGAGAAGCATTCAATACTTTTTAAAATTAAAAGTGAGAACCAGAAGCTAAGCATTGAGAAATACTCATTGGATTTGTCAATCAGGGTCATTACATTCAGAGCAGTTATGAGCAACTCCAGTTGACCAGTTTGCTGTGGACTGAGGTTTGAGTAAATGCTGGGCAAGTGGAGAACTGCAGGTGTAGACTACAGGCAACCCTTGAAGAACATGGGTTTGAACTGCGTGGGTCCACTTATAAGCAGATTTTCTTCCACCTCTGCCACCCCTCAGACAGCAAGACCCATGCTTTTCCTTCCTCCTCCTCCTCCTCTTCCTCCTCCTCAGCCTACTCAAAGTGAAGACAATGAGGATGAAGACCTTTATGATGATCCTCTTCCACTTAATGAATAATAAATATGTTTTCTCATCTTTATGATTTTCTTAACATTTTCTTCTCTCTAGCTTACTTTATTATAAAGATACAGTATATAATAAATATAACATACAAAAATATGTGTTCATCAACCATTTATGTTTTAGATGGAGCTTCTAGGCAACAGTAACCTATTAGTAGTTAAATTTAGGGGGAGTCAAACTTATATGCATATTTTTTACTGCACAGTAGGTAAGCACTCCTAAGCACCACATAGTTCAAGGGTCAACCATACTTTTTTAAGAGGGCTGGATGAGACGGGGAGAAGGGATATTTGGATAAAAGCTAGAGGAAGACAGGGGAAGATTTCATTTTTTGGATGTGAGAGCTCGAGTATATTTTTAGGCAGAGGGGAAGCAGCCAGTGGACTGGGAGAGTCCAGTCCTGGAAGATCCAGGAGAGGGAAGGATGACTGATGAGGTAGCCTGTTGGAGGAGGCAGGAGAATTGGAGGTCAAAGACACAGGTGGGCTGGTTGGCTTTGAACAGAGAGACACCTCATCCTCTGAGGCTGCAGGGAGGGAGGCAGGGTGAGTCTGGCTAGGGCAAGACTTGATGGTGAGGATGCCTGGGAATTGAGAATTCATATCTGATGACCTCAACTTTCTTGGAAAGAGGAGGAGGCAAGGTTGTAGTGAGTTGAGAGTGAACAATGATGTCAATTACCGTGGTGATTGCTTACACATGAAGGAAGGTTCAGAAACAGTCTGTTCTCATCAGCAGGGCGAGCCCTTCCCTTGTGATCTCATATATACTTTCTATCTCTCAGCAAACTCATTTTTCACCATCAGTGATGTCTTCAGACAGCACGTGAGTTACCACAAGATATGGGTTAGTGGAATGGAAATGAATGAGGTGGGAGGTATCAGAACTCAGTGGATGTGAAGAATCATGACATCTTAGCAAGGCAGAGACCTCTGAGTTCTCATGCGATATTCCATCCAAGGGTCTGTCTCACCATCAATAGTTCATCCATCCTCTGCGTCATCATCCCACTGACAGTGAACTCGCTACCTTTAAGGAAGTCTTTCCATTTCCAAACATTTTCAAATCCTTAAGCTTTTCCTTCAATAGTGAAGTCTCACTCTCTGATTCCCTAAGGTCCTACAGGGAATCCTAGAGCAAGTACTACCTGGAAGCCCTTCAGAGATCTTAGTCTCTCCCCTAGAATAAATGTTCCGTTGTTCCCACCCTCCCTTATCTCATAAGATTTCCTGACCCCTCACCAGATCTGCCTTCTCCCCAAGATTTCCTCCAGGCCAATATTGGTCCTCAAGATTCAGCCATGACCTGGCTCACCTGCCTTCCTCCGAGCTCCCCAAAGTGCTTGCCTGGCAATTCGCAGCCACCCAATGTTCATGTGTAATTGATGGAAACTTATTTGAAATTCTTCCTCTCCCAGGATGGTTTGATCAGACTGGTGGTCTTGCAGGTCTTCTCATCATTCTCTGTCCAGATGTCAGGTTCCCTTGGCATCTTTGCTGTCGACAGCCTACCCAAATGAGGGGTTCATCCCAGACCATGTGCTCAAATACATTTCTGTGCCCAGACCCATTCCTAAGCATAAGTCAAATAGGTGATCAAAGACTGTATTTGAGCGTGCAGAAAGAGGCTCCAGATTCTCATTTTGGATCTGTCTGTGACTAGCAGCATTACTTTCACAGGTCTTGTCTGAGTTTCAGGGGAAACCTTGACAGAGGTTAGTGTTTGGAAATATTAACCAATGTTTTATCCCTCTGGCATTTCTCCTTTTCACACTTTGCCCCTTTCCTTCTCACCATCACCCAAATTCTGTCCTGTGCTCATTGTCTCAGAGAAGAGGTGTGACCCCAGAAAGCAGAGCAAGGAGTCTCTTGACTTTGAGTTGAAAAGTCTTGGGCCAGTGAGGCAGAAGAAAATCCCCATACCAGCAAAATTTGGAAGAAAACATGAGCAAGGCAATGCTTCCATCTCTCAGATTTGTAAAGGGGCTCCCATCTTGGGGGTGGAGTGGAAAGTTGAGAGAGGTCAGGAGTCACAAGAGTATAGATAATGGTGGTTTCCAGAAGAGGGTACCAGAGAGAACTGGAGGACCTGAGAGGAGACGAGACCTGGGTCCCATTATCCAGAGAGCACTGGGAGGTGGCAAGACCCCAGGCAAGAGAAATAGCTTCATGGACTGTTCCAGCAGCAAAGTCCTAGTCAGCCTGGCAGAGCTTTCCCAAACACTAGCATGGACCTGGAAAACAGAATGACCTCATTGCTCGTAAGAGCAGCATGGGACTGGACAAGAAGAGCAGATCAGCAAGGGCCCTGCAAACGGACAACCTGCAGGGACCAATGAACAAGGACAGGCACAGTGATGGGCATCACAAATGACATTGAAGACTAGGTGCCTGGACGCCCCTTGAGCCTCCAGGAAGTTAGATGCCACTACGGAAAAGAAGAGAGACTCCATATTGACAGTGATTATGTTTTTACCATGGTGGCAGCCTGCCACCTGCCCCTGAGCAGCTTTATCCACACCTGGACTTGCTGTAGAAGATGAGATTGTGGACTTTGAGTTGATGCCATAATGGGATGAGACTTTTGAGGAGCTTAGGAAGGGGTGAGTATATTTTGCACGTGGGAGGGTCTTGCATCATTGCAGCTAGAGGGAGCACTACAGTAGTTAGCCTCCAGTGATCTTCATATTCTGATATTCATGCCTTTGGTAGTCCCCTCCCACATTAAATCAGGACTGACTTGTGTGACCAATGGAACGCAGCAGAAATGAGATTGTGTGGCATCCAAGGGCAGACCATAAAAGACATTGCAGCCTCCACCTTGGTCTCTTGGATACCTAGCATTGGGGATAGACAGCAGCCATGTGTTGGGGATACTCAAGAAGCCTTGGAGTCCACATGGAGAGGAACTGAGTCCTGCCACGAAACACCATTGAGCCACCTTAGAAGTGGATCCTCAAGCCCCAGTCAAGCCTTTAGATAAGTATAGCCTGGACTGACCTCTGACTGCAGCCTCACATGAGACCCAAGCTAGAACTTCAGCCAAGTCACAAATAATTTCTGATGCATAGAAATTGTGAAAGATCATGAATGATTATTTTTGTTTTAAATCACAAAGTTTTGGGGGATTTCTTATGCAGTATTTGATCACTAATTCATCATCACCCACTATCAGAGCTTCCAATGTTTTTATCCCTCCTAAATAAAGAACAGAGAAGTTGGGTGGTGGTCCCAGGTCACACAGCAGAGCTTCAATACAATATTCAGCTTCTATGTTCTTATATAGAGTTCCTATATCTGCTTCATCTCTTCACCGACCTCTCTCCTTTTTAGACCATACCTTCACTTAGCCCATGCTCCTATGTCCCCACCATCATCACCTCTTTTGGAAACAGGTTTATTTCTCCCCTCTTCTCAAATCCTTTGTGCTCAAAACCTAACCACATACAATGTGGAGATGGTAATGATCACAACTTGTGCCTAATGTCATCCAACGTGGCCAATTTGTGACAGGTAGACTTGGTAGCTGTAATATTTGCTAGCAGGTTTGCTAGCATTGCCATAATCCTAAGCCAAAAGAGCAAAGCTGGAGGCATCACGCTACTTGACTTCAAACTATACTACAAGGCTACAGTAACCAAAACAGCATGGTACTGGTATCAAAACAGAGATATAGACCAACGGAACAGAACAGAGCCCTCAGAAATAATACCACACATCTACAACAATGCAATCTACCCCACAAAAGCAAGCAATGGGGAAAGGATTCCCTATTTAATAAATGGTGTTGGGAAAACTGGCTAGCCATATGTAGAAAGCTGAAACTGATCCCTTCCTTATACCCTATACAAAAATTAATTCAAGATGGATTAAAGACTTAAATGTTAGACCTAAAACCATAAAAACCCCAGAAGAAAACCTAGGCAATACCATTCAGGACATAGGCATGGGCAAGGACTTCATGACTAAAACACCAAAAGCAATGGCAACAAAAGCCAAAATAGACTAATTGGGTCTACTTAAACCAAAGAGCTTCTGCGCAGCAAAAGAAACTACCATCAGAGGGAACAGGCAACCTACAGAATGGGAGAAAATTTTTGCAGTCTACCCATCTGACAAATGGCTAATATCCAGAATCTACAAAGAACTTAAACAAATTTACAAGAAAAAATCAAACAATCCCATCAAAAAGTGGGCAAAGGATATGAAGAGACACTTCTCAAAAGAAGACATTTATGCAGCCAAGAGACACATGAAAAAATGCTCATCATCACTGGCAATCAGAGAAATGCAAATCAAAACCACAATGAGATACCATCTCACCCCAGTTAGAATGGCGATCATTAAAAAGTCAGGAAACAACAGATGCTGGAGAGGATGTGGAGAAATAGGAACACTTTTACACTGTCATTGGAAATGTAAACTAGTTCAACCACTGTGGAAGACAGTGTGGCGATTCCTCAAGGATCTAGAACTAGAAATACCATTTTACCCAGCGATCCCATTACTGGGTATATACCCAAAGGATTATAAATCATGCTACTATAAAGGTATGTAATTCTTGGCTTCGCTTTGAGCTTGTCAGATTGGCTCAAAGAAAGAAGAACCCTAACCAAAAACACAAGAACTTAATTAGGGAGAAGGGCCATAATGTGACCCATGAAGGCTCAGTTTCAACCCTTCGCCCCTTGAGTATGATGTTTTCACAATCCCCTTTGAGTTTGAGAGGCAGAAACCCAGTGGTGGAAACATGGCCAGAGGAAGATGGAAGAAGGGATGAACATGTGGCTTTGGATCATTCTGCGTCTCAGCTCCCACTGCCTCTCAGCCCAGAAGTCTTCCACCCTCTCCCCAGAGTGAAACTCTCACCCTCGAAGGGTAAGCCCCAAGCCACCCCTCACCGTGAATCCTGTCAGCCCTACCTCCCCACACACCCCTTTCCCCGAGATTCTGAAAACACAGGGCTCCCACCCCAATTCTCACTTGCCCTTACTTCTCTCCACCTTGTGTAACAGTTCGTTTCTTTCACATCCTACTTCCCCCAACTCTGAGCTCCTTGAGAAACAGGAGCTGCATCTAACTCACATCATTGCTCACAGAGGGCCTGACCAAACCTGGGCCTGGCTGAAGATGTTCAGAAATATCTGCTGAATTGGGCACAAAGCTACACAGTGTGACAGTTGACATGTGGTGCCTCGAGTTACGGGATACATTTGAATTCTGTAAGAAGAACGTCTCTGTTGGGTTAAACTTGGCTGTCTGGGGCAGGCAGGCAGAGCAAATAGTATGTGGAATGAAAAATACGTAGCAAAGCCCTTCGGTTTATTTAGCCATTTGAGGAAGGGCCTGAGTGGGAATGTGCAGCAGAGCTGTGCATTCTCCTGGGAAACATTCCCAACAGCCAGGCCAGTTTCCCCAGGGAATGACCCATACATAGCTCCCCGCTGATGCCTTCATAAGGGGGGACCTTGCCTGCCGTTCTCTTCTGCCTCCCTTTGGAGCACCTCCTTCTCCAGCATTTCATGGTAATGACCATGTTCCTACCTAGGAGGAAGAGATTGCCTGACAGTATGACTTTGACCCATTATGGACAACTGGTTTTTCCTTCTTAACAGGCCCCATGTTTCAGCACCCCCAAGCAGAAGCATTTGGCAGGGAAACAGCTTTCTCGTTGAAAGTCCGAGCCTCACACAAAACACATCAGGAGTTTTTAGGTCAGGCAAGGTGGGGGTGGAGGTAAGTCGACTGCCCACCCTATTGTTAGGACTCTTGGGGTTGCCAGTGACTGAAAACCCAACTCATCAGGCTTGAGCCAAAAGAGAATTCATTAGACCATACTCCTAAAAAGCCCAACATAGCTCTAGCTTCAGGTGCAGCTTGTTCCAGGATTTCAAATTGTCACTAGGGAGCAGTCTTGGTCCATTTCTCAGCCCTACTCTCTTCCTGTTGTCTTCATTTTCAAGTTGGGGTAAGATGGCTGTCAGCAGCTCCAGGCTATACCTCCCAGGGTCAAATTCAGCAAGCCAGGCTGAAGTCCTAGGAGGTACAGGCATATAGTTCCAGATACTTGAGAGAGTGATGTGGGAGAATCACTTGAACCTAGGAGTTTGTCAAGCCTGGGCAACACAGTGAGACCCCATTGCTAAAAACAAAATAAAACAAAAAATCCAATTCAGCAACTAGTTTGGGTCAGGCTTTCTATTACTTGTAATCCAAAACATTCTAACTGATTCACTCAAAATACTTGTGAGCTACTTCCAAGTCTAGGCAGCCCATGAAAATGGCTGTATAGAGAGATGCCTGCCCCAGGTGTGACAGATAGAAGGTGGAGGGCTACTCCCCACAGAGTTCCTGGAAGGAGCCAGAGGTGTGGAGAGGCAGACTTTCCTGTAGAGATGCAGTGCTCCTGAGCATTTGAGAAGATGCTCAACATACATCTCTTTTAAGGTCCTGTGGCAAGAGGGTTAGATTTCCTCAGGTGGGTAGCTGTGTGCCTGCCTCCCCAGGTGCCCTGTGGATGAAGTGTCTGGGCTCTGATGGGGAAAGTGGGGAAGGGAAGAGCTTAGATGCAGCTGGTGAAATGCCTCGTTTCTAAGTTTCCTGGTTTCTGTGGCCACCTATGTGACAGCAAGAAGTCAGGTGTGTGCACATGGGTCAGAGCTCGGGCAGGGACTGGGGCCTTTTCGTCAAGAGTCAGCTTCTGCTCCTGCTGCCTCCTGCAGGGCCAGCTTGAATCTCGGTATAGTGGGTGCTGGAATGTACCACCCAGAGTCCCTCTGCGGTAGGGTGACAGCTGCTGATGGCTCACACATAGCTAAAGGGATCAGCTGCACACAAGACCACGCTCCCCCCTGGGGTAGCCTGCACCTTAGGACTCATGCTGGGGTATAGACACAGACAGCCAGTGTTTACACAGAGAGCCAGAGTTGAGCTCAATCCAGGCCAACTCTGAAGGGCATCCCAGCTACAAGCTCCCCTCAGGGTTGGCTGAGACCTCTCTTGCTACCGCACTACAATTAAACTTCATCCTCTGCCCAGGCCTTCCCATGTTCCCCAGTATATCCCCTGCATGCAAATCTCTGTCCCAGAGTCCGCCTCCTCAAGAGTCCAAGCCATGGCACCAGGTGAGGCAGGTGGTGTCTGTGCGGCCCGATATGAGAGACTGGATCCCAATCACTTCTTTTCCTGCACTGACGGGAATAGTGCTAAAGAAGGAGTTGAGAAGCACAGACCCTCTTGTTTATGTTTTTTGGGGTTTTTTTGTTTTGTTTTTTGTTTTTGAGACGGAGTCTCGCTCTGTTGCCCAGGCTGAAGTGCAGTGGTGTGACCTCGGCTCACTGCAACCTCCGCCTCCCTGGTTCAAGCGATTCTCCTGCCTCAGTTTCCCAAGTAGCTGAGATAACAGGCATCTGCCACCACACCCAGCTAACTTTTGTATTTTTAATAGAGATGGGGTTTCACCATTCTGGCCAGGCTGGTCTCAAACTCCCAACCTCAGGCGATCCACCTGCCTTGGCCTCCCAAAGTGCTGGGATTACCGGTGCAAACCACCGCGCCGGGCTTGTTTATACTTTATTTAAAATTAAAAGAACTTTCTATTATTAAAGAAACAATGTATGCTCATTGAGAAAAAAAAACTGGAAAATTCCAAAAAGCCAAGTAAATTAATCATGTAATTAAAAGACACCAAAACACATCCTTCCATGAAACACAATGATGACTTTGTGCATTTGAATTTGAAACTATGTATGGAGTCCTTCCTACTTCCTAGGCCATTCAGGCTCCCAACAACCCCATGAGGTAGACCTCATTATTCCCATTTTGCCAATGAGACTTGAGACACTCAGAACCGTGGAGTTAACACAGAGGGCAAACAGCAAGCAGACAGAGCTTCTGACTGCAAGTTCAGAGCTTTCCTCATCACACCCCAGACCACCAAGTTGATGTCAGCTTTTCTGAGCGTGTTCTTCAATGGGGAAGAGGGTGGCAGATATGGAAGAAAGTTCCTAGGCCAGAAAATGGGACCCTCCCTCTCGTCCTGGTTCTGCCATTTACTTACTGGTTGATCTTAGACAAGTATTTTCTCCTGACTGGGGCCTCTGTGTGGGGAAGGCTGTGGGGTCTATGCGCAATCTGTTGGGCGCTATGAAAATGGACAGGGTTAGCAAGTGCAGTTGCTCTGGTTGCCTGAAGGGGGCACCACTGAGAAGAAAAGCCCTAAAATTGGGGAGTTAGGACACCCCTCCTCTAACAGAAGACAATATTCCCACAGTGGATCCCCCATGGGTCTCCCACGGGCAGTGGAGAAGGGGGCTCCAGGGGCTGCAGGAGCCTCCAACAAAGCCAGAACTGTGACAGGGTGGAACCCCAGAGCTGGAACTTGGTGCGTCTGTGTAAAAGGCTTAATTTATCTTTTGTAATTCTCTTTGGCCAAGGGAGACAACAGGGGAATGTTTTACTTTCTTTCTTTTTTTTTTTTTTAAAGAAAACTTTCCATTGTGGAAATGGCATGTGTTTATTTTTAAAAATCCAGCCACAGGGATATATAACTTCTGGGGGAGGGAGAAAGCTCAAGGGCCAATACTGACCCTCCTACTGTGAAAGCTGGGTCTGGGTTTCTTTTGCCATTTGATTCTTCCCTCCTAGGCCTCTTTCCTTTAAGCAGAACAGAAATCTTGCTCGTGGATGTGAAGGAGAATGACGAAGAGGAGAGCTGAATTCCAGATAATTAAAATATTACTACAATAAGAGTGACTGACATTTATCAGGCACTTACCCTGCACCAGGCACTGGGCTAGGAGCTTTGCAAATTGAATACTGTGCAAAGTATTCTATGATAGCCCAAGGAAATAGCTTTCATTGTCTCTATTTTACAGGTGAGAAAATCCAGTCTCAGAGAAGTAGTTACCAGTCCAGGCTGGTAAAGCAAGAATTACGCACAGGCTTGACTGACTGCAAAGTCATAACTATAGTCTTCTATTGTGGCAGAATCTTGGACCTCTGTGGTCACTACTGTCAGCAGGAGCCCACTGTGTGGGAGGACAGACTGTACCCCAAGGAAGAGGCAGGGGGCCTTTCTTCTCTCCACATGAGGGATGCTAGGACCAGTCCACCCCCTAGCTTCTTTGGTGGGATGCACAGAAGTTTTCTTCCTCCCTCTTGGCCGCAAGCTTTCCTATGGAAAATGCTCTTTTGGGTAGCAGGGTATAAAAGAGGAGGCCCCTGAGCAAGGGGTTGGATCAAAAGCCTTGCTGTGGGGGTGGCGGAGGCAGTTTCCCATAACTGTGGTGACTTGGAGGTGGGATCCAGGGCCCAGGCCACTTCGCTTCCCACCCTCCCTTCCTAACAGTGTAACCTTAGGTGAGTTACCTAACCTCTCTGTACCTGGTTTTTCTCATCTGTTAAATGGGGAAATAGAAATACCTACTCTCGTGCAGATTTCATCTTGCGAGATGATGTGTATAGTAAAGCACTTAGAACAGTCCATAGTAACGCTTAACAAAAATTAGTTATTATTATTCTCCAGAAGTGACTCATTTTCACCAAGTAGACCACGGTGAACAAATATTCACAGATATACACAGCTGAAGTGTAAATGGTCAGACATAAGACACAGTGCTTTTTTATGATTGTTCTCCCACTGACCAAAAATGCAACCCCTACACCCAAGTTCATCTTGCCTGTTGTTTGAACCTGGCTACTCCTCTTGACTAGAGGCACTTGGAATTCTCAAAAGGACCTGATGGGGTTAGGGACCCCAGGTCTCTCTGTTCCGGAAGGTTTCAATATAATTCTGAAGCTCTATGGGATACCACCTGTGGTCCTTCTACCCCTCCAGGTCCAGGTTTAGCTAGGAGTTACCCAGCTTAAAAAAGAACCAGCACCTGCCATCTTGGAAGAATTTGTTCTCTCTTTCTAGGTGGTCCTTTCTTGGGTCGTTTGGGCCTGTGTTTCTAGGCTGGCAAAGCCTTGGCATCTTCATGATCCTCACTACCAATCACACCACCAATGTGACATCATCACCAATGTCATCCATCAATGCCACCATTTAATCTAAACCATGATTACCATCACTTCTGTTAGCAGCAACACCATCCCATCCCACAACCACCTCCATCACTGATGTTGCCTTCACCTTTTTCATCTTCCTCTCAGCCATTGTCACTGTTAGGATCTCTCTTACATGATCATCTTTGCACTTTCAAGATCACCTATGCTCAGGGCCAGACAGAACCCTTTGGTAGTAAGTAACGGAAATCCAAGTCCACTGACTTAAGAAAAGAGATGGAAAGGATTGTAGTTCACAGATCTAAACTAGAAAGGGTGAGACTGTCCGAGGGATGACTGTGCCCAAGGGACTCAAACACCAACAGAAAGCTTTCATTTTCTCCATCTCTCATCTCCACTTCTCTCCAGAGTCAATTTTATTCTCTTCTGCAGACAAACTCTTGTCTATGTGAGCTTCATGGATTTATACACAGCTGCATAGTGACTCAAAAGCAAAAGAATTTCTATCTCCCAAGCTCTGATTGAAAAATTCTAATGGAAGTCCCTGGTTGGTTTCACTTGGCCATCCTTTGGGCCAATCATAGTGGCTAGAAATGTGTGGTTCTGTGATTGACCCTGCTTGGTCGTGTGCCTAGTAAAAACATGGCAACTGGGGGAAACTTGGTGAACAGGTGAGTACTCTACTTTACGTTGACATACATCCCATTCACCACCATCACCAGCACCACCACCAGCACCGCTGCCATCACCACCACCGCCCTCACTGCCACTGCCATCACCACCTCACCATTATCACCACTACCACCATCACCACCACCACCATTATCTCCACTGTTGCCATCACTGCTACCACCACCATCATCACTACCACCATTACCATCATCATCACTATCATCACCACCACCACCACCGTCACCACCATCTCCACCACCATCACCACCACTACCACCATCACCACCACCATTATCTCCACTACTGCCATCACCGCCTCCACCACCATTACCACTACTATCATTACTATCATCATCACTATCACCACCACCACCACCACCCACCATCACTGCCACTGCCGTCACCATCACCACCACCCACCGTCACCACCACCACTGCATCACCACCACTACCACCACCACCAGCATCATTATCACCACTACTGCCATCACCACCACCATCACCACCACTATAACCACCACCACCACCACCGCCACCATCATCACTCTTTTTCTGAGAACTATAATGTGCCCAGCCTTGAACTTCACATTTGAACTACACAAATATGAGTTTGAAGAAATCTCCAGCCCTGCAGGAATTTACTGTCTCTGGAAACAAGAAAGTTGACTTGTTCAAGGAGCTAGACTTCTAGTCCTTGGCCACAGGATGGGAGCAAAGAGGGAAGCTGTAGGGGCAGCATCTGGCACCTCTTCAGCACTGGCCCTAAGCCCTGAACAGACCCAGAGTCCTTGGAAGCTAACAAGCCTGTGCTGTGATGGCCAGGCCACTTGGCAAATAGCTGCCTGTGCCCAGCCAGGAACTGGAGCCATTCCTTCATACTCACAAAGTTCCCACCCCAGCCCACTGCCCTGTGCTCTACCAGAGCCCTCAGCACATCTGCCCTGTTCCCTCGGGGGCTGGGACTTGCTTTTGGCTCTATTCCCCCTACTCCTGCTCCACCTCTGAGCAAACATCTGTTTCTAGACGTTGTCCTAGAGCCTAATAAAGTCTCGGAAAGGCCCAAGTTAATATATCCATAGACCTGCCTGTCAGCAGCTAGCTAATGTCAGGAACAGAGCACTCAAGGAAAGCAAGACCCCTCGTTTCCTGATGGGGGTGGAGTGTACGGGAAAGATAAACAGGGCATCCCTCCCCATTTCAGAAATGACCTTAACAAAGCAACAGCTTTTAGGAAAAAGAGAAAAGAAAAAAATGGCCTTTGTAATGAGGTTTATGGGAACAAATGTTTCAGGTGGTTCTGCCTTCACAGCTACTGCTGGGGAAAGAGCTGGAGGGAGAAGAGCTCAGTCATGAGTGCAAAACCTCCTGTGGATTAACTGGCCCTTGGCCACAGTCCAGACAATGGGCTGAGCCTGAACCTGGGGGCTGTGAGTTGCCTGGCAGGGAAAAGACCTGCCCTGAGTGGCAGGTCTGGTTCTGCCACTAGTATGCTGGGTAACCTTGGACCACATTCTGACCTCTCTGTATTCAGTTTCTGCAGATGCCACATACTAGTGGAGCCTTGGAGGATTGACAAAGGTCCTTCTGGGCAAGGGGTGGGGGTGCCCCACACTTCAAACCAGGAGAGTAGCCCCTAAGATAAGATCTGACTACTGAGTTCTGTGGTCAAGACCAAGAGTTCCACAGTGGTGGGGGCGGGCAGAGGGTTGGGGGACAGGAAAGAGAGCAGAGACACAATGCTATAACTTGCATACCTCAAATTCTGGTAAGCGGGGATCTGGATCAGTAAACTAATTGGGCTCTTCATTATCCATCGGTCATCAACCAGAAACATCTGTCTCTTAAACTGCAGTTGCCCACCTTTCCGACAGCTCTTCCTGCCTGTCAGGGAGAGCTCAAGTCCTGCGTCCTTCTCCGAGCACATAATTGGGGCGCCCTTCCACTAACTCTGAGGCCTAGATTCTGAGCCCTTGTTTCCATGGACTGACAGCTCTGAGGGTCTGTGTTTCACTCTCACTCCTTAACCGATTGTTCTTTCTCCAGCAAGCTGCAAATCAGGCCCTAATGGCTGCATTTGCTTGTGGTTTCTGATGCCTGGTTGCAGCACGACCATCACCAACATCTCTTCTGTATTTTGCACTTGATTAGGGCTTTGCACACATGATCTCATTTGAGTCTTCCAGCATTCCCCTAAGTAAGAATTCATCTTCCCCTGCCTGGGCAGGAGAAGGTTCCAGAGAGGTTAAGGCATTTACCAAAAGGCACACAATTTGTAGATAAAGAAGCAAAGCTTCTGGTGCTTTGTTTCAACTCAAACTGAATCAGCAAAATGGTTTCATCTCAAGTACTAATCTCACTAGATTGATAATAGCTTTCTGCTTTGAGGGGCATAAGGGATTGTGTGTGTGTGTGCGTGTGTGTGTGTGTGTGTGTGTGTGTGTGTGTGTATGGTGGGAGTGGTGTTCTGTAGTTGATTAGTGATGTCTGCCAGTGGCATGGGAAGTATTGGCATGTGTGTGAAACACGACCAGACCATACCACTTAAGAAGAATGGAAGGTCAGGTGTTTGGGGTTATTGGGGTTCAGGAGGTCACATGATGCACCCAGGCAAGGATGGACCACATAACCTTGGAACTTCTGCTCTATTCTCCCAGTCCCTTTCTTTGTCTGGATCCTGCCATGCTCCAAGGACCAGCTTAGAATTCACCTCTTCCAGGAAGCCTTCCTGAACCTTCACTTCAACTCTAAGTCTCCACCCACTTCCCTTCTCTGAGTCCCAAGGCACTAATCATCTGCCTACTTGTTTGGCCTTCAGCTTATGCTGCCTGGCACTGCTGTTCTTTCTTCTGCACACATAAGTCCCCACAGATGCCCCTCAGGACTGTGAGTTCTGTGAGTACCTAACTCTGGGTTTTGCTCCCACTAGGAGGCTCAATAATAAATGCAGACTAATTTATATCAATGACCTAGACCGTGCAAATGGGCAAGCAGTAGCCCTCCTCTCCACTGCCAGAACACAGGGCTTGAGAGGAGGCAAGAACCCCTGTTTGGTTTTTATTGTACATGCCCAGTCTCTACAGTTATTACAATGTCAAGGTTGGCTTCCATGAACCTAGTCCTGACTCAGCACTTTGCATCCACTATTGCATCCAATCCTCACAATAACTCTAGGAGATAGGAATTCTTCTCCTTATAGTTCATGCTTTAAAAAACAGATGCAGAGAGGCCACATAATTTGCAAAGTCACATAGGGAGCACACAATGGAGCCAGAACCTGAAACTACCTGAAATAGCCTCCAAGTGAATAGAAAATTAGTTTCAGAGCCATCTACACCTGGCCTTGGAATAAGGCAAGGTAGGTGCCAGGTAGGAGATTTCTGCTGAATTACTCTCAAACCATCCAGGTCCAGAGGGATATGGGCTGCTTAGTACCTCCAGCTGCTCCTGGAAGAAGTCAACAAAAGACAGTGGGTCTGGGCAGCATCTGGGCACTGGGGTTGACAGCTGGGCATGGGCTTTGCTAACCACAACATTCCCCAAATCCTACTTTTCAGGGTCAAATAATCCTCTAGACAGATCCAGTAGCCCACCCTACCAGGCATTCATTCTTGCTCAGGTAAACACTTACATTTGTGGACCTTACATCCTGGTATTCATGACATTGATTAGTTTCTTCCCACATGACTCTGGGCTTGGCCATGTGACTTGTTTTGGCCAATGAGACATTAGCAATTGTCGCACAAGCAGAGGCATGATAAGCAGTCTTGGAACACTCCTCATGAAAGCCAGCCCCCATGCTGGCTCAGGATAAACTATAGCCATATTGCCTAGAGCAGAAGAACCTTTTGGCTGAGCCCTGTCAATACACATAATCATAAAAAATAATAAATCACTGTTTAAACCACTAAGTTTTGGAGCAGTTTGTTATGCAGCTAGAGATGACTGACATACTGTCCCTAGTTATGGCTACCATCATTCTTAGACATGGTTGGGGTCCTGACCATGCTGGCTCAGGATAGACTATAGCCATACTACCTGAAGCAGAAGAACCTTTTAGCTGAGCCCTGTCAATACACAGAATCATAAGAAATAATAAATCATTGTTTAAATCACTAAGTTTTGGAGCAGTTTGTTATGCAGCTATAGATGACTGATATATTGTCCCTAGTTATGGCTACCATCATTCCTAGACATGGTTGGAGTCCTGACCATTCAGAAGCACCTACATGCTCTTGTATATGCATCTCAACCAAAGTAGATTACATACATAGAGCTTAGCACACTTCCCTTTCTGCCAACGCACACAAACACTCATACACACACACAGGGAATGGCTTGGAGCCAACTCATGTGTACCTTGAGGCAGCCCTGGTAACCCACAGCATTTGCACTCCCCTACATATGCCTGCTTGACTGTGTGTGCAGAAATGTGCACGATCTTCTGTGTCGCAAAACACAAGAGCAGAAAAGGCATGTACACACCCCAAAATCTTACATTGATGGCAGATGGGAGTCACACACACACGCGTGAACATGGTCACTCACGGCCTGAAACCATAAGCACCCAAAGGTGCAGAAAACAGGAGAGTGAAGAAGCCCTCAGTCCTTTTCCTCTGCACTCCACATTTCAGCCTTGGTGAACCACTTGGCTTCCCCAAAGCACTATGCACTTTCTCACCTACAGGCCTTTGCACAGGTAGGTTCCCCTGTTTGGCATGCCTTCCCTATACCCCATTCACCTGGCCACTCTACTCACCCTTCAGGTCTTATGTCCCAAGCCTAGTAGGGGCTACTCTTCTACGCTCCCACTATTTCCTGCATGGTAGTGCTTCTCAGGGTTGGCCCTCACCACCAGCCTTGTCTCATTTACGATTGTGTCTCCAACACCAGCACAGAGCCTGGCACTAGACAGCACTCCGTAAATACTTGTTGAATGAATGGATTTTTGAGCTGGGAAGGCCCTTAGCCATTCCACTTCTCCTTTCCTCCCTTGCCCATCAATCTCTACATGTTATATAAGAAGAAGTAGATGAGTAGATGCACACCTTAGGTAACAGAGCTAGGAGAGAGCCAGAGCTAGAATCCATCCATTCATTCCATCATTCGCTCACTCATTCCTTCACTCCACCATTCCTTGGGCATCTATGCTGTGCTGAATGCTGAGGATATGGGGATGAGTACAGTCATCCCTGCCCCCTGGGAACTCACAGCTCAGGAGGGGACAGATGCAAGTCACAGTCACATGTGGCTTATGCTACAGAAGACAGACCCAGAATAACAGCGGCTCAAATGAACTCAATTATTTCTCATTTATGTGAAAGTCTAGGCTTGTTTGGCAACTTGACTCCACGAAGCCGTCAGGGGCCCAGGTACCCTTCTGTCTTGTTGCTTGATGCAGGAGTCAGAAGCAGAGCTAGAAAACTGAGTGTCATGCCAGGGATCATAAAGCCTGGGACAGAAGTAAGAAACAGAAAGTCTGGAGCTCCTTGGGGAGGCTCTGGCAGGTCCCCGTCCACACCTCCGTGGTTTTGCCTGTTCTAGCTACGATATGGGAAAGTTGGGTTTGTTTAAAGACCTAGGCTTGGACTGGGCACAGTGGCTTAAGCCTGTAATCCCAACACTTTGGGAGGCCGAGGTAGGTGGATCAAAACTCAAGACCAGCCTGACCAACATGGTGAAACCCCATCTCTACTAAAAATACAAAAATTAGCCGGGCATGGTCGCACATGCCTGTAATCCCAGCTACTCGAGAGGCTGAGGAAGGAGAATCGCTTGAACCCAGGAGGTGGAGGCCTCAGTGAGCCGAGATTGCACCACTGCACTCCAGCCTGGATGACAGAGCAAGACTCCATCTCAAAACAAACAAGCAAACAAAAAACAAGAAAAACCTTAGGCTTGGGGCAGACAACAGAAGCAGAGAGGTCAGAGAGGAGGAACAGATCCAAAAAAAAGGGAAGGAGGTGGAATCTCCAGGACTAGTCCCTACTCAAGTGAGTGAGGGAAGGGAGGGCAGGGGAGAAAGCAAACATCCCGGCTGAGCACAGGGTGATGCCATACCTGGCACCGAGGGAACAAAGGGCAGGGAGGGTGTGAGGAAGCTGAGTGTGAGGTGGAGGGGAGGGGTGTTCCAAGAGCTACCACGAGCAAGCTGTGCGTGGGACATGAACTGTGTGTTTGAGTGGGAGAGTTGTCCACAGAGAGATAGAAACTGGAGCCTACGATGGACAAGTTCTCCCAAGGCGAGCGCTCAGTCCAGTCTCTTCCCTGGATGGACCTCCCAATCCCTTGGGAAGTTTTTAGAAGCAGACAGGAACCTGGACTTCCCTGCCATCTCTTCCTACCAACCACAAAGAGATTCTGACTCAGAAAGGTAGCCTGAGGCCCTATATGTGACTGGGCTCTTACACTTACAAGAAAGGAAACCCAACTCAAACTGGCTGGAGCTGAAAGGACTCCTGTCACCGGGCTTCTGGCACAATTTGATTGAAGGGTTTCGGTGATGTCTTCAGGACTCAGTCACTCTCCACCTCTGTTTGCCTCCGTGTTGGCTTCATCCTCATTTATCAACAGTGGCAAGACACCTGCGGCAGCTCCAGCTCATCCCTTTAGAAAGCCCTTCCAAGGAAATAGCTGTAGCTCCCAGTCACTCCAGCCCAACTCTCACTGGCCTGAACTGGGCCACATGTCCTCTCTGACCTAGTCACAGTAGCCAGGGGAGATGAGAGAGGACAACTGGTGAGGTTACTTCCTATTCATATGCCAGGTATGGAGTTAACTCCACCAGAGCCATATGTCCTGGGGAGAAGAAAGTTCCCCAAAGGAAATTGAGTCACAGTTACTAGGAATAGGGGGACTAGGCTCAGGGCAAATAAAATGACAGGTGTTGGCTCCCCTGTGGCCTCTACAGGGGACCTGGAGCAGGTCCTGGCCATGGAAGCTTTCCATGGGGAAGAAATGGGAGAGGCAGGTCAAGAGCCATGGGCAGAAGAGCCAAGTAGAGGACAGAGGACCTGCGGCCTTCTGGAGGAGGGCTGACCTTCGCTTTTGTCATGGGGAGCAGAAGCTGAGTCTTTGGGGAAGCCTGAAAAGCTGGTGGGAGAGGCAGTGGAAGAGGCAGTGGGAGACAGCACAGTGGGGCCTCAGAGATGCCACGCTGGTAGTTTTGGTTTCAGGAAGGATTTTGATGCTGTCAAAGCCACAGTGGAGGAAGAGAAGTGGGGTTTGCTCAATAAAAACGGGCTGGGAGCAAATGACAGGATTTTAAGGTGTAGAAAACAGGAGAGAGAAGGGTGGCCTTCCTGGCAGAGGGTCTAGCAGGAGCAAAAAAGTGGAAAAACACAGAAAAGACTTGAAGAACAGTAGAGGCTGTATGCCTGGGGCATTTTTTCTTCATTTTTGTCTAGGTGTGTAACCAAGACCACAGTTTAAAATCAAAGTCTTTGGGTTAGCATTGGAGGCCCTCTTTCTTCTTACTGCAAACAAGAAAATCTATTTCCTGGTGTTTTTCTTGAGGCATCTGAATCCCCCCCCTTTCTTCTGGGAGCCCTGAAGCACCTTTTGTGGTCTTTACATGTTTTGTGGATTTTCGCTATTCTGCCTTTTGTGGCGGTTTTATGTGAACATGACTTGTCTTCCTTAATCAACTGTTTTTAAAGCTCCTGGAAGGCACTCTTTTCACCTCAGTGTCCCCAGGTCCTGGCCCCCACCTATGAAGAAAGAAGGGTTCAAGATAAGCCACATGAGGCTGTAACTTGTGCCTGGGGTAGACAATGCTCTACCTGAAAGAAAAATCTCCCAGGGCAAGAATTCTAAGCAGTGTGGGAAGAAGAAGAGGGATACCTGGGGATCAGGCCCCTCAACACAAGCTAACTCCTGCTGCTCACAAGCTGCTACTCTCAGCTGTCAGGTAGGGAAAAAATGGAGGTTAACTGTGATCCATTTGCTTTCTCTGGGATGGAAACTTCTTCCTGTTTCACAACTGGGAGCCCAGAGCTAGCTGTGTCTGAGATGGCCCTAGCAGCCATGAATTCCAAAGAAGGAGCCGATGCCCTTTATTGAGTGCCTGCCCTGTGCCAGCACTGTGTTCACTGCTTTACATACATTACCTCATTCAGTCCTTCCAGACGGGTAGATACTTTTATTATCAGCCCATCTTACAAATGAGAAAACTGAGCCTCCGAGATGTTCAGCAGCTTCCACATTGACAAAAGGGAGATTTACACCCAGGTTTCTCTGACTCCAGAGTCCCCCTGGAAGCTCCAGGGTTTGCAATGCTGGGGCCAGGTCAGGCTAGCGCAACACCCTCCTCTTTCAGTTCCCAATCACAAGGATGCTCCAGCTCCAAACTGTTTAGATTTCACTGCCTGAGCATTCCTGAGGGCCTCCAAAGTCCTGAAAGGGAAAAGATCAGTTTGCAGAATAAGGAGGGAATGAAACTAACTCCCCACCTCAGTTCCTCCATTCAGACTAGCCTGGGAGGGGAGTGGGGGAAGTCCAAAGTCCCTGAATTTCCTGGCCTGTACCTCCCAGTGCAGAAACTCTCCAACGCCCCCTGGTGTTCTTCAATACCATCCAAGTCTCCCAAGGATTCATTCCTCTGTAGAGTGGACTGGGACATCCCATCACAGGGATGGAGAAAACAGAGTGCCCTTGCCACTGAAGCCATCAGGAGAATCCTAGAACTGGAACTGGAACCCAGAGCTCCTGGCCACGGGCTCTTTCAGCAGCATCGCCTTCTATTCCTGTTGTCCTCCATAGTGGCTGACTGGCCCAGCAGTCAATGTTACCTTTATTACATATGATCTCAGTACTTACTATGTTACAAGTCCAATATGCACTATTAAGTGTGCCACACTTTATTAGAAGTGCAGTGACACTGTATTATATATCAAGTTCCATCAGGTCAATATAGAAAATGGGAAGTTTGTACTGGCATGCCTTGTTATTTTGAAATGGAATCCCAGCACCACTGCTGCCCCCACCTCCACTGCATATTTGAAAACCCAGTCTACTCTCCTCTGCCCGCTGTTCCAGGAAGACAGGCTTTCTCCCAAAAACTCAGTCCCACCACCTCATTCACAGGAATGTCAACAGGCACAAGGAGATAAAGTCTCTTGGGATACAAATGCTACTTAATGTGGGGGGTGGAGGAGGTGACAAGAGAAGAGAGAAAACTACCAAATGCCCTTCAGGCCACCAGTTTTTCTCTAGTGGAATATAGGAAATGACAACAGGAGAGAGCCTGGTTAGCCCTAAGCCTCCCGCAGGGATGGAACCTGAGTTTGTGTAGGAATTGCTCACCTTTGATGACTGGGATGATTGAGGCAGGCTGGTCTCACCACACAGGGATAGATGGCATGGGTCTCAGATTAATGGCAGGCAAGAAGGGGAGATGTCAGGACTGGCAGGCGGCCCCAATGAGCCACCTCTCAGATACCTGGAATAAGATCTCCTCCGTTTTCAGTGTCTCATACTACCTCAGGTCTTGGTCCTGAGAGGAAGGGCTGCCAGCTCTGCTGCCCCCTGGAGGGCTGACTTTTCACCCCAGAGTAAAGATGTGGTTGGCCGCCCGGCACTGGAGGAGCTGCAGATCTCAGGAGGTACAGAGCCCCCGGGGAGTCGGTTGTCGGGGGAGAAGGAAGGGGAAAGAGGTTGGGGGCTTGGGAGTAGAGGAGCGGTGGCTGAAGGGATCAGGTAGTCCTGATCAGGACGTGGAGATCCACCCACAAGCCCTGACAATAACTCAGTCGAGTTCCTGGAGGGTCTCAAGGGCTGGGAAAGGTGGAGTGGTGCCTGCCCCAACGCGTCCATGGAAGGTGGTGCCCGCCTCACCGCCTCCGTGGAAGGCCAAACGAGCCCTCGGTGTGAATCCGGAGAAAGAGAGGGAAGTGCAGCGCCAGCTCCACTCCACACCCCCTTCCTGCCTATAAATAACCCCAAGTGTCACTTCAAAGAGGACGGGGAGCGCGGCAGAGGGGCTCCCGGGCCGGCGGGCTGGGGCCGCCGGACCTGCTCACCACGCCCCCCACCCTGGGCGAGTTTGCATAAATAAACAAATCCAAGCCGTCGGCCCCGCGGGAGGTGGAGGAGGAGTGACGAGGAGGAGGAGGAGGAGGGAGGGGGGAGGGAGAGATTAGTTTGGGAAGTAGCACGGATTGCTCATCCGATCCGTGCCGCCGCAGGGAGTGTGTCAAGTTACAGAGGCGCCGGAATCGGCCCCTGCGCTCCTCGCCAGCCGCCACGACCCACCTCTGCCCATGGGGCCCTCCGTGTGCGCCCCTTCGCCCGGGGACTGAAACTGACTGGCCCGGGAGACACGAGGCGCCCAGAAGGACTGACAGCGCGGCACCAACTGCTCTGCAGACACTTGAAGGGAAAGACTGGGCGGAGAGAAGGAGAGCCGGTCAGATTCCCCTAACTTTCCTGGACTTGGAACGTTCTTCGAAATAACTTTTTTCTCACCTAGGTGTACCCCAATTACCGCTGGTTGTGCTTTTTCGGCACTTCCTCTCCTACTGCTAATTTTTCCGTCCTCTTTGCCGGGAGCAGCGGAAAGGGACGTTTTCCAGCGATACAAGCCCTTTCCCCCTGCCCCGCAGTTTGGATAGAGCCTTTTGGCAGCGGCTGTCGCCTTTATTTATTCTATTTATTTATTTATTGGTTCTCAAGACGCGAGAGGATGGTAGCGGAGCGCACCCACAAAGCGGCAGCCACCGGTGCCCGCGGCCCTGGGGAGTTGGGCGCGCCCGGGACGGTGGCTCTGGTGGCGGCGCGGGCGGAGCGCGGCGCACGGCTGCCGAGTCCAGGGTCGTGCGGGCTGCTGACGCTGGCCCTCTGCTCGCTGGCACTCAGCCTGCTCGCCCACTTTCGGACGGCCGAGCTGCAGGCCCGGGTGCTGCGCCTGGAAGCGGAGCGCGGGGAGCAGCAAATGGAGACGGCTATTTTGGGACGAGTCAATCAACTGCTGGACGAGGTCTGTGCTCTTTGTTGCTGGCTTTTATCCCTCCCCGCGGCGCCCCCTCGCGCAGCCTCCAGACTGTTCAGCCGGTGTCCGCGGGCGCTCGCTCTCTGCGAGCCCCAGGTTCGCGCGAGTTGCCTGCGGGAGGGGTCGGGGACACGGACAGACGCTGCCCTACCAGGGATTCGGAGGACCTGGTGGGCAAGAGCATGACCCAGCGACTCCCGCCTCGGGCAAGCGCCCCCGGCTTCCAGCGCTGGGAGCGCCCTGGGCACGCCGGGCAGGTGGAGGAAGGCTGGGCGCGCGGAGGCTCGCGGAGGCGGGCAAGCTCCACTCCTCCCTTTCGGGACCCGGCCAGGGTGGTGTGACAGCCGCCCCGCGCCCGCGCAGCGGCAAGCGCGCCCAGAGGCCCAGGCCGAGGCTTACTGAGCCCCCATGGCCCTCCCCCTCCACCCCTTAAGGACCCGGGGGGTGCGGGGAGAGGGGACAGTTCTTGCAGGGGGTGGTGCCCTGGTCTCTGCTCACTGGCCCAGGCCGCTAGGGTCCAAGTGTGGGTCGCCTGGCTCTGCTGTCCTTGGCCACAAATTAGTCCACACCTTCTTTTTCCTAAACCAGGTTTCTTATTTTTCTGGAGAAAGGATGCTTTCTTCCATTCTCCAAATTTTTTTGATCCAAGTAGATTAAACACTACTAGCGTGTCAGGTAGCTATGGCAATCTTCGGAATACAGGAAAAGGCTGTCCCCTCCCCAGGAAGGAGGGACATGCAGCCTCTTTGTGCCACCAGAGGAAAGGCTGGGCCTTGACAGGGTGAGGCTTGATGATCTGTGGGAATCTGGACAGCACAGGGGATTCAGGGCCCAGATAGAGAGGAGGACAGGCAGGTGGGGGCCGCAGCAGTCTGGGAAGAGGTCCTGGAGCAGGTCCTGGCCATGGAAGGTCCTGGCCATGGAAGGTTTCCATGGGGAAGAAATGGGAGAGGATATCTTACTTAGCTGGAGGGAGTGTGCAGCAGTAAAGATCACGGTGGTAGAGGCCAGCAACCCTGGGTTTTTATCCCCACTCTGCTACTTGGAAGCTTGGGACAAACGCTCCAACCCCTCTGAACATGCGAAACAGTGCTGATGTAGCAAACACTGGAGCACAGCTCTAACTGTGGTGGGTGGGGTGCTGTGAGCATTTTGGCAAGATGTACCTATTCCCTATAGCCAGGCTCTTCTCAGCTGCCCCTGCCAGGCTGGCACCTGCTGGAGCAGTTCTCCAGGGTGGCCAAGGAGGAGATTGCAGGGCCAGAGCAGAGAGAGCGGTCACAGGGCAAGCGTACTGGTGCTAGTGGTGCACCCATGACTGCTGCTGTCAGCTCATTCCCACGCCCTGCCAGGCTCCAGGGAATCCGGAGAACTCCATCGGGCCGTCCATGGTTCCCTGGGCCTGGGGTGGAGGTGCAGCATCTCTGGGCTCAGGCAGAATGAGCCCAGACTGGCTGGGTGGTGAAGAAGGTGTCAGGGCAGTGAGAGCTCCTCCAGGTATCTCGGGGGTCCTGGCTGCTGAGGGATAAGCATCTGATTTTCAGGGTTTAGCACAGCCCCTCTCTCCATGCTTTCCCCTTCCCAGACCTTCCTGCTGGCCTGACCATGCCCTGGCCTTTTCTAGCTTCTTGCTTCCACTGCTTCAGACTTAGACATGCCAAGTCGCATACTCTAGGGGCCTTGGGGCTAACTATTGTATCCGACATGCTCACTCCTTCCCTCCAAGCTGCAGCTCCATATTTACCCTACTGAATACAATCTTTTCAACTGCTAGATATGAAAGTTATCCCAGAGAGCATCTGAACTGAACCCCATTTTTCAGATGGGGAAGTTGAGCCCAGAGTCACATGGCGAGGCCCAGGACTAGAACCTCAGCCTCCTGGCCCTGTATACAATGTTCTTTGCGCTGTATCCTGCCACCTTTTTTTTTTTTTGGCCTATTCTCATTCATTCATTCAGAAAATGTTTACTGAGAGCCTGCTGCGGGTCAGGCATTGTGGGAGACACTTTTGCCCTCCTAAACTTACATACAGGGAAGTAGTGCACAAAGAAGAAAATGGGCAGTGACCATGTCGTGTGCAAAAAAAAAAAAAAAAAAAAAAAAAAAAAAAAAGCTACAATAGTGAAAAAAGAGAGGGGCCTGGGGAATGCATTACATGCAACATTGTCTGATGGTGGTGGCAGTCATGGCAGGCTTCCTTAGGGAAATGATTTTCAAATGAAGAGCTGAAGGATGAATAGGAGTTTGCCAGGCAAAAGCGGGCGAGTGTGAAGCCTTGTTCTAAGGGGACAAACGGAACAGCCTTTGAGGCTGGGGGCCAGAGGGAATTGGGAGAACTGGGGGAAGTCCAGGACCCCGGAGGACTGGGAGTGTGAGGAAGTAGGAGATGTGGCTGGAGAGAGACGGGCAGCCCAGGTCAAGAGGGGCCTTAGAGAAAGTTAGATCTAAATAAGAGTAATGGGGAGCCATTGAAGGGTTTTCAGGAAGGCAGTTATGCCCCTAGAGTGAGTGCTTACGGCTGGCAAAGCAGTAAGGCCAAAAACAGAAGGCTGCTGCAGGCCAGAGGGGACAATGAATGGGGGTAAAAGTAGGGTCAGAGAGGGGTGACTGGAAATGGTGGCTGAGGTCAATAGGGGAAGATGCTGGAGCCAGAGGAAGGGAGCTGTCCCACAGGTGGATGGCGTGAGTGGCCTTATCTGTGGGGGCCTTGTCTGTGCTCCTGGAGGGACACCCTAGGGTTGGGCTGTCCAATACAGTAACTGCTAGTCATATGCAACTCATTATATTTAAACTAACTAAAATTAAATAAAATTTAAATTTTAGCTTGTCTGTTGCAACAGCCTGGTTTCAAGTGCTCAGTGGACACTGCAGCTAGGGACTATGGAGCTGGACAGTAGAGAGAAAGAACTTGTACATCCTCGCAGAAAGTTCTATTGGCCAGCGCTGTGCTACGAGCAGCTTCTGGGCCTGCAAAGCAACTTGAGGGGACCATCCTGGGCCTTTCCCTGTGTAGGTGTGTTCTCCCAGGTCTGAGCAAAGGTCTGAGCAAAGGGCAGAGGAGAGCAATGGGTAAGGCAGAAAATTGGGACAGGCAAAAACCTGCCACAGGACAGGAGAATTCAGAGACAAGAGAGGGGAAATGGTTTTGTTACAAAACAATTCTCCAAAATGGAGGTGCAGAAGGTCCCTGTCCTCATGGGGCACACACAGGCATCTGGTGAGTTTGGAGGCCAAGACCAGGATTCTAGCTGGGCTTTGCCAGTCTTGTGGCCTTAGGCAAGCCATGCTACACCCCTGCACTTCAGGTTCATCTTCCATTAAATCTAGGCCCTGCCTCCCTCCTGGGATTGGAGGCAGATCGGAGACTTCACTAAAAGGTGCCATCACCAAAGGCCATGCACAAGACCAGATGAGTGCTCAGGGAGGGCCCTTAGGGATCTGGGGCAGGCAATCTTTGCAGCAGGCAGGACTGGGCCACTTCCTGAAGAATGGGAGAAGGACACTGGGGAGGGCAAGCCTGGTGAGGCACACGGCCTGTGCAATGGCCTGGGGGTGGGACTCCCATGCCAATGGGGAAAGCAGGTGAGGGGGCAGAGACTGCGTGTATGAGGCAGAAGGGAGAGGGAGCTGCAGGGAGGGCCGGCCAAGGGGACCCAGGAGGACAGGAGGCCTGAGAGGGGAGCCAGAGGCAGATCTGAGGGGACCAGCCCATGACGGGGGTTGTGCAGAGCCGGGATTGGAGGATGGCGGGAGCCAGCTCTGTGGGGAACCAGGAGTGTGCTTTCCAGACCTCAGGCCCCAGCTCTTCCCCCATCAGCGCCTCTCTCCTGGTCTGGGACCCTTAACGAGCACTCCAGCTGCCTGTTATTTGATTTGCTTGCTGTGAAGAAAGAAGCTGGAATGTCCCAAATGGAGAAAATCAGATGACACCTAGGACTGGGCAGCCGTGTGCAGTGAATGAGAAGGGAGTGGAATTTAAAAGAGCCAAATGCTGGGCCGGGTGCAGTGGCTCATGCCTGTAATCCCAGCACTTTGGGAGGCCAAGGTTGGTGGATCACCTGAGGTCAGGAATTCAAGACCAGCCTGACCAACATGGTGAAAACCCATCTCTACTAAAAAATACAAAAATTAGCCGGGCATGGTGGTGGGTGCCTATAATCCCAGCTACTCGGGAGGCTAAGGCAGGAGAATTGCTTGAACTGGGAGGCGAAGTTTGCAGTGAGCTGAGATCGAGCCATTGCACTCCAGCCTGGGCGACAGAGCAAGACTCCGTCTCAAAAAATAAAAATTAAAATAAAGAGCCAAGTCCATCTTCTAGGCCCAAGGGGAAGCAGAGGAGGGTCTCAGCAGCCACCTTTAAGGTGAGTTTTGAGAGATGCCAGGTAGACTCCCTAACCCCAGTAATAACATCAGAAACTGTAATAGAAATGTCCTGTAGTTATAGGGTGCATACAGGGGCCAATGCTATGCGTGTCACCACTATATCTCTTTCAATCCTCACAACTTCCCTAAGGGACTGACATTCACACCACCCCCTTTTACAGATGAGAAGACTGATGTCACTGTACCTCCCTCCCACTATCTGTGATTCATTCCTTTGGATGTTAAGGAATCTCCTGGGAGAGGAAGTGGTTGAAACTTCCAAGCTAAAATGTTAAGGAACCCCAGGCAGACTCCTTCATCCCTAAAAATAACAACAATTATAATAACATGTCTCATGTTTATACGGTGTGTGATTTTGGTGCAAAAGTAATTTCAGTTTTTGCCATTGAAAGTAATGGCAAAGAGATGTAGGGGACAGATATAGGGGAGGGATCAAAGCAGCAGCTGAAAGATTGGGGCTGTGGATGGGGTCCTTTAGGACTGAAATGCTGGGATGAGGATGGGAAGAGACTCTTAAAGGGGATGTACATGTGTGCTAGGGTGGGTAACCTGTGCACAGTGTCCTGTGCTGACCACAGCTGACTGGACCTCAGTATATGGACAGACTCTGGATCCAGGTTTCCTCAAATGCAGCCAGCACAAGGTGGTACCAGAGGAGTCAGGGGTGGGATCCAGACCCCAGCAGGCATCTCTCCTTCACCACACCTTCCCCTTTCCAGACAATTAACTAGGTCAGCAGTGGCCCATACATGGCTTGGGTGTGCCCTGCTCTCCATTCCAGGGCCCTCAGCAGACATTATTAATCAATTGCTGCACACTTTCCCATGGAGCTTACATGCAGCCTCAGAATCCTTTTCAACAGTGTTCAGGAAGCTGCTACTTACTAGTGACGGTTGGTGTTCAAGACGAAAAGCTATTTCATAACTCTAGATTTTGTTTTTTTAATAACAGGTGCTTACTATAAAGGCAGGGAGAATTACTAGAGCTCTGCCGCTTCTCCAAAGGTCTTCGAACTAGCAGATAGCTCTGAACAGACTGAGGACCTCAGGAGGCAGCCAACCCTCATAGGAAGGTGGTGGGGAAAACCAAAAGCATCTCAAACACCATTCCATCTGCCCTAAGCACAGCTTTACGGTTTGATAACTCCCAGAAAGATGTCTTTTCCCCTTCTTCTTAATCACTCTAGACTTGCCCCACTGCTCTCTGGAAAGCCTCCTCGAACCACTCCAACCCAATGTGGGCTCTCTCCCTGCTCCAACTTCCTGTTGCTCTTCCTAGGTTGTGCCAGACATTTAGCTCAGAGAAGGAAAATAGACATAGCATGTGTTGTTGGCTTTCCTTATCCCAAACGGTAGCAGATACTACTCATCGCTCAATACACTCTTTCCCATTCAGCCTAGGTAGGCCTCGGAATCCTTCTCGACACAGTCCTCCAGTGGCACGGAGAACAGCAACCCAGGCTGCCGCTCCCGTCCATTAGAGTCAGTGCACAAGAGGAAATCCATTTGCCATTCATGGTTCAACCCAACCACATTGTACAACGGTCTCTCCATGTGACCACACATGACCCGATGACAGCGATAGAGGCATGCTGTCTTGGGTCCCTTATTAATTCTAGCCCAGGACTTTGCACATAATACGCAGCTCTCACAAATTAGCTGTTGATGTAAGGTCCCCCTGTTAGAGGCTGGGGAAGGTTTATTAGTCAGCTCTCCTCGCAGCGTCCCCGGCCCTGGACCCAGCAATAGGCTCAGCATTTGCTCAGGGGGTGTTTCTCAGCAACCAGCAGAGGATGAGATGATTGACTTCTGTGTGTCCAGGCTGCATGCCTTGTCCTGGCTGGGAGAGCAGGAAAGGCTCAGTGATGTGTTCCCCACTGGGCAGAGAAGCTGGGGGCACCCACCCCCTCCCATCCTCTACTCCCAAGGTCAGGAGCTTCATTTTTACCTGCCCCAGCTGGCTGCCAAGGTTTTTCTTTACAGAGTCGGGGGGTGGCAAAATGGTGAAGCAGGCAACACCATAGCATTTGAACCCCTGCCACTAACTGTGTGACCTGAGCCTCAGTACCCTAATCTGAAAAATGGAGATGATGACATCCTCCTTACAGGGTTGTTGTAGGATTAAATGAAATCATTTGGCTAATGGCAACTGTAACCATTGCCACCTCGCTCATCATTGGAGGAGGTAATATGGGGCTTCATGCACCTTGTCTACAACTTTTATTAGTAGCTGATATTTATTGAGTTTACGCTGTGTATTGAGCTTACACTTACACTGTGTACCAGGGACTATTCAAAGACCTTTACATCTATTGATTCACTAAATCCTCACAATAATCCTATGAAGTGGTTACTATTGTTACTATTCCCTTCTTACAGAAGAGAGAATAGAGGCACAGAGAAGTTAAGCAAATTTCCCATGGTCACACAGTAAGTGAGTAGCATAGCTAGGCCTTGAAATCAGGCAGTGTGGCCCAGAGCTGGCATCCTCAGCCACTAGGATGTACTTGTCTGTATGAAGTACCATACCTCTCTAACTCTGCTGAGGCCAGTCAAACCAGCCAGGGGCTGGGGATCTGTTCAGTTTGGTTTGGCTCCCAGAGGCAGTGTTTACTGAACTGCCTTGGCGTCAGGGCCGTGCCACCATCTTTGTTGTAAGAAAGACATTATGAGAGTTGCTAATTACATCAGGCCTTGGTGATGAGTACTCTGAGGGAAGCCCTTGTCCAGTCTTGGCCTCTGGAATGCTTGGGCTTCCCAGGGTGGATGGGTTTGTTCTTGTCTCTCGGACTCTGAACTGGCCACTAGGAAGCATAGCAGCAAATCTAGGGTTCAGCCAGTGGCAAAGGCTTTTGTATGAGCCTTGATCCCAGATCCTATTTGATCACTCTGCCTTTGCTGTTCTTCTACCTTACTGTATACTGTCTGTCTGTCTGTTTGTATCAGCTGCCTGAATGCTCCCTTTTAGAGCCAGAGAGGGGTAAAAGATCTGAAGTAACTAAACATTTTAAAGTTACTCTCCCCTCCTTCTCACTGATCCAGATGTCCTCAAAGGCTTGCCCTTGTACGGGTGATGCTGGTTGCATTAGAATCGCCTGGGGAGCTTTCAAAACACGCCAGGCCAATTGTTCCCAATACCTGCTGCAGATGTCTGTGGGTAGGGCCTGGCTGTAAGTGTCTAACGAGCTCCTCGGGTGATCGTGTTCTGCGGCTGGACCTGGCAGGCCCTGAGAATGAGAGAGAGAGAGAGAGAGAGAGAGAGAGAGAGACAGAGAGTCTGTGTGGCCCAGTGCCTGGAGCTCCCTGTACAGTGAAACCCAGACCCCCTTACCCGGGTCCCAAGCAGTGCTCAAGGGGCTGAGGGGCAGTGATGAAGCTCACGGTGAGATGTCAACAAAAGTCTCCGTGTGCACTGGGAGGTTTGAAGAAGGGCAAGCAGCAGGCTTTTTGCTGTTGTTTTCCAAAAACAAAATCAACTGAGGTTTGCCCTCCAGGAAGCCTCAGAAGTCCTTCTCCCACCTCTTTGGGTTGGGTTCTGCCCCTCCCAGAAACAGTCTATTGAGCCCTCAGTCAGAGGGAAATCAGCAGGCTTCTCCAAGGGAAACTGAGGCCTGGGTCTGGGGAGACTAGGGTGGATGGGGTCACCAGCTGCGCTGGGTGTTGTCTGGGCCACTGGCAGGCCCCAGCAGCAGCCCCTGCTGACACTCCCGCTCTCCCAGCCACAGCCCTGGGTGTGGGGCCTCCTTGCAGAGATGCTGTCTGTGGCGGAAGGGGTGGGCCTGCTGGCAGGGGGTGCTCTCCTGGTCCTTCAAAGAGCAAGGGCCAGCCAAGCACAAAGGGGCAGAACTGCCTGCCAGAGAGGCTGGGCATGGCCTTTGAGGGGACACTGGGCCCCTGTCTCCCTGCCTGGCGGCTATTGTAGGTTTTCCTGAAACCCCACATGGCTGGGGCCCACGTAGGCTGGGCCTCTGCCTCCTTGGCCCTTTCCCATCCTCACTCCCACCCCAGCCTTGCCTGCCTCCTCAAGTCTGGGTCATTCTCCTTTGAGCATTCGTCCAGGCATTTCCCTCTGCCCACACGCTCCTTCCTCCTGCCCACCACCCCCTCCCTTCAGGCGCTTCGGTTTTTTATCCGCTCTTTGGGTTGCAGCAGGAGAACCTTGCTGCCCCTAAAGGCTGTTGTGGGTCCTGAGCTTCTGCCATAGAGGGACTTTGCACCCGCTGCCCTCTGTCAGGCTGCAGATGCTCTGCGAAGGCACCTCTTTAGCACCAGGTCATGCTCTGATAAGGTGGCCTGTAGGGCAGGTCAGAAAGGGTGACCTCTCGGGACAGGGATGAAGAAAGGGGGCTGGGTTAAAGGGGCATTTGCCAGGGCTCTTCCAGGAATAGCTTCATCCACCTCCCCCTGAACTGGCACTTGAGGTTTCCTGGAGTTGGGGGAAGCTCTGTGACATGGGAGGTCAGAGGGTGCTCCGGACACCTCCAGCCTCACCCGACTCCATAGAATCAGGAAGGGCCTTCATAAGTCAGGTGCTGCTCTAGGAATTTCCTACAGCAGCCTTGGTCCTCAAGCTTACACACCTCAGTGACGGGGAGCTCACTACCTTATATTGCTGACTGTTCCCTGGTAGGACATCTCTGGCTCTTAATGTCGTCAGAGGCCCAGCCAATCTCTACACCCACCAACCCACAACTCCAGCATGTCTTGAAAGCACCTCAAACTCTACGTGTCTAAACTGAGCAGGAAATCCACCCCTCACCAGCATCCCTTCATATGTGAGCACAATGACCTCCAGCCACACCCACCCCAGCTCTCCTGCCCACACCTTCTCAGCCTCTGCAGACCTGTCCTCTCCTCTCCATCCCTGCCTGCCCTCCCCAGCCCGAGCTGCCCCCCTAACTCTTCTGCTCTCACCCATGCTGTCCTGACTCTCTTATCCACACAGTAGCCAGAGGGGACCTTTTAAAAAACTAAGTGTAATCACGCCGTCTCCTGATTAAACTCTTCAGTAACTCCCTATTGCTCTCAGGCTAGAGACCGCATTGCTAAATGTGACCCATATGGCCTTCAGGTGCAGCCCTTGTCACTCTCTCCAGCCTCATGGCTCACCTGCCCTTGCTTCTGGAGTCCAGCTACATGGTGGCACGCTGTCAAGGCTAGGAGCACAGACTCTGGAACCCGATTGCTGGGTTCAAGACCAGCTCTGCCAGTTACTGCCTATGTGACCTTGGGCAAGTTATTCAAGCTCTCTGTGCCTTAGGTTATACCTCTGTAAAATAAGGGTAATGATAATAAGAGTACTTTTATGAGGGTTGTTTTTAGGATTAAAAAAAAGTTAAGATATAAAGTGCTTTGAGTAGTGACTGGTACTCCAGTAATAGATCATCCAATCTCCTTGAAAGAGCCAAGTTTCACCTCTCACAGGCATAGAGTCAAGGTGTGGGCTCTGAGCCAGGCTTCCCGGGTTCAAATTCTGCCTCTGTCTTTCCAGGCTGTGTGCTGTCTTGCAGGTTACTTGGCCCCTCTCTGTCTTAGTTTCCTCGCTCATGTAATGGGTTGCAGTGAGTGCTGGAGGAATTAACATTAAGCTGGTGCAAAAGTAATTACTTTTAATTGCCATTGAAAGTAATGGCAAAAACTGCAATTACTTTTGCACCAACCTACTCCATGCAAGATCCTTGCCTGGCTCCTAAGAAGTGCATTATTGGGTTAGCTTTCAGCCTCTCCCCTGTGCCTGGGCCCCTCACCTGGTGAGTTACTGCTCAGCTTCAGATCTTGGCTCATGTCTCACTTTTCTGCCATGAGCCAGACTAGTCCATGCCCCGGCTGGCTCTCAGCTCCTTGCCCCTTTTGGCCACAGCTCTGATGACAATGGCTGCCCCACATTGATGTGTGGTTTGTAGGCTCTTCTGTTTCCCTCCCTAGAGTATCAACTTCATGGGAGCAGCCTCAGTCTGCTTTGCATAACAAGGTTCCCAACATTAACCCCTAGAACATTGTAGATAGTCAATACCCATTTGTGAAAGGCAGGAAAGGAGGAAAGAGGTCCCCAACATTCACCCCAGGACTTCTTTGTGGTGGGGGGCCCCTGCCTTATCCTGCACCAGGCCTAGAGATGACCCCTGGACCCCTGAGATCCTTGAGGTCCTGGGCCCCTTGCCAATCTGCCTCCCATGCACACCATCAGTTCTGGGGCCCGGTTCCTTGACTCCTTGCGGCAGTAGCAGGGCCTTGGGTTAGCTAGAAGGAAGGACTTCGTCATACGAATGCTGCAAAGCTCACATAGGGGTATGTGCCTCCTGTCCCTGACTTTTTTCCTGAACCATAGAGCCTGGGGCCACATCTGTGTGTGGTTCTGGTGAGACAGGGAGGCAGAGGGAGACAGAGGCAGTATGTGGTATCTGGAGGACCCGCAGGCCCCTGTTTCATGGCCCTGGGAGTCTGTGATCAGGTGCCAAGTCCACTGCACGAAGAGAACTGTTGAGGTAGGGAGAAGACAGCTCCTAAGGCACCCCCGTGGCACCCCCTCCCTGTCCCCAGCACACAGGCCCCTGCAGCAGCCCATGCAAGTCCAGTTCTGGTGGGTGTGGGTTGGATGTCTTGATTTCCTCCACTTTGATTTCACCCTGCCAAGCTGCCTGTGCCCTGGGGCATGTGGCTACGAGTGGGCCTGTCCCTTTAACCCCTTTGGTGGAGCCAGCCCTCTCCTGCAGTCCCTGGGATGTAGCCCATGGGGCCAGCACTGAGCAGCCAGGTCCTGCCTCTGTACCTCCTCACGGAAATGCCCTCCCTCCCCCATGCCCATTTATCCCAATTCTGCCAAAGCCCACCTCCTCCTGGGACCACAAGGATGAGTCCTAGAGGGCTGACCTAAAAGTAAGTAATTCGGTTGGAGTGTGGATTGAGACATCTGACCCGGGACCCTGACATCTGAGGGCCAGCTCAGTCTGCAACGGGGCAGCCAGCCCAGCAGCAGTTATGCTGCAGGATGATCAAAAGGCCTCTAGCAGATGGGATCAAGTCCCTGCCCTGTGCCAGGCATTGTGATCAGAGTGCTGGCACAGGGGCCGGAGCTTCGTCTGCTGTGGTCATTCCAGTGGGCACCTCCTCTTCCTTCAACTCCTAGTTCTCAGGGTCAAAAGGCAGGGCTGCAGGTCAGACCCTCCTCACTCACCCTCCCTTTCCAGAAGAGGGGCTCTGAGTTTCCCAGGAGGAGGAGGAGGGACATGGCAAGTGCAGGAAACTTGACCACTTGTCGCAGAGGTGTATGCCATGGAGCCAGGGCAGCAGGGGTCAGGCCAGCCTTATTACAGCAGGTGGGAGGAGGCAGGCCTGGCACTGGCTCAAGAGAGAAGTGGCCTTCACCTGGCCACCAAACAAAACAAGCTGGCAAAACAGGTGCTCACCCTCCTCACATCTGGATACCTCTGTTTATTTTTTTGCCTCATCTCATTTTATCCTGCCAGCTGTCTTGCGTAGTCTAGCAGATCACTTAGATTATCTCCATTTTATGGATGAGAATATCAAGGTCCAGAGGGGTTATAGATTTTGCTTAATACACAGTTAGTAGGAGAGTTGGGACTAGACCCCAAGGCTCTGGCACTCCCAAGTGTAGTCAAGCTGATATGATATGATTTCAACACTGCCAAGCTCTGCCTACAATAGATTCTTCACTGGAGTTTGGGGGCCATCTGTGCCAACCCAAAAGAAAGTCCCACTCCAGCCTCCAAGGGAATAGGAGGCATGCACTAATAATGTCAAAAATCAATTATTAAATGATATTTTCCACCTAAAGTGCTTAGCACAGTGGCTGATATATGGTGTTCAATGTGCATAGCTGTTATAATTAATATTAACTCTTGTTTAATAATTCAACCCAAAATTGATAGATGCTCCGTGGTTTCCCAGGCACTTGCCTCTGCGTTATCTCATTCGGTCTCCACATTGGCACTCAGGAAGCTGGCAGGGGGTGGTGGGTCATATCCCTATTTTGTAGATTCCCCCTGAAGGGACGTGCCAGGCTCAAGGTCACAGCTGCAGGTCTCACCTGGCTTCTCCCTCTGGGCTGTGTCTATGCCACAGCTTGGACCCACCCCATGTATTGCAGAGGCCCAGGTTGAGCTAGGACGTTTTAAGAGCCCTGAGGCTGAGACACAGGGAGGGAGTGTTCCCTAAACCCAAGACCAGGCTGGAGCCACATTCTCTGGGGGGAGTGAGTAGCTGCCTGGCATTTTCCCTTTGATACTGATACAGGCATTTTAATAGCTGCAACCGATCAGGCGGGTGATGTTTCAGCTCTGGCCACATAGGGCATTCCAGGAGGCCCCGGCTGCCAGCAGGGGCAAAACAGGAAGGCTTCTCTGCCGAGGGTAGCTGAGGGTCCACCCTAGGGCCTCATCTTGGGGGTGTCTCACCATGGGTCTCAAAGTCAGATGTCAAGGGGGCCAGGCTGGTGGCCTAAGTAGGTGAAGCTGGCTTTGGAGAGAGAGTACTTTGGTAGCCTAGATGGCACACATCCATCTGAAAGGGGCAACCACCACACAGCACCACCTGATTGTACATGCTCAGTGTTGACAGGTCTCCCATTGTGCAAGAGAGACCAGAACTGGATGTGAAATCTCCTGATGTGTGAACAACCAATATTTATTGAGCACCTACTATGTGCCAAGCCCTGTTTTAGGCGCAGTGAATAGAACAGAACAGAAAAAAGTATCCAGGTCCTTGTCGAACTTACATTCCAGTGCTACAAAGAGACAATAAGTAAGAAAAATAAGCAAAAAAAAAATCCTAAGGAGGAAATAAAACAAAGTGGTGTGCTGGGGGAGGAAGAATTTTGGAGGAAGGGGTGCAGGAGGTGAGGAAGGCCTAACAGCAAGCCAGGTAGGTAGCTGGGAAGAGAACACCCAGGCAGAGAGCCCAGTAAGTGTGAAGGCCCTGAGGTAGAGAAAGCCCAGCATGTATGAGAGCTTCAGAGGCCTGTGTGATTACCCTGGCTGCCGTGTTGAGAAAGGTCTGCAGGGGCACGGGCAGAAGTCGGGCATTCGTTAGAAGGTTATCACAGTAATTAGGCCAGGTGGTAGTCATGGAGGTGGTGAGAAGGGGTCAGATCTCGGATGCGTCTGGCAGGTAAAGAACAGGAATTGCTAATGGAATGGGTGTAGGGTGAGAGAAATAGACATCAATGATAATTGTGAGGTTTTGAGCAACTGGTGGGATGGGGAAGCTGATGGTAGGGGCAGGTCCAAGGAGGAGTTGGGAGAGTCTATCAGAAGCTCAGTTTTGCCAGGCTAATTCTGAGATGCCTATGAAGGGCCATATCAAGCCAGCAGCCAGATAGATGCATCTGAAGTTTTGAAGAAAGGTATAGGTTGGAGGGCGTCATTCTGCATAGATGGCTTTGAAGCCATCAGACTGGATGAGGTACCCTAGGGAGCCAGTGTCTAGAGAAAGAAGTGAGACCCTGGATGTGGACCCTGTGACTTCCAACATTTAGACATCAAGTAGATAAGAAGGAATCAGCACAAGACTGAGAGGGCACAGCCAGGGTGGTGGAAGGGAAATGGGGAGAGTGCGTGTCCTGGGAGCCAAGGGCAGGAAGTGCCCCGAGGAAGAAGGGGGGTGAGCAAAGGCTGCAGCCTGGCTAAGAGGAAGCATGAGGACTGCCCACCAGATTTGGCAACCCGGAGGTCACTGGCAACCTGCAGGACAGTTCTTAGGGGACAGTAGGGGAAGAGCCAGGTAGGAGTGGTCCAGGAGAGACGTAGGAGGCAGCGAAGATTGTCATCCAGGAGTTTTTCTAGGGAAAGAGCTAACCAGAGTCAAAAGAGGATTATTCTCTTTTCCGTTTTTATGCTGGGAATAACAACAGCATATTTGCATAATGATTCCGTGAGGGTGGGCTAACTACAGCTAAATCCAGCTTGCAGCCCATTTTTGTAAATATATATTTTTTATGGGAGCACAGCCACACTGATTTGTTTCCAAACTATGGCTGCTTTGGCCTGCGATGGAAGAGTGGAGTAGGTGTGGCAGAGATCATGTGTCTCACACAGCCTCAAATATTTATGTTTGCCGGCCCCTGATGTAAATGATCCAATCTAGAGGAGGGGATTGATGAGGCAGGAAGGCAGGGGACTTGCTGGCGACAGGAGGGGTTGGCCCTCGTGGAAGCACAGATGGGGAGCTTAGGAGGAGAGAAGGGTGCTGGCAGGCGCAGATGCAGATGGACGGCACGTGTAGTGGTGGCTGCCTCTGGAAGCCCTCTTCTGCTTGCTTTTCTTCTCAAGGTCATCAGTTGACAATGAAGTTGGGGGAGGGGACGTTGGTGGTTTGGGGAGAGGAAGTGTGAAAACTCCCAGGACAGTGCAATGGTGAAGGGTTGAGGGAACCACAGAATGATTGCTGGGCTTCCGTTTGAGATCTGGATCATGAATTTAAAGTAAGATCAGTCGGCGAGGTTGTGTGTTTCTCCCGCTTTACCCTGCTGCCTGTGTGCAGGGGTGGGGTAGGAGGAGACGTTGGATCTAGCCAGGCTCGTGGCTTAGTGAACAGGGCGGGTGTCAAGGCAGTGGAGGGTGCAGACAGGGGGTGGTGATAATCACTGGCCACAGAATTTGAGCCGGGCACGGAGGGAAGTGACACATGGTAGTGATGGACAGTAAAAAGTTGGTAGGACCCGCAGGTTGAAGGCCCTGTGGGATTCGAGGGTCCCTGGGGCCGGGGTGTTAGGTCCTTGGGAAATGGAGATCTGTGGGCAGAGTGTTGAAGCCTAGGCTGTGGATGGGTCATGGTGCTGTTGAGATTTAATACTCTTTCAAAATAAACTCTGGGCAGGCCAAGAAAACACTTACACCCTGAACTGACCTGGTTTTCTAGCTGTGCCTGTGGTAGCTTTGCCTGCTCAGATGCCTCCATCCCCTCCAATCAAGGCTCCCGATTTCCGGGTCCACCTTTCCCACCTGCCTTCTCTCCCAAACTCCAGAGCTGCCCATGCCTACCCTGCTGGGTTCCACAAACTCGCCATCTTCCCACAACGTGCTCTTGCCGCTGTTATGTCCTAGGGGTGGCATCTTGGCTGCCCAAGGCAGGGCCTGGCTCCCACAACCACCCCAAATCCATCCAGTGCCCAGTTCCTTCTTCCTCCCACATCTCTCCACTGGGTGATGACCATGACATCCTCCAGAGAGGACCTCAGCCCAAGCGGTCTCACTGGTCTATACTCAACGGGCTGCTGGAGTGCCCTTTATACCACCCAAATTTGACCACATGACCTCCTTGCTTAAAACCTTTGAATGGTTCCTCCATGCTAGAATCCTTACCTGGGCACACAAGGCCTGGTTATTAGTCATGGTTCTCCAGAGAAACAGAAGCAATAGGCTGTATATAGATGCACAGAAAGCGAGTTATCAAAAGAGATTGGCTCATGTGATTATGGAGATGAGAAGTCCCTTAATCTGCCATCTGCAAGAAAGAGGCCCAGGAAAGCCAGTGGTGTAGCTCCACTTAAACCTGAAGGCCTGAGAGCCAGGAGAGCCAATGGTGTAAATTCCAGTCCAAGCCTGAAGGGCCAAGAACCAGTTGTGGTGCAGGGGGAGTCAATGTTCAAGGGCAGGAGAAGATGGATGGTCCAGCTCAAGCAGAGAGAGCAGAGTCTCCCTTCCTCTACCTTGTTCTACTCAGGCCCTCAACAGATCAGATAATGCCCACCCCCTATGGTGAGGACACTGTTCTTTCCTGAGTCTACTAATTCCAGTGCTAATCGACATACCTAGAAAGAATGTTTTCCCAGCTATCTGGGCATCCTTAGCCCAGGCAAGTTAACAGATAAAATTAACCCTCACAGCTCCCACTCCCGACTCAACACCCAGGCCCTCTGAAGTCTACAGTCACCTGCACACATCTGAGTATGCTTCTCCCACACCAAGCTCAGCTGTTTGCTGATGGACTGTGACTCATTCTCTATTTTGCAGTCTCACAATTAGTAGAAAATAAACATAGGATCTATTGAATAAAAGCATTGAACTTGAAGTTAGAGGACCCAGAATTTAAGCCCTCTGGGGTTTACTTGTTCAAGGCAATTCCCTTTCCCTTTCTGGGACTTAGTTTCCTGGATTATACAATGGGGCTGATTTCTAGCCTGCCTGTTGCACGGGTCAGTGATGAGGGTCAGGTGAAGTCTCAGGAAATGTGAAAGTCACATGGAGGTCTACCTTAGGTTGGGTTCCCAAGGGAACAGTCTCCAAAGTGGAGGTCTATGAGTAGATGACTTACTTATTTGACTTATTGGCATCAACATAGGAGGGGGAGTGAGGGAAGCAGTTGGGCAGAGGAGGGGCTGAGCTGTGATACAGTCATGACAGAGGCCCCAGCTGGTCCTGTGGGAGCTCCGTAGCTGGGGTGGCCCTAGAGTCAGTCCAATTTGAGGCAGAGGGGCCAGGTCTGCATTCCTCCTGTCTATCAGTAATTGAATATGGGTTGCCTTTGGGGGAGAGTGTGACCCTGATCAAGGCTGCTTCCTTGAGCTGAGAGCAGCTCCCAGAAAGAGGCTCAGCCATCAGCAGCCAACACTCCCAACAGCTAAACCACTGGTCTAATCCTGGGAGCCTGGATGGCCCACCACAGCACCCATGAGCTGTGGTGCTTTATGGCTGTCAACAAGCCCCAGAACCAGTGGCAGGGATCCATGTTACACATTCAAAGTCTCTGCCCCTGCCTTAATGACCTGCCTTCCTGCCCCCCACATTCCTATCCCATGTCCTCACTCAGATCACTCCAGCCACACTTCACCCCTTCCTGTTCCTCAGATGCTCCATGAACAATCCTGTCTCTGAGCCTTCGCCTCTGCTGTTCCCTCTGACTGGAACACACTTCCTCCAGACATCAAAGGATTCATTTTCTTACTTCCTCCAAATACCGCATGACTCATTTTCTTACCTTCCTCTGGGTTTTTGCTCAAAGTCCCCTCAAAAAGAGGACCTTCCCTGACCTCCTGGTATAAAAAAACCACCTTCCATCATTCTCTGTCCCCTTGCTTTACTTTATTTTTCTCCCAGCATTTATCACTGCCTGTTACACATTTTTTGTTTTTCTATTGATTTTTTTCTTCCACAAGAAGTTATGCCCCTCTAGGGGTGTGCCCCATGAGGATGGAGCAGGGGCACCACCCACTCATGCCACAAATTCTGTCTCCAGCCCAACCCTGTGATGGCAGCTTGCTCAGTGCTGCTGCTGAGTGGGTGACAACTCCGATGGTTACAACCTTTAGCCAAAATGCTGCCAACTCCTCTGGTCTTGGCTTGTCAGTCATTTAGCCGACCTGTGTCATGTGCCTTCTGGGTGCCAGGCCCCCAGGTGATTGGTGGGGAGGGATGTGGAGGCAGGTTCGTACAGTCCCTTACAGGAAAGCAGCATTCATGAGCCAGGCTCAGAGCTGGCTATCACCAGAGGGGCTATCACCAGACTTTGGCCTGGGGGCTCATTTGTTTGCCCAGCGGCCGCTCTGTGCCCACCTGTACCTTGGCCTCAACATTCATCCTCCTAATTGTTACTCAGCCTCCCCTTTCTAAGTGAGGGTCCCCACTTTGGGGTGTTTCCCCTCTTCTGGTCTACCTTGATCTCGGCCCCCTTCTGCCCTCAGAGCCCCCCATCCCATCTGTCACTGTGTTCCCTCCCCAGGCATTTGCACTCACCTTCCTCCAGCAGGTGGAGCGGGCTTTGTGCCAGGAGGCGTGAGTTCACACCTCAGATCCACTACATCCTGGCTGTGTGACCCTCAGCAAATCACTCTACTTGCTCTGAATCCTTGTGAAGCTTTCTGACCTTCCCTCCCCACCCCCAAACCAGAGGCGATACCACCCTTATGACACCTCCCATATTACTTTCTTCACCTCTCTTGTGGCCCACACTGAGTGGCAAAATTTCACAGTAGTGAGGAAGCAAATAGCTCTGGCTGTCATCCTAACTCGTCAACCTTGTCAGGGTAGGGACTACAGTACATCAGGTGCAGTCAGTCCTGGCCAGCCAGAGCACAGGCTTCATGTGGCCAGGTCTTTCAGTTAGTTTTTCAAGAGAAATTACAAATGCAGATTTGCACATGAAACCACCCACTTCAAAATATTGGCAACAAATTCAATAATAATAATGATTTAAAGCTCACTGTGGGAACCAAATAAAATACACTGAAAGGCCTATTTGGCCCTGGGGCTACCAGCTTCCTATGGCTGCATGAGCATCACAGTGTGGGTTTGAATCCCAGCTCTGTACCTTACTTCAGCCTTGACCTTGGCCAGGTGCAGTCTCCTCTCTGTGCTTCAAGTCCCTTACCTGTGACATGAACATGGTAATAGCTAACATTCATTGAGAACTTCCTGGGTATCAGGTGCCATTCTTTCTATGCATTAATCTTTCTAACTTCGCAGTAATCCAATGAAGTGAGGACTCTTATTAGCCCAGAGTCTGAGAACTGTGTGTTAGTCCAGTCAGCCTGGCTCTAGAAATATCCCTGTTAATGGCTAGTCTGGCCAACTTTGTTGCAAGAATCAAGTAAGAGTCCTTATGAGACCCTTGTCACATTGCCCTGTGCAGTGTAAGCCTGCAGAGTTGACACACAGGGGAATCCTGCATGCATGGTCATTACGCTTGCTCTTCTCCACTTGCCACCATGAACATGACAACTCCTCGAGGGTCGGGGTGTTCTACCTCTCTGATGCTCCCACCTCTTTGGGACCTTCCAGGTAGGCTCAGTGATTTGAAGGGAAGTGAGGAAGATATTTGGTGGAGGGGTGCAGAGAGCCTTGCCATCCCCCTACTGCTGCACCCCTGCCCAGCTTGCAAATGCTAGCTTTGTAAGGGACACCAGAAGAACAGAAGGCACTGTCCCTGCCCAGGGGTCCATCAGGAGCCCAGTCCAAGGCAGAAAACAATTAGCAGAGAGCTGAGAAAAGCATGTCATTGTGCACATGAGCATGAGGTGCAGGAAGATGCAACTGGTTTATAGGATCCTGTGTTTGGGGTTAATTTCTTTAAGAGTGCTCCAAAGACATCAGACGCTGTGATTACCGGGATGGGCTTTCTTGTCTGCTTGTTATTACCCAGATGCCCGGTGGCCAGTGGAAGGCCATTAACTGCCTGTCTTTGATCCAGGAAGAGTTCTGCCGGTTTCCCCCTCTTCCTGCCCTCCTCGTCAGCCCACAGCTGCTTTCCAGGGCTTGGTGTCTACGAGCTCCTGGTGACTCCTCTTGTCTGTCTCCTTGTACAGAAATGGAAGCTCCACTCAAGGAGGCGCCGGGAGGCCCCAAAGACATCTCCAGGATGTAACTGCCCACCAGGTAAGCAGCCCTGCAAATAGGTGACCGCGGATGTTCCTAAGACTGAGACCAGAGGCTCTTCCTGGTGGCCATGCTCTAGCCACACCTCACTCAGGCCGTCACTTTTCATTTGAAAGACAGGAGTGACAATATCTGTGGTTGCCTTCCATCTGCTCACAGATTGGCCTGCCTGCCCCGCATCCATCAGTCCACCCACCATTCATTTGTTCATAGAGTATTTTATGGGCCTGATACTCTTTGAACCAGGTTGTGGTGAAGTCGGATAAGATGATGGGCATGACTGTTTTGAAAGTTATGAAGTGCTATGCAGCGTCAAAGGGACCATCAGCCCCCCAAGGGGAGGCACCTTGCTTGCTGTGTTCATCATTGTGTCCCCAGCTTCCCAGGTATACAAAAATGTTTGTTACCTGAATGAATGACCCTATAATTGTAAGACCTTATTTTCTATAGCTAGCTGGATTAGGGCAATGTGTGTTCACTATATGGCCTCTAGGCTACATGCAACACACACATGCTTACATGCAAGGAATGAAGGCACAAGCCAAAGGTCGCAAGGTGATACTGTGTAATACAGTGAACTGGTCTAATCTAGAACAAAAATCTGCTTTCGCCACTTACTAGCTCTGTATGGGTGGAGCCCTGACCTGTCTATTCTAGTGCTTTCCTCTGTATCCTTGGGCCTGTTCCTCAACTGTGTCTATTCACCTGTGTAACAGCTGCGTACTAAGGACCTGCTGGGCACCATGCAGTGTGTCGGGTTCAAGTGCATTGTCCACCATGAATGCAAGTGATAAGTTACAGCTTATGAGAAATTTTCTAGGTGCCTGTTACTTTTCTAGGTGCCTGTTATTGTTAAGCCATGAGAGTGACAGATGAGGAAGTTTCACTGTTTCCCTGAGGAACTAGAATGCACTGTACCTCTTTAGAGGTGGGGAAGGAAGGCCTAAAGAAGAGTTGCAGGAGACAAGGTATCACATTTAAGTAATGGCAGAGAGTTTTGGTCCGCTACTGGCCTCTGCCAGCTCAGCGTGTGGCCTCCTCGATACCCACGGTGGCAGGTGGCACTAGCAGGGTGCTCACTGGGCTCTCTGGCTGGCCCTCCTCTGGCCTCAGAAGCCGAGGGACCCAAGTAACACTCACCCAGGTCCCCAAGCCAGGGAAGAGAGGCTGACAGATGTTAAGCATATGGGAAACGAAGGACCGCATTTGCTGGAGAGTGAATGGGCTGGGGTGGGAGTCACAGTTCCAGGATGCTGCCCTGGGAGACAAGGAGACCGTGAAAAGATTCAGCTGGACCCGGTGAGAAGAGGGTCGTCCGGGTTAATTAAAAGGGTGTCCAGAAGCCCTGGGAAGCTCCCTCCCTCCCTCTGGGCCCAGAAGATAGGGCCCGGGGGTCTGGGAAAGCTTTCAGGAGAGGAGTGCCAAGATTAATGAGATGGGGTGGAGGCAAGGGTTGGGTGATGGGGCCTGGGCAGAGAGACCGTTCGCATCAGGGCTCATGGGACAGCCCATGTTTCCAAGGATCATGTCTGTTGCCCTTATAACTCTTGGGCAATGACAACCGATTTTTGCTCAGCGTATAGAATGCTGGTCAAGGGCAGGATATTTGAAGCCACAGAGGATGTAGGTTTGAATTCCATCTCCAACATGGACCAGTCTTATGACCTTCAGAGAGTTATTTAACCTCCTTGTGCCTCAGTTGCCTTGTCTGAAAAACAGGGACAATAGACACCAGCAAGGTAGAGATTCCTCGAGATAATCCTGGGAACTGCTTAGCATCTTCTCTGATTCCTAGTAAGCATGATTATGATTATTTTCTCAACTGCCTCTCGCACTTCAAAGATGCAGAGAAATCCTTATCAAATGCCATGTCCTAGTGTTGGGGGCACATTTGTGGCCAGGCAGAGACTTGCCTTTCTCCCTTCCCTGCCTTATTGGGGAAAGCACATCAGTTGTCTGATGGCCTTCAAGTCCATCATCAGAGTGGGTGGTTCTCAAGAGGTTTCAATATTGTGCCTCAGAAAGTCAGGCTCAGGTAGTCCTGGGAGGCTGGGAGCTGGGGAGGAATGTGGCAGGAGGGGGAAGGACTTGGAAGAGTGCTTCTCTTCTCCCTGCCTGCTGGGAGTCTGTGTGGAACCCACTGGTCCTGGGCAGTGAGGAGAAGACCATGAAGCAGCTCAGAGGGTCAGGGGAGGAGGAAACACCATGGGGAGAAGAAAGGGCTTGACCTTGGTCCTCTGCGGGGAAGGGACAGCAGCAAGGGCTGAGTTGGCCAGGCATAGAGGAAGAGTGGGCAGGGGCTCCTGGAAGGGATACCCCTGCATGTTGAGAATTTCTAAAAAGGCAGTTTGGCCCAAAGCATACATCAGAGCCAGTGGGCAATGCCTGAAGAATTTAAAGAGAAGGCCCCAAACTCAGGCAAAATCAGAGGGAACTAAGATGCTGTTCCGGCCTTTCGTAACTGAGTCAGGGAAGGACTGGAATGGCCACACGGAAGCATTTCACATCATGGAATCACAGCAAAATCTCCTAGGATGGGCTGGGTCCTGCTGGGTCCCCTGCCCTGCCTCTCTCTGACTGACCTGAGGCTTCTCATGCCTTGGTACAGTAACCTCCTCAACAGCAAACCCAACCTATTATAAATAATAGCAGTTACTGCCACTGTGTCCCACTTGAGCACCTACTATGTGCCAGGCACAGGACTGAGCACTTTATGTGCATTGGTAACCTTCCTCAAAATACTAAAAGTAGGTAGAAGGGAATTCAGTTCTAACACTCTGGAATGTCTGAACATCCTCAAATTCGCAAAGAGAACATCACTGTCATTCTTGCCCTTACATCATGCATTTCCGATTATCTCCTGAGGGTCGGAGTTTATAAACAACTTTAAGGCTCCTGATCCTTGCAGAAGGACTCATACAATTGTCAAGTGCCACATACAAATTCAAAGCTTGATTTACTTTTGTCTTGCAGCACCTAATACTGTACCCCATACATAGTAGATGCTCTGTGAATGTTCAATAAATGAGTATCAGTAGTCATTGCTGATGACTGGCTGCTTCCTCGTGTTCTCCCTCTGCCATCTGATTGGTTTCAGACACCTTATCCCTCACCCCACCCCAAATCTTGCCTGATGCTGAATTTACTGCTATTGGGACAAAACAAACACACTCTTCCTGCCCACTGCGGTTGCTGAGATGGAAGCCTCGATCCTCAAAGTGGTGCCTGCCCTCTGTGGCCAGCTAGGCCAAGCCGGAGTCCTGCGGTGGGTGTGTTCTTCCTTGTGGCAGCCTTGGGGCCCTGGGCGGCACCCAGAAGGCCTGGGACACATAATCATGGGCAGAAAACCTGCCTCTTTCCCTTTCTATCTGACCTTCCCAGCATCCTCCTGGGATCCTCCCTGTCCCAAAATAGCCATCTACTGGCTGAGATCTGGCTGCATCCTGCTTCTGGGCTGCATGCGCTGTTTGCCAAGGGAGTGATGGGCTTGCAGGCCTGAGAAGGATGCCAAAGGTCAACCCTCAGTTAGGAGGGTCATGGCTGCCAGAAGTTCAGAGGAATAGGTGTGGGCCATTTGCACAGCATATGGCCTGGTGGGATAGGAGAATGGTCTTGGGAACAGATATACATACCATGAGACTTCCTAGGCCACTTGAGAAAAATACAAAGACCAAGGAAACTTTCCCATTATCTGTCCCTTTTCTTATTAACAAATGAGGAGCAGGACATTATAGTCTAGCCAGCGAGGAAACAGCTACTTCAGGCCCGCCACGCTGGGGCTGGGTGGGGCTGGCCTGTGTCAAGTCCAGGGTGGGGCAGGCAGTGTGAAGGATGACACGTTTTTCACCCAGAGGGAAGAATGGCTAGCTCAGCTGCTGAAGGAAATCACTTCGCTGTCGGAGCCTCATCTCCAAGGGAAAGGGTAGGCCAGAGTCATGCCCTGACTGCCAGGCCAAAGGGCTTTGGACTGCAGCAGTGGTGGCATGGGGGTGATGTGGTCAGGCTTGTGCACTAGCGCCATGACCAGCACTGCAAAGAGGACGGATGAAAGCGGAGAAGTCGCCTTCAGCCAGCCTAATGGGAGAAGCCACAGCTGCCTTCCGGGTCAGTGTGCTGGTGAGGGGTGCATGAAGTGCCCAGGAGCCAAAGGAGCTGGGGCTCTGGGAAAACTTCACCAAGGAGAGGCCTTGGAGGTTGTTCAAAAGGAACAAATAAGCAAGTAGGAAGGCATATTGTTAGGGCATCATAGACTCCATATGGTGTCCACATAGACACCATAACAGGAGACCCCCCAAATACAAGGACTTAGACAAGGTGGAGGTGGAGGTCTCCCTTCCCTAGCAGGCCAGGGCTGGGAGCTGGCTCTGCCATCTTCATCTTGTGGCATCCTTCTCTGGCAGATGCTTCGGTTCTTGCCACCCCATGACCAACACAAAAGGGGAATGGGACAAGTGGAGTATGTGCTCAAACCCTCAAGAGCAAAACTTGAAAAAAGAGACACAGATCACTTCTGCTCACAACCCATTGGCCAGAACTTAGTCACGTGGTTACCCCCAGATTCAAGGGAGGCCAGGCAGTATTTTTCATGGGTGGCGATATGCCCAGATAGAACTTTATTACGATGGTAGGTGGGAAAACAGATATCAAAGAACAACTAGCATACTGCACAGAGGACATTCCAGGCTGGCTGAGGGACTGTCATGGACAAAAACTCGGAGGAGCAAGAAAAAGGCAGTAAGTTTCGGGATGACATGCAGTTGAAGAAATCTGGAGCTCAGAGCAGTAATGAGAAATGAGGGTGGGAGGAGATGTCAAGACTACAAAGAGTCAGGCTGAGGCTGCCCGGCTCCCTCTGTCCAGTAGGAGGCAAATGATTTCATCCAGAGGGTGATTGATTGGTAATGGCTGCCTGATTGATTGGGGGGCTGTGCTGAGTCAGCTTCTGAGGCTGTATCCAGGTTCAGCAGAAAATGTGGTAATTGCTTATTGATGTCTGCTCTGGATACAGGAGTGGTGGGGGAGCAGTGCCTCTGCCCTGGCTGTGCTGTCCTCACAGGAGATGATGTGGCATCAGAGAAGGTTTGGGGAGCAGGGATGTCACCTGATACAATTTGTATTCTAGAACAATAACTAGCAGTGATGTGGAGGCTGGCCTGGAGGGGAGAGCAGCCCCTTCCAGCAACAAGAGTCTGCGATCCTACGAATAGGGCTTTATTTTCTTATGAGCTGCTATTTACCTTTGGGTTGTAATGGCCTCTCCAGCCTTGGTTGTTTTTCCACAGCTGATGAGAGCTGATGCCCACACATCCTAAACCCTACTCTCTAGCTAGCCTTGCCTTATTTTCCCTGGCACCAGACTTTGCCCCCAACAGCCTCATGACATTTACATGGGCAGGACCTGTAGCCAGAGCTTTGGTCACAAACCAGGCTCCTCTTACCTCCCCTGTGCTGCAGCAGCGCAGACCCCGAGCCCCGCTTCTTTGTGGTCCTTCTTATTTCAGACTTGATTTATTTCAGATCTTAGGAATCTGCAGACCAAAGCGTCCTTTGTTTCTATCAATGAAGAAAAGATTCAAGAGTTGATGGTTATTTTAGGGAGAATATTTAAACTAAAGGTATACTGTTTCAGGTAGCTCCAAAACCCTGCTTTACATGCAAATAATTGATGGGCTACTTCGGGGTCATTCTTGCTATTTCTTAAAGCAGATCCCCTGGGGCCAGCCTACTAAGAGATCCTCCTGTTCGATTGCTGTTCTCGTCAATATTCAGACTCCCCCTTGTTCTGCTGCAGCCAGAGTGGTGTGCTTTCCCCTGCGATGTTAGCCTCAGTCCTCCCCACCCCCATCTCTTCCTCCTGACTTTGCAGCCCCACCGCATGTCCCATCTGGCCTCCCAGACACCCAGGTGCAAACCCACAATAGCAACATCAGTGCCCCCTTCGCCTTCACCCACTGCACTCCATCAGCCAGGTTCTGTCAACTCCACTCCTCTGCTCAAAAACCATCCATGGCTCCTCAGTGCTCATACCCCCCATCCCAAAGATAAGCCCACTTTGTCTCTCTAGCCTGATCTCTGACCAGTCTTCCGCTGTCCTGCTTTTCTTTCAGTAAAACTGGGCTGCTCCCCTGCCAGAACTTACAGTGTCCCACTTGCACACAACTCATGCTATTCTGGTATCTTTGTTCTCAGTTTCTACCTAGTGAACTCTTCACCCCTCCATGTCAGCTACATCATCCCTGCAGCTCCTTCCATCCTCTCCTCCCCACTTGGCCTCGGCCATGAGTTCTGCTGTTTGATGAGTATGTTAACGTAATGCCTGGTGTATGCTCGATGTACAATCCAGGCAAAACCACCCACTGGGACAAGTAATTTGTCCTAAAATGAGAAGTGCAAACAGACCAAGATGTATACACCTGCAGAGGTTTCTCCCTGACTGCTAGCATTAACCATTTGCTTTAGATGGTGTAGGTGCTTGAGAGCAGCATGTAGTATGAGTCTCTTACACAGCAAGAGTAGCTTTTGTGGGTTTCCAGCCAGGGAGAGCCTTCCCACCTACAAACCACACTGGGCAGCTTCCTTGCCATCTCCGCCTGGATCCTCAAACGGCACACAATGAAAGCCAGCACCTTCCCCCCACCTGGCCCTTTCCAACATTCTCGACCTCTCCCAGCATCTAAGCCATGACCTGGGCTTCAGGCTGAACACCACCATTTCCCTCACACCCCGTCAATCACCAAGTCTCATTCATCCCACTCTGTCAATTTCCTCCACCTCCACCGTCATCACCCTTGTTCAGGGTGCTGCCACCTGACCTCCTCCAAACCCTTCTTTACACAGAAGCCAGAATGGTATTTTTAACATTGATGTATAACTCCAGATAACCAAAGCACTTCAGTACTTTCCATCACCCTTAGGATAAAGCCCTAAATCCCTAACACAGCTTGTTACCTGCTCTGACCCCCCTCGCCATGATCCCTTCTGCATTCCCAGCAGGCCCCCTGGCAGCACTGGTGCTGCTGGTTGTCTGACCACATTTGGAGTAACAGACTATGGCTGACGGGAGCCCTGGCCAAGCCAGACAGAACGTTATGCTTTAGAAATCAGCCAGTCCATAAAGCTTGGACTCTTGGCTCCAAACGAAGGCCCTTCCTTGGCTGTTGCAGCCCCATTTCAGGCAACTGGCCTGCTCCACAAGGAAGGTTGACCATCACCTTGGAGAGGGCCCTGGGTTTAAGGAGCACCCCCACCCCCCACAGCCATAGCTCTCTATGCCCCTCATGGGGTGGAGGGTCAGGTAACTGGCGTGGGTGAGGCCAAAATGACCACAGCTGCTGGGAGACCAGGTGCTGCGCGGCTGCTAAAATGCTCCACCATCTGCCCCTGGAAGAGCCTTTTCTCTCAAGGCCCTCTGGCTCTGCGTTTCAGAAATTCCTGGGGAATTCTCCAAAGTTCATTTCTTCCCCATTTCCTCCCAAAAGCACTTCCAGATCCCCAGCCCTCCTGGACGCTGCTGATAATGTGTTTCTCCTAGATCCGCTCTGATAACACTGGGGTGGTCGGCTGAGATTTGTAGGGAAATAAAAATAAGGAAATGGAGGGTTCCGGAAAGGCCAGAAGAGCCCTGGACTGGGAATCAGTCCCAGACCTTGAAGGACTCTGAGCAGATTACTCTCCTCTCTCTGGGCTTTGGTTTCCTCGCTGATATAAAAAGGTGAATGACTGAAAAATCATTTGGCAGTATCTGGTAAAGTAAAGAATCGTGTCCAATAAAGCAGCTCCCTTCCTAGGCACTTCTGAGAGAAATGCTCGTCTGTGCGTAAAAGAAGAAGAGATGCTCACTGCAACACTACTGTAGTAAGAAAAAAGGAAAAGAAAAGAAAAGCCTAAATATTTGTCAGCAGGAGTGTGCAGAGATATGTTGTGCAGTATTAAATTGCAGTACTTTCATCAATGAAAATGCACACACAGTAAACAGGATAAACGAGACCTTCAGACTCAGCAATTCCAGGGCTGGATCTCCTCCTCTGGAGGGAAAAAAGCAAACGACAAGAGAATATTTACAATATAAGTCATTTATCTAAAGTTAAAAACATAAAGACAACACAATACAATCTTCAACAACTATATGCATAGATAGTAAACACGTAAAGAAATGATGGAAATGGTAAACATCAAATTCAGCAGGGAGGAGGGACTGGGTAGAGACTGGGGTGCTTAGGGAGGTTCAGCTACATGGGTAGCTATTAGGCTGGGTGGTGGGTACGCCAGGTTCAGTACATATTTTTTGTAATAACTTTATTGCGATGTAATTCCCATATACAATTGGTCGATTTAAAGTGTACAATTTGATGGGCTTTCTTACATTCACAGAGTTGTGAAACCATCACCACAATCAGTTCTAGGACATTTTATCGTCCCAAAAAAGAAACCCCATTCCTTTTGGCAGCCATCCTCCATTTTCGCCCGCCCTCCGACCCCCAGCCCCAGGCAAGCGTTAATCTACTCTCCATCTTTATGGATTTAGCATAATGTTTTCAAGGTTTATCCATGTTGTAGCATGTATCAGTACTTCATTCCTTTTTATTGCCAAATAATACATTATATTGCTTTTAAGCCTCTCTGAATGTCTGAAATATTTCAAGATAAAACATATTTAAATCATAAAGTTAATGAACGGATGTTGTTGAATTAGAGGATGTTGAAGGAATCCTTCATGTCTGCCTCTAAACCTAATTGGCGGTCTTTACCAGCAAGGATGTATCATTGCTTGCTGCCTAAATCCCGTGTGTGTGCACCCTCAGCCACCTGTGGGCTGGCAGCAATGGTTCTAACCCTGCCAGGACCCAGACCCAGGGGGTCAAGCCCTGCTCAGCTGGACTCTGACACCTGACCCCCTCTGTGGTGCTCTGAAGCGCCCTTGCTCTTCCTCTGCCTGTGCTCAGTGTCACTTCCTCTGAGATGTCTCCGTTGAATCTCCCAGACACAGCTGGGGGCCCTTTTTCTCAGTTCCTAGAGCTAGAAAACTAACTCACCATGGGGTGGCTATTTGGTCCCCTGGTGAGAGAGCAGCAGCCACGCTTACAGCCCTGCAAGCTTCTCAAGCTTCTGAGCATCAGTCCTCACCCTAGGAAAATGAAGATGTTGGTGCTTGCCTGATAGACTCGAGGTGATAGGGAGATAAGTTATGTATGAAATTTTTCAGGGGTGGTGAAGGATTTGCTTTTATGCCTCTGACTCACTCACTGGACATGAAGATTGTCCTGGGCACGAGCTGTGCTGTCTGCAGGAAGGAGCAATGGACTGGCTTCAGGACTTGCAATACCCACTGCCCTGGGAGAGGCAGGCTAACCCAGCAGTTACAGGTGTGGGCTCTGACTTCCCAGTAAATCCCAGTAGTCCCAGTTCTACTCCTTGTTAGTCATGGTACTGTGGATGGGTTACTCTCTTGACCTCACATAAAATGGGAATGACAGCACCTACCTTGTTGGACTGATGGGCTCAATGTGGGGCCCGACACACACTTGGCGGGAAATGATTGTTAGTTGCCACGATGATGGTGATGACGACATGAGTGGAAAAGGGCTTCAGGTGACATGGGGCTGTGAGGAGAGGTCATAGTCTTTGCCCAGTTGCATTCAGCCATGTGAGGTCCCGAAGGCAATGGCACGCTTGCCACTGAATGCAAGGAGGTAATGTGGTATGGCTGCTCAAAGCGTTGGCCTACTCCTACTTCCCTGATCTGCCCTGTGGAAGGCTAGGCCCTTCCAATGCTATGAAAAATGCTGGATGTTCTATTTATGAGACACTGTGCTAAGGCACTGCAAGAGATGGGTGAAAGGTATACCCACCCTTAAAGATGTGATGTGGGATTTGTCACAGGTTTAGGGGCCTTAGTTGGAATCCCAGCTCTCTGTCTAGCTCTCCAGCACAGCAAAAGCCACCTACCCTCTCTGAATTTTCACTTGCTCATCTCTTACATGTAAATAAGGATCTTACAGGGTTATTATGAAAGTTCTTGGTCAACCATGGAGATACAAATGGAGAATATTTGGCGGACCTCGTGGCACAATGGTAGTGCGTCTGACTCCAGATGGAGGATATTATGGGAGGGGAGTTGGACTGGTGCACAATCCAGTTATTTTGTAGAAGGTAGACCTTGTTGAGTGCTGTGGGATATAAATAAAGGGCTGTGGACAGGGCAGGGGAAGGGTGAATTACAAGTGCAGGTGACCATTGATTCCTTGGAGGAGACACTGGAACTTGCTGGTGATACTTAGTGTTGGAGGGCCTTGGAACCCCCGGTTTATGAAGAAAGACTCGCCCTCCTTCGCCCCACTCCATCCAGCCACCATGCGGAGCAGGAGCTTCTGGAGAGCAGGACTTGCCTTAAAGGCTGTGTTTGTGCCCCTTCTCCAGACAGAGTCGGGCATCCTCTCTCCACATCCTGAGAGGGAATGGGCTACATTTGTAGCAGCTGTAGTTGGGTTGGAAGTGATTCTGGATTTTGCAGGAAATCCATTGTCCAAGGAACTCTCCAGGGACAGTCAGTAGGAGAACGAGGGGCAACTGCAAGTGCCTCGAAGGTAGACCGCAGCACGCACTGCCTGGTCACCTCTCCCTGTCTGCCAGGCTGCCTGTCTCAGAGAGACCAGTGGAAGAGTCCTGAGGAAGAAAGACACCATCCTGTTCCAGCTCCCAGGGGCGTCATTCACTCCCACAATGATTCCATGTGTTTGTATCACACCCTCACCCATCAGAAGCCTTTCCCTTAGCACCTGCCCTGTGAGGGTGGAAACTGCAGCCAGAGGAGTTAAGTGAAGAAGGACTGCCCTTCTGGGCAGTTACAATAACTGGAAGTTACAGTAACTAGATTGAGCACCCCCACCTCTCCACTCCTCACCTCAGCCCAGGCCAGGAATCAGCAGCCAGACTTCTGGACTGCCTACGTGCTCTTTAGGGCTCCAGGATGAACATGAACTACATCAACAAGCAGCCTGGGTCCACCTGCGGGTAGAGGGCTGCTCCAGGCCCTGTGTTCAGTGCCGTGGGATGCAAGGTGATCAGGCAAAGTTCCTTGGTTCAGGGCTGGGCAAGTGCTAAACAGAAGCATAGGCATCTAGTTTGGGAAATGCAAGAAAAGGAGTGACTACTCCTGAAGGGAGGAATCAGAAATGGCTGCATGGAAGAAGTGGCATTTGAAGGAATCCCTGAATGGCAAGTAAGATTTCAGTAAATGAGAATGTGCATGAGGACATTTTAAAACAATGAAACAACATAATAAAGAATAGAGACCTGAACAACTGTGTTTTTTCCACACACACCCCCACACCCCACACCCCACTCTGGGAAATGAGGAATGATCTGGAGCGGTTGTAGTAAGCTCCTGCGGAGGGATGGAGTAGGAGGTACGGCTGGAAAGAAAAGTTGGGGGTTGGGGAGGCAGACCGTGGAGGGAGTTGGACACCACCCTGAAAGCCAGCTTCTATTTGGTGGGTAGCAGGAAACCACGGAAGGTTTCTCAGAGGGATGTGATGTATCCAGCTGTGTATAGCTCAGTGTAGAGGGTGAATTAGGGGCAGGAGAGAAGCTGGGAATGGGCAGCAATGATCTCTCTAAGGCAGCAGTCCCCAGTCTTTTTGGGACCAGTGGCCAGTTTTTCCATGTATGGGGATGGGGGGATGACTTCAGGATGAAATTGTTCCACCTCAGATCAGCAGACATTAGTTCAATTCTCACAAGGAACCTGCAACCTAGATCCCTCGCATGCGCAGTCTGCAATAGGGTTTGGGGTCCTGTGAGAATCTATTGCCACCGCTGACCTCCTGCTGTGAGGCCTGGTTCTTAACAGGTCACAGTCCAGTCCAGATCTATGGCCCAGTGCTTGGGGACCCCCGCTCTAAGAGAAGACACAGAGAAGCAGAGGAAGCAGGTGAGGGGAGTAACGAGAGGGAGGTTGCAGAGGTAACATTAGCAAGTTCTAGCTACCTACTAGGTGTGGGCCAAGGAGGGGTTGAGGCAATTATGAGCCTCTGAGCCCAGGTAACTAATAATAACCATGGCATATATTCAACAGATGACCTTGGGCCTTGTGCTTTAAATACAATATCACTTACATTCTGATCAAGCACCCTATGATGTAAGGCTATGGCTATCCACATTTCAAAAATGAAGAAACTGAGGCTCAGAGATGTTCAGGGTTTGCCTGAGGTCCACGGATAAGGGACAGAGGCAGGACTTGAACCCAGGACTTTCAATGCCAGCGCCTTTGCCCTCCGGACAAGGCAGAGCAGAAGGGGGGTAGGTTGGAGAGGAAGGGTCAAAGTTCTGTTTGGGACAAGCTGGAGGTTGGGAGGTGGGGGATGCAGGATGCCTCATGGAAATGCTGAGGGCCCTGGAACAGTTCGTCCAGAGGGAGAGGGGCTAGAAGCCCATTCTGAGCTTGTGGACTTAGAGAAGAAAGACCTTACCTGTAGCCATCGTCTGGGGACAATGCTCAGGGAAGTGGCCTTACCTGTAGCCACCTGCCAGCAACACTACTCACAGAAGAGAGAGAACAGGAGTGCATCTTGCTGGAGAGCTGGCTAGAAGCACTGAGGTGGGAGACTTTCTGCCCCAGGACATGCCCAGAGCCCAGGGCCCTGTGCCCCTTCACCCAGGACTCACAATCCTGCCCGCAGCACACATGGGTGCTGTGCAGCTTGTCCCAGGCTGCTGGGGGCAGATGAGCTCCCTGCCCTAGACCCAGTGGAGGGTCCCTTGATCTTGCCACCACCTGCTCTGCCCTGAAGGAGAAGGTTCTGCCACAGTGACGCTAAAGGAATGCCAGATGCTCCTTTGGAGGAAAGGAGCAGCAAGTGGGAAGAGCCCGCGACCTCTGCTTGGGCAGTTATAAGAGACTAGAAGGTGGGACATGCCAGACCCATGGATGCAGTCCCTGGCTCTTCCTCCTGGACCCACCCAGGCTGCCCACTCCCTCGATGACTACCCCCACTCTTGTCATAACCCAGCCAGCCTCTCCCCTGTTACTCCCTGGCAAGTTCCTGTTCAGCCACTAAGGCGACTTGGGTGGCCTCTGCTGGCAGTGGCACTCTTGTCCCCACACACCTGGCCCTCTTCACTGCACCCTCCCACCAGCTCTCCAGGTTACGACTCACACTGCCCTATTCTCCTGATGAGGACCCTGAAGCTCAGAATTCTTTGCTCGAGGATACAGGGTTAGGCAGTGGCAGGGTTGGGACTGGAAATAAGCTCTGAAACATCAGAAGGCAAATGCCCCCCAGGGACCCAAGTGCTACCCTGGAGCACAGTGGGAAACCGAGGACTCGGCAGTGGCCGTGATGCTTGTCCAGGGAGCATGGAGTCAGATAAGGCTGGAGGACATTAATTAGTAATGATAACAACAACATCTATTAAGGGCTTACTCTGCGCCTGGCACTGTGATAAGCACTTTATTGCATTGTCTCATTTGATCCTCATAATTACTTTATGTGGCAGGTACTATTATTATCTCCATTTCCATAGAAGACTGGGGCCCAAAGAAGTTCTGTAACGGGGCCAAGGCCACAGAGCTAGTGTGTGTTGAAGCCAGAATTTAAGTAGTCTGAGTCTGGGCAAACCAGAGCAGCATCAGAAGCTCCCCCTGCCAACCTCTAGCTATCTCTCTCTCTCACTCCCTCACTCCCCACCAAACAGTTTTTGAGCACTGGTTCTGTGCCATGCCCCATCCTCAGGAGACAGAGAAGAGCCCACAGTCCAGGAAGGGGAAACACACGGGTAACTCAGTGGCTGCTGCAGAGACCCAGGGCTCCGGTGGGGCTAGGCGGTGCCCAGTGTGGGCTACAGTCCCAGGGCCGCATCCTCCAGGATTCCAGCCCTGGGAGGCCGGCCCCAATCAAGGCGGGGCCAAGGCAGGGACACAGGTCTAGAACCACACTGTTGGTGGCTTGTGCAGCTGGCATTTGGCCCTGAGACATCAGATCTGGGACTCAGAAGGGACCCCAGAGCTCAGCTGACTCGGCTTCCTGGTGAGAGGCCCTCCTACCATGCAAAGGGGAGCTGGCTATGCACATATAAGCAGGGGAGGGAGGGGAGGGTCAGAGCTCCAGCTGCTCATTCTCTTTCCAGCTCACTTCACAAACTCACTTCCTCCCACCCCTCCAGCCTTTGCCATCTGTCTGTGTGGCAGGTACACCAGGCAGGGCACTGTTGGAATGTCTCCAGTAGGCAAGGTGTGTGGCTGACAAGAGCTGGAGATGGGCAAACCTGGGGCACACAGAGCTACATCCTTGGCAGGCTGGCTCCTCAGCCTCATGGAGACCCTGGGGAGCCTCCTGGAGCTAGAATGAGGACCAAGTATGGGCAGAGGCTCCCTCAGTGCCTGCCTTCCTCTTTAAACCCCAACTGGGGAGGAAATGCCTGCCACAGAAAGATGCCCAGCAGGCGGTGGGGGTATAAGTGGATGCCAGCTTCCCATGTAGTTATGTGAGCTGTCACGGGGTGACCTGGCATACCATGACAGGCCGGAGGGAGGGTGGGGCGGGTCCCAACCTCCCAGGGGCAGCAGGTACTGGGCAGCTGTGCCGTGTGTTCCCGAGACCTGCCTGTTTGTGGTCATGGAGGGGTCTCCATGCCAGGGCTCCGGCTCCAGGGTGCCCAGGGCCCAAGAGCTTTGACAGCCTGAATGTCCTCTTCATTTTCCTATAGGCTTAGAACCTGGATGTGAGTCCTTCTCAACAAAGAACTTACTTTCCCTCGGGGTGTTCGGGAATCTGGACAATGAGGCCCCATCAGCATCCCATGGGGGACCTTACCAATGATCCTGGCTGGTGTCGGTTCTGATTGGTGGGTCTCTGTACGGTTCTAGTTCCAAATGCTTGACCACATCAGCTCCAGCTGTATCATTCTTTGCTCATTGGCACTCAGAGGCACTGGTGTGTCAGCCAATGCCACAGACTCCTGACGCCTTCTGAGGCCAAGAGCTACAGCCAAGCTGGGCACCTGGTTCCGGATTCATCTGTCCATTAGACAGCCTGTCCTTCCTGACAGGTGACACCCCTGCTGTTCATTAAAAGACAGCAAAAGATGCTGCCACAGAAACTGATTGGACCCTGAAGCCACCACCCACCACACAACTATTTCTAGGGATGAAGTCAGATCCAGCCTCTTCTGCGCTTACCCTGGTACATTTTCCCACTGCCTCTTCTCCTCACTTCTGTGGAGGGTGGCAGAATCCCTGGGGAGCTGGAAGTGGGCCTTGACCCTCCTGCTTCATCATCCTCCATGTTGTCCCCCTTGTGGAGTGGCCCCTTAAGGCAGTGGGATCATGTTCCCGTGGAACGGCGATCCTGCCAAATAAATAAATAAACGCAGAGAAGAAGACAGATTTCATTATCCAAAGGAAGCTGAAGCTGGGGCCAATTTCTGATGTTCATTTTAGTGGCACTGTAGTGGGGCTGGATGTTCCTCAGAGCATTTGCCCACCTTAAAAGCCCCCTGTGATGTGACGAGCCACTTTCTCAATCTTGGGAAGCTCCAAGATCTCCCAGCCCTTCTCCAGTGCTGTGGCCATCCTGGTCTTGTCACCCAGTGAACACAGGAGGCCAGGGCCCTGTGGGTTGGTCACCCCTGGACATTCCACCCACAGTGCCTTGGGCAGGGCAAGGTCTGCGCCTGCTCCAAGGCATCCAGGCAGCCCCCTCCTCAAGGGGCCACAGGAGACAGCAGCAGCCACAGCCTTGTGCCTTCCCGGTCCCACTTGTGTCAAAGCTATACAGGCCTAGACAGGATCTGGTAGGAGCCTGGGCTTTAGAGACAGAGCCTAAGGCCGAGAGAAGGCAAGGGGTTCTTCTAGGGTCACCCAGCCAATGCTGGAAACACCTAGACTAACAAAGTGGCAGGATTATCTGCTGGCTGAGTTCTGGGATCCAACTGTGTTACAATGGGCAAGTGACTTGACATCTCTGAGCTGCAGCTTTCTTACCTCTAAGATAGGGATCATGACAACCTCTACCTCCATGCTGTCCTGAGATGAAGGAGATGTATGTAAAGCACGTGGTACAGTACCTGGCATGGGGAGGAGTTTAATCAGTGGTATTGAGCTGCTGGTACTCAGCTCTCCTGAACCGCAGGCCAGGACTCTCTTGACCACCCACATTGCCCTTCCTCCTGAGCCTCTGAAACACCACTACCTTGGGGACCGGCCCTTGCCAGAGGAATTTATTCAGACAGGGGCTCCTCTAAGCTGCTTTTTGACTGCAGCAAATGCTGCTACCTCCACTAAGCCCCTGCTGTATACAGAGCGCCAGGCATGCAGGTATATACAGGCCTTTGTACAAAGGGTTCAGATCCACCTTGGGAAATGGGGTGAGGCGTGGCTTCTGTGCACACTGTGTGGCCCTGAGTCTCTGGGCCTCAGCTCCCATTTTGTAAAATGAGCCTGAGACAGCCTCACTGAGTAGCTTGGCGAAGCCAGTGAGTTCCTGCGTGTGAAGCCCCATTGAAAGTGCGAAGTGGATTGCTATTTGCTACACACGTGCCAGTTGTTATTTTTGCATTTACACAATAATGGACAAGACCTGACCCTGTCTCTAGAAACCCATCCCCTGATTGGGCCTCTGAACAGTGTCCACAGGAAATATTTCACCAGTTATATCCTGCAATCTGGATGTGTCAGCTATGGTATTTGGAGAATGCGATGGTCTTGGAAGCCTCCAGGGGAGAGGTGACCCATTCATTCATTCATTCGTTCGTTCGTTCGTTCAACAAATACTTGTGAAGCGCTTGCCATGTGCAGTGGCACCGAGCTCTAGTGATATGAGGACCAACCTGACAGAGGTCTTGACCTCTTCCTGCTTCCAGTGTAATGAGAGAAATCAACAAAATAAGCACATAAGGAAATTAACAAGAAAATATCCACTGATTGTTATGAAGAAAATAAATTAAGACAATTTTAAAGGATTCCCCCCACGGCCCACTTTACTGAGGTATAATTGACAATTAAAAACTGTATATATTTAAGGCTGACCATGTGATCCAGGGGATATTTTCGATAGGGCATTGTGGGGGGCAGTGTTATCTGTGAGAAGGTGACATCTGAATGACAAGGGGAGCCCACCACGCAGAGCTAACAGATGATCCTGAGCATGAGAAGTGCTGTGCCTGAACTTGTCACAGCATAAAGCACTAGAAGAGTGTCCATGAGATAAATTGATTAAAGAATTAAATCAGAGGTTGGGGAATGAGCATGCTGGTTAGCAGCAAAAGCCGGTGCAAAATCCCTGAGGTCGGAATGAGCTTGGTGTGTCTGAAGAAGAGAAAGGTCAGAGTGTGGCCAGGTGAAATGAGTGACAGGGAGAGAGCAGAGAGAGAGCTCAGGGAGGGCGCGGGCCAGTCCTGTGGCGCCTCGTGTGACTCTGGCCTGTGGTATTTGTACATTTCACCCTCAATGAGCCAGGAAGCCACAGGAAGGTTTTAGGAGGGGGAGCCACCGGCTCTGGGCTACATTTTCCAGTCCTCTTGGCACCGGCAGAGAATGGATTACAAAGGCAGAGTGGAGAGGAGCCAATAGGTGTCCTGGACAATTGCGGTGTCCAGGTGAGAGGCAGTGGTGACAGAGGAAATGGGGAGAGTGTGCAGATTTTGGGTATGTGCTAGAGGTGACGCTAGCAGGCCTTGCTGATGGGCTGGCTGTCGGGTGAGAGATGGAGAGAAACCAGGCAGAGCTGAAGGCTTCTTGACTTGAGCTGTTGACTGGGCTGGGCTGTGAAGCTGCTGGAGCTGCAGAATGCTTAGCCCAGGTGCTGGGGGTCAGGGGCAGGTTTCCTGGAGAGATGGGGACAGGGCTGGAGGGACAGACAGCGGCATCGAAGGAGCCCGGTGACTCGGTGACTCGGGGTCCTTTAAGTTGCGTGTCCCCCAGCGTGGAGTCCACTTGCTAGAGTGAGCAGTTTGTTGAATTGCTGGTTCCCCTTCCACTTCACCAGCTTAGGAGCAAGAGGGGCTGGATGGAGGAGGCAGAGCCTGTGGCCTGTCTGCCTGGCTGAGGGGGGCCCTCTGGAGTCAGATGTCCTGAGTTCCCCTCCCCACCTCAGCAGCTTCACAGTGCATTTCCTTGCTCACTAAATCCTGAAATACTGGGATGATGGGGCCCCCTTTGAAACTTGAGTGAGGTAAGTTTAGGACAAATTAAAGGAAGTCCTGCTTCTCACAGCAACTTAGGACCTCAGGGGACTCATTACCCTGAGAGGTGGTCCAGGCTGGGAATGTCATGGGATTCCTGAGGGATCTGGGTAAAAGAACAAAATGAGGGGCCCTCAAAGGCCCCTGAGAGGAAACCTGGGATCTGTGTGACCTTTAAGTTGACGTCAGGGAGGAAAACTGGTCTCTTGAGGCTTCTGCTGGCAACAGAGTCGGGAACCATCCTAATCCAACCCAGCGTTCCCCTGCCCCCTGGCTCTCAGAACCCCGGGCGCCAGAGCTGGAAGGGGCCCCAGGCTCTGCCCCATCTAGTCCTTTTCTGTCACTCAGGAGGACACTCCTCTGTCACCCCTCCGCCTGAAACCCTGCAGTGGCGCCAGTGCCTTCACGACCATGTCCAGCACACCCCATCGGGCCCCATCCCTCCCCACTGCCCCCCTGCCCCACTTCCCTGGACTCCCTGCAGCACAGCCAGCCTGGGGCTTAGGAGCAGGGCTCTCATCACCAGGCCTCTGCCCCTGCTCTTCCCTCTGCCAGGAACCCCCTCATCTCCACCTTTGCCTGTTAACTCTCCCTTACCCTTCCGATTTGGCCTTAGTTGTAAACTCCTAGATAGCCATCCCTGATTCCCACCCCTGCCCCCACCTCCCCAATTTCAGGTCACCTGCCACTGCCGAAAGCTTCCTTAGAGCCAGCCCAGCCTCCAAGCATAAACCTATCCCACTGCATCATCAGGGACTAGTTTCACATCTGTCTCCCCTCTGGACAGTTAGCTCTGTGTCTTCCCAGCACCTGGCACGGAATAAATGCTCTTCAATAATCATTTAAGGTGTCAGGCTCAGAGAATGGAATTGCCATGCACAAAATCACAGCATCATTCATGTATCATTCAACACATATTACTGAGCACTCACTCCATGCCATGCCTTTGCTAGGTGCTGGTAACCCGAGGGTGAGCAAGACATGACTTACGGTTCAGTCAGGGAGGCAGCCTCCACCAATTGCCCCAGCAAATATAAAATTGCAATAGCGATCAGCTCCACCAAAAGGCAATGCAAGGTTTCATGAGAAACTAGAAAAAAAATCCTCAAGCGTCCTTGAGCAGAGAGATCTGGCAAGGGAGTAGGAATTGACCAGGTAAAGGGCAGGGAAAGTGTTCCAGGCAAGGGAACAGCAAGGGCAGAGACCCTGCAGTGGGAAGGGAGGATGAGGAACTGAGGCAGGAGCAGTGTGGCCTGGGCAGGGAGCTTCGGGACAGAGACTGGTATGAGATGAGATTCAGCTGGAATATGCAGGGCTTTATGGACCACGTTAAGGCTTTCATCTTTATCCTAAGAGCAGTGGGGAGCCACCAAAAAGTATTGAGCAGGACCATGACCTAACCAGACTGGTATTATGAAAGCTCAGACTAGCTGATATGGTTTCACTGTGTCCCCACTCAAATCTCATCTTGAATTGTAGCTCCCATAATTCCCACGTGTTGTGAGAGGGACCTGGTGGGAGATGATTGACTCATGGGGGTGGTTTCCCCCATACTGCTCTCGTGGTAATGAATAAGTCTCGTGAGATCTGAAGCTTTCATAAGGGGAAACCCCTTTCACTTGATTCTCATTTCTCTCTCGCCTGCCGCCACATTAAGACGTGCCTTTCACCTTCTGCCAGGGTTGTGGGGCCTCCCCAACCATTTAGAACCTTGTTAAACCTCTTTTTCTTTATAAATTATTCAGTCTCAGGTATGCCTTTATCAGAAGCGGTAAAAACGGACTATTACACTGGCTTCTGTACAGAGCAGGAAAAATAACCAAGTGCCCTGACACTAAGCCCTTATAGGATGTCCATGCTCTGTAGCCTCTGTAGCCCTGCTCCCTACCCCAGGTCACTACATGTCCAAGGACCTCCCCTACTCCAAAGCATTGGTCTGTCCATGCTCATTCCGGCACTAACATCATCCCCACCCAAACGCAGGGGCTGGGCTTCAGTGCTAGCTTTCCTGGGCATTTGGTACAACTGTGCTCCATGAGGCTGTAGTGTACACTACACTCTTGTCTCCAGTAGCCAGGACAGGCTGTGCATGCCCAGATGCTGGCCTCAGTGTGCTGTCAGGGGCCAGAGTCAGCACCAGCACCCAACAGATGAGGACTGTTTCACCCAGAGTTTGCTCCTTTGAGGAGCAGAGAGCCCAGCTCCCTGCCAGGCCTGCTGGGTTCCGCTGTGTGAGGGTTTCAGACGGGGTCCCGGCAGTGACCCAGCAGCAGCATTTATGCCAGAGCAGCAGCCTTTACATGCCTCCGGTCTACACTCGTGGAAGTTGGTGTCAGGACGCAGTAAGGTTAATCCTCCAGGTTGCCTGGGCTGCAGAAACACTGAGAGTAAACTGTTTATGTTCTCCGGCTGCTGAGCCTAAAGGCCTTCTGCAAAGAAATCATGGCTCCTAGGCTGTCAGTGCTGGAGGGTGGGGGTTATCTCTTCCAGCACCCACGTCACAGCAGGAGAGGGGGCCCAGAGAGGTGAGATTCTCACCATGTCGTGTTGCTCAAGTGGTCAGAAGATTCAGCCTCCACGTGGAGGCCATCGGCCCACATGATAGCTGGTGTGATGATGTTAAACTCTTCCCCCTCAACCCACGGCCTAGGAGCGAGAAGAGGAGGAGGAGTTAAAGGGTGAGAGTGCAGAATCTGGGTTTCAGATCCTGGCAACCATGGGTTCAAATCCTGCCTTTGTCACTTGTCAGCTGTGGCCTCTTGGGCAAATTTTTCAACCTCTAGGGTCTTTTTTCATCTACACTGCGGTGTCCATTATGACTGCCACTAACCACACATGACTGTATATTTAAATTAATTCGAATTAAATAAAATTTAAAATGCAATTCATCAGTTTCCCCAGCCATATTTCAAGTGTTCCTGTGGCTAGTGGCTACTGTATTGGACAGCACACGCACAGAACATTTCCATTATTGCAAAATGTTTTCTATCCAACAGCTTTGATCTATAAAATGAGGATAATGAGAAGGCTTGTTCTATGGATCGTGGTGAGGATTAAATGAGATAATGTATATAAAGCAAGCTGGTATAGCACCCAACATATATTAGGTGCTCAGCTAATGTTTGCCATGACGGTGATGGTGGTCATGGGGTTGGTGAAGTCCATTTGCTTCTGTGTACATTTTCAGTGTCCTGCTGTGTCCACGACCAGAGGTGCTACAGCCCAATAAAAAGGTGCTAGAGTTAGGCAGTTGTGCACCTGGATTTATTTATCAATACGAAGGTGTTGAACATCTGCTGTGGGCCAGGCGCTGTTATCATATGCTGTGGGCAGGTGCCGTGGTAGGTTTGTGATATGTCACAAAGTCAAACAAGACATAGTCTTTATCGTCCAGGAGAGATGCCCACCAGTAAAGCATAGAAAATACCCAAGAGAGTCAGAAGAAAAAGAAAAGGAATAGCAAGCCCTGAGGGCTTCCCGGAAGAGGCGGCATTTGCTCTAGGTCTTGAAGGAGGTGTAGGATTTGAGTCGGAGAGGGCAGGAGGACATTCCAAACAAAGGGAACAGCATGGGCTGTCAGGAGGGGCCTGAAAAGTTATCTGTGCTTGAATGATGGCCAGCTCAGTGTGGCTGTCCAGGGAGGATGGGCCATAGGCACAGTGCTCAGCAAATGCCAGACACTCCCTAAGTATTTGTGGGATCAGCAAGTGGAATGAAGCTCATAACTGTGATTCTGGGCAAGTTATCTGACCTGCCTATGCCTCCTGCCTGCTCACACTTCACCAGCTTCTCACCCCAGCCCCCAGTAAGCCTGTGGAGATACAGAGAGATGAGACGAGAACATGCTTCCATCGCAAACATAAGGTGGTCTAACTTTGTGCCTCAGTTTCCCACCTGTAAAATAGGGTAATAATATTAGCCACTTCCTTGGGCCATTGTAAGGATTAAAAGAGTTAATACAGTGGCATGTTTAGAACAGTAGCAAGCACAAAGTGACCCTAGAGAAGGGTTAACTAGCAATGTTGGCATAGCGACAAGAGATATCCTTGCTTTTGTCATGGAGAAGGGAAGTGTTGGCTGAAGTGTTTGAGTAGGACTTAAAAGTTCCTAAAATCATGTTGGCCCGTCATACCTCACCTGCCTTAAAGGATTTTTGAGACCGTAAAGTACATATGCCAGGTGAATGCAAACTGGAGAGGGTGGTGCCCCAGACTGTCAATTATAGCAGCAATGGGGAAGCAGATGGGATTGAGCTTTGCTCCTGAGCTGATTTACTGTCTGCAGTGGTTTTGCTCTGGAGAGCCTGGGCTCTGTTTTGGGAAATCCAGGAGGTGACTTTTCCTAAGGATCTTGAGAGATGAGTAGGAGCTTGCTGGAAAGGCCAGCAAGAGAACCATACTATGTTAAGGTCCTGTACTTAACTAGTTATAGGATTCTCTATCCTATAGAGACAAACAAAACCCATCCAGACCTGCCTTGCTTGACATCTGACACCCTCAAGATGCCTCCAAGACTTCACTGTGCTTTCTTGCTGAGCCTCATCCTCTTTTCTTTTCTCTTTTTCTTTTCTTTTCTTTTTCTTTTTTTTTTTTTCTGAGACAGAGTCTTACTCTGTCACCCAGGCTGGAGTGCAGTGGCGTGATCTCCACTCACTGCAACCTCCGCCTCCCAGGTTCAAGTGATTCTCCTGCCTCAGCCTCCCAAGTAACTGGGATTACAGGCACCCACCACCACGCCTGGCTAATTTTTGTATTTTTAGTAGAGACAGGGATTCACCATGTTGGCCAGGCTGGTCTTGAACTCTTGACCTCAGGTGATCCACCCACCTCAGCCTGCCAAAGTGCTGGGATTACAGGTGTGAGCCACCGCACCAGCCCTCTTCCTCTTTTCTTACACCCTCTAAATACCCCCACCCCTGCAGCTACACCAAAGTAGGCATCCCCAACCCACTAGCCTGTGTCACTCCTTCCCCTCCCTCAGCCTGCAGCCCCTCCCCAATGGGAACCAGCTTCAGGTGCCTCCCTGGGAAACATTTCTTGCCTCCCACAAGGTCCCTGCATCCCTCTTAGCAGTAACCCTGCTCCCTGATTTGGAAAAAGACATTTCACCCTTTTTCCAAATCAATTCTGACCTCACCTGCAGCAGAATCACCTAGTCAGCTAAAAATGCAGATGCCCAGGTCAGACCTACAACATCAGAATCTCCAATCCTGTGGTCTGGAAATCTGCATTTAGCAATCCAGGTAATCCTTTTGCTCAATGAGTTCAGAAAGTCACTGAACTGCTAAATTTCACTGTAGCGTATCTTTTTGTTTGCATCTTTTTCCCTCCACTGGACAAGGGTTTCCTGGAGGCAGGGACAGGGATAGTGCCTTGCTGTCTGTTTCCCCAAGGCCTGGCGCAAGGCCAGTGCCCAGGCAGTCCTGAATGAACCATTCCTGGACATGACACGGTTCCCGTGCCCTCCCTCCTTCCAGCCCATGCCGGAAATAAACTTTTATGAAGGCTTTTGTGAGTAGTCTGTGATCTCTCTGGGAGGCCATGCATGTCTCTCTTAACCAAGAGAGGAACCTAGAAGAAGAGCAGCCCAGCCCTCGGTAACAAGGGGCTGGGGGTGGTCCCAAGACAGGGTCCTGGATGAAGAAGGGTCTGGTGGCACTGGAGGGGCTGGGGGAGAGTGTCCTGGTTCCTAATCAACAGGAAGGGCCTCTGCCTCCAGGATCACTTTTCAGCCCAGCTGCTTGGACATAACCCGAGCTGGGGTTGGGGTTGGGGGGAGGGGCGGTGACAGACAGGCTGACGGGGAGGCCAGCACTGCGACAGACGGCCAGCCCAGCACACCTGCCCGCCCAACTCTTGTACACCCCCACTGCCCCGGGAAGGTGCATCCAGGGAGAAGGCTCAGCTGGTGAGCTCAGAACACCCTTCTGCTTTCTTCCCCCACCCTGCCCTCCCCTTCTTCTGCTCTTTCCAAGCTTAGGGACATTCAATCCTTCCTTTGATGGACAGCCAAGAAAAGACTTCTTCCACATCCTAAATTTGTTAGCACCAGCTAATCGTCTTAACCTTCCTCCCTCCAGTGCTCCCAATAGGCGCCTCCTTAAACACACAGGGTGCTTTTTTGATCCTCAGAGGGGAGCACCGGGAGGGACCAAATCCCCACAGGGGCAGAGGAAGTTTCCCTGGAGGTCCCTCCTCTGCCGTGGCTGCTGGTGAGCCGGGGTGTGCAGACACGTGGGGCAGGAGCAGTGACTGCAGCTGCAGCCAAGCCTGAGGCTTGGCAGCTTAGAACCCGCTGATTCAAGTGGGGGTGCTTCCCAGCGGGAGCCACGGCCCTCATTAGGGGCTCACCCCAGGGTGCTGCTAGAAAACTGAAGTTAGCCAAATCCCAGGTCGTGCCCAGCAGAGGGACACTCTTTCTTGACCCTCGCCTGCTTCTTCATCTTCTCTATTGTGTCTCTCTTTAGCCTCTTCCTTCTCTTCCTCCTCATCATAGCTTCCATCTACTTTACAGGGTGCCGGACCGCATGCTTAGGGCCTGACCCCAGCTCCTTCAGAACCCTAACAGCTAGAAATTCTTATGCTCATTTTACTGATGAGAAAATTGAGGCTCAGAGAAGTGAAATGATGTGTCTGTGTATATAAGGTAATCCCATATGAGTCAGGGCTGGGGTGTGGACCACTGTCCAAACTGTTGCTGTTGACCGCCATACCATTCTGTCTCCAAAACACACATTTCTGAACTGCTCACACAGGTACACAAATTAGATAAAAGTGACCTACTGCAATCTATTAAATGAGGTCACCCTGTAAACATCTCTTGCAGGACCAGGCACATAGTAGGCCCTCAGCACGAGTACCCCTTCCTTCCTCCCATCCCCTCATCTCTCTCCCTACTCTGTCTCTCTCCTCCTGCTCTTTCTCCTTGCCTCCAGGCTTATGACACAGGTGAGAAGAGCCAGGACAGAAGAGAATGTGGCTATGGCCTACAGACCTTGTCCTGGCCCTAAGCCTCCCAATAAATAACAGGGTCTGTATATAAGCCTCCGGCTCTGCAGCATCTCAGCTTGGGAGGAATGGCGTTTGCTGGCGGAGGGATTAGGAGCCCTGGGAGGAAGGGACAAGGGCCTCCCTCCAAAGCAGCAGGGGAAGGCTCTGATTCACTCTCTTTCTCCTTTCCATCTGTGGCCCCACAGAAACAGCAAAGAAACCTAAAGAAAACCTAACAACTTTGCCGTCAAGGTCCTCAGTGGATGTGGGGCTGGTCTGGGAGGGAGGAGTTCCCCTTCCTGCAAAGGGCTGGACCCTGACCCGAAGGCATAAGAGACCCTTCTGAGACCTAGCATGCTTGGAACACAGGCAGGAAACTGCCCTTCTTGCCCCCTGGCCCACCTCCTTCCTCTTCCCAGCTTGTCTAGGTCCCTAGAATGGGGGTTGTCTGGCCAGATGGAGTCTCCAGTCATTTGCTCAAGACCTCTGAGTCACGGAGGTGAAGAAGCCACTGGGACCAGCTGAGACTGAGGGGCTCTGGGGGAGGGGTCAGGACAATTGCAGAGGCTGCCAGGAAGATGGATCAGATGGCCGCATCTGATCCAAGTGTCACAAAGCAGTCCAACTGAGGTTGCTGGCGAAGTGTGAGCAAGCTACCGGCCTGAGCTGAATTAAAATCATCCTATACCTCCTGGATGGCTTAGTAATAAGAAGCAAAGCTGCCACTTCCCAAGGACTTATTAAGTGCAAGACCCTTACATATGTGTATATGTCTCCAACAACCTTGCAAACTGGTACTATTAGTTCCACTTTATAAAGAGACTGAGGCTCAGAGAAATTAAAAGAAACTTGCCTGGGGCTCTGGAGCTATTAAGAGTTGCTGGGATCTGAACCTAGGTCTGTTTGGCTCCAAAGCTCATCCCCGAGGATACCCCTGAGAAAACCTTCGATACAGAAGATCACTCACCGTGTAAGAAAAACACTACTGAGTGAGAGCAAGAACAGCCAACAGGTGTGGACCCACGCACCGTCCTCTCACCTGTCGCCTGACTCACCTGCCTTCCCCACGCCACACTTCTGCTGTGTCTTTCTGGAGGCAAAGGGACAAGGATGCTTCTTGGATCAGAAAGAGATGCCCTCCCCTTATGAAAACAATGGAAGCATTCCCCACAGAAGAGCCAGCTGGTGCCAAGGGGGTCACTTAAGGACAAGTGAGGGCCTAAGAGTCCCCTCCACAACTCACCTTCTCTTTGTGGCTCAGGTGCTACCTAGCATGGACATTTGCATAGCCAACGGCTGCAGCCTACAGCCTGCCTTTGCTTCTGTGGTGCTGTCCCCATGGGATTTCCTGCCGCTGCCTCTGTACTCAGACACCCAGGGTGCCTTGACACCCCCCTGCACCACCTGACCCATGTGGGCAATTCATCTCCACCTCCCCTCTGGCTCAGACAGGCTGGAATTCTCTTAACGATTTTACCAAACCCAAAGAGAAGTGTTTAAACCATTTTTTTAAATGTCTTAGAATTTTCAAAGGTTCTGATATCACAGTGCTTACAGAGAACGGGTTTCTGACCCTAAACTGGTAGAAGGTCACTTCCAGATCTCAAATCCATTATTCTGTCCCATCAGAGACAGAAGTGGCTGCCCTCCCCTTCAATCCCTTTCCTGCTTCCTCCAGGAGGGGCCTGGGGGCTGTCATAGAGGCCCAGCTGCCTAGCCTGGTGCAGGGGATGGGGAGCGGGGGTGGGGGGCGCTTCCGCAGCAGTGCCCCCTGATCACTTCCCACTGCCCTATCATGGAGGCCCATGGTCCGCAGTCACCAACCGGCTCAGCAGCCCCTCTGCTCTGTCTCTGGGGAGAGTGGTGGTATGATGCCCACACAATGGCACGTTTTTATTTTTATTTATTTTTAAGAACAAGAGAGGATATTGTTTCCTTCTTTTTCACATCTCCTTTTTATCTTAGCCCTGGCCTCAATTCTGTGGGACTCCCTGACCCTCCTAGCATGTGGGAACAACTGTGTGTAGCCTTCTGTTGTGTTTGGGGGCTGAAGACAAGGATGGCGGCTCCCACTGTCTTCCCAGCCTGCCTCGACCTGTGCCCAGCGCAGACCTCTGCTGTGATTCCCTTAGTGACTCCTTTACAGGTGTTTTTTCTCATCTGCAGAAGTCAAAATGTCCCCAGCCACTTTCCAGGCCTCCCCACCCGGTGTGGCCTGCCCAGGTGATTCCAGCTTCCTTGAACCAAGCACCTTATGGGATGGGGCTGAAACTGGGCCCCACGGCCAGCTCCCGAGTAAGGTCAGAGGTCAGGAGAGTAGGACGAGTTGGTCATCCTGGGCTCCTCTTAATGATTTATTAGCCACTGTTCCCATTAGGAGCTGTTAGCACATCAAAGCGGGATTTGCAGAGCCTGAACACATAGTGACGGTGACAGACATTAGCTGGTGGCTGCCCTGGAGCCATAAAACTCCCACTGGGTGAGCTGGAGGTGGAGGGAGGCGCTGATCACTTTGGTTCTCAACTACAGCAAAGGCAGACGAGATCCAAATGTCCATGGATGAGATCTAAATGTCCACATTTGTAAAATGAATTTGTGCATTAACTCATTAAATCACTGAGTTTGGAACTCTAGGTAAGTTTAGACTGTGCGACACAGTACGATACAGGGCAAAAGGCAGATTCTGGACTCCACAAGATCTGGGTTCAAATCCCAGCTCTGGCATCAAGAAGCTTCAGGAAGTTGGGTTCTTTCAAAGCCTCGGCCCTGTCTCTAGTGGGATGAGGATAACAATCCTCTTAAGAGACATCAGGAGAGGACCTGGAGCCACACGTTAAACTGCCTGGCATGGGGTGACACTCGAGAAAGAGGGTTTCTTACCCCATGGCACATGTCTAATGCAGGGGCCTTCCAGCGGCCTCCTGCGTCTGGAGGAAGCCACCTACTGAGAGGTCTCTGCCAGCCTGCTCAGGGTACTGCTTTTCTTAGTGCTGTCTTTTACCAATGGGCAAAGGGCGGGCTGTTGTCCTTGTGATGCTGAGGGGGGCTGAGGCAGATCAGGTTCCCTGGGAAGCTGACTGTCAGCCAGCAGACTCTACATACACACCATTGAAAGGGGAGGGGAAGAGAGAGAAGGGAAAGGCAACAGACCGGGCAAAGGAAGATGATGAGCTGTGCCAACTCTCAGTGATGGCCTCAGCCCACCCAGGTAGTTCTGGAACGGGGATGGCCCCTCAGAGTTGCCCCAAGGGGGCCAGGCCATGAAGGGGGTTCTTGGACAAGGTGGCTCTCTTTAGCCAAGGCACTCCTGCAGAGGACTGACATCTGAGAGCTATCTGCAGGCAGCACCCTAGCATCTGAAGGGACAAGTCCTTCATTCCCTAAAGGGGAATCTGGATGGCACAGCACAGCAGGCACTACAGGGGCCTTTCTACAGGGGCCAGCACATGGGCCAGGGGTCCTGAGAGCAGGGCTCCATCTCCGCCTTCACTAAGGGGAACCATGCACCCCTCAGGAGAATCGAGGTCCTGGGAGATTCTGTGGCATTCCTGCGTATGCTTCACAACTGTAGATTCGAGAAAACAGGGTGTTGGGCTCAATGAATACATCTGTTCAGCTTTGGCTCTGATTTCTGAAGATTTCTCAGGTTCAGAGAAGTGAGAGAATCAGGGAAATCAGGAAGGGAGCTCCCCTTCCACCCTGAGCCAAAACAATTTTGCCAAAGTCTGGACACCCCAAAGGTTTCCCAGTGCCCTGGGGGAAAATGCCAAACTCCTCCCTGCCCTGGCCTTCAAGATCCCTTGAGTTCTGGCCCCTGCCTTCCTTTCCTGCTTCATTTCATGTCCATTTATTTTCTTCTCCTGAAACTCCAGGGCAGAGCTGCTTAATAGAACTTCCTGCCAGGATGAAATATTTTCTCCCTGCGCTGTCTAATACAGTAGCCACAGCTACATGTGGCTATTCAACACTTAAAATGTGGCTAGTGAGGCTGAGGAACTGAACTGAATTTTTTATTTTATTTCCATTTTATTGTGGTTTTTTGTTTTGTTTGTTTTGTTTTGTTTTTTTGAGATGGAGTCTCACTCTGTTGTCCAGGCTGGAGTGCAGCAGTGCGATCTCAGCTCACGGCAACCTCCACCTCCCTGATTCAAGTGATTCTCCTGTCTCAGCCTCCCAAGTAGGTGAGATTGCAGGCTTGCACCACCATCCCCAGCTAGTTTTTGTATTTTTAGTAGAGGTGGGGTTTTGCCACGTTGGCCAGGCTGGTCTAGAACTTCTGACCTCAGGTGATCCACCCGCCTCAGCCTCCCAAAGTGCTGGGATTACAGGTGTGAGCCACCGCTCCTGGCCTATTTCAATTTTAGTTTAATGGCCACAGGTGGCTGACAGCTGCTGTAATAGACATCACAGCTCCAACCACAGAGGATTTTTTTCTGTTTCCCACCCCAGGGCCTTTGCACTTGCTGTGCTGGTGTGCAGTGACCATCCCTTGGACTCTCTCGTGCCGCCTCTTCATTATCTAGGTTTCGACTCCAACACCACCTCCTCAGAAAGGCCTTCCTCAGTCATCCAAGCTAAAGCATTTTCCCAAATTCCAGCCCCGTCTACTATATTTGCATATTGTAACTTCTCATAGCAGTCATCAGTGTGTAAATTTTTCCCATTTATTTATTTCTGTTTGTTGTCTATCACCTGCGGCTAGAGATAATAATAATAATAAGCCAATACTTGTATGGTGCTTATTATGTGTCAGGTACTGATTTATCATTTCACATATGTTATCTCATCTAATTCCTTCAACTCTCCTGTGAGAAAAGTGCTGCTTTGTCCCCATTTTGCAGAGAAGGACACTAAAGCTCAGAGGTGGACTTGCCCAAGCTCGACTGCTAGAAGATGTCTTTTCTACCTCTATAGTGCCAGCACCAACATAGAGCAGTGCCAGATATATCGAGCAATGGCTCAGTACGTGGCCCTTGACTGCCTGTCTGGCTGAGACTCAGCAGGGTGGGGTGACTGGGCTGGTGTGGACCCAGGAAGTCCTCTGACGAGCCTTGCAGCCCCACGGAACCCCTGGTTGGGATGGTGGGCTGGGGGCAAGTACAAGGGTGGCGCCAAGAGTGGCCTGCAGGTCACTTGTCCCATTTTGGGAGACCCCAGTGGGCTGGGAGGGGAGAGGAATGGACCTCGCTGGGCAAAACTGGCAAACCCTTCTCCTGGGCAGTGAATGATGCTAGTGGCCAAGGTGGACTCGGCCCATTGCTGGGCCTGGGGCTGCGGCTTTCCCAGTGCCTTGACAGAAAGGGACCAGAGCTATGGAGACCACCCAGACTTTTTGTCTGCAGAGAGCTCTGACATCCGCCTGGCCTCCCCAGCAAAGCCCTTGCCTGGGGCTGTCCAGCTGGGGCGGGGGAGCGGGGGGAGGTATGGGGAGGGGGCTCTGTGCAGCCCAGCAGTGGGGAGATATCTTCCTAGCGATCAGCATCTGATAACACAGCCTGGTCTCCCCAGGGTGCCCCTGCCCCCTCTAAAAAGCATCTTCTCTTAATTAAAAAGTCAGAGCCTTCTGTCTGGAAGGGACATTCCATGAGGAGGGGAAGCCACCAGAGACGCCTCACCCTCTTCTTGGTCCTGCTGTTTCCATTTCCTATGGATACTGCACCCACCCCCCGTCCCATCCCCCACCTGGCACCCCAGGCTTCTAGGTGTGAGAGAGCTTCGCACAAGGAGCCTGAAACACAACTGCCATTTCCAATGAGGCCTCTTATCTGCTGAGTGACCTCGACTCAGCTTCTTAACCTTCCAGCCTCCGATTCCTCATTCCTGTGAGGGAACACATGTGCCCCTCTACGATTGCCATAGGATCTAGGGAAGCACGATGCTCTCAAAACTTTCAAGACTTTATACATATGAGGTCAACGCAAGTATAAAGAACCATAACGATGTTCACACAAAGGTTTCACACAGGCTCCCTCCCTTAGGCTCAGAAAACAATGTATAAAAGGAAAACTGCTAGATGTACAAAGATATTCACTGCAGCATAGAATATAAAAAACACAGAAACTTCGTGATCTAGTAACCAACTCAAAGATAAATCACGTTATATGATCTTTAAACGCAGCCATGTTAAAGATGTCGTTTCCAAGGCTGCCCTGATGCAGGAATGTGTCTGCCTTGTCATGGTAAGTGAAGGAAGCAGTGGACCATATTCCGTGCACACCGATTTCTGCTCTGTGAACGTAGGTATGCGTGTGGACGAGGATCAGAGAGGGGAAGAGAAAATGGAAACAGTTGAGAGTGGGCATGGGGGATTATGGATGATGGCTTTTCTTTCACAAAATGTCCTTTAATGTTCTTACAGAGCTGTTTGAACAATAAATATATGTCAGAAAAACAAACTAAAAAAAATTTTAAAGCAAAGCCAAATGTAAAATCCAAAGTGTTGCCACTCTTCTCAGTTCAGATGCATCCAGTTCCTGGACTCCTCGGCCTCCCGAGAACCCCACATCCCTGGCACGTACACTGGAGGCCATACAGCTCACTGTGCAGCCCGGGCCTCAATCTTCAGCCTACATGGTATGGTGTGTGAGATGTCAGAACTTGGCTTCATCCTTTCCTTTTCCCTTTGCCCCTTCTCGTGCCACATGCTTAAGGCCCTTTCTATTCAAAAGACAGTGGTTTCAGCCGGGTGCTGTGGCTCACACTTGTAATCCCAGCACTCTGGGAGATCAAGGCTGGTAGATCGCTGGAGTTCAGGAGTTCAAGACCAGCCTAGGCAACACGGCGAAACCCCATCTCTACAAAAAATTTTAAAACAATAAATTAGCCAGGCATGGTGGTGTGCGCCAGCAGTCCCAGCTACTCGGGAGGCTGAGGTGGTAGGGTCGCTTGAGCCTGGGAGGTTGTGGCTGCAGGGAACCAAGATCACACGACTGCCCTCCAGTCTTTTGAGACCCTGTCTCAAAAAAAAAAAGTGGTTCCTGTCATTTCTGCTTGTCACCAGACTCTGGTTAGAGGTTCTACATCCTCAGTTATGAAAATTCTTTCACTTGCAGTTGTACTGAGACCTGCCAAGGATGCCAAGTACGTTTCCTCACAGGGACGAGCTGTGATTGATTGGTTGTGGTTGCCAAGAAGTACAAGAAACAGTGCTGAAATAGATCAGTTATGTCTGCCATGGGTCCTAGATAGAGGAATGGTATATGTCCTGTGGTATTTGCAATTCCAGAATAGACAGGTACTCAGCGCAGGGCTTGGACATCTGGGCTTTCATCTCAACCCTGCCAGTGCTTCCCTGGAGAACCTTGGGTACTGTACAGCTTTGTCATGTGTGTAAGGAAATCGGAGGCTCCCCGTTCTCCAGGCTGTGTGCTGGTGTGGAAAGAGGATGGACTTTGCAGTCTCATAGACCCAGGCAAGAATCCTAGCTCCACCGTTTACTTGTGATTTGACCTTGGGCAATCCGTGTAACCTATGGAGCCTGGGTGTTTACACCTGTAAGTTAGAACTCAGATAGGCTGAGTTATAAAGATTAGAAATAGTAAATAGACACAGTGCCCAGTCTACTGCTGGCACACAGTAAGTGTTAGGGTAGCTGTTTTCCTGGCCACCTGTGACATTCAGAGGGGTTGGTGGTGCCGTTCAGCCAGATGGCATGGAAGCAGGCCATGGGGCTGCCAGGCTGCCACCCATGAGACTGTGTGTTTCTTTATTTCTTCCTGGCCCACAGTTACACATGCACGCCTTCACCATGCCCTCCTGGACTAATGACAGAGCTGCTTGAGACAGGATTCATTGAGAGACAGGGACAAAAATGATGTTTCACTTGATTGTGCTATTGTAAGTTAAAACACTCCATATTATAACGAACTAATAACATATTATAATAACACTCCATATTATAATGAACTAATAACTAATAATTAGTAATTAGCTAATTACTAATTGCTGTATATGTTGTTAATTGTGTGCAATTTAAAGTAAGATTTAAGAAAAATAGATATCCAGGGGTGATTAAGTACCTTACTAATTGTTAATTATTCCCTGTCCCTGCTTCACGGAGTCCTGCTTTACTTCCGGGCCTGAGGAAAGCAGCCTCCTAACTCACCTGGCATCCTGGGGCCGGGGACTTATGTGGGGCTTGTCTTCAGCTCTGGGCTCCATGCCCAGTAGAAGGGGGGAGGGATGCAAGAGGGAGGGATGCAAGCACACTTGTCATTGTTTAGTGTACCCAAACAGTTCCACTCTTGGTCAAACTAACTCTCACGTACAAGTTCAATGTCCAAACACTGTTATGACATTGCTCCTTCACAGATCTGTAGTCAGATGATAGCCAGTGGGCCCACCCATCCATTCATTTAATTACTCATTCATGCATATTCAGCAAGGATTGACTGAGCCCACACTCTGGGCCAGAAGTTCTGGGCTGTGGAATTGGAGCAGTTCAGGCCTGGAAGGTGCCCAGAGACTGTGTATTGCGAATTAGCAGCTTGAGGACCAAATGTAGCTCTTTCACAGGTTTTGTTTGGCCTGCAGAGTGGTTTTTAAGTGTTCTTAAATTAGTAGCAGCATTTAGAAATGAGAAGATTTTGCAGAAAATATCTGATTCTCAGCTTTTCTTGAATAGTTTCAAGATCTGCCAATAGTAGGTCTGCAACCTCAACTGGCAATACTTGGTTGCAGCTGAGGGGTATCCAGTCCATTTTAGGCACACAGGCAAGCCCTTAGCACTTTGCCACAGTCTCCACCATGCCCTATCACATGACACCTGGCCTACTTCATTTATTTATGTGACCTGCCTGGCTCCTTGTAGGCATTGGAGTTTGTGACACCTAATCTCCCTCAACTCTTCTTAGAGTAGTGATTAAAGAATTAAGGACTGTGCCCATCATAAATCTTACAACCTAACAAAAGACAAGGTAGAAAAACATGGACATGGAACATGGAACTGAGATCCACACATAGAAATGAGAATAATTCACTGAATATTTTGATGTCGTGGGGTTGTGGTAAATCAAAGCCAGCTGCGTGAAGGAGAGGATGTGAAGCCGTGATGTGCGTACTGCAACCTCTGCTGGAGAACTGTCGATGCCTTTTGGATGTGGAGAAGGGAGCAAGGCTTGCACAACAGATGATTTCCTGGGAAGGGCCCAAGGTGAGGGGCTGGGGGTGGAGCAGGAAGTCCCTCCCCTTGAGAAGATATCTCTAGGTCCTGTGGGAGGATCTCACTGTTTCTGGGAGACTCAGTCAAGGGTGACAAGTTCAAGTGTGGAGACTCCAGATTGTTATCAAAATAGAGCTGAGGGGTCAGAGCCAGCAAAGTGCAACGGGCAAGGCTCATCCCTGATTGATTTCCACCTCGCCCACACAAGGGCTGACTTGATAGAGAACTTTTCCACCTTCCCTGGGCCCACTGTCCCTATCTGTGTGTGGCAGCCCAGCCCCTCTGACCCGTGCTGGAGGCCTGGCCAGGAAACTGTTCAGCCTGAGAACAGTGCCTGCCCTTGGCCTGAATCTGTAAAATTGGGACTCCAGTCTCTACCAGCAAGACCTACCCCCAAGGTTTCCTCACTCAGGACTTACGATTCTGACCCCAACCTGGAAGCGACAGGGGCCCACGGAAGTAAGAAAATGTGCAATTTGTCCCAACAGTTCAAAGCTGATGGCTTAAATCTGTACTATTTCACTCAAAAGGTCACCCAGCCCTGTCCAGCCTGCTCTGCTTAGCTCAGCTCACCCTGAGCCCTGCGTGGGTTCCAGGATTTTAAGGGCTCATCTGAGAGGCAGGGCAACAGCGTGATTAAGGGCCTGGTACTGGTTCAGAGCAAGCGAAGTGTCCTCTGAATTGACAGCTGCTCCCCCACTGCTCACATTATGACCTGAGCTCTGCTCCCCATCAGATCAGTGGTGGCATTAGATCTTCACAGGAGTGAGAACACTATTGTGAACTGTGCATGTGAGGGATCTACGTTGCACACTCCTTATGGGCCAAGGCGGAACAGTTTTATCCTGAACCCATCCCTCCCACCCCGAAAAATTGTCTTCTAGGAAACCAGTCCCTGGTGCCAAAAAGGTTAGGGACTGCTGCCCTAGAATCAGCCTGCCCCTCACCAGCTTGGGATGCAAGGCAGGAGGTGCTGCCTCTCTCTGTCTCAGCCTCCTGAAGTCCACCTTAAAAGGCTTATAAGGGTTAAACATGGTAATACCTGTGAAGCATTAAGACTGGCGCCTGGTTGGCTGGGCGCGGTGGCTCGTGCCTGTAATCCCAGCACTTTGGGAAGCCAAGGCAGGCAGATCACGAGGTCAGGAGTTCGAGACCAGCCTGGCCAATATGGTGAAACCCTGTCTCTACTAAAAATACAAAAAATAGCCAGGCATGGTGGCGCATGCCTGTAGTCCCAGCTACTCAAGAGGCTGAGGTAGAAGAATTGCTTGAACCCGGGAGGCAGAGGTTGCAGTGAGCCGAGATCGTGCCACTGCACTCCAGCCTGGGTGACAGAGCGAGACTCCGTCTCAAAAAAAAAAAAAAAAAAAAGATTGGTGCCTGGCACATGAGAAGAGCTCTTATTAGCCATTCTTCTGGTTAGAACACAGTGGGCAGTATCATATGCTTCTGGGATTGGATGCCATTATTTCTGACTTCATAACCATAACAATTGTCATAGCTATATTTATTGAGTGCTTACTCTAAGCCAGGGACAGTGCTAAATATCTTACTTGTATTCTCTCATTTACCACCCAAATCCAGTGAGGTAGATACTCTTATTACCCCCATTTTATAGAGGATACTGGGCTCAGAGAGGTTAAGCAGCTTGCCCAAGGTCACACAGCTAGTAAGTAGTAAAGTAGAAATTTGAACCTGTGGCTGTTTGGCTCCAAAGCCTATGCTCTTGTCCAGGATTCTGGGCAGTTCCCCATTCCTTCTAAGTAAAAGGAAGAACAGTGAAACTACGACACTGTGTGCATGTGTCTAGTTGAAGTTCCTCCTAAGATGGGCAGTGTCTGGATGGAGTTCGTGATCAGTCCTCACTGGGGGACTCTGGGAGCCAACTTCAGGCAAGAGACGAGCATGGTCTGAACTTAGCCCAGGAATGAGGCCACATGGTCCTCAAAGGAACTTGGAAGGGCTCATTGAAGGTTTTCATTCTCAGCAGTCTAACCATCTCCCCCCACCACTAAGTCTTGTTGACTCTTAATTTGCTTTTGCAGCTGAAGCAATAAATGTAAAGGTTAAGAAAGAAAGCTTTAGGGTGTAGCTGATTCCAAAGGCTCTGCCAATTTACCAGCTGTGTGACATTGGACAAATTACTTAACTTCTCTGCACAGCCACAAGAGCCCCACCTGCAAAACGGCGCATAATAGTACCGAGACTGCCTGTCAGGGCAGTTAGATGATGCATGTCTTTGGGGCTAAGGGCATGCCTGGATTTCAGTTGTACGACTATGGGCCAGAACTTTGACCTCTCTGTGGCTCAGTTTCCTCCACTGTTAGGTGTGGACAATAGCACACCTTGTATAGTTACCTTATGGGGCTACTGTGAAGAGGAAATGATATGTGTAAGGTGCTTGGCGCTGGTAAGAGGTTAGCATGATGCCAGACCAAAATGGGTTATTAATATTAGGTTGATGCAAAAGTAATTGCGGGTTTTGCCATTCCTTTTAATGGCAAAAACCACAATTACTTTTGTACCAACATAATAAATGTGACTTTAAAATCAAAAAGCTCATCATTCAGAGATACAGGCCTGGTTGTCAAAGCAAGACCTATGAAGCCTGCAGCCCCTCCCAGGCCTCTGAGGGGTGGCATTCGACATGAGTCTGACCTGAGCTGTGACCCTTCCCCAGCCCCTCTTCTCTGCTCCTCCGGCAGTCGCCGGGCAGGGCACTGGCCAGCAGAGCCATGATGTGACGTTTGAGCTTCCCCAGGCAGGGCCTTGCACAGGAACACTGGCGAGATCCGGTGTCAGGAAGAAGTCCCAGGTCATAGGTGTGATGCCCAGAGACTTGTCTTCCTTCAGGGACCTGAGTGACCCCTCAATGGAAGAAAGCAGCCCTGGCTTGGGACTCAAGGGCTGGGGCTGGAGGTCAAGGGTCTCGTCAGGACCACTTGCCCCTCCCAGTCCAGTCGCAGGTCACAAGGCCCAGAGCCACAGGCAGGGGAGCTGCCCAGAGGGCTGCAGCCGGAGGAGACTGGAGTTTGGGAATTCTGTGCGAGCTTCCAGACAGCACATTTCCTTTCTGCATCTCAGTCCCTCACTCAGAAAATGGGGCTGCTGACTCCTACTCCAGCCTTTCAGGGCTGTTTTGTGGCTCAAATGGGAAAAGGTAAAACAAAGCCCTGAGAAGGAAGAAGGACTGAATGTCAGCCACAGAGTGCCCCCAGACAGGAGCTTGCTTCTGAGTAGAGACCAACGTGGGGCCAGCCTCACCCCAGGACCAGCGGGACACCCACCTCTAAGCTGGACGGAAGGCAGAGTCAGGGGGTCTGTACCTGGTGGGCAGCGTGGGGGCTGCAGTCTCACTCTGGGGTTCCCGGCCTCAGTCTGCAGGAAGCAGTAGACGCAGTGACCAGCAGATGAGCCCTGCTCCAGGGAAAAGCTGCCACAGCCCCCAGCCTCAGGACGAAGTGTCAGGGTACTTGGATGGGGCGGTCTCCTGAGCTAGAAAAGAAGCCCTCAAGGTCAGGGACAGCGGGTGACCTTTACAGCCTTCTGCACAGCAGCCATGCATAGCTGGTGTTGAGCAGGTGTTGAAAGCGGGCATGAGGGAGACACAGCTCCAGTGTGCCAAGATACAATCTTCTTTACCCCCTCATACCGCACTGAGCCGTGCTTCCAAGCACCTGCCTTCTGCTGAAGAATGAGAAAAATAATTCTGAGGAACTCAGCCACTTCCTGCTCAACCCTTAGCCTTTCAGGTTCTCATCAGCTGTCGAGACACCATTTCCCTCTCTCCCTTTCATTCACCCAGAATTACAGCTGGGTGGGGGAGGGGCACGGGGGTGGCCTGGCGCCATCTTCTGTCGGGTTGTCGTTCCTCTTGCCAGGGGCTGGGCATCACCCTCCATCCCCCTGGGCAGAACCTGCAGCCAGGTCCCCCATGCCCTCCTTGCCTGTGGCCTTCTGCGGCCATTTTCCTGAGCCCCAGGCTGCTATCCCCCATTCCAAGGGATGTGGGACTCTGGCATCAAGGGAGCTGCAGGGATGGTAAGGGGATCTCCTGTCCCTCTGCCTGCTCAAACTGTCTCACCAGAGCCATCTCCACGAGGGCTCCAGGCCCCAGGCATATACCCTTACCCATTGCTAGCTAGGCTGGCGAACGGCTTCCCTGGAAACACAGGACTGCATCGGGAAGGAGAGGAGGCTGGAGGAACTTTAAGGTTTTGTTGGGAGGAGAAAGGGAGAATGGACGCAGAGGAGGTAACCAAGAAAGTCTGCTACTTAGGCACACCCTCCTGCGTCCACAGAGAGGAGTAACCCCGGCTGCTGGGCATCTGAGCCTCCCCCGTCCCACCAGCCCTCAGGCACTTGCCAAACAATGCAAGGAGCAAGGAAGTGAAGGGGGCACCTCCAGATTGAAAGCAGGGGTTAGCCAAGGGCAGAGTGTCAAGAAGCCCCTGGAGCCAGACCAAGTGCCCCGCCAGGCTGCCAGGTGTGAAGTCCACTTCCATGGAGTTTACAGGAAGGTGGCCACTCAGGTTGCTGTCAGGTGGCTCCAGGGGTGGCAGTGGCATAGCTAGTAGTATGGAGTCCTCTGGGGACCTCCTGGGGCCAGGGCATGAACTAAGCTGGAGGGGATCTTACTGGCTCCTGTCCCTTCCTTGCTCGTACATTCCAGTCTCTCTGCCAACCTTAACAGCTGAATGGGGATGGGATAGAGAGCTGCAATCAATGCTAGTCCCCATGCCTGGTATGAGATGTGTCTGGGGAGTCCAGGACACCCAGCCTCTCCACCTCCGTCTCTGCCACTCCCCAAGGCTAGACTCAGTCCTGCCTGATTAGTTAGAAAAGGGTCCTCCTGCTTCGTCTACTTGCTTCCCCTGAGTCTCACCTCCAGGTGGCTCTAGTTTCCAGGATGACTAATAGGTTCCATATCATGTGCCAATTTCTGCTGATTGATAGTGGCTGTGTTGCAAAGAATTGTGAAACCTTGTCTAGGCTCATTAAGGAGCTGTGATTGATTATCAGTGTCAGCCATGAGTGCAGGCACAGAGACTGTAGGTGTGTGTGATTTAAACTGCTGCCCACTTCTCCCAGGACCTGTTATACCCCATCAACCTGGGCTGGAAAGGTCTGGGGGTGTCTTGTGGCCGAGAGATGTCATCATAGGACAGATGTGAGCTGTGGCGTGCTGGCAAACGCTTAAGAAGTGGCTCTTGGGGTAAGGTGGGGCTGCTTTGTAGCTTTTGCCAATTTCTGTGGTGTGAATACTCCCACCATGGCCAATTTCCAGCTGCCAGTGTGAAGTCACTGGGCGCCAAGTTAGGAAGAGATGCCCACAGTTGGCTCTTGCAAGACTGCACAAGTTGGCTCTGAGTAGTCAGACATTTTTCCTAAGAAATGTAAAGCTTCTCAAAGCTTTGCTAATGGTGGGCTGTTCTGTGAATAGCACTAGACCAGGATTCAGGATCATTTACCAGCCATGAATAATAGGCAAGTTGCACCCTTCTCAGAGCCTCAGTTTTCTCATCTATAAAATGGGAGTTGGGTTGTGGTGAACTGTGATATAAGGAAGTGCTTTATCAGTCACAAAGCATGATTTGTCAACCATGCTCCCGGGACATCAAATAAATTCAGTTGGTCTACCCAGAAATCTGCCTCAGGCTTCCCTAGAAACTCAGGGTTTGGGCCATAGGGCTGTACGTGACAGGGCTTGAGTGTTCTCTTTGAAGTTAACCCCAGAAGACACAGGCTGCCTTAAAGCTCACCGGTGTCCCTTCACAGGCCAGTGAAGGGACTGCCTTAAAGCTCACCAGTGTCCCTTCACAAATTGCTTTTCATGGTTTTTAAAGTTACTCATGTTTCCCTTCTTCACTGCTCTTTGAGGCAGAGGCTGTTCCTTTTATTTCTCCATGTGCCTCCTTCAAGCTTCGGGGGCCCATGGTCCCGGGAGGCAGGCAGACCTGGGGCCAAGTACCAGCCCAGTGATGCATGTGTTCTGCAGCCTTGAACGCACCATAAACTCTCTGGGCCTCAGGTTTTTCATCTGTAGAGTGGGAACAATAACCAACAATACTTCACTGGGTCATTGGGCAGACCGAGTGAAATAAGGGTCTTAGCATAGCGTCAGGCACAGAGTACATACTCTGTAGATGAATAACAGACAAATTACTATTTGTCCGAATGAGGTCTTGGGTGGAGGTGGAACAGGCCAAACTGTAGAAGAATGGGATCCCAAGAGTTGGCAAACCACAGGTCGGTGAGGCCTGGGCCACGGGTAAGGGCGTGCGTCCTAGGGACTGAGGCACGGGAGGAGCCCCGAGGCAGGTCTGGTGCCATTAGTCCAGCATGGGGTTTCTCATCCTTAGCACGATTCACACGTGGACTAGATGAGTCTCTGTGGCAGGAGGCTCTGTGCATTGTCTTTTCAGCAGCATCCCTGGCCCGTACCCACTACAGACCAGTAGAAACTTCCCAGTCGTGAAATCAAAATGTCTCCAGACATTGTCAACTATCCTCTGGGGAGCCAAATTCCCCCGAGCTGAGAACCCCTGCTCCAGCAGGCAGAGTGTAACCAATATCATTAGTCACCCAAGGTCTGAGGGGAGCCCGTGATGCACAGCACCTGTCCTGGCAGAGATGGGTGGGTCGGGCATGTGGCAGAGCTGGTGGCAGGTGGTCAGCTGCAGGCACCAGGAGGCATGGGTGGGGGCTAGGACCCCAGCTTCTAGGAGCCCAGCGGTCAAGCAGGGTCAGAAGATGGTTCAGATGACACTGAACTTGGGAGCACCCTGCCACTCTTGATGCCCCCTGTCCAGGACCAGGACTGGATCCAGCGACTGGGTGGCACCAAGTCCAGGGTCGAGGGGGAGGGGACTTACCTGACCACTTTAGAAGGGGCTGAGGGCCCAGCCGCCCCTTCCACCCCTGAGAACTTCATGACCTCCAGCCAGGAGAACACAGGCTTTGCAGCAAGAGAGACCAAATTCAAATCCAGGCCCTACCATATGGAAATAAAAGTTAAACAATCAACTTAAGCCAGGCATGGTGACTCATGTGTATAATCCCAGCACTTTGGGAGCCCGAGGCAGGCAGATAGCTTGAGCTCAGGAGTTTGAGACCAGCCTGGGCAACATAGTGAAACTCCATCCTTACAAAAAATACAGAAATTAGCCAGGTGTGGTGTGTGGTCTCAGCTACTCGGGAGGCTGAGGTGGGAAGATTGCCTGAGCCCAGGGAGGCTGAGGCTGTAGTGAGCCGTGATTGCACCACTGTACTCCAGCCTGGGCAACGGAGTGAGATACTATCTCAAAAAATAATAATAAATTAAATTAAATTAAATTAAAATTTTTTAACCTTAAGAATCAGATGCCATCATCTAAGAGCAAGGTGACCACCTTAGGCAGGTTGCTTAACCTCTAAGCCTCAGGTTCCAAGTCTATGGAAGGGGTGATAATGCCAACTTCACAAGGTTGTTATAAAGACAAAGTGCGGTGTTATAGTTACCATGCTTAGCACTGTGTCTATGTCTGCCGCATAATGAGCACTCAGTAAATGTCGATTGAATGAATGAAGGAATGAAAAAATGAATCCTCCTACAGCAAACCTTTCTCCCTTAAACCCTCATGTTTGTTTTAGTTCTCATCACTGGAATTTCTCCAGCTTTCTAACATAGGAAACTGTTGGCTTCTCAGCGGGAGGAAATGAGTTATTCATCTCTGTATCATCAGAGCTTTGCATCAGGCCTGGTAGATAATAAATGCTTAAAAAAATGAAGTTTTCCTTCCTCAGAGGACAATGAGTATACTTTATTCATCTTTAGAGAGCCACAGCCCAGCACAGTGACTCACACAGTAGGCATTGTTAAGTGTTTGTTGAATGAACGAACATACAAAAAGTGGTTGAAAAAGGGCACGACCCAGAATGCTACCCCAGAATTCTTCATGGGGGTCCATCCCTATGTGTCCATTTTGGGGAAGCATGGCCGCCTTGCTCGGAAGAGGTGGGTCAAACCCCGGCGGAGAACGGTAGTGGCCTCAGCAGGAAGCTGAGGCAGTGCGTGACAGACATCAGCAGGGAGGTCTCAGGCAGAATGTCCCCACCCTGGATGGCTGTTGTGACCCTCTCCTGACAGCCCTGCTTGCGGGCTGCTTAGCCCACCTGAGGGGGCTGGGACAATCTTCATAGTTCTCCCTGCTGCAAGAAACAGGTTCCTCCTGAGGAAGCAGCAGGTGCATGGGCGGAGTCCAGGTGTCTTCCTCCTCTCTCAAAATGTGGTAGTACGGGCAGTACCTCAGCAGGATCAGCATGAGATATGGTGTGCTCTGTTAGGAAGACCCCAGGATGGGGAGTCAGGAGACTGAATGCCGGTCTCACCGCCATCACCTGCCCACAACATGGCCCTGGATGGTCATGAATCTCCCTGGGCCTCTCTCTCTCCATCTGTACTGTGGGGACTTGGTAATGCCTTGGAGTGACTCCATCCTTTGGTGCCTGGCCAGGGTAATGGGCACAGCCAAGTGGCCCACATGGGAGAGCAACTAGTGACATCAAGGCACTGCTAGATTTTGCAAAGCCATCAGCTCCCCAGCATCTTAGAGCTGCCAGGCATTGAACACAGCATCAGGGGAAGCATCTGCTTGGAAACCCAGGGCTGTCCCAATGCAGGCCTGTTTGATGAAAATTGGCAGGGGCAGGACGGGAGTTGGGTTTTCCAAGGCACCTGAAGATTTTCCAGTGGGTCTCATGAAGACCATCCCTAACAGGGGAAAAAAGGTGTGTGAGAGAGAAAGTCTTCTTTTATAGCACCTGTATAGCTCTTCCCCTTCTATGGCACAGCATTAGCTCACAAAGAGGATTTTCCTGTTTCTGAAATCCCTGTAGGGGACAGGTATGGGTAGTGGCAGCCTGGCTGAGCTTGGAAGAGCCAAATTCCCTTGCATAAGACAAAGGTGCCTGTAAAAGACAGATGAGAGGGTTGAGTCTAGAGAAGGGGGCTGGAGGCTGACCATAACAGGCATCCCAGGGGCAGGTCTGGAGAGGACTTGGTCTGCAGGCAATTGCAGGGTGGGGGGTAGGTTGCTTTCTGAATGAGAGACAGAGAGAGAGGCACTGTAGAGAAGGGTCCAGAGCTCTACCATTTACTAGCTGCATGGCCCTGGGGAGTCGCTCAACCTTCCCATGCCTCAGTTTCTTCATCCGCAAGGCGGGAATGATAGAACCTATTGCATAATGGAAAACCCCTCGAATTGTGCCTGGCACCTAATAAGGACCATAGAGGTGTATGCAGTGACAATGGTGGTGGCAGTGGTGGTGATGTAAAAACCCTCAAAATCTTCAGTAGAATTTATATCCTCCAGGGGTGCACCCAGCAAACTGCTCCTCCTGCTACCCAGCTGAGCCTTGAGTCTTGTGCCAGCTACCTGGCTGCATCTGGTGACACCTATGCAGCCGAGAGTGCTAACAACAGGCCGGGCTGCCCTCAGAGCTCCAGTCTGTGTCACTGGGGACATCTCAGAGCTCTAGCCTGTGTCACTGGGGGCATCACCAGAGCCTGCCACAGTGGGAGCCAGGGCCCCGTCAGGCCTGGCAGGCGCAAGGCATCTGCCCTCCATGTGGCTGAAGCATCCCAAAATTGCCACAGGCTGAATTTTGTCACCAGCCTGCTTCTCATGCAGAGGACATCTCCCCCAGCCAGGAGGCACAGATTTCCCAGCTAAGCTGGCCCCTCTGGCAGGCTGCGCTCAGGGGATATTTTCAGATTCTGGGTGACATTCCTCTGCCACTCAGCCTAATGGCTCCCAGATGCTCCCCCTGCTCTGTGCTCCCTCCCGCTTGTTCTGGGCCCTGCATGCAAGGCCCGGGCCTGGGGCTTGCTCACCCAGGCTCTACACCTCTTGACTTTTTCTGTTGCTTTTAATCTAAAACACTGTGTTCCTCCTTAACGTGATGGCTTGACAGAGGCCAGCATGAAAGAGGCTGTTTCCTCCTGGATGGTGACCAGGGCAGAGAAGCCGACAGATAAAGGAGGAGAGAAGGAAGCCGGCTCTGGGAATGGGAGGAGCACGGGGAAACATAGGAGCCTTTATTGGCCGAGCATAAAAGAAGCAACAGGAGTCGCAGCTGAGTTAACGTGGCCAGGGCACTAGGGGCCGGGCAGACACACCAGGCCCAGCTGGGAATCACCGGGAGGGTGGGGTTTCGTGGCTCATGTTCCGCAGAAGCGCCTTTCCTTCCCTATCTTTCTGGGACTGCTTTTCTAAACCTTCCCTCCCGCTCCCCACCCCTATTCCTTTTTTCTCCCTCTCGGAACACTTGAATTTGTCATTCTTGGCTGTTGCCAGTAATGAGATAGGGCTGCTGCTGCGGCCGTGGGAGGGAGGTGGGGAGTGGACACCAGAAAGAGAAAGGAACAGAGAGAGGCATGGAGGAGGGTGGGGCCGGAGCCCGAGAGGGGGCTTTGAGAAAGAGGCTGTGGGTGGCAGACCCTGGAGGGGTGAAGTGCCTAACTCACTGCTAAACAGAAACCAGGACGGGCCAATGGGCCTCAGGCAGGGTGCACAGTGGCCATCCACGCCCGCCCCTGCCTGCCTGCTGGCCCTCCCTGACGTGCACAGTGAGGACACGGGCATGCTAACGGTCCTCATCTCTACGGGATCTGTTATTTCCGCCTTTCTCAGTGTGCCTCGCTGCCCACTGTCCCGTGTTCTGCAAAGCAGCCTTGTACACAAGTTCAGGCAGGTCCCGTAGAGCCCGTTTTGTGGGGTGGGAAACTGAGGCAGAAGGGCCACCGGCAGGTCCCCAGCAGGGCTGAGCCTGGGGCCTAGACCTCTGGATTTCTCATCCAATTATGAAAATATGGAGATGAAATAAAGGGGGAAGAGATTATATTGGTGAAAGTAGGCCAGGAAAAGACAAACTTCGAAGACCAGATGGAAACCCCTCCGCTGATGAATCCTTGGACACTGCTTCCAAGGCGGCCTCCCCACCGCCCCCTACAGCAATGACACTGACCCAGGCATTTTCTCTCTCTCTTTCAGGACCTCCTGTAAGTACTCAAGCCGAGGGTCTCGTGCATCTGAAAGGCCTGTGTCACCTGCTGGTAACGGGGTTCTGGGTGGGGGCACTGAAAGCTGGGCCCCTGCTGTCTTGTTGGGGGCCTATGCAGGCTCCTGAGGGGTCCCTCCAGAATGCCTCTTGTGGGGAGGAGGCTACCATTTTGCTTTTCACCCACTTCTGCACCCCTCCAGGGCAAGACAATGGCTGCCCCCAGGGCAAAGCAGGCCCCAAATTTCAATATGAAAGAGTGGCTTTCCCTCTAATTAGCTCAGTTCCTTTGTCCCCAAAGAAGCTATTGGAGTCAAAAAAAAAAAAAAAAAAAAGCACCAGGTATTAGAAGAAAAGAAATCATCTCTCCTCAGTTCTGCCCCTTGAAAGGTCCCAGAAAACAGGTCATCGAGCTGGCTGCAAGCATGGTCTGCTCCAGGGGACTCACATCCACACCCCTGAGTGGGGCAGCTCCATTCTGGCCACTTTGGGCAGGTGGTGGTGGTGGCGGCGGCAATGGTTATGTAAGAGAGAGCGGTGTCAGCCGGTTAGACTGGGAGACAGCACATAAATTATAGGCATCATGCCGCACTCCTTCCTGGCCTTGCTAGGAAGCCCAGGGTGGGGCAGGGAGTGGAGCCACTTCCAGAGAACCTGAGAAGAGCCCAAGGAGACTGCCTCCCTCAAGTAATGGATCCAGAGAACAGGAGCACCTGCCTTTGATATCCCAACAAAAGACCAGAGGGCGCTGGGGGAGCTGGAGATAGGAATTGAAAGGGCCCAGCCCTCGCATCAGATCTTTCTCAAGGTTGCTGAAATCAACCCTATCATCATCCCTTCCTTGGAGAAGTCATTTCCATAGTTGTTTTCCTCTTGATGTGTACCTGTGGGAGCCGCCTGCTTCATTTTTAGTAAAGGCCATTATCGAAGACTCCATTTGTGCCCTGAAAGGCCCTTGCACCCACACTGAGGATCCCATGGCCCCTGACACATCACAGTGAGGCAGGACCTGTCATGTCATTACTTGAAAGGAAGGATAATGTATTATGGCACGTTTGGTGTGTCAGATCTTAATTCCTATCATCCATCTTCCAAAATAAACTCTGCCATATAGAGCTTTCACCTGTGGGAAATGTGCTGCTTTTCCCTGTCTCATTCTGAGGAAGCCACAAGAGCCCTCAACTGCCCCCACCCTGCCTTGGGGCCTCCTGCACACACCTCACCCCCAGGGGCAGGATGCTGCAGCCTCCTGCACACACCTCACCCCCAGGGCCAGGATGCCAGGACAGCTCTGAGTCCCTGCCTGACTTGAGGGTCCTTTCCTCAGTAGGAATTTTGCATTCTGAGAGCTTGTGCTGGCCCGACCCAGGGACTGTTCCCAGACCCCTTTGGGTCTGTGCTGAAGGAGCCCATGAGGTGGAGGGGATGAGTCTTCACTCAGTCTCTGCCCACAGAGTGAAGAAGAAAGGCCCAGGTAGCTTTCCCCACATTCTGAGCCCAGCTCAGAAGAGGAGCCCTGAACCTTTGCCCAGTGCTGGCTGAAACCACAAGGCAGGAGGAGGAGGAAATGGGAAGCTGGCCAGGGCAGGAATCACCTCCTCAGCCCTGTTATCTCTGCTTCCTGCAAAAGAAGAATGCTGGTGGCCAGAGAGAGGGGCTCTGAGATGCCTGTCTGATGCCGTCTGGGTGTATCCTGGGGGCTGGCTCTGTCCTCCAACAGGAAGACCCAGATTTCTGCGGGCACAAGGTCGGCCAGTGCCTGAAGAACATAACTGTGCAGGATGGATTAAAGCTGCAGCAGGAACCATTTAGGTGGAAGTAAATTTTCAGCTACCACTGCCCCACCCATCATGCCCCTGGCAGACATTGCTAATCAATTAGGAGGCTTTTTAACATAATGCATTAGTCAGTTACTCCCAATCCATTGGCATCAGTGCTCAAGCTGACATCTATTGGCCATCCCTGGATTCAATTTAAGGGAGAATTTCCTAATACTGGGAACTATGAGACTGAAAACAGATGACCAAGGGAAGTAGGGATGTATCTTTCTCTGAAGGAATATAGGGAAATATTTGCCAGCAGCTGCCAGGCCTTGCTGAATATGATCCTTGCTGAAATAGTAGCTAACACTTACTGTGTGTTAGACACTGTTATGTTTTTATGGAGGCAGTGTAACATAGTGATTATGAGCATGGGCTCTGGGGCCAGACCAACTGCAATCAAATCCTGGCACTGCCACTTTTTGCTGTGTAACCTTAGCAAGTCACTTAACCTCTCTCTGCCTCAGTCCCCTCATCTGTAAAATTAGAACAGTAATGGTGTCTGCTTCATATGGATGTTGTAAGGTATATGTGTGTATGTGTGTGTACTGTATATATATATTTTTTTTACTTAGGATATATTAATTCATTTAATCCTAAAAGCATAAGGCTTCCCTAGATGATGCCCAAAGGTGTTTTGCAAACCTTTAATTTTTTTTTCTTTTTTAGAAAAGAAAAGAAAAAACTTTTTTGGGTGAGAGAGTGAGAGGCAGGGTCTCACTCTCTCACCCAGGCTGGGGAGCAGTGGTGCGATCAAAGCTCACTGAAGCCTCAATCTCATGGGCTCAAGTGGCCCTCCTGCCTCAGCCTCCCAAGTAGCTAGGACTACAGGCGTATGCCCCCACACCTGGCTAATTTTTTTAATTTTTTTTTTTTTTTAGAGACGGGGTTTTGCTATATTGCCCAGGCTGGTCATGAACTCCTGACCTCAAGCCATCCTCCTGCCTCAGTCTCCCAAGTGGCTGGGTAAACCTTACATTTTAAGGAAGAAATTATGATTTTGTGCATTTTTATTAATGAATTTTATTGTTTTATTTATTTCTACCCCATCTCATTCCAAGAAACATTTTAGGGGGATTGACAAGCTACATAAGGAAACAGAAGGTGAGGGGTGGAGAACAGAGGCAGGAAAGCAAAGGGAATCCGGAGCCATGGCACTGCAACATCCTGTGCACATGAGCCACACACTTGGCTCTGAGCTTCTCGGTGGTCAGAGCAAAGAGGAAAACAGAGCTTTGGCAAGGGTCGGGCTGCAGTGAGGTAGGAGCACGCCTGATGCTTGGGCGAAGCACAGTTTTTCCTGAGAATGGGGCCTGAAATAAGTTTCCCTCATGTGTCCTCGTAAGGGTGGCACGATGTGGATGATGTCGGTTGTAAGGACACAGTAAGCAAATTGCCCCTTCTGTTCCTATTCAGAGTAGACCCACTGCATGAGGTTGGACCCTCCTCACCCTGGCGCGTTCCCTTCCCTGGGATGGGAGGTCACTACCCCACTTCTCAGCCCACTCTGTGACATTAGGGGACAGGAAGTTTAGAAGCAAGAGGAAGAGGGCATTGGTTGAGCACTAAAGCTCTGGTTTAAGGGACGCAGTGCCTGGGCTGTCCTTGTGGGGGCCTGGGAAAGCAGGAGTGTTGCCAGGTTCCTGGTATCCGCAGGCAGATTCATTCATTCGTAAATGTGTCTTGAGGATTACTGAGAGGTCCACATTGCTGAGGCACTGGGGACACATTCGTGAATGAAACAGGAAAGTCCCTACCTCAGGAGCTCACATTTTAGTGCTATGGGGCAAAACCAACAACACGGCGGGATGGCAACTAGTCCTGTCCCCATGAACGCTGTAGCCCCACATTCCCCAAGGACTCCCCACCGACTGGTGGGTGTCACTGCACCACCATTGACGGGATGTCCTCAGGAACAAACGTTAGAAGGGTTGACTTACTCCTGGTGCTGCCTGAACTTTTCTCAGCAGCCCTGCAGGGATGGACTTGTCTCCCAGGGAACACCCCAAGACCTACTCCTGGTTCTGCCTTTGGTTTATGGGAACAGTGGGATGTCTGGAAGGAGAGAAACTGTATGTGACAGCAGGGTCTCTGGAGGGAGAAACCAAGGCCAGCCCCATGCCCGTCTCTGGCCAGTCCTCCTCTCTTCTAATAATCATAGTAATAGCTGCATTTATTTAGGATTTGCTATATGCCAGCCGCTGTGCTCAGTGCTTTACATACATTCTCTCATTTGATCCTAACAGATAGGTAATGATTATTCTTCCATTTTCAAGATGAAAACACTGAGGCACAGAGAGACCAAGATACTTGCTAAAGGTTACCCAAGTAGTAAGTGGCAGAGCCAAGAGGTGAACACAGGTGGGCTTTCTTCAGAGCCAGAACTGGAAGGAAGCTTTATAAGCCTTAGCGATCAAGGCTCCCCCTTCGTTTTGTTCATAAAATAACAAAGGCTTACCCAAGTGGCATGCCAAGGTCACACAGCTGGTTGAGACAGTGTTCAACAGTTAGGTGTTACGATACCTGCCTGACCTACGTAAACGTCACTCTTCATTTCAGGGTCCCACTGGAAGACCCGGACTCCCAGTAAGTCACTTTTGTTTCTTCTTTCCTTTGCATCTCTTTTACGTGCTTTTCTCAGTCTGAGGACTGGCTAGGTTGGGTGGCTGGTTTTTCTCCAGGTGTATCTGGGTGACAGGCCACTCTCCAGAGTCCCTGATCTATAGCTTAGGGTGAAGTCACCTCAGCTCCTTCCTCCTTTGAGATCTAGAGAGGACCCTGCTGGGGCATCTTTAGCTACAGCCCTTGGTGTGCCTTTGCCCCAGGCAGACAAATTACAGCATGCAGATCCTTCCAAAGCTGCAGCTGACTTCCAGACTGATGACCCTACCATGAGCAGCTGCAGGGATGGGCAGCCCACTGGCACACTGACTATCCCCCTGCATACCAGCTGACATTCAAACCACTGTTCCTCCTATGCCTGCTGATAAGAGAGCGGACTCAAAAACTTTGTTTTCTCTCAATTACCACGTCCCAATTCTAGAGAGGCTGTGCCAAGTAACCATGGGGACTCTGGGACAAAAAATATAGCCATCTCTTATTGAAACCGTAAGAAGAGCCAGGTACTGCATTTATCATGTTTCACACATTCAGCTTGTTCAATACCTCAGTGAAATGGGTATGATTATAAACCTGTTTTATACATGAGAGTCAGGAAGGTAAAATAGTTTGTCCATCTGTCCAAGCTTCAGGTGGGGACCTGTTAGAGGCCCGTATCATCACACACCATTCCATACTGCTGTTGCTTGTGGTCTGTGCTCCACCTTCAAAACCCACCTTTAAAGTCTTTTAAGACTTTGCTCTGTGGAGTCTAGCCTGGGGCATGGATGAGTTGAGTAGTGGGTATGTGTACCGGGTATGTGTACCATGGGCCCTCAGATGTGGAGTGACCCAGGTAAGATGCTGCAGCCGGTCAGGGGGCCGGAATCGGGTATGGAGAGCACCCTGGCCTGAGGCTGGCACCAGTCTGCCCTGTCTCCCTGTACCAAAGGCCACATCCATGAGATTCCAGACCCTTACGTTCCTCCCTCTTACCTAATGACTCCCCTTTTAGACATGGATTATACTGTAACCTTTGGACTAATCCAACAGCTTCTAAAATTCATGCCTAGCAGTGGCTTTCTTAATGAAATGCATGTGGGGGAATGTTCAGACTTGCAAATGGAAACTCTCCCAGTAAGAGCCCCAGCACAAAGGAGGACGGGTGAATCGGTCCCATGAAATCCAAGGAGGGGAAACATCAGATGACCGAGGGGAATGTGGGCAGACTTTGTTTCTTTCTTACAACATCCACCTTTAAAAAGCATTTAGGGGGCAATTGACAGAGCAAGGGCTGCTGCACATAGTTTCCAGTCCCTGGCCATTCCACACCCATCCCTAACCCAAGCATTTTATGGCCAGGACTGCAAAGAGCATTAGTTTTAAAAAAGAAATGAAAAAGAAACCAAAACACACATCCTGAAATATCATTCAAAAGCCCAAGAGTGAGTGGACCGTGGGGCTGCCACAGCCGACCACCCGCCCTGGCCTGGGGTCCTTCGCAGGCAGAGCCAATTTCGGATCCACGGGTCATGGTCTTGTTGATGCTTCCGTGTGAAGGGTCCTAGGAGTAACACTCAAAAAGACTGTGGATGTGAGCCCCTGGTGTACAAAGCAAAAGGTGTGGAGTACAAACATGCTGATGAAATTCACCTGCCCACAGCTGTGCTAGGCTTTACACAAGCAGATGCCATTTATTCAACATCAAAGGCCAGGCACTGGCCACATGCTTCTCAGAGACAGCATCATGTGGCATCCTCCCAGCAACTCCATGAGAAAGAAGCTCTTATCACCCCCACTCCACAGAACTGATGCTCAGAAAGGTTAAGGGAAGAGTCAGTGCTTCTAATCTGCACAGCTACCCTGCCATTCTTTAGCAAAAGTGAAACATTTTACTCAAAGCCACCGTTGGTCTTGACCTTATGTGTTAATTTTAAGAGCCTAATTTCAGAAATAATTGCTTCTCTCTGGTGTGCCCCACATACATGGTGGATGCTCATTGTTCCTCAAGGCATTGTGCCTCAGTGGGGTTAGCAGACGCAGAGTCACCCGAGAAATGCCCATGCAGTCCCCTCCTGTCCAGCAGGCTGGACAAACCACCTGATTCTCCGCACCCTATTGCTTTCCATCCTTCCAGGCTCCCAGCAAACTCTAGGCCCCACCCCAGGTTTTATGATGTCTGCATGCATATGATGGCAAAAAAATATTTTCTACCAAAAGGGGGAGGAACAAAACTTAATAAGCAGATTTCCAGAGTGAGATGTAACCCCTGGCTACAAAACAAAGCATTTCCCTTGGAGCATCTGCAACTCGTGATTCGGCTGAATCCACATGGCTCGTGGTCCTTCCTGTCAGTACTGGAGGTGGCCGAGAGGAGGGAGGAGTGGAGAAAGACTCCAGAGGTTGCTTTCTCAAACCAGGGGCTGGGGAGGAGCACTGCTCTCCAGCTCTGGCAGAGACAGACCGAGGAAAGTGATTCACCCATCTGTCACATGGGAGCTGCCAGTCACCCTGCTCTGTGCCTTGAAGTTGCGTTTGATAAAGATGAGGCACATCCTGGCCATGGCTGGAATTGATGCAACAGTGAAGTCTAAGGGAGCAAGGGCCTTGGAAAGGCATAGGGAAACTGAGGCCCAGGCTGGGACCAGACTCCTCCTTCCATGCTCTTTCCACAACACTCATGCCTAAGTACACATAGCCATAGCAGTGGCTGCTTGCTGAATAGTCCTTGGGAGCTGCATAGGGAGTGTACCTACATGATGCTTGGGCATCATACGGGATGTCGTCCCCGCTGCAAACTGGGTTAGCTGTGCCCTAAATCAGGTGCACAGTTTGCCTATAGGGTCCTTCACATGCTAGCCTGGTTCCAACCACATCTGACTGTTTCTGCCTCCTTCATCATCAGGGGGACAAAGGTGCCATTGGGATGCCTGGACGTGTGGTGAGTTGGCCCGTTTGTACCTGCTCAGGTGGCCATTGCTTGCTTCTCCGTGCTGGCCTGTCCTCTAAACCATGGCAATGTGCTGTCTATCCCAGGCCCAAGGAGGGGGTCAGCACTTTCCCTTCCCCAAGCCCCAGTGTGCTTTAGGGAGGGAGAAGAAAGGAGAAGGGAAGTTGTATTCCAGTCCTTCAGACCTCACAGTATGGCACTACTCTCCAGAGAGCTGCCACAGCAAAGGAAAAACCTAATAAAGTTGCATGAACAAAGCCCTTTGCCAGTCACCTGCTGGGAACGGCAGGAACAAACTGAGCCTCGACATTGGGAGGACTGCCACTCCGCCCCCCAAAGCTGGCAGCTCACCCTTAGATTCACAGCTGCTCCTGCAACCACCCCTCGGTGGAGCCAGGGTTCCCAGGGGCCTTCTCTGTAGACAGAGATGCACTAAGAGATGGTGAAGACAGGGCTTGGTCCCAGGTGGCACCTCCAAGTCCTCACGAGGAGGCTGAGAGTTAAAACATTCCTGTTTCTTGCAGGAAAGTGAAGATAGAGAAGGGGAGATGAGAACGTTTGATGGAGAGGGTGTTTCCCAGAAATGGGAAGGCCAGCCTCAGCCCCTGAGTGTCTACAAAGGGCTATAAAGGCAGTAGTCTAAGGCAGTGATGGCCATGCCCCACCCTCACCACTCCCCAGCCTGGGCTAGGACAGTGGCCTCAGCCACTCTCCCCATGTGACTCCTAACTTCCCATCAACCTCTGCCTCACCTGGCTCCCCAGGACCCCTGACCACCCCCATGTCATTCTCAGCTTTGCCTCAGAATCTCATGGGATTGGCTGTAGGAGTGGGTGTAGCATCCTTGTGTGAATTTGCTTGCCTGGTGTGAGTCTGCCGGTGCTCAGAGGTTGAGAAAAGGCATCCAAATGATAGCTGACCCTTGCTAGTGCTAACTGCTTGCTGGCGTTGTGCTAAGAGCCTTATGTTAGCTTACTCAGACTTCACAAGAACTGCATGAGGTAGACATGGTTTCCACCCCTACTCTTCCGATGAGAAAACCAAGGCTCAGAAGCTAACTGTCCTTCCCAAGGTCGCACAGTCAGGAAGTGGCTGAGCAGAAATCTGAACTCAGACAGCCCAACTCCAAACCTGCGCTCTTGATCCTGACAATATTACTACTCCCCACTAACCACCCACCCCCACTGGCCTTGCAGCTCTGAGGAGGGTCTGATCCTTAGAATGAAGCCCCAGAGGCCTGGGATATTTCAGAGTTCAGGACAAGTGTTCCATGTCACAGAGCTTTGCTCTCCCCAGCGCCCACCTAAGGCCTGTCTATGGAGGCATGCAGGCTGGGAGCCCTGGGCCGCCCCACGAGAAGCTCTCCCACCACTTCCCAGAGCAGAGCACAGTGGAATTGCTGCCCGGCCCTGTCTGTTTTCTTCCGTTCTCTAACTCCAGATCCTGAGTCCTCCCAAGCCGTCACAGGCTCTGTACAGAGCAGGGAAACGTGATTCAACCATCCTTTCCCAAGGGCCTGCGCATGTGGACCTGAGCCAGTCACCTGCGTCACCATAGCCCTCTGAGCCCCTGTCTTCCAAATGAAGATGTTGAGACTCACTGCACCCAAAATAGGGTGGAGTTGGGTTTTGTGCCCAAGCCAACTGTGGGACCCCAAAGTCCCTGCTCCCAGGGAAGCTTCAGGAGCCTCTCCCCTGAGTGCAGAGACAGGCCCACAGGGAAGGCTGCAAAATGCAAAGTGGCAGCTCTGGGCCTTCCCGTCCTGTCCGTCCTGTCCTCCTTCTTGGGCCCTGTGGACACCTCCTCCCAGGAAGTGTCCACACTTCCCTCCCATAGCAGTGGGGGTAGAAGGAGGGGAGCTGCAGGAGGTCTCCCTACTTCCTTCTTAGCAGGTCTATTTTCAAGCTACTCTGGCTGCTGGTGCTATTTTAAATGAGACAATGGGCCCATTTGGCTGCCCATTAGGGGTCCTGGCATGAGCCACCTGATAAGCAGTGAGGTGGCCAGTAGGTGTGACATGCCTGGGTCATCCCTGGGGTTGACCAGAAGTGGCCCCACTGGCCTGTCCAGAGCAGGGTGGATTGGGACTGTCCATCTACTGGTCACTGTTGTTACAAGGGACCCTTGGCCGCCTAACCAGCCTCCTCTGCATCACTGACCTGTGCTCCGTTCTTCCAGAGGTGTGTGTCCTGCCTTCTGGCCTCCTGTGATTCTCCACGCCCCCTCCCTCCACCTTGCCCGGCCAGGTCCAAGGACTCCAGGCTTGTCTAGCTTGGCAAAGCTTTGTTCTTGGTGTTCAGCTGGACCTGCAAACCTCCTAGACACCAGCATCACAACACAGTCCTGGGGCAATTCCCCCGATCCCCACCCCAACCTCAGAGTGTCCTGGCCAGCTGGGGCCATGGCTTCTGGGGAGGATTTCCTGACTTAGGTGGGATCTTGTTCTCTTTTCTCTATCTCTGTCTCTCTCCCATTGTCTGGCTTTCTCTCTCTCTCTCTCTGTCTCTCTCTCTCTCTCTCTCTCTCTCACACACACACACACACACACACACACACACACACACACACACACACGTACGTGCCTCAAGAGGGCCTCTTACGGCCCCAGCCACTGTTTCTCAGTTATCTGGAGCAGCTGCACATTGCAGCAGCGCCTTCCACATGCCACATGCTGTGCTTGTTGGACGTGGACCTGCCATGTGTCGACATCTGTGTTTTGCTTTGTTTCTTATTTCACAGTGATTTCTTCTGTTTGGTTGTTGTGCTATGAACATGGATTCTCGTGTGGGTGCCTCTTTCTCATCCCCTCTTTTTTCTCTCCCCTCCTTTCCCTTCCTGCACCCTGTGTTGCATGTGGCTGCCCCAGGGAGTAAAGGGCCAACCAGGCGAGAAGGTGAGTCCACACTTTCCCCTTCTGCCCTGCACCCAGCCTCCTCCTCCAGGTGGACTCTTGATGGGAGGCTCTCAGCCCTCCCCCCCATGAAAGCCGCAGCAGAGGGTGCTGGCTGGGCCTGCTGCCCTCACTGCCTCTCACGGCCCCGTTTCCTAACAGCTTCCATAACATCGGGCAGCAGTCTTGGGATTCCTGGGCGGCGGTCCCAGCTTTCCCAGCTGAGGAGGTCTTCCCTGCCTTGCCCTGCCCTGACAGCATGAGGCCTCATCGCTCTGGCCAATCGCTATTTTGTGTAGCTGGAACTGCCCAGGGGGACCCCCGAGGCTATGGAATAGAGCCCCCCTGGGAAGTCAGAAATCCAGAAGCCATCCTGGAACATCAGCCCTGGGGGGTTCTTGAGAGATTTCTGAGAGCAACACTTCTTTTTTTTTTTTGAGATTGAGTCTCGCTCTGTCACCCAGGCTGGAGCGCAGTGGCGAGATCTCGGCTCACTGCAACCTCCGTCTCCTGGGTTCAAGCAATTCTCCTACCTCAGCCTCCCAAGTAGCTGGGATTATAGGCCTGTGCCACCACACCCAGCTAATTTTTGCAGTTTTAGTAGAGACAGGGTTTTACCATGTTGGCCAGGCTGGTCTCGAATTCCTGACCTCAGGTGATCCGCCCACTTGTCCTCCCAAAGTGCTGGGATTACAGGTGTGAGCCACCATGCCTGGCCAAGCACAACACTTCTAAAGAGTTCACTCTGCAGGTGAGGAAACTCATCTGATGCCCAAGGAAGGAGCAGGGCTGGCCCAAGATGGCACAGCAATAGTGATGAGCAGGGGCTCCAAGCCAGACCTCCCGGTGCCCGGCTCTGTACTTCCCTGTCTGTAATGCAGTATTTCTGCAATAGTTTCCCATCTCCAAAATAACAATCTCAACAATTATAATACAGTTGCCATGTATTAAACACAAATTGTGTCAGGTGCGGGTTTAAGTATTTTGTCTGTTTTCCCAACTAGCACTGACATAACCTTTTCAGGGAAGCTTTAATATTCTCATTTACACGAGGCACAGAGAGGCCAAGTCACATGCCCCGGGTCACACAGCTAGAATGTGACAGAGATGGAGAGGTGCCCCAGTGTGTCTGACTCCAAGGCTGGGGCTCCTAGCTACCATGCTATTCTGTCCTCATATTGGAACTAGACTGTCAGCTCCACATTGGCATGAGGCTAAACTGCCTAGGAGAAAGACACATGACCCCTTCCATGGACCAGGCATTGTTTTAAGTACTTTACATTATCACATGACATCTTCACATCCACCCTATGAGACAGGCGCTATCTGTATCCTTACAGATGAGAAGACAGGCACGGGGACATTAAGTCGCTTGCCCAAGGTCACACAGCTGGTGGGTAGCAGAGCTGATCTTCAGACCCAAGCATTCTGGCTCTTAACCATGACACTACACCGCCTTGTATAAAAATTATTGTATCATTGCCATGACATAAACAGTTACTAACTTGAAATCATCCCTCGCCTGCCTGTAAGGTATGACATTTTCCAAAATGCGTTTCCCGTAAGGGCAACAGAGCCGCTCTCAGCATTCCTGTTCCCAGAGGAGGTATGTGGGCTCAGAGAGGTTTTGTGACTTTTCCTGGCAGAGTAGGACCTTGAACTTAGGGACACACACACGCACACATGGCACTTGTCTAGCTAGCTCAGCCACCCTTGACAGCACTTTGAGCTCATCATTCAGCAGCATCTGCCTTCCTCTCAGAGCTGACATTCTGCCCTGGCCTTCACCCCTCCATGTCATTCTGAAACCGGGACTAGGGAATTTGAGGCAGCTCAACCTTTCAGGGTCAGGGATGCTGAGTTCACACAGCACGCATGTTGCTCGTGTCCCCCTCCTCTGTTTTCACAGTCCCATTCTCGGGCAGGTCACTGTTCAGCAGTTGCAGGGTGTGCGGCCAGATGGGTATTTGCGGAGGGGGAGCTGGAAAGCATCCTGGGCTGGGCCGGGGAGAGACTCAGGCCTGGGCAGCCTTGCTAAGTCTCCCCTCTCTCCCTGTGTCTCCCTGTTTCCCGCCACTCCAATGGATCCTGTTCTTCTCGCTTCCCCGGCCTGGGGTCCCACCACCCTGTCTCCCCGGAACCCCATGTCCTGTGTTCTCACTGACACCTCTTCTCCTTTCCCTCCTGCTGCTTCCCCCTACTACCTGCCCTTCCCAACCCATTCTGAATGCTCCCTCCTTGCCCCTGTGCCCTCTGTGTTGACTCTGCTGATCCCCTCGTGGCCCTCCACGTCCCCTGGCATCCCTCTCCTGTCCCATGGGGCCGGCCTCCTGCTCCTGGCCCCCTGCCAGCTCCTTCCCTTTGGTTCCTCTCTTTCCCGCTCCTCTTCTCCATACCTCCCTGCCCCTCGCTCCCTCTCCCCCTTCCTCTCTCCCCGCAGGGGTCCCCCGGAGACGCTGGGCTGTCCATCATTGGTCCCCGCGGCCCCCCTGTAAGTTGTTTTTGCTCTTCCTCGGGGTGTTGGGGGGATGGGTGAGTTGATGAAAAGGGCTTTTAGGCTGGGGATGAGGGGACAGCGAGGGCGGCTGTGCCCCTGGGTGGGGAGGCCACCGCATGTGATGTGGTCAGCCCAGCCAGGCCTCGGGTGCCGATGTTGATGTTAAGGAAAGTGGCCTGGCTAAATATACCTAAATTACAGTCCCTTGGGAGGGTTCTGAGGGACCTGCCCTCTAGCCACGAAACTACAGCAGCTGCAAGGCGGCCCTGCTGTTTACAGACAGAAGGGAGAAAGGGCTCGCTCTCCTCCGGATGGGGTGATCCGGCTTTCCCGGGAACCAGCCTTTGTTTCTGGAAGCCCATGGAGCAGATACGAGTCCGGGTTCACTGACCCAGGCACGCACTACTGGTCTTGCCGGAGGGCCAGCCCACACTCACCCTCACAGATGCCTCTGTGTGCAGTGCTGGGTCCTGTGTGTTCACTAGCACCCTCCACCCCGTGGCTGGGAGCTTGAGAAAACCAGCGAGGCTCCCCTCACATGTGCTTCCTTAAGGACCAAAACAGGGGTGTGGGTGATGAAGCCAGCAAGATATCGAGGCTGTGGGAGGAAGGGCTTGTTATTTTCCCAGAGCCCTGAACCACGGGGCTTTAATAAAATCACCACACGTCAGGGTGGAAAGGATCCCAGGGATGGTCTAACACAGCCCTCTCAGAAGGGGAAACTGAGGCTCAGAGAGGGGGAGCGCCCTCCCGTGTAGAGGCTGGGCAGGATTAGAACCGAGGAGCCCCGGCCTCACCACAGCAGCAGGCCGCCGGCTCCACCTTCTGCACTTTTCCTGACCCGCCGTGCTCAGTGAGGGGTGGGAGCAGAGGGCTAGCCTCTGGGAGACTGAGACCCACAGCAGAGGGAGAGGGGCCAGAGAACGAATGGCTAACTTACATCCAAGGGAGGGGGCCTGCAGTGAGATGAACAGCCAAGCGAGGGGTTGTGGCGAGTGCAGGGAGCTGAAAGGTAGAGCCAGTTTGAGAAGGAGAGCAGGGGCAGGAGAGCCAGGCTGGCAGACATGTCAGGGGCTGGGTCGGAGGCAGAACTTGAGTGGCCCTGGGCTGAGTAGCATGGCCTTTACAGCAAGGTTTTCTTCTGGGTTCAGACCATAATGACCACGCTTAACACTTCCTCTGTGGTGGTCTTATCTTAAGACTTTTACACGTATTCACTCACTTAATCCTCACAAGGACTCCATGACATAGGGACTGTGATCACCTCCATTTTACAGATGAGGAAACTGAGGCACAGAGAGGCTGAGTGACTTGCCCAGAGCCATAGGGCTGGCACGTGGCTACACTGGTAGCTGATCATTCAGCCAGACCATCTGGCTCCAGTCTGCTTCTGGTTCCTGCTGCAGTCATAGACGGGCCAGGCCTGATGTCACTGTCGCATGTGCTCCTGGGCTCACACGGTGGCTGCCCCGATGGGCTTCAAGCCTCCTGTGTCCTGGAGGAGGTGCAGCACCAATGCCCTGGCCAAATTGGTCCTGATGAAGGTGGTGATGGGAAGGTCATAGAAACAGAAGACAGGCTCCCAGGTTCTAACATCGAGGACTGAGCCCGGTGTGTTAGGAGGACAGGGGAGTAACACAGCATACAGGCCCTACCCTATGCTGCCATCTCCGTCTGCCTTCTGGTCTGGCTACTGATGTTCTATTGTGTGGATCCTGCTGGTCCTCTCACACCCTTTCAGCAAATTATGTCAACAGGCTACCAAAAAGTTATTGAAAACCTCCACTGCTGTAGGTGTGTTCAGGGCAGTAGAGCCTCTGCTCCTCCCGGCCTCTGCCCAGCATGGATAACCTAATCAGAAACATATCTACTGCACTGGATTTGACTCCAGTAGTGAAAAGCACCTTCTGCTCAGGTAGCAATGACAGCTTCTGTTTCCCAGGCACCTGTCACATAATAGGTCTCCTTCACAGCTGTGAGGCAGGCCCCACCAGCCCATTTTACAGAGGAGAGAACAGTTTCCTAACTCGCCTGTGGTCACCCAGCTAGTAAGTTCTGGAGCTTGGGTTTGGCCAGGTTATCCTCATCCCAAAGCCTGCATTCTTGCCTCAATACCCTGTTCCATGTTTGAAACGCTACGTTTAAAATGATATTTACTTCAGGAGAAAAAAGTCCTCCAGGTGGGTGCCTACATTGGCACCAGGAAAGGTTTTATCATACCAGGAGTCTTAACGAAGCCCAGCATCCTCTGACTTTGGCCCCCATCACCCAGTGGCTCGAGCTATCCCTGCTGAGTCCCCACTACAGCACGGGCAGCCCCCTCAGCTCCTTCCAGGAAGCTGCCCTGAGCTAATGGGAGCAGGGACGGGGGAAGACAAAGGGTCCATTTGTCATTAAGGGGTAGAAGTCAAGTGGGCACCCTTGGTGGCAGCCAGGGATGATGGAGAACATGAAACTTTCCACTCAGCCAGGAAGGGTCCAGCATAGATGCTGCTAATAAGAACCAGCCTTGCCACTCTTAGGGGCCACCTGCCTCCCCTCTTGGAGTTTGATAAATGGTCCAAGCAAAGGGAGAACCCTCCAAGCACTTTGGAGGAGGGTTCACTTTCTAATGAAGTGAGCTGGAATACAGTGTTGGGGCACGTTGACTTTAAGGGAGGCTCAGTAAATCGAGGGGGAGCCTGGACCTCCAAGATGCTGGCTGGCCCAGCAGGCCCTGGGCAGAGGATCTGCCAGTCCTAGGAAATGCCCTACCTCAAAGTGTGCCCATTCCCTCTCTGAGCTCTCCAGCTTCTCTTCTGGGGCGAGGAGATATCTGAACTTCCAGTCCTCATCCACTAGGAGCCACCCCACACCAGGTAGACACACCTACTGAGTGTGTCTCAATTCACTCCATTCATATTTGTTAAGAGCCCAGTGCCTGCTAGGTGCTGCGTAGAAACCTGACCTCTGTCAGCTTGCCCTCTGGGCACATGATCTAGTGGGTGACACCAGTGATCACATAATCCATGACAATGCAGACAGCAAGTGCTAAGCCAGGGGATGGTTAGAGAGCTGTGGGACAAGGAGGAGGAACCAGCCTTGTGGAAGGAGGGCAGGCAGGGAAGGTTTCCTGGAGGAGGGGATAATAACTGCAGTCAAGGACCCATGAGAAGCCCTTACATTATGGTCAGGGGTTGGGCTTTGTCCTGAGGGTGTGAAGAGCCTGTAGGTTGTGTTAGGCTGACGTGGGACATGACCAGATTTGCAGTTTACAAGGTTGTAGAAGGTCCAGCATGCAGCATGTTTAGAAGAGACTGCAGTGGGAGGCTGGCTGGAAGGCACTTGCAACAACCAAGGCCTGGACTGGAGCAGAATCGGTGGGGCTGGCCAGGAGGGCTAGACTTGCAAGCTATTTTAGAGGTGGAATTGAAGGATTTCGTGATGATAAAAAATAAGGATTGAGGGAGAAGCAAGAACTCAAGATGACACCACATTTCTGACTTGAGTAACACAGTACTCTTTCCCAGAAGGAAGAGCAGATTTTGCCAGGGGAGATGAGTTGAATTTGAGTGTGATGAGTTAGAGATGCCGTAAAGTCCAATGGGAACTGTCATCTGCTGCTGGAAGTCAGAGCATGTGGTCTGCTGGAGCTGTCTTGGACGGCTGGCAAGAGTGGACCATGCACACCTCACCTCCTCCCAGCTGCTTTCAGTGACCTCATGTTGGTAGCTTGAAATCGGCTATGGTGGGTGTATTTATACCACAGACATTGGCAGGTGCTCTATGAGGCAGGGCTCTCCTCTCCACCCTCCCCCACTCAGCTAATGGTTAAACATTTGCCGGCAAGGAGTCTTGTTGGTGAGGGAGGCAGAATGAGGCTGCCCCTGGGCAGAGACACAACTGACCATCTCTCAAGGGTCAAATAAGAGAAGGGAGACTTCTTGGTAGGCTTTTTCCAACAAGAATCTTCTGTCTGTGTATTTGCAAGTAGGAGAAAGACAGGGAGGAGTAGACATAGGGGTCTGCTTTCAGAAGTGGGGACCTCCTTCGGCTCCCTTTTCACTCTGACCTTGAATTAAGGGAGAAGATTTCAGAGATCAATGTAAAGCTTATTTCCCTTGTTCTTGTTCAGAAGGATGTAATATTAATCCATGAATTAATGTACAAATACATCTATTTTGTATACATTTAATGTGATCCTAATCCCTGTGCGTGTCTTATGAGGTTGGAAATCCAACGAAATTCTACTAGATATCAAAATGTATTACAAAAACAGGACAATCTAAGTAAACACATGAACAGAACAGAATGGGGAGGCCAGGAATAAAGCCAAATGCATGTGTCAATCTGGTACATGATCAAGGCTTCATTTCACAATAGGAAGAGAAAGCTCAATTGTTCAAGAAATGACGCTGGGACAACCAATAAGCCAGTTAGTAAAAGGTAAAATGAAAGACAGTTGTTTGGTTTTTTTATTATTAAAGCCAATTTATTCATTATATTGGAATAAATTCCAACGAGCGAAATACTTAGATATAAAACCTGAAACTGTAAAATACAAGGACAAAGCATGAGTGAACATTTTATAATTCTGAAACTGGGGAAGGCCCTTTTAAACATGACACAAAACCCAAAAGCCATAGGAGAAGATTAAGTTTGTCTGTAGAAATATAAAACACACCAGAAACAAAATAAATGCCAAATGCCAAATTAGAAAGAATAATCATGACAAATATGACTATCAAAGAGTTATTTTTCTTGACAAAGTGCTTCACTCAAATCAGCAGGAAAAAAACAACCTACTAGAAAACATTGGTAAAGAAACAGGCAGAGAAATATTGGAAGAGATGTCTAACCTCAGGATATAATTGAAGAGACATAAATTAAAGTGCAGTTCCAAGTCTCACCACATGCCTTTCCCAGGCCCAGCCCCTCCAGAAAGTGGTGTCCCAGTTTCCACTTGGTCCGTGACAACATTCTTCCCCAGATCTCTGAAAAAGCCTTGGTTAGCCCTGGATTTGATCCTGGTTGGAGACATTCATCCTGCTACCAGGGCAGGCTCTGTAATTAACAAACTGTGTGATTATCCCTACCACGTAAACATTGTCCCTAGCGGGATGGAAGATGTTTCTTGGAATCCTCTCCTCCTGACCTTTTCTTCAGGCCTCTTGGTGTGCAGAGTAGTTTACAGAAAGTTTACACTGGGAGGCTTCAGAGATGACATTGTGTGGTTTCCGGGTTTTCTCCTTGTTTTATTCTTAGCATCACTTATCCTTGAGAGGAGAAAAGCCAGGGGCCCTTCCGATAGATGAGTGGGATCTCCTCCCTCGTGCCCTTTTGGTTGGCTGCCACAAGCCCATCCTAAGCCTGTGGCAGACTTCAACTCACTCCCTGTTGAACCAGCGCACCCACCCTGATGGCAGGGTGCCCATCCTACCCAGCTGACGTGTTCCCTGAGCACAGGCCACTGGACACTTATATTCGTGGCTTCAGGGAGGACCCTAGCAGCCTGGAGATGTTTTAGGGTCATAGCATGTGAATCCAGAGAAATCTTCTGGAGAGGATCTGATTCTAAAACTGCTGCTTGACAAGGACAAACTTTCATTGATCACAAGACATATTGGGCTCAAAAGCAACCTTGCTCTATTCTGGAGCTTCCCTGTTCAGTTCAGTTCAACAAGTGTCTGATGATGGCAGCTACCATTTCAATAGGCTTTACAAACATAATTAAATGTAATTTGATGATCCTATGAGGTTATACTGTTACCTCTATTCTATAGATGAGGAAACTGAGGCTCTGGGAGGTTAGACAACTTGCTGAGGGTCACACAGTCATAGTCGGAGGCAGGATTAGAATTTAGTCTGCCAGTCTAGAAAGCCCATGCCTGGGAAGAGATTCTGGCTGTGTCAGCCAAAGGAGACCCCAGGCTGAGAACTGGGCATGTTTGTTTGGTGGTGAACGGCGGGTGAGCCAGTGTGTCTGAGCATGGAATAGATGGAAAGATGTGGCAGGAAAGGAAACTAATATGGTTGATGGGGATGGGATTGAGGGATGGCCTTGAACATGGTAGAAAGGAGCCTTTGCTGGTTCTTGAGAGGGAGAGTGACAAGACTCACGTTTCTTAGCTCTCCATCACCCCTGACCACCTGGCCATCCCTCCTCAGCCCTGCATCATCACAGCCTTGTGCTTCTTCTAATCTCATCACATCCCCTTTGTCCTGAATCTTGATCATAAACCACTGGATCATAAATCACTGTGGTCAGTGAACCTGCTTCTAGTCTCCGTCCTAAATATTTATTTATGTTGCACTCTGCACCTCCAGGAAAATAGGCATAGATTGCTCTGCATCCCACAAAGATTAGGGGATGCTCAGAGATTGCCCAACTGCTAGGAGAAGCCTGCTGGCTAGAGTGAGAGGAACAGGAGCAATCTGACTAGTCTAGCCTGAAAACACACATTTTGAAGGTCAGGTTCTGATATCCAAGCCATCCTTAGATAAGTGGCCATGAGCAATGACTGTGTAAATAAAAAAGGGCTTAGAGGATCGCCGTCCAGGAGTTCCATGTGCTGCGGGCTGAGTCTCCGCTGGCCCCACTGTCCCATGCGTTTGTTTACAAGCCATGCATCCACAGCGGTGAGGAGCTCTCCAGGAGCCACTTCCCAGAAGTAGACCCAGAGGATGCTGGCCCCTTCCTGTTCCTTTCCCACCCCCAGCCCCTGCAGGAGATTTCCTATGATGTTCCATTTCATCTTTCTCCATCTTCCCTCCCAACCCACTAACCACAGTGAGTGTCCCCCAAGGACGATCACACAAAGTGAGAGGGATGGGAGCAAAGATGAACTGGAGGCCTAGGGATTGGCTCTGTCTCCTCCTTGCTCAATCTCATGTGTCTCTTGTTTTTTTTTTTTCAGGGTCAACCAGGAACTAGAGGTTTCCCTGGATTTCCGGTAAGTGGAGAAGGCTGAAGTTAGCTGTGTCCCAGGTGGTCTGTAGGCCTGATTGGGTTAAACTTCATCTGAGGTCAGCCCCGGTTCCACTCTTTCTCTCCCAAACCCTGGTCATTAAGGACTTGCTTCTACAGCCATTCATGGACACCAACTCAGGACAGTAGCTCAGCAGTCAGGTCATGATGCAAGGAATAAATACAGGGGAGCAAATACACAAATTAAGGGGCAGCAGGACAGGCCCCAGGTGAGTGAAGTCACAGGCTGATAAACCCCAGCATTGACCTGGGAATATAGAATGGACGATGCCCTGTGGGAGAACACCCTGCAGCTCAGCCTGTGCCTGAGCTTTGAGAGGAGATCCAGCGAGGGGGAGGCAGAGGGGTGGCCATCTGGGTGTCCTTGACCTCTGCTTATGGGGCCTAAGGCAGGTTCTGACAGGCAGAGCAGAGGGAGCAGTTCCCCCTTTCTCCCAACCTCAATGCAGGCCAGCCCCTGATTTCTAGGAACACACCACCTACTCTGCACTCAGGACAAGGGTGAGGTCCTTGACATTAATGGGGAGGCCACCCATTGGGTTCTCTCTTGCGCTGTGCACCTGGCATCCAACATTCTATTATTCTCAACCCCATTTCAGGATGGGAAGTTGAGGCCTAGGCTTACCCATAGTCACATTAACAAGTACGTGGTCAAGCAGGGCCTTGAGCTCCAACTTATCAGAATCCAGAATCTGTGCTTTTCCCCACTGCCCAGGCAGCCTCTTTGGCAGGAGTCCTGTGATGCTCAGTCTTTACATCTGGCCTTTCTGGTTTCAGGGTCCCATTGGGCTGGACGGCAAACCGGTAAGTGGACCCGCTCTCTCCCCTCACTGCAGGTCAGTGATCCTGGATCTCTTGGTCATTCTGCAAGATATTGAATCCTTGGAAAATGCTTTACTTAGAAAGAAAAGTCCTGGGGCTGAAGGTTGTCACTAGTGGGAAGTGGAGGGGGCCATTTGAGTCACCCCTGACCCCAGTGGCCTTCCCCAGGGCACAGGTCCCCAGCTGCTGAGCTTGGCTTTCGAAGTCCAGGCGAGAGCCATCCCTAGAATGGGTGATTCTGGGTGGGGTGGGGGTGAGATCAGGAGGCAGTGAGGAGAGTGGAGGGTACGGAGGTCAAATAGCTGGTCTGAAGAGCCTGGCCACTCATGCACACGCTTGCCCCTGCTCCCCAGCACCTGTGTCTCCCATGGCCCTGTCCTCGAGGTCAGGGTCTCCCTCCCCGATTGAGACCCCACACGTGTGCTCAAGTCCACGTGGAGACTGCTTCCCACCATAGCTCCTCTCTTCGTTCATTTCAATCCTTTGGACTTGGTTCCCTGACACAAATGTTCATGGGAGAAAGGAGTCCCCTCCCCAGTCCTAGGAGCAAGTCAGCTGGAAGGGAGCATGACCCATCCAAAGCCCTCAGGGTGGACGGAATGCAGCCCCACTCACAGCCATGCCTGGCCCCGCCACTCGCCTCTCTCAGTTGAGGGACCCTAGCACCACCCAGTTACTCCCCAACTGCAGGCCAGCGAGCTAAGTGCAGCCCAGGGGTGCCAGCAATCATTTCCACTCATGTCACGGGACCAGGCATCCCCCGAAGCTACCCTGGACATGTGAATGGCATGAGCGTTGGGGTCTAGGGAGACTACCCCCACCCCTGCTCTCTGAAGGGCAGGCAGCTGCTAGTGAGGCCCAGCGAGGGGCAGTGAGCAAATGACCTTGCCTTAGGGACTGGGTGAAGGAGTGCACAAGCCAGAAGGTGCAGATGGAGCACAGGGGACAGGGAGGAGCACGGGGGGCAGGGAGGAGCACAGGGGGCAGGGAGGAGCATGAAGGACAGAGGGTGGAACTTCTGGGCTGCGAACAGTGCACCTGGTACTCACCCTCTTCTCCTTCCAGGGCCACCCAGGACCAAAGGGCGACATGGTAAGAGCCCAGCTTTCCTGCCTTCCCGAGATGGGTGGGGGTTGGCCCAGCCTCACAGGCACAGCCAAGCACTGCAAAGTGGGTCCCACAGGGACAACAGGAATGGCTGTCCATGCTGGTCACTCCCCAGCTGTGTAAACCACATGCCCTGGATCCTCACATCAATATGCAGGGAGGAGAAATGGGCAGGGGCTTCTCCATCTGAAGCATGAGGATGGGAGATCCAGAGAGAGTGCACACCTGGCTGGTAGCACACAGAGGTCGGTGTCCAGCTTACTGCTCTCAAACCACACTCGCATGGGCCTTGGGAGACAAGGTTTCATCTGCACTCACAGGGGACACTTTCTCTAGGAGACACCATTTCTACTGAGCCTGAGGTCCCTCAAGGCCTCATAACCCCTTCCGGGTGCTGGCTGTGCCCTGAGCCACCCCAGGACTCCAGGGGTTCCTGCCCCACTGGGGCTGGTGGTGCCCAGTGGATCATCTCAGCTGGGGGTGCCACATGCATCATCCCAAAGGCCCCTTCCCCTCTCCCTTCCTGGGAGTTTCTGTTTGGAGGTTGGGCCACTTGGCAAGTCAGGAGCAGGAGCAAGGTCTTCTCTTCCATGTCACAGCATCCCGCGGCCACCACCCAGATGGATCTGCCCAGGGTACCTGGAGTGCCTCAGGCCCCAAAAAGGTGGAGAGACAACATTTGGCCCAGCTTTCTCCTGGCCCCTACCTTCTGCAGAGCTTTGGAAATAAATTTTCTGTCTCCACAGACCATCCCTTCCAGAAGGGAATGAGGGGCTGCGCACTCTCACGGTGGGCCAGATCTCAGCAGGGACTGATGGGCCATTAAGAGCTAATGGGCCCCTGCTCCCACACTGTGGAGTGTATTTTGGTTTTCAATAAATCCCTGCTTTAAAAAAACAAACAAACAGACAGACAAACAAAACAGCCCTGGGCTGGGGTGCATTTCTGCCTCCTAAGATCCAGGTCGCACCTACTGTGAGGGACCACCTCCTGCTCCACAGGTTGGTGGGCCAGGAATTTGTGCAGGGTGGTGAAAGCAACGCAGCAGGCTCCCCCTGTCCCTGTTCAGTGGGGGCCTGGCTCATGCCTTGCTCCAAGCGCTGGTGTGAAGACAACCCTTGACCCATGACTGGGGCACTGCCAGGGCATGGAGGGAGGCAGGTAATCATGTGGGTGGAAAGGGGGATGGTGGAGTGTTGGCTGCAAGGCCTGGGCTCCAGCCTAGCTCTTCCTAACTTGCCAGCTCCCTCTGGGCCCCAACCTGTCCTCTTGACTCAGATCCAACTAATATTTATTGAGGGTTTGCCACGTGGTTGGCACTGGGCTAAGCACTTTGCATGACTGTCTCAATCCTCAGCGTAACTCTGTGCTCCAGGTCTTGCTAGAATCCCCTTTGACAGGTGTGGAAACCAAGGCTCAGAGAGTCTAACTAACTTGCCTGAAGTCACACAGCTGAATGTCCAAAACAAGATCGAAACACAGTTCTCAAATTCCTTCCCTCCCTTTTTTTATTAAGGTTTTATTACCTTCCTCCCTTTCTGTTTCCCTCACTCTTTGTCAGCCTTCCTGCCACCTTCCTTCTTTTAATGCATTTTTTATGGAGTATCTAAAATGTGCTGGGCACTGCTTCAGGTGCTAGGGATACAGACGGGAGCAAGAGAGAGACTGTTCTTGCCATCTGTAGCTCACAGTCTAGTAGGGAGACATCCTTTTAAATGATCACTCACATAACTAACAAGTTGCTTTGCAATGAGTGCTATAAAAAGATAATCCTTAGTGCCCTGGAAATCTTGGTATAACAAAAACCTCACCCAGGCCAAAGGTCGGAGACGGCTTTTCTGAGAAAGAGACTTTTGAACTAGTGCCTGAAGAATGAGCATTCAACCGAGAGAAAATAGAAAGGGGGATGGGAATGTGCTTTCTGGACATGGGAGAATAGCACGTGCAAAGGTCCTGAGGTAGGAAAATCCTTGACATGTCTGCAGAACCGGAGGAAGGGCACTGGAGGCAGAAGGCCCTGGAGGCAGTGGCAGAAGAGCTGGCGCTGGAATCCAGGTTCCCCAGCAAGGTTTCCTCTCCATCACAGCTGCCTCCGCTGCAAATGCATTTCCCCCCGCCCCTACCCCATTCCCAGGCATGCTGTGCACATGCATGGAGTAGTGGAGACCGAGGCAGGAAGAAACTGCCATGCCACATTGTTATAGAGGCATAAAGGGCTTGGGGTGCTCATCCCTTCAGCCTGAGCTTCTTTCCCTCTCTGGCAGCCTTATGCTACCGTAAGGCAGCCCATGGCCCCCCAGAAGTAATAATAATGGTCATCCTCTAGGCAGCACTCTGTCATCCTCATAACAGCTTATCATCCCCACTTCATGAGAGGGGAAATTGAGGCACAGAGTGGCTAAGTACATTGCCTGAGGCCACAAAGCTCCTAAATACAACAGCTGAGATTCAGACCCATGCAGTGGAGTCTTACCCCTCGATCACACCTCCTCTCAGCAGCCAGCACTTTGTCCTGGAGGAAAGGGACCCTTCCATGGGGCCGCTTTTCCTGCCCTCATTCTGCCACACCGTCCCTCTGCCCCACACACTTGACCGCCTGTCCAGGGATCAGAGCTAACTCAACAGAAAAGGCAGGCCCACCCCCTCTCTCGTGAGCCCACATCAGTGGGATAGATCCCCTGTCTGCCTCATCAAATCCAGCAGGCCACAGAGCATCTGATTCCTGTTTGGCTTGGCATGGGTACCCGAGCTGTTAGTTGCCCACCGCTGTCCAGCATCATTACCTTGCCCTGCTCTTCATCTGTCTGTCTCCTGCCCCAGATGCTGTCCCCTCCACTGGCGTCCCACTGGGGCACTGGCACTCACCCTCATTGTTTAACCTGTGTCCTCACCTCTCAAAAGGGAGTCACCTCTGCCCCACCCCCCCACTTCACATTATTCCCAAGAACCTGAAATAAGGTGTTGAAGTGTTGGGAGGACACAGTTGTATAATAGTGTAGTTGGGGGGTGGACAAGATTGGGGGTCTGAGACTCAGGAATGACATAAGGGCTGTAAAGCAAGGCCTGGACTGAGTCCAAATCTCACCCACCACCCACAGGGCTGTCGAGTGAGGAGCGCCAGGCACTCAGAACATGCTTGGCACCCGAGAAGCAGACAGGCGCCTTAGCTATGCCTCAGTGGCGGTTAGCACAGGCCTGCTGGCAAGTGCTAAGCACATCACCGGTGGCCATGGCCCTTAAAGGGGCAGGTGCTGCCTGGCTGAAGATAACTGGTACCATGTGTTGTTGGACCTCGACATAATTAAGAGAAACTTGAAATCCAAATTTTTATTTGCACTCTGCTTGCTCTCTTAAGTATTGGCAACTAGTTGAAATAAAACCATGTGGGACAAACAAAATCCCTATGAAGACCACGATTGTCCCCTGGGCCACCGTTTGGGATGTCTGGTTTCAATTGTCCAAGTCTCTGCAGTCCTGAAACTCCGCCTGCCCCTCCCCCATCACACTTATATCTCTGTCCTGACAGAGGATGACCTGGTCACCTGTGGTCTGGGCCCGGGTTCCCTGCCGGATGAATCATGTGCTGCAGAACTTCATTCTAAGCACTCTGCCAGGCCGAGCGCGGTGGCTCACACCTGTAATCCCAGAACTCTGGGAGGCCAGCACGGGCAGATTGCTTGAGTCTGGGAGTTTGAGAGCAGCCTGGGCAACATGGCAAAACCCTGTCTCTACAAAAAAATGCAAGAGTTAGCCAAGCACGGTAGTGTGTGCCTGTAGACCTAGCTATTTGTGAGGCAGAGGTGGGAGGACTGCCTGAACCCAGGAGGCAGAGGCTGCAGTGAGCGGAGATCACACCACTGTACTCCATTCTGGACAACAGAGCGAGACCCTGTCTCAATAAAACAATAAAAGACCAATAAACACTTGGCCAGCCACATGGGCTGGGAGTGCCACATGGATGGTCCCAAAGGCCACTTCTCCCTTCCAGTGATGCTCTTGGGAGTTTCCCAGTTTGGAGGTGGCCCTGTTGGCAAGCGGGGAGCAGGAACAAGGCTCTGGCACATCACAGCATGCTGCGGCCACCTCCCAGATGGACCCACCCTTGGGGATCTGCAGTGCTTCAGGCCCCAAAGAGACTGGTGGCTCAAAGGGACCTGCTTATGGCTCTAGCCAAGTCTAGAAGCCCTGACTCCCAAGGTCTGGCCCAGTTCTGAGCATTTGGCAGTGGAAACAGCTGGACCTTGGCCGTCAGACAAACCTGGGCTCCTGTCCCAGTGCCACCTTTCACTGAGCCATGGGGCCTTGTCTCTGTCACCTCACTCGGGAGCTGGAGTGGACACAAGCATCTCCCTCACAGACACATACCTGAAGAGCCAGCCTCAGGGTGGATCCTCAGCCCATAAGGCATTTGTTTTCTCCTCTTCCCTCCACCAGCCTTGGTGCAGCCTCCTAAGAGAGCCAGAGCATGCGGGGCCCTCCCCAGACAGCAAGGGTCCCTCCCAACCCCAGCTCCTTTCCTAGCCCTGCATGGACAAGACAACCTTGAAGGAAACTTCAAGACCCCTCATATTCCTTGGAGAAGTCCAGAACATGGCTTCAGTTGCCAACTTCCTGCTTTCTCTCTTTTGCTGAAGGTTTCTCTAAGGCCCCCATTGTCTGAGGCACCGGCCCAGCACCCCCAGGCCAGAAGTTCTTCTGGTTCAGTGGGCTTCACTGCAGCCTGGGAGGCAGGAGGTGGAATGTGCTAGTGTCTCCCAGAGGCTTGATGCATGTGAGGTAGGGGGTCCCATGGAGCAGAAAACTCCCTGACCTCTAGGTAGAGCCCCTCCATAGCTGGCCCATGAGATGCTGGTGGTTGGAGGAATGGATGAAAGATGCCATCTGTTCTTCATCACAGCCCTAGTCCTGCCCACTGGGGGGTGAAGCAGCTGAGACTCTGTGAATAAGACATCTTGAATGTGGTGGGCATGGGAAGACCTGGCCATGGCTGGTAGAGCCCAGCCTTCGGGATTCAGCCCCAATCCCCACCCAGGCAGGTGTCCCTGATTGCCTGTCTTCTGTCTGCCCACTGACCTGTGTGTGTTTGCTTCCCACAGGGTCTGACGGGTCCCCCAGGACAGCCGGTTGGTACCTCATCCATCTATTTCCCAGCAGAGAAGCTTCCGGTGGCTGTGACCTTAGCTTTGGTTTCTAACTCTCTCATCTCCGTCTCTTTGTAGGGACCCCAGGGACAAAAAGGAGAAAAGGTAAGAGCAGTGGAGGTTTCCTAGAGTCTCCATCTCAGGAAATGGCCTCCCAGTTGGTAGAAAGGGGTCAATTATGGTTATTTTCAAACTTCAGTTTTAATTGACAGAACCAGGAAAGCCCCCGAGGTGCCGCATAATAGATTCGGTTGACACCGCTCCAGGGGACATCCTTTTCTTGGAGTGAGGGGTCCTCCTGGAGGCTGGTCCGGGTGACATCCTTTCCAGGGGTCCTCCTGGAGCCTGGCCCTCTTCAGCCTCTTTCTGGGCCCCTCCCAGCTGTCACTCCATGGTGTTCCCTGACACCTCCATGAGCCTCTGGGATTCTGAGAGGCATCAACCTGTAAACCACTGGCCTGGCCTCCTGCCCTCTCTGTCTTGTTGAATTTCTGATAGAGACACTGCTGTGCTTGCCCTTGGGCCGCTGGTACAGGGGCCTGGCGCTCCCAGCTCAGAGAAGGTGGCTTGGGACCCCCATGGTGCCGGCTGCTCCCATCCGGTGGCTCCTGTTCAGGGCTGTCTGGTGGGCCTGCCTAGAGGGTCAACCTTTCGCCAGGCATGGGGCATAACTCCCGACTCTGCCATTATGGCAAGTGGTATAAGGCGAAGCCCCACCCCTAGGCTCCCTGGGGCCACTTCCAGGCAGGCCATGGAAGTTTCTTCCCTGCTGCTAGCCAGGGGCAAGGGAGGGACTTAGTTCTTCTGCCTCAGAGGGCTCAGACCAAAACTAGAGCAGGAGGGCTGGTGAGCGGTGACATGTGTGGCATGTCCTGAAGTGCTGGGGGTGCCCTGAGAAACAGGTACCCCCAACAAGTGCCTAACACCACCTTTCCCTTCCCTCTCCTTCCCAGGGTCAGTGTGGAGAGTACCCACACCGGGTAAGTGAACCCCTAAAATTTAGCAGGGCACTTTGATCCATCCCTGGGGCACAGCGCCCAGCTCAGCCTCATCTCCCTGGGGTCTCCAGTTACTAACAGATCATGGGGGAGCAGGAGCACCCACTGCCCTCTGCACTCAGCAGTCAGAGAGGGGAGCTTGGGATGGTGGTGCGTCTGGTGGGAACAGCTGATGTGTCTCTCCAGCCATGTGCTATATGGAGCCGCTCATCACCCGTGCGTGTCTGTACATCCGCCCCTTTGTACGTACGTCTGACTCGGTATGTTGGAGTCTCCTGCTGTGTGTCTGGAGCTCTGTGGCTGCTCTGCACATGGCCCCCTGTGGCAGCGTGACTTGTGTGAGTCTGTTTGACTCCCCACCCAACAAGCATGTGTGTGCGTGTGTGTGGCGGTAGGGGGGTGGTGTCTGGCAGCCTAGCCGTGGCCAAAACAGTGGGACTTTTCTATTAGTCACTGTATCAGATGATGGTGTTTCACATCCAAACCTCGATGATGGGAGATAATCGGGGACTGACTGCAGCAATTCAAGGATAAAATCTCTCCTTGGCCTCTTTAAAAGCAGAGGAAACCCTTCTCCAAGCAGGGTGGGGATTTCAGGCTGAGATGGTTCCTCTGCCCACCCCCGCCTGCTCCTTCCTTTTCCTTGCTCCACCCCAAGACACAGAACCCAAAAGACTGCTGTTGTCCTGTTAGGAATCTTCAAACTTGTGTCCCAGCAGCAGGGTCGATCTTGGGACAGGGGAGAGCAAGATACGCACAGCTTCCTCCAGTAGGAGCCCCAGTGAGCTGGACCCAGAAAAAAATGCCCCTCATTTTGTGGATTGGCCTCGTTGCTCCCAGACCTGGACAGCAGGGATGGAAGATGAGCATCTTTAGGCATCTCTCCCCGCTGTCATGTGCCCCATGGTGCTCAGCTTCCCTGGCTGCCCACCCCTGCCAGGCAGGTCCGGGTGGTGCGATTTTGGGAGTGGAGACAGACATAAGCCAGGCTCAGTGCCAGCTTGACTCTAGAAGGCTGTCAGGAGGGCAATGCTAGCAGGGCCTAGCCTCTGCCCAGACCCTCAGGAAGCTGGAAGGCAGGCCTGAGGTCTGGGTTCCTGGGCCAGGGAACCACTGTGAGCCTGGTACGTGAGAGGCTGGGATGGGTTTAAGGCTACGGCGGTGCTGGGCCCGGGCTGAGGAAGGCAGGCCAGCAGCAGCACAGTCAGAGCCACAGCCTGTCAGCGGCATGTGCTCCAGGGATGCAGGGGCCCTGCTGTTCCGGCCAGCCTGATCCTGATACAATAATAGAAGGTCAGCTGTGTTTATTTGAAACGATGGGCTCACGGGGTTATTATGTTACCCGAAAGAAAGACAACATCCCCCAGCACAAAAGACAACACAACTGCAGACGCTTTGGTAGTGTGTCTCCCGTTCTTAGTAAGTGCTTGGGGTGGGGTGGGGGCAGGGCTCTCTGCCCCTCAGCCCAACATAAGGAAAGGGAAGAGCACAGTGACAGAAGGCTGCAGAATACCCCTGGCCACAGGGTGCAGTGAAGCCTGACCTCATGACAGTGGCACTCTGGGGAACATGTCAAGCGTGGGGTGGGGGCATAGATTTGGGATTCCAGCTGAGGGGCAGACCAAGTTTATTTAGAAGAGGGTAGAAAATCAGGGGCCTTCTAGAGATCTGTTGGCTTTCCAAGGGGTTGGGTTGGGGTGGCAGGTCTCGGGGCCTGGAAGACACCAAGAAATCCAGGTGGCCCCTCCTCCATTCCAGCCTGTGGCTTCCCCAGGGAGGGAGAGGAGAGGGGTGGGGAGCAGGGGAGCTGGTGTCTGTGGGCTCTCCCCTCACGGTCCCTGTCGCCCTGTCTCTGCCACCTCCATCCCCTCCCAAACTAGGAGTGCCTAAGCAGCATGCCAGCAGCTCTGCGCTCCAGCCAAATAATTGCCCTGAAGGTTTGTAGGTTCTGGAAGGTCTCCGGGCCCCTCTCCACTGAGAGGCTTCCTGAACATACAGCCCAACATTGCACATCCCCAGGCCCCGGCAGTGGGAGCGGGTGGAGCTCTGTGTGCCACTGCTGTCCAAGAAGGCAGCAGCTGTGACCTGGAAAGGCCACACTTGGGCTCCCCATCCCCAGCTGGGCGCATTCGCAGCCCAAGCAGCTCCTGGTTCTTAACACTCATCCCAGGAGTCTCGTGTGATTTAAGCGCTTTCAAAAACAAGCAGCTGATGACAGTATATGCCATCTTTGTTTTCACATGGGCTCTGATGGCCTCCTAAAGCCACGGGTTGCTCAGCTTCAATGGGTAGAGGGACTGGAAGCTGCAACAATTTCCAGAAATGAAAATCACATTAGATAATATGACTGCAAGTTGCCTCCCGCAAAAACGTGGTTGAGCTTTCTGGAGATATCTTTGCCCAGCCTCTATCTTCCAGGCCCCGCAGCCCCAGGGTGAGCCCTCAGCAGCACTTAACATGTGCCCACGCTGGCCTCACCCTCAGCCAGCTCAAACCCCGGGGAACTGGGCTTGGCACTGCCCTTGACCACCCTCCCCAGATGCGCTGACACCAGCCTTTCTTGCTCAACCAAAAAAAGAACCCACCAGCCGCACACCAGCCCAACTTCAAGTACCAATTTCACGGGCCCGGTGGTTCCCTGGCCAGAGCCTCTGAGTTGGCTCCCTTCTGTCCCCCAAGCAGGGATGGGTGGGGCTGGCAGTGCAACGTTGGGCTGTGTGTCCAGCAGCCTCTGCAGCCCAGCATGGCCACGGAGGGCAAGCCTGGCCATGTGGGAGCCACTGTCCCATTCCGGGGGCTGCTGGTCAACATCCCAAACTCTGACCTGGAGGCCGAGGCCGGGTGTGGACTGAGGGCCACAACTCCTCCTAAGGGACGGCTGTGCCATCCAAGGGCAAGCTCCGCTCTGCATCCTCAAGCCGTGAGAGTGCCCTGTCCACTCCTTCCCTCCCACTCCTCATGTGCACGCTAATCTCTCTTCTCTCTTCCTCTGCTCCGGTCCCTCTTGGTTGCCCTGCCCTCCTGGTGACTTTTGGCATCGATCTGAATACCTGTGATCTTTGGCCTTTGCCCTCTGGCCCTCCAACTCATCTTTCTCCTCAGCTGCTGCCTCTCCTCAATTCAGTGCGACTGGCTCCACCCCCGGTCATAAAAAGGCGGACGTTCCAGGTAGACACCTCCCGTTTGTCCAGACCATGTGTGGTTTCCCAAGGGGCCCGGCAAGCCTGCTGGGGCTGCAGACAAAGCCAGAACCTCTCTCTAATTCAGTGAAATTAAATCAGACAAAAATAGGCCCACGTATACCATAGACATGGAAATACACAACACACAGGCCCCAGAAGACCCACAACTACCACCACACAATGATTACTCAAAACAGCCATCAACAAGAGCTGTCAGTGTGTGCCAGGCACCCTGTTACCCATTTCACAGGCCTGGTTATATTTCATTCACCAACAGTTTTATGAATTAGGCATGATCATCCTTATTTCACGATGAGGAAATCGAGGCTCAGAGAGGTTAACCAAGTTGCCAAGGTCACACAGCCAGTACATTGCAGAGTGGGGATTTGTACCCAGTCTCTCTGCCTGTTACTAGCTGTGTCATTTGGGGCAAGTTACTTGACCTGTGTCCCAGCCTTCTCATCTATAAAATAAGGATAATAACAGTGTCTATTTCACAGGGTTGTTGTTGATATGTAAAGCATTTGGAATAGTTCCTGGCACAGTTTAAGAGACATAATTGTTAGCTGTTTTTATTACTATTATCCATATTTTGGAGATAAGGTAACTGAGGCTCAGAGAAGTGAATTGATTTGCCCAAGGTTATACTAACAGTAAGAGGCAGAATTGAAACTGGCCTTGAAGCAGAATTGAAATTGAAGTCAGGTCTTCAGACCTCACATCCAGGGCTCTCTCAGCTGGACCTACCTCCTCTCTACTTAGAAATGCAGACTGCTTAGCATCTGATCCCTCGTAACCTGAGTTTGGGGAGCAAGGGAATTTGTGGAGGGAATGTAGTCCACAACCCACATTGTGAGCAAGTGCTTCCTTCTTCTTCCTGCCTTCCTAACCCAAGGAGGCTTGGATAGGAGCAGATCACAAAGAACAAAGCCATCTGGCCTCTGCTCTTCAGAGATCACAGCTTGATTCCAGGCTGGCTGGCCCATGGCTGCCCCTGTGCTCCTCACCTTTCTCATGCTGCACCAGGTACCCCGCCCAGCACAGGGACGCTAGCAGTGGCAGGGCTCTGAGCTGCTTTCTACAAGCCTGACCGCAGAGCCTCAAGCAACAATCTGGCCTGACTCAGGAGTCAGGAGCCCAAGGGCCTAGATGTTCAGGCACCTGATTGAACAAGGCTGAAAAATCCCTCCAATTAACAGCTAAAAATACAGAGGGACACGTGACTCCAGTGCCACCCAAGCCTGCAGGCCACATATCTCATTACGCCTGGCCAAATCCTCGAGAGCCTCCGTGTGCCCGAGCACTCACCAGAGCATGGCTACTCAGGAGGCCCACTGGCAGCTTAGAGAAGTACCAGGCCCACCCCTGTCACCCACCCCAGGCTGTGCCGGACCCCATTCCAGGAGAGCTGAGTCCACACTCTCAGAATAGCCATTCTCCTGGGCCCCAACAGCGACCTCCCAGCCTTAGGTGTATCAGCTGTTCTTTTTTGAGCCCTCACTGGGTTCCAGACATTGTTGTGAGAATTCTATGCAAATTATCTCATGCATTCCCCACACCAGCCATCTCACTATCCCCCGCTTTACAAAGGAAGAACTCAAGAGGGGTGCAGGATTCCATCCAGGCCACTGCATGTTACTGCCTCCCTTTTCAAGAGCAAGAGGTGGTGAAGCCAGAACTTTCTGTGCTACCCTGACCTGGTTTCCAAAGTAGAGAAAGAAGACGAGGCACCTCTGAGCTACCTGCTGCAGATTCTGCCTCCAGAATCAGGTTTTTTATGCTGTCAGCCACTATGGGACATAAAAATGCTTGTCCATTTCTTATCAATAAACCAATATTGATTTTACAGGCTCTACAAGCCGCTTAAACATTGGGTCTAAGATTCACTGAAAAAGGAAGCTTTATATGAAATATGATGTGCTTAGCAGATGGTGTTGGACGTCATTTCCAAAGAGCAGAAAGTGTAGATGGTGAGCCCTTTTTGCTGGGGGCTTACTTGGAAAGAATAGGGAGAGTCTGCAGTTCCAACTTTGGGTCCTGGCGCCACCCTGAATTCCCATGTGACTTTGATCAGAGAATTCAACTTCTTGGAGCCTCAGTTTTCTCTTCTGTAACATAGGACTTGTGACGTTATGAAGATTCTAGAATTTCACAGCCAGAAAGGAGCTCGGGAGTTTACTTCAGACTAAGCCTCCCCCATCTTGTGAATGTAGAAACCCACAAAAAATATAAACACACAAAGTACAGGATTCTGAGGAGGTTCCGGGACCCAAGCAGCTGAATCAGATTTGATGTGGTTGAAAAGGAGGCTGCACTGGTCCCTTTTTAAGGCCTGAGGCTTAGTGAAGCCTTTCTTGGTTCAGAAGAAACACTGACACCTGAGACTTATCAACAACCAACATGCAGCCGGGTGGGGGACCTGCAGTCAGGGCAGCTGCCACAGTGATTTCAACACCTGCTCCTCTGCCATGGACACCCTGAGCCCTAAAGTGGCTTCTCAGAGGGTGTGGCAGGATAGGACCCAGGCTCCAGAGTGACACTGCTAGATGCCATCTGCCTACAGGTTTTCCAGCCAAAAGATGGTGCAAGCAGGTCTTGCTGAAAGCTTACATTTCTCATTCCCAGGTTGTGCACTCCTATTTATCACCACCACTTCCCTCTAGAGTTTGCAGCAAGCATCATCAGCTGCCTTCCTCGCATGGGGAAGCAGGAGACCCCTCAGGTGTGTCATAGGGGCTTGCTGAGATCCTCTGAGAAAGGTGGGCCGGCCTGGAACTCCAGCCGCCTGCATCCCCCAGCCTCCACCCTAGAGCTCCCACACCTGCCAGGAGGTTCTGCTTCAGCCCATCTGCAGGGATGGGCCCCTCCTCACAAGAGCTAAGCCCAGATTGATCCCAGAGAGGTCATTTAGAAAATAACAAACCAAGGAGCCAGACTTGGTTTAGATCTAAGATGACTTTGTGTTGCCCCAGCCCTGAAATCTGGGTCACGTGCACCAGGCCATCTCCTCCTCCAGGGGGAGCATGATGCCATCGCTACCTCCCTGGGCTCACAGTCCATCCCGTGGACAGGCATGGTGGGAAGGCGGGCTCAGAGCAGCTGGCTGAGGAGACAAGGGAATAATAACAGCCTCCCCACGCAGCATAAAGCACTTCCACACAGCTTCCAAACTCTTTCAATGAAACCAAAGATTGCAGGCTCAATTGCCCTCCCAGGCCAGGCAGATCACCTTAAGTAACAGAAGCAGGCTGTGTGTGAGAAGGGCTAGGAGGGAGAGGACAAAAGCAGCCAGAGAACTCAGGCCCCACTTAACAGGCAGCCACTCCTTGGACGTAGGAATGTGGGCCCAGCTCAGCCAGGGTTCCCAGTGTTTCATCAGAAGCCACCAATTCAAATTTTATATGTAAAGTCTCTTGCTCAGTTGTTTAGTGAGCCAAATAAAATTCCATGGGCTTTGACCTAAGGATCCCATTTGATCCTCTGGGTCAGATAAAGACAGCAAAAAGCTGAGACAGGAAACGAGGGCTATTGTTCCCATTCTATGGCTGAGAGACTGGGGCTTAGGGAGAACTGTGCCTCGCCACACAGGGAGGGTGACAGAGGCAGGCCCAGGCTGAAGATTCAGGCCATCTGGCCAGGCTGGGAGCAGGCCTTTGGTTGGGCCAGGGGCTGTCTCCCACCCACTCCTCTGCCTCTGCCCCCCCGCAGAATGTCTCTCCGCAGCAACTCCTCTTTGGAAGCCCCACCTTCAGGGACCTAACATCTTGGCGTTCTTCTCACTGCCACCAGCCCCTGCATGTCATCACCACTACCACAGCATCATCACCATCATGCCACCGCTTCCTCCCCCCATCACCACTCCTTCCCGGCAGAAATCACAGCAGGCCTTCACTGGGTGCATGGCCTGAGGGTGGGGGACGGTCTGCAGCTCTGGGGGCCTTCCCTCTAACATTCGTTTCCATGAACCTCAGGGCGAACAGAGCCAGGCCAGCATCCAAGGTCCACCAGGGCCCCCAGGCCCCCCTGGACCAAGTGGACCTCTGGGGCACCCAGGACTGCCAGGGCCTATGGGGCCACCTGTAAGTATTCCCTTCCTCTCTCCTTCAAGACTTATCCCAAGAACTCTCTGGAAACCTCCAAACCTTGAATAGGCAGTGGGTCCCCTACAAAAAGCAGAAATGCCTTGGCAGGGCCATTGGATGTGGGTGAACCATGCAAGGGGCTATTCATCCCCATCACACTCACCACCTGTTGCACTCTGGCTCTGAAACACAACCTGGGCCATGTTCCCTGCCTTCCAGGGAGGAGACCGCCAATGGCCTGCCTGCCCCGTTCCCAGCCCCAGCAGAGAGGAATTTGGAAAGAGAATTCCCAAGGGCACCTCTGATGGCTATCCCTGAGCCCCTTAGCAAAACCTGAGTCAGGCAGTGGGTTCTGAAGGAGGTAGTGAGGGGTCATCCAACTACCTGGCACCCCAGTGAACATGCCTTCCAGGGGCGTGTGCAGGTTTCACACTGCTGGGCCACCTGCCAGCTGAGCTGAAGGTCCAGTCAGCCAAGAGCCCTGCGCCAAGCCTGAGGATGCATCAAGCCTGCGGGGCCTGCAGGGTCACTGCCTGGAGGACTCCAGAGAGGCCAACTGGCACCTCTCCAGGCTGGACCACATTCAAGTGACAGGTCAAGCCCAGCGGCCGCCAAGTCACCCATGTTCAAGCCCTGGCTAAGACTCCACTCTTTCCCAGCCCAATTTATACAACAAAGCCCCAGGACAGAATAACTCAGTGGGTACCTGGACTTCAGAGAAAACGGGTCTTCCACCCACCCGTAAGACTAATGTTATTGGAGAGGCAGGTAAAGGGCAAAATGCTTTTTAAATAATGTTTTTCCCATGTGGTAGAAAAACCAAAACAAAACCTGTTTTTCCTTCTTATGACAAAAGCACCATAAATTAATTGTGAAAAGAATGGAACATAGACAAAGAAACATAATGTTTGTGCGCATCTCTGATAGTTTTGCTGGAATAGAGTCCCAGAGGTGGAATCACTGGGCAAGGATGTCCCCAACAATTAGCACCCTGTGTGTACGGCCACATTCTAGATGGCCTGTTTGCATGTCTGGGCCCCTTGGCTGCCCAGCTTTCAATCTCAAAGCTTGTTATAGGGTCTTCCTGGGCCGGGCCACAGCTATGGCCGAACACAGCATCCACCTTGGCTGGGAAGGCCAGCACAATGACCCCTGCAATGCTTGACCCCTGAAATGAATTTTAAATTTTTCCACAATTTCGCCCCAGCACCCCAGAGAGGGGGGTTAGTCTTATTTCCACCAGTTTTTAGATGGGAAAACCTGAAAGGAAGGGAAACTCAGGAAACGGAACCAAACTAAGGCAAGAAAACCAAAAAGTGCTCCAAATTCACTTTTTGCTGACCGCTGCCCTTTCTACCCCACCCCCCTCCTAACACTTGGGGCTCTCATCCACTGAACCCAAGCCAGGTGGTTTTCTTTGTTAGGTTGTTTATAACAACAACGACAACCAAAAAAAGAAAACCAGAGAGCATGTTTCTTAACCCAATTGCAATAGACCAGACTCAGGCATCACGGCTTTCTCCAGCCCACGTTTGCTGTCCACACCTACACCCAAGGCTGCGGTGGAGCCAGCAGCCTTCCCTGGCCTCTCCCTCGGCTCACACCACCTCACTGTGGCCAGCTGCCATGCCCACAGCACCATGGGCAGAAGGAGACAGAGGGCTCCTCCACTGGCAGGCAGGACCAAGGGCAAAACCGAGGCTTTGCTGGGCAAGGCCGGCTTTCTAGGGAGGGGTTCCAATTAGGAGGTGGGTGAATGAGGATCTGGACCAAACCACACTGTCAATTTAGCATGATGCTGCTGACCTACTTTCCATGGGTGAGCACAGCAGAATTGCCCGCGGCCCCCACATGGCTGCAAAGAGGGACATAAGCCTGTTATCCCCACGTGCCCTCAGCAGGTTTCAGATCCCCTTCTAGGATCCACTAGAGCTGTTGGCTATAGCATGCCTATTCTCTTGCCATAGCTATTGGGAGCTGCTCTGCCCCTAGGGTCTACTGTAAGTATGGCTAGCCCCAACCAGCTCTACTCACCTTTTCTTTTTTCTTTTTTTTTTTTTTTTTGCTTCCACAGGGCTTACCTGGGCCTCCTGGACCAAAGGTGAGTGTCCTTCTGGGTGATGTGTTGAACAGGTGGGAGAATTCCCTGCAGGAGGGAGGGGGAGGCAGCACAGAAGGTGACTGAGGCAGGAGCAGAGAGGGATCTCAGCTGAGAGACAGATCAAGCTTGACCCACTTACAAAACACCACCCTTCTCAGGAACTAACTTGATTCCAACAAGAATTGCACTTCTTGGGTGCTCACGCCAATGAAGCTAGTGCTACGGGCTGGCATTGAAGGCACAGTCCACCCTCTAAGGAGTATAGCGTCTAGCTGGAAACTCTAAGCTCATGCCCAGAACACCGTCACAATATCCCAATAAAATAGTGTTTTATAAGGTGTCAGAATGGGAAGAGACCTCTAGGGTAATCCAGTCTCCTGTGAACCCTCACCCAGAAGCCCACAATGTCAAACAGGCTCTCCCTTTGAAGCTGGGGACCCTGGGGCTCTGGGGACAAGAAGATGCCCAGTGCTGATTGTGCCTAACTATCTTATAAATGCAGAAGCTAAGAGCCCTGTGGGAAAGTGACTTGTCCATGTTCAATAGAATCAGGTCTCCTGGGTCTCCTGGGTCTCTACCCAAGTGACTCTTCCCACCATTCCTCAGCCTCTGCAAAGTGGAGCCTGTTCTCAAGAGTAGAACAATCTGTGTTGTCCTCAGAGGAAGCTAAGAGCTATTGCTCCTGGGAAGGCTGGAGATGGGTGTTGAAGGGGCAGTGGAACTTGGAGTCATCGAGAGGAAGAGGGATGGTATTGTGTGGGGAACAGCACAAGTCAAAGTTTGGCAGTGGGAAAACCTCTTTAATGGCCTTCTCTTTGTTTTCCCAGGGAGACCCAGGGATCCAGGGCTACCACGGCCGGAAGGTAAGATGGAGGGGGAGGACCCAAGTGGGGCAGGACTTTGGACAAATCAGTGGCCTACTGGACCTCAGACCCAAGAGGGTCTCTCCCTTCCAACCTAGGTGGCTGTGCCTGTAGTGAGGCAGGCCAGGTTCTCACTGGCCCCCCGAGGGCCTGATAAGTGGGAGCCAAATTACTGGGATCCACCTAGGCAGAGTTCTTTCTGTGCTGAGCCAGGATGTAGGACATGGAGGGGTCCAGCTCTTACAGGCCAGAGAGTCAGAAGCACTCCTGCACAAATAACCCCAGTGAAGGCAGACTTTATTAAGTGCTACTGTCACAAGGCACTGCACGATTACAGGAGGTGGAGAGACAAATTTCAGGTTGAGAGAAGTTTGGGAAATATTCTGGGAGAAGACAGCCTGAGAACTCAACCTTGATGAATGGGCAGATGTATCAGTTATCTATTGCGGTGTAACAAACCATTCCAAGTTTACTGACTCTCTGTCACAATTCTGTGGATTGACAGTCTGGGAATTCTGCTAATCTCACCTGGGCTCACTCATGCAGTCACACCACATGACAGATAGAAGGGTGGGAGGGGACAAGATGGCCCCATTCACATGTCTGGTGGTCAATGCTGGCTGTGGGCTGGGGGGCCCTGTTCTCCACATGGCCTCTTATCCTCCAGGAAGCTAGACAGACTTCCTTACAGCACAGCAGGTCCAGGGCAGCATTCAAAATGGGCAGGTCCCAGTGCATAAAGACTTGTCACGTATCTGCTTGTATCACATTTTCTAATGTCTTATTGGTTGAAGCAAGTCACATGACCAAGTCATGTGAGTCAGTGTGGGAAGAGTCTTAGGCTCTACTTCTTCACTGGAGGAGTAGAAAGCATTTGTGGCCTTTTTGTTTGTTTGTTTGTTTTTTGTTTTTGTTTTTGTTTTTTTTGAGACAGAGTCTAACTCTGTCACCAGGCTGGAGTGCAATGGCGTGATCTCGGCTCACTGCAACCCCCGCCTCCCAGGTTCAAGTGATTCTCCTGCCTCAGCCTCCTGAGTAGCTGGGACTACAGGTGCACACCACCATGCCCAGCCAGTTTTTGTGTTTTTAGTAGAGATGGGGTTTCACCATGTTGGCCAGGATGGTCTCGGTCTCTTGACCTCATGATCTGCCCACCTCAGCCTCCCAAAGTGCTGGGATTACAGGCGTGAGCCACCGCGCCCAGTTATGGCCATTTTTAATCTACCACTGTGGGCCTTCCACTAGAAAATCTGAATGGAAACAATATTTTAGATAGGTAAACAATTTGAGCAAAGACCCAGAAGCAGTCATTATAATAACTGTAATAGCAATAATAATTTTATGGTAGTCACTACTTACTGAACACATACTATGGTCTAGGCACTATCTTTCAACAGAAACTGCATTATTTTTAGCCCTAAAACCACTCTGTGAGGCTGGTATGACTATTCTCCTATTTAAAAAATGAGAAAACTGTGTGTCTTAGTCCATTTCATGTTGCTATAACAGAATACCACAGACTGGGTCATTTATAAAGACAAGAAATTTATTTCTTACCATTTTGAAGGCTGGGAAGCCGACAGTCAAGGGGCCCATATCTGGTGAGGACCTTCTTGTGTCATCCCATGGTGGACAGTGGAAGGGCAGGAGAGGGCGAGAGAACACGAGCAAGAGAAGGCTGGGCTTGCTGTTATAACAAACCCACTGTCGCAATCACACACCCACTCCCACAATAACTAACCCACTTCCATGATAACTAACCCACTCCCACAATAACTAACCCACTTCCATGATAACTAACCCACTCCCACAATAACTAACCCACTCTCATGATGACTAACCCACCCCCACAATAACTAACCCACTCTCACAATAACTAAACCACTCCCATGATAACTAACCCACTCCTGCAATCACAAACCCACACCCATGATAACTAACCCACTCCCACAATAACTAACCCACTCTTACAATAACTAATTCACTCCCACAATAACTAACCCGTGATAACTATCCCACTCCCGCGACAGCAACATTAATTTATTCATGAGGGCAGAGCTATCATAATCTAATCACCTCTTAAAGGTCCCACCTCTCAACACTGTTGCATTGGGGATTAAGTTTCCAACACAAGAGCTATGGGGGACACATTCAAACCATAGCACTGGAGCTCTCCAAAGTCTCCTGGCTCATAAGTGGCAGAGCAGGAGTTCAGTTCCAGGTCTGGGTCCTTCCCATGGTACCACCTGCTGTAAGGAGTGCAACCCTGCCCTCCAGACCCTGGCTGGGAAGCTGCTAGAGCCTTCCAGGAGGAGAAAAGAGGCAGGAAGGAAAGGCAGCAGCAGGAGAGGGGCAGAAATGTTGGGAAGGGAAGAAGCACTCCCTCCAAAGCACATTCCTCGCACACTGCAGTCATGAGGTTGCCATAACCACATGGCTTTATGGGTGCCTGGTGAATGAAATGGCAAGACCTGAGAGATCTTTAATTAGTTCTACATAAACTAAGACATTTGTATTGTATCAGGAAGTGGAAATCAGCCCCCGCAGTTGCCTCTATCCACTCACACAGACTCATAAAATTTACTGCCTCCTGGTGCAACGCGGGATCAGTTTTTCATTAGCAGCAGGGCCAGCTCTTTCAAGCTGTGAAGGAGTTGCAGGGCAGCAGAGGGTCTCCAGGCATCACGGCGATGCCCTTGGCTGGCATCATACCATGACAGGTGTCTGCATTCTGCTGCAAACTGGAAGAGTGATTCATCCAGAAGGGGCATGGGGTCTGCTGTCCTGAGTACGGAGAATCCTCTGCTTGGGGTTAGGGTGTCCTGACGCTAGAGGGCCTGGTCCCAGGACAGTGGCAATCCTAGACTCAGATTGTAGGAAGAAACATGTAACCCAGGCTACATTGAATTTGCAGAGAAGACCAGTGTAGCCCTCCTGATGGGGGAGCACTTCCGGTCCCCAGGAAGCGGGAGATTTGCTCAGAGCCTCCCTGCTCTAGTGTGGAAGAAGGATCATACTTTCTTTTGCATGACTAGAAGTAGAGCAAGTGCCAATGAATAAACTCTACAAGAAGAGTAATTCCAGCTCCAGAAGAGGGAGCTTCCTAATCGCCAGATGCCTTGGGAGGGAGGGAGGGAGTTCTGGTCACCAGAGGTGTTCAATTAGAGGCTGGATAATGACTGGTCTGGGATGTGTTTAGAGAAGTCTCTGTATCAGCTGGGACACTGAAAATCCCTTCCAGCTCAGGGAAGTCATAGCTTCATGGGGACAGAGTTGGCTCCATAGCCTTAAGAGAGGAGCAGCTCTGAGCCTTGATCCCTGGCCTTGAGAGGAGGCTCTGTCTCTTTGAACCTTCGTCCATGTCTTTTCTCCATCCACATCCAGGGCTTGTCAGAAGCATCCCCACTCCTAGGTCTCATGAGGCACTGAGGAGAAGACCCTTCCCCTTCATGCTGGACTCTTGCCTCCCAACCCTTCTGTCTCTGCCAGACCACCCTCTCTGCTCTTCTCCGGTAGCCTCTTCTCATGGAATCTGGAGGGGCTGTGAGGCCATCATGCCCCATCACCGCCTCTCTGGGTCACTGGAAGGTTCCCATTGCTTCCACTGCTCCCAACCTGTCACTGAGTCTTTTCAGTAGGTGCCACTGGAGCCACTAGCCTTGCAAAGCCAACAGCCCATGGCTGGTCTGGGCACCCTTTCCTCTGTTCTGGCCTTTACTCTGCTGGGACCCTTATCTTGCCACTAACTCTCCACTGCCTCCAAGTCCACCAAAGGTCAGAGGGCTGGCACTGGGAACTATGACCAGCAGCAGGCAGCCTGCCACGAAGGACTTGAGGTCATTCCTTGGGAGGCTATAAATGCCTATCCCACTGCCCCAGCCTCACTGGGACAGCAGATATCTTGACCCCCAGTGATCACCATGATCAGGCAGAAGTTTATTTCCCCTCTGAATCTTGAGATGAAGTGATTTTTCATCTTTGGGCAGTGCAGCAATATTTCACATCTCTAGTTTAGAAAGTTCATTTATTCCACCTTATTCAGTTCTTACCATGGCTCAGTGGTTAGAACTCATCCTGATTGTCTAAATGAGAGAGACTTTGCCCAAGGTTGCACAGCTAGTAAACAGCCATGCTGGAATTTGAAACCAGGCCTCATCAAGCCCTGTGGCCAGTCTGTCTTTGCACCCTGGTGCAGAAGTTGAATATCTGCTCAGGGGACTCACCCCAGGCTAAGCTAACTGCACAGACCAACCCTCCCAACCTCCACCTACTAATGGTTTCTTTGGGATGTGGAGGGCTGTCCCCCTACCTCCCTTCTATTGCCCATCAGTCCTCTCTTTTATTCTCTCCTCCATGCTCTGCTCTCTGCTTGGAGTAAGGCCTACGGAGGAGGCACTAACACGAAGGGTGGCTTGGTCTCAGGGGCTGGGAAGATGAGTTTGGCCTCCCCTACCACCCTGGGGAGGAGCAGTGCCAGCAGCTGGGGATGCCAAGCTGAGACAGGGGCCATGTGACTGCCTCTTGAGGTCAGGATGTGAGCGGGACCTGTGGGGTAACTGATGGGCCCCCCACATGAGCTTCCTTGCTTCACCCCAGAGATCTGACCCACTTGGAGGGACACCTTTCTGACACCACAGGCTCTCAGTCTATGAAGTTTGCTAATGTCCACCACCACCCCCAGCAGCTGGACTGGGCCTGGTATCCTCTTAAAAGCCAGCCAGACCCGCAAGGCAGGCTTCTCCATCAGTTCCTTGAGATCAAAGCCCAGTGTGGCCAGCAGCCCCTGTGCTGCCCCCATGCCCCAGTCAGGGCCAGCCCTCCTGCCTAGACACTGCGAGTATTGTTGTGCACCCATGTGGTATCTATTTGATCCAAATTTATGACACTGATCTACTTTAAATATGTTGCAAGATGCAAAGCGTGTTTAAAACATTACAACCTTGGCTCTCTTTCAAGGGGGTTGACGAGTATTGTCAGATTGTGTGTGGATCACAAAACCTGGTGAGAGCTTATCTTTTAAGTACGCAGAACTGGTCTGTCTGTCTCACTTTGGGGGCGCATTTGATGCCTGTGGTGGCCTGGATGTTAAGCCTCATGGTTTGCATGAAGGACCATGGCTGAAACACACATTCCCCTCTTTCAGGCTGTGGGTTTCAGACCAGAGGAGGAAATGAGAGCTTCAGGCTAGAGCTGTTTGCAACTGCAGCTACCCCTCCTGGAGGCCAGTGGGGCTCCCCAGAAACAGGAATGCCCTGGGGAGGAGAGTGGATGGGCCCTATGATGAGATGGCTAGAGGGCTGGGGAAGGGCACAGGGACAGAAGCCCACCCACCCAGCCATCTCAGCCTTCATTCTGTGGCTGTGCTGGCCCTTCCCCTTGCCCCTTCTCAATGCTTCAGCCAAAGGGCATGAGGATTCTGATCTGCCAGCCAGAGCAAGGGCCCGTGTGGTGGACACACTTCTGTAGAATGATAACTCGTGCAATTGTAACTACCTTACTGGCTTCTTCAACAAGCCAGGCTGTGTACTAGGCACTTTGCATGCATCAACTTATTGAATCCTTGTAACAACCCTGTGAGGTAGGTTTTACTCAATTCCCAACTTATGGATGAGCATACTGAGGTTCACAGAGGCCATTTTCCCCGAGGTCCACAGCTAGGAAATAGAGAAGCCAGGTCTGTGTGATCCCAAAGCCTTGCTCTGAATGGCTTTACTATCTGCCTCTTAGCAGCCCTGGGGGACCCCATGATGATTTCCAGTAGACCTTCCCCCATACCCCTCCATGAATGGAAGGAAAGGAGGTGGCAGCTGAGCTGTTTTCGTTCTTGTAAGAGAAGGCTGGATTCAGGCCTTTCTCTGAGTCTCCAGGCTCCCTGGGAGCATGTCTGCAGAGTCTGCAGCAGAGAACAGGGAGTACTTGGTGTGTTGCTCTTGCCAAAGAATTAAGGAAGTGGAGTGCTTTGCCCATTGGCACTGACTCCATCCAAATAAGTCCCTCAGGGAGTTGGGATGGTTTCAGGACTCCCAATAAAGCCTGGAGGAGGCAGCTTGCCCCAACCTTCCACGACAGCTATTCCTGAAACCTTCCTGCACCCCTCCGGCTCCTGTAGGACCTGAGTAGCCCATGCGGTTCCCACTCCCACTGAGTGCTCCGTGCAGATGGAAGCCCTAGATGCAGGAGCCTGCTAGTGCGGGGACAGCATTTTCTTTGAAAGCTGTGAAATCCTAGTGGGGACCATTCGCATTAAAGATAAGAAAACTAAGATCTGGGCCTCTGATCTGAGACCTTGTGGAGACTAAAGCGACCCCAGCCCCCACCCTGAGCACTCTGGGCTTTGTTTTTCATGCACTCCAAAGTCCAAGATTAATTAGAGCTGACTTTTCTTTTTGGAACTAACTACAAAATCAACCGATCTCAAATTGAGATTATAAGCCAGCTGCCCTTCCAAAGCCCTGGCCTTCAATGGGGCACCCGACCCCGGTAATTCCCCGGATCACTTCCTGCCGGCCCTAATTACAGGAGGAACTAGGATTTCCGCGGTTCCGGTCCTCTCTGGTGTGGAAGATGGCTGTAGCAGGGAAGCAGGAACTGAGCTGCCTTTTTCCCGGAAGGAAGACCTGGGAACTCTTTATAGGGAGAAAACCGTTAGCCCTCCACACCTGGCTTTTCTGGCCTAGGGAAAAGACCCTGGTCCAGGCTTGAGGCTTGAGCTGTCCACCGACCGCCCCCCACCCCCACCCCTCCCCGCAAACTCCCCACACTCTCAGGCGGGCCTTCCTCCTCCCTTACAGAGAACAAAGAGCCTGTGCCACCAGATGCATTTGCTCAGGGCCTTCCAACCCAGACCTGGCTGCAGCAGAAACCAGGCCTAATCTTAGAGAACTTCATTTACTTCCCCGTGCTTCCCTGGCCTGACCTTGGCTGGGAGCTGACCGTAAAGCCCCCTTCCTTCCTCTAGACTGTGCTTTCTTGCCAAGTCCCTGCCCAGCTTGTTCAACAAACAGTAAATCGCCAATTAAGAGGCCACTCCCACAGGAGCAGAGCTTGGCTGGTTTATGCTCCAAGGAGCTCACTTCCATTCTATCATCTCTGTAAAGGATGCATCCTCCCACCTGGAATCTTGGACCAGAACAGAGGACCTATCAATGCTGTGTGGTGCTCAGGTGCAGTGCCCAGCTGGGGAGTCTGAGTGGCAGCCTCAAAATCAGGGATGGGACAGGCCTTCAAGGTCATTCAAAGCAAACGCCTCTCTACCCACTTGTGCTCCCCTAGAGCCTTCTCAGCCACAATGACTACAATCCATCCCTTCCTGCATTGGTTCTTGGCACTGAGGTTAAAAAGCCAGCCTTGCAGAGGGGTGGCTGGATGTTGGCCCAGGAGTCACAGCTTCTGCCATCACACCATGCACGTGGCCAAGACCTTTTGTAAGGCTCAGAGCACCCACTTCCCCAGCCCAAGTAAGGCGGCTGAGAGCCCCCAGGGGAACTTCTGAGTCCCTTCTGGGGAGACAAGAGGGGGCAGAGATAGAGGAGGTGAATTGAGGCCTGTGGGCTTTGCTGGACTGAGTGAGCCAGGCCCTCCAAAAACCAAGACAGTGATGAGTGAGTGGATGGAAACTGAGCACAATTACTAATACACTTTTTAAATAGGAAAACCTAGGAGGGGAATTAGAAAAGAAGGAGCCCTTAGACAGGCTCACACAAAGACATGCCCCAAGGAACAGTCCTCTGAACAGAGGTGGGCCACTGTCCTCCTCGGGCAATAACCACGCCCTCCCCCTCCCCCGCCTCCTGCCTCCTGCACATGGGCCCCAGCCACAGCGACGACGCTGGAGTCCTTGATAATGACTCTCACCTCCCCATCATCCAGGAACCAATGTTTTTGGCTTTAGGAGAAGCCATTCCCCAGTTCAGAGGTCAGGCAGGGGCAGGTCCCTGGAGACAAGCCCCAGGGAGTGAGCCTAATGAGAGTGGAGTGAGCGGCAGAGCGAGGTCAGCTGGGGGAGGCCAGTGGGGGCGCCCCTGCTTCCTGCCAAGCAAGGGGGTGGGAGGGAGGGAGGCCCTGCCATGGGGATCAAGGAAGCCCGGGTCACTTGCGAAATTAAGAGAATTGACCCAGAGAGGAGGGAAGGGGCGAAGGTCAGCCACCCTAACAAGGAGGGCTGCCTCCCGAGGAGGCTCCTGGGGCTCTGATTTCCCCTGAGTACCTGATTGTGTCTTTACACACTCACATCAACAGGGGCTGAGGACAACCCCAATTAGCCTGGAGACTCTCACGCTCCGGGGTTTTGCTCTGCACAGTTTCTTCCAGGATTGGAGACAGAAGCCCAGAGACAAGCTTGAAGCAGACACCACCTCCTCCCTGCAGGAGCACCCCTCTGGGCAGGAGGAAGGGAGAGCAGGGACCCACTGAGACCCCTCCTAGAGCTGCATTTTTAACCAAAGCTAAGAGTCCCTCCCCACCCCACAGAGCCTTTTTCTGGAGCTGCCAACCAAGCCAAATGGCACCTCCCCAGCTTTGGCCTCTCTCCTTCCAAAGGGCTGTGCAGGGGAGCAGAGAAAGGGCTGGGGTGGGTGGGAAGAGACAGGAGCACCAGTGGATGGGAGGTATCTGATCTAACCGCACTTTGCAACCAAGAACCCTGGACCAGTGGGAGAAAGTGGCTTATCTGTGGTCACCTGCACTGCCAGCCCAGCTCCTCGAAATGGAGGTGGGAAGAAGAGGGCAGAGGCATTGAGGGAAAGCAAGAGAAAAGACAGAGAAAGTAGAAGAGAGGGATGACGGGGGCCTCTGAATAGTCAAGGACTCCCAAGCTGACCTCCCACCTGCACCCACACCAGAGGACTGTGGGGGCCTCTGTACTGAGTCAAACTGGTCTGGTCATTCAGAATGCTAGCAGGGGACCCTCCAAAGGAAAGAATGACAGGAGCCCTCAGCTGGTACTACTGAGAGGGCTTGGAGACCGCTGTGGCGGGAGTAGCCAGACTTCAGATGAGGTACTGTCACGCCCTCTGCTGGCCACAGAGCGGCTGTGCACACAGGCAGTGAGCTTTTCTGGGCATCCTGCGCTGAGCGGCCCCCACACTCTGACCCCTGCACCCCTATGATGGGCCACAGACCTAAGGACCCCCACCAAGCAAAGAGGGGCTCTGCTCCGCTTTCAGCCTGCAAAGGCTGTTTGGTGGAAGCAGACGGAACATCAGTCCATCTGATACTTGGGTTGGCCAAGAGAAATAAGTACCTTGGCATAACAGACAACAGACTATCCAAAGCCCTAGGCTGCATGACCTTGGCAATCATACCTGTCCTCTGTGAGCCGCAGTTAGCTTACTTGTGAAGCAAGAATAACGTCCACTCCCACATTGGAAGGGATTGTTGGAGATGGAAGAGAGGAAGGTTGTAAAGCTTTTCAGTCCAGTGCAGACACATGGCAGCTGCAGTAAGTGGCTGTGCCCTTCTCTCTCAGTCCCACAAGAAGGAAGTTAGTGTCTAGAGCAAGCCTTGGGCTCTAGATTTTCAGCCATGGTAACTTCCTGAATTTAGCTCTGCCATCCCACCTATGGTTCAGGGGTCACTGGTGGGGTCATGCTGAGAGAGGGCTCTGGCATTGGGAACTAAAGATTCTAGGCCTTCTGTAGAATTTAGAGACTTGGCCCAAAGAGGATAAAAGTGAAGCCATCTCAGGCAGACATAAATTTGTGTGTGCCGATTACAAACGCTAAGTGGTCCCTGTCGCATTGAGGATGCAGCGCTGAGTTATAGGGGATAGCAAAAAGCTTCATAGAAGAGATAAAAGGGCCCCACTCCCATCAAACAGCCTCTGCAGGCTGAAAACAGGGCAGAGCCCCTCTCTACTCAGAGGCCCTCAGGTCTGTGGTCCATAGGGGTGCAGGAGTCAGTGTGCGAGGGCAGCTCAGCCCAGGGCACCAGACAAGAACTGGGTGCTCTATCAACCAAGACTCCAAATGATGAATAGGGTTTTAAGTTGAAATGGAAGAAAGACAGACCGTGGAAATGGGTAGTGTTTTCAGGGACACAGAAACTAGCAGGACACAGAAACTAGTGATATCATGACATGATATCAGGTGATGAGGCTAGGAAGGAAGCAGGGGTCAGAACGTCATGCTCAGGAACCTGGTCCTTTTCCTACTGTCAACAGCAGGCCAAGGATGTTTTAAGGCAGGGGTCTCGCTATCCAGCCTGTGTGTTAAGAAGCTTAACTGGACACTTGCATGGAAGACCCATCACGGAGGAAGAGGGTGGAAGTCCTCTAGCCTTGGTAAGGAGAAGGATGGACGAGGACCTCCTGTAAGATGGCAGGAAAGGGAGAGTGTGGACAGCTGAGAAGGAAGCCAGAGAACACCAGATCCCCTCTGCCTTTAAGCCTATGGGAACTGCAGCCTGGCCTGGCAGCCACAGCAGTCACACCCAATGGGGCAGCTGGGCCGGGAGCAGGATTGTCACACTCTGTGTTGCCCATCCACAGCGCTGGCCTTCAGATGGAGGAAGTGGCAGCAGGCTGGCTGCAGTCACCTGTTGCTGGACACCATCCCGGGCCCCAGCTGGGGCTTCGTGCTCAGGCACTGCATAGGATTCAACTCCCAGAGCCAGGAGCTGCCCTCCCCACTCCCCTGATGTAGCCGATGATAGTCCTGACTCACCTGCTCTTGGCCTCCCACTTGTCCCTGGCTGTCATCTCCAACTCCACCTCCTTGTGGTGTGTCCTTCTTCCTGATCTCACCTTACTGTCATAGACTTGGCATTTTTCTGGAGAAGTAAAGATGTTGAACATAAAGATAGGGCAGTGCCACGATGGTAGAGCGACCCCATGCTGTCCCAGAGGAGCAACAATGGACAGGTGACCCTACCTGTGCCTCTGGACAAGTAGGGTCAGAAATGGGGTGCAGATAAATGGGCAGGGACACATGCCCTTGGGGAGAGTTAGACCCAGAGGACTTGGAAGGGAAAGGAACCCCAGATGAAAAGAGAAGAGAGCTCCTGTCTGGCTCAGCCAGAAGGTATCATCCTAGCAAAGCTGCTGGAGTGAAAATGAGGCAAGAAGTCCCAGGCAGGGACCAGAGGGAAGGTGTGCAGTAGGTAAGCAGCCAATGGGTGGCTCCTGCCCCTGGTCCCGTCCCACAGCCCAAGTTCCAGGTACAGCTCAACCACAGGGTGGTAGGTAGATCTTGGGCCAGTCACTTCTCTTGCTGAACTTGCATTCCACTAGGTAAGCCTCTCTGTCTGGGGGCCTTTCCTGCTCTGTGACCTGTAATTGGGGCCCTCCTGCAAGTTCACATAGCTGAGGACAGGGGCCCACACAGCTGCCACCAGGGCAGGGTCCTCAGAGCTCAACATGAACCGGACAGCCATCCCAGCCTCCAGACAAGACATTCTCACCGACATCCTTGCAGGCTGACAGGCCCCGAGTCTGGTCCTCTCCTCATGCTTTCTCATTTCTTCCTCCAGGGAGAACGGGGCATGCCAGGGATGCCAGGCAAGCATGGAGCCAAGGTACCTCCCCCTTCCCCACATCCCAGGCAGCCCCAAGGCCCCTCCCCCAGTGCCCATCCCTCTCTCCTCAGCTCTGGGGACACTCTGGAGTCCCAGCTCTTTGGGCCTCCTTCTGCCTGCCCTGGTTCTCCCAGCTGCAGCATTGTGGTCTCTCATCAGTGCCCCCTGATGCGGGCGGCCTCCTCCTGGGCATCCCTGGGTCATAAAAAGCCATCTCAGGTACCACTAGCTCCACTGCAGTCCTAAGACCCAAGTGGAGAGTAGGGGCCCCCAAAAATCACCTCCACTTGAGATTTGCTAAGGGGCACTTTGGGCATCATCTATCTCTCAAAGTGAAATGATATCAGGTGATGTGAAAACAGGGTTTTCATATCAGCTTTCACAAAGCTGATATGAAAACAGGGTTCACTCCAGCCACTCCCCAGTCCATGAGGGCAGAGGTGCACAGAGCTGACTGTGAGGGTAATGCCAACCAAACACTGGGGGCGACTGTCCCTGGTGAAATCAGCCCCTTTACTTTGTCATCTATTCTGCACCCCTCTCCCGTGGCTTTCCATTCTCCTGCCGTCTCCCTTCCCATCTCCTCCTCCTCCTCCTCCTTTCATATTCCAACGAAGCTCCCCCTTCCACCCCAGGGACCCCCTCCCAGCCCCATCTAGTGCCCCACAGTCCCCACTGTGCCTCCCAGGAGAGGCCAGGAGCCATGCAGGTGGTTGGGAAGCCCAGGGAGCCCCGCAGACTGAGCTACACAAAGCCCCTTCCTCAGGGTCCATTCTCGTGGCGTCAGCTCAGCGCCCCCACCTCCCAGGTGGGGTTGGTGGTTGCGGGGTTGGGAGGAGTGAGCGGTCCTCCTTCTCATCACACCATGGGGAGGCTGTCCACTGCCCCCCGCCCCCTGCTGCCCCCTCGCTGCAGAATGTCTTCAGACCTTTTTTTTTCTCTCTCTGCCAGGGGGCGCCCGGAATTGCCGTGGCTGGGATGAAGGTCAGTGGACTGTTGTAACCAACACATCAGGGACAGGGTGGGAGAGAAGAGAGCGGGCAGAGCTGGAAATCTTAGACTCAGTGGGGTGGCTGCCAGACCAATGAGGGGGCATACAGGATTTGGAAACATTTTTCTCAAAGTAACATTTGTGCCAGGTGCATAACCTTGAGCCACAGATGTGTAACTAAGCCTTGCAAGTAAGTAGCAATGGTTTCCTGCCTCAACTCACTAGCCTGCCAATGCACCAAGGCAGCAGGAAGGCAGCCCAGATCTTTCCTTTATGCTCTGTAATTGGGCAGCTATATGCTTCCAAAGCTTCAGAGAGAGCAGGAGTTCATCTCCAGAACCCCCACCCTAACTGCCCATTTGGTTGGCAGGCAGATGTGAGGACAGCCTGGAAAAACAAGTGCTCAAATTCTATCTTCACAGCAGGTGCACTTACAGGGGGCACCATGTCCAAACCAAATGTCCATTCCTTCCTCTCTTTCCTCCTGGGCTGCCTCACTTATGCTCCCACCTGCCACACCCCTCACCTGGGGAAGAATAGGACCCTCTAAGGGTCAGTAGCCTGATAGGCCTCCTTTGGCCTGGGACCTGATGCCTGAACAGAGAAGAGCCGGGGCTGGCCAGATGTTTCACTAACCCCACCCTGACTGCCCCCAACCCCACCTCCACCAACAGGTGCCTTGCTCATTTGTTTCTGCTTTTTCTGTCTCTCACATTTGTTTCTCTTTTTCCACACAGGGTGAGCCAGGGATCCCAGGAACCAAGGTACTGATGCAGAGAGAATGTTCCGGGCTGCACAGAGCATCGGTCATGGGCAGAGGTGGGAGGGGCTGCTGCTGTTTTGCTCTTGGTCCCCCTGAGGCTGGCCTGGGACTGGGGACCTGGCTAAGCAGAGAAGGGCCCACTGGTCAGGAGCACACTGCAAATGCCTCCCCCTCCCTGGGTCCTGGCCTGCAGGCATGCCAGCTGCAGCAGGCAGTGACTATTGTCCCCTGCACCCACAGGGTTCTCTTTCCCTCTTGTGTGACAATAAGAGGTGTGACAATAAGATATGTGACAAGAAAAAAAGTTTGAGAAATGCTAGGTTAGAAATATTACACAGGTTTCTTTGCTGCAGACCTTCTCAGAACCTTTAATTTGCTAAATGTGCATTGAGGAGCTCTCAAAAGGAAATATCTTATGTGGCATTTTCAAAACGTTTTTGACCAGAACACCCTTTTTTAAAGAGGAAAAGCTTAAGGGACAAGTATTCTGGAAATGCTGGTCAATGATCACTGCCCATCCTACCCCTCACTGCCTGCCCCATCTTCTTATCAGTGACTTTCTCTTCTTACCCCAAAGGGAGACCCAGGAGCAGAAGGGAAGCCGGGGCCCCCAGGTTTGCTGGGAAAGAGGGGGCAGAGGGTAGGATATCGTGTATTTGAGTGTGTGCCCCTTCATCCTAGCCTCACCATTCCCCTACTCTCTGGCCTTCCTCCATGGCTGGTGTGTCGCCTGCAGCGTGCTGTTGGTGCATGTGTTCCGAGATGAGGGGAGTGGCAGGACGGCCTGGCCAAGCTTCAGAAACCCACACTCAAGAGCACACCCACTCTCCTGGGCAGCCTTGATTACCCAGCAGAAAGCCTAGCAGAAGGAGGAACTTGCCTCCTTCCACCTCTGCTCCCCAAGGATCCACATCCTTTCCTTCTCCACATGGCCTGCTTCCGAAGGATACCCAAACTAAGCACATCTGCAGGAGCAGCCCAGGCAGGACAGGGCAGCAGGGGCTCCCTCCCACTGCCAGGGCCTCTGCCTGGCCCTCCACAACCCCTCTTGGCCAGCCTCAGGCTACTTTACCGTTCAGCTGCTACCCTGGGGCAGGTGCCAAGGAGACGACACCAAAAGACTTGGTGTGGCACCTTCTGTGGCTCCCACTGGAATGAATGTTCATTGAGACATCTGACCAAATTATAAGCCCAGAGCCCTCAGCTCACATTATTACACATGAGAACTGCCTCTCCCCAGGGCCATGGGTAGCAAAGCTTCTTGTGCTGACCTGATACCCCAGCCCTGCTGGTGGGGTGCTCTTGGACACTCACCTGATATTGGACACTGCTGTGCACTGAATATGTCCATCCCAGACCCATATGTTGAAGCCCTCACCTCCAGTGTGGCTGTATTTAGATAGGGCCTTGGGGAGGTCATTAAGGTTAAATGAGACCATAAGGTCGAGGCCCTAATCCAATAGGATTGGTGGCCCTAGAAGAAGGGGAAGAAAGAGAGAGACCTTTGAGAGACCGTTCTCCCTCTCTGCCTTGTGAGAACACGGCAAGAAAGCTGTCATATTCAAGGCAGGAAGAGGGCTCTCACCAGAACCTGGCCATACTGGCACCCTGATCTCAGACTTCCAGCATCCAGAACTGTAAGAAAATACATTTCTGCTGTCAAAGCCACCCAGACTTTGTTATGGCCGCCTGAGCTGACCAATACAGCTGCTCTGTGAAAAGAAGGCAGAGCATCAGGGAGACGGGCTCGACCTGCCTCTGCCACTGACTCAGTAAGGGGTTGGCCACCAGTCACGTAACCTCTTGGGGCTTCCCTCACCAAATCTGTGAAATGAGAATGGGGTTCAGCATCTCTAAGGGGCTCTTTGATTCATGTCATGGGGGAAAAAGAGTTCTTCCGTAGTGGAAGAAGCTGGGTAGGGAAGTGTATTATTTTGCTAGGGCTGTGGTAACAAAGTACTACAGGCTGGGTGGCTTGAGCAGAAGAAATTCATTGTCCCACAGTTCTGGAAGCTGGAAGTCCAAAAGCAAGGTGTTAGCAGGGCGGGCTCCATCTGAGGGCCAAGGGGGAGAATCTGCTCCAAGCCTCTCTCCCGGCTTCTGGTGCTTGCTGGCAATCTTTGGCATTCCTTGGCTTATAGACGTATCACCCCAATCTCTGCCTCCATCTCCATATGGCATTTCCCTGTGTGCATGTCTGTGCCCAAATTTCTCCCTTTTATAAAAAGGACATCAGCACATTGGATAGGGGCTCACCCTACTCCCATGGGACTTCATCCTAACTCATTACATTTGCAATGACCCTATGTCCAAATAAGGTGAGCTGGTTATAGCTAGAGGCGGAGAAGGGGGTGCCAGAAAAGACTGGGAGCCCTTAGTTGCTAAGCATTAAGAATCTGAAGAACAGAGTGGTCAAAAGGAATTGCTTGCCCAACCACTGGCGTTCTGAACTGCTCACCTCTCCCAGGAGACCGCCAGGATGGACTAGATGCTTCTGGCCTTTGTTATGATCTGTGGCCAGTGTGACTTCTCCCCAGCATGAATGACAAGGGCCCGGGCCACATGGGAATAAGGAAAGCAGTCATGCAGGTGTCACCAACGCGAAGTGACCCATGGAAGTAGCCAGTCAGGATGGGGGCCGGGAGGAAGTGGAGCCCTTCAGAAAGCCAGCTGGGGGCAGGGGCACCGAGGCAGGAGCAAGGGAAGGCAAGGCCCTAAGCTGTGGAGCTGGTGGCTTCCCAAACCTGCTGCAGAAACAGTTCCTAACCCCCACACTGTCTGCATCTCCCTGCAGGGTGAGAAGGGGGCTGAAGGCTCCCCTGGGCTTCCTGGCCTCCTGGGGCAGAAGGTAGGTGTTGCTCTGAATGGAGGGTTCAAGTCCTTCGTCACCCACATCCCATACCTGGCCCTGCACATCCACACAGGCCCCAGCATTGGACGTGTCTGTCTCCCAGACTGCAGGAAAGGCAGCTGGAACACAGCCAGATTCTGTTTGTCGAGGGAGAGGTGCCATAGGCAGGCCCTGATTGGCAAAAATAAAATGCCGAAATGTAAAGAATTCGGTAGTGATGACCTGGTCAGATTTCTTGGTACCAGCTCTGCAAATGCATCCCACAGTTCATGAACTCTGTAAGATATTTAATTTAAAAATTAAAAAAAAAAAGATGAGGCCAAAATAAGGGGAGACATGCATAATAAGATGGGACCCTTGGAAAGTCACAGTGCTCCTCAGCCTGTTAGAGGCCTGAGCACCCTGCAGTGATGGGGTCTGCAAAGCTTATTTAATGTTTCATTTCTTACATAGTTTGGCCACCAATAATAATGTTATTCCACATTTTGAATATTCTCAACCCACTGAACAGTGTTCCGTGGAATACACTTTGAGAAACACGGCTCCAGACCCAGTTTTGAAGGATCCCTTGTGTCAGCTCTAAACCTGCTGCCCTTCAGTAAACACTTCCAATCTCTCTTCAAATCCCACAGCTGGATCAGATAAATCTGGGATTCTGAAGGCCCCTGGTCCCCAGACATCCTGGGGCCCACACCCCATAGTGTCCCTCCAGTGCTCAGCCTAGACCTTCCTCCACACCAGGGATGCTAACTCCACCTTCCACCCCCAGGGAGAGAAAGGCGATGCTGGCAACTCCATTGGAGGAGGCAGAGGGGAACCTGGCCCTCCAGGGCTCCCTGGGCCCCCAGGGCCAAAGGTGAGTGTTCCCTGGAATTGGTGTTGGGGAGGTGCTTACCTGGGGACTTTGTCTTCAGCCTGTTCTCGGGGACTCTACGTCCCGGACATCCCGCCTTCTCTAGCCTTCCCCTGCTCCAGATGTGTGGTTTTCCCCATGGATTCCAAAAAGGCCATTTGGACCCAGCTCCTGCTTGCAAGCAGATAACAGTTTGACCTTTCAGAGGAGATGTCTTCCCTGGGGCAGATGGATGGTCCCAGTGATTCAGATGACTCTGATGTAACTGAGTCAGGGCGCAATGGCTGCAGGACCTTCATGGCTATGCTGTAACTGAGTCAAGGATTGATGGCTGCAGGACCTTGATGGCCATGCTGTAACTGAGCAAGGGACCAATGGCTTCAGGGCCTTAGGACAGGCAAGAGGCCCCCCACCTTGGCTCTGAGTAGGTTGCAGGTCAACTATCAGCTGGCCCCACCTGGTACCAGCACATCTGGTAGGTGGCAGCAGTGGAGGCAGCTGCAAATGGAAACTGCCCTCACTTTCCTTTTGCTGCTTGAAAAGTGCAATGGTAAGATTTGGGTTCCCCAAAGCAGATGGCTCCTATGTTGCTTGGTTTACTTTAGCAGCACTGAGAAATGAAGGGGGTCTGTTTCTTAGCTCAGAAGGAAAGCATGAATTACTCTACATCATCTGGGGCAATACACTCATTCATTCCGCCCATATCCACCTGCCATGGGCTGGGCTCTGTGTGGGCCTAGGAGGGCCTGGCAGGGCAGAGTGGACACCAGTAAAGGGTACAGAATGCAGGGAAGGAAAGCAGGAGTGGGCTTCCAGAGGAAGCAAGACCCAGGCTGGGCCCAAGCATGGGTAGGAGTCAGGGAGGTGGAAGAGTGGGAGGTGCAGAAGCCATCAGGGAAAGAGAAGTCCAAGGCAACATCTAGGCATGAGCGGCAAGACCATCTTTTCCCTCATAAGCAGCTGTCCAGGTGCCCAGCATGCCCTCATCCCAACTCTCTCCTCTTCCCCAGGGAGAAGCAGGTGTCGATGGCCAGGTTGGCCCCCCAGGGCAGCCAGGAGACAAGGTACAGAGACCCCCACATCCCAGAGCTGCAAGATGAGGGTCAGCTTGGGAGGTCAAGAATCATCCCGGCCGACCCTAGGGGTATCCCTCAGGGCACAAGGCTGACCGGCCATGACCACTGGCTTCCCTAATTCCTGGTTGGCTTGGGCTTTAGAGAGCCATGCACTGAGACAGCAGTCATGCAAAAGCCAGTCTAGGGATGGGACATTTGACCAGGGAGTGACACAGAGCTTCCCGAGCCATTGGTAAACGAGGGGCTCTTGCTTCTCTCCAGCTACTCCCTGTGAAAGGCTGCTGTGTCCCTCATGAGTTCACAGTGGCTAAAGTGTTGTGGCAGTGGAGGAGAAAGAGAGTGGGTTACCTGGAGGCAGCAGTGGCTCCACGTCCCGTGAGCAGGTTCATCAGGAGTCACACCAAAGTGTTCCTGTTTCCTTTATTTTTACTTTCTATCTTGATTTTTTTCAATTGTCTTTATCCCAGAAAAATTGAAACTGCGCTTGGTTTTTCACAAGTTACACTGCTTTTTCATTTATTCTCCATGGCTCTGTCCTGTTTGCAACAGGAACAAATCCTTCCACCCGCCCACTCTGGGAGGTGGGTGCTCATACACCCATGTCCTCCTGAGACCCTCCTGGCCCTCCACATTTCACTCGGCATTCTGGGTCTTTCACAAGTAGAGTAGGCAGCAAAAGAACTGTGTGGGCTCTCGATGGCAACTGACACCCAGACAATTGGCAAAAAGCTGCTGAGTCCTGGATACCTGAGCAGGATGGAATTAAAGAGAAGCAAACGTCCCTGCTCCAATGGAGGCAACTGACTTAGGGGACTGGGGAAAAGGTGTGAGAGAGACAAAGGGGAGTCCCTAACAATGAACACAGAACAGAAAGAACGCCACCGAGTCTGAAGTGGGAGGCAGCCCAGAGGGACTCAGAGGGACAGGAGTGTGGGTGGGTGTTCCCTGGATGTTTCCTGAAGGGGTGGAACCTGCACTTCTATGGACTAAGAGCTAAGATGAGCCTCCTGGCCCTTATCACATGGCCCATCTAGGGACATCAGGCTCTCTGTACCAACTTTATCCCCACTTTGCTCCAATTTTGTCATGCAACAGGGGGAGCGTGGAGCAGCTGGAGAACAGGGACCAGATGGCCCCAAGGTATGTGCCTCTCCCTCCTGGAGTCACAGCGTGAAGCGGCTGGTAAATCAAAAAAGCATCTGAGACAGGTCTCAATTAATATTTAGAAGTTTATTTTGCCAAGGTTAAGGGCACGTGCCCAAGAGACAGGTCTGTGCCTTTTGCCAAAGATGATTTTGAGGGCTTCAATATTTAAAGGGGAAAAGCAGGCTGGAGGGGAAAGAGGAAGGGTATGGTAATCCACACACTGCAAGGGAAAAGGAGCAAGTAGCGGAATAGTTGATTATGTATTAGTCTCACGCTCAGTAAATCGGCACTTTATGTAAGCTGTGGTGAACATGGAGCAGCTACCTGTGGGGATATTTAACCTTTTATCTGTAGCTGTCTGATTAGGAACAAAAGGAAAGGCAGCTTCTTGCATGACTCAGCTTTCAGCTGAACTTTTTTTCTTTTGGCAGAGTGAACTGGGGTCCCAAGTTTTTATGTCCCTTTCACAGGCTTGACCTTGGGGTCTTGACGAGGCAGGAGGGGAAGAGCATTCTGGCCCTCAGGTGGGAGGTCTGACTGGCAGCACAGGTGGACCCAATCTTCCCAGGTCGGCCTAGCCCAGACTTCTCACATGGAGTCTTCTCGATTTGTTCTGCAATCCCCGAGCATCCTCTGAGAGTGTTCAGAATCCCCAGGGCCCCGCTGGCTGTTCTGGGTCCACCCATGTGCAGCTAGGTGCAGCCAGTGTGGGCTGATAGAGAGCAGGCCACAGTTGCCCTCCCGGCCCTCCCGGTCCAGGCCGTGGGTTGAGATCTCATTTGCCTTCCAGGGCTCCAAGGGAGAACCAGGGAAAGGAGAGATGGTGGATTACAATGGAAACATCAATGAGGCTCTCCAGGTGAGCAGGGTCCAGCCCAGAGGCCAAGATCCTCATGGATCTCAGGCTCTGCACCATGCCCTGATCAGGGGGCCCTTCCACACAGCCGAGTAGGGGCCCTGCCCTCAGGCCCTCAGGCAGCGCTTCCAGGAGAGCTGCTTCCTCGCTTTCTCTCCTTTGACCTCCCGCTGTGTAGCCTCCTGGGAAATGGCCCCATTACTGGCATCCAGGTGGCCGGGGCTCTCTGTCTGGGCCCAGCTGGCCAGTTATCCTGCCTCAGGGCCCCTGAGTGCCATAGTGGAATTATCCTGGCACCCCACAAGTTACGGCCCATGCAGGGTGCTGGGGCCCCATTTCTTTAATGCATGTATAACCCCCTTTCATGCAGCAGCAAATCTTCCTGGAACGCATCTCCTTTCGTGTCAGTTTAACCCTGTTTCAAGTTCATGAGCTCCCGCTCCCCACCCTTTAAAGCAGGGTTTCCCAGCCTTGGCACTGACTTTTGGGGCTAGAGAATCTTTGTGGTGGGGGGAGAGTCGGTCCTGTGTGTTGTAGGATGTGCAGCAGCGTCCCCAGTCTCTACCTGCTAGATGCCAGTAGCACCCGAGCCTCAGCTGTGACAACCAAACTATGTCTCCAGACATGACCAGTTATCCCTTGGGGGAAGAAATTGCCCCTGCTCAAGAACCACTTCTTCAAAGGAGTCTGTGTCCGTATGTGACTCCATTTACAAGGTGTAAAATCCTCTTTTAAAGCCAACAATCATCTCCCTGATCTATTTTTTGAGTGGTTCCATATTTTGCTATATTGTGTCTGTTTAAAGGGAGGTGCGTGGCAACTTTGAAATCTGGGTTCTGGGAGAAGAGGAAAGAACAAGGGAGGGTCCTCAGAAGGTGACTAGAAAGAATAAGAGGTGGTGCTTCCTTCCCTTCAGTAAAGTGAAGTAAAGGTTGCAGTCCATTTAGGGTGTGCCTGAGTCCATTGTAGGACGGCCTCAGAGTATAATCATGCTTAGGAGATGCTACGTATTCTCTCTCCAGTGATTACAAACCTCAGCGAGAGGTGGGGTGGGGGTGGTGTGAGTCTGGGGGCCATGGAGCCCACCTGCAAGCGTCTCCCTCCACCCACGCTCCTTTGAGGGGCCTAGCTCCCATGTTTCCATGACTGTGCAGTGAGAACCTTCCACTTGGCTCTTGGTTTGCTCTTCAACTGATTGCCTGGTGTTGGTTTTTTAGGAGATCCGGACGCTGGCCTTGATGGTAAGTTTTGCTCCTCCTGGCTTTCCTTGGGCACTGGACGGGGGGGCTGGGGATGGCAGCCTGGAAGCAAGGATTTGATTTCTCCCCTCCAGAAAGCAGGTACTGGGCTGCAGATTAGGGTTGACCCAACAGGGCTGGGGCAGATGATGATCTGAGCTGGAGGTGATGAGTCAGGACTGGTAGGTGGGCCTCGAGAGCTGCCCGTGCCCTGGGTCATGGGTGTCCTCTGTGTAAAGGCTCTTCACCAATACAGCTGTGCTCTCTGGTGACAATACAAATGCTGGATTCTATTTACAGCTGCGTGAAGGAAATAGCAGTACTGAGGAGGATGTTTTTAATGTTTCTCTTTTTTCCCAACTTTTAGCTAATTAAATCCTGAAAAACTAGTAGCAACCTACCACGTATCCCCCTTTCCTGGAAATCAGTTTCATTATCTGCACTTGGAAAACCAGGGAATTTCAAGTCTGGGTTTTGTACAGGTGCCTACCGGTGACAGGCTCTTGGTAAATATTTGTAGTTAAAATGACTACCACCAAGTTTAACTTCTAAGGTAGAGGATGGGAGGAGAGATCATGAAGTTCTCTGACTACTGAAATTTCAATTCACCTAATATTTTTTCATGGCTGTGAGCCACAGAACACACTTAGGGATGGCACAAACTCACAATCAAACACCACTTCTGTGACGTCCCAATCCCAGAAATTGCTATCAACGACATGGTTCTGGAATCAATGAGCTTCATTTGGAGACATTAAAATATATTATTTGGCAGGGCACAGTGGCTTATGCCTGTAATCCCAGCACTTTGAGACACTGAGGTGGGCAGATCGCTTGAGGTCAGGAGTTCAAGACCAGCTTGGCCAACATGGTGTCTCTACTAAAAATACAAAAGTTAGCCAGGCATGGTGGCGGGTGCCTATAATCCCAGCTACTCAGTAGGCTGAGGAACGAGAATCACTTGAACCCGGGAGGCGGAGGTTGCAGTGAGTCGAGACTGCACCACTGCACTCCAGCCTGGGTGACAGAGTGAGACTCTGTCTTAATAATAATAATGTGAAATAGCTATTGGAAATAAAACCTTCCCAGAAACATTTTTTTTCCTTTAAAATCAACCTTGAGGTGTAACTTACACATAAGAAAAGGTACTCATTTTAGGTGTAGAGTTTGATGAGTTTTGATAAGTGTATATACCCAAGTATCAACCACCCAATCACTCTAGAAAGTTTCTTCATGCACCTTGGGAGACACTCCCAGCCCCAGGCCACCACTGCTCTGCGTCACTTCTGTCACTGTAGATTAGGTGTGTCTTTTGTCTCTTCTAGAGCTTCATGTAAATGGAATTAAACAGTATCTGTGCCTGGATGCTTCTGCTCAGCAGAATGTGTTTGAGATGCACCCTTGTCATCAGCACTTGGTTCTTTTTCCCTGCTGAGTAGTATTTCATTGTATGGATGTACCATGCATTCCCCTGTTGATGGGCATTTGGGTTGTTTTCTGGAGATATTTTTAAGTCATTATTGGGGAAGGTCAGACTTAGCTTCTTGGAGCCCAAAGGGCGACCAGAGATGCCCTAGAGAGAAGGAGAGGGTATTGGACATGGCTCTCCGAACCCCACCTCCACTTCAACCCAGTCACACTTGGTGCTTATATGTTTTGCATTTTGGGTTCCCCATGTTATTTTCTTTGCAAAAAATGCATCTCTATCACTGGAGAAAGGTCTGTAAACAACTTATCTGTACAAGCCAGCCTCCACATATAGCCCTCAGGGCACAGGCTACCCTCCTCCATGGGACAGTTCTTCCATGTGTCTTTCCTTTCTCTCCTAGGGGCCTCCTGGTCTTCCTGGGCAAATTGGCCCACCTGGAGCTCCAGGGATTCCAGGCCAGAAGGTAAATCTTATCTTGACAAAGGGGGTGAAGACTTTGCAAGGGCATCGACCCCAGGGCTTCCCCTCCCCCTGTGACCCTCTCATCTTCCCAGCACTACCACCATACCCTCCTGCTGCTCCAAGGCACCAGGGGACCCGCCCACCCACCTCCCAGCTGCTGTGGCTCTTCTAGCCAACCCTTGCCATCTGCTTGGGCTCCTGTAATTCACAGAGCCTTCTGATGCTGTGGGGCCTGGGTCTAGACACACCCCTGCCCTTGCCCCAACCAGACCCACAGCGGGAGTGAGGACCCCATCAGGGACCTCGGCATCTGAGCCCCTCCCCAATCCTCCCACCTCACTCCCTGCCCTTGCTTTCCTTTTACACTCCACACACCTGTGTTTTTCTCAGAAGGTCTGCCCCTCTGTCTCCCACTCATGAGGTCCTCTCCCCTGCAAGTCTTTTTCCATCTTACCTTTCTTTCAAAGCCCTTCTCATCTTTCAAGCCCAATTCAATAGACCACCTCCTCCTTGAAGCCTCCCTGATCTATCAGGCAGAATTCCCTGCCCTTTCCTCTGCTTCTCTGGGTAGGACCTACATCATTTTGCCACCTCCCTTAACTCCCCACCTGACCCAAAGAAGGGGCTTGGTTTGTGTGAAGATGAAAGGAGCACCCTGTGGAGAGCCAGGGCAGGGGTTCTGCATTCAGGGGAGACAGGAAGGCAAGAACCCTTCTGCAAGGGAGCCAAGGGCGCCTAGGGCTCCCAGAGGCAGCAGTGGGAGGTTGTGGCTAAAACATGGACATGGAGCCAGAGCGCCCAGACTGGGATCCTGGCTCCTCAGTTCACTAACTGTGGGCCTCAGGCACACAACTCTGTGCTTTGGAGTCCTGTCTGTAGAAGAGAGGCAATGCAAATTCATACCTCCCAGCAACACAGTTAGAATTAAATGAGCAAACTCTATGGGAAAGTGTGGAGTGGGATGCCGGGTGCACTAAGCAATGCGTAACTGATGGCTGCTATGTTCTCTGCCCTGAGAGTCACCTTTAGTTGTTCCGGTTACAGGGGGAGATTGGACTGCCAGGCCCTCCAGGACACGATGGGGAAAAGGTATGAACAGACGTCCTCTGGTCAAACCTCTGAAGACAGTCTTGGCCCTGGGGGCAGGAGGTCGGGCAGGAAGGCTCTAGAATTGGCCCTGGTGTGAGCCCAGTGGGCAAGGGAAGGGGAGATGGGGGGGGGCAGGGAGAGGGGCCCACCCTGCAAGCCCCAGGAGGAGCCAGGCAGACCCAGGCTGGGCTGTCTCTGCCTGCCCCAGACAAGCACCAAAGAGCCAAGGCCTTTGGACTTTTCTACTCTCTCTCCCTCTCTCCTCTTTTCTCCATTAATGTGTCTAAGAAGCGTTTTTGGTATTTTCTAAAGGGACCTCGCGGTAAACCAGGAGACATGGGCCCTCCTGGTCCCCAAGGCCCCCCAGGAAAGGATGGACCTCCAGGAGTGAAGGGAGAAAACGGGCACCCAGGGAGCCCAGGAGAGAAGGGGGAAAAAGGGGAGACAGGACAAGCAGGCTCACCGGTGAGTGGCAGGGCTGGCTGCCCTTCCGTGCATACACCACTCCCAAGCATGACGCCAGCTTTGCAGGGCTTTGCACTTTGCATGATGTGAGCTGCTGCCTGGGCTAGAAACCTGGGGCCAGGGCTTAGGGGTGGAGGATTCACTCAGCTTCCCCTCAAGTCACTCACTTTATGAAGGCCAGTTTCCCGACTCAGGAGACCTGAGTTGTGCTCTGTCATCTGTATCCTTGGGAAAGCCACTCACTGTTGCAGAGTCTCCGTCTCCTCATCTCTAAACTGGCGATAATAATGTTTTCCCTGGATACCTCACTGGATTGTTGGGAAAGAGATGAAGACATGGTTTAGAGCTGCCTCTTTGGAAAGTGTACAGAAGCCCTATACCCGGGAGAGGCTGCATGTACAGAAACGGGGCCTTCGCCCAGTCCACTAGGCTGCTAACTTGACTTAGGGGCCTTCTCTGGGTCTCAGGGGTTTCCATCTGTGAAATGGGTGCCATCCTAGACACCTACCCTTGGAGCAAGGGAGCCACATCCTGTGCAGGCCACAGTTGGTCACACTCAGCAAGACCACCTTGAGCTCCACTAACAGAAATCATTGTCAGTCTGTAGGGTCTAGATGGCCCAACTGGGGAGAGGAGAACATGGTGGCCAGAGCAGACCCAGAGTGGCAGGATTGCCTAATCCAGCTGGGCTCCTGAGGTTTACAGTGAAGCCAGAGGGCTGGGTGTCAAGGTTGCCTGCAGGCAGCCACAGATGAGGGTCCTCCTGGGGGCCACCAGCCTAGTGGGTGCCTGACACTGTGACGAGGCTGCCCTAATCCCAAGCCTGCCGACCCAGCCTGGGAGCAGGCAGGGAGGGTCCTCTTAACAAGCAGCTACTTCATTTGAGTGTAAACAGGAGTTGCATCTTCCTTGGCTCACGGTATGATGGCCTCTAGGAGCACCAACCTAGTTCGACGGTGCTAGAATCTTGGTCTCAGAATTCTCCTCTAGGAAGTGGAAAGAGCCTCAGAGGTCAACCAGTCCCAAGTCTGACCCAGTGCAGGACTCCTCACTCAACCGGCACAGGCAGGCAGCTCACTGCCTCCAGACCTGTCCACTGCACCATGGGGCAGCCCCAGGATGGAGGGAGCATTCCTGGATATGGTGTGGAAGCTCCCTTGTCAGCCTCCCCGAGTTGACCCCTCAGAGCCTCTGGCCTCTGGAGCCATATTTATTATCTATTGCTGCATAACTAATCACTGCAAACGTAGCGGCCTAAGAAAATACACACTTATTGGCACATAGTTTCTGTGGGTCAGGAATTCAGGCACATCCTAGTTGGGTCCTCTGCCCATGGTCTCATGAGGCTGCAATTAATGTCTCAGCCAACTGTATTCTCATCTGGAGCTAGGGATCCCCTTCCAAGCTACTGGTATTGGCAGAATCCAGTTCCTTGCTGGAACAGAACTCAGCTCCTAGAGGCCACCTACAGTTCCTGCCACCTGCGCCCCTGCCCTCCCCACCTCCCGCAGAGTAGACAGTTCACATTATAGCAACTGGCATCTTCAAGGACAAGGCCAGCAGTAGGGTCTCTCTAGTGTCTAGTGCTAGCAAGACAGAGCTGTGTGCACGTGTGTTTGTGTGTTCATGTAACATATTTGTAACATAATCTTAATATATGTTATATGTCACCATCTGTATGACATGTATGTTATAATCTGCAACATAATCATAGAAGTGAGGTCCCACCACCTTTGCCATGTGCCTTACTCCACGGCTAAGAAACAAGTCACAGGTCACCCTAAGGCCTGTACGCTGCAGAGTCCACAGAGAGTATCAGCCTCTCCTCCCCTGTACTAGAGCCTCAGATTCTGTCCTGCAGGCTGACACCTCCACATCCTCCATGGTGTTCCTTGTTGACCCCTAGACCAGTCACGTCCCAGTCTAGTTTGTCACAGATGTGAGGGTGCGTCTGTCCCAGGCTTTCACAAGGGCTGGCATTCATGCAGTGGTGTTTTGTGCCCACAGGGAGAGAAAGGAGAAGCCGGGGAGAAGGGCAATCCAGGAGCAGAGGTACATGAGAGATAATTTGACAGAGACTCATCAAGCGACAGTCTCTGCAGCATGCACAGTATTTCTGTGCTTTAGAATGAAGCTTGCAACTGCCTGATGTTTACGTTTACTGAGCACCACCATAGGTCAGGCACTGATCCTCTGGACTGCTCCAGTCTTCCCAAACCACATCTCTCAGCAACCTTCACAGAGCACCTCCCATGCTTCCATCCTGGTGCTAGAGTCTGGAGATACGAAAATAAACAGAACTTGCCGGGCACGGTGGCTCACGCCTGTAATCCTAGCAATTTGGGAGGCTGAGGCAGGCGGATCACCTGAGGTCGGGAGTTTGAGACCAGCCTGGCCAATATGGTGAAACCCCATCTCTACTAAAAATACAAAATTAGCCAGGAGTGGTGGCAGGTGCCTATAATCCCAGCTATTCGGGAGGCTGAGGCAGGAGAATCACGTGAACCCAGGAGGCAGAGGTTACAGTGAGCCAGGATTGTGCCACTGCACTCCAGCCTGGGCAACAGAGTGAGACTCTGCCTCAAAAAAAAAAAAAAAAAAAAAAAAAAAAAAAACAGAACCATCCCTCCACAGCTCACAATACCCCATAATGGGCACTAGCATGGGAGCAACTCAGGGAATCGGGCAAGCATCCCAAAAGACTTTCTATTTGGGCAGAGTCTTGACGGCTTTGTAGGAGTTTGCCACAAAGTTTCAGAGGTAGGCTTTCCAGATAGAGGCATTATTCTTTTGAGAAGTGTGGTGAAAGGAAGAGAAAACAGAATGGCTGAGTGAGAATAGTCAGGATGGAGGCAAGGTTTTCAAAAGACAGCAGAGAATCAGGCATATTTGCGGGCTCAGGGGCAAGAACCCGGAAAGCAACGGAGATCAAGGATGCGTGAGAGACAGGATGTTTGGTGGCGGGGTCTGGGCAACCCAAATAGCACCTCAGACCCATGGGAGAGACCACCAAGCCTTCTCAGTCCCCATCAGGGTGGGTTCACCTTGCCAAGCCCCGTCTGAATGTAGTGAAACAGGCCTGATTGTACAATGTGTATGGTACTTGTTTCGAAATGGATAGCCTCCTAAAGAAATGATCCTAATTCAGGAAAAGCATTATACGCACATTGTCCCTCCAAGAAGTATTTAAAATAAACATTAGAAACACTCTAAATTTTATCAAGAAGGAAAGGATTAAATAACTTATAGTAATAATACTAATAGTAATAATAGTCACCACGTCTGAGCACTTCCCTCGTGCCAAGCACCGCACTAAGCCCTGGGTATGTAACAACTCATTTTCACTCCACCCAGTGAATAGCACAGCACCGTTACCAGGAAGCTGGTGGCGAACATATAAAAAATGGAAACATCAGTTTCACAGTAAGTGAAAAAGAGTTGAAAACGAAATTTTATACATATATGAAATCATAAGCATATACATATATGTATATACAATTCTACACATATTATATGTAAATATCAAAAGTATATACATATATTCAAGCACATCTGATACATCAAGAAAATGTTTAAATTTTCTCTTTAAAGAAAATTTTAAAAATTCTTTTTATTCTTTTTATTATTTTTAAAATTACCACCCAGGTAAAATTGACTTCTTCTGGAATGTGTCCAGTTCTGTGAATGTTAATGCATGTAGAGATTTGTATAACCAATACCATGATTAGGATACATAAACCACTTACTTATAATAAGAATTAAAATGGTAAACTTTTGTTAAAAATGGGAAGCTTTTTTTAAGAAGGCAGAGTTTCCAAAGACTGTGTTCCCTCCAAGGAGACTGTGATGGAGCGACAAAGTCCACAGGTCCAGGAAACAATAGGGACCTCCTGTCTGCCCAGTGTAGGGGTGCCCTCTGTCGTGGCCTGGCACAGGAGTCACTCCCCTGGCCATGCTCCAGGGAATTCTACCCCTGGGAAGACGAGGCACCTGAGGAGAGCCCTGAAGCCGAGGCGGGGTGAGCAGCTCAGAAGGACCCAGCAGTGGCTGCCTGTGGATGAAAGGATGTGTGTGTTCATCAGAGACAGAAGCTGCAATGGGCACCACCCTCTGTAGAGGAGGCAGCCCTGAGCTCCTCCATCTTCACTGTCCAGTCAGAATCTCCTCTAGCACAATCTGCATCTGCTCTCAAGGGAAACAGAGACCAGCAGTCCCCATCCTGTCTGTAACAAACCTTGGGGACTTGAGGAGCAATCTCCAGGAACAGCTCAGTCTCCCCACATTCCAGATAACCAATCTCTGCTTCTCTAAGCCAAGGGTCTCAAACTCAAATGTCTACAAGGGTCAGGCCTGCAAAAAGTGACTGCAAGAGCGCTGGATCAAAGACAATAAGGAGTGGTGAGGACTGGGGTAAACTGAAGGTGTCATGCCCCACCTAGAGGGGAAAGCTCTAATTCCACTCCAGGCTGTTGTTGCCATGCATGAACAAGAACCTAGTGCTGCTAGATCTTCTGGTGTTTTTTTTGTTTTTTTTTTTCCAAGAAAAATCTGGAAGAATAGATCTTTAGGGACAGTTCCTGGAAATTTGCTTTTTCAACATTGAGCAGTCCACCGGGTTGCTATGAGTTTTTGACCTGTTCTGAGCCTTTTTTGGGGGATACTGTGCTGGGCAGTCACTGGCTGACCTCCAGTGGGCAGCCATGTCCTCCTCTGGCCTTGCAGTCTCCAGCTGGGCTCTAGGCCCTATCAGGAGGGAGGGCCACTTCAAATGTAACAGGGCTCCCCTTTGGCTTTTAGGTTCCTGGGCTGCCAGGGCCAGAGGGGCCTCCCGGACCTCCGGTAAGTTTGGAGGGCTTGTCAGTGGCCAGTCCACTAATGTCCCCTCTCCACAGCAGTCACTGGGCTCAACCTCAGCCTTAGTCACTATCACCTCTTCCTCCCAGGGAGGGATTTTCTGGTCTACAAACCCCTCCCCGCTCCTTTTCCCTCCCATGTTAAACAGCACCATACTGGGGACACCAAGGAGCCCAGGCATTGCCTGGTTTCCTGGAAATAGCTGACTGGTAGGGCAGCCCCAGGGTCCCTTGTCTCTAAGCTCTGCCCAACATTTACCTCACCCTTTGCCATCAAACATCTGCTTCTCCCATTCCTCATTTGAAAGTGACTCACCGGTCTGGCACAGTGGCTCACGCCCGTGATACCAATCTGGCACTCTGGGAGGCTGAGGCAGGTGGATCGCTTGAGTCCGGAAGTTTGAGACCAGCCTGGGCAACATAATGAAACCCTGTCTCTTCTAAAAATACAAAAAATTAGCTGGGCGTGGTGGCACACATCTGTAATCCCAGCTACTCAAGAGGCTAAGGTGGGAGAATCACCTGGGCCCCAGAGATCGAGGCTGCAGTGAGCCAAGATGGCACCACTGCACTCCAACCTGGGCAACCAGAGTGAGACCCTGTCTCAAAAAAAAAGAAAAAGAGAGAAAGAGAGGGAGGAGGGAGGGAGGGAGGGAGTGAGGGAAGGGAGGGAGGGAGGGAGGGAAGGAGGGAAGGGAGGAAGGAAGGAAGGAAGGAAGGAAAGAAGGAAGGAAGGAAGGAAGGAAGGAAGGAAGGAAGGAAGGAAGGAAGGAAAGGAAAGGAAGGAAGGAAGGGCGAGCCCCAGCCCCACTGGATTGGCTTTCCTTGGCTACAGAAATGTAACCATGGGGCCCCTGTGCATCACCCCTAGAGGGCCCCCAAGCACCCTGAAGCAACAGATGCTGGCCCATGCCTCTGTGTGGTTCATGGTCCCCAAGGCACTGTGTGTCCTCTGTTGTGGATGGTAGAAGTAGCAGTAGGAATAATGATAGGAGCCAGCGTTTATTGAAACTTATTGGATGCTAGACACTGTTCCAAGCACTTTGCCTGTATTAATTTAATGTTTGCTGTGTTACCTCCGTGTCTTTCTTTCATGAGACTCTGGGTCAACCATGAGGACCACAGAGAGATTTTCTGTGAGCCCTGGCTGGAAAAGACTGGCTCAGACTATTCCCTAGGAAGCCCCAAGCATGACCCCCACTTAGCATTTCTTTCTACCTCTCATGGGCAGGGACCCCAAACCATACTCTGCACCCAAAACCCTTGTTCTTCTGTGATCCATTTGTGGACTAGGCAGTTGTGTTAACTAGAGATGCAGTTCTAATGCACCTTGCTTTATTCCAAATGCAGGGGCTCCAAGGTGTTCCTGGACCAAAGGTAAGGAGAAGTCACATGACAGGCGCTGTGTCAGTGCTAGTAGAAAAGAGGGAAAGTGCACCTGAGACCAGCTGACCCTTTTTCCTAGAAGGCATTAGGTGACACTCCAGCCAAGGGGGTCCAGTCAGGGCAGGAGGAAGTCCTAGATTCCCTTTAGCATCCATCATTGACACCTGGTGTGCTTTGGCTTCAGAAGCTTCCCATCTGTCACCCCACAAAGGGACAGGTTAGATTCTTAGCCAATGGTTAAAATCCTTTTCCCATCAAACCTGCCCTGGCCCCTTCACTCATGCCGAGTAGAGGTGGGAGAGAGACAGCAACATAGGGTGGGACCCCTCCCTGGGTCAAGCTTGGGGGGACTCTGCACTGGGCTCTCCCGGCCTCCCCTGAACCATTTCAAATGGATGAGGGGGCTGGGGGCTGTTGATGTGACAATGGCCCTTTCCTCATGCCCTGGTATTCAAGAGACTTCGGGGCAGTTTGTTCTCCCGACTAGGCTGTGAGCCTCAGGGCTCTGGAGGTAGCATCTCAGGCATCTGAGCAAATCTCTGTAAGGTTCCCATTCTCCTGCCATGCAGTTGGGCACCTGTGCCAAGGCCTGACCTGTGGGTTTGTCCCCAGGCCACCTAGTCCTTTTCTCTGTGGGGCTCTCAAAGCTCCCACAGGATACAGGGGCTACTAACTGAGGCGAGAGTAGGCTAAGAATTCAGGGATTCTTGGTATCCTCAGCCTGCCACCCTGACCCCTCCTTCCTCTACAAATGCCACCCCAGCCTCCAGGACCCCAGAATGCAAGAATGAATTGTCTGGGACATGTCCTTGTGTGATCTCGTCCCCTCTCCCTTTCCTCCAGGGGGAAGCAGGACTAGATGGAGCAAAAGGAGAGAAAGGCTTCCAGGGAGAAAAAGGAGACCGTGGTCCCCTGGGACTACCCGTAAGTACCTTGGACCCAGCAAGACTGGTGGGTTTGATGGGCCAGGGGTGTGGGCTGGGACTGGGGGACAGCCAGCGGAAAGCTAAGGTTCTAGAGTCTGAGCATCCAGAGTTCCATGTGGTTTGTCTTTCCCACCTGGGCAAGACCACAGGCTCTGATTCTCTTCCTCCTCTGGGCCCAGGCCCCACCTTGGTGCTGGGGAAAGGCAATGCTGAAGAAGACAGGCTCCCCCACCCCAAGGGGCACTGAGCTGGGAGGGCAGCTTCAGGCCCTGCTTGAGCCTGGTTCAGAAGCAATCAAAGCCTGCTGCCTTTACGGGGCCAAGCTTGGAGGGTTTGGAAGTAGTGGGACAAGAAGATAGTCTCCATTACAGTCCATTTTCCCAGAGGGACCCCAAGAGAACTCTTGCTCCCCCCTCTTAAGCACTGGTCATTGCAGAAAGGCACAGACAAAGTCAGACTTTGTGGTCCCAGCAGGCCAAGGCCGTTCATCTCCTGGGTTCGTGGAGATCTCTGATCTCAGCCTGCCCAGAGCCAGAAGCCCCAGGTCAGAGGTGGGGAGCTGCTCAGAAGGTGTTCACATGTCATGATATGGGGCTGGGCTGGATAGGGCTGATGGCCTCTTCACTGCCTCACCTGTGTACAGGTGAGCGCATCCCACCACCCTCCCTGGAGCCCGGGCTCCATGCCCCCTAACCCTCCACTGAGGTTGGCATTCTTCCAAGAGCTGGAAGGGATGTTAGCGATCCATCCCATCATTTCACTGATGGTCCCAGAGAAGAAAGTGGGTCACTGGAGGTCACATACAAAGTTGGTGGCCAAGCCAGAGGCTGATCTGAGGCCATGGCCTTGCAAAGCGACTCCTTCCAGCCACTCAGGCTTCCTCTGTCCTGGGCTCAAGGCCAGTTCCCACCCCAGGTAGCCATAAAGAGCAGAGAAACAATGGAAAGCCCAGTTACCCCCGCTTGGCAGAGCTTGAAGGCCTGGTTAATACAATCACAGCAACCAAACAGCAAATGCAGGAGGTATAATTATACCCTCATGAATGCATTCGAGGTAGGAATATTTAAGAAGCCAATCTGCTTGACAGACTACAGAAAACTGATGACTTTAGCAGGCATTTTCCCATGTCTTAAGCTGTGTCTGGAATGATTAAGTGCTCCTTACTATTAAAGAGCCTTCCTGCCCCACTCAACCACAAACCTCTTCTTATCCACATTCATGGCCCCAACGACCTTGATGAACACTCGAGAATTCAGTCAGGGGTTGAAATGCAAAAGGCACAGCGACCAAACAGGTAATATTAATATAAACAAGGAAAGTGCCAGATGAAAGACAAAGTACCTACTCTATCATTAATTTTCTCACTTTTGATAGAGGCATGGGTACAGAGAAGTATTTTTTTTTAGTTTAAGTAAACAACAGAACAAGCATTCATATGAGACAACTGACACAAACCTGAGGGAGACACTAGGGAGTGGAGGGGACTGTGGTGCACTAGAGACCGTGTATCCCTTCTTAAGGGGAACCGTCCCTTCTCAGCTCAGCTGACTGTTGCCTTGGAGGAAGGCGGAGCTGGTATTTCTGGATCTTCCTATTTTTCAAAGGAAGTTAAACATCTGGTGTTTTATGTGAAATCTTTCCATTTTCTAATATTAGATCAAAATTATTTGCAACACTGCAGACCATAAAAAATATGTCAGTGGCCCACATATGGCCTGAAAGCCTCTAATTTGTGCTTTCTGCTCCAGACCTCTCAAGACAACTGAGTTTTAATGCTGCATTTTTTTAAAGTACATGGATATTTAGCTACCATTCTGTTTCCAGGTTTCACCTGGATGTTTTATTCTATGTAGTAGCAGCCTGCTTCTCCAGGCATATCCTGGAGTGTTCCCCCATTTGCCCTGCAGAAGCAATTCTCAATGCTGGCTGCACACTGGAATCCCCTGAGAGCTTTTCAAACTCACCATCACCCCGGGCTTCACTCTTGGAGATTTTGAATTGCATCGGGCTGGGATGGGGTGGGACCCAGGCATCTGTTTTATTTAACATTGCCCCCAAGAGATTCTAATGTGCTGCCAGGGCTGAGAACCACAGCTCTCTAGCCCAGTGAGTCAAGGTCGGTCCCAGAATCGTGTGGTCCTAAATCTGAGAAGAGTCCCTGCAGAGTCCTTCTACCCAACACCTTTTCCATGAAGCAGCAGCTCGTTGCCTCCTTCTTGGGACTTCCTTTTCATTTGAAATTCTGAGGCTGAGGCTCAGTTGGAAGCAGTTTTCAAGCACTCAGTCCTTACCAGGCCAGAGTATTGCCGCTGCCTTCTCCCTGACTTGTCACATTGGAATCATTAGAAAAGGGTCCCTGGGTTTTCCTGGGTGGGTTTCAGAGGCAGCTTCATAACCCAGGGTTGGAACAGGAGTGCCACCCCACCCCCGACCCACCAACCTTGTATTTCACTGGACAAGAGCAAGTAAGGGTGCTGATAGCAGGTTGGTCTCAGTAGCTTCCCACCTGCTGCCCATTTGCTCTGGGAAATACATGGCCTTAGACCTCTGTCCCAGGCCGCTGCCTCCAAAGCCTTTGCCTACACAAGAGCCCTTGTCTGGGAGCATATGAATGGATCGAGTTTAGGTTGAGCATCTCAGACTGTAAAGTGCCAGCGAAATGTCAGGCATCATTTGTAATATCATCTAAGAGCCAACTCATTCCCCCAGGGTGAAGGATAAGCAGAACAACTCCTACCCAGATTTCACAACTGGGTGCTGTCACCCAGGGCTGAGACCCTCAGGGGCACCCCAGCATGGCCTGATCCAAACAGGAATGCAAAGAGGCTGGGAGAGCCGTCCTCACCTGGGGCCCCTCCCCAGTGAAACCTGTCCTGGGAAGGGTGCACAGCTCTGATTCCAAGACATCTCTCTAAGCATTCCTTTCTGTATCCCTTTCCCCATAACACTGAAGGGAGAGGGGTTTCTGAGAGGGAATAAAGGGAGAGAGGAGAAGGGGGGCGGGAGGAGCAGGTGGCCATCTGCGCCGACCTCCACCCAGCCTGCTCAGCAGCCAGCCACTGCATTCAGTGTCTCCATGTTTTCGTTGGTTTCCATGTAAATACCATTCCGTGTCCTCCCAAGCTTATTTCTCCAGTTGTGTTTGATTACCAGCATTTATGTCTGTCCAGAGTCACTGCTTTACTCACCTCTTCCCTCCCCATTGTTCCCTTTTTCTCCCTCCCAATCCTCTCTTCCCCTTCTTTTGGTCAAACTGTGCCCTTCGTCCAGGGAGCTTCAGGTTTGGACGGCAGGCCTGGGCCACCGGTGAGTGTCACTTCTCCATCACCCCTCACCCCACTCCACTCCACACCTGGCCTGTGATCCCTTTTGTCTGTCCCACTGTGGCCTCATTTTCCCAGTGAATCATGCCTGGTCCCACCTCCGACACCAGAAAGGTGCCACTGATGCTCTGAAGTGCCTTTTCTGGCCTCTTGACCAAATATGGCTGGCCTTCATCTGAATGCCCCTGTCCACAGAATACACCCAGGGACCTCAAACCTGCCAGGTGTGGGGTGGGAGGCCACTCCAGCAGCACCGCTCCTGATTCCACAGGAATGCTGAGTCCAGCCTGGGTGCCCAGCCCTGGAGGTTTGAGCCATGGCCTCTCCCCACCAAACACACCAGTGTCTGTGTGTGCCCGTCATGCTGTGTTGTCTTCATGCTGTGAGCTCTGTCCATCTCCTGTCTTCCCACGAGGGCCTCCTAGTCTTGTGCAGCCACCAGTCTGGTATATGTGGGGTAGGACAGCTTTGAAGGCTGAGGACAGGAGTAGCCTGCAGAAGCATAGAAGCCAGTCCCAGCTCTGTGTCTTATGCACGTTCTAACCACCCTTGCACTGCCTATGACAGCACAGTCGCCCTGCAACCCAACATGGCAGTTCACTACAGAGCAAGTGAGGCACACTTGGGTCCTCTCTTCCTCCATTCTTTCTGATTCCAGAAAACAGGCATCATTTACTATTGACTAGAAAGCACCTGGCCCTTCTGCTTATGACTAACAACTGAAGGATCAGAGGAAAATTCCCTCCTGTCCACCTCCGGTCCCTCCCGTGAGCGCCCTCTGAGGTCAACCTTCCCAGGGTATTGAGCTCACTCGCCCTCAAGTCTCGAGTCCCTGCTCGGACACCATCACGAGAGCTCTGTGCACCCAGCCCCTTCCAGCCAGGGAGGCCCTGCTCTGTCCTGCAGAGGGCTTTCAAGGCCACATCTGCCCATGGCCTGCATGGAGTTCTAGTTAGCTGGCTGGAGCCACCCTCAGGGGAGGCGAGACCTTGCCAGGGTTCATGTGTGCAGCGTAGGGGACACACTGAAGCACAGGCTCACAGGTCTTCCCAGGTGGCCGGGGGCACTTGCAACCGGCACCAAGAGAAGCCCAGAGCTTTTAGAGGTAGGAGGGTCAAGATAGACCTCTGTGAGAGCCCCATCCTACTGAATGCCTATTCTGTGCCCTCATAAATAGGAGATGACATGGCTTGCCCAAGATGACAGACTTCTTCAGAGCCCCCCACCTCCCTGCACTGATGGAGTTCACACTGTAAACCCTTACATGCAGAGAGCATGCCCTGGCTTCCAGGAGTTATTATGGCTTTGCTCCTTCGCCACAGTCCCTCCCTCTCCATCCTTCCCCACCTAGCAAACCTGTCTCAGGTGCGGGCAGGGCTCGGGGATGATCTGTGGTTGCAATCAGAGAAACCAAGACTTTCCTCTCAATGGCTTCTCCCTTTTATGTTAGACCGAGGGAAGCAGTACAAATTCATACACTCTGTCCCTTAGGAACTGAGTCTTTATTTTCCTCATAAAATCAGTATCCTAACTTTAAGGGAAAATGTGGGGAAAAAAAATAAGCCTTCCCTGCCAATATTAACATTTATTGAGCACTTCCTACGCGTCAGGCTCAGCACCAAATGCTTGCTACGCATTCATGCATGGAAACCTGGCACGGTCAAGGAGGCAGACACACGTGGTACAGACGGGGAAACCGACACTCGGCAAGGCTAAGGAGCTTCTCCAATACCCAGGAGTTTGTAGGCCTCCGAGGCAAGGCCAGCCACATGACTCCGTGGCGCTGTGCCCAACCACTGGCCCGAGCTGACTCCTTATTGTTTTTGAGACAGAGTCTCGCTCTGTCACCCAGGCTGGAGTGCAGTGGCGCAATCTTGGCTCACTGCAACCTCCACCTCCGGGTTTCAAGCGATTCTCCTGCCTCAGCCTCCCGAGTAGCTGGGATTACAGGCACCCACCACCATGCCGGACTAAATGTTGTATTTTTAGTAGAGTTGGGGTTTCGCCATGTTGGCCAGACCGGTCTTGAACTCCTGACCTCAGGTGATCCACCCGCCTCGGCCTCCCAAAGTGCTGGGATTACAGCCGTGAGCCACTGCGCCCAGCCTCCTTTTTCTTTCTGCTGTGCTATTATGGATGCCTGCAGCCTTCCTTCCCTCCTTGTGGTTGCAAAGGGGGGCCCTGAGGACATCTTACTCCCCTCTTTGTCTCACGTGAAGTAAGTCATGCCCCGCCATTCACAGATACATTCAGAGCACAGGAAACTGTCCACAGCCCAAGTCAACTCCTCCTGTCCTCATCTGAGGCCAACAACAGGAGACGCTGAACTAGAGACTTGGTCTGGCCAGGCTGTGAACTGGGAACGTGGGAAGATGTTGGAGGAGGCCAGAGCAAGCCCTGATGCTCCATGTCTAAGCCGTGAGCTCCAATGGCTCCAGCGCCCCCAGCCCCGGGCTAGCAGAGCTCATGACACGCCTCCCTGCCAGGCCGGTGTCGGTGCAGACATTGAGGCACCCTAATTCACCCCCCGATCCAGCCAGTTCCGCAGGCCTGTGAGTGGGGCGAGAAGGCCCCGGCCAGAGACTGAGGCCAGGGCTGTGGGTCTGCGGTGGGCCGGTGGGGTGGGTGTTGGCTGAACAACCCTCTCTCGTCTGCCCCTGTGTGTGCATCCGCATCCATCTCTGTGGCATGAAGACCCTCCCGCTGCATGTGGAGCTGCAAAGCAAAGAGGGTGCCAGCCCCCGGCCCCTGCCCCGGGATGGGTCCACTCCCTCCCAAGTGCTTCTGGGAGCAAAACTAAGCAACCATTCTCCCATTGTTTTCAGCCTTGGCAAGCTTGGTTGTGAAGCAAAAGGGTTTCAGTCCACAAATCTGGCTCTGAGGCATGGGGAGGTGCTCTCTCCCCAACAGCCCCTGAACCCAAAGAGGATCACGGCCCAGTCGAATGACTGCCCTGAACGAGCCTGGCCTCGCCAACTCTGAAAACTGGGCCTTGGACCTTGCTCATCTCTAGGCATCAGGTGGGGCACCCAGGGCTCCCCAGAGTGTGGGGACCCTCACCTCTGCTTTCTTTCCCCTTCCCAGGGTACTCCAGGACCAATTGGAGTTCCAGGCCCAGCGGGACCAAAGGGCGAGAGGGTGAGTGTCACTGAGCCAGGGGCCTGGGCGGCCAGGAGGGAGAGGCATGCCTGGGACCCAACACCAGGGGTCTCAGCCCTCATGCCTTCCTTCTTCCATCTCTTCTCCTGGTCATCCTCACAGCAGCCTGGGACAGGGGGTGCTGGTTGTGTAGCTATGAGTTGACAAGACTTGGAGGGATCAAGGAGATGGAGAGGCCGGGCACGTTGGCTCATACCTGTAATCCCAACACTCTGGGAGGCCAGGTTGGGAGGATCACTTGAGCTCAGGAGTCTGAGACCAGCCTGGACAACATAGCGCAACCCAGACTCTACAAAAAATTTTTTTAAAATTAGCCAGGCATGATGGTGCACACCTCTAGTCCTAGCTACTTGGGAGGCTGAGGCAGGAGGATCAGTTGAGCCCAGGAAGTGGAGGCTGCAGTGAACCATTATTATATTACTGCACTCCAGCCTAGGAGACAGAGCAAGACCTTATCTCTATAAAAAAAAAAATGAAAAAGAAAAAGAAAGAAAGAAAGAAAAAGAAAAAGAAAAAAGAGGAAAAGAAAAAAAAAGGAATTGGAGAACTTCCTCCACTTTGGCTTCTGGCCACCTTGTGTCCATCTCAGGTTCAGTTTGGCAAGGCCCTGGGCGCCATTGTCACTGGACATGCCTAAACTTTGTAATGATTTAGGGAAACTGCATGGAACAGAGGGCCAGGTGGTGTTTAGATAATTCCTCGAGGACAGCAGGAAGTCAGGAGGCCAGAGCCATAGGCCAGGCTCCCACGGTCGCTGTCGATGGACGTTGGCCATGTCACAGGACTTGCAGTTCCTGGCCTGTCCTGCTGGAATGGGCATGTCCGAGGGTGAGGGTGGAGGGTGTCAGCTGAGTGGAGGCAGGGGAGCTGTGTCTTTCTATATCAGCTCTTCCCAGCCAGCCCCTGGGTTCTACACACTCAGGGCTCGGAGGTCCCTGTGTGGGCATCCGTCGAGTTCTCTGCCTGTGTGGGCAGCTCCCTGCACTCCCCATCCGCCCACCTTGCTGGCTCTGTCTCAGGTGGGGAGGGCAGGAGCTTCTGCAGAGGGCACAAGCTTCTCCGTGACCACCAGCTTGGGGAAACCAGGAGGCTGCTCTGAGAGGTGACCCTTGAGGCTCTGGAGAAGAAAGCAAAGCTCTCTTTCTCTTCCCTTTCTCTTTCCCTGCCTTCCTGCCCTGCTTTCTTCGCCCCTGTTTCAGCCTCAGGCCAGCCAGGCCCAGGACACCACGGGTCATTCTGGGAGGCCTTGGGGGATAGGCTCTGCTGGAGGGAGAGTGAGGGGGGCTTCTGAGCCCCCTCCCCAAGGCAGTGTTCGCATCAGCAGCACCCCACCTTTCCCATAGCCCTTGCTTCCCGGAGGGCTCTTGAGGGGACTGGAGAGGTTTCCTGTATTTCATACCAAAGTAGAAAATGGCAAGGAAGATTGTTACCGTGTCTGGCAGGATTCATGCATTTCTTTCTCCCATTTCAGGGCAGCAAAGGAGACCCTGGGATGACAGGACCAACGGGAGCAGCTGGGCTTCCTGTGAGTCTCTTGGGATCAGAGGTTCCTCTCCTCCCACCCCTGCCCCCATTAGAAATACCCACGGCCGGCCGGGCATGGTGGCTCACACCTGTAATCCCAGCACTTTGGGAGGCCGAGGCGGGCGCATCACGAGGTCAGGAGATCAAGACTATCCTGGCCAACACGGTGAAACCCCGTCTTTACTAAAAATACAAAACTTAGCCACGTGTGGTGGTGCGCACCTGTATCCCAGCTACTCGGGAGGCTGAGGCAGGAGAATCTCTTGAACCCAGGAGGTGGAGGTTGCAGTGAGCCGAGATCGCACCACTGCACTCCAGCCTGGGTGACAGAGCGAGACTCCATCTCAAAAAAACGAACACACAAACCAAAAAAAAAAAAAAAAATCACCTAGGGCCTGGAGCACAAATCCAGGGCCAAGGGAGAACTCTCATTTCCATGACAGACAAAGCTGCCAAGAGGCAACTGGTGATAGGCTAGCATGCCCTGCTGGGCATTGCGCTGTGAGAGGACCAGGGCCTCTGCCATGGGGACCCTGTAATGGGATGTAGCCCCTCCCACTGTGTTAAGTGCAGCCTGCCCTCAGCAATGTGTGCGCCATGGCCCCTGCCCTCAGAAGGGGCAGAATCAAATCCAGACCCCTGTGATAGGAGAGGCTTCATGAGCGGAGCAGCTGGGCCTTGCAGGGGACACCTGGCTTTCCATCACGGCATGCTTTCCCACCACTGTGTTACAGAAGTTGAGTGTCTGCCTGAGAGAGCCCGCACTTTAGTTTCCCATCCACTGGAGGCTGTGTGTGTTGGCCAGGTACGCACATCTGGGCCAGGCTTGTCTCATGCTAAATTCCCCTAGCTGTAGAATGAAGAGCATTTTGCACCTTGAAAAGAGGGTCTAGCAAGAGCCTGGCAGGAGAGCCTTGGGAACTCCCCTCTGCCTAGAGCATTCCTGGCCCCCACAAGCGCATCCTCAGAACTGACCCCTCACCTGCGGTAGTGACCTCGGGAAAACCCAGCCACAGGCCAGGACCTGGGCTGGAGAGGTGAGAAAACCAGAACTGTGTTTTTTTGTTTTTTGTTTTTTGTTTTGAGACGGAGTCTCACTCTGTCGCCAGGCTGGAGTGCAGTGGCATGATCTCGGCTCACTGCAACCTCAGCCTCCCAGGTTCAAGCGATTCTCCTGCCTCAGCCTCCAGCGTAGCTCAGACTACAGGTGCCCACCACCACGGCCAGCTGATATTTTTGTATTTTTCATAGAGACGGGCTTTCACCTCGTTGGCCAGGATGGTTTCGATCTCTGGACCTCGTGATCCGCCCACCTCGGCCTCCCAAAGTGCTGGGATTACAGGCGTGAGCCACCGTGCCCAGCCTGAAGTGTGTTCTTGGCTTTGCCCAGAACTCATCATTTGCCTCTAGGTCAGGTTTTCTTAGCGATTTGCTTCTCTGTCCCCTTTCCGTGTAGTGGGAATAACTAAACCTGTCTCCAGTGAGTGAGGCATTGGGAGAGTTTGATGAGCCTGGAAGAAAGCACTGTACAGCTGGCCTGTGTGTCCTCATTAACATGCCTTTCTTCCTCTGATCTCTTGCAGGGTTTACATGGACCACCCGGGGACAAGGGAAACCGGGTGAGTCTGAGCCCCTGCACTCGTGCTCTAGTTACTAATGTCTTCATGATGGGGTGGAATGATCGATCGGTGATTCCTGACCAACATGGCGAACAGTTTTTCCTGATAAGTCATCCTAAATTGAAAGGCTTTACAAGGAGGGCCTTAACCTGTGGCATGTAGGGAGCCTGGGGCCTGATCCTCACATGGAAGCCTGTATTTTTCCACACAGCAAGGAGAGACTGAATCCCATGGCAGCCACCAGCTTAGCATTGCTATCCAGCAACAAGATCCATGTGTCCAGCTCTTTCTAGGTTGCCCTGATTGTGGGCCCCTACGTGATCATTTTAGATCCATTGCTACCTTGTCCTTGCCCTCTGAAACTTGGTTTTGCCAGGCATTCCAGGCCACTGGTGAGAGAGAAAATAAATTCCAGCTCCAAGAACAAGCAGACAGTTGTTGGAAGCAGCCAACCCTTTTAAAAAATATTACAGCCACTATTTCTCTTGGAAAGAGTCGGCAGGGCTCTGAAAGGACTGCGCCTTCTCAGACCCTTGCTGTCCCTTTGGTTTCTGCCATCTTCACCAGGACACACTTACCAAATGCCCATGGCACCCACAGCCACATAACAGGGGGTGGCACCGACCACAGCCTTCAGCATTTGGGCCCAGCAGGGAGAATTTAACTACATCTGACCAAGAGATGGCCTTTGGGTTCCCCTCTGGAGGGTCTCATCTGCTGCTGCATCATGGGGCTTCCTGGAGTGGGGGGCACACCCCCTAGAAACCAAGTGTGTCTCCTAGCGGGTCCTAAAATCCAAGGCGCTTAGAGGAGAAGGAACAGATGGAGAAACAAGGCCCAGACAATGATTATGTGTTCTGGGATCCCATGGAGAGTTAGAGGAAGAGCACACGGTCTCCAGAACCCAGGTCTTGTGGCTGATCTTTGCACACTGATACCATGTTCATGCACAGAAAGTGCCAGAATGCCTATGCTCCTATCTGGCAACAGTGAATTCCATCTCTTCAACTCAAGATCTATTTACTGAGCACTCCCATTTTCCTAAGTGCTCTTCACTGGCAGCTGGTCAAAAGCAACTCAGTTTGTCCCGCATCTTCTATAAACAAGAGGGAGCAGCAGCGCCACCCCTGCCCATGGCAAGACCAGGTCTGGAAACTGCCGGAATAAACAGACCTGCTTCCAGATGCTCTAAGCACGCTGGGAAGGACTTTCCTCAGTGTGGCATCAAAGGATTTAGGCCTCTAAAATCTTTGATCATTCCACCTCTTCATTGGCATACTAACTTCCTTTCAAATGTCTTTCTGACATGTTCTAGTTTTCTTTATTATATTCAATTAGTATTTTCTAAACCTCCTTCTTCAGACTTTTTCAGTTGGCTGGAGACACTGAGCCGTTTGAAGGCTGCAAAATCGGTCCTTCAAGGGACGGTGACCATGTTGCTCTAGAGGTGGAGGCAGGACAAGTACCCTTGTCACAGACAGAGGGAGGGTGGGGGCTGGCGGCTCTGATGCTGCAGCAACTGAGGTTATTGAGTCATCCACGGAGGCCCCAGGAATCAGTGGGAAAGTATTTCTATTCCCCTTCCCCTTCCCGATGTTTGACACACTTTCCTCCATCCCCTTTACAAATTAGGAATGTGTCACTTAGTAAAAGTCAAGTTCAGAAAACAATGAGGTGGCACGCACCTTTCTTTTGAGCACACCATAAAGAGCCAATTGACTTATTCCCAAAGAGCAGGTTTCCAACTCAAGGGCAGCTTGTCCTCTTCATGCCGGGGATTTGACTCTCAGGATGCCCAAATGTCCTGGAAGAGTCTCCCCTCAATCTTGCCTCCCATTCTGACCTTTCTTTGTTTCTTCGAGACAGAGTCTTGCTCTGTCGCCAGGCTGGAGTGCAATGGCGCGATCTCAGCTCATTGCAAACTCCGCCTCCCGGGTTCAAGTGATTTCCCTGCCTCAGCCTCCTGAGTAGTTGGAACTACAGGCATGCGCCACCACGCCCGGCTAATTTTTTGTATTTTAGTAGAGACAGGGTTTCACCATATTGGCCAGGCTGGTTTCAAACTCCTGACCTCAAGTGATCCTCCTGCCTCGGCTCCCAAAGTGCTGGAATTACAGACATGAGCCACCGCACCTGGCCCAGAGATTTGTTTTATCTTACAGTGAACCAAGATACAACCTTACAGGTATGCTTCTCCATGTCCCATCAAAGGATGGTCTCAGAGCCTCTTTCCTGTTCATGGAAGGAAAGTCCTTGTCATGGTGGGCAAAGGCCCGGAGCCCCAGACCAGGAGCTTTCTAAGGGACACACACGCCAGTGGAAAGAATATCCTGACCTTGTCACTAAGGGTGCTTCCCTTTCCCCTAAGTAGCTCTGTGAATTTGGCCCGGGAGCCACCTTTAGGGTAAGAAATCAGTCAAAAGATAAAGGGTGGCATGAATCTGGCAATATAATCATTCAGGAAAATTGGATGTTACTGTGGAGCTGCCTGCAAACCAGCCAGCTGAAAAGGTCTGTGTGCATGCAGTGAGGCTGCTTCTGCTCTCTGAGATGCCCAACTTTGGGGGGGTGGGGGGTGCACGCATGTTTGTGTGTGTGTGTGTGTGCGTGTGTTTGTGTGTGCGTGTGTGTGTGTGTGTGCATGTGTTTGTGTGTGCGTGTGTGTGTACGTCTCACTTCCTAAGTCCGTCTTGTCTCCTCACTTCTTCCTCCTCCACTATCTCTTTTGGCCTCTTCCTTTACTGCTTCTCCCCCCAGATATGTTCATTCCGTTATAATAGTCCCACGTCCTTCATCCTTTCCCCTCCCCCTCACCAGCTGTCAGTTTATCTCCTCCAAAGTCCACTGTTAGACATTTACTTATGTTTTTAAGAAGCCTTTGCCCCTTGACTTTATTTGCCCCTTTCTCCCTTACCAGCTAGGGTTCCCTCTGTGCAATGGATCTCTTTTGTGTCACTGTCTGGGGGTGGGAGGCAGGGAGAACGCAGGCAACGTTACTACTCTAATAGCCTCAAAGGACACCGGATTTGGGGCAATTGCACAGGTTCTTAGAACACAACTCCCCATAGTGTCCGTTACCTGTTGTGAAAGTCTGGAACACGCCAACCCTCTGTTACCCCCGGGGTATCCTGGACTGGGATCCCCCACTCTGGCAGATTTGCCCGGCTTCTTCATTAGGAAACTGCTCATGACCCAGAGAATGAGGGGCCACACTCCTGAGAGAGTTTACCAGGGGGCTTCCCCACCCAAATAGCTAGTGGTTTTGCTGGTCTACCATTTGGGGATGATTTGTGCCATGATGTTCTTGTTGGCAGACAAAACTTCAGGCCGATGGGAATATACCTAATATGTGCATACATATTTAAACGCATGTCGTTTTCTAAGTAAGGATTTGCATTTTTAGAAAATTCATTTAGAATAATGCACTGGCAGTTGCAGACCACCTCTGAAATAGAGAAATTTGAGTAATTTCCGAAGATCTGGAAGAACATCAAAAATATTATTTTGTTTGTTTGTTTGTTTGTTTGTGAGAGTCTCACTCTGTCACCCAGGCTGGAGTGCAGTGGCACAATCTCAGCTCACTGCAACCTCTGCCTCCTGGGTTCAAGCGATTCTCCTGCCTCAGCCTCCCGAGTAGCTAGGATTACAGGCTAGTGCCACCACACCAGGCTAATTTTTGTATTTTTAGTAGAGATGGGGTTTTGCCATGTTGGCCAGGCTGGTCTCGAACTCCTGACCTCCAGTGATCCGCCCGCCTCCGCCTCCCAAAGTGCTGGGATTACAGACATGAGCCACTGTGCCCAGCCAAAAATATTCTTATCCTCTGCCTTCCTCTAATGAACATCTACCCTGCAGCCTTCCACTGCAGGAACAGTGCACATGACAACCTCTGACCCCAACCTTTGGCTCCTATACTGGCTAAAAAGAAATAATGACCATTATTATCATTATGAAGCAGCTATCGTTTACTGTGCACATACTATATTCCATTATTAAGCATTTAATGTGCACAAAGAACTCACAACATTTTTTTTTCAGACAGGGTCTTGCTTTGTTGCCCAGGCTGAAGTGTAGTGGTGCAATCATGGTTGACTGCTGCCTCAAACTCTTGTCCTTGGCTCAAGTGATCTTTCTGCCTCAAACTCCTGAGTAGCTAGGACTACAGGGACATGCCACCACACCCGACTAATTTTTTTATTCTTTGCAAAAATGAGGTCTTGCTTTATTGTCCAGGCTGGCCTCGAACTCCTGGCCTCAAGTGACCCTCCTGCCTTGGCCTCCCAAAATGCTGGGATTACAGACATGAGCCACCATGCCCAGCCTCACAACAAATTTTTGAGGCAGGTATTATTGTACTCATTTTACAGGTAAAGAAACTAAGGCTCAAAGAAGTAACTTCACAAAGTCACGCAGCTAACTGTCAGAACCAACTCTGACTGCAAGCCTTTGTTCTAATACGCTGCCCAGCATTCAGTGTCACCCTGGAGTGACACAGTTGAAGTCCCCAAGCGTTAGATAATCCCCCTTCCATAGAGGAGGGGAGCTCCCAGGAAGACTCCCTAGGGGCATACTGAGCCCCCTTTTTAGGAAACACATATAAAAATGCAAATGCAAATTCATTACAGAAGTGATGCTTCACTTTTAAAAAGAATTCCCCACAGCCCTTCTTTAAATAGACTCTGACACATACAATATAGGATTCAATTTAGAAAAATGATGTTTACTGTAGCTTTTCAGAAACAAATGAATTCCTTAAACCAACATATTCATATACAAATAACGGTCTGACTTCAGACCAGGATGAACCAGAGACACAGATAGAACAGGAGAAGCCAGCTGAGCACAAGGGGCCATCCGTGAGCTCTGGACACACACATACATATGTGCACATGGACACACATGCATAATAAAGGCACACACATGTGTTCACGTGCCCAAGCACATACCCACACACACTCAAACGTGGGCACACACACACATATACACAAGCACATACCTGTATACTCATACATACATATACACACATGTGCACAAGCACATATATGCATACACTCATACATGCTATGTTCACACACATCCCAGGGCTCCAAGCAAAATCACCTTGCCTCCTAATAGAATGTCAAAAGGATAAACATTAATTGGGGAAAAAAAAAGTTTTCACCCCAAAGCCTTTCAAAAACAGACTCAAAGAGAAGGAAGTTGGTCCCTAGCCACTGTGTTCAGCACAGACCCACGCTGGGCTTAGTATTAGCAAAACCGGCCACCAAAATCTTCAGTCTGTGGTTCCCTGCACCTGCAGCTCTGAGCCCTCTGCCTGTCCTCCCCTCCCCCTCCCACCCACCTTAGCCAAATTCTCAGGTTCCTGGGGGGTGGGGAGGAGGTGGGTATTGACTCCAAATCCTACTGGGGAGAATATCCTAATTTAAAGCATCTCTTTTTCCCTTTTTAATTTTATTTTTCTTTTTCTGTCTTCAACCTTAACACATGAATGATCTTAAAGTTTTGATGTTTTTTTCTCGGACTAAACCATTATTTACAGGGGGAGAGGGGGAAGAAAGGCTCTAGAGGGCCTAAAGGGGATAAGGGAGACCAAGGAGCGCCTGGATTAGATGCCCCCTGCCCATTGGTATGTTTTTGTTTATCACTTGCATTGTTCTGGTTTTTGTTCTTGAGGTTTGTAAGTTGGAAACAAAGAAGGCAAATAAACTAAGATGAGAACCAAATGTCTACACGGATGCTACCAAAATCTCTCTGTTCATTTGACTGGTGAAATTCTGCCCGCTGTTGGATTTGCTTTGTAACCACAGCTGCAAGTAATTCTGGCTAAATCCCTTGCCTTTGAATCCTTTTCCTTTGAAGATACAGAGCAATCGATGTGTGGAAGTGAGGAAACCACTAGGAAAGGGATTTTCAGGGAAGGCCTCAGCTCTTAGCTCCAGGATGGCTTTGGAAGCCAGTGTAGCATTTGTGAGCCACGGATTTGCCTTCTTCGTTTCATGGCCACCTCTGTGGGCCAGTAGTTCAAGCTGTCTGAATCCTCACTTGATCAGGATGCAGGACACCAGAGTTAGCGTCTCCTCAGGGCCACTGATGCTCAAAACTGGGCAGAACAAGGCCAGATGAGGGGCTTCTAATGCACAGCCTCCCAACACTCACCAGCCATCCAGCTGAAACCTTTAAAGCTGCAGACCAGAACTGGTAGTCAGACAGACACCCCATGGGAAGCCTTCTCAAAAGAGCCAGCAATTAATGATGAGGCACTTCTGCTGGGTTTCTCAAGTGCCTTTGAATCCATTTGAAGGTTCTAAAAATTATGATGCACTAAAGTTGAAGTTTGTCTGTGTTTACACTAAGTGAGTCTGTAGAGAGAGGAGGATCAACGGAGAGGGGGCAGGTTGTATGTGTGCAAAGCTGAACTCTCCAGAGCACAAAGAGAGCACAAAAGCTGGATTTGGGAGATGGGGGATCACCTGGGATTTAGCCCCTGTTTGTAGATGCCTCAAGGGTCCTGCATCCTGGCCAGGGTAGGACTGGGCCTCTCTATTCCATGGTTGGAGCTGGCCAGCCTTGACCTGAATAATCATCGTGGTTGGTTTTGTGAACAGGGACACCGAGGTTTTAAAGGAGAGAAAGGGGAGCCGGGGTTACCAGGGCTGGACGGACTGGATGCCCCATGCCCATTGGTATGGCATTGCCCTTGCTTGCCTGCATGGCCGATTTGGGCTTCCCCATGTGTGTGATTCATACTGGGTTTCTCCCCAGCCACCCTCCACACTCCTCCTCCATCCCCCCCAGGCTCCACTTCCCACTTCTTCATTCTGTAAATGCCAAGGGTCACCCCGCCTAGGCTAGTACTCTGGGGGCTCCCAGTCATGCCACCCTCTTGCATGCAAAGTTTACTGGGATGTTTCCTGGCTTCCTGCTGCAGCTACCTCTAAAGCACAGCCACTTGATGCCAGCCAGCTCTCCCACCCTGAAGTTGGTTTTGGCTGCCTCTGATACTCATCTCCAAGCTGATTCTAGACAAAGCTGCCACCAGATACCAGCTAGGAAAGTGGATTCTCTGGACTGGTTTTCAGAACCATGACTCACTTCTTTTCCTTCAGGCAGTGAAGTTAGTTCAGAATCACTGGCTGAGCACCTAGCGAAACATGTGAATGAGATGCCTGATCAGCCCTGTATCCCCTGCTCCTCCATCACATGATTTGGGGGACAGAAGGGCATGATTACAGAGTAGACTGAGAAGCTCTAGAAGTGAGCTGGAGGAGGGGCCACCTGCCTATTCTTCCAGGTTGGATCGTGGGTCGCTGCCCAGGTGACACCATCAGAACTAGGGGATGGTCCAGGATTAGGTTTTCGGATCCTAAAGGGTTTGTCCTTCTTGCTTAAATCTCCAAAGACATTACCAGACCCTTCCTCGTCCCTTTCTTTCATGATCAGATGGCTTCTTACTGAAGAGTCTGGGAGAGACGGAAAGGTCAAGAATGTAGTTAAGGAGGAGGCAGGGAGACAGCTAAGGACCTCTCTTCCAAGCACGTCCCAGGCGAAGTGGTAGCAGTTTATTCCCGCCTGCCCAGTCCCTCTCTAGGCATGGACAGTCTAGGCCTCCACGCTGATCCTCTTACTGCAAAAGAAGCTGAAGGGAACACTTCACTCCAAGGCTCAAGGGGTTACAGCTCTCCCCAAATTTCCCCAATAGGTTTGGAGTTCAAGAGCTATTTTATCATACCAGTAATAAGAGAATTTGGGGTCTCACATCCCCGCCCTGGGGTCACACAGGAATTCTCTTTGAACAAAAGAGAAAAAGATACAAGAAATTATGCTGTGTGACCCTGAAAGGTGGTCGTAGAGCCCCTTGAAGGGCAGTAGGGACTTTTTAGGAGGAGCATAGGCAACAAAAGGAGAGTGCAGAGCAAGCAGGCGGGTAGCATGCTTCCTGTCCCTGCTGGTCCTGCCAAACCCTGCGCTTGCAGACTGCACAGCCACCTTTCTCAACCAGGACTTCCACCATCCACGCACCAATGGGAATGCCGCTCTGGCCCGCAGGGGCTCCCTTGAGCACTGGCCAGGTCTTCCCTCAGCCACAATCCCCTCCCACAATCTGGGCACCTTTAGTTCTGCCAGCAGCTGCCTTGGCCTCTCTGTTCCTCACCATACATTACTTTTCATTCTCTGCCTGCCCTGCCCTCCATATCCCCCTGCCACCATCCACACACCAATGGGAATGCCGCTCTGGCCCACAGAGGCTCCTCTCCCTCCCGGCATCCATGTGACGTGTGTCATACCGCACCGTGGCAGGCTGGGGAAGGGGCACAGGGTCACCCTGAAACTGTGGAATGCACCTCCTCCCCCTGCAATCCCCTCCCCAACCCAGAGGGGAAAATGAAGGTCACCCTGATTTGACTCTCCATGTAAAATGGCATTTTCTTCCATAACATCCCATATCAATGTGTCAATTTTCTATTAATTTTACTGGGGAAGTGTCTTCCCCTTGTTTCTCACTCTGCCTCCTCCTCTGTGTTATTATGGGCTTGAGGGGCAGGGGTAGCTATTGCTCATGACTTTTACTACAAGATAACCAGACTTCCTAAGCCCTCCATATTGGGACCAATTTCTGCTGAATGCCAGGTGATGAGAGGTTTCAGCCCCTGGCGTGGGTGGATGACGTCAGACCAGGGCAGCAGAGGACTCTCATTCCACAAGCTCCCTCAGGACTGAGCACTTGCTCCGGGTCTCCTGAAGCCCCATGTCCATCTCCTTGTCTGCCCTGCCAGTCTAGCAGACTTGGGCTGAGAACCAGACCTTTGCCCTTGGCCCAGCCTCGCCTTCCCCACTGGGTCTCTAGATTTCTAGATTCCCCATAGGGTATGCCAGCAAGGAGAGGATATGAGGGCCCAAGAAAACTCAGGAAAGTTTCTATCACCAAGGGCAGAACACGAACATCTTGAGGCTAAAGGAGCTGCATGGTTGCTACCAACAAAGGAGACCGACGGTGTGCAGTTGATTCCCATGTTTTTACTGCACTTCACCCCCAAATTCCCAGCAAGGTCTAAGGCTTCGCCAGGAACCCTTGTCTTCTTGCCAAAGGCATGTCAGGGCCATCCTGCAATACTCATGAGGTTGCCTGTCCCTTCATGCCCCTCACCCCACCCCAGGATTAATCATCAAAGAAGGACTGTCTACATGTCCTCCTCCCTGTGCTTAGGAAGAGAGACAAATAAGAGAATGAGAAGGCTGGGAAGGCCCTTAGCGGTCACATCAAGCAACTGTCCTTGCCAAGGTTTTATGGAGGAGGAAACTGAGGCCGCCTTGTGCTGAGTGGCTTACCCGTGAGCAGCCGGCACTCCATAGGGCCACAGCAGAGACTGTTTCTTCGTGGCACGGAAGGACATCTCTGCTTGCTGGTCCCACGGGCTAGGACAGCCCCTATTGACGTTGCACTATAGCTGCATGTGACCTTTAACCAATGGTAAAATAGCCGGATTTGTTTCCACCTCCTTCTGAGGTTCTGACCTGTAGTAGAGAAAAGAAATAGACAAGCGTGGGTGGGCCACATCCTGATCAGCTGCCAAAATGCGTGTGGCCCTTGTTACCCCTGTCCTGCCCACTTGGTGGACCATTGCAGGAAGTCTGAGCCCTCTGCCTTCCTTTCTCCTTGCAGGGCGAAGATGGCTTACCAGTCCAAGGCTGCTGGAACAAGGTAAGGCTTCCCATTGGTGTGCACTGGGGCTCCGTTCTCAGCAGTGCCATAAAGCTTCCACAATTTCCATTCTGCCTTGCTACAGATGAGGCAGCAAGACATAGGTCAAATAGTCACTGTCTCAAAGGCAGGGTGCCCATTAAACATCCCATACACTGCATGCTGTTAACAAACATTTTAAAATGCTTCTTAGAACATCAGTAAACCCTAGGCGGAATGTCCATGCAGCCACACAGGTGACATCTTTATGCTTTGTGTGTTCAATGTACATAGTGTCTTTCCCCCAAGGAACTTCCCCAAGGAGTTCCAGATCACACTCATAGAGTTCCTCTAAGGTCGTTTATGCCACGTGATGACATGTCTTAGACGTAGGACATCTCAGTTGCTTTCACTCTGAACTCACATGCTACTGTGCCTCCCCTAGGGGCTGTGCTCCTCACCACTCTACCACTCCCCTTGCATTTAAGCTGGCAGAGCTTCATGCCACCACACATGTGACCTGCAGCCAAATCTCTCCTGGGCTCCCAGAGTTCCTACCAACAATGAGTTTTCATTGATTCACACTGGCCTTGGCATTTGCCATTGTTAGAGCAGTCTGACATCATAGGACTGTGCCCTTGCATGTGATCGCCCCATTCAACCATGGCTCCCCAGAGCACAGGGCTGCCCAGGCAGACAGAGGCCATCTGCTTGCTAACTAATCCAGAAGACCCGCCTTGGTCCCCAGCAATGGTGGCAGCCACTATGCTGCCCCATACCGTCTCCCTCCACCTTGCCTGTCACTCCAAGTCTTCTCACCAACCCCCCACCACCATTGTCTCAAGGTTCATCCTCATAAAGGGACCGGAGACTCCAACATGTTCAAGAATCTGTGCTCAACGAATCCAGTCCTGTTCCAGTGGCAGCAGAGTCACACTTACAATGAGATGAACAAGCTCCCCTGTACTAAGATGCCAGAATCTCACTAGTGCACTGGGTTGGGTAAAAGTGGTGAAACCACCAAGACCCCAGGCCAACGCTGACCACCTACCTGCCTGGATACCTAAAGCACCCCCTAACCCAAGAAGGAAAAGCTCAACACTCAAGAGAGATGCCTCCCCAGAATCCATCCCTGGAGGCTGGCCTCGTCCTCCTGCCAAGCTCCACTTAGACCTAGTTAAAGCGCCACAAAAGCAGGTCAGAGGTGTCATAAGACCTCTGAACCCTTGACCCCTAAAAAAATTTCCTCTTTAAAGTTGCTGCCAATGGTTAGGAGACAGAAATGGTTGTGCTTAGCAGGGGAAGAACAGCCACTACCAAGAGCTGCAATGTCTTGGAGAAGCAACCAGAGAGCTTCAAGACTACTCATTCACACCTTAAGTCCAATCTGGGACAATGCAGTGGTTACAACAATCAGGCCTCCAAAGGCAGCAGAGAAAGAGAGTGCCCTCTAGTGACCACAAAGGGGATTCACAGAGAGGTGAACTTGGTTTCCTCCCTTCAGGGAGCTAAGGTCGCCACCAGTTTCTTTCACCTAGGGGCTCAGGGTTCCCACAGTTCTCCTGTCCAGAACTCCCATCCAACCCAGGACAAGATTTACCTCCCTTCCTACAAAGGAAATAAACCTCTGCAGACCCACTGAAACTAACAGAACATTGTTTTGTTTTTGTTTTGCAGTGATGCCTCTAACCTTGGATTGGCCTGTGTGTGTGTTTGTACATAGAATATTTATTTTTATACAGTTTTCACTTTTTGAAAATGCCAGAAGTATGATGCATCTTACAGATTATTAAAAAAGAAAGAAAAACCTGCATATTTTGTACAGAAAATATCAACCTCTTCCCTTTTGTTTACAAGATGTTTTGTATAAGCCTATGTCTCTAATACATTTTTTGTTTGGTCGTAATGTCTGCATGATATTTGTGCACATTTATTAAGTATCGAAGCTTAATAAATTATTGTGTCCTGGTGCCAAAGGGGGCCAGCCAGAACTGAGGTGCTGGCTAGCTCATGTGTGAATTCACATAAATGTAGAGGTCCATGATATTTGCTAAGCTAGGTGTGTCTAAGAGTATTTTAAACCCTTATGGATTTTCATTATTAAAGGAAATGAAACATGGCAATTCATGATCCTGATTAATCATTATATTAAATACATTCTCTCCTGTGAAAGCAGGAATTCCCAGAAGTAGGGGTCCTCAGAAGTGTGGAGTAAGGTTTTGAAATGTGAGGTTCAACAAAGGGAGGGAAGGGAACTTTATCGAGCAATGTATGTTGTTACAGATCCCAAGTTTATCACAGTGCTTGCTGTGTGAGCATTTAGGTTCAGTTGTGCTAAGGGCACCCAGGGTTTCAAAGGAGCCATTTGCTCTTGCTGTTGGGTTATGGTAGGTTTTTGCTTGTTTGTTTTGCTTTGTTTTGTTTTGAGCTACAGTCCCTAGTACCAGCTATTGCTAATCACAGCTGTTGACTTGATATGAGTTTGTGGGTTCACTCACAACTAGCAGTTGAAGGAGCTTTGCCTCATCTGCTGTTCCACTCCAGCAAAGAGCATTCAGAAACATGCCTAGATCTGGGCTTGGGCTGGGCCAATCTGAAGTTGTTTTTATTTTTTTAAGAAATAATGTTGTATTGCTTTCCATATTTAGTGCATTGCTTAGAAAAGGTCTCAGGAAACCGGTTTTAATGACCAGTTAAGTCTTACCTGTGGTGTAGCATACAGGTTTATCGTTAGCTGTTTGACAACATAAATTCATGCTTCTAAAAGCTTGAAAACAACAAATTACTCCAGTACTTTACATACATCCCCATCTGGTTTACATTTTGCATTTTCTTTACACATCCTTTCTTCCTAGACAACGCAAAGGGAAATTTAACTTCAGACTCTGTCCACATGCTGTCACACAAAACTCTAAATTAGTGGGCTTCACAGTCATTAGACCCCTGCCATGTGTGGGGATGAGGTCACACTCACAAGCGCTCATGGTAATGAAATCACACGCAGCTCAGACCCAAAACGTCTATACCAACATTCTTACTCTAAATGTCACTAGCTTAGCTTAGAACTTGGACAACTTCCTCTTCTAAGTCTTGGGTTCCTCATTTGAAAAGTGAAGCAAGTCTGGGCAACATAATGAGACGCTCATCTCTACAAAAACATTTTTCAAAATTTAGCTGAGTGTGGTGACACTCGCCTGTAGTCCCAGCTACTCCGGAGGCTGAGGTGGGAAGATTGCTTGAGCCCAGGAGTTTCAGGCTGCAGTGAGCTATGATCGCACCGCTGCACTCCAGCCTGGGCAACAGAGTGAGACCCTGCCTTAAAAGAAAAAAAAGGAAAAAAAAAAAAAAAAGGAAGGAAAGAAAAAAGAAAAGTGAAGCCATGCAGTAGTGAACAAGAGTTGATCTCTGTGGACACAAAGAGGGTTCATCTGAACCCAGGGATGTTTCTTGCCCTGGGCCGGATTCTCATGGCCCTGTAGCCCAGGGACAACTTCTCCAGCAGCCACGGAGTACTTTTAGAGGCCACAAAAATATCTTAATTTTTCACCTTTTTAAATTTAGAAAAAAAAAATGAATATATAACAATGAATCCAGCCAGGATTGTTTTTGTCTTTCTACCAGCACAATTGTAAAATATAATTTTTTGTATTTTTTTAATGGAGGAAGGCAAAACTGCCCAGGGCCCCCAAAAGTCATAACGCAGCCCAGCCCACATCCTCTGCCCCTTAGAATTCACAGTCACCCTAGCTGCGGGTGTCCCCACCTCCAGGCCACACTCCTCCCCTCCCAGGCGAGGGCCCAGGCAATCAGGGTGTGACCCCGTTCTGACCCCCTCCCCTTCAGGCTCTGGCCAGGGCAATCACAGCTCACTGATGATCTCAGGATAGAGTAGAACATTCACTGGAACCCAGAAAGGGGAGAGTCAGTGTTAGCTGAATATCCTGGGTAAATGGGCAAAGAAACCTCTTTTGTTCCAGTCCTGGGGTTATTCATTTACTTATGACACTTTACCTACTGCCACAAAGGATTCAAAGTCACAAGAATCTATGTAATAAAATAGAAATGTGTGTAAAGAGAAGTTTAAAAGTCAGAGTCAAGGAAAACAAGTAGAGAGGAGACAGCTGTGGCTGGGAAGCCCAGGGGATGGGGAAGGTCCTTGCCGTAACTGAGGCAGGGTCACACACATCACTTCAGGCCACCTAGTGGTCACAGAAAAAAAAAAGGCTGGGCCTGGTTTCGGAGCCCACACTGCCCTGCCCAGTGGGTTGCAGCCCCCCGAGGTTTAGCCCCGTGTGTGTAAACACATTGTCTCCCCACACGGTTGTTGCTGCCATAGTACTCAGCCAGGACCCCACCCTATCACTGGACTGCACCCCGGGCTCCTGACTTCAGGCCCCTGCCCCCAAGCCTCTCCACTTGAATCTTGGCTGTGTGTCAAATGCAGTACAGGGAGATGAGAAGTAAAAAGACACGTGGTCAAAGAGTTTGCACAGTAGCTGTGAGTCCATACTAACGCCCAGCAGACCAGGACAACCAGGCGAGAAGAAACAATCCAGTGATGGAACAGGAGAAGCAGGCACATTGCAGGAGGGACCAGGGAAAGGCCAGCCCTATGGACAGGGGCCACAGAGGGCTTGCAGAGGAGAAAGACATGCTGTCTGTTTTGGGGGACTTGCGGCACCTCCTGGTGAGAACTGCCTGCCCAGGGAGCCAGAGGTGCACCCAGCCCTGCCCACTGAGCATGTTGGTGAAAGTTCTTTGTAAATTGTAAGGCACTGGGTCTTAAGGCCGTTTGTCTCCTGCAGTTCCTCTCTCATTCCAGTGCCTGTGGCTGCGTGCTCTGGCACAGCAGGACACATGCCTAGCGTTGTCCACCTGGATACCTGCAAAGAATGAGCCAGTACCCCATGGGTGACAGTGTGACCGGGTCATCTGGGCCCGAATGGTGCCTCTCCCCAAGGCTGGGGAGTTGTGGTTGTGGTCATGTGAGCCAAGGGAAGCCACATTGCTTCCCTTGCTGAGGGAAGAGGAGGCTCCTTCCACACATGCCCACCCCGCCCCATCTCCGCCCCACCCAGTGCTGGCCTCCCTTCCCCGGCCCTGCCTTCGCCTGGCAGAATGGCATAGGATGGAGCTGGGGAGGGTTGTCGTTAACCCATAAGTGGAGGAGGGCACTGGCCAGCAAGTCGAGAGACTCAGCTTCTAGTTCTTTCTCTACCATTACCTCACTGTGTGGCTTGGGCACCTTACTCCAGGTCTTAGTTTCCCCAAGCGTCAAGTGAAGAAGCTGGACATGGGTGACCTCCATAAAACTTTCCAGCTCCGACACCCTGAGGCCCTCTGGCCCCACAGGCAGGTCACCTCCTGGGAGGATTGTGGAGGCGGGAGTACTCCATGTCCCCCCCTCCACCTAGAGTTATTTGGCTGTGACAGTATTATGCATGGCATTGGTTTTGCAAAACTGTGTGTGGCATGTGTGTGCTTTGTAACCCCAAATAACAAAACTTGGAGTAGGCCTGTGCCACCCAGGAGTAGGGTGAGCGGGGTCAGCTTGCCTTAGGGCAAGAACAGCTGTAGGGGTTGTTTCTCACATTGGTGTCGACACAGAGGATGTATCAGAGAGAAAGCAATAAAGCACTGGCCACCTGACACACGCGGGAATCCCCAAGCCCCAACACACATTCAGGGACACCGCACTGGCATGGGGAGGCCCACCTCCCTCCCTCCTCTCAGGCCCACTGTGTCTCTCCCATTCACCACCCCACACACTCCCCCAGCGTGTCTCTCCCCTTGCCCTGGACTTGGACACATTTTCAGCCAGCATGAGACATCAAGCACCCAAGACTCCACATCATTGCAAAAGAAAAGAGTAGGCTCCCTGTGAGTGTTCAGAAAAAAGGACACCACATCAAGATGTGGAGCAGAGAAGGAAAGCAAGGGCAGGAGCAGCCGTTCACCTCTCAAAGGAGCAGAACTCCCAAGGGGTCGCTGAAGCAGGATGCCCCTCACTGTGGTGAAGGAAACAGGAGGATGGTGCAGGGAAGGGAGCCATGTCTTAGCCACTCAGGCAGAACTGGGTGCAATCCACATGCAAAGTGACCTCTGGCTGCTAGAAAAGTTCATCTCTGAGAAACAGCCAAGCACCTGTGGAAGGCGACTCAGAGGGAGGTAGAGGGCCACGGCCCCTGTACCCCCAGGGCCCTCCCCAGCAGGCCCACCTCCTTTCCAGGCCTGCCACTCACCCTGCGCACACACTTTGCTGCCCCTCCACACGCTTGCCCTAGCCGGGCCCTTACCTGGAGATGCCATTGCTTCTTATCTGCCTCCTTTCAAGGCCCAGCTCAGATCCCATGGCCCTGGAGAGACGGTTCTGGGCTCCTCAGTTGGTGGAGTCTCTCCTCCCTGCAACTGCCTGGAACTCAGTGTTCTTTTCTTCCTCCACTTTATGTGAGAGTGTGCAAAGGGGCTCTTCCATTTTTGATAGTGAACTCTTAAAGGGCAGGGACTTTCTTACTCCCAGGCTCAGGAGGGACCTAGCTCAGTGTCTCCCCTACAATCCAGCCATCGACGGGGGATCATACATATCTACCACCTGCTGAGTTATCAGCCAGCTTTGTTAAGCACCTGCTGTGTGCAGACACTGTGCTTCCTGCCAGGCTGGGAAGGAAAGGGAAGAGGCCCCTAGGACTGTAAGACCCAGCTCCTCCAGGAGCTTCACCAGAGCACACCCAAGAGCACACCCATCCACCCTCCAGGAGCTTCACCAGAACCACCAGGAGCACACCCATCAGGGACAAGTGTGCTAAGTGCTAAGTGAGAGGTACAGCCAGCCAGGGCAGGGGTGCTGAGGACAGAAGCTCCTGCGGTGGCCAGTGTGGACAGAATGAGCAGATGACTGAGTCAGCTGAGAGGGGTGTTACAAAGCAGAGATGGAGGAGCTGGCCCTGCATGTAGGCAGTCCCCACCCTGGGCTCAAGCTCCTTTCCTCGGTAGAATCTTCCAGTGAGCTCAAGCCTGGGCCATGCTCGCTTCTCAGGTAGGGGAGGACAAGTGGGATGGCGATGGAAGGAAGAGGGTAGAGAGGGCACCTCCCAACTCGGAGGGGCTGGGAGTCTGGCAGCCAGTGGCTGGGGGTGGGGGATGTCCTGGCCAGGGAGGCACCCCTGGATGTGCCTATCACCAGAGAGGTTCCTTCTCAAATGCCCCTTCTCTATACCTCCTCAAGGGCCAGAGTCCTTGGTTAGTCGCCAAGAAGTGAAGCCAGCAAGCCCAGAGCCCTGGGGAAAGCGCCTTGCCTTGGAGGAGGAAAGAGGTGGAGAAGCTGCCCCTGGACAGAGGGTCGCCAGCCGAATCCTTCCAGGGGGTACCTGGTTTGAGGGGATGATCAAAGTGTATTGTGACCTCAGGAGTGCAAGGATGGGCCTCTGTCCTCTCCAAGGGCTAGAGCTCAGCCAGGAAAGCCAAGGCCCCCACATCCGCACACCTCCAGCTCTCGTGGCCTGCTGAGGTGTCTGCTGCAGCCCCAGCCAGGACCCTCTGCTGTTGCTGCAATTTTGAGGGCTCTCGGACTCCTCTTGCTCATGAAGAATTGTGGTTCTGTGAGCAACCTCTCTGCAGAAGGGGCTGTCAGTACCATCCTGATCTGACTGGGAAAGCCTCCTCCCGAGGCAGGCCAGGCAGCTGTCACCTCTCCCACCTCTTCTCAACAGAGTTCCTTCAATTTCCTTTGGTGCTGCCACCATCAACCCTGTTACTTCCTGGGCTCTTTCCAGTGTCATAAGCAGACGAATGTACCAAGCTGGAAAAGCAAGGAGCGTTTGTCTTAGAAAGGACGGAACCGCAACATAATGGAGGAGAGAAGCCCAGGAGTAATACTGGGTGGCCATGCCGGGTGCCTGGGCTGGTCCTCAGAACCAGGAGCCTCACACATCTAGTCCGGTGCCCAGAGGTGCCCCAGCCAGTACTAAACTGACACAGACGGAGGCAGCAGTCTATGTAGTTTCAGGAGGGTCTGAAGTAAGCCCTCTTAGCAAAATTGTTGAAGGGACAGTGGCTGGAAATTAACCACCTTACATCTCCCTTTGTCATGACACTCAAACCACCTTGCTGCTTGCTTCTTCAGTGAATAGAATGACCATATTTTCTTGTTCTATCCAGGACACTTTGCAATTAAGAAGGGCCCTGGTAGTCAGTAGGCTGTGACAGCAGATGTCAACCTGGCAAACCAGCAGGTGGTCACAGTGACAATGACCCAATACCCACGTCATCCTCCAGCCCTTCCAAGCCAAGCTCTGGCAACAGCTCAACCCCTCCTGGTGCCTTGTAGCTGCAGCCATTCACCAATGGCCTCAGGTGTCCACAGGGCCAGGTGGACATTGTGTGGAGAACAAAGTGAACACGCCCCTGTTCTCACCTCCATGCACCTGGGCGAGTGGGATATGATCAGAACACAAATGACAACTCTCACCGAAGGCAGGACAGACAGGCCAGCGGAAGGCAGAAATGAAGGGCAGGGGACATTCAAAGGATAGAAAGATCTTGAATAAACAAACATTTGGAGGGAATTTTTCCCCGACACTATTTTAAGATGGAGAGGCTGGGTCGCCAGGGTTACCAGGCCATTCTGGTGATTTGACTTTAAATGCTGGGATTCTGACTTTAAATTCATAACAACATCTTTCCTCGGCCCTGGTGGGTTAAAGAAAATGCTTTAGAGCAAATTTAGTGTTTTCTCCCATTCACAGTATCTGGCCCACAAGGCTTGTGGGTTAAAGCACACTCCTGATCTTCATTTGATAACCTCATCTCTCTCCTCTCTTTTGGTGCTTATTGTAAAGTAGGAACAGCAGCCTCATTACATGGGGAGGAGCAGTATGTCCAGGGCTGCAAACAAATTGCGCAGGTCCATTGCGGCCCCGTTGGGGTCAAGGGCACATGTGCATGACTGGATGCAGCAAAAGTCACAGCTAATGCACCCCGATGGTGATCCAGATGTGATGTGAGGCTCAGTGGGTACTTAGAGATTTTTCACAGCCAAGTTAACCAGTCACCCAACCCTCCTGCCCTTCCCAGGGCATGGCAGAAATAAAAGGCATCCCTATTTAAAATGACACACGTGTGAGTGGGTTTGAGGATTCCAGATGACTCACAGGATCCTGTACATTTGTATATAGTCAAATGGTCTTCATCTCCTGCCAGCAAACCACCCCGCTCTAAACCTACAACAGTCGAGGAAGACAAACCCATCACGACCACCTTCTAAGAAGACACAGCCAAGTCCCAGGGCTCACTGTAAGATCACAAATGCAGTGAAACTGCTTGCTAAGAGACATTTTTCTTGCACTCCACTCATTCCAAAGACAAAGCAATTTATTGCAAAGTCTGCCAAAATAAACGTGCCTGCAGCTCCCCCAGCCAGTGGGAAAGCACTTGGGCTGGGATGGGAGTAAGGAGATCGGGTGCTTGCTCCGGCCACAGCGTGCTAGCAGAGTGACCGTAGGCAAGTGCCGCCCATGCTCTGAGCCTCCAGTCCCTCATGTGTGACCTGGGGCAGGCACTGCCTACCTCCCAGGTGATATGAGGGCTATCTCTGTGGAAGCACTTGGAACACAGTAAAGAGCCATGCAAAGGCTAGACAATGCGATTGCTAGTGTTTGCTGTTCAGAAAAACAAAAAACAAAAAATAACCTTGCTTTTCATAGACAAACCTCAATTACATGGAATCACTTAAGAATGGTTCGTTAAAATTTCTGGTGAAATTAGGTTCAAAGAGGACCTCCTTGGAGGCATGAAGAAGGCCTGACTGATAAACACTGTGGACACTGAGTAATGAAGATGTGGAAATGGTGGCCAGCTTGGGGAAAGACATGAGGATAGATCTAGGAAGTTGCTTTTTCAAACTAAAGTCCATAAATGTTCATAAGAGATTTTTTTCCCTTTCTCCTAGAAAAGTCAGCAACTTAAATTATTTTTGCTTTAAAATTCCAGTTCCCCATATTGCTCGTTAAATGAGGTTTTTCTCTTCAGAGGGCTCCAGCCTGCAATGTTTCCTCCATCCTGGTCCTGCCCCCACCTCCCTCCTTCTATCTCCTGCCCCCCTGTGCCCTTGGAGACACGCTGGGCAGACTCCCCATGTGATCAATCTGACGTCTTAAGTTTAAACGTCATTACCTCAGTATATCAGCAGAAAAAGTTCTATTTCATTGTGTCTTGTGGCAAACTTCAGTTCGGTTAATGGAGGGTTTCGTATACTTTTAAAAGTAAGTCAGGCTGGGTGCAGTGGCTCACCCCTGTAATCCCCAGCACTTTGGGAGGCCAAGATGGGAGGATCACTTCAGGTCAGGAGTTCGAAACCAGCCTGGCCAACATGGTGAAACCCCGTCTCTACTAAAAGTACAAAAAATTAGCCAAGTGTGGTGGCGGGCGCCTGGAGTCCCAGCTACTCAGGAGGCTGAGGCAGAAGAATTGCTTGAACACAGGAGGCGGAGGTTGCAGTGAGCCAAGATTGCACCACTGCACTGTAGTCTGGGCAACAGAGCGAGACTCTGTCTTAAAAAAAAAAAAAAAAAAAAAAAATATATATATATATATATATATATATATATATATATATATATATATGAAAGTAAGGCAGAACCTAATTTTCAGAATTGCATAACGACGGTCACAGCTGACCGACTGGTTCCACATATTAGGCACTAGGAAAAAAAGATTTTCCAGAGTAATCCCTAGATGATGAAAGCACGAACTCATTACTTTTTTTCTTGCAGTAGTTATTTTTGTTAAGGACCTGTCCATACTGCAGGCAGTGGGTATTTTGTATGGAAGAAGAAAACATTTATCTGCATACAGTATGCTGGTTTTTTTAATCATTTCTGTTTCAATGTAAAGGCAAGGTGCCTTCATTTTGCTAACTGTTGTACATTTCCTATGACTTTTAAAATGTTGTTTCCCCTGAACTCTCCTTCAGGACAGAAGCGCCCCCAGTGAGGCCATCTGGTGCTAAGCCCCCAACGTGAGGCCTTCCCGGCTCCTCACCTAAGGTTTCCCAACCACACACATGCCCAACATGACCCCTGCCAGAGCCCCCTGTCCACCCTCGTGCCTCTTACCAAAAAGAAGTCATTTCCCAAAACCCAGGGCCTTTCCCGGGCTGACAGGTCAGTCACCGTCTCTGTGTGTGCCATGTTCACATCCTTAGGGAGCCCCTGGCTCACATCTCCTCGTGGTACCAAGCAGATGGTAGGAGAGCTTCAGAGTCTTCTACCTTCTTGCTGCTCTTTGGCACGTTACCATATGGCCTCCAAAGCTCCAGAGCAAACTCTGACCCTTCACAGAATCTGACCCCAGCCCTTCAGCTCTGATGGTTCCTTTGGCCATAGCTCTCCCTAACACAGTCCCATTTCCTTTTGGTGTCCTCTGACGATTCCTCACCCCTTTCTCTTGCATCGCCCCCTTGTTAACTGTTTTCTTTATTTTTCAATACTCTCTTATCGGCTCCTCACCCCCAGACCCCTTGGCTCCCTCCCCTGTTCCTGTCTCCATCTCTTTTCGTCTCCATTCCGATGCCCCTGACCATTCCCTCTGCCCCCAAGGCCTCCAGACACTTCTTTCAGCACAGCCCACTGATCACTACCACAGCTCACCTCTGCAAAACGACACCCAGGGAGAAAACATCAACAATATTGTCAACCTTGTGACAGTTTTGTTTTCCTGTCAAACACTCCTGGTGCCTTTCATTTAAATAGATTCTTTGACAGATATATCTTAGTAGGTTCCCTTTCAGGGGAAAAAAAATGTACATTTTTAAAATTTTTAGTTTTAGTTTATGTTCTAAGTCTCATAAAACACTGCTATTAGGTCCTACGGGTAAAGAAATGTTTTGGGTTTTTTTGTTTTTTGGCTTCATGGTCATAAGCAAAGTGTCTAGGGTTTCCTGTTGGTGTCAGGTCCGACATGTCACAGCAAACTCCTCAGCACAGGCCTGTGACACACTCAGCTCAGGAGAGGGCAGCAGCCAACTACAATGCAAAGGGATGGATTCCGCTTCCTGGTCTTTAAAACCAAAAGGGAAGACCAGGTGTCCTACTTTGTGCTTCTATAATTCAGTAACTTTTCTGTTGATTTCAGTAAGTCAAACACACTTTTCTTTAGGCCTACTGGATTTTGTTGATTTAAAGAGATGTTCTGGCTCAGGCTTGAGTTGATACCCACCCTTTCCCCACCAAACCCGGGCGGAAAGTTACAGTGAACAAAGAAGGGCTACAGTTCCCCATGCTGAGAAGACGAGCAAGTGCTTCCAGAAATGCTCTTTCCTTTCAGAGAGGGAATCCATTTGGCTTCCCTTCAGTGCATGGCTTGGTGGAATCTGGGATTAGATCCCCAACAAGCGATGAGACATCCAGAGAAACGGAGTGCCTGGTATTTATGGCAGAATATAGAATAACTCGTCTTTTTCTTAACCAATTCTTTAGTTTATGGTTTAGCCAAAAGTAAGCAAGCCAGTTCCATGGCCATCCAAGACCCTGAGAGAAGATCCCCCACCAATATTTCCCATGAATGATCAGGGGTCTACAGAGTTTCCATCACCGAAGCCATTTGAGTTCAGTGTACACGCTCTGGAATGATCAATGTAAAAATGTCAATCTCTAAGTGGTTCTGTTGCCAAAAGAGTTTATAGATTGTGTTGAAGAGAAAATCAGCACCTGTGTTTTCTGTGGTGTTACTGCAGGGTTCATATAGAATGGAGTGATGTCTCTGGGAATATGGTTGTGCAGGGACCATGTTAAAACAGGTGTCACATGAGCTGTCACCCAGCAGGGGTAGAGACAGAACAGAGCAATGTCCTACTATATTAATTGGCAAGAAAATACGCTGTTAACTGGCACACAAACTCACAGGAACTGGCCGCTCCTATATCGAGACACAGCCTCCAGTCTTCCTATCAAAATATTAACTTAATATCAACCAAAGATGTCCCTCCCCACTTTGAGAGGAGCCCTCAAGGAAGTCTGATTTCTCCAGCTGTTTTCTGAAATAGCCACTTGTGTGGGTGTCCTTCTGGGTCCTGAGGCACTCACATAGGGTTCTTCAAATATGCGTGGTGTTGATTGTCAGTGCCCATAGCCCCCAGCCTGTCCACACCAGGCTGCTGACCATAGTATGAGGGAGAAGTCTTCTGCAGAACCTGGCGACCCCAGAGCGGCATTCCACTGGGTGGTAGTAATCCCAGAGCATAGTGGTCTCTGTGGGCCTCCCATGGCCCTGGCCACACATGCAGCCTCTTGGTGCTGACCAAAGGGACCCCTCCTGTGCAGAATACCTGTGCCTTCAACCACAGTTTTTCTCCAATAATCCATAACTACTTTAGTCTGTTACACCAGACTCCACCAAGCACAAAATCATCCCGTGGCCTCTTTGGTTGATAATCTAAAAAGGGGGCTCCACGGAATTTTAATTAGTCTATAATTTTGAGAGCTTTCTTTATAAGAAAGAGTATAGAATCTCATATCATATTTCAGCAATTTAGTAAAAATAGCATTTTGCTGGGAAAAGAATACTAAGGGGAGGTGCCTGGTTCCCTTGTTCTTAATACTTCCTTTCTGCCCAACTGAACACTGCAAACTTCCACGGCAGCCCAGGATGATCTTGCCTGTTTATTAAAGCAATTGGATTTTATACATTTGATACTTTAGCTCTTTTGTTTAAACTTTTTTTCTTGTTATTTGGTGTACAATATTTAAATGTACAGTATTTTATCTCCATAATTAGCTTAATTATAGAACAGAGTTTCTCTTCCTTCTCATAGTCTTCAGATAATTCAGAAATGTTTAAATCTTCGCACCCACTTTATATATGTTGTGCTGTTTCTAACTTCATATATGTAAATACTTTTTGACATACTTTGGTGTTTCAAGTTCTGTCTCTACTTTTATTGTGATCATTATCACCATGATTCTGTTATCATTCTTAATGTTGGATTTTTTTTCTGGTGCACTCTATTTTTTTAATCACCTTGGATATTTTGAAAGTATGTTAGCTATTTGTGTACGTAGACATAGGAAAGTGCTGTGCTTAAATTAAGCTGTAAGCTCTCTGATAGACAGATATTGACCTTAAAATTTGGTCCTCTTAAATGCTATCTATATGGTTTTCTTCCAATTAACAGGTGCTATTTCAACAAAACTTGTTTCTCTGCTGAACTACTCTGTCCTTTCCGCTTCTGACTTTAATTTTTAATTGCCTGTGATTCGGTTTGCCAATGCCTGAATATACCACATCAAAGATAGATATTTCCCTTGACAGTGGCATCTTCTCTCCATTTTGCTAACTTCCAGGCTGAGAGTGAATAGCAAGAAAAACAGCCCAAGTGGCCAGGGTTTGCTCAGAACCTACTGAGCAGACAGCTTCACAAACGGCTCCTCAAGTGTTTTGGCAGTGGGGGACAGACTATCCAGCTAGCCCATAGCCATATCTGTTTAAAACTTCTTGCTTCCTACTTCTCCACCTCCAGGTAGACTTCAACCTGGAATTCTAGAAATATGTGTTGACCCAGGCCCTGCTCACCAGTGAGGCAGCACACACAGAGACAGGCAGTGTGGTCTCAGTTCAGAAGAGACCTTTCTCCCTAACCTGAACACATCCATCCTGGGCAGTGTGACACCAGGGTGAGGTCCCTGCATGGGGAGACAGAAGACCTAGGTTCTGGTTCCAGTTCTGTCACTGGTGCAATGACAGGCTTTCTGGGCCTTGGTCCTATAAAATACAGGGCTAGACTTTGAATGCAACACAAGTATTCTGTATGGAAAGACTTAGCTGAACAAAACAGCCTATTCTTTGAAATGTAGCTTTGCTACTGTCCAGATGTGGAGGATTTTAGCAAATGAACACAACTGTTCTTTTAAGTAAGAGGTCCTACCCGCTGGGAACCACAGGGGCCAATGACTTGAACCACAGTAATGTAATAGGTATCCTAAAGATCAAAGGTGAACCCAAAAGAGTGATGTGGGAAGACCAATTACTAATTGCACTAAATAAAGGCTCTTTCGAAAAAGCCATCAAATGAAAAAAATGAAGCAGGAACTGGCTAAATTAGCAAAACGGTTAGACAACAGTTAGCCTGACACACTTCAACTTATAAGGAAAAAAAATGGACAGATAATTTTTTGCTGAAATTGTAGTCCTTGCTATTTGTGTTGTTCTAGAGTTTTATATGCCATTTCATACTTCTTCTCTATGATGTAAATACTTTTCATTGTAAAAAATGTAAATATTAACTATATTTTTTGTTTCTGTCTTTTCTAAAATGGAAGTTGATCCAAGTAATAAATTACAAATCATCTATATCTTGTTCTTTTTTTTTCTTTTTTTAGAAATTATATACCTTTACTGTCCTTCAGAAGGGAAAGAGTTTCATGATTAAAGAGAAACTTCATTCCTAACTAATGGAAGTAAGATGGTGCCATATAAGAGGAAAAGATGAAGGGTCAGGAGAGTGGGTTTTGCTCTGACTTTTTCATTAACAGATGTGGGGCCCTGACTAAGTCAGTTAACCTCTTGGAGCTTCATCTAAAACTGAAAACAGCTGCCAACATTGTTTTAAAACTCAATAAGGTAATAGATGCAACATGCTTTGAAAGTAAAAAGGTGTACTCAAAGGCATGGAATTACTAAGCCTTAATTGTCATTGTGTTCATTGGTTGAGGGATGAAAATTTTATATATAGGAAATTTGTTTAATTATTGTATTTTGCTTGAATTCTATTTTGGGACAAAACCAAATGGAAATTGAATGTCAAGTTAACTTCTACTGGTACTTCTAAAGGCCCATAATTAATAATCATAATGATCTTATGACCTTTAAGAGCACTGGGGAAGAAATAAGTTTCAATAATTTTTAACAAAATTCTTAAGTCTGAATGTTCTTGGTTTGACCAAAATTTCTTCATCAGTGCCTAACAAACATTCCATGATGAAGCCTTTTCCGGAGGCAGAAATGTAATCAAATGATGTGGAATTGGCAATCCATCCAAAGGGGGAAGGAATCCCAAGGAATGTCCCAGGCAAACTCTACTTTGGATCCAAGGAACTCACATATACAAATACATCAAACTGAGGAGTGCCTTCTTTTCCTTTGTAAATGACCAAACTGAACCAATTCAACTCAAAGGAAAGCCACAATGACTAGCAGCTTACTTCACACTTCAACAGACCAAAAGGCTTGACCGTGGATTCTTGCCATGTCAGAGTAGAAAGAAGCCTTAAAGATCATCTGCACCCCTCGCATCTTACAGATGAAAGACTGGGAATTTATGTGACTCATCCAGGGTCATTCAAAATCATGGGCCCTCCAGCTCATGAGAAAAACAGCTAGGGATAAAGAGACAATATAGTCCTTCTCAGCAGATGTGGTTCCACCTGCTCCACCTGCAGCTCAGGATGAGGGACATGGAAGGCAGGTGGAGGGGAACTTGTGCTTTCATCTCTCAGCCACTTACAGGCCCTCCATCTTCCCCTGAGACCATCAGAAATACAGGCATTGCACTGTACAGTTTGGGGATCTTGGCTGTGGATGAGGACAATTGTGTCATAAAAGTAAAAGCTTCCATCTCTCCTCCTTTTCTGAGAAGCAGGATGGGACTGAGAAGTCCCTGAAGAAGTGGGTTCCAGGTCTGAGTCTTCCATTAAGCATGATCATGAGCCCTTCCTTCTGTGAAATGCTAGCACTGAGCATTTAAAAGCACCTTCTCCACTTTCTCTTTCCTGGCTTTTCCTGTCTCACTGCCAGCCCTGAACTTCTATCAGATCCTTGATGCAGGACTGGTAAAACAGGAAGTTATCTTAGATACACAGTCCTGTGATTTCCAATTAATTAACCTGACAATTCAGAAAATGGCATTAGAAAGAACTTCAGCTGTGTTTTGTTTTAAATGACTGATGTTTAAAAGCTCTAGTTTAAAAGTCTCCAGAAAATTGATCTGGGTAACCAAATCTTGGAAAGACAGGAAAAACAAGTGGCTGAATCTTTCCACAAACAATCAGGATTTGGAAGGATTTTTGCTAAAAGATAATGTTCAGGAAAAGGTAAAATCATACTCTTAAACTGATATAAAAATGAACACATGTTAAAGATTTCATTTGACTCATATGATGAGGGAACCAGACAGATGTTTTCACCGGTCCAAAGGAAAAATCAAACAAGCACAAATTATATGCAGTAAAGGAAGGTTGAGATGAACTGCAAATGGAAACAAAGTCAATTATCACTATTGGACAGTATATAATTTATATAACTATCGGTTACCTACAAGTTAGAAAGGGCTGCAAAATAGCTCAAAGACAATGAATAGTATAGAACCTGATACCCCAGAAGGATATGCTACAGATGTGGCATCATTTTCCATTAAAGCATAGAATTTTTTTCCTACAATTGTAAAGCAATGCTCTGCCTTATTTAATACCTAGACTTATTTCACAGACATTAAAACACATCATCCTTTTCAACTCATATATTAGGCTGGTAAATGTGTAATCAGAAAAACCCCTGGGCAGATATTGATGGAGCCCTGTATTTGAGTGTTAAGCTTCTGACCTCTGAATTCTCTGAGCCGTTTTCCTCTGTCTATTCACTGTCTCCACCTCATACCCCACCCCCACTTAGCTTGGGGCTAAGAACTCTTGACATAAATACTAACTCTGCAGAGCTGATCAAAAGCAGATGTAGTGAAGGATGTTGACCCTGGATTTCATAGCAGTCATCACTGGGTGAGTAATAAATCTCTATGTTTATATGGCTAGAGTCTTTCCTCTGAATTAAAGACCACTAAACCTTCACATTTGTGGCCGCTGACTGGGAAGAACATCTTTGTCACTGGCTTCTTAATTCAATGTGCCAACAGCTAAGATGCTCTTAGAATAATAAATTGCAGTCTCCCTCCTGACCTCATACACCCCCATGCAGTCTCCCTCCTGACCTCACAGAGGCCCATCCAATGATACTTCATGCTTATCATCCACCCACTCTTTTTAATTGGGCTGGCAGAATCATAGTATCTTAGTCCTGGAGACTTGAACTATGTCTCCCTCCCCACTTTTTCAGTATTAATTAATGTGGTCATTATACTCTTGCCATTGCTAAGGATACAGTGATTTCCTTAGCATTGCTGGATCTTTTCAAGTTAAAATAATAAATCAGAATATTAATTCAAGATGTGGCTGTGACCCGAAGAAGTCATGTGGCTGTGGCACTAACAAGTTATGTGCCTTCACCAGCCCTTCATCTCCCACGGCCTCTTCTTCATAAAAGTGAAGACATTGAATTCTAAATCTTTTTTGATTCTATCACGGTTTACAGTGATAGCTGGTGACATATTGTGGCCATTGGTGTCTTTAATATATTGTGACTATAGTAGCTGTTAACAGCCTGTATGTGTGATTGGAAAACGGCAGTGTACCCTCTCGGAAGTAAGATTTTAATGTGGGAATTGGAAAGAGATTGGTTTGGATAACTCCAATCACATAGAGATCTCTTTCCTAACTCACGCCTCATTTGAGAAAGTAGTAAATTCCCAAAAACAAGCTATTAAATGGCATCTCCAAGGATTCTGAGCTTGAACAGGTCTTCAGGAGTTTAGGTACTGGATATTCCCCAAATAGATTGTTTATCTCCCTGGCTTTTGAAGAGTGAGGATGGGTTATGCCGACTTAAATACATTCTTGTTCAGCCCCTCTACCTCCACATTCTCACTGGCAACAATGGATATAAAAATACAATGTAATGGAGAGAGATTCAGCAAAAACATTGGCCTGTACTTTTCAAAAATATCAGTGTCATGAAAGACAAAGAACAATGAGGAACTGATCCAGAATAACAAAGAGTAAAGATTAAAGAGACATGGAAAATACATTCAGGGCCAGAAAAAAAATGGACAAAAAGTTCATTATAGAGCAATTGGCAACGTTTGAATATGGTGTGACATTATATAAGTGAATATTCTTGTGCTTAGAAAATGCACACTGAAATATATAAGTGAATATTCTTGTCCTTAGAAAATACATACTGAAATATATAAGTGAATATTCTTGTCCTTAGAAAATACACACCAAAGTATCTAGCTGTAAAGGAGAAAGATGTCTACAACTTGCTCTCAAATCATTCAGGAAAAAAAAAATTTAATTGAAAAAAGATAAAAAGATAAGTTGAAAAAACTGAAAAAGAAAATAAGAAAACAAATGTGGGAAATAAGACAAAGAGGGACAAATCTGGATGAAGGATATACAGGAGTTCTTTACACTGCTATAGCTATTTCTTGTGTTTGAAATTATTTACAAAAATATATTAAAAAGAAGACACTGTAGAAATAATTTCAATATTCTAAGACAAAATAATTTTGAACCTAAATTCTATATGCAATCAACTATTTAAGTATTATGACAAAATAAAAACATGTTCAGACTGCAGGACTTAGAATATTTCTTTGGCCATAAACTCTCACTGAAATTAATGCTAGAAAATGTACTTGAGCAAATAAAAAGACATGGGATACAAGAAACTATTATATCCATAGAAATTGGTAAAACGTGCAGCTAAGCCTAAATAATTGTTGTTTTATTGATAGAATCTAGAAGAAACAAAAATCCCAAATAGTTTCAGCAAGGAAAGTAGCAGAGACCTGGGGAAGGAGAAAGTAAATCATATCTAGTTTATCCATTATTCTGAATAAGAGGAAGAGAGAAATACTGATTAATTGTGGTCATACAGAGGAGATACCATGTGCTAAATTTTAAAGGTATTCAGGGTGACATCAGTACAAATGGAGGAGTAAGGAGTTCTGAACATTCTCTCCTCCATAAAATCAACTAAAACAATGGCAAAAATTGTCAGAATCGACTTTTTCAGAACTCTAAAATTAATGAAAGGCTTACAGCAATCCAGGAGCATTTATTCAAGAAAACTGGCTGAAACTTGGTAAGAACAGGGAGTTTTGTGGAGTTTTAACTTGCCTTTTCCATGACCCTCCTCAGCTCAGCAGTAGCCTTGAAAATATGAAACCAGCAGCCTGGCAGCCAGACGCCCTGGGGTTAGGCAGGAAGTGGGGTGCAGGAAGGAAGGTGGTTATGTGGGAGGCAGAACCAGCTTGGAGCTCATTCAAGGCCATGCTTCCAGAGAATTATCATTACTTAACCTGTCTGGTCATTCCCTGGAAGACCGTATTCACAAGACTTATCTTATTTGACCCAGATCAGGGTTAGCCCAGTGTAAACAGCCTCTTCTCCAGGAGAATTTGTCAGAAACAAACAGCAGTGACTATTTAACATTGTGGCTGCCTGTGTGGTGGCTAACAGCTGGGACAAACAATATTCCAACCAAAATGTTTAAAGGGTAAATCTGAGAAATGAGATATCCATGGGGATTTTTTTAAAACTCCAACTTACAGTAGTCTAGAAAAACATGTGCATGTAGAGGGCTGTGGATATGCTCAGGAAAGATCTGAGAAAGCCCTAGGCTATCACCTCTGGCTGACCTTGAGGCCCTACACAAACAGTAAGTGAACACTAAGCAAGAGTTGTCATCCCTGGCTGAGTGTTAAAGGTATGCCTCAATATGCATACAGAGCCACTTAGCACAGATTGGGAGACTTATTTGTTCTAGTCATTTGAGGAAATCTCTGTGTAATCATTAGCTGATGTCTAAGTTAACTGAGCAGAGACATCAGTGAGCACACATGATGAATAAAGACATTATAGAATTACCTCAAAAAAGTTGCTATCAAAAGAAAACAATAATAACAACAAACAGCAAGGACAGCAAATCATGGAGTGGGGAGGGGGAAGAAAGAATCTGATTCCCAGAGATGACACCTAATATTATATGGTGTTCTGTTTCAATTAAAATTTTAAAATATGCAAAAAGAAAGAAAGCCTACATACAAGAAAAAAGCAGGTAACAGAAACTACCTTTGTGGAAGCCAGATGTTGGACTTACTAGACAAAGACATTAAAATCACTATTTTAGATATGTTCAAAAAAAAAGTAATCCATGGGTAAAGAACTAAAGGAAAATATGAGAATAATATCTCACTGTATAGACAATATGAATAAATTGATACAAATTATAAAATGGAACAACCAGAAATTCTAAGGTTAAGAAAATACAACTGGACCAGGTGCGGTGGCTCACACCTGTAATACCAGCACTTTGGGAGGCCAAGGCGGGCAGATCACTTGAGGCTAGTTCAAGACCAGCCTGGCCAACATGGTGAAACCCCATCTCTACTAAAAATACAAAAATTAGCTGACAGTGGTGGCAGGTGCCTGTAGTTCCAGCTACTTGGATGACTGAGGCAGGAGAATAACTTGAGCCTGGGAGGCAGAGGTTGCAGTGAGCCAAGATCACACCACTGCACTCCAACCTGGATGACAGAGCAAGACTCCGTCTCAAAAAACAAAGAAAGAAAATACAACTGAATTGAAAATGTCACTAAAGAGGTTAAACAGCACATATGAGCATACAGAAGACGGAATCAGCAAACTTGAAGACAGTTCAACTGAGGTTATTCAGTCTGAGGAACAGAAAGAAAAGGCAATAAATAAAACTAAACAAGCCTCAGGGACATAAGGGAAATCATCAAGCATATCAACACACGCATACTGGGAATCTGAGAAGAAGGAAGAGAAACAGACAGAAAGAATATACAAAGAAATAATGGCCAAGACCAGCCTGGCCAACAGGGTGAAACCCTGTTGAAAAATATAAAAATTAGCCAGGCATGATGGCAAGTGCCTGTAATCCCAGGTACTTGGGAGGCTGACACAGGAGAATTACTTGAACCTGGGAGGCGGAGGTCACAGTGAGCCGAGATTTTGCCATTGCACTCCAGCCTGGGTGACAGAGTGAGACTCCATCTCAAAAAAAAAAAAAAGAAAGAAAGAAAGAAAGAAGTAATGGCAAAGAGGCAGATGTAAATAGTGTTTTATCAATTATATTATATGCAAATGGATTAAACATGCCAATCAAAACACAGAGATCATCAGAATGGATGAAAATATGATCTATCTATATGTAACTTACGAGAGACATATTTTGAATTCAGAGACACGAATAGAACAAATGATAATCGAAAGAAAACTGGAGTGGCTATACTCATATTACACAAAACAAACTTTAAGACAAAAATTGTTACTAGGGGCAAAGAAGGACATTTTAAAATAATAAAAGAGTCAATCCATCAAGAAGATATGGTCATTATACCACTGATGTCAGCAAGAGGGTTGGCTAGAGTTGCCTGGGACTTTTTCTCCCTGACAAAAAGGGACCAAAACAATGAATAAACAACTGGAGTGACTAAGGAAGTATGCTGGACAGCACCTAAGGATAGGAAAACCCCATGGAGCATGGAAGTCCAGGATAGCATCATAGAGAGAGGAGTGGCACACCCTGCATCTGTAGCACTGTCTTCCCCACCAGGATTGGCTAGGAGTCAGGGGGTACTTTTTCTTACAGGGAGAAGGTAAGTTGGAGATCCCTAGTGGTCCTCATAGCCACTACAGACACCAGCAGTTCTTGCTAGAAAAGAGTCTCTCAGTCCTCACAGGCCCTGAATCCAGTTTGGGGAGTTCTGGAAGTTTCTGTGCTGCACTGCCCTGGAGGAAGAGCCCAAGTTGGGCACTACCTATCCCCACAGCCTGAGCTGCTATGACATGGTGCCATCTTCAAGCTGGACACACTGCTAGAGTGCATCCTGCCCTAGGGGCTGGTGGCCACTGCCTTTCTCCATCCATAAGACCCTGTTATCATTCCAACATGTTCACATAGGTGACTGTGACACCATAACCACAGCTTCATGGAGCCTAGAACCAATGGAATAATGGAGACTCTGGTGGTCAAACCCACAGAGCACTCCTTGCCACCCCAATTCCCAGGAACAGGTGAACCTGTATAGTAGGAATGCCACTGATCAGGCAGCCAGCCTGTCACACCTACACAGAGTCGTGCTGCACAGCTGGCAAACCTGCTGTGCCTGCACACACCCATGCGAAGCCTGACAGCTAGCAAAGCAGCAGCCCAACCTCACAGAGAGACCAACCAGCCTGCCACACTAGCATGCACTCATGCCCAGCTGTACAGCCAGTATAGCAGTGGTCCTACCTTCCCAGAGAGCCCACTGCATAGCTGGTTAGACTGCTATACCTGTAAGTGCCCAGCTTGACAGCAAGGCTGGCAGCATGAAAAGCCCCCACTAGAAAGCCCACCACATAGTCTGCTGGCCCACCATGCCCAAACATGCCTGACCTAAAACCTGCCCAGACTCCCCACCCTCCAGCAAAACCATGCCACTGCCATCACAAACTTCTGCAGTTTAGGCCACTGAGGCAATCAGAGACATTACTGGTGAGATTACAGCTGAAAAAAAAAACACACAGAGACCACAGTACTGAGTCCACCCAGAGCCAAAGCTAACACAATGCCCAATCAACACCCTAGAACCCATCTACAGGAAAGCCTCTCCCTGTAAAAGTAAGTCTAGAGAATTGGAAAAAGCAACTGTTCCACTAGATGCACAGATATCAACATAGGAACACAAGAAACATAAAAAACCCAAAAGAACAATATAAGTTTCCAGTAATAGATCTTGAAGAAATGGATATTTACAAAATACCTAAAAAGGGATTCAAAATAATGATCTTAAGGAATATCAGTGAGATACAATAGTATACAGACAACTCAATAAAATCAGGAAAGCAATTCATGATCTGAATAAGAAATTCAACAAAGGGAGAGTTATCGTTAAAAAAAAAAAAAAAAGAAAGAAATCTTGGACCTGAAGAACTCAATGAATGAAATAAAAATACAATTGAGAGCTTCAACAACAGACTAGATCAGGCAGAAAATAAGAATTTCTGAACTTGAAAACAGGTCTCTTAAAACAACCCAGTGAGAGAGAGGGGAAAAAAAGAACAATAAAGAGAATAAGAAACGCTATGGGAGTTATAGGACACCATTAAGCATATAAATATTCACATTATAGAGGTGTCAGAAGGAGAAAAGATTAAGGCACAGAAAACCTATTTAACAAAATAATAGCTAAAAACTTCCCAAGTCTTGGAAGAGATATGGATATCCACAGACAGGAAACTCAAAGACACCAGTTAGATTCAGCCCAAAAAGATCTTCTCCAAGGCACATTATAATCAAACTGTCAAAAGTCACAAAGTGGGACCTTTTCCTCTCAGAAGTCCCTCTCTCTCACTAGAGAGAGAGTTGTTCTCCTTTCTCTTTCTTCTTTCTATTAAACCTCCGCTCCTAAACTCCTCGTGTATGTCTGTGTCCCAAATTTTCTTGGCATGAGAAGATGAACCCTGGGTATTTACCCCAGATGACAAAGCTGCTTCATAATGGGGGAATTATCCAGGATCCTAAGGTGCAACATTCATGAAAACGGTAAGAAGAGGACAGAACTCCAACTCTGTCCTTTCATTTTAGGGCTCTCGGCCTCCATTTTAAACCAAATCAAATCAACAACGGGCATCCTTCAGCCATTTAAGAATACAATTAGCATGGCTGCCATTCTTAAAGACTTGGATGTGAGGCTTGCTGGGGAGAACATGGAGAATCCCCCAGTACCCACAAGGGGCATATTGCTGGGCATATTGGCCATGTTTGAACCAGCTTCATTTCATGGAGGACATAGCCATCACATGGGGCTGGAAGAGGTCCTGGAGCAACTGAGGATTTCTGGCTGGGGCTACCCGCTGGTGTTATCCAAAGACTTCTGGACTGACCCCAGCCTCTGACCAACCAATGCTGTGTCAGCCACAGGATCTCCAACTTTCCTATCATAATTTCCTCCTTTCCTGTAAGCAACCACCATGTCTCCTATCCTCCTTGTGTATGCAATGTGCAGGAAGTTTTACAGTTCAGGGAAATAATCTATGGGCCCTACATAAATCAGACACTGCCCCTTCAAGCCTGCCTACAAAATCCAGTGAATTCTGCCACTGGCTGGCCTTTTCTTCTTGGAAGCCCCTCTGTTTCAGTAGAGAGAAAGCTGTTCTCCTTTCTCTTTCTTCTGCCTATTAAACCTCTGCTTCTAAACTCAAAAAAAAAAAAGTCACAAAGAGGAAATTCTAAAAGCTATGAGAGAAAAGCATCTCATTAGACTATCAGCAGACTTCTCAGCAGAAACATTGCAGGCCAGGAGAGAATGTTTCAAAGTGCTCAAAGAAAAAAAAAAACTGTCAGCCAGGCGCAGTGGCTCACACCTATAATCCCAGCACTTTGGAAGGCCGAGGCAGGCTGAGGCCAGGAATTTGAGACTAGCTTGGGCAACATGATAAAACCACCATCTCTACAAAAAATACAAAAATTAGCCAAGTGTGGTGGTGCACACCTGTAGTCCCAGCTACTAGGGCTGAGGTGGGAGAACCACTTGAACCCAGGAGGCAGAGGTTGCAGTGAGCCAAGATTGCACCACTGCACTCCAGCCTGGTGACAGAGTGAGACCCTAAGAAAAAAAAGAAAAGAAAAATAAAAAGAAGCCCACCAACCAAGATTACTGTATACAGCAAAACTATCCTTCTGAAATGAAGGAAAAATTAAGTATTTCCCAGACAAGCAAAAGCAGAGGGAATTCATAACAAGTAGACTGAACTTAAAAGAAATGCTTAAGAAAGTGCTACAACTGGAAACGAAGGATGATAATTACAATTATGAAAACACATGAAAATATAAAATTCACCAGTAGAGGTAAATTCATAATCAAACTCAGAATGCCCTAATGCTATAATGGTGCTATGTAAATCTTTCAATTCTCTGGTATGAAAGTTTGAATCCAAAATGGTCAAAAAGAACAACAACTACAATTAGTGACTAAAGAACACACAATAGATAAAGATATAAATTAAGGCAACAAAAGTAAGGGTAAGGAGGGATGTCTAGAGTATTTGTAAGCAACCAAAGTTAGGTCGTTATCAGCTTAAAATAGCCTATTATAAGACTCTTTATGCTACCCCATGGTAACCACAAAGAAAGAAATACAAAAGTGAGAAAGAAAGAGGAAACAAAGCTCAACACCACAGAAAAAAAACACCAAAGCACAGAGGTAAACAACAAGAAAGGAAGAAAAATGAAGGATCTACAAAACAACTGGAAAACAATTAACAAAATGGCAGGAATAAGTCCTTACCAATCAATAATAACCTTGAATTTAGTCAATAGCTCACACCTGTGATCCTAATGCTTTAGAAGGCTGAAGCAGGAGGATTGCTTGAGGTCAGGAGCTCAAGAGCAGCCTATGCAACATGGCAAGACATCATCTCAAAAAAAAAAAAAAAATGGAGGGGGAGGAGGAGGAGAGAAGGAGAGCAGGAAAGAAGGAAGGAAGGAGAAAGAAAGAAGAAAGAAAGAAAAAAGAAGAAAGAATAAAAGAAGAAAAGAAAAGAGAGAGAGAGGGTGGGAAGGAAAAGAAGAAAGAAGAAACCCTTCTTAGCTTATTCTATGAGGTTAGTATTATCCTAGTATCAAAACCAAAGATATTACTGAAAAATAAAACTGTAGATCAAAATTCCTTATGAATATAGACGCAAAACTCCTCAATATGATTCTAGCAAAGTGAATCCAGCAACATATAAAAAGAATTATACAATATGACCAAATGAGATTTATCATAGAAACGTAAGATTGGCTTAACATATGAAAATCAATTACATTTACAATAGCTTTAAAAATAATACAATCGGCCAGGTGCGGTGGCTCATGCCTGTAATCCCAGCACTTTGGGAGGCTGAGGTGGGCGGATTTCCTGAGGTCGGGAGTTCAAGACCAGCCTGACCAACATGGTGAAACCCCGTCTCTACTAAAAATACAAAATTAGCTGGGTGTGGTGGCACAGGTCTGTAATCCCAGCTACTCGGGAGGCTGAGGCAGGAGAATCACTTGAACCCAGGAGGCGGAGGTTGCAGTGAGCCGAGGTCACGCCATTGTACTCCAGCCTGGCAACAGAGCAAGACTACGTCTCAAAAAAAAAAAAAAAAAAGAATACAATCTTAGAAATAAATTAAACAAAAAGAGCAAGACTCATACACTGAAAACAGCAAAACATTACTGAAAAAAATTAAAGAAGACCTAAATAAATGGAAAGACAGTTTGTGTTCACAGAAGACTAATCTGGTTATGATGGCAATATTCCCTAACTTGATTTGTATATTCAGTGCAATTCTTGTCAAAATCCTAGCTATAGAAATTGTAGAAATTGACAGGCTGACACTAAAATGCATATGGAAATGCAAGGGACACAGAATAGCTAAAACAATATTTGAAAAAAAGAACTAAAGAACTCTTCTAAAAAACAAATAACTGAATTGAAAAATTGGTAAAGAATTTTAATAGAATTTCTCCAATGATGATATACAAATGGTCAATAAGCACATTAAAAGATGTTCAACATCATTAATCATTATGAAAATGCAAATCAAAACCACAGTGAGACACCACTCCACACCCACTAGGATGGCTATAATAAAAAACCTGGAAAAACAAGACAGAACAAAAAAATGAAAATCAAGGATATGAAAACATCTGGAACCCTAATAAACTGCTAATGAGAATGTGAATTGGTGCAGCCACTTTAAAAAACAGTTTAGCAGTTCCTCAAAGTTAAGCATACACTTTGGGAGGCCAAGGCAGGAGGATCATTTGAGCCCAGGAGTCCAAGACCAGCCTGGGCAGCATGGTGAGACTACATCTCTACAGAAAAGTTTTTAAAAATTAGCTGAGCATGGTTGTGCATGCCTGTAGTCCCAGCTACTCAGGAGGCTGAGGTGGGAGAAGCACTTGAGCACAGGAGGCTGAGGCTACAATGAGTCATGTTTATGCCACTGCACTCCAGCCTAGGTGACAAAGTGAGACCTTATCTCAAAAAAAAAAAAAAAAAAAAGTTACGCATAGAGTTATCAGATGGCCCAGAAATTCCACCCCTGGGTATATGTGAAATGGAAATGAAAACATGTTCACACAAAAACTTGTACACTAATGTTCACAGCAGCATTACTTAGTAGTTAAAAATTATAAACAGGCCATGCACCATGGCTCACATCTGTAATCCCAGCACTTTGGGGGGCCGAGGTAGGCGGATCACCTGGGGTCAGGAGTTTGAGACCAGCCTGGCCAACATGGTGAAACCCCGTCTCCACTAAAAAATACAAAAAAAATTAGCCAGGTGTGGTGGTGGGTGTCTGTAGTCCCAGGTACTCTGGAGGCTGAGGCGGAGTATCGCTTGAACCCAGGAGGTGGAGGTTGCAGCAAGCCGAGATTGTGCCAGTACATGCCAGCCTGGGCAACAGAGCAAGTCTCTGTCTCTAAAAAAAAAAAAGTATAAACAACCCAGATGCCTATCAACTAATGAATGGATAAACAAAATACAGTATACCCACACAGTAGAATATTATTCACCCAAAAAAAAGGAATGAAGTCCTGATCCATGCTACAACATCGATTTTTTTTTTTTTTGAGACAGGATCTTGCTAAATCACCCAGGCTGTAACTGCAGCCTCAACCTCCCTAGCTCAGGTAATTCTCCCACCTCAGCCTCCAGAGCAGCTAGGACCACAGGTGTGAGCCAACCACGCCTGGCTAATTTTGTTTAAATTTTTGCAGAGACAGATCTCACTATGTTGCCCGGGCTGGTCTTGAACCCCTAAGCTCAAGCAATTCTCCTGCCTTAGCCTCCCAAAGTGCTGAGATTACAGGTGTGAGTTACCACACTGTGCCATAATAGGATAGTTTTCATCTACTTCTCTCAGACTAAGTAAACAAAAAGAGATAACAATATAGATTATAATTAGTAAATAAGTTTTATTGATTAGTTATAGGCATCACACTGCCAAAACAGAAGATTACTTTCTTTTAAAACCTTATTCAATCTATTATAAAAAGCAGAAATCATGAAGGTTTCATTCCTGTGTCCAAAATGCAATCGATTTAGAAATGAATAACAAGGATATTTAAAGAATACATGTATTTTTATTCATGTGTACATTTTTAAGCAGTATTTTTAGTAACTAGATAAAGAAGCAATCAAAACAAATTATAAATTACTTTAAAATATGTGACACTAAGAACACACAAAATTTATACATGAAAACAAAATAGTGCAGGAAAATTTAAAACATTAATTTATTAATAAAAAAAGGATAAAAATAACCCAAAAGCTATAAAAAAGAATAACCAAAATATTCAATGAAAATAGAAGAAAAGAATTATTAAAGATAAAAACAGAAATTAATTTAATAATAAACAAATGAAAGAAAAAGAGTAGTTATTTAGTAATATCCAAATCTGGTTCTTTGTAATGACTAATAAAATAGACAAAATTCTGATAAGTTTATATAATTAGAAAAAAAGGAAAACAAAACAAAAATAAAGAATATTAGAAATGAGAAAGTATATTACAAATTTGGGGGAGAATTTTTAATTTATGAGATATTATTATATATAATTTTTTTTTAGATGGAGTCTCACTCTTTTGCCCAGGCTAGAGTGAAGTAGCACAATCTCGGCTCACTGCAACCTCCACCCCGCCGGGTTCAAGCAATTCTCTTGCCTCAGCCTTCCAAGTAGCTGGGATTACAGGCACCCACCACTACGCCCGGCTAATTTTTGTATAGTAGAGACGGGGTTTTGCCATGTTGGCCAGGCTGGTCTGGAACTCCTGACCCTCAGGTGATCCACCCGCCTCAGCCTCCCAAAGTGCTAGGATTACAGGCATGAGCCATTGCACCTGGCCGAGATATTATTATATATAATTTTATACCAATAAATTTGATGATGGTGAAATTGACGATTTTCAAGGAAAATAAAGTATACTAGAATTAGCACAATTAAGGGGTAGATAACCTGAATAAACAACTGTAAGAAGCATCAGAGATTTATTAATAGAAATAACTCCAGGCTCAAATGGTTTTACAGGCAAGTTCTACCAAATTTTTAAGAAACAGATAATTGCCATGGTACATCAACTATAAAAGTATATAAAAATAGATGAAAATTTTTTGAACTTAAACTATGAAGTTAACATAACCCTGTACTTGACTAGACAAGAACAGCCCCCAAATTAGGCTGTAGGTCCACTCTGTTCAGGAATATAGAAACAAAAATCCCTAATAATATGTTGTGAAATGAAATTCAACAATGCATTTCATGATTAATCCATGAGAATCAAGTGAGGTTTATGCCAGGAATGCAAGGACTATATTAATAGATTAATGAGGAAAAAATGAAAATTGTAATAGATGAAGGAAAAGTATTTGATACTTTTCAATACCCATAAATCAAAACTAATATAATCTTAACTAATTATGAATTTAAAAATGAAAGCTTCATTCAAGAATGAATATCTACAAGAATTTTACACAAACATCCTTCTTAATGGTGAAGTATTAGAGGTAACATTGTATTAGAAGTCCTAGTCAATGGAATAACAAATTAAAAAATTAAAAGTATAAATAGTGGAAAGAACAAGACAAACATCTTCAGTTGTAAATATTATGACACTTTTCTAGAAAAATCCCAAGAGCACAGATTAATGAATCATTAAAATTAATAAAAGGGTTTAGCACAGTAGCCAGATACAATATTATGAACAAAATTTAATATTTTTTCTATATCAGTAAAAACCAGTGGGAAAATATTGTATGGGGGGAAATTCCCTTCAGAAGGTTATCAAACCTAAAAGAAAGGAAGGAAGGGAAGGAAGGAAATGGAAGGAAGGGAAGGAAGTGAAGGAAGGGAAGGAAGGGAAGGAAAGGAAGGGAAGGAAGGGAAGGAAGGGAAGGAAGGGCAGCCTAGCAATTAACCAAACAAGAAATATGGAATTCCAGCTTCTGATAATGACCAAGGAAGCTCTAAATGAACCAACCCTTCCACAGGTAAAACAATAACCTTTGGAAAAAATATGAAAAAAAAACAAATACTTGAGGGCACTGGGAAAAGACCAAAAGCAGGTAGATTTTGGAGCGGAGTTGACAGTTAAAATATAGGAATGACACTGGGTGAGTTTCACATTTTCATGGCTTCAAGCCTGACAGCAGGCTTCAGTCTATGCCATATAGGGTGACTAAAACATCAAAATTGCAGTCTTTCTGACTTGAAAACCTAGAAGACAGAGTTCAGGACAAATATAGCCACTATACAATGAGGCAGTAATACCAGAAAAGAGAGAGTCACAGAGGTAGTGACTAACTTTCGTATATAAACTCTACTTAAATCCCTGCCTGACCCCTGGACCACACATATGTGGACAGACTTCAGCAGCCAGCTAAGGCTAAAAGAACTAAACTGAAATTTAATCTGTCACCAAAGACACAAGGACACGATGTTTATAATTTGAGTCAAACCAAATACATTGCATGCTAAAACAACAACATCAAGGTTCTTCATAGGACTGTAACAAAATCTAGATCTCCATAGCATAGCATTTATAATGCCCAATAGACAATAAAAAATTACTTGATACCCAAATAAACAGAAAATGTGGCTCACTCTCATGAAAAATGTTGATAAATACAAAACAACCCCAAGATGACCCAGATGTTTAAATTAGCAAGAAGGATTTTAAAACAGCTAGTATAACTATGCTTAAGGGTATAAAGGAAAATGTGCTCACAATAAATGATAAATAGAAAATCTCAGCAGATAAATAAAAACTACAGAAAAAAAAACCCAAATGGAAATACTAAAACTGAACAATACAATATCTGGAAAACAATTACAGCAAATTGAGGAAGATGGACAAAAGCAGCAATGAGCGTAAAAATAGATCAATAGAATTATACAATCTGAAGAGCACAGAGAAAAACATTTTTTAATGAACAGAGACTTAGTGATATGTGGGACTATATCAAAAGGTTTAACATCCATGTAATTGGAGTTGCACAAAAGAAGGAGAGAGAATGGAGCAGAAAAAATATTTTAAGAAATTATGACCAAAATTTTCTTAATATGATAAAAGAAGTAAATTTATATATTCGAGAAGCTCAATGCATCCCCAAAAGAATAAAAAATCCACACCTAGGAAGATCATAATCAACCTTCTGCAAACAAAAAAAAGATAAAATTTTTAAAGTGACCAGATACAAGTGACACATATAAACATTGAACAATTATTTGAATGACTGCTGACATCATAAATCATGAAGGCCAAAAGACAATGCAACAATATCTTTAAAATGTTTCAGAAAAACCTATCAACAAAGAATTCTATAATATTCATCATGTCAAGAATGAAAGCGAAAAACAGATATTTTCAGATAAGAGTCGGACACGGTAGCTCACACCTGTAATCCCAGCACTTTGGGATGCCCAGGCAAAAGGGTGGCTTGAGCCCAGAAGTTCAAGACCAACCTAGGCAACACAGGGAGACCCTGTCTCTGCAAAAAAATTTTTAAAAAAAAGGTGGGCATGGTGGCACACACCTGTGGCCCCAGCTACTCAGCAGGCTGAGGTGGGAGGATTGCCTGAGCCCAGAAGTTCAAGCCTCCAGTGAGCCATGATTGCATCACTGCACTCCAGCCTGGCCAACAGAGCAAAACCCTTTCTCAAAAAAAAAAGAAAATAAAAGAAAAAGAACAAAAGAAAGAAAGAAACTAAGAACCAACAGAATCACATTATAAGAAATGCTAAAGGAAAAAAATGATTCCAGATGAAATGGAAATTTAGATTTTCAGGAATTGTGACAAGCATTGGAAATGGCAAATATCTAGGTAAATATAACATAATATTTTTCTCTTTTTTTTCAACTACAAAAAATGGTTTTAAAAATCATGACATGTGATCCATAACATATGTAAAGGCAACACATATGACAACTACATAGCATAATGGATGAGAAGGCATGATTGGATCTATACAGTTGCAAGATTTTAGGGTTCACATAAAGTAGTACAATACTAACTTCCATTAGTTGTAGTAGAACAATACTCCAACTGTGAAGATTTGAAGAAATATGTTGTAAGCCCTAGAGGAACTATTTAAAAAGTAACACAAAGAGTAATATAAAAAGTAATATAAAGAGGAATAGCTAGAAAGTTAATAGATAAATTAAAATAGAAGTCCAAACAGTTTTAATACAATCCAAAAGAAAGCAAGAGAAATGGAAGAACACAGAGGAGGCAAACAGAAGTAAATGTAACCTGCCTATGAAAAAGAACTCTAACTCCTTACTGAAGCCATGAAAGAAGACTTAAATAAATAGAGAGACATTACATTTCTGAATGAATTGAATCAATACTGTAAAGCTGTCAATACTGTAAAGCTCCCACAAATTAAGTTATAAATTAAATGTAATTCAAAGCAAAATTTCTACAGAACTTGTTATGAAATTTGACAGAGTGATTGGAAATAATTTTCTGGCACAGAAAATAATATGTGAGAAGAGCAATGAAATGTTTTTAAAAGAATAATGCAAGGGAGACTTGCCCTGCAAGGTATAAAAGCATCATATGTTGATACAGAGATATTTAAAATAGTGTGTTATACCAGAGAAAACTGAACGTAGGTAGGAACTTCAATAACATTAAGGAGTTGCTCTTAATTTTTCAGAGGTGATAATGGTATTACAGTTATATAGGAAAATGCCGTAATTTTTTATTTCAGAGCTGTATATGGAAGTATTCAGGGGTCAAATGGTATGATGTCTGAGATGTGCTTTAAAACAGTGCAGCAACTAGAGAGAGAGAAAAGGGATAGAGTAAGCATTTGTAAGGAAATATTGATAATTGCTGAAACTGCGATAGTGATATGTTGTATTTATGATACTATTTTCTCTATTTTATGTATGCTTGAAATTTTTCATAAGTAACAATATCTAAGTAACAGACTATTGATGGCTCAACCTAAGATAAATAAGTAATGGACTAGAAGAGATATCCAGAAACAGATCCATGTGTAAATGTGAGTGCTTACTATACAAAATGTTGGCATTTCGAATCAGTGAAGGATGAACTATTCAGTATCTAGTGCTACACTAAATATCCATTTGTAAAAGTAAAATAAAATTAGCCCTTATTTCATCTTTTCCAAAATGAACTCCAAAGGGATTAAGACAATTTTTTGAAAAAAAAATCTACTAGGGGAAAGAAAAAGATTATAATTCTAGAGTAGAATAGTTTTTTCTAAGAACATATAAAATGTAGATGTCATAAGATTTAGAGAGTTGGCTTCATTAAAATTTAAAATTTCACTTTCCACAGACCTCCAAGGGCATTTTTAAACTATGAATGCATAGTAAAAAATGCATAGTAAAACATACATTCATGTTGTTGGAACATGTCATGAAAATCAAACAGTCATTGTGGTTGACCAATAACTTGCAGGTTCGGTAAGTTAATTACACTAAGTATTATAGTTAAGAAGCACCAGTTTTTCTTCTAATACTATATTTGGAAAAATGGGGAGGCAAAAATAGTACAAGATAGAGATGCTCAATCTGTAGCTCATGAGGAAAAGATTCACGAATATACAGTAACTAATCAGAGATGGAGGTAACCTATCAACCAGAATGTGACAATGTAAGGAACTTTGGAATAGGCAGAAAAGAGGACTTGTTGTCTCTAATAAAAAGCTATGCATTTTTAGTGCACACTCTTACAGGTAATCTAAATCTAACTCTATCATTGCCTTTGAGCTACTTTACAACTCTGTAAGTTGTAGATAACTGATATTAATGCAAAATAATTCTTGTATAAACATGAAAATTAATTATATTCAGTGAAAGTTCCATTGATTTTCCTCTTCCATTGTGCAGGAAGCCAGTTATTTTTCCATTTGCACTTTCATTTCAATATTTCTGATATATAAATATGTCTGTTGGATTATCCTTTCAACTGCTTATAATATCTTACCATTTCCTTCATTTAAAAAATTAATCAACTATAAGATTTAACACATGCTTATTTTTAAAAAAAAATTTTAACTGTTCTCTCTGGAAAGACACCATAAAGTTGAAGACAAACAGAAAAAAAAAAGTATAACTTTTTTTGTTTGTTTGTTTGTTTTTTTTAATTTATTTATTTTTTTTTATTGATCATTCTTGGGTGTTTCTCGCAGAGGGGGATTTGGCAGGGTCATAGGACAATAGTGGAGGGAAGGTCAGCAGATAAACAAGTGAACAAAGGTCTCTGGTTTTCCTAGGCAGAGGACCCTGCGGCCTTGGCCTTCCGCAGTGTTTGTGTCCCTGGGTACTTAAGATTAGGGAGTGGTGATGACTCTTAACGAGCATGCTGCCTTCAAGCATCTGTTTAACAAAGCACATCTTGCACCGCCCTTAATCCATTTAAACCTGAGTGGACACAGCACATGTTTCAGAGAGCACAGGGTTGGGGATAAGGTCACAGATCAACAGGATCCCAAGGCAGAAGAATTTTTCTTAGTACAGAACAAAATGAAAAGTCTCCCATGTCTACTTCTATCCACACAGACCCGGCAACCATCCGATTTCTCAATTTTTTCCCCACCCTTCCCGCCTTTCTATTCCACAAAACCGCCATTGTCATCATGGCCCATCCCCAATGAGCCGCTGGGCACACCTCCCAGACGGGGTCGTGGCCGGGCAGAGGGGCTCCTCACTTCCCAGTAGGGGCGGCCGGGCAGAAGCGCCCCTCACCTCCCGGATGGGGCGGCTGGCCGGGCGGGGGGCTGACCCCCCCACCACCCTCCCGGACGGGGCGGCTGGCCAGGCAGAGGGGCTCCTCACTTCCCAGTAGGGACGGCCGGGCAGAGCGCCCCTCACCTCCTGGATAGGGCGGCTGGCTGGGCGGGGGGCTGTCCCCCCCACCTCCCTCCCGGGCGGGGCGGCTGGCCGGGCAGAGGGGCTCCTCACTTCCCAGTAGGGGCAGCCAGGCAGAGGCGCCCCTCACCTCCCGGATGGGGCGGCTGGCCAGGCGGGGGGCTGATCCCCCCACCTCCCTCCCAGACGGGGCGGCTGGCCGGGCGGGGGGCTGACCCCCCCCACCTCCCTCCCGGACGGGGTGGCTGCTGGGCGGAGACGCTCCTCACTTCCCAGACGGGGTGGTTGCCGGACGGAGGGGCTCCTCACTTCTCAGACGGGGCGGTTGCCAGGCAGAGGGTTTCCTCACTTCTCAGACGGAGCGGCCGGGCAGAGACGCTCCCCACCTCCCAGACAGGGCTGCGGCCCAGCAGAGGCGCTCCTCACATCCCAGACAGGGCGGCGGGGCAGAGGTGCTCCCCACATCTCAGACGATGGGCGGCCGGGCAGAGACGCTCCTCACTTCCTAGATGGGATGGCGGCGGGGAAGAGGCGCTCCTCGCTTCCCAGATGGGATGGCGGCCGGGCAGAGACGCTCCTCACTTTCCAGACTGGGCAGCCAGGCAGAGGGGCTCCTCACATCCCAGACGATGGGTGGCCAAGCAGAGACGCTCCTCACTTCCCAGACGGGGTGGCGGCCGGGCAGAGGCTGCAATCTCGGCTCTCCGGGAGGCCAAGGCAGGCGGCTGGGAGGTGGTTGCAGCGAGCCGAGATCACGCCACTGCACTCCAGCCTGGGCACCATTGAGCACTGAGTGAACGAGACTCCATCTGCAATCCCGGCACCTCGGGAGGCCGAGGCTGGCGGATCACTCGCGGCTAGGAGCTGGAGACCAGCCCGGCCAACACAGCGAAACCCCGTCTCCACCAAAAAAAAACGAAAACCAGTCAGGCGTGGCGGTGCGCGCCTGCAATCGCAGGCACTCGGCAGGCTGAGGCAGGAGAATCAGGCAGGGAGGTTGCAGTGAGCCGAGATGGCAGCAGTACCGTCCAGCCTTGGCTCGGCATCAGAGGAGACCGTGGAGGGAGACGGAGAGGGAGAGGGAGAGGGAGAGGGAGAGGGAGAGGGAGAGGGAGGTATAACATTTTAACAAAGGAGAAATTTCCAAAATATTCGAAGAATACCCATTAAAATATGTAAAAAGCAAAACCTAACTGGAAAACAAGCAAATGGTTTGAACAAGCAAATCATGGAAGAAAAAGTGTAAATGTCCAATACATTTGAAAAATTGCATGTATAATTTAGTACAGAATGTAAGCTGCTACAAGAAAATGATCTCACATAGGGACTCAATAAAAATAGACGTTTATAGAGCTGGGCATGGTGGCACACACTTGTAGTCCCAGCTACTTGGAAGACTGAGGTGGGAGGATTGCTTTAGGCCAGGAGTTCAAGGCCAGCCTGGGCAACATAGTGAGACTCCAGTCTCTTAGAAAAATATATATATATATATTTATTGCTCTCTCTCACATAATAGATGGCCTCTGCACCACAAAACAGTCAGTTGGGCTGGTAGGGAAGCTTTGCCATTCTTACTATACGGCCTTCAACAATGCTCTGGTCAGCACTTTTCCAGCTGCTGGAAAGAGGAAAAGGGGAAGACCAAGGCAAGCTTTCATCCCATTGGCCTGAACTAAGTCACATGACCACAGCCAGCTGCAAAGGCAGCTGGGAAATGTAGTCTTTAACCACTAAAAGGAAGAAGGTCGATACTAGAGGACAGTTAGAGATATCTACCATAATGCAAAGAAAAGTAAATTAAAACAGTACAAAGCCATTTCCAGTCAGATTGTCAAACATGTTTAAGTTTTATAGTATGAAAACTGACAAGAACAAAAGGAAACAAATATCCCAATATATTATTACAGAGGGTATAAGTTCAAGAGAGTTTGGCAACATCGCTCAAACTTAACACATCTACACGTGAATCTGAAATTCTCTTTAAACAGACTTACCACATAGGAATTCTTACACTTGTTCTAAAAAAGAATGCACAGGTGTATTCATCGCAGCATTGTCTGTTACAGGAAAAAAAAAGAAAGAAACTTAAATGTCCATCAATAGAGGAAATAATCTTAAATTCTGACATAATTCCTTCTATAGAAAGGAAACTAGCTCTAGGATATACAGCAAACTGGAAGAGCAAGATACACAATAATATACAAATGATACTATTCATAGGACAATATATAATTGTCCTACGAATATACTAGTACATATGAAACCACATGGAAATAAAATAGGAATTATGCTCACCAAACAGCAGTAACTTATCCCTAGAGCAGGGAGATGAGTGTGCTAGAAAGAAGGCAAACTTTATTGTTTTCTATCCACTTAATAATTATTTTAATATTTTACAGTAAGAATGTTTTCATGTATTCCACTTTTTTAAAAAACAAAAGACAGGGAATGAAAAGAAACCAAATTGGGGAAGGAGAGTGTACTAATAAAACAAAAAAGTGAAGAGATATAATACAATGGTAGTATCAATGGTGAAATTAAAACTGATTTTTCTCTCCAATTTTTCTGCAATAGTTTATTTGTTTTTGGAATAAAAATTTTTTTTAACTTGTCTCTGAGCTGGACAGTAAACTGACTGAGTGCCTGGTATTTCTCCAACTCACTTCCTGAAAGTAGCCTCGCTCTTCTGAATAGAAACCAACAGACCTATGTACCTTTGGGAAAAAGGATGAGGACTTTTCTACTGCATTTTAGGATGGTTTCCACAAAGTAGTTAAGTAAATTTGCTCTTTCATCTTTTCAGATTATCATTTAATCTTAAAACCATGTGGTGATGATAAAGATGACGATGACAGACTTTGTAGCTACAGGAGGAAATGTTCTTGACGATTTTAAGTAGAATAAAAAAAGGAAGAAACAAAACTGTAGACTCTAATTACACACGAACAAAGTTAACAAATATAACTCAAAGAAAAAGTAGCTCCCTGAATGTTTCTGAGGTAGAGTGATGGGATTATGAATTTTTTTTGGTCAATATATCCTTTAAGATTGCTCTAAGAATAGATAAAAATCAATGATGGAGCAGGGGAAACAGGCAGAAAATAAGTGGGAAACAATTTCCCTGGAATACAATAAAACAGACAAATTCTGATCAATGGTTCAGAATTTTTTTGTTTGTTTTTGGTTTGAGACAGAGTCTGTCACCCAGGCTGGAGTTAGGTGGCATGATCATGGCTCACTGCAGCCTCAAATTCCTGGGCTCAAGCAATTCTCCTGTCTTAGCCCTGCAAATAGCTGGTACTTCAGGTGCGTAGTCACTACTCGCAGCTGTTTGTATTTTTTGCAGAAACAGGGTTTCACCATGTTGCTCAGGCTGGTCTCAAACTCCTGGCCTCAAGTGATCCACCCACTTCAGCTTCCCAAAGTGCTGGGATTACAGGTGTGAGCCATTGCACCTGGCCTGAAATTGAGTTGTTTTTAATCATGGAAAATAACATCAATACAACATGCAAACAATACCAAAAGTTATTCAAGAAAATAAATGGAATAATTTACATAAAGTAACCCACAATGATTTGGAATACAGACAACTCTATTTTATAGGAAAACCTTTCTAAATCCCTACAACACACAGAGTATGAAGCCATCAGCCACCACAAAGAGAATTAATTGCTACAGAGCATCTCTTAGGGCCAGGCTGGTTGCCACAGCTGAACATAAAATGTCCGTCTTCATAAAGCACTGTCCACTCCTACCACTTTGTTAACAGGTCAGCTCTCAGCACTTTGAGATTCCCCAGAGGACAGAAATTATTTTGTTTTCTTACAAATATACTGCTTAGAAACTCCTGAAATTCCAAGACATTTTTCTTAAGAATTAGAGATGCCAGCGATAATTTTCAGACTCTACAACCTCTGTTAAGGTTCTCAGCCAACTACTAAACAATACCATTTGCAATTTGCAGTCTTTTAAGCAGATTGCAAACCATGTGACTGTTTCTAATTCCAAGCCATCTTAAATTTCACTAGTAAAATTTCCAAACACTGTTTGAAATGTGTTGCTAACATTTACGCATATAACATCTACTGCATTTCCTCTAATTTAAAAACTATCAAAATAAGCTGCAAAATGTTGCCCAATATAACTTTTTTTTCTGCTAAACACTCTCTGCTTGAAACTCACAGCTTCATTATGTTACTGGTCATCAGCCAGTTCTCTCCATTCCCTTACCATTCATTCAAAAACATCAATGTTAATTTCACATATGAATATTCTCAAGATAACACTCATCTTTATAATGTATCTTCTCCTTAACTTCCTGTGCTATCTTCCATGATAGCACATGAAACACAGGTTTCAACAGGTAAGGGGTAGGCTAAGCCCCAATTTTAGAGCTCACCTGCCCTGCATCATCTAGATGGCTATTCTCCACCAACCCCAGCTCATCACAAGTGGGCCAGGAATAGAAGTTATTGCAAGTGGGCCAGGAATAGAACTTAGGGGTGGCCAACATAGTGTAATCAAGGGTCACAGCCCAATAGAGTAAAAAACTGGGAGAGAAGGACAAGATCAACTTTCTGAAAGGGGAAAGTCTTGAGCCTAAGCCAGCAAGAATAGTTACCAAAGTCAATCCCTTTGAGAATAAGAATTGAGAGGTGGATTCAAAGAGTAAGGCCAAAACTGAATTAACTGAATTAAAGCTCCAACAATGCCAGAACAATTGAACAGTTACTAGAATCACCTTAATGGGGGCCTTGGAATTATCTTTATGAACCAATTGACACCTGGTGCATGACTTAAAAGCATACGCTTTAAAAGATGAATAGATCCAAACTTTAGTATGAAGTAGATCTTCCACAACTGATGACACCTGCTTCACAAACTATAAATTTTCTCTTTCCCTTTTCAAAAATTAATTATACAGAGAACCACTTGCCCAATTAGAAGCAGTCCAACATATCCCTCTTGAGGTATCCTCTCTCTACCTCCTCCACCTCCACTACCTACGGACCACTTGGAAGCTTACCCAGGTTAAAGTGCTGCAGGCTCTTTCTCATGCCAAGCTGAGAGAAGGCTACAACAGCTCCCATGGCACTGGCAAGGACTCAGGAAAACGGGCATTCTCATACATGGCTAAGAAAAGTTTCACATTCTACAGCATTTTAAAAAAGTTATCTGGCAATAGCTCTTGACTTACAAAATGCACGTACATTTCACACAACAGTCCAACTTATAGGACTCCACCTTATAAGAACTAAAAGAATTAGCCCACAAGAACATATGTACAAGAATGTGACCGGGCACAGTGGCTCACACCTGAATCCCAGCATTTCAGGAGGCCAAGGCGGGTGGATCACTTGAGGTCAGGAGTTCGAGACTGGCCTGACCAACATGGTGACACCCATATCTACTAAAAATACAAAAATTAGCTGGGCATGGTGGCGGGCACCTGTAATCCCAGCTACTTGGGAGGTTGAGGCACAAGAATTGCTTGAACCCAGGAGGCAGAAGTTGCAGTGAGCCAAGATTGCACCACTGCACTCCAGCCTGGGGAACAGAGCAAAACTCTGTCTCAAAAAAATAAAAAAAAAAAATGTTTAAGGAGATTTTTTCTTGCCGGGCACAGTGGCTCATGCCTGAATCCCAGCACTTTGGGAGACTGAGGCGGGTGGATCACTTGAGGTCAGGAGTTCAAGACTGGCCTGACCAACATGGTGAAACCCATCTTTACTAAAAATACAAAAATTAGGCCAGGAGCGGTGGCTCACATCTGTAATCCCAGCACTCTGGGAGGTCGAGGTGGGCGGATAACGAGGTCAGGAGATCGAGACCACCCTGGCTAACACGGTGAAACTCCGTCTCTACTAAAAATACAAAAAATTAGCCGGGCGTGATGGCGGGCGCCTGTAGTCCCAGCTACTCGGGAGGCTGAGGCAGGAGAATGGCATGAACCCAGGAGGCGGAGGTTGCAGTGAGCCGAGATTGCCCCACTGCACTCCAGCCTAGGTGACAGAGCGAGACTCCGTCTCAAAAAAAAAAAAAAAAAAAAAAAAAAAACATACAAAAATTAGCCGGGCATGGGGGCGGGCACCTGTAGTCCCAGCTACTTGGGAGGTTGAGGCAGGAGAATCACTTGAACCCAGGAGGCAGAGGTTGCAGTGAGCCGAGATCAAGCCCCTGCACTCCAACCTGGGTGACAGAGTGAGACGGTGTCTCAAAAAATAAAAAAATTAAAAAAACAGAGAGGTTTTTTTTTTTTTTACTGTAGAAACTATACAAAGTGGACAAGACACTATGAAAAAGATTGGGCAATTTTTTTTTAAGGAAACAATTTTAAACCTGGCAAAAGAAAAAGCTAGGTGTAGTGGTGTGCCTATAGTTCTGGCTACTCAGGACGCTGAGATGGGAGGATTGCTTGAGCTCAGGAGGTCAGGGGTGCAGTAAACTGTGATTGCACCAGTGCATTCCAGCCTGGGGAACAGAGCAAAATTCTGTCTAAAAAAGAAAGAAAAAAGAAAAACTTCTGGAAAATATTTAAATATTCATTAAAATTAAAACTCAGTGATGAAATAAGTGGGTTGGCTGGTTTTGTTCTACTGAGAACAGCTATAAAAGCTAGACTAAATATTTTTAACCTGTTTGAAGGCATTGGAGAACTATCAAAATAGTTAGGATTTATAGAACAAAAGACCCAAAATAAAGGAAATCCCAGAAAGGGGACTATAACATAACTTCCTCCCTTAAAGTATTTGCCAATTTGAAAACAATAGCTGAGGAGCTGAACAATCTTTCAGTTGACTTACTGACTTCAAGTTGACTGGGAGCCTAAAAATCGGAGTTAGGCCCACCAAGGAGGTAAGACATTTCAAATGAAACCCTGAAGGGTTATACCCTAAAAGAAAGAGTGAGCCAAAATAGACCAGCCCTTCTAAGGATTAAAGCCTACTGTATTAGTGTTCTCCAGAGAAGCATAACTAAGGCTGGGCATGGTGGCTTACAGCTATAATCTTAGCACTTTGCGAGGCCAAGGTGGGAGGGTTACTTGAGGCCAGGAGTTTAAGACGAGCCTGGGCAACATGATGAGACCCTGTCTCTACAAAAAAAAACTTTTTAAATTAGCGAGGCTTGAGGATGTGTATCTGTGGTCCCAGCTACTAGGGAGGCTGAGGCAGGCAGATCACTTGAGCCCAAGAAGTCAAGGCTGCAGTGAGCTGTGTTTACACCACTATACTCCAGCCTGAGTATAAGATCAAGACCCTGTCTCAAAAAAACAAAATAAAATAAAATAACCACAGAACTAATAGGAGATAGATAGACAGACAGACAGATAGATGGAGATTTATTATAGGAATTGACTCACACAATTATAGAGGCTGAAAATTCCCATAATCTGTCATCCGCAAGACAAAGAACTAGGAGATCTAATGGTGTAATTCAGGACAAGTCCAAAGGCCTGAGAAACGGGCAGGTCAATGGTGCAAGTTGCAATTTGAGTCTGGAAACACCCTCACAAACATACCTAGAAATAATGTTTTGCCAGCTACGTGGTCATCACGTAGCCCAGTCAAGTTAACACATGCCATTAATCATCACAACTACCTTTATATCATATCAATCTCTAATTTTTTTTAATTTTTTAAAAATTTATTTATTTATTTATTTATTTATTTATTTATTTATTTATTTTGAGGCAGAGTCTTACTCTGTTGCCCAGGCTGGAGTGCTGTGGTACGATCTCCACTCACTACAACTTCTGTCTCCCAGGTTCAAGTGATTCTCCTGCCTCAGCCTCCCCAGTAGGTGGGATTACAGGTACCTACCACCACACCTGGCTAGTTTTCGTATTTTAAGTAGAGACAGAGTTTCACCATGTTGGCCAAGATGGTCTTGAACACCTGACCTCAAATGATCCGCCCACCTCAGCCTCCCAAAATGCTAGGATTACAGGTGTGAGCCACCATGCCTGGCCTTCAATTTCTAATTGAACTAAGGTTATCTGCCACTGATCTGCTTGCCAGAAGCAAAAGTAAATTCTCTTTGGAAGGAAATTTAATCATCTAGAGACACAATTTATCTCTAAAATTTTTGTGTGTGATCTTTGGCATTTCACCAAAGATAACCAAGCAGATAAAAGTATAAATACTGACTAAAAATCAAGACAAAAGCAAAAACAACAGAAACAAACAGGAAATTCAAATATTTTAGTTATTAGACACAAACTTTAACTCAAACTAGTGATTCCACTTCTAAATGAAAATGGTATTGTGAGGAGCTTCACAGACCTGCCCCACAGTGAAACCACCACAGAATTTTTTATAAAATGGTGAAAATTATAAGAAAAAAACCAATCATTTAAATTATCTGGAAATGTTCTTAATGGAAATATATCAAGTAGAGATCTTTATTCAAGAAATTCTACTAAATCATAGCAGAAATAGCAAGTCTGTGGCACTTCAGCCATGACCCACCCTCTATCCACCCTTCCCCCACAGGTCAGGGTAATGGAAGCTCCACTATGAGTGGGTGTGGCCTAGAAGACAGGCTCCCCCTTCCCTCAGCTCCCACTCAAGGGCCACAGTATATACCTACGGAAGGCTAGTGGACAACATTTCCCATCCCCGCAGCTCCATGTTGCAAAGGCTAAATTCTGGGCAAGTACAGCCGACAAGCTGGAGGCTCCCTTCCTTCATCCAGACCCTAAATGTAAAGCAGAGGTTCGACATCAGAAACAGCAGGCTGAGAACACCAGGCTCCAGATCATTCAAAGGGTCCATGCCAGGAAAGGCATCATTCAGAGGGTCCATGCCAGGAAAGGGAAGCCAAGAAGACCAGAGGCTACCACTGCCCGGTTCAGTGCCCTACTCTTCAACCAAACTGTCACTGCAAGAGAATTGGGCTACTATCACTGCTTCCAGCTCCAGAATAGTGGCTCAGAGATTCTGCCCAGCAGACAAGGCAGATTACAAGAATAGAGAGCTCCAAAGCACCTTCCAAAGGTACTGACTTTTTGGAAAAGAATATAGGGAAGTTCAACCTAAGGGCTCTCTCAAAAACAGTGGAAGTTTTGGTGGCAAGCAATTAAGGAAAGGTTGGCAGCTCCATGAGAGCAGCAAACTAAACTACAGTCCAGCTAATTTACCAGAAAGTGTCATGAATGGAGACCGCTAAGAGTCCTCCTGAGATCAAAGCAAACCTCAGAGATTGGCCTCAAAAACTACTCCTGCAAAGAAGTTTAATTTTTTTTTTTTTTTTTGGAGGCCGAGTCTTGCTCTGTCACCCAGGCTGGAGTCCAGTGGCACCAAGTTGGCTCACTGCAACCTCTACCTCATAGGTTCAACCAATTCTCCTGTCTCAACTTCCAAGCAGCTGGGATTACAGGCCCATGCCACCATGCCCAGCTAATTTTTGTATTTTCAGTAGAGACAGGGTTTCACCATGTTGGTCGGGCTGGTCTGAAACTATTGACCTAAAGTGATCCACCTGCCTTGGCCTCCCAAAGTGTTGGGATTACAGGCATGAGCTACCACGCCTGGCCAAGGAGTTTAAATTTAATTGAATAAAACTGTGGAGCAATTTATGCCCTAGGACATTGTCAAAAACTAAATAGAGGAATTAGCTAACAGTGGAGCCCAACATCTGGGTGTGATACCAACAGAGGCAAACAGCATAACAAAGAAATGAGGAAAAGAGACAGAGATAGCCCTGCTAAAACTACTTATTCCAGGGCCGGGTGCAGTGGCTCACCCCTGTAATCCCAGCACTTTGGGAGGCTGAGGTGGGTGGATCACGAGGTCAGGAGATCGAGACCATCCTGGCTAACATGGTGAAACCCCATCTCTACTAAAAATACAAAAAAAATTAGCTGGGCGTGGTGGTGGGCACCTGTAGTCCCAGCTACTCGGGAGGCTGAGGCAGGAGAATGGTGTGAACCCGGGAGGCAGAGCTTGCAGTGAGCGAGATCGTGCAACTGCACTCCAGCCTGGGCAACTGAGCAAGACTCTGTCTCAAAAAAAAAAAAAAAAAAAACTACTTATTCCAAGGTGACCATGAGCATGGCTAAGCCTGCACCCTCTGAGGAGAGACACCAAAGGCTTCAGCTGTGGGAAAACAGACTTTACTAAAATAGTCCAGCTAAATGAGTAACAAATAATAAGAAAAATACAACAACAAACTCAAGAAGAAGGATCTGTATGCAGAATTACTGCAAAATAAAATATAAAATGCCCAGCTTTTAACAAGAAATTATGAGACAGGCAAAGAAACTGGAAGTTGTGACCCATACCTGAGGGGAAAAATCAAGCAACAGAAACTGCCTGTGGGAGGGCCCCGAGGCTACACTTAACACACAAAGACTGAAATGCAGCCATTATAAATATGTTTAGAGAACTAAAGAAAGCACGCTAAAGAAGTAAAGTATGATGACAATGTCTCATCAAAAGAGAATACCAATGAAGAGATACAAAGTACAAAAAAGAACGAAAGGGAAATTTTTGAGTTGAAAAGTACAATCACTGAAATTTAAAATTCACAGAAAAGGCATAACAGTAGATTTAACCTAGCAGAATAAAGAATCAGAGAACATTAAGTAGATGAATAGAGCTTGTGCAATCTCAAGAACAGAGAAAACTTATGAAGAAAAATGAACAAAGCCTCAAAGAATTTGGGACTCCTTTAATTGCATCAACATATGATAAATAAGAGTACCAAGAGAAGAGAGAGAAAATGGTATAAAAAAATTCTTTAAAAAATGGCAAAAACTTCCCAAATTTGATGAAAGCCAGTATTACTCTATATTTCCAAGAAGTTCAAAGAACTCCAAATAGAATAAATGCAGAGATCCACACCCAGACATCTCATAGCACAATTGGCTACCATAAAATAAACTGCTATGGAAACTTGTATACAAATTTTTATGTGGATTCTATTTCATTTCTCTTAGGTATACCTAGTAGTGGAGTTACTAGGTATATGGTAACTTTATGTTTATCCTCTTGAGAAATTATCAGATTGTTTTCTAAAGTGGTTGTACCACTTTACATTCCAATCAGCAGTGTGTGAAAGTTCCAATTTTTCCTTATCTCATGAGCTCTTGTATTAATAATTGTCCATCTTTTAAATTACAGCCATTCTAGTGGTATGAAACAGAGTTTCATTGTGGTTTTCATTTGCATTTCCCTGATGGCTAATGATGTTGAGCATCTTGTCATGCACTTACTGGCATTTGTATGTGTTTTTTGAAAAAATGTGTATTGAGATCCTTTGACCTCCTTTTAATTGTTTACGTGTCTTTTTTTAAATCATTGAGTTGTAAGAGTTCTTCATATATTCTAGATAAAAGTCTCTGATTAGACATACAATTTTCAAATATTTTCTTTCACTCGCTGGTTTGTCTTTTTCACTTTCTTGATGGTATCCTTTGAAGCATAAAAGTATTTAAATTTACAAAAAAGACAGCAAATTCAAATTCATATGCAAATTCAAAGAATCTAGAATAGCCAAAATTATCTTTAAAAAGAAAAACAAAGTTGGAAGACTCACACTTCCCAATTTCAAAACTTGCTACAGTAATTAAGATACTTTGGTACTAGCACAAGGATATGCCTATAGATCAGTGGAATAGAATTGAGAGTCCAAAAATAAAACCTCATGCCAATTGATTTTAGACAAGGGTGCAAAGATAGTTCAAGGGGGAAAGAATGGTCTTCAAAAACAGGTGCTCCAACAACTGCATATCCACATGCAAAAGAATAAATGTGGACTCCTCTCACATAAAACATACATACAAAAAACATGCAAAATGGACCATAAAACAAAATGTGAGAACTAAAGCTATAAAATCTTATTAGAAAATATAGGGAAAAGTATTCATGACCTTCATTTAGGCAAAGCCTTCTTAGGTATAACATTAAAAGCACAAGCAACAAAAGAAGAATGAATTGAATTTTATCACAATCTAAAACTTTCATCCTTCAAAGGATACCAAACTTCGTGCTTCAAAAGATACCATCAAGAAAGTGAAAAAGACAGCTGGGCATGGTGGCTAACACCTGTAATCTCAGCACTTGGGAAGCCGAGGCAGGCAGATCACTTGAGGTCAGGAGTTCGAGACCAGCCTGGCCAACATGGTGAAACCCTGTCTCTACTAAAAATAAAAATTAGCTGGGTGTGGTCTAGGATTACATGTCTGTAATCCCAGCTACTTGGGAGGCTGAGGCAGGAGAATTCCTTGAACCCAGGAGGTGGAGGTTGCAGTGAGCCAAGATGGTACCACTGTACTTCAGCCTGGGCAACAGAGTGAGACAAGAAAGGAAAGGGAAGGGGAGGGGAGGGGAGGAAGGGAAAAGGGAAAAGGGAAAAGGAAAAAGGAAAAGGAAATGGAAATGGAAAAGGAAAAGAGAAAGACAGAAAGAGAGAGAAAGAAAAGAGAGAGAGAGAGCCAGAGAGAGGAAGGAAAGGAAGAAAGGAAGGAAGGGGAAGGAAAAAAGGAAAGTTGGAAGGAAGGGAGAAAGAAAGAAGGAAAGAAGGAACGAAGGAAGGGAGGGAGAGGAAGACAGAAAGGAAGGGAGGGAGGGAGGGAGGAAGGAAGGAAGGAAGGAAGGAAGGAAAAAAGACAAACCAGAGAATGAAAGAAAATATTTGCAAATTGTATGTCTAATCAGAGACTTTTATCTAGTATATATGAAGAACTCTTACAACTCAATGATTAAAAAAAGACATATAAACCAAATAGAAGGTAGTGAAAGGATCTCAAAACACATTTTTCCAAAAAAGGCATACAAATGCCAGTAAGCGCATGACAAGATGCCCAACATCATTAGCCATCAGGGAAATGCAAATCAAAGCCACAATGATACTCTGTTTCATACCACTAGAATGGCTCTAATTTAAAAGATCGATAATTACAAGGGTTGGCATGATGAGGAGAAACTGGAACCTTCATAGCCTGCTGATTGGAATGTAAAGTAGTGCCACCAGTTTAGCAAAACAGTCTGATAGTTTCTCAAGAGGATATAGTTACCATATACCTAGTAATTCCACTCCCAGGTATATACCCAAGAGAGATGAAATATACATTCCCACAAAAATGTGTACACAAATGTTCATAGCAGCATTATTTATAAGAGCCCAAAAGTGAGGGGGCAGGGGGACAAATGCCCATCAACTGATGAATGGATAAATAAAATGTGGTATATGTTTACAATGGAATATTATTCAGCCAAGTAAAGGAATGTAGTGCTGATACATGCCACAACATGGATGAGTTTTTAAAACATTATGCTAAGTGAAAGAAGCCAGACACAGAAGGCCACATATTGTGTGATTCCATTTACATGAAATGTCCTCATTAGGCAAATCCATAGAGACAGAAGCAGATTAGTGGTGGCCAGGGGCTGGGGGGGCAATAGGGAGTATGGGTTTTCTCTTTGGGATGATAGAAATGCTCTGGATTTAAATAGTTGTAATGATTGCACAAATTTGTGAATATACTAATAACCACAGAATTATACACTTTTAAATGGTTAACATGGTGAATTTTGCTATGTGAATTTTATCTCTATTTAAAAAAAAACTGTGGACAATATTTATCTCAAAATCAGGTGACAAGGTGAGTGCACACATTGCCAAAACTCACTCAACATAACACTTAAGATTTGTACATTTTGTTGTTTGTAGATTATACCTCAATTGGAAAAAAATGTTGGGTGTTAAGCTAGCCCCACAACATCAACATACACTTGGGGACAAAACCTTAGTAGCCACAAGACCTGCACTAGCATTGGTGCAGAGGAGAGCAGAGAAAAACAATGGGACACATAATAAACCTGAAAACAGGAGACCCCCAAAATATCCAGTAGGCATTGGTTGGAAAGTATATGGGTCAGTTTTAATTTAGCACCTGAAAGAGAGTGCTTTACACAATCCAATGGCTAGTGAGTGCAAGGGGTCCCCAGTAAGATATGAAGGACCAGAGGCAGTCAACTCTCCGTGAATTCTCAAAATTGACCTGCCTCCCTCTAAGGACAGGGCCCCACCTTGCAGGACAATGGAGGTGAAGAAAAGAGAAGATCCACATGAAAATAGAGGAGATGAACAGAGCCACAAAATCTCAGCAAGGACATCACTATATTTTTTAACACTTCACAAAACACTCCTTGAAGAGGGAGCTCTAGCAAGTTAGCAAAGCCACTCTGCATCATAGCTTCTTCCAAAAGTTTAGGAAATTAATTTTGCATGAAATCGAATAACAGAAAAGCATGCACATCAAAGTCCATATAAAGTTATTATAAGAAAAAAGATCACGAACAAAATAACATTCCTACAGATCATGAAAATATGCCACTAAAATAGGTCCCAGAACTGATCAAAATGTAATCTTCCATTTCAAAATGAGCTAAGTGGCATTTTTAAATGATATAACACATGCAATAACATAAGTAAGAACTAGAGCAACTCAGAAATGCAGCGACAGCTCATCATTAAAAACCACATACTGGTGACAGGTGTTTCGACAACTGTTCGGCTGAGTCTGCTGCAAAGCCGTGTGGTCCGTAAGGCCGCTGGGAGTTTTTCTTTGTTCTCCTGTTCTTTGTTCCCAACAGCAGACCCAGGTTGTTGGACAGAGGGACCTGAGCTGAGCAGCAGGTATTATCTCACTCACCTTTACAGACAGCAGCAGCAGGGTCCAAGGTGAGGGTGGGTTGCAGGGCTGACTGTAGTTCCAAAGCAAGCTGGGTTCTTCTGAAAAATGACAGCGTCTTAAGTCTACAGAGCTGCCTCTAGCAAAAGGTTTGTGTGAGTCCGTGTATGCTGAGCTTTTTGTTGTTTTTTTAGATAAGAAACAGAAGAAAATCATCCCAGATTCTGTCATTCCCTGGAAAGAGAAGGGGAATTCCAAGTTTCTCAGAGGCTCTTTGGGGTCACTAGCCAACCACCCACATGTAGGAGTTAACACCTACCATCACTGGAGGTTTCAAAGACCTGGCTTGGAGAACATGCAGGGAGGAGGGCCGGGATGTGCCCATGCAGAGTCCCCTTGGTGTCACCATGGGCGCGTCACAGCCAGTCAGGCTCTGGATTCTACACCGTGTGTAGCATAGAGAAGTAACTTCTTGTTGTCATTCATTACTACCTTAAAGAACTGGAGGAATCATCTCCTAGGAAACAGTGCCATGTTTGTGCCCAGCAAACAGTGCCCAGGTGCCATCTGGGAAGGGGCAGTTTTATTGAAAGATGTCTTACTGCTTATTCTAGAGTTTTTAGCAACTCCCCTTCTTGCCTCCACCCCCCAGACCTTACTTTTTACCAGCTTGTCTTTTTTTCTTCTTCTTTATCCCAAAGGTTTTAACCTCCAGTCCCTTCTTGATGCCCACTTGATGGAATTCTCCAGCACCATCTGCCCTTGTTCACTCATCTGCTTTTCCTTCTCTTCTCCCTGCAAGCACCTGATTACCATCCTATGATGACTTCTCTCCACTCCCACCCTGCCCCCATGGTCCAGTTATCCCTGGATGAGTGTGGATCTGCTAAAGCCACACACATTCATCTCTGCCTGTACACTTTAGACATACAGTCAGACCCCCACTCACACTTAATTTGGGTGCACATTATCTGTCAATAGACGAAAAAGAGTTTTCTCATTTTGAAATTTAACAGAACAGTCAGGGATACTATTACAAAGTCAAGGTGTACCCTTTGGGTGAACCTGCTGTCAGAATGACAGTACTTCCTATTTGAGAAAAGAGAAAAACAAAAAGATAAAAAAAATTGAAGTGACGCAATTCAGCAAAGAATTCAAATTTTAAAATACATTATTCAAGAATAAATATTATACTATAAGGAACACAAGAGCAAGTAATCACAATGTATAATGCCTTAAGAGAAAATTAGAAAAGCCTTTGAAATAAAAAGAAGCTTGCCCCATCTAGCACATAAGGACCTTAGGAGTCATCACTCTGTCCTAACAAGTTAAAACTTGACAAAACAAAAATCAGTACCTCTTCTTAGATTTGTTAGAAAATTAAATTTGCAGAGCAAACCAGTAGTCCTAGACAGGAGGATACAGAGAATCAACTTACAGGAGCAGAAACTCATAAAAAGAAATCTGTGCAGGAACAAATACCAGGCTAGAAAAACCTGAACTGTAGTTGATGAATTGCTGGAGGCTCCGTGTGGACAAGTCTGGGAGTTAAAGCTCCAGGAGGGCCCACTTGCAAGGGGGATGCCTACACTTTACCTCCAGGAGTTCCTCCGAGTTCTCACAGTGAACATCAGAGAAAAATCTCCTTGGGCTTCCAGCAGGAAGAGGGAAAAGTAATGGTAAGAGGGAGAGGAATAGTAAAGTAAAGGTGTAATTTTGAAATACTCCAGAACATTCTGTTCTTCTTAACAAGGCCTGTCCTCAAGAGAAACTATTTTACCAAAGCCTAACCCTACTAGGATTTTATCAGATCCTAACAAACCTGAGGGAAGGCAAATACCCAAATCCAGGCCCCTGTAGCCATCCTGTCCCACCTAAAGGGGTTAAAAAAAAAAAAAAAAAAACCTGAGACTTGGCTGGGCACGGTGGCTCACGCCTATAATCCCAGCACTTTGGGAGGCCGAGGTGGGTGGGTCACAAGGTCAGGAGATCGAGACCATCCTGGCTAACACGGTGAAACCCCATCTCTACTAAAACTACAAAAATAAAATTAGCCGGGCGTAGTGGCGGGCGCCTGTAGTCCCAGCTACTCGGGAGGCTAAGGTGGGAGAATGGTGTGAACTCAGGAGGCGGAGCTTGCAGTGAGCCAAGATCATGCCACTGCACTCCATCCTGGGCAACAGAGCAAGAATCCATCTCAAAAAAAAAAAAAAACTGAGACTTATCACAGGACTATACAACACTGCCCCTCCCCAACACCTTACCACCACATCACTGAAGGCCTATTTACCTCAGTTCCTTTTACCCAACACATTACGTCTGACTTTCAACAAAAAATTACAAGGCATACTAAAAGAATACGTACACAGTTTGAAGAAACAAAATAAACACCAGAATCAAACCCCCCAGGAGTGTCAAGAATGTTGGAATTATCGGACCATTAATTAAAATAGCTATGATTAATATGTTAAAGGAACTAATGGCAAAAGTAGACAACATGCAAGAACAGATGCGTAATGTAAGCAGAGATATAGAACTTCTGAGAAACAGCAAAAAAGAAATGCTAGCAATCAAAAACAGAAATAAAGAGTGCCTTTGATGGGTTCATTAGTAGACTGGAAAAGAAATTCTCTGCACCTGAGAATATATCAATAGAAACTTTCGAAACTGAAAAGCAAAGAGATAAAAGACTGGGAGAAAAATGGAACAGAGTTTACAAGAACTGTGGGACAACTACAAAAGGTATAACATGCAGAATAGGGATTCCAGAAGGAGAAGAAAATGAGAAAGGAACAGAAAAAATATTTAAACAATAATTATTGAGGATTTCCCTCAAATTAATTTCAGACACCAAACCACAAATCCAGGAAGTTCAGAAAACACCAAGCAGAATAAAAGCCTCCAAAAATGACATGTAGGTATATTATATTCAAACTACAGGAAGAAGTTGGGAGGGTTGCAGGGAGAACACTTTATCTATAAAGAAGCAAAGATAAGAATTGTATTCAACTTTGCAAAACAATGCAGCCAAAAAGAGAGTAGAGTAGTAGAGTGAAATATTTAAAGAGTTGAGGAAATGAAAGCCAACAGCCTAGAATTCTGTATTCTACAAAATTATCTTTAAAAAGTGAAGGAGAAATACTTTCTCAGACAAATAAAATTGAAGGAATTTGTTAGCAGTAGAGCCGCCTTGTGAGAAATGTTAAAAGAAGTTCTTCAAAGAAAAGAAAAATGATGTAGGTGAGAAACTCAGATGTTTCTCACAGAAAGGAAGAGCATTAGAGAATAGATAAATGTGAAGATAAAATTAAAAACTTTTTTATTAATTTATTTAATATGTAACAGTTTGTTCAATATAGTAATAGTAACAATGCATTTGATGATTATAGCTTATGTATAAGTGAAATGAATGACAGCAATAATACAGGAGGAGAAAATAAGAATACTCAGTTATTATAAAATACTTGCAGTATCCATGAAATGGTATAGAGTTATTTAAAAGTGAACTTGGCTTGGTTGTAAATGTATATGACAAAGTCTAGGGCAACCACTGAAAAAGTTTTAAAAAAAGTATAATTGATATGCTGAGAAAGAAAAATATGGAATCATATAAAATGCTCTCTTAAAACCACAAAAGGCAGGAACAGTGTGGAAAACAAAAATAAGGACAAAGAACAAAGGCAACAAATAGCACACAGTAACAAATATGGTAGATATGAGCCCAACTATATCAATAATCACATTAAATTTTAATGGTCTAAATACAGCAATTAAAAGACAAAGATTGTCAGAGTGGATCAAAAAACAAGACACTAATATATGTTGTCTAGAAGAAACCTGCTTTAAATGTAAAGATACATATCAATTAAAAGTAAAGGCATATAAGGGTTTGGCGATGATTTCTTCGATATGACACCCACAGCACATTCAACAAAGGCAAAAATAGATAAATGGTGCTACATCCAGCTTGAAAACATCATATTTCAAAGGACACAATCTAGAGAATGGGAGAAAATATCTGCAAATTATATATGGATAAGAGGTTGATACCTGCAATGTATAAAGAGCTACTACTCAACAACAACAACAAAAAGAACTGATCTTAAAACAGTCAAATGATGTGAATAGACATTGCTCCAAAAATGATATTCAAATGTCCAAGAAGCATATAAAAAAGATCATATTTTTATATGATATTCAAATGTTCATCTTTTTATATGCTTCTTGGACATTTGAATATCATCTTTGTAAATTATTACAGTAATGAAAATCACAGCCACAATGAGATACCACCTCATATTCATTAGGATGCCTACTTTTAAAAAAGAAACAGAAAATAATCCATGTTCATGAGGATGTGGAAAAACAAGAACCCTGTGCACTGTTGGTGGGAATGTAAATGGTACAGCCACTATTGAAAACAGTGTGATGGGTCCTCAAAAAATTAGAAATAGAATTACCATATGATCCACTTCTGGGATTGCCCAAATCCAAAAGAATTAAAAGCAAGATTCTGAAGAGATATTTATGCATCCATGTTCATAGCAGCATTATTTATAGCAGCCAAGAGGTGGAAGCAATTAAAATGTCCATCAATGGGTGAATGGATAAATAAATAAACTGTAAACTTAAAAGTGGTTAAGGTGGTAAATTTTATGTTGTGTGGATAATTTAATACATTTATTTATTTATTTACTTATTTATTTAAAGACAGGGTCTCACTATGTTGCCCAGGCTGGTCTCAAACTCCCGAGCTCAAGCTTCCAAGTAGCTGAGATTATAGGTACACACCACCATGCTGGGCAGTGTGTATTCTTTATCAAAGTTAAAAACATTTTTTAAAGTAAAGGAATGGAGAGAGATATACAATGCTAACATTAAAAAAGAAAGCTGAAGTAGTTATATTTTCAGACAGAGGAGACTTCAGAGCAAGAAAAATGGTCAGGGATAAAGAGGGGCATTACATAATGATAAAGGGGTCAATTCTCCAAGAATACATAACAATTCTTAATGCATGAGAGCCTAACTACACCATATCAAAGTACATAAAACAAAAACTGATAGAACTGCAAGAAGAAATAGATGGATCCACTATTACAGTTAGAGAATTTAACACTCCTCTACCAGTAATGAACAGATCCAGCAGGCAGAAAATCATAAGGACATAGTTGAACTCAACAACACCATTGATAAACTGGATATAATTGACATCTATAGAATACTTTATCCAACAATACCAGAATATGCACTATTCTCAAGCTTACATGGAACATTCCCTTAGACCCACATTCTGAACCATAAAATATACCTTAACAAATTTAAAGGAATAAAAATCATACAGTGTATACTCCCAATTAAATTGAACTAGAAATCAGTAACAGAAATATTTGTACATTAAACAACATTTTTTTTTTTTTTTTTTTTTTTTTTTGGCCAGGGTCTCATTCTGTTAGCCAGGGTGGAGTGTGGTGGTGCAATCATGACTCACTGCAACCTCAACCTCCTGGGCTCAAGCAATCCTCCCACCTCACCCTCTTAAGTAGCTGGGACCACAGGTGTGTGCCACCACATGCAGCTAATTTTTTTTTTTTTTTTTTAGAAATGTAGTCTCCATATGTTGCCCAAGCTGGTCTTGAACTTCTGGGCTCAAGTGGTCCTTCCCCCTTGGCCTTCCAAAGTGCTGGGATTACAGGTGTGAGCCACTGTGCCCAGCAAACAACACATTTCTAAATAATACATGGGTCAAAAAAGAAATGTCAAGAGAAATTTAAAAATATTTTGAACTAAATGAAAATACAAACTTATCAAAATTTGTGTGATGCAGCAAAAGTAGTGTATAAACAGAAATGTATAGCATTTGATGCATATATTAGAAAAAAGAGATATCTAAAATCAATAATCTGAGCTTACATCTTAGGAAACTAGAAAAAGAAGAGCAAATTAAATCCATTATAGGCAGAAGAAAAGAAATAATAAAAATTACAGTAAAAATAAATGAAATTGAAAATAAGAAATCAATAGAGAAAAATCAATAAAACCTGGTTCTCTGAAATGGCCTATAAAATTGATAAACCTCTAACTAAGAAAAATAGAGATAAGACATAAATTACTAATAAAAGCTAGTTCTCTGAAATGGTCAATAAAATTAATAAACCTCTAAGAAAAATAGAGATAAGACATAAATTACTAATATCAGAAATGAAGGATGGGACATCACTACAGAGCCCATGGACATTAAAAGATAATAAAGGAATACTATGAAAAAAAATCTGTGCCTACAAATGCTAACCTAGATGAAATAGACCAATAATTCCCTGAAAGACATAATCTGCCAAAACTCACACGAAAAGAAATAGACAATTTGAATAGGGCTGTATCTATTAAAGAAATTGAAAGCTAAGCAGGGTGGCTCATGCCTGTAATCCCAGCACACTGGGAGGCTTAGATGGGAGGATTGTTTGAGCCCATGAGTTTGAGACCAGCTTGGGCAACATGGCAAAATCTTATCTTTACAAAAAAAAAATTTATTTTAATTAGCTGGGTATGTTGGTATGCATCTGTGGTCCCAGCTACTCAGGAGGCTGAGGCAAGAGGGTCAGTTGAGCCTGAGTGGTGATGCTGCAGGCAGCCATGCTCATGCCACTGCACTCCAGGCAATAAGACAAGAAAAGGAAATAAAAGATATAAAGATTGGGAAGGAATAAATAAAAGCTTCTTTGTTAACAAATGGCATGGTTGTCTATGTAGAAAATCCAAAAGAATTGACCCAAAAGAACTCTTGGAACTAATAAGTGGTTAGAGAGAGAATGCAGGAAATTTTAAAAGTCAATTGTTTTCTTACATATCATCAATGCATAAGTAGAATTTGAAATTAAAAACACAATACCATTTACATTAGGAACACCCCGAAAGAAATACTTAGGTATAACTCTCATAAAGTAAGTATAAGATCTATATGAGAAAAACTACAAAACTGTGATGAGAGAAATCAAAGAAGAACTAAATAAATTAAGATACATTCCATGTTCATGGTTAGAAAGACTCAATATTGTCAAGATGTCAGTTCTTCCAAATTTGATCTTTAGGTTCAACGAATCCTAATCAAAATCCCAGCAAGTTATTTTGTGGATTTTGACAAACTGATTCTAAAGTTTACACGGAGAAGCAAAAGAACCAGAATAGCCAACACGACGTTGAAAGCAAAGAATAGAGTTGAACAACTGACACTACCAAAGTTCAAGACTTATTATAAATCCACAGTAATCAGGACAGTGTGATATTGGCAAAAGAACAGAGACATAGATCAATGGAATGGAATGGAATATAGAGCCCAGAAATTGACCCACACAAGTATAGTCAACTGATCCTTGACAAAGAAACAAAGGCAACACAATGGAGAAAAGATTGTCTTCTTAACAAACGGTGCTGGAACAACTGGGCATCCAAGTGCAAAAAAAAAAAGGAATCTAGACACAGACTTTACATTCTTCAAAAAAGTTAACTCAAAATGGATCATAGAACTAAACGTAAAATGCAAAACAATAAAATGCTTACAAGATAAACTGGAAAAATCTAGATGACCTTGAGTTTCATAATTTTTAGATACAATACCAAAGCCTCAATCTGTGAAAGAAATAACTGATAATCTGTACTTTATTAAAATTAAAATCTTCTGCTTTGAAAGACACTGTTGAGAGAATGAGAAGACAAGCCACAGACTGGGGAGAAAACATTTGCAAAAGACATGTCTGATAAAGAACTGTTATCCAAAATTTACAAAAACCTTTTAAAACACAACAATAATTTATAATAGCATCAAAAAGAATAAAATACTTAGGCATTAACTTATCCAAAGAGGTGAAAGACTTGTACAATAAAAACTATAAAACATTGCTGAAAAAAAATTTTTTTTTTTTTGAGACGGAGTCTCGTTCTTTTGCCCAGGCTGGAGTGCCTCCCAGGCTCATGCCATTCTCCTGCCTCAGCCTCCCGAGTAGCTGGGACTACAGGTGCCTGCGACCACGCCCGGCTAATTTTTTGTATTTTTAGTAGAGATGGGGTTTCACTGTGTTAGCCAGGATGGTCTCAATCTCCTGACCTTGTGATCCACCCGCCTCAGCCTCCAAAAGTGCTGGGATTACAGGCGTGAGCCACCGCGCCCGGCCTGAAAAATATTTTTAAAACATAAATAAGTGGAAATGCCTTCTATATTCTTGGGTTGGAGGACTCAATATTGTTAAGATGTCAATGCTGCCCAAAGTGATCTATAGATTCAATGTAATCAAAATTCCAGGCCGGATGTGGTGGCTCATGCCTGTAATCCCAGCACTTTGGGAGGCCAAGATGGGTGGATGACTTGAAGTCTGGAATTCAAGACCAGCCTGGCCAACATGGCAAAACCCTGCCTGTACTAAAAATACAAAAATTAGCCAGGCATGGTGGCACAAGCCTGTAATCCCAGCTACTCAGAAGACTGAGGCAGAAAAATCGCTTGAACCCAGGAGGCAGAGGTTGCAGTGAGCTGAGATTGTGCCACTGCACTCCAGCCTGGGTGACAGAGCAAGAGTCCATCTCAAAAAAAAAAAAAAAAAAAAAATTTAGTGATTTGATTTTTGTGGAAATAGAAAAACTCACCCTAAAATGTGTATGGAATATTAAGGGCCCCCAAATAGCCAAAACAATCTTGAAAAAGAAGAACAAAGTTAGAAAACTCACACTTTCTGATTTCACAACTTACTACCAAGCTACAATAATCAAAATCATGTGGTATTAACATAAAAACAGATATATATATATATAAAATAGAATAGAGAACCCAGAAATAAACCCTCACATATATGGTCAAATGATTTTTGACAAGGATGTCAAGATCTTTCAATTGGGAAGGCAACAATCTTTTCAACAAATAGTTCTGGGAAAACTGGCTATCCACTTGCAAAAGAATGAAGTTTAACATTTACTTAACACCATTTAAAAAATTAACTCAAGATGAATCTAAGATCTAAACATAACATATGAAACTATACAACTCTTAGAAAAAAACAGGGCAAAACCTTCCTGACATCAGATTTGGCAGTGATTTCTTGGATATGACACCAAAGGCATAGGCAACAAAAGAAAAAAATAGACAAATTAGACTTTATCAAAATGTTTTAATGTTATGCATCCAAACACGTTATCAGAAAAGTAAGAAGGCAACCCACAAAGTGGGAGACAACATTTGCAAACCATATATCTGATAAAGGATTAATATCCAGAATATCTAGAGAACTCCTAAAACTTAACAACAAAAAACAAACATCCCAATTCACAAATGGACAAAGGAGTTGAATAGACATTTCTCCAAAGAAAGTACAGAATGGCTAATAACCACATGGAAAGATGTTCAACATCATGAATCATTAAGGAAAGGCAAATCAAAACTACAATGAGATACCACCTCATACCCATTAGGATGGCTACTATTTAGAAAACCTGAAAATAATAAGTGTTAGTGAAATTGGAACCCTTGTGGACTATTGGTGGAAATGTAAATGTAAATGTATATGGTACAGCCACCATAGAAAATGGTATGGCAGTTCCTCAAAAAATTAAAAATAGAATTACCATATGATCCAGCAATTCCACTCCTGGGTATATACCTAAAAGAACTAATGTCACAAAAAGACTAATATTCTATGATGCCACTTATATGAGATATCTAGAGTAGCCAAATTCATAGAGACAGAAAGTAGAACAGTGGTTGCCAGAAACTGAGGAGTGGGGGGAATAGGGAGTTATTGTTTAATGGATATAGAGTTTTCATTTTGCAAGATGGAAAAGCTCTAGAATGGATGGTGCTGGTGGTTGCATGACAATATGAATATATTTAATACCACTGAACTATGCACTTAAAATGGATCAGATGGCAAATTTTATCTTCTGTGTATTTTAACACAATTTTAAAATTGAGAAAAACTCAACAATAAGAAAATGAACAACTGGACAAGACATGGTGGTTCATGCCTGTAATTCCAGCTCTTTGGGAAGCTGAGGTGAAAGGATTGCTTGAGCCCAGGAGTTCAAAACCAGCCTGGGCAACATAGCAAGACCTCATCTCAGAAAGGAAAGGAAAGGAAAGAAGAGGAAAGGAAAGGAAAGGAAAGGAAAGGAAAGGAAAGGAAAGGAGAGGAGAGGAGAGGAGAGGAGAGGAGAGGAGAGGGGAGGGGAGGGGAGGAGAGGGGAGGGGAGGGGAGGGGAGGGGAGGGGAGAGGAGGGCGAGGGGGAGGAAGAAAGGAAAGAGAGAGAGAAAGGAAGGAAAGAAGGAAGGAAGGGAGGAAGGAAGGAACTCATTTTAAAAATTGGCAAAAGACCTGAAGATGCCTCACCAAAGAAGATATACAGATGGCAAATAAGCATATGAAAAGATACTCCATATCATATGTCACTAGAGAATTGCAAATTAAAACAACAAAGAGATACCACTACATATCTATTGGAATGGCAAAAAAACAAGACACAACACCAAATGCTGGTGAGGATATGGAGCAACAGGAACATTCATTGCTGTTTGGAACACAAAATGGTACAGCTATTTTGGAAGACAGTGTGGCAGTTTTTTACAAAACTAAACGTACTCTTACCATACAATCCAGCAATCACACTCCTTGGTTACTTACTCAAATGAGTTTAAAACATATGTCTACACAAAAACCTACACACCAATGTTTAGAGCAGCTTTGTGCATAATTGTCAAAACTGGGAAGCAACCAAGAAGTCTTTCAGTAGACGAATGGATAAATAAACTGTGGCACATCCTTACAAGGGAATATTATTCAGCAATAAAAATAAATGAACTATCAAGCCATGGAAAGACATGAAAGAATCTTAAATGTATCTTATTAACTGAAGGAAGCCAATCTGAAATGGCTATATAGTGTATGATTCCAACTATAGGATACCCTGGAAAAGACAGCACTATGAATACAGTAAAATGATCAGTGGTCACCAGGAGTTAGAGGGAGGGAGGAAGGGAAGGATGAATAGGCATGGTACAGATTTTGGGGACAGTGAAATGTTCTGCATGATGCTATAATAGTGGATATATGTAATTATACATTTGTTAGGACCCATAAATGGACAACATCAAGAGTGAACCCTACTATGGACTACAGGTGATGACAAAGTGTCAGTGTAGCTTCATCAAGTCTAACAAATGTACCACTCTGGTGCTGATGTTCCTAGTGAGGGAGGATACCTGGAGTAAGAAGGGGCATACATGGGAACTCTCTATTTTCCTCTCCATTTTTCTGTGACCCTAAAACTGCTCTAAAAAAAAAATAAAGTTTGAAAATGGCAGATAAGAGGAAGGACTGACTTGCCGCTCCCACTCGGACAGACAAAGCAGCATATGGAGACTAACATCATGAACTTTTGCTCCAAGAACTACTGCAGGAATGTACCAGGAAAGCTGAGAGAATCCACAGACCCTTTGAAGGAAGCAGCTTGCCACTTTAGGCTCCATGAGACAGCCAATAAACTGTGAGTGCCAAAGTGTGAGAGGGTGAATGTCTGCCCCCAAACACATACTTTCACTGGGAAACCTGAAGGTCCAGATCATAAGAGAAGGATTTGACCTTACCTGGAGCTGAGACAAATGCTGAGAGCCGCACAAAATATAGGGGTAGAGAAAGCAGCAGCAAGAGCCCTGTGGGCACTCTCAGTCCTCAGGGAAGCCTTTTCTGTCTTTATCTTGCAACTTGGGGAGGGCTGCCAGTGGAATTGAGGAAAAACCAGAGGGAGAGGAAAACTTCCAGTTGAATTTTATAACAATTTCTACCGAACATGAAGTTTCCTGGACAGAATCTGGGGAGGGGGTCAAACAGGGAGTGCAGATACAAGCACAGAAGCTGTGGCAGGCAGAGAGGCATAAAACCTGAAAGCCCTGCTTCTGTTGTCAGCAGGGAGGCTTGTAGCCTGGGACAAGTTCTCAGCCCTGCTCGCCTGCTGCCTGGAAATAAACTTGATGCTGTTGGGGGAGCATGCTGACAGTGAGACCAGCCTTTCCAGCTGCGTGGGAGCTGGGTAACACCTGTCACTGTCGGCTTTCCCCCACTTCCCTGGCGACCTGTATGACACGGCAGAGGCAGCCATAATCCCCCTGGGAACATAACTCCATTGGCCTGAGAACCACACCCTTATCCCCCACAGCAGTCACAGCAAGCCCCACCCAACAAGAGTCTGAACTCAGATACAACTAACCCTGCCCCCACCTGATGGTCTTTCTCTACCTGCCCTGGTAGCAGAAGACAAAGGACATAATCTCTTGGGAGCTCTATGGCCCTGCCCATCACCTGAGAAACCCGAATACTTATCCAGGCAACCCTAGGGCAAACTTGTATCCTCTCTATAGTACCACAGCTGATGCTCTCTTGAAAGCACCACCTCCTGGCTAGAGGTCAACCAACACAAAACCAGCACACCAAACAAAAACACAACCAAGGACCCTCACACAGTCCACTTCACTCCCCTGCTACCTCCACCAGAGCAGGTGCCAGCATCCACAGCTGAGAGACCTGAAGACACATCACAGGACTCTTTGCAGACAATCCCCAGTACCAGCTTGGAGCCCAGCAGCTCCGCTGGGTGGCTAGACCCAGAAGAGAAATAACAATCACTGCAGTTCAGCTCTCAGAAAGCCCCACCCCTTCCCTAGGGGAAGGGGGAGAGTACCACATCAAGGGAGCACCCTGTGGGACAAAAGAACCTGAACAGCAGCCCCTGAGCCCCAGGTCTTCCCTATGACATAGTCTCCCCAAATGAGAATAAACCATAAAACAATTCTGGTAGTATGACAAAATAAGGTTCCTTAACACCCCCAAAAGATCACACTAAGCTCACCAACAATGGATCACACTAAGCTCACCAACAATGGATCTAAAAGAAAAAGAAATATTTAAATTGCCAGAAAAAGAATTCAGAAGGTCAATTATTAAGCTACTCAAGGAGGCACCAGAGAAAGGTGAATACCAACTTAAAGAAATTTTTAAAATGTTAAATCATATGGACAGAAAAATCTCCAGGGAAATAGATGGCATAAATAAAAAACAATCACAGCTTCTGGAAATGAAGGACATACTTAGAGAAATGCAAAATACACTGGAAAGTCTCAAACAATAGATTCAAACAGATAGCAGAAAGAATTTCAGCGCTCAAAGATAAGGCTTTCAAATTAACCCAATCTGACAAACACAAAGAAAAAAGAATTTTAACAATGAACAAAGCCTCGAAGAAGTTTGGGATTATATTAAATGACCAAATCTAAGAACAAGTGGTGTTCCCAAGGAAGAAGAGAAATCTAAAAGTTTGGAAGACATAGTTCAGGGAATAATCAAGGAAAACTTCCCTGGCCTTGCTAGAGATCTAGACATCCAAATACAAGAAGCTCAAAGAACACCAGGGAAATTCATTGCAAAAAGATCATCATCTAGGCACATAGTCATCAGATTATCTAAAGTCAAGACAAACAAAAGAATCTTAAGAGCTGTGAGGCAAAAGCATCAGGTAACCTATAAAGGAAAACCTATCAGATTAACAGCAGATTTCTCAGCAGAAATGCTACAAGCAAGAAGGGATTGGGGTCCTATCTTTAGCCTTCTTAAACAAAATAATTTTCAGCCAAGAATTTTGTATTCTGCGAAACTAAGCTTCATAAATGAAGGAAAGATACAGTCTTTTTCAGACAAACAAATGCTGAGAGAATTCGTCATTACCAAGCCAGCACTACAAGAACTGCTAAAAGGAACTCTAAATCTTGAAACAAATCCTTGAAATACACCAAAATAGAAACTCTTTAAAGCATGAATTTCACAGAACCTATAAGAAAATAACACAATGAAAAAAAAACACCCAAGGTATTCAGGTAACAAACAGTACAATGAATAGACTAGAATAGTACCTCATATCTCAATACTACTTTTGAATATAAATGGCCTAAATGGTCCACTTAAAAGACACAGAATGGCAGAATGGATAAGAATTCACCACCCAAGTATCTACTGTCTTCAAGAGACTCACCCAACACATAAGGCCTCACATAAACTTAAGCTGAAGGAGTGGAAAGAGATATTCCATGCAAATGGACACCAAAAGCAAGCAAGAGTAGCTATTTTTATATTAGACAAAACAGACTTTAAAACAACAATGGTTAAAAAAGATAAAGAGTGACATTATATAATGATAAAAGGACTAGTCCAAAAGGAAAATTCCACTATCCTAAATATATATGCACCTAACACTGGAGCTCCCAAATTTATAAAACAATTACTACTAGACCTAAGAAATGAGAGAGACAGCAACATAATAATAGGGGGGGACTTCAACACTCCACTGACAGCACTAGACAGGTCATTAAGACAAAAAGTCAACAAAGAGGCCAGGCTCAGTGGCTCACACCTGTAATCCCAGCACTATGGGAGGCAGAGGTGGGTGGATCACCTGAGGTCAGGAGTTCAAGACCAGCCTGACCAAACCCTGTCTCTACTAAAAAAAAACTACAAAATTAGCTGGGTGTTGTGGCACATGCCTGTAATCCCAGCTACTCAGGAGGCTGAGGCAGGAGAATCACTTGAACCCAGGAGGCAGAGGTTGCAGTGAGCCAAGATTACGCCATTGCACTCCAGCCTGGGCAACAAGAGTGAAACTCTGTCTCAAAAAAAAAAAAAAGTCAACAAAGAAAAAATGGACTTAAATTATACCCTAAAACAAATGTACTTAACAGTTATTTTACAGATCATTCTACCCAACAACTGCAGAATATACATAGTATTCACCACCACAAGAAACATTCTCCAAGATAGACCATATGATGGGCCACAAAACAAGTCTCAATAAATTTAGGAAAACCCAAATTATATCAAGTATTCTCTTAAACCACAGTGGAATAAAATTGGAAATCAACTCCAAAAGGAACCCTCAAAATCATGCAAATACATGAAAATTAAATAACCTGCTCCTGAATGATCATTGGGTCAACAATGAAATCAGGATGGAAATTTAAAAATTCTTTGGACTGAACAATAATAGTGACACAACCTATCAAAACCTCTGAAATACAGCAAAAGCAGTGCTAAAAGGAAAGTTCATAGCATTGCATGCCTACATCAAAAAGTCTGAAAAAGCGCAAATAGACAATCTAAGGTCACACCTCAAGGAGCTAGAGAAACAAGAACAAACCAAACCCAAACCCAGCAGAAGAAAAGAAATAGCAAAGATCAGAGCAGAACCAAATGAAATTGAAACAAAATAAACAATACAAAAGATAAGTAAAACAAAAAGTTGGTTATTTGAAAAGATAAATAAAATTGATAGACCATTAGCGAGATTAGCCAAGAAAAGAAGAAAGAAGAATCAAATAAACTCAACTAGAAATTAAACAGGAGGCCGGACGCGGGGGCTCATGCGTGTAATCCCAGCACTTTGGGAGGCCGAGGCAGGCGGATCATGAGGTCAGGAGATCGAGACCATCCTGGCTAACACAGTGAAACCCCGTCTCTCTAAAAATACAAAACATTAGCCAGGTATGGTGGCAGGCACCTGTAGTCCCAGCTACTTGGGAGGCTGAGGCAGGAGAATGAGGTGAACCCAGGAGGCGGAACTTGCAGTGAGCCGAGATTGTGCCACTGCACTCCAGCCTGGGTGACAGAGCAGACTCTGTCTCAAAAAAAAAAAAAAAAAGAAATGAAACAGGAAATATTACAACCCATACCACAGAAATACAAAAGATCATTCAAGGCTACTGTGAAAACCTTTACACACACAAACTAGAAAATCTAGACGAGACTGATAAATTCCTGGAGATATACAATCATCCTAGATTAAACCAGGAAAGAATAGAAATTGAACAGACCAATAATAAGCAGCAAGATTGAAGTGGTAATTTCAAAAATTGCCAACAAAAAAGTCCAGGATCAGATAGATTCACAGATGAATTCTATCAGATATTCAAAGAAGAATTGGTACCAATCTTATTGACACTATTCCAAAAGACAGAGAAAGAGGGAATCCTCCCTAAATCATTCTATGAAGCCAGTATCACCCTAATATGAAAACCAGGAAAGGACATAACAACAACAAGAAAAAAAACTAGAGACCAATATCCCTGATGAACACAGATGCAAAAATCCTCAACAAAATACTAGCTAACCAACATATCATATCAAACATATCAACAGCATATCAAAAAGGTTATCCACCATGATCAAGCGGGTTTAATACCAGGGATGCAGGGATGGTTTAACATATGCAAGTCAATAGATGTAATACACCATATAAACAGAATTAAAAACAAAAATCACATGATCATCTCCATAGACACAGGAAAAGCTTTTGACAAAATCTAGCATATCCTTTGTGACTAAAATCCTCAGCAAAATGGACACAGAAGAGATGTACTTTAAGGTAATAAAAGCCATCTATGACAAACCCACAGCCAACATTATACTTAATGGGGAAAAGTTAAAAGCATTCCCCCTGAGAACTGGAACAAGACAAGGATGCCAACTTTCACCACTTCTGTTCAACATAGTACTGGAAGTCCCAGCCAGAGCAATCAGAAAGAGAAAGAAATAAAGGGCAACCAAATCAGTAAAGAGGAAGTCAAACTGTTGCTGTTCATTGATGATATGATTACATATCTAGAAAACCCTAAAGACTCATTCAAAAAGCTCCTGGAACGGATAAATGAATTTAGTAAAGTGTCAGGATACAAAATTAATGTACGCAAATCAATAGCACTGTTATACACCAACAGCAATCAAGGTGAGAATCAAATCAAGGACTCAAAAAGATAAAATACTTAGGAATATACCTAATCAAGGAGGTGAAAGACATCTACAAAGGAAACTACAAAACACTACTGAAAGAAATTGTAGATGACACAAATGGAAACACATCCCATGCTCATGCATGGGTAGAATCAATATTGTGAAAATGACCATACTGCCTACTGAATCTACAAATTCAATGCAATTGTTATCGAAATACCACCATCATTCTTCACAGAACCAGAAAAAATGATCCTAAAATTCATATGGAACCAAAAAAGAGCCCCCATAGTCAAAGCAAGACTTGGCAAAAAGAACAAATCAGGAGGCATCACAATACCCAACTTCAAACTATATTATGAGGCCATAGTCACCAAAACAGCATGGTACTGGTATAAAAATAGGCACATAGACCAGCGGAACATCATAGAGAACCCAGGAATAAAGCCAAATACTTACAACCAACTGATCTTTGACAAAGCAAACAAAAACATAAAGTGGGTGAAGGACACCGTATTCAACAAACGGTGCTGGGATAATTGGCAAGACACATTTAGAAGAATAAAATTGGATCTCATCTCTCACCTTTACATAAAATCATCAAGATGGAGCAAAGACTTAAATCTAAGACATGAAACCATAAAAATACTAGACGATGACATTGAAAAAACCCTTCTAGACGTTGGCTTAGGCAACGATTTCATGACCAAGAATCGAAAAGCAAACACAAGAAAAAGAAAGGTAAATAGATGGAACTCAATTAAACAAAAACCTTCACACAGCAAAAGAAATAATCAGCAGGGTAAACAGACAACCCACAGAGCGGGAGAAAAATCTTCACAATCTGTACATCTGACAAAGTGCTAAATTTTTACATCTGACAAAGGACAGATGTAGATTCAGAATCTACAAGGAACTCAAACAAATCAGCAAGAAAAAAAAGAACCTCATCAAAAAGTGGGCTAAGGATGTGAATAGATAATCCTCAAAAGAAGATATACAAATGGCCAACAAACATATGGAAAAAAATGTTCAATACCACTCATGATCAGGGAAATGCAAATCAAAACCACAATGAAATACTACTTTACTCCTGCAATAATGGCCATAATCAAAAAATCAAAAAATAATAGATGTTGGCATGGATGTGGTAAAAAGGGAACACAAGGGTGGGAATGTAAACTAGTATAACCACTGTGGAAAACAATGTGGAGATTTCTTAAAGAACTAAAAGTAGATCTACCATTTGATCCAGCAATCCCACCCAAAGGAAAAGAAGTCATTATACGAAAAAGATACCTGCACACACATGTTTGTAGCAGCACAATTTGCAATTGCAAAAATATGGAACCAGCCCAAATGTCCATCAATCAATGAGTGGATAAAGAAAATGTTGTGTGTGTGTGTGTGTGTGTGTGTGTGTGTGTGTGTGTACACACAACATGGACTACTCAGCCATGAGAAGGAATGAAATAATGGCATTTGCAGCAACCTGGATGGAATTGGAGACCATTATTCTAAGTGAAGTAACTCAGGAATGGAAAACCAAGCATTGTATGTTCTCACTCATAAGTGGGAGCTAAGCTATGAAGACTCAAAGGCATAAGAATGATACAATGGACTTTGGCTTCTTGTGGGGATGGGTGGGAGGAGGGTGAGGGATAAACACAAATGACTACACACTGGGTACAGTGTACACTGCTCGGGTGATGAGTGCACCAAAATCTCAGATCAAAATCTCAGAAATCACCACTAAAGAACTTATTCATGTAACCAAATACCACTTGTCCCCAAAAAACCTATTGAAATTTAAAAATAATAGTAAAATTTTTAAATAAAGTCTATTTTAAAAAGAAATTTTCGAATTATTTAAATAATGAGAGAGAAAATAACAAATACTGAAGACAGTCAAAGAAGATTCAAAATATGGGTAATAGGAGTCTCCAAAGAAGAAAACTAAAACAAAAGAACAAAACAAATGCCAAAATACTGTAATTTAAGAAAACTTTCTTCAAATTAAAAATAAAAGCTCTGAAACTATATTTTAAAAGAACACACCATGTTGGATTGCAAAAATATAGTTAGATAAAATGAACAAGATCTAGCTGTTGATAGTACAACAGGGTGACTATAGTCAATAATAATTTATTGTGTATTTAAAAATAACTAAAAGAGTGGAATTGAAATGTTTGTAACACAAAGAAACAATAAATGCTAAGGTAATGGATACCCCAACTACTCTGATGTGATTACTACACAATGTATGCCTGTATCAGAACATCATGTGTGCCCCAGGACATATACAGCTATTATGCACCATGATATTAAAAAAAATTTTTTTTGAGATGGAGTTTCACTCTTGTTGCCCAGGCTGGAGTACAATTGCACAATCTCGGCTCACCGCAATCTCCACCTCCCAGGTTCAAGCAATTCTCCTGCCTCAGCCTCCCGAATAGCTAGGATTACAGGCATGCCCCACCACGCCTGGCTAATTTTGTATTTTTAGTAGAGATAGGGTTTCTCCATGTTGGTCAGGCTGGTCTCGAACTCCCAACCTCAAGTGATCTGCCCGCCTCGGCCTCCCAAAGTGCTGGGATTACAGGCATGAGCCACTGCCCCTGGCCTTAAAAATAAAAAAAATAAAATAAATTAACACGCCATGTAGGCCAGGCATGGTGGCTGACACCTGCAATCCCAGCACTTTGGGAGGCTGAGATGGGAGGATCACTTGAGTCCAGGAGTTGAAGACCAGCCTGGGCAACATGGTGAAACCCTGTCTCTACAAAACATACAAAAATTAGCCACACGTAGTGGTGCATGTCTGTGGTCCCAGCTACTCAGGAGGCTGAGGCAGAAGGATTGCTTGAGCCTGGATGCAGAGGTTGCAGAGAGCCAAGACCGTGCCACCATACTTCAGCCTGGGTGACAGAGCAAGACCCAGTCTCAAAAACAACAACAAATATACCCAAAAAACAAAACAAAACAAAACACCATGTACCTGAGAATATTGACCCAGAATGACCAATATCACAAAATATTCAAATAAAATTACTATAAAGAAAAAAAGAAAAATCCTTTGACATCTAATCAAACAGTGAATAAGTTATAAGAGAAAGAAAATTAGATTATCCTGAAGCATTTCTATACCAGTGTTTCTCCAGAAGCAAATGGAGCACATATTTAAGATACTCAAAGAAAGAAAATGCAAGCCAAGGATTGTATATGCAGCAAAACTGACATTCAAGTGCAAAGGGCATAAACTGTTATCAACATATGCAAAAAAAAAGTTGGGAATATTGGTCCCATGAACCCTTTTTGAGAAATATACTACAGAATGAGCTTCAGCCATGCAAAATGACTAAAGAAAACATTTAACATAATGACTGGTGATGAGTAATAAACATGCAGTTACAGTATTAGTTATATAACAAATACTAAATGAGAGCTAAAAGGGGAAGATTATAGTATACAATGGCTGATGTTCAAACAGTGTAGATAATTATTCTTAAACAGGGGTAGAATGAGGATACAATATGCAGCAATGTTTTGTTTATTTGTTTGCTTTTTTTTTGAGGTTTTTTATTGTTTTGTTTTGTTTTGTTTTTTGAGACAGAGTCTCACTCTGTCACCCAGGCTGGAGTGCAATGGAGCGGTCTCAGCTCACTGCAACCTCCGCCTCCTGGGTTCAAATGATTATCCTGCCTCAGCCTCCCGAGTAGCTGGGACTACAGGCGTGCACCACCATGCCCAGCTAATTTTTTTGTATTTTTAGTAGAGACAGGGTTTTACTATGTTGGACAGGCTGGTCACTCCTGACCTCATGATCTGCCCACCTTGGCCTCCCAAAGTGCTGGGATTACAGGCGTGAGCCACCGTGCCCGACTGCAAAAATGTATTTTAACTGCTCTCAGTAATAACATTGGTGGCAGTGGTATTACTATTATTCTGAGGGTATTTCGTGTAAACATGGGATGAAGTAAATGATTATGGCACATTCTATCATGTCTTATGTCCCTGAGAAACAAGATTCTTGGTGAAAAAGAAAGGAGGTACAAATGTGATATAGAAGAGGTTGAATTTTATAACTCTGTGGTTATGAATTAGACGTGTCAATCTGAACTCAGAAGATACAGTCATGCACTACATAACAATGTTTTGGTCAACAAGAGACCATATGTATAATGAATGTCCCAGGAGACTATAATGGAGCTTTCATATCATATTTCTACTGTACTTTTTCTATGTTTGGATACACAGAAACTTACCACTCTGGTACAACTGCCTACAGTACTGAGTATAGTATCATGTTGTATAGGTTTATAGCTCAGGAGTATTATCACATATCACACAACCTAGACATGTGTCCATTTCACATAGCCTAGGTATGTGATATGTCCAAACCTAGACTATACCATTTAGGTTTGTGTAAGTACACTCTGTGATGTTCACACAGTGATGAAATAGCCTAAAAACTTTTTCTCAGAATGTATCCCCATTGTTTAAGAGATGAGTAATTGTATTTTATCTCTTTTTTGGTTTGGATTTTGTTTGTTTGTTTGTTTGTTTGTTTTTTGAGAGGGAGTCTCACTCTGTCACCCAGGCTGGAATACAGTGGCGCGATCTTGGCTCACTGACACCTCCACCTCCCAGGTCCCAGGGATTCTTCCACCTCAGCCTCCTGAGTAGCTGGGATTACAAGTGTGCACTACCATGCCCAGCTAAGTTTTTGTATTTTTAGAAGAGACAGGGTTTCACCACGTTGCCCAGGCTGGTCTGGAACTCCTGAGCTCAGGCAATCCACCCACCTTGGCCTCCCAAATGTATTTTATCTTTTAAAAGGAAAAAAAATGTACACATACATATAATATCTTAGCTCTGTTCACTAAAGGAGCCTGAAGATGATGACCAACCTAATAGCATTGATTATCCCTAGCACCCAGATTGGTTGAAATACTATTTTCCACTAAATAAAACTAAGACTTCTTGGGGAAATTGTTGATTCCTGATTTGGGGCAGAAAATGTGGAAGATGGGCCTGGAGCATTTTCTTACACTGGAAAAGAAGGAGTTACCAAGCTACTAAGGTGTAAAAAGGACTCAGTGCCAACTTGAAGGGGCTCCCATCAGCCAGAGATAGGAAAATTTGAGCTTCTAAAGGATAATAATTGCAATTGATTAAAACCCATCAATCAGTGAGTTAATAATGATATTTAAAATGATTTTTTAAAAACTAATGGGTAACCTTGAGAGAATGATATGAAACCAATTCATTATCTTAAATGAAGCATTTACTCTGCCTTCTTGTATAAACCATACCATGGGTAATCAAATACTAATGACAATATGTGTCTCTTTATAAAGGTACTCTATCTAATAAATGAAAAAATTAAAGAATTCAAATACCACCATTTTTCCATCCCCGATGAATTAATAAATGTAGGCATGTAGAATTAATGGCTGCTAGTATTACAAAAGGAAAGATAAGCAGAAATTATGTGCCTCCTGATGAAAGAGCACAGCAGCCCTGTAGTCCTGTCAAAGGTATTGAACCCCAGTCTAACCGAACCTCTGTATTCAGCTGCTCATTTGCAAGAAATACAAAAGACTACAACAATGTGTTGAACTGCACTGCAAATGTGCATCAGCAAATTCCAGACAGTGGGAAACTATAGGTCAAATGCTACAGGTCTTCAATAGATAAAATGAAAGAAAAAGAAAGGGATGGAGAAGGATTCTGTATATTAAGAGATTTAAAAGATAAATAATTTTTAGTAGGCGAAACTAAACTACAGTGCCTAGAAATGTACACTGATGTGATAAAACTACAAAGTAACATAAGGAAGTGATCACTGTAAAAAGTCAGGATAAGGACTTCTGCTTCTGATTAGGATGCAATACAGGGACCAGATTACCTTCCTGCTCAAAAGAACTAAAATACTAGACCAAATACATGGAAAGAAACAAATCTCTGTTTTCACACATTGGATATCTGGCTTCAAATAATAGTGATCCCTGAGAGAGGGGTAAAATTGCCCCAGCTTACTCCCTGGAGAGAATATTCAGGCCAGAACACAGAGAAGGGGGACCCAACAGTCTCCTTGAGTTGAGAAGGCAAAGCTGGGAGTTCATGGAAGTCATGTGGCTAGGGTCCACCAAGCAAAGTACTGGTGAGGAGAGAGGTGCCCAGAGAGAGCTCCAGAGATGTGCATGCGACACCCCTTGTGTATTCATCAGCACATGTGTGTGAGGCAACTACCCAAAGCTTGGAAAAGAACCACTCAAAACAAATAAGATAAACATTTCTGGAGGTTGCATAGAACCAGAAAAAGTCCATAGTCTCATCTATCAGAGTGGACAACCTCAAAATTCATGAGGCATTGAGTAGTGAGGCAAAATCAGCCCTAGAAGAAAAGCTGCTCTGATCCCACCTAACAAAACTTAAAAACAAGCATCAAAATAATTAAACTGTTTCCATAATGAGTAGACAGAGAAATGACACAAAAAATGATAGAATTAGTAGATAAGGACATAAAACAGTTATAATTATAGTCCATATATTCAATGATGCAGAAGGAAGATTGAGCATATAGAAATATGGAAGATAGATTTTTTTATAAAGATCCAAATGAATTTCTAGAGATGAAAACTACAACAGAAGAGATTTTTAAAACACATTGGACCAAATGAACAGCATACTAGACACTGTAAAAGAGTAATGAACTTGAGGATATAGCAATTGAAATTATGCAAAATGAAACACACAGGAAAAAAAGACCGAAACAAATAAATGAAGCATCACTGAGCAGTGGGATAACTTCCAGCAGCCTAAAAATGGAGTCCCTGAAGGACAGAAAACAGGAGGAAGTAGGGCCAAAAAAAATTTTTTTTAAGAAATAATGGCTGAAAATTTTTCAAGTTTGGTTAAAATTACTGAACCCACAGAGCCAAGAAGCTCAATGAACCCAAAGCATAAGAACCTCTACCAAGGCATATCATAGTCACATTGCTTAACACTGGTGAAAAAGATAAAGTCTTATAAACAGAAGAGGAACAAAGGTAAGAATATAGCTGACTTCTTGATAATAAATATATCTTGAAAATAATACATTCCAGAATACAATGAAACAACAATTTTTAAGTACTAGAGGAGGGAAAATAAGCTGTCATCCTATAGTTTTATACCCAGCAAAAATATCTTAAAAAACAAAAGTGAAATAAAGACTTTTTCAGGCATAGAAAACTGAAAGAATTTACTAGCTGTAGACCTGCACTTCAGGAAATGTTAAAGTCCTTCTGGAACAAAGACAATTATAACAGACAGAAATCTGGTCAATACAAAGAAATGCAGAGCACCAGAAACAGTTAATATGTGGGTAAATATAAAAGTGGTTTTTAAAAAATCTCTTTAAGAGATCATTGACAGTTTAAAGAAAAAATAATAACAATGTATGATGGGGCCTATAACATATATGTAGAAGTTATAAATGATAAAACATGAACCTATGATAAAAGCCAAGGCAGTGACTACTCATGTGGGAAGCCAGGTGGTTTGAGCTGGTGATAGGGCAGATTCAGGAATTCCTGGAATGGCTGACAAGGTTCTATTTCATGTGGGTATTGGTTACAAATGTGTTCACCTTGTGATAACTCATGTTAAGCCATACATTTGTGTTGTTTTATAACACAAAATCTTTAAGAGCAATTGAAAGTGAATCATTTCATTTTTGTGAACTATATAGATGTGTAGAAGAAAATACAGAAAGGATATGAAATAATAGTAGTTATTACATGGGTATTGAGATTAAGGATGAGGACTGCTTTTCTATTTTTTCCAAAATGCCTATATAAATATTATTTACTTCTCTAATGAGGAAAAATAAGTAAAAACAAATATTCTCAATGGAAATACTTTCATTGTATATGTTTCCTTGGAAACAAAATTTATACCTTTGCACTTACTTCACTACCTTGGCTTCTTTGCTTCCATTTTTACATCAGTCCTGTCCATCCCTATCTGCATTGCTCTGTGGTATGTACTAGCAACCAGAATTAAGGAACTGGCAGGCATTTTTAAAATTTCATATACAGTCTAGGCACAGTACCTCATGCCTCTAATTCCAGCACTTTAGGGAGCCAAGGTGGGAGGATCACTTGAAGCCAGAATTTTGAGACCAGCCTGGACAACAAAGTGAGACCCTACCTCTACAAAAAATAAAATTATTGGCTGGGCGCAGTGGCTCACGTCTGTAATCCTAGCACTCTGGGAGGTGTATCACTTGAAGTCAGGAGTTCGACACCAGCCTGGCCAACATGGTAAAACCCTGTCTCCACTATAAAATAACAACAACAACAAATTAGCTGGGCGTGGTGGTGTGCGTCTGTAATCCCAGCTACTCGGGAGGCTGAGGCAGGAGAATTGCTTGAACCCAGGGGATAGAGATTGCAGTGAGCTGAGATTGCGCCACTGCACCCCAACCTGGGTGACAGAGCGAGACTCCATCTCAAAAACTAAAAATAAAAATATAAAAATATTAGCCAGATGCAGTAATGCATGCCTGTAATCTCAGCTACTCAGGAGGCTGAGGCAGGAACATCGCTTGATCCCAGGAGCTCAAGGTTGCAGTGAGCTATGATTGCACCACTGCACTCCAGCCTGGGAAACAGAGCAAGACCTTATCTCTAAAAAAAAATAAAAAAATTAAATAATTAAACTTTTATGCACAGAATCAAAATAAAAACAGCTACAATCACACTTTTAAAGAACTTCTTGTTCTAGCTGATAATAATGTTTGGCTGAGAGACGGGAGGTGAAGAACAGTTATCTCGAAGCCAGTTTGCAATCTGCTACCCTGGAGATTTCTTTGGGAGACTTTGCATGGTTCAGAGGATCTTGTGATTGTTTTGTAAGCAAGGAGGTGCTGCATTTACAAATGCTGTAGAAACAGCTCTGTGTTTTTAATATTCTAAACAGAAATATAGAGTGCCTCTAAATTTCATCTGACAGAAACCTTATGCCTATATTAGCTGTATCCAAAAATAAGAACAAGCCTAAATGAAGACTGCTACAAACCTTTAGCATCAGCAAAAGGCTGTATCTCAAGGGAGAGAATATCAGCACAAGGAAAATACCAGGTTTAACTAGAAATCAGAGGACCTGATAAAGACATATCCTACTGCACAGTTAATTGCTCAGAGAGCAAGCAGGAAAGTGAAAAATATACCACTAATGTCCATTGTTTGTGAATGGCTAGGGTTGGGTCAAGTAAGGCTAGCCATGTAGAATATCAGCCCTACTATTGTTCCCAAGAAAACACCGCACACATTCTAAAGATTAGCAAAGGGACTACAGCACAGTAAAAAGGGAGGGGTGCTGAGAATGCCTCGTTTGATCGTTGATTTTCTTTTAATTTACAAATGTGAAAAGGAGTATAGTATGGTACATGGGATGTCATGTATTGTAAGTATATATATTGCAGGGTCTGTTTCATGGTAACAGAATTCAAAAATTAGGATTTTATCTAACCTTTGAGCAATATAAGAAAATTTTAGGCCTGGTGCAGTGGCTCACACCTGTAATCCCAGCACTTTGGGAGGCTGAGGCAGGAGGATCTCTTGAAGCCAGGAGTTTGAGACTAGCCTGGGCAACAAAGCAAGACCCCATCTCTACAAATAAAGAAAGAAATGATAAATTAAAAAAATAAAATTGAAACTAGTTCCACAAGAGGCATTGGGGGCTATTAATTTAATTGAATCATTCACAGATATAACCATTTTAAGGGTATATCGGTGTGAGCTAAAGGTTATCTGGACACTCATTCTGTTTGGAAAATAGAAACATGTACACGTGAGAGTTACTCTAAGGGTTTATTCTAAAAAGAAAAAATCTGATGGGTGAACATTTGCTTCCTTGGGTTATGTGCCATAATGTCCCCAACATAATTTTCCTGAAAAATGACTATATGGGTTACCAAAACAAACATATACATCACTGCAACACTTTGTAGTAACATATGCAGTGCTTTAAGCCAACTCAAAGATGTATAACGTAGAACTGGAATCATTTCCTAGACAGAGGACCAATAGCAATAACCCTTAATAGCCCAGGGTCTCCAGGGGCACATTTAAAGCAGGATTCCTAGAGGCTGCATTTCGGCAGCCACTGTGGAATGAAATAAACACTTTGGAGCAGAGCAGGAAGTCCCGCTGTTCAGCACTAGCTGGTTTCAAGCCAACGGTTCCTAATCTCAATGAGCAGCAGCTGTCATAGCCATTCTGCAGGGATGTCTTTTTGAAAGTTCTTAAAGATCTTAATTGTGACCTTCCCCTCTGGCTCTAAGTAAGGTTCTTCTTGCTCACCTGTCATATAATTGGGAGCACTCAATTTCATGATCAGCAACACAAAATGAAGTGGAGAATACTCTTATCAAATAAGCTGGAAGCAAGGGACAATCAGAGAGACAGGCAGCATGATGTACTAGAAAGAGAAGTGGGCCTCCTGACAAAACCTGACACAAGGGACAGGCTGCTGCGACCTTGTACAGATAACTCATCGGTAAATCTACTTAACATGCCTGTTTGAAGAATATTGTCTTAGTCCTTTTGAGCGGCTATAACAAAATGCACTCGTCCCTTGATATCCGTGGGGGACTGGTTCCAGAACCTCCTGTGGATACCAAAACTCGATGATGCTCAAGTCCCTGTTAAAAAATGGTGTAGTATTTGCATATAACCTAGGTACATCCTTCCATATAATTAAAATCACCTGTAGATTACCTATAAAACTTAATACAATTTAAATGCTAGGTAAATGATCATCATACTGTGTTGTTTAATGAATAATGACAAGAAAAATTCTGTACATTTTTAGTACAGATGCAATAATTTTTCCAAATATTTTTGATCCCTGGTTACTTGAATCCACAGATGCAGAATCCACAGATATGAGGGGATGACTGTACCTTAGACTAGGTAATTTATAAACAATAGAAATTTATTGTTCACAGTTCTGGAGGCTGGGACGCCTAAGATCAAGGTGCCAGCAACTTCAGCATCTGGTGAGGGCTTGCTCATCAGAGATGGCACCTTCTTGCTGCATTCTCACATGGCAGAAGAGAAGACAAGCTTCCTCCAGCCTCTCAAAAGGACACTAATCCCATTCATGAGGTCTCCGTCCTCATGATCTAATCACCTCCTAAAGACCCCACCTCTTTTAGTACTATTGCATTGGAGGTGAGGTTTCAACATATGAATTCTGGGGGATACAAACATTCAGACCACAGCAAGTGTCTTTTTATGAAAATAAGCATGTGTAAATAAGGCAATCGGGCTGTGTTAACTTCTCAACATAAAGCACACTTGCAAAAATTCTTAGTTGAATCACTTTGGAGTCTATTCAAGATAATTTCTCATATTAAGGCCTCAGCCTGCCATTCCAAAGATACCTTCCTGTGAACCTGCTCTCAGGCACTGAATGAACAGCTAGGCTGGCACACCAGCCACACCCCCACCTGGCCAACTTCCAGTCTCTGCCTCTAATCCTGCCTTCTCCCATCTCCACCTACTGAAATCCCATGCAGCCTTTCCATATTCAGCTCTAATGCCATCTTCTTTATGAAATTTTCTATCAAAGGGTGGGAGACAGAAAAGGGAGAGGGATGAGAGCCAGGGAGAGATTTGCTGCCACTTGATGGCTTTAGCTTTGCAAAGGCAGCAAGAAACACAGGGGCTTGAGTCTGAAAACCAACATTGTTGAGATTTCCCAACAGTGGCACAGGCACTAGAAAAGCAGTGGAAGCTCAGCCAGTGAGGTGTTAAAACACAGGCGGGGTGACCATCTGTCCAGGCTATCACAGACAGAATTTTCACCCTGGGTGGGGGTTACAAGGGATGACCCTACATCCCTTCCATGGTTCTAAGCTGTGTCATGGCCATGGGTTCCAAACAGTAAGTTTCAAGTTAGAGGCAAATCTTGTTGAAGGTTCAGTTTATGATTCTCTAATCTTACCTGCCCATTTTCTTGATACATTTTTTATTTAGAAAGAAATACAGGCTGCAGACTAGCTACTTGGGAGGCTGAGGTGGGAGGATCGCTTGAGCCCAGGAGTTCAAGGCTGCAGTGAGCCATGATTGCACCACTATACTCCATCATGGGGCAACATAACAAGACTCTGTCTCTTAAAAAAAAAAGAGAAAGCAACATAGCAGCATAAGAGCAAAGGCTTTAAAGTCAGCCTGCACATGGATATGAATCCTTGTCTTAGACAAGTTACATAACCACTGCTGGTCTCACTTTCCTCACCTATAAAGTGGGCTTAATAACAGAACATCATAAGGGGTTGATGTAAGCAGTATATGAGCTAATACACATAAAGCAGTTAGTGTAGTATACAGCATATAGCATATAGCAAGCATGCAATAACAGTTCATTACTGTCAACATCACTACCATTATTAAAGTGCTTTGCAGGTCCTGACATATGGAAAATGTATAATAAATAACAGCTATCAAGATTTTTAAGTTTTTATTATTATTATTATTATACTTTAAGTTTTAGGGTACATGTGCACAATGTGCAGGTTAGTTATGTATGTATACATGTGCCGTGCTGGTGTGCTGCACCCATTGACTCGTCATTTAGCATTAGGTATATCTCCTAATGCTATCCCTCCCCGATCCCCCCACCCCACAACAGTCCCCAGAGTGTGATGTTCCCCTTCCTGTGTCCATGTGTTCTCATTGTTCAATTCCCGTCTATGACTGAGAACATGCGGTGTTTGGTTTTTTGTCCTTGCGATAGTTTACTGAGAATGATGATTTCCAATTTCATCCATGTCCCTACAAAGGACATGAACTCATCATTTTTTATGGCTGCATAGTATTCCGTGGTGTATATGTGCCACATTTTCTTAATCCAATCTATCATTGTTGGACATTTGGGTTAGTTCCAAGTCTTTGCTATTGTGAATAGTGCCACAATAAACATACGTGTGCATGTGTCTTTATAGCAGCATGATTTATAGTCCTTTGGGTATATACCCAGTAATGGGATGGCTGGGTAAAATGGTATTTCTAGTTCTAGATCCCTGAGGAATCACCACACTGACTACCACAATGGTTGAACTAGTTTACAGTCCCACCAACAGTGCAAAAATGTTCCTATTTTTCCACATCCTCTCCAGCACCTGTTGTTTCCTGACTTTTTAATGATTGCCATTCTAACTGGTGTGAGATGGTATCTCATTGTGGTTTTGATTTGCATTTCTCTGATGGCCAGTGATGAGCATTTTTTCGTGTGTCTTTTGGCTGCATAAATGTCTTCTTTTGAGAAGTGTCTGTTCATATCCTTTGCCCATATTTTTCTTTTTTTATAGAGATGGGGTTTCCCTATGTTGCCCAGGCTTATCTCGAGCTCCTGAGCTCAAGTGATCTGTTCACCTCAGCTTCCCAAAGTCCTGGGATTACAGGCATGAGCCACTGCCCCTAGCCCATCAATAATATTATAATACATATAAGTTTATATATTAAATGCCATTCATTTTAAGTAAAATAAATAATCATTCATTTTAAAGATTAATTTTAGACTCATTGTAAATAAATGAATTTGTAAAGCAAATATTTAAAGACATCATTACAAAAGTAGAATTTGGTATACAGCCCCCCTCTGGTTAAGGGATAATAGCGGTTAGCTATTATCATTTTGTAGATGATAAAACTCAGAGATTCTATTAATTGCCCAAGGTCACACAGTGGAGAAACTAAAACTAGAACTGAGTCTTTAGTTTCTAAGCTCCTTCTTCCTTCCATGAACCATGCAAATAAAAATAAAATAAATTGGAAGTATGGTAGCACGCCAAGAGTTCATCTATTCATCCAGCTGAGAGATATGTTTCTTCCTCCACTGTTTAACATTTTTGAGGCTTTTATTTCCTTTATGTGAAAAAGACAAGAAATCTTTATTCTACATGTAATGAAGGATCTCCTCCAGTACAACTTGGCAGATTAAACACATGTAATGGATTAGTCAGGATGCAGATTCTACTGATAATGAATGAAATAAAATGGAGTTGTACTTCTCTTCCATATTACAAGAAGCATTAGAAGGCCTAGATGGCCAGGCATGGTGGTCCACGCTTGTAATCCCAGCACTTTGGGAGGCCAAGGTGGGAGAACTGCTTGAGGCCAGGAGGTCTAGGCCAGCCTGAACAACATAGCAATAACCTATCTCTTGAAAAAAAAGGCCAAGGCTAATAGGGTACCCTACAATGTTGGAAACTCATATCCTTCCCTTTTGGTGCTCAGCCTTTCCAGGATGCCACTCTCTTCTGCATGGTTGAGGCTAGCTCACCACTATAGCCATGTTCCTTCCAGGCAACAAGACATGCCTCTTGCCTTTAAGAGCATGATTTAGGGCCAGGCGCAGTGGCTCATGCCTGTAATCACATCACTTTGGAAGGCCAAGGCAGGCAGATTGATTGAACCCAGGAGACCAAGGTTGCAGTGAGCTGAGATCTCACCACTGCACTCCAGCCTTGGTGACAGAGTGAGACTCTGTCACAAAAAAAAAAAACACCTAATACAAACAGTATTTCACTGTAGCAAGCTGAAAGGATATGCTGCCAGGAATGAAGGAAAGAAAGATGTCAGCTGTTTGGGGTAGGGGTTGAGGGTGGCTCCTCAAATTTCCAGGTCCTCACAGGAGGCATGCTCAAGGTGGTGAAGACCTTCTACTTGCCTACAGTAACATCCTGCAGGAAGCCTAAAGGGGCATTTGCAAAGTCTCTGCTGCTTCCAGTCTGGTCATCCTGAAACTTCAACATCATTAGTATACATGATTGCAAAACCACCTTGCATAAGTTGCAGAATCTAACATCTAGGTCAAGGGTACAACTTCATACCATACCACAGCTCCATCTTGCTACACTGTTACCAGTTATACTGAAAATGACAGGCATCACCCATGCATAGTTGTATGGCAGCATTGTAGCAATATTACTAGGCACAGTTACCTCCAGCATTACATGGCCTGGGAGGTTGTGAACAGGATCTGCCAAAAAGCACAAAGATAGTTAAGCCAAAGTGGGTAAAAGGCAATTATTGTTTTCAGGAAAAACAAATATTGGACAAGATAGGAAGTATAGTATACTATATGGCTCTGCTGCAATAACTATATGATCACAATCATATTAATTTAACCAAAAACTATGATATAACTATATCAAGGGGATAGGAAAAAAGGAAGTGGGAAGAAAAGAAAGAGTGTAAGAGAATTAATCCTCATTTCACAGTAATAAATCACTAGGAATAGTGTCTCAAACTGATAAGTCAAGAAACAGTGTTACATTACTTTTTCTTTTCTCTTCTTTGTTTCTTCCCTTCCTTCCTTCCTTTATTTATTTCTAGATGTATGTAGATAAATATCAGAAGAAACAGCTAAGAATTTACAGTGCTTACCTTTGGAGATGAGCAGTGGAACAAGAAAAAAGTGGAGCAGGAAAATGCTGTTTTTTGCTAAAAGCCATTTAGGATTATTTGATATTTAAAGCAAGAGGAAGAGGAGAAAACAAATGAGTATAGCATAAGTTGTGGTGAGTACTACAAAGCAAAGTTTGGCAAATGATGGCCCTAAGAACAAATTTAGCCCACAGACTATTTTTGTGCAGTACATAAGCTAAGAATGATTTTTACATTTTTAAATGTTTCAATAAAAATAAAACAAAAAGGCCAGGTGTGGTGGCTCCCACCTATAATCTGGGCACTTTGGGAGCAGAGGCAGGCAGATTTTTTGAGCTCAGGAGTTCAAGATCAGCCTGGGCAACATGGCAAAACTCTGTCTCTACAAACAATGCTAAAAAATTCGCCAGGCATGGTGGTGCAAGCCTGTGGTCCCAGCTACTCGGGAGGCAGAGATGGGAGGATCACTTGAGCCCAGGAGGTTAAATCTGCAGTGAGCCATGATCATGCCACTGAACTCCAGTCTGGGTGACAAAGCAAGACCCTGTCTCCAAAAACACTTAAAAATAAATAAAAAATAGAAAAATAAACAAAGAATATTTGATGACACATAAAAATTAGGTAATATTCACATTTTATTTTTAAAAATTTAATATAAAAAATTCATTACTGCCCAACATTAATAGATGAACATTTATGATCAGTTTTGATTACAGCAAACACTAAATTTGACTTCCAACTAAGAGAAATGTTATAACCTCTAAAACAGAACTCCATTATTCTCATTGGTAGGCCTGTACTACAAAAAAAAATTGTACTCCATTATTATTATTATTATTATTATTATATTTAGAATTTTATTAATAAAAATGGTGGAAATTTGTTTTCTCTTGTAATGTAAGTACTTACATTATTTTGCCTCTTGGCTCACAGATCTAAAATATTCACAATCTGGCCCTTTATGTAAAAAGTTCGTCCATCTCTGTTGTAAAGGGAGGAATGAAGTTTCTCAGAGCACATAACAAAGGAACTAGGGCTCGGCTGGTAAGAATGGGAGCCTGGGAAGGTCAGGCATGATGGCTCACGCCTGTAATCATAGCACTTTGGGAGGCCGAGGCGAGCAGATCACCTGATGTCAGGAGTTCGAGACCAGCCTGGCCAATATGGCAAAACCCCATCTCTACTAAAAATACAAAAATTAGCCAGGCATGGTGGTATGCACCTGTGATCCCAGCTACTTGGGAGGCTGAGGTAAGAGAATCACTTGAACCCAGGAGGAGGTTGCAGTGAGCGACACTGCACTCTAGCCTGGGCGACAGAGTGACACTCTGTCTCAAAGAAAAAAAAAAAAAAACACAGAATGGGAGCCTAGGGAAAGGCAAGAAGATGAAATGATTAGCTACCTTAAGTAGTGGAAATCCCTTTGAGAACCTGCCAAAACAAAGCATAAGATGGATCTTTTCAACAGAAATGCACATACATTCAACATTTAAGACCCTTAGTATCTTCCAAGAGCCCTAACAGATCTCAGTGGACCTTAAAGTGTCCAAGAGCCCTAGTAAGGGGAAGGAAGGAAGGAAGGAAGGAAGGAAGGAAGGAAGGAAGGAAGGAAGGAAGGAAGGAAAGAAGGAAGGAAGGAAGGAAAAAGATGGAGGCATAAACCTATGTGACAGCAAAGAATAACTGAGCTTCCTTTGTTGCGGGAAGTCAGGGACCCCAAACAGACGGACCGGCTGAAGCCATGGCAGAAGAACGTGGATTGTGAAGATTTTATGGACATTTATTAGTTCCCCAAATTAATACTTTTGTAGTTTCTTATGCCTGTCTTTACTGCAATCGCTAAACATAAATTGTAAAGATTTCATGGACACTTATCACTTCCCCAATCAATACCCTTGTGATTTCCTATGCCTGTCTTTACTTTAATCTCTTAATCCTGTCAGCTGAGGAGGATGTATATCGCCTCAGGACCCTGTAATAATTGCATTAACTGCACAAATTGTACAGCATGTGTGTTTAAACAATATGAAATCTGGGCACTTTGAAAAAAGAACAGGATAACAGCAATTGTTCAGGGAATAAGAGAGATAACCTTAAACTCTGACCACTGCTGAGCCGGGAGGAACAGAGCCATATTTTGCTTCTTTCAAAAGCAAATGGGAGAAATATTGCTGAATTCTTTTTCTCAGCATGGAACATCCCTGAGAAAGAGAATGCGCACCTGGAGGTGGGTCTCTAAACTGGCCCCCCCGCCGGGGCATGGTCGTCTCTTATGGTTGAGGCTGCAGAGGTGAAATAGACTCCAGTCTCCTATAGTGCTCCCAGGCTTATTAGGAAGAGGAAATTCCCGCCTAATAAATTTTGGTCAGACCGGTTGATCCCAAAACCCTGTCTCCTGATAAGATGTTATCAATGACAATGGTGCCCGAAACTTCATTAGCAATTTTAATTTCGCCTTCGTCCTGTGGTCCTGTGATCTCGCCCTGCCTCCACTTGCCTTGTGATATTCTATTACCCTGTTAAGTACTTGATGTCTGTCACCCACACCTATTCGCACACTCCCTCCCCTTTTGAAAATCTCTAATAAAAACTTGCTGGTTTTTGTGGCTTGTGGGGCATCACGGATCCTAACAACGTGTGACGTCTCCCTCGGATGCCCAGCTTTAAAATTTCTCTCTTTTGTACTCTGTCCCTTTATTTCTCAAGCCGGCCGACGCTTAGGAAAAATAGAAAAGAACCTACGTGATTATCGGGGCAGGTCCCCCAATATCCTTTGATGTGCGCTCTCTCCCCCTCATCTGAGTACTCTTCCCCAACCCAAATAAAACCAAAAGACCAATCCGGTGAGGTGAGCAGTGGTGTGTAGAGGCCCAGGAACAGAGATAGAAATTCCTGTATAAAAGGTAGGAACAGGGTGCAGGTAGAGAAGTTGCTGAGAGCCATACCTGCAGCAAATATGGAGAAGGCCACAGCTGAGTGGCTGCAGGAAGCCATGGGCTGCCTCCCATCCCCATTATTTCTGAAACCCATGCTCCCAGGGTGCCTTGGCCACATCAGTCTCCTATCCATGCAGCCCCCAGGGCAGTGTATGCCCTGGCCCACTACCCTCAGATCCCCCAAGGGCTGAGCTGAGGCCCAGACCCCAGATGGAAAGGTTGGCAGCCCAAACTAGAGAGCAGCACTCCAGATGCAGGTGACCCTGCCTGTGGACCCCATGTTTCAGAGGTCCCAGGTAGACATGACTTTGGATGTGATCCCAGCCAGGATCCATCACATCATTTCTGATGCTTTTTGCAGCAGGGAGCTTGAGGGTCCACAGGCTTAGTCCAACTGTCCTGAGACTTGTCCATATAATGGACATCCTGGACAGTGCCACTTCATCTCTGGCACCACTGCTGGGAGTAGCATTTTTGGGAAATAAAGCAGAATGGCATCTGGGCATCCACAAGGATGTATCAGGAAGAAAGGAAGGGTCCTCTTATCTTCAGAGCTATAAGCCTGAGACCTAAAACATATTTCAGTACCAGCTGTGTCCCTGGGTTGCCCCTCATATGAGCTTCGACTTATGCCATGGGTGGGAGGAATTGGCAGGATTTCTAGATCTGGACATGGAGATTTTTCACTTTGCAGGCCCGGCAGGAGATCCCACAACCATACCTTCACCAAAGTCTCACTCTGAGCCTCTGCATCCACTCTTCTGCCTGAGACCTCACAGACAAGAAGTAAATATGCTGTCTTAAAAATCTGTCTCTTGAGGGATTCAAATCTTAAGACTCCCCCAAAATCCCCCAGAGAAGAAAAATAAGACCTCTGTCCACAGGGAGAAACATGGGAGAAAAATATGCACTTAGAAGAACATAGAAGAAACTGTGAACTTTGGTCACCTTAAAAAGGACAACTGGTTGCCTGGGAGACTGATATAGTTTGGATATTTGTCCCTGCCCAAATCTCATGTTGAACTCTAATCCCCAGTGCTAGAGGTGGGACCTGGCGAGAGGTGTTTGGGCCATTGGGGCAGGTCTTTCGTGGCCTGGTGTTGTCTTCAAGACAGTGAGTGAGTTCTCACGAGATCAGGTCGTTTACAAGTGTGTGGCACCTCCCCACCCTCTCTTGTTCCTGCTTTTGCCATGTGATGCATAAGCTCCCGCTTCACCTTCTACCAGGAGTGAAAGCTCCCTGAGGCCTCCCCAGAAGCAAAGAGATGTGGGCTCCATGCTTGCACAGCCTGCAGAACCGTGAGCCAGTTAAATCTTTTTTTTTTTTTTTTTTTTTTTTTTTAGTTTTTAAATTTTACTTTAAGTTCTGGGATACATGTGCAGAACGTGCAGGTTTGTTACATAGGTATACATGTGCCATGGTGGTTTGCTGCACCTGTCAACCCGTCATCTAGGTTTTAAGCCCAACGTGCATTAGGTATGTGTCCTAATGCTCTCCCTCCCCTCGCCCCCCATCCCCCAACGGGCCCTAGTGTGTGATGTTCCCTTCCCTGTGTTATCATTGTTCAACTCCCACTTATGAGTGAGAACATGTGGTGTTTGGTTTTCTGTTCCTGTGTTAGTTTGCCGAGAATGATGGCTTCCAGCTTCATCCATGTCACTGCAAAGGACATGAACTCATTTTTTTGATGGCTGCATAGTATTCCACGGTGTATATGTGTCACATTTTCTTTATCCAGTCTCTCATTGATGGATATTTGGGTTGGTTCCAAGTCGTTGCTATTGTAAATAGTGCAATCTCTTTTCTTTATAAATTACCCAGCCTCAGGTATTTCTTAATAGCAATGCAAGAATGACCTAATACAGAGACATAAGAGAAAGGGTCCCTTGGACTGTCTACCTTTGTACCATGTTCAAGTATTACTTATGTTTTTAAATATTTGAAAAGCAAAAATAAATAAAAAGCAAATAAAGTAAGACATCTGAGGAAGAAACCTGGTTTAGCTGATCTTAAGAATGGTTCAGAAAACTTAAGAAAGATGTTAACTTAAGAAAGATGTTTGGAGATAACTACCGACTCTTGTTAACCACTTTTCATGGACAATTTCAAGGGGATTTGTCTACCCATCACCAAGCCCTGAATTATCAGGTAGACCGCAAGTTTCCAGAGGGAAGAAGGCATGGGTTTTTGTACCTCTCCTGTGACCTAGCCAAGCCTCTGGAAGAGAATATGTACTTGAGAAATATTAGGTCCCGTTCAAAAATAAATATTCCAAAGTAAGTAAATATTTAATACAGTAAACTGATCTTTGACAAAGGTGCCAAGAATACACAATGGGGGAAGGACAGCCTCTTCAACAAATGGCATAGGAAAAACTGGATATCCACATGCAAAAGAATGAAATTGAGCTTCCGTCTTACACTACTCACAAAAAATAACTTGAAATAGATTAAAGACTTCTATGTAAGACCTGAAACTGTAAACATGTAGAATAAAACCTAGGAGAAAGCTCCTTGACATTGGTCTAGGAAATGATTTTTTTGGATATGACCTCAAAAGCAGAGGCAACAACAATAACAAAAATAAACAAATGGGATGGCATCAAACTAAAAATCTTCACAACAAAGGAACAATCAACAAAATGAAAAGGTAACTTATGAAATGGGGAAAATATTTGCAAACCATATGTCCCATTAGGATTTAATATCCAAAATACATCAGGAACTCCTCATACAACTCAATAGCAAAATAAATAAATAAATAAATAAAAATTAAAATTAAAAAAGCCCTCATTTAAAAAGGGGCAAATGACCTGAATAGACATTGTTCCAAAGGCAGATAAATGGCCAACAGGTACATGAAAGGTGCTTAGCATCATGAGTCTTCAAGGAAATGCAGATTGAAACCACAAGGAGATATCACCTCACCTCCATTAGGTTAAGCTGTTATCAAAAAGACAAGATTAAAAGCATTGACAAGGATGTGGAGAAAAGGGACCATTGTAAGCTACTGGTGAAAATGAAATTTGATAGGGCCAGTATGGAAAACAGTATGCAGGTTCCTCAAAATTTTGAAAATAGAACTATCTTATGATCCAGCAACCCATCCTCTGGGTATATATCCTAAGGAAATAAAAACAGTAGCTTCAGATATATCTGCACTCCTATGGTCATTGCACCATTATTCACTATAGCCAGGACATGGAAACAACTTAAATGTCCATTGATGAATTAATGGATAAAGAAACTCTGTGTGTGTGTGTGTGTGTGTGTGTGTGTGTGTGTGTATGTGTGTGTGTGTATGTATATATTAGGTTGGTGCAAAAGTCATTGCAGTTTTTGCCATTATATACAGTCATTAAAAAGAAGGAAATCGTGCCATTGGTGACAACATGGATGGACCTTGAGAGCATCATGCTAATAAGTGAAACAAGTCAGACAAGGAAGGAGAAATGTATAAGCTCACTTATATGTGGAATCTAAAGAAGTCAAACTTGGCCAGGTGCGGTGACTCACATCTGTAATCCCAGCACTTTGGGAGGCTGAGGCGGGAGTATCACTTGAGGTCAGGTGTTCGAAACTAGCCTGGCCAGCATGGTGAAACCCCATCTCTACTAAAAATACAAAAAAAAATTAGCTGGGCGTGGTGGTGCATGCCTATAGTCCCAGCTACCTGGGAGGCTGAGGCAGGAGAATGGCTTGAATCTGAGAGGCAGAGGTTGAAGTGAGCCGAGATCGCACCACTGCACTCCAGCCTGGGCAACAGAGAAAGACTCTAACTCAAAAAAAAAAAAAAAAAAAAGCCAAACTCAAAGAAACAGAGTAGAATGGTGGTTGCCAGGGGCTGGGAACTGAGGGAAATGAAAAGATGTTGGCCAAAGAGTGCAAACTTTCAGTTATAAGGAACACATTCTGGGGATCTAATGTACAACATGGTGACTAGAGTTAATAATACTGTATTGTTTACCTGAAGGTTGCTAAGAGAGTAGGTCTTAAATGTCCTCAGTGCACACACACAAAGGTAACTATGTAAGGTGACTGATGTGTTAATGATTGTGACAATAATTTCACAATATATATGCATATGAAAGCATCACATTGTATCCCTTAAATACATACAATTGTCCCTCAGTATCCACAGAGGATTGGTTCTAGAAACTTCTGCAGATACCAAATCCAAGGATGCTCAAGTCCCTTATATAAAATGGTCCATATTTGCATGTAACCTATGCCCATTATCTCTAGATTACTTATAATACCTAACACAATGCAAATCCTATGTAAATAGTTGTAATACTGTATTTAGGGAATAATGATAAGGAAAAAAGTCCCTACAAGTTCAGCACAGATGCAACTATTACAGGCCTAACTACATTTTCAAACCATGGTTGGTTGAATCCATGGATGCAAAACCCATAGAAATAAAGGGTCAACTGCAGCCATCCCATTACTAGGCATATACCCAAAGGGTTATAAATCATGCAGCTATAAAGACACATGCACACGTATGTTTATTGCGGCACTATTCACAATAGCAAAGACTTGGAACCAACCCAAATGTCCATCAATGATAGACTAGATTAAGAAAATGTGGCACATATACACCATGGAATACTATGCAGCCATAAAAAAGGATGAGTTCATGTCCTTCATAGGGACATGGATGAAGCTAGAAACCATCATTCTGAGCAAACTATCACAAGGACAGAAAACCAAACACCGCATGTTCTCACTCATAGGTGGGAATTGAACAATGAGGACACTTGGACACAGGGTGGGGAACATCACACATCGGGGCCTGTCATGGGGTGGGAGGAGGGGGGAGGGATAGCATTAGGAGATATACCTAATGTAAATGACGAGTTCACAGGTGCAGCACACCAACATGGCACATGTATACATATGTAACAAACCTGTACATTGTACACATGTACCCTAGAACTTAAAGTATAATAGTAATAATAAAAAGAAATAGAGGGTCAACTGTACAATTTTATCTGTCAATTATACCTCAGTAAAGCTGGGGGTGGGAGTCCAGGAATAAATAGATAAACAGATAAATAGTTTGAGTATCTCTTTTCTGGCAGGGGTCAGGGGCTGGGGAGAAGTGGAGATAGGGCAGAGAGCCTTCCCTTCTTTTCCATTTCAATTTCTCCTAGCCTAGAATCTTCTTTTCTTTTAGTATTAATAGAAAGTTCTAATTTTTAATGAGGGCCATCCATGGTGCCTAGAGATAAAGTAGCCATGGTCATTCAAGAGTGATTCGTCCCCTTGTCCTCCAGAAAATAATCAAAGGCTTGAGATCAACCCCATGGGCCTATATCTACCCAATCAGAACAGTGAGTTATCACAGAGCCACAGCTCTATGAATGCTTTACTTGGATATTTTTTTCCAGAAGGAACATGTTTCTCACACAGCAATCTTAATAAATGCAAGTGGGCTCCATTTCTTGGCTTTGAGGTAATGAAAAATTAATTACCATACTTTACAAGTAATAGATTCCACTCACAGCACTCCTTTAGAAGTAAATATATCATAAATAGTTACTATTATACCAATGGTTGGTGGATTGGGCAGCCTGTCGTCCATAAATCTTTTTTCAACAGACATGTTATTTCTTCTGGGGGAACAAACAGATTTGTTTTAGATCAGAGAGTCAACTGACAGATGGCCTTTGTAAAAACACACCATTTGTATAAATAAATTATAGTTTCACTATGGTATTCTGCATTTGTGGATTTGGAAAATCAATGCCCCCATTCTCCAGACTGGGCCTAAACTGTAAAGAGCAATTTTGTTTAGGTGTGAGGTCACATTGCACAGATCTGCCAACACAGATGCTAAAGTCCAAACTCTCTGGATACTTGCTGCCACTTCTCATCACAATTGTCACAAAGAACTCTGCCTGGAGGTAACAGGATGATCTCCCAGAAAGCTCCGTAACCGATCAGAGCAAGTTACCAACTGGCACACTCCCCTTAGCTCTGGGCTCTGTTTCCATTAAACGTAATGATACCACGTGCCTTATTTTCCTAACCACAACTTTGCATAATTGGGACTGACAGTGTATTTGTCTTAAAAAGCTGAAACACTTCATTTTCTTTTACAATATAGTTCATCAGTTAAACGCTAAACATTCGGTAGATTTCTTTAAAATCCAAACCAGCCCTAACTCTGAGCACACTGGAATCTCAGTCATTACTCATCTTACAAGGTATACACATGTAACATATGCATCAAATATTTGATTCATATATAAATGTACATATCTAAATATGCATCTATACACACACATACCTACTCATGCAAATCCCCTTTCCCAGAACCAAAGGGTCAAGACTTAGTATCAAAAAAGACATAGTTTGTCACTGTTTTTAAGAACCAGGACTAGTAAAATGTTTCTTTTGCTAGGAGACCAAGACATTCATTTTAGCCAGAAATTATAAGCATAGTCTTTGTTGGCCTAATGATTGCCTGCGTGTCCTTTTTTTTTTAAGGATATTATTCCCCCTCCACACATGATTAAGATCCTAAAGTCATCAGTCGTGATCAAGGAAATAAAAGTTTAACACCAATCATGTTCACTATTCAAAATATAAAAACAGGAAAGACTTTGTAAGTTTCCAGCTTAAACAAAAATTTATGTGTCAAATTGTCCAGTATTTTCCTAGCTACAACGTACTTTTGGACGCTGTGTTTATTCTTTCACAGGGTGGGATACTGTTAGCCTGGTGCTTTGTCTGCATTCATAACCTCAAGCTCCCACATTGTTATTTAGAGTTATACCAGTTGGTGTCTTGATAAAATTAATACAGTGTCTAGAGTTCCTAACTTACATCCAAAGAAGTGCATAAACCAATGATTTCCATCTGTTTCTATGACACTCCCAGGGAATCTCAGGTTACTTCAAAGGAGATCAGAAATTCCCAAATAAAATTAATTTAGATCTACAAATCTTACGCATATACTTACATATGCCAGATATAAATATATACCTACATGCACATAGGTAAATTCTGGAAGATGCAAAGTCAGGAAATTACTAAGGTAATTGCATATTAAGATCCTAGGAGGGTAAAATGATCACAAATTATAATATGTATCGTAAACTGATTAGAACTAATCATGAAAAATAAAAGTCCACTCAGTTTACACAAAATCACAAATTTGGATCAAGAAAAAGGGTTTGGGGGGTAAATCAATGAAGCTATTTTTGAAGTAGATGATTTTGTGGATGAATTACTAGCAACCCAATAGGATACAAATCTGGTTGGATGACTGATTCATTTGATTCTTTTTTTTTTTTCATCTCTAAATTATGCTACATGCCTCTCTCTAAATGGAGAAGTGCTTCATCCTGCATCTCAATAAAATTATTAAAGACATGTTTGCTGTAATGGAGTCAACTCACAATCAATACCTGTATTCATAATATTATGCACACATACAGGTCAAGGGTTAAGAAAATGTTTTCAGTGCAACTGTAATCAACCAACCCTCCTGTAATTAGGCTGTTTGCTGACTCCTTAGGGACATTTATTGGGAGGGGCCCAAGGGCCCCTCTTAGACTCAGATCATGTGACTGAGTGCAAAATTCCTTTGCTTAAAACAAATGCACTTCTCCACCTTCAGATTAAGGCAGTGATTAAGAGCATGGATCTGCCACTTCCTAACTCTATAACTGTGGGAAAGTTTCTCATCCACTCCCTGCCTCAGTCTGTAAAAAGGAGAAAATAGTGCTTGCCCCATACAAGTGTTGAAAGGATTAAATAAGTTAGGATAAAGTGCTTAGTACAGTGCACATAGTAAACATTCAATAAGTGTAAGCTCTTATCATTCTTTATTATTCAACTTGTCAGAGGTTCCCCGAGCTAGAGACCACTGCGGAACTCTAGATTACTTATCAACTTATGATCATGTTGACTTTTTAAAATGTATTTTAATTTTATATAATATTATATGATACTATCTCAGTGTTAAATTTTTATGTGTTAAATGTTCGGTATTAAACACACATAATTCAACTAGATCTGCATATTAAGTGGCATATTTGTCCCCTATACATCCTGAAAAGTTTGGAATTGGCGGAAACTGCATTGACTGGGTATCTGGACATGCATTGGAGGATCTCCCACTAATGTCCTGCGAGGCCATGGCTGAGTCATTTCACCCTTCCAAATACCAGATTTCTTCCTATAGCAAAGGTTTCCACTAGGTGAACTCTAAGAACCCTTTTATCCTAAGAATCAGAGTATTTTGAAGCTGACCTCTTCCTTGATTTTCTGAGTTGTGACAGCATCATCTGTCTGAAGAAACCAACCAGTATGAAATGGGAGAATCCTAACCAGTAAATTTACTAGATCCAGCCTCTCTCAGGATAGCACATAACAAAATGCTAGAATGAACTGTTATATAAAATTCACATAAAAATGACCACATATGCCACTTTTATTGGGAAATTACAAGGAGAATGTGAATCTAATATCTACTGATGAATTATTCAACTATATTTCAGTCAGCCTGGCTGACTGGATGACAGAGTATGAGTATTTTTCAAGCACTCATAGAAAACTCCTGAACTCTCTTGAATGTTGGCTTGATGGTTATTTCTGGTGAAGAATGGACACCTGAAGGTATAAGAAGAGAGACCCTTTCTTTAGGAATGGGAAAGGACATCATTATGGGATGCCCCAGGGGATCATTTGAAACCCTTTAAATATACATCTTGGGGAAAGAAGACTTTATCCTGACTGGATATCTGACCTGGAAAATACCTTCCAAGACAAAGAACAGTGAGGTCATACACAGAGGGCGTGAAAGGCTTAGGAAAAGAGTAAAGGAAGCCCCAAGAAACAGAGACTGTTGAGTCCAGGGGAGTTTGAGAAGCCATAGGAGACTGAAATAGAGGCTTATGCATATGTTGATGATATATGCGTGATTTGGAGGAAGTCAGAGAGAAACATGGCTGATTTCTCAGCAAATACACTTTAAAATGCACATGTTCTAAACCTAACCCGCTATCTATAAACGCCAGCAATAGCCATGATTAACTAACTAGTAGAGACGCAGAGGGTGGTAGGCATGAGTTCTTCCCACTCAGGCACTGGGAGGCTTTCAGTCACTCCAAAGTCCCCACTGCCTAAATAGTTACAAGTTTGTAGTAGCAAATATACACAATATTACCAAATGTAACAGCTTTAAAAATCAGCCATTTGGCCAAGGCTGGAGAATTCTGTTTGCACCGGTTTCTCTTTTTGGAAGGGATCAAAATGTTGCCTCTCACAGTCCTTTGACTGTAGGAGAAATCAGAGGAAACCTGGATGGTCCACAGCAAGTTAGTATTTCCCACTGAAATAAACACATTCTTTTGACTCCCCTCCAGCCATGGAGCCCTGGCCAACAACTCACAATACAAAGCCGAGACTGGCTTCCACTAGGAACACAGCAACTGCTAATCCCCATTATCACACCCGACAGTGTCCACCACACCCCCATAAAGATGCATTTTCTAGTAACTAATAAAAACTGGTCCTGAAGACAATAGCCTCGCGCTCATCTAAATACCCGTTGGGATATTGCAAATTAACACCTTGTAAAGCAACCCAATTAAAAATTATGCCCATACACACAGTCTCACCCACCAAAACATACATCTGCCTCTCCAAATATTATGCAACGCTGGATTCTAAATCGGTCTTAATTTCTAAAAAGCCTACAGGCACGGATATAAATTCTCAGCTCTCGTGGCTGTGGCCGCCCTATGCACTCTTCCCAGTGGTGGACACAAACGTTAATGTACTTGTTATTATTTAAGGACACAAAAATATAGAAGGTGGCATTTTTCGCTTTCCCCTTCGAAGACTCTCCCCAGAGCTGCCAGATGAACGCCCACGCCACCTTCTCCCACCAAAGGTGGATCCAGCTAACAGGAGACTGGATCGCGACCATAGCGCGTTTGTGCCCAGTTCTGGGGAAAGCCTCATGTTAGCGAGTGGCCCTCGGCTCGTCTCGCAGATCGGCCAAGTACGCGGAGGCCGCGCGGTTTCACCATTAATACTCCTGAAGGACAATAGCTCATCAAGCCCCACCGAAAGCCCCGGACCCGTCGCGGAGCCTGGGCTGGCGGGGGATGAGGCTGAGCAACTCCTCCTAGAGGTGGTTATGTGGAGAAGGAGCAATCCCTTCTCCCTCCTCCTCCTCCCCCCGCTACTATCCGCGGCCCAGAGAACTGCCGCTTGCCGCCATTGACACGCACAGATAGAACCCAAAGAAAGGCAAAGAGTCCTGCCCGGCACCGGCGCCGCGTGGGCCAAACCTGCGCCCGTGGAGGGGCGCGCAGAGGGCACCGGGCGCCGGGAGCAGGCGGCGCAGCACCAGGTGAGCCCGCCATGGCGATGGCATTATTGTTTAGGGTGCTCCGGGGTCTGGAAACAAAACGCGCCGCCGGGGCAGTGCAGGGGCCGGAGAGAACCACCTCTGCCTCTCCCCCGAGCCCCTGCGGGCGCACCCTCGATAGCCGACCCACCCTCTGCAAAAACAAATTCTTAAATCCAGCTGCCCAACTTGCTTCCTTGGGCGATAAAGGGGGGGCTGCTAAAGAAGTGGTCAAATTCCTGCGGCCAGCGAGGGGCCGGGGGCGTCGAGGGTACTGAGAGGGGAAGGAGGAGGGATGCGAGGTTCAGCAGCGGGCCCCAGGCGAGGCTGGACCCGGAGGAAGCGGAGGTCTCCTGGGAATGCGGAGTTTCGGGCGCAGGAGCGGGAGGACGGAGGCGCCCGGCCGCCGATGGGCACGGGGCGATGGGTGGGGGGCTGCGCAGGGCCCGAGGGAGCCCGGGGAGGGCCGCTCGGGGGCCTCTGAAGGTGCCCGGGCAGGGCGCCGGCGGCTCCAGGCTGACAATGGAGGGGGCGCGGAGCAGCCGGGCGGAGGTTAGGGACCCGAGTCCGGGGGCGGGCCGCGCCGGGGAAGGTCAGGTCGGGGACGCCGGGTGGCGGGGCGAGGGCTGGGGGTTGCTGCGCGGACACCCGGGCGCCGCGGGCGGGCGTGCGCCCCGGGGCCGGCGCGGAAGAGGGCGCGAGGCCGGGCACTCCCCTTCGGTTCCCTTTCCGGGGCGCCCGGTGCCGACGCGCGCTGCGCTTTCACCGGGAAATGGCGGCCCGGCCGTGGCTCGCCTGGGCAGTCTGGCTCCCGCTTTGCGCGGGAAAAAATAATAATAATAAAAATATCGAAAAAGGGAATAAAAGTAAACTGGCTGCGGCGCAGGAAAGGGCTCTGCCGGGCGCCGGACGCCGTGCGTATCGCTCGCGGGGCGCGGCGGTTGGGGACCAGCCCTGCCTCCCCCGGCTCCCAGCCTCCAGCCCCGGCGCACCTCAGCCCCAGCCCGGCCAGCCCCCCGGATCGCCCGTGGGTGTCCTCCCCCGCCTTTCCTTGGGGGGGCGCCCTCAGTTCTTGCCCTCTTTGTTCCTTACAACAATGGCCAAAGGGGCATTGGTTCCCCAAGGGCCAAACGAGCTTCCTCCAGGAGTTTCCCGTCGCGTGCAGTGGACCACCGTGGGCCTGACTGAGGCCTGGTCCTTGCCAGGGTTTTTTGGCAACGGCCCTGGATGAGTGAAGGGATGAAAGGCGCGAGAAGAAATGGGCTGAGAAACCAAAGTGCGGGGCCCTGAGTGTTTGAGGGGACGCGATGGGAACCGTGGCTCCGCTGCCCTGATTTTAAGGGCAGTTACCCTGTCACAGCCACGCTGGAACTGAGGTGTCCTTCCAGCTTCTGTCCACCTCAGAGGAATTCAAAACAAGGGCCCAGTTCTAAGCCCCACAGACCCCAGGATCCCCTAGGGGCCATTAGTCCACCGCGGCAAATGGTTTCCTCACTTTGCTCATTTGTGTTTGTTTTGAAATCCAATTGTCACCTCACTGGGCTGCACAGTTGCTACTGAAACGGTTCAATAGGTGAGAGAAAAAGAAAACATTATTAAGAGCGAGAACGTGTCTTCGTGTGTGTTGTTTTGAACCACAAACTAAGCTACACATAATTCTCAATCCGTTTTAACACACTTTTTATTTTCAAACTAAATGTTAAGAGCTCCAAGATTTGGAAACATACTGGTGATTTTTAGAATTGTTTTAGCCTAAAATTACATATAAATAAATAGAGGCACTGCCCGGCGGAAAAGTTTATCTTGAGTCGCATAATTCACATCTTCATAACCCCTCTTTCCTGTAGCCAAATTTCCTTTTAAAACATGCCCAGTTCTCCTCTTCTCTGGTTTTTCCTATCCTACCACAGTTACACCTCACCTGGATCCATTAATTGTCAGACTTTACACATTATTAGTGGTTTCCTCTATATCAAAACTGCGTAAAAGAATTTACCTCCTTGAATCCGGAGTGTCCCTGTGATTCTGACCCTACTCCCTCACCATTCCATCTTCTGTCTGGTTCCCAGGATTTTTAAAGCGCCTCTGGTCTGCCATTTCCCAGTGGGTGGGACACCCTGCTAGCTATTGTCTGAGACAACCACATCTGTTTTCACTGCCTCCTGCCAGCAGAACAGGAGGTGAGTCCTGTCTTAGGCAACTTTAAATGAAAGGTATCTGTAACTTGTTACCGGGGAGGGATGTGCAAAAATTCAGCCAACTTTCTTAAGAATGTTTTTCAACCTTAAGAAATAACCTCCAAGTTAGATGCAGTCTTGGTAAATGGAAAGTATATTGCACAGAGATTAACAAAGAACTTGTGGTTAGAGATCATTCAACAAACACTTATTGAGCACCAAGTCTTTTGTTGTTTGTTTTGTTGTTGTTTTGAGATGGGGGTCTCGCTATATTGCTCAGACTGGTCTCGAAATCCTGGGTTCAAGGGGTCCTCCCATCTCAGCCTCCTGAGTATACACCAATTCTTAAACACCTCTAGATAGGGAAAGAAATGAAATATAAGGAAGTCATTGGGCCCTTCTCTCATAAAGCTTACAACCCCAAGCCTAGGAGATAAAATATACATGCAGGTAAAACAAGGTAAAAAGTGATTTTGGCAAGCTAGTGGGAAAACAGGTACTTTCATATACTGCTGACTGGTGTGTAAATTGATATAACCAATTGGAAGAGCAGTTTGGCACTATAAAATTAATAATGCACACATTCTGTGACTCACCATTCCATTTCTCAGTATGTCACCCAAAGAAGCAGGCATCCGTGAGCTCAGCATGTATAAGGATGTTCATTGCAATTTTGGTCATTCTGAAGTAGAAAACAGCCTAACAGCCATCAACAGGGAATGGCTAAATAAACTCTGGTGCATCTGTCTTCTGGAATATTAGGCAGCAGTTCAAAAGAATGAAGCAGATCTATACATACTGAGACAGAAAAAGATCACCAAGATGTACTATTAATGAAAAAAGCAAATTGCAGAACAGTACATACTATATGGTACTATTGATATTAAAACGATATAAAATTATACATCTCTATAAGTAAAAATTCATACAAAATGGACAGAAAAAGTATAGAAGATGCCCACTAAGAGAGACAAGAACTAGAGGAATTGTCAAGAAGGGCTTTAGCCATATCATTATTGATACCCATCCATAACCTTGTTACAATATTTGAAGTTCTGTAATTTGTTTTTTTTGTTTGTTTTGTTTTGTTTTGTTGAGATGGAGTATCTCTTGTCCAGGCTGGAGTGCATTGGCACAATCTCAGCTCACTGCAACCTCCATCTCCTAGGCTCAAGTGATCCTCCTGCCTCAGCCTCCCTAGTAGCTGGGACTACAAGCTTGTGCCTCCCAAAGTGCTGGGATTACAGGCGTGTGCCACCATGCCCGGCCAAGTTCTGTAATTTGAATTAATGTATGTCTTGCTTGGATAACTAAATACAAGTAATAATTTTAAAGTGATTGATAATACATAATGATAATACATAATTAATACATAACGATATACACAAAAAATTTACTACAGTAGTTTGTAAAGGGAGAAGAGAGTTTTGGACTTGAAGGGAGGGTGTTGGGCTAGGCTTCATAGAGAACGTGGCAGGATTTGGATGAAGAAGGGTAAGGGAGCGAGGCAGGTGGAAGGAAGCTGGATGCAGATGCTGTGTTCCAGCTAGTCCTCATTCTTCAACATGATTATGAGATTCCCTTGCAAGGCTGAGAGTCCTGGCCTGGCCTACCCTGCCAAGGTTCAGGTTGAAGGATGAACTAAAAGAACCCTCACAATTTTTTTCATTGCCATTTAAGTCTGTGACTACCTTAAATTCTATATATAGAAGAAAGAGAAAAACGAGCCAGTAGAGAAGTATATGAGTTCCAATATAGTATTGGAAGATCATGTTTTTAAAAGGAGTGTAGTGAAATCTTGAAGATAGAATTTTTTTCCCCAATATACACTGGGATGTATATTGGGAATTAGGTTGGAGGGAAAGATAAGTGTTTGGGAGGATAATTCATTTCCCCCAAAAAATCACAAAAGAGACCTTTTGAAACAAAATATTTAAGGCTGGTTTCATTTATTCAAACACTAGTTGAAGGAATATTTATTGAATATCAACTGTGACCTAACACTATGCTAGGTGGCATCTGGGGGTAAAACATGCAATAGCATTTTGGAAGAACAGCCCAGTTGCAGCAGTTGAGGTAAGGGGGCTGGTTCTAGTTTGGTCTCACAGGCCATGGACAAGTCATTCAATGAGCACGTTCCCTTCCAAGCCATTCCTTTCATTGTAGCTACATTTGGGTGGGGGTGGGGAGTGGGAGAATGCTAAATGATTGATCACTCAAGTCCCTTTCAGTCTTAGATTATGATTTTGTGAAATCCTGTGATTTCCAACATTGCAATGACTATGAATTCAGGCAGATGGAATTTGGAGACTACAGGATTAGACCGAGGGGATCTGAAAGTGCCCAGCCTTGGGAAAAACAAAACTATTTGCTGTCATGAGGGTTCTCAGCAGATGATGTGGCTCTCAGGGTTTTCCTAGAGTTAAACTTTCATTATTACCCCTTTACACACATACAACCTCAAGTACCGTACTAATTGTAGCGGTTGGTTTTGAAATAGAGTGGACAAAGAGGCAGAAATATGCCCAAGAAAATGTCAGACTGCATTTCATGAAAATAGTTCTCTATAATGATTTCTTTTGTGGAAATAAATCACAGTAGTTAATGTTTATTAAATGTCTGCTACCTGCCAGGTACTGTTCAAGCACCTTACATGTATTAACCCATTTAATTCTGACAGCAGCCCTATAAGTAGGTACTATTACTACACCCATCACAGGAAAACGAAATGGTGGGGGGATGGTGAAGAACATGCCCCAAAGTCACCACACAAGGGACTCCAGGCCAGGCAGCATGACCCCAAAGCCCTACATCCTTATGCCCACGTGGTAAGAGCAAGGAGCTGGTAGCTTTCCGATGATTCTCAGATGATACTCAGCTTAATGTTTGTGTAGGCAAATTTTTATTTTCAAAACTTATTTGTCTCACTACTTTATCCAACTATGACAAATGAAAGAATATGAGACTGAGCCACAGAACTCTGTACTTTAAGCTGTCTTGTCACAAAGTATTAAATAAGATAAATTTGGTGGTTTCTCTGAAGCCCTTACTGTTCATTTATCCATCTCACCATCCATCATACTTTGCCCGATTTATTTGACTGGCATTGCCAATTTGGACTTGGAATGGAGTAAGTAATTCAAGTCAAAATTCTCATGCTTTGATAGAAATGTGTGTGGAAATATGCATAGACCACCAGTGTACAGACATTTACTCCAACTGATTCTGAGATGTCAGAAGGGTTAGATACACTGACCACATTTATTCACTCAAAGTTACAACACATGATCTGGCCAAAGATTTAGGGGTTGTTTCTGGATATGAAAGGCGGTCCTGATGATAAGAGTTTAGATGCCCAAATTTGGGATATTTCTATGACAACAGGATAAAAGCAGCACAAGATAAAATCAAACCTACCCTGGAACCCAGGCCCCATGCTGGCTGGGCTGGCACTGCCAATTTTATATATATATATATATACACACACACAGAATTTTGTAACTTGTATTTTGCGCTCCTGCCTTCACTGCTCAATAAGACCATTAAAATTAAATAGTGGTGGTGGACCACAAAAAGGCAAACCCCAATAGCTTATACAATATGCAACATAAACTTTTAGGTCAGGTGGTAATTCACTGGGTTGCTCATCCCGAGTGGTAAACTTCCAAATTGAGCTTTCTTGCAGAATTTCAATGAAGTGATCATTGACTTAAGTCCCCCGTCCCCCCACCACCCCGCCAACAACCCTATCACGACTAAACTGAATTTTCACCTCAGCTGTTCCATAGTAAACAATGTAGATTATTGTTTTGGGGTGAAGAAAAGGCAGTCCTAGATATAAAATCAAGCAGATTTTTTCAGGTCCAGTTTTTCTTTTCTGTGGTTATCCTGGGTGAAGAAATAGCAACTTCAAAGGACAGATCCTGTGAATGTGACTTATTTATCCTGGTTGCTCTATCTCTGTGAATGTAAGTGACAGGTGGGGCTCAGAGGGAGTCTGTTTTGAGCATCTTATAGGTTGGAGAGGACCTCAGAGGTGAGCTGGTGCAATGGTTCTCAGGTGGGGCTCCACAGAACCCAGTGCTCCTTGGAGGCCCAAGGCAGGAAAGGTGGCGACCAAGCTGTTGAAGTTCCCAGGCACTTGCCCACTCCAGCCAGGACAGCTCCCCTTGCATCTGTTTTATATATTAGAGTATAATTTCTTTTTTTTTTTTTTGAGACAGAGTCTCACTCTGTCACCCAGGCTGGAGTGCAGTGGCGTGGTCTTGGCTCACTGCAACCTCTGCCTCCTAGGTTCATGATTTTCCTGCCTCAACCTCCTAAGTAGCTGGGATTACAGACGTGCGCCACCACACCTGGCTAATTTTTGTGTTTTTAGTAGAGACAGAGTTTCACCATGTTGGCCAGGCTGGTCTCGAACTCCTGACCTCAAGTGATCCTCCCGCCTCGGCCTCCCAAAGTGTTGGGATTACAGGCGTGAGCCACCGCGCCTGGCCTCCTACAAATTTTTGTTCAAGCAAAAGGGGAACCCTACGAGGTCTACTGATTTGCCTACAGGCCACAGCTAGTCACAGCCAAACTGGAGGCTCCCTCCCCGTGGTCCACCGCACCTTCCATTCTACCACCTTGATGCCCCCTTGAACTTTGGCAGGTTTCACCCACAGAGGGGATGGTGTGGTGTGGCCAGTGGCTGGTTACACCCACAGAGAGGATGGTGTGGTGTGGTGTGGCCAGTGGTAGCCCTTAGCTGAAGCAGCTGATACAATGTGCCGGGGCCCAGGAGCTACAGGGGACCCACACGTGCATAACCAGGGAGCAACACTGCCTGTCAAGAGCACAGAACATAGAACTGCAGCAAAAGACCCAAGCCACTTGTCCCCACAGTGCAGCCACTGCCTGAGGACTGACAGCAGGGCCAGGTGCGGTGGTTCACGACTATAATCCCAGCAGTTTGGGAGGCTGAGGTGGGCGGATCACTTGAGGTCAGGAGTTGGAGACCAGTCTGGCCCACATGCTGAAAACCCATCTCTACTAAAAACACAAAAATTAGGGGGGCACAGTGGTGGGCGCCTATAATTCCAGCTATTTGGGAGGCTGAGGCAGGAGAATCTCCTGAACCAGGGAGGCAGAAGTTGCAGTGAGCCAAGATTGCACCACTGCACTCCAGCCTGGGCGACAGAGCCAGACTCTCTTAAAAAAAAAAGAAAGAAAAAGAAAAAAGGACAGACAGCAAGAAAAAATGGGTAGGGAGGTGCAGGCAGAGAAAGGGATGGAGGAAGAGGGGTTCCAGAGCAGTCTGTTGTTCTAGCTTTGAGAGCAGACAACTGGCCCCACTGATGAACTCAGTTGCTCAGCAAACATGGATGTCTCTGGAAGCCCCTGGTGGATCAGGCACACCAAGGCATACAGTCCACCTGCTGTCTGGTACTGGAACACTCACCCTAGCCCCTAACGGTGCGCCTGCACACCTCTACTCCCATTTGGGAATCTCATCTTGGCTCAGACAAAGCCAGTGCCCTGCTCAGAGAAGTAAAGAATGTGCTGCTTATAACAATAAACTGCATTACTAATTTGGATCTGTTAGATTTGCAGAAAACAAGATAGTTTAACCACTGTTATACTTGATAAAGAACTTATTTAAATTAAAAGAAAATCTTGGTCAAGCTGGTCTCAGTGGCTCATGCCTGTAATCTCAGCACTTTGGGAGGCTAAGTTGGGAGGACTATTTGAACTTAGGATGTCAAGGCCGCAGTGAGCTGATTGGGCCACTGCACTCCAGCCTGGGTGACAGAGACTCTGTCTAAAAAAAAAAAAAAGAAAAAAGAAATATTGGTTTAAAGAAACCAGACTACTTTGTCTTTTTATGAAGGCCATCAGCATGTTAAATAAAGTTTATCCTTTCTCCCCAAAAGCAATTCATTCAATAAGGGCATGTGCTAAGGGGTTTTTCTTTCTTTCCTCTCCTCCCTTCTGAGATCCCAGTATAATTTTAAATATTGTTTATGGAAATCCCACTGCTCCTATTTGTCAAGCCTCAAAGAACAAAAAGACAAGAAGAGACCAGGCTGGACCCAGTGAGGGTGTTTTTGTTTTGTTTTCTGTGGATGAATAGATTCAGGAAGGCAAACTGGTTCATTTTCTGGTTGGCTTTCTTTAGGAATGCATTGCTAACTCAGATTCAAAGAAAACTAAAATTATTTTCATTCATTTCTCATCCAAGTACCACAGGTGGCCAAACGTATTTATATTAGAAAATAGCATAAGGCCAATAATAAAGAAACAAGCTACATTATAGATCAACAACTTCTGCATTTCTCTTTTTTAAAATAACCACAGCTCAGGTTCAACAGAGACAACAAAACATGTTAAAATGTCTTAGTATCCTGCAGTAGCAGCAGATATCCTAAATCTACCCCTTAAATGCCCCTACCCCTTGTCCCCAGCTCCTCTAGAGTGACCACACATGCTCTGCCTCTGAATGACAAAGAATGTGCCGGCAGTTGAACTTCCCACTACACGACGTGACTTGAAATACTTTTTTAAAAGGGAATGATTTGTTATCCAATAGTATAATTTAAATAAATTGGATTAATGCTTGGTTCTAACATTCATGGTTGGTTAATTTGGTTAATTTGATCTGCGTGCCATTTTGATGAAATTGCATTTGATATAGCCCTTTACGTTATAAATTGTTAATGTGCTGTAACATATATGACGATAAAATTATTGACTATTCTCATTCACTTAAAGGTGGCCTTGAAAGAAAATGGTTTGGAAAGTATTATACTATAATGATTTGCCCTTGGAGTTCATAAATGGAAGTGTAATAGAGCCAGTGATTTAGCTCTTATTACTGAAAATGATTTTTACAGCTACAAAATAATGCTAACAAACTATTATTATTTTAATACAGTACTTAGGGTAACACACCAAAATACAGTCAAACTCTATTAGGTGGGAAGCTAAGATTTTTTTCATACCCTTTAAAATATATTTCAATGTATAGTTAATATATTTATATTGAATCCCCTCATTTCCTACCTAGTTTTGTTTTATTTCATCTCAATGTATTCTCCCAAAGGATTATTCTGAACTGACAAAGATGCTTCATTGCAGTGTCTCCATCACTTTTCATAATATTTGCAATATAAAATATTCTGAAGCACAATACCACAGATTAGGGAAATATCATAGAGGATAAAAATGAATAAATTGAATAAATTTCAGCAATTTTAAAACAGTACATGAGTCCATTAGGGATGACACTGTGAATTTCATGTTCATGAAAACAATGTTTAAAGTTTTTTTTAAATTTCAATTCCATCATTAAAAGCTCTAAGATCTCTTATTTCTAGATTTAAAATAATGTATGATGAAAGCATTTTGATTTGCATACTTCTGAAGAGAATGATCTCGAAAGAGTGCTTTAAAAATAAGCCGTCTCGTGAGTCTAGATCCTTTGTCAAGGTGATTCATCGGTGTGACCGAACCCCACCTGTGACACCCTGGCCTATAATTATAGCTCCCAATCCTCAAATTACTGACTGCTGTCTCTTTTTCAAAGCCTCGTTGTAGAAGCTTGACTGTAGAAAAAAATGGTCATTTAAGTCAGGATGCTGTTGTATGTTCTCACCCATAAGTGGAAGCTAAACTGTAAGGGTACAAAGGCATCAGAATGACATAATAGACTTTGGGTACTCAGGGGAAAGGTGGGAAGAGGGTGAGGGATAAAAGACTACAAATCAGGTTCAGTACACCAAAATCTCACAAATCACCACTGAAGAACTTACTCATGTAACCAAATACCACCAATAAAAAATTTAACAAAAACTAAATAAATAAATAAATAAATCAGGATGCTGGAGCTGTCTAATGGCCCACCTTGCTGGCTGGCAGAGGGTTTGTTGCAGCCCTCCACAGTTTACAAAAAAAAAAATTAAAATGTGGAAAAGTTGAGGTGTAAAATGTGGCTCAACGTATATCAGCTCCTTATACTTGATAAAGAAATTATTTGAATAAAAAGAAAATATTGGTCTAAAGAAACCGGACTATTTTGTCTTTTGATGAAGGCCATCAGGGTGTTAAATAAAGTTTCCTGTTTCTCACCAAAAGCAACTCATTCAATAAGGGCACATGCTAAGGGGTTTCCTTTCTTTCCTCTCCTCCCATCTGGGATCACAGTATAATTTTAAATATTGTTTATGGGAACCTCATATGCTGCAATTGTGCAAATACAGACACACTGAGTTTGATTCTATTCTATTCAGGAGGCTTTATCGTCTCTTGATGCAAAATTTTATATTCTTCAATTATCTCAAGACCGGTTAGTTTTCAGTGACTCACCTGGTGATGAATGTGATCTTAATTTTTTAACACGACATTATTACTCAATTATAAAACAGTTGAGCTGTTTCTCCTCAGCAGCATACTCATTTCTAGGCTGATCCACAAATGACGTTTGTTAAAATGTTAAAGTCAAATGACATTTTCAGTTTCCAGTTCAAAATGATGGACTGAGCACATGTGCTTTCCTTCAAACCCCTCCTCTCCAGAGCCACAGAAATAATGGTAAAGAAGTACAAATAAAATAAACAATAACAAAGGGGTAGGGGCTGGTGTGGTTAGTCAACAGCAGACGGGAGATTGCAAGAAATTTCCAGAAGACTGAAAGTACATAAGAACATATGCACGTCACAGGGGAAGCCACAACTGAGAGTAAAAGCAAGAGGGAACTGCGGCGAAGGTGGGGAGCGTGATAAGTGGGGACTCATTGAAGGCCTGTTTCCAGGACAGCTCGGTGAATTATCCTTTCTCCCTCCTTTACTACTAGAAGAGTTTCCAGCAATTTGGTGTTTAGCCCTTAAGCTAACAATCTGAGAGTTCTTCTCTAAAGCAATCAAACAACTACAAGAGGCTGGGCATGGTGGCTTATGCCTGTAATCCCAGTATTTTGGGAGGCCGAGGCAGGCAGATCACCTGAAGTCAGGAGTTCGAGACCAGCCTGTCTAACATGGTGAAACCCTGTCTCTACTAAAAATACAAAAATTAGCCAGGTGTGGTGGAAGGCTCCTGTAATCCCAGCTACTCAGGAAGCTGAGGCAGGGAGAATTGTTTGAACCCGGGGGACAGAGGTTGCAATGAGCCAAGATTGCGCCACTGCACTCCAACCTGGGTGACAGAACAAGACTCCATCTAAAAAAAGATTAAAAAACTACAAGGCACACGTAGAATTTCTAGGATAAATATCACACCACAAAATAAACCTCCCTGCTCATTCTGGCATTTGGGGGTTCTCAGTTCCTAACTGGACACCCTAAAGCCATGCCTGCTGATGTGGTTTGGCTGTGTCCTCATCCACATCTCAACTTGAATTGTGTCTCCCAGAATTCCCACATGTTGTGGGAGCGACTCAGGGGGAAGTAACTGAATCATGGGAGCTGGACTTTCCTGTGCTATTCTCCTGATAGTGAATAAGTCTCACGAGATCTGATGGGTTTATCAGGGGTTTCTGCTTTTCCTTCCTCCTCATTTTTTTCTTGCTGCTGCCATGTAAGAAGTGGTTTTTGCCTCCCGCCCTGATTCTGAGGCCTCCCCAGCTATGTGGAACTGTTAAGTCTAACGAAAACTCTTTTTGTTCCCAGTTTTGCATGTGTCTTTATCAGCAGTGTGAAAATGAACTAATACAACTAGTTCCTAACTGGACACCTAAAGCCATGCCTGCTAATTGAATGCATGCCCTGCACACACACCCGGAGATCCCAAACAGGAAGCATGCCCACCAACCAATGGTTGAAGAATTCAAGAAAGCTCTTCTATCTGCCTATAATCATCAATCTTGTCCTTCATTCTTTTTTTTTTTCTTTTTTTTTTTTGAGACAGAGTCTCACTTTCTCGCCCAGGCTGGAGTGCTTGAAAAAGGATCGTTGCAGTGGCAGGACCTTGGCTCACTGCAACCTCTACCTCCCAGGTTCAAGTGATTCTCCTGCCTCAGCCTCTCGAGTAGCTGGGATTACAGGTACAGCCTCTCTAGTAGCTGGGATTACAGGCACGCACCACCACGCTCAGCTAATTTTTGTATTTTTAGTAGAGGCAGGGTTTCACCATGTTGGCCAGGCTGGTCTCGAACTCCTGACCTTAAGTGATCTGCCCACCTCGGCCTCCCAAAGTGCTGGGATTATAAGCGTAAGCCACCGCGCCCGGCCTTGTCCTTCATTCTTAAATACAAACGCATAACCAAAGATCACCAGACATTTAAGAAAAGCCTACATGGAAGTGAAAGATGAAAATCAATCAATAAATAAATAGAACAACTGCCTGATAAAATAATTTAGAGGACAGAAGATAAATTTAACACATTCTAATTAGTTTCAGAGAGATTTGAAGACATGGTGCATTCATTAAAGTACAGGATGCTATAAAAAAGGAATAACCTGAGAACAAAAAGAGCTCTTGGAAATTAAAAATATGATTACCAAAATTAGATAAAGACTGAAGAAAAAATAGAAGAAAAAAGATAAGAGACTTGGACTATTAATCCAGGAGATCCAATACCTGGTTTACAGGAATCTCAGTAAGAGACAAAGAAAGGGGGTATTGGGAGAAATAAAGAAATTGGCAGTGGGTTGAGGGGGGAGGGATAATCAAAGACATAATAGAAAAAAAATCCATGTTATAAAAGTCTAAGTTTTCAGGTTGAACCAACTTATTGCCAAATGCTGAGCAGGGTTCAATGACTTCAAAATATTGAAGCAAAATGATTTTGACACTAAAAATGTTAATACTCTACTAAATGATAACCTAAAGATCGTTCAAGTAAGATAGTTCTGTTTCTGTAAGAAAACAAAGTTTAGGCCAGATGTGGTGGCTTATGCCTTTAATGCCAGCACTTTGGGAGGCTGAGATGGGAGGATCACTTGAAGCCAAGAGTTCACAGGCGGGGGGATCACTTGAGGCCAGGAGTTCAAGACCAGCCTGGGCAACATAGTGAGACCCCATCTCTACAAAAAAATCAGCTGGGTGTGGTGTACACCTATAGTCCTAGCTATTCAGGAGGCTGAGGTAGAGGATTGCTTGAGCCCAGGAGGTCAAAGCTGCAGTGAGCCGTGATTATACCACTGCACTCCAGCCTGGGTGACAGAGCAAGACTCTCAAAAAAAGAAAGAAAGAAAACAAAGTTTACTTCCCTGTCCTGTTTCTGAAGAGTTACATCAGGTGGATACCAACAAAACAAGGGAGAAAACCAAGAAAGAGGAAGTCATAGGGCCAAGGATGAACAGAGAAGATAGGTCCCAGAAAGACCAGTCCCAGGAAGACCGCTGGCTAAAACACTCCCATTCCAAACTGGAGCTGGAGGTCAGAGGGCTTTGAGAATAACCCCTCTGCAAACGGTTCTCTGGGAAAAACAGGGTCTCTACAAAGAACAATGTGATTGAGAAGCTGAGTGATTTTGAGGACATGGTAAAGGAACATCTTTTGTCAACACAGAAAAATATGGTCCACGTTCCTATTTGTGGATCCTATATTTGTGAATTTGCCTACATGCTAAAATGTGTTTGGAGCCCCCAAATCAATACTTGCGGCACTTTCATGGTCATTCTAAGACATGCACGTACACGGAGCAGCAAAACATCTTAGTCGCCACAAGCACACCTTCCCAGCTGAGACTGCTCCAGGTGACTGCCTTCTTGTTTCAGCTCACAATGCAATCAAGTGCCCTTTCCATGCCCTATTTAGTGCCATGTTTTTCATATGTTTGTGCTTTTTGTTGGTGATTTTGCTGTTTAGAATGGCCCCCAGGTGTAGTGCTGAAATGATGTCTAGCATTCCTAAGTGCAAGAAGGCCATGATGTGCAAGCTTCCTTCAGGCACGTGTTAACAGTGCTATTGGCCAGAAGCTCAATGTTAATGAGTCAACAATATCTATTAAACAAGGTGTCTTTGAACACAAACACACATAAAACAAAGTTAAGTATTGATTAGTTGATGAAATGTTGTGACCAGAGGCTTGTAGGAGCCTAACCATGTATTTCCCCTAAGCACAGTTTTTCAGTTTTTGCTAATTCTGTGTTTCTGACTACTTTATAGAACATAACTACCCCACATATTGAGAATCAACTATAGTTAATAACTTCAGGGTTAGAGAGGAGCTATACAAGAAAGACATGGTCCAAATGTGAAGCCACGGAAAACGTGGAATGCTTTTGAACATTAGGTTTTCAGAAAAAAACAATTCGTCTTGACATGAGGACTCAAGAATTCCGATGCTGGACCACAGAGAAGAAACTGTGATGCTAGCATCACACTTGATTCTGCAGAAAATATTTACAAATGTGATGAGCACTATACTCAGTTCTGCAGGGAACAATATTTAGAAAGTCTTAACCATGTAAATGGAGTTTAACTTTCAAAATAAATCTAGAGTCAAAATGTGAATGATTTTATTGTGATTATAGAATAAAATATATATGTTATGAACTAGGACAATAGCAAGTATAGAAGACAGAAGTAGAGCTTAGGGAGGTGATGTAGGGAGGAGAGGACCAGGGAAAGATTAGGGCGCTCATATCCTCCTCTCATATGATGATGACATGAGAGATAATCCCCAAAGTTGATGAAGTCAGAAACAGAGATTGGAGTGTACAGTATTACTTCAAGTTTCCAAGGCGATCAGTGGAGGAAATAAAACTGAAAAAATAACTGTCAACAATTGAAAAGGGAGGAGGAAGGTGGGTTAAGGCCTCATCCTTCTTTGGCACAGATAGAGACTGTCTAAAAATGAAAATAGATCAAGAAGTGGAGGTATAAGCATGAGAGTTTTGGAGGTAGCCACCAGAACTGAAATTAACCCTTGTTGCCTGTACTTGTCTCTCTCAATGAGACCAATGAGTGAGAAACTGTTGCTCTTCATTTTATACATTTTGATTCCTTTTTGCTTTTTTTTTTTACTATGTGCAAATATTCCTCAGATTTAAAGATAAACTCAAAATATTTAAATAATTTCTTTAACTTTCTTATTTTCCTTACTTTAGGGTAACCTTGAGCAAGTCAGAAGTATAGGTTTAAGCTTGTTGGTGGTGGGCCCTAGCATAGAAATTCCCTCACTTTCTCAGAGTTCTTAATGTCTCCAGCATGTTCTTGATACCACTAGGGCAGAGGAAATGCCTGCCTGTTCCATTTATGAAGTGTTGAGGCCCAAACAACTTAATAAGTATTCATGTTCTAACATCGTACTAGCCATATGGGAAAATAATACACATGAATTAAAAGGAAAAAGTATTCTTATTCTGTTCTTAAATAACCACAATGAATTACAAATAGGATGTGTACAGCTGTTGGGCACTGCACAGGTACCCAGACCTTGGAGTCAGATTGGACACTGCCACCCTCATTTTCTGTTCTGTATTGACTTTCACCCAACACTCGCTTTTAATCACAGCAACAGCCAAAAACCCAGCTTTGCAAGAAAAAAATGGCATCATCTAAAGGAACATAGTGCACCCTACTGTTGAAACTGAACCATCGGGAGCTGGTAGTGGTGGGGTCCCACAGAGGCCAACTATGGCTGTATTCAAGGGAAAGCTTAAACCTTCCTGCAGTGCTTCTGTGGGTTTGTTGATTGCCCCAGTGTACCCTGGTGCACAGTTTGGGAACCATGGCTCTGACATCTATTTGAAACTTCATTTTGGTCTGTCAGGCAACTTCATTGGAAAATATTGGAGGACAAGGGTCATATAAATTTAACAACATCTAATGTAGTTTCTTGTTCAATAATAAATGCTCCATAAATACTGTCTTAGATTGAATCTATGATGGTATCGATTGCAAGATGCATACCAACTTCTAGAGACAGTAAAATGTTAAAAAATAAAAGTGCATCATAAAATCAGTGAAATACGGTAGTTATTTGAATAGTCTGGTGTGAGTTTATTGCCCGTGTCTGAGTCAGTGCTGCAACTTCATATTTACCCGGTGTTATATATAAAATCTAACCTGTCGGTGTTGTTATGGGCTTAAAAGCCAAACCTAGAAATAAATTCTGAAACAACAGAGTCTGAATACGCCCTCTTCCCCAGCACACACAAGACCAACGATGTGCTTCCCGTTGCTGTGCTCCTGGGGGTTCGGGGGAACGAGCCAGGAGCCCTACATTCTCCCTCTTCCTCTCTGAGTCTGGAGTTTTACCTCCCTGTTTCTCACCGTTAACATTCTTGAAATGCTCTGATCCACTCTACGAGTAATTATAAGACTGTATACCTTGGTCTTTCTGCTATGAAAGGACAGGTACATTGCAGATTCAGGGTTTGTCTGGTTTCCTCTATAGCCCACGTGCATCTGGGAAAATGGGGCCACCTGAACAGAGCCACGTGGCCTCCAGGGATTGCCCACATGGTGTCTCTGAGGACACCAAGAGCTGCGTCCAGCCATATTCTCTCCAAACATGTAAACTTAGTGTATTGTAGTCCTTAAGCTTTGCCTAATCAGAGGGAAATTGTCTTAGAGCAGAAATTGTTTCCTTCAGGCTAATACTTAAATGTAAACATTTAATATTAGCCTGAAGAAAACAAATTTTCACCTTGCAATGGTTCTTTTTAGACAGTAGGCCTACACCGAGACTCCAATTACCAGGATGTGGATAAAAACCCATTCAAGTTTTTGACTCCTGACTTCCCAAGACGGAATAGAGTTGGAGGAAAGGGTGGCCCGGGAAAGAAGGAAGTTCAGGGTTATAATTTATCATAACTCCAGGCATAATCCAGCACAGGCTTTGGGGAGAGGTGGTCTTTAGAAAGCAGGGTCTTCTCTGGAGTGGCCCCAGAGGCTCAGCACTTCCTCCCGTCGGTGGGCTCTGGTAGATGTAACATGTCAGCTCCATAAGCCCCTCCTTGCTTCCCCTAGGGATTCCTGGATGTGCTCTAATTCTTACTGTCCGTGTCCAGGGACCTCACAGCCCTGAGTCCCCAGGAGGGCCTGGGAGATAGGTGCCTGGCTGCTTAAATTCCGCACAAGACCTGAAAAGATGGGTTTGGCAGGCATAGAGGACTCTCCAGTCCTGCTTAAAATACATGCATAAGTCAGTCCATCTCACACTTAGACTTCAGATGGAGCTGCATCCCCCACCCAGGGGGATTTCCTCTAAGGCCCTCACTTAGAGGGAAGTCTGGAAGCCACAGAGGGAAAAACTTATTATAAAGTACCATGTTCAGGATGATTCTTACATTTAGGTACTTTTTTACAATGTGCAGGTGGTATGTTTCTCTACTTGTTCCTACTTTGATTTTCCTTACTTGGCTATTTTATCTTCATGAGTGTTGAGTTTTGTTTGTTTGTTTGTTTTTGAGACGGAGTTTCGCTGTCGTTGCCCAGCAGGAGTGCAATGGTACAATCTCGGTTCACTGCAACCTCCTCCTCCTGGGTTCAAGTGATTCTTTTGCCTCAGCCTCCAGAGTAGCTGGAATTACAGGCACCCGCCACCACGCCCGGCTAATATTCTGTATTTTTAGTAGAGTCGGGGTTTCATCATGTTGCCCAGGCTCAAACTCCTGACCTCAGGTGATCCACCCACCTTAGCCTCCCAAAATGTAGGGATTACAGGCGTAAGCCACCACGCTTGGCCTCTTCCTGAGTGTTTTAGGCATCCGTCCCCTAAAGTCACTTGCTTTTCTTATACTCCTAGTCCTAAGTTCCAATTTTTAGGGCAGTTTGTGACTTCTCTTGGCAGCTAATAGTAGGAAAGTCCCTAAATGGCTTTATCCTGCACACCTAGTCATTCTCTGGCTGTTTTGAGGAAAGTGTGTGTGTGTGTGTGTGTGTCTGTGTGCATGTGCATGTGTGTGTGTGTGTGAGCGCGTGCATGTATGCGTGTGCACGTGCATGCGTGTGTGGGCGCGCGTGTGCATGTGCATGAGTGTGTGTGTGTGTGTGCGCGTGTGCACAGGGGGTGTCCCTGCCCTTGTGGTGTTTGTACTTCATGCAGCATTCTCTGGTGGAAGCATGGTAGGGAGAGATTAAGACCAGCCAGCACACACCATATTCACAGAGCACGTCCACCCTGTGATGGGCTTTTCAGGTGGTTTCTTGACAACCAGACTTAGTAATCATCCTCCAATCCCACTTACCATTAACTGAGAAAAGCACATAATTGGCTTAGGAGAGTCACTAATGCACCTTTATGAGCCTGTGTAGGCTCTTAAGTCTTTAGAACCGACTGCTTAAAGAGCCTAAGCTTCTCTACCAAAATCATTGAAAAGTGCCTTTCAGAAAAATCAGGATGTTTAAGAGCAGAACAACTGTAAGGATGTTAGCCACCTGCCCTGTTTTACAGAGAAGGCCACTGAGGTCCAAATAAATAACATATGAAGCTCACATAACTACAGTCATGCATCACTTAACGAAAGGGGTACGTTCTGAGAAATGCATCGTTAGGTGATTTTGTCATTGTGCAAACAGCATAGAGTGGACTTCACAAACCTAGATGGTACAGCCTCCTGTACACCTAGGCTATAATCCTATGATCTGTTGCTTCTGGGCTACAAACCTGCTCAACATCTTACCATACTGAATACTGCAGGCAATGGTGATGGTAAGTTTTTGTGTCTCTAAACTTAGAAAAGGACAGTAAAATACAGTATAAAATGTAAACAGCAGTACACATGTATAGGGCACTTGCCGTGAATAGAGCTTGCAGGACTAGAAGTACTCTGGGTGAGTGAGTGAGTGGTGAGTGAATGTGAAGGCCCGGGACATTATTGTACACTACTGTAGACTTTATACCGTACATGTTAGCTACACTACATTTAAAAGAGAATATTTTCCTTAATAATAAATTAACCTTACCCAATAATAAATTTTCCAATAAATTATCCAATAATAAATTAACCTTAGCTTACTGTAATTTTTTTTACTTTATAAACTTTTTAACCTTTTTAAACTTTTTGACTCTTTTGTAATAACACTTAGCTTAAAACACAAATACATTGCACAGCTACTACACATATTTTCCTTCTTTATAGCCTTACTCTATAAGCATTTTTCTTTTTTTATTTTATTATTATTATACTTTAAGTTTATAAGCATTTTTCTATTAAAATTTTTTTTAACTTTTTAAACTTCTGTTAAAAAAAATAAGACACATACACATTAGCCTAGGCCTACACAGAGTCAGGGTCATCAATAACACTGTCTTCCACCTTCACATCTTGTCCACTGGAAAGTCTTTAGGGACAATAACACGCACGGAGCTGTCATCTCCTGTAATAATAATGCCTCCTTCTGGAATACCTCCTGAAGGATCCATTTAAGGCTGGTTTACAGTTTACTTTGTTTTTAATAAGTAGAAGGAGTACCAGTAACATCGTCATTTGTTATCAAGTATTATATACTATACATAATTATATGTGCTAGACTTTTATATGACTGGCAGCACAGTAGGTTTGTTTACATCAGCATCACCACAAACACATGAGTAAGGCATTGTGCTACACCGTTAGGATGTCACTAGGTTGGCCAGGTGTGGTGGCTCACACCTGTAATCCCACCACTTTGGGAGGCTGAGGAAGATGGATCACTTGAGGTCAGGAGTTTGAGACCACCCTGGCCAACATGGTGAAACCTCGTCTCTACTAAAAATACAAAAATTAGCCAGGCATGGTGGTGCACACCGATAGTCCCAGCTACTTGGGAGGCTGAGGCAGGAGAATCGTTTGAACCCCAGAGGCAGAAGTTGCAATGAGCCGAGATTGCACCACTGCACTCCAGCCTAGGGGACAGAGCAAGACTCCTTCCCAAACAACAACAACAACAACAAAAAGATGTCACTAGGGCATAGGAATTTTTCAGCTCCATTATGATCATACAGGACCACCGTCATATGCGGTCATTGTGGGGTGCATGACTGTAGTTATGTAGAAGCGGCGCTATGCCCAGGACTTTCTGTTCCGCAGTCCTGGGCTCCTTCCACTATAGCAAGAGCCACCTCCATTTAGAGCACCACAACCCAGCTAGCAAACACGTGCTATGTGAGGACAGGGACCACTTAGCAATGCTGTCTGTTTCCCCTCTTTCCTGCGACAGGGCTGACTAACAGCAGGCCCTCCATACATTTACCTAACACATAGTTGCTTGCTTCCTCAAAGAGAAAACCCCTACAAGTGGATTTATGAGAGTGAGCAGCCACAGACAGCAGCAGCACGGCAAAGGTGGGAGATCTTGTTTCTTCCAGATGAAGAAACAACGTGATAAAACAACATGGCAACATTGCCTGATCTCTGGGCCTTGCAGTCAAAGAGATAATAGTCTAAGGCACTTCTCTCATCTTTGCTTGTACCTAACTGATGAATAGCTACATCCTTTGGTGGCAAAACGACATATGAAGTATAAAATAGGGGAGTAGTAAGTACATATGAGCATTTTAAATAATGTATATGAAGTATATACTAAAATGCCCCAAACTTGAATCATTCACCTCGGGGACAGGTGAGAGTTGAGAAAGGGCTTTGTTGCTAATTTCAGAGCTTTTAATATAGTCTCCTTGGTCGTAATGGAGTTATCAGATGCTTTAGAAAATTGAAATCTGTTCACTCTTTCACCTAGATTAAGTAAATCCTGGTTTTGTATCTATTTCATATTAACCAAGCATTCATTTAATATCTTCTTCTGTCATATTTAGGGACTTTCTTGGGCCCTCCTTTCCTTTGCCATCTTGCCTGTTGGTATGATGACCTAACCAGGATCAATGGATAGAACCAATTTCAATTTGTTCTGACTTTCTCATTTTTCATCTCCAGAGGAAACGGCCCCTGAGAACGCCATTGACCTTGGGGAAGAGAGCTTTGATATATTAACACATTTCCTAGAAAATGTCATTTTCCTTTTCTTTGCTCCTGACCGTTTGTCCCTTGTAATTTGCTTTTACTTACTGAAGATTATATTCCATTTGTCGGTTACGGTACCCTGTCAACCAGCAGACCAAGCCTACCCAAGATCTACTACAATTTTCTAGATTGTGGGTGGGCTTACAAAGACTCTGTCCAGGAATATGTGATTATTTTGTCTTCACACAAAAGATAGCTTCCTTAAGCAACAGTGAATGTTTCTCTCTTAGTTCCTGGTGCTGAATTCACCTCTTTGTGCTGACTGTGAAGTTTCTCCCAAAATCAACCTGGATTCCTCATTCCAAGGAACAGACGCTCAGGCTGCATTATGGCTTTTCATTTGCTATGTTTGCATACCACACATATTCAGTAAAACTGCCTCTTCTGGCCTGTTTCCATTTCTGAGTGCTACATTATTGCAGGATTTAGAAAAGTGTCTAAAAAATACACATCAGCTCTCAGTTATGTCTGTCAAACCTAACGGATGGTTTGGCTGTGTCCCCACCCAAATCTCATCTTGAATTATAGCTCCCATAATTCCCACATGTTGTGGGAGGGACCTGGTGGGAGATAATTGAATCATGGGGGTGGTTTCCCCCATACCATTCTCGTGGTAGTGAATAAGTCTCACGAGATCTGATGGGTTTATAAGAGGAAACCCCTTTCGCTTGGTTCTCATTCTCTCTTGTCTACTGCCATATAAGACGTGCCTTTCACCTTCCACTATGATTGTGAGGCCTCCCCAGCCACGTGGAACTGTGAGTGCATTAAACCTCTGTTTCTTTATAAATTACCCAGTCTTGGATACATCTTTATTAGCAGTGTGAGAACAGACTAATACACTAACCATTATAATGGGCAAAGTCATATAAGCCAAGAGGAATTGTATTAGTTTTCTTATTGTTGCTGGAACAAATTACCCCAAACTTAGTGTTTAAAACAATACAAATTTATTTTCTTATAGTTCAGGGGTCAGAAGTCCAAAATTAGCCTTACTGGGCTAAAGTCAAGGTATCAGCAGGACTAATTCCTTCTGATGGCTTTGAGGGGAAAATCCTTTTCCTTCTGTTCTCACATCTCTTACTGCCCACTCTGACCCCCTGCCTCCGTCTTCTAAGGCAATTATGTTAGCCCCATCCAGATAATCCAAGATAAACCTCCCCATCTCAAGACCCTTAGCTTAATCCCATCTGCAAAGTCTCTGTCATATAAGATAACAGTCACAGGTTCTGGGGATGAGGAAATTGACATCTTTGGGGATCATTGTTCAGCTGACCACAGGACCGAGACCTCCCTATTCAGTGACAGTTTTCTGTGGCCTTTCCTCTTGAGGTCAGGCTGCTTTGGTGGGGGAGGGATGTTTGTGGGTGGGCTTGCCCATGCCCTTCAGAGACCCCATGCCTGACTCCGTGCCTCCTGCACCTGCAGTAGCAGCCAGATTTCAGCTGCCTCCCCAGGGCAGTCAGAGGTGTCACAGTGGTGCCCAAGGGCCATGCCACTGTGCCCAAGATGTTTGCCAACTACCCTTCCTCAACTCTGTCTTCTTTCCTTTTTAGCATTGTGTTAGTGCCGGGAGGCCACTGTGTCAGCAAGCTGAGAGGGAAACTGAAGCAAGATGTCGGGCCGGAGTGGGAAGAAGAAAATGTCCAAGCTGTCCCGTTCAGCTAGGGCAGGTGTCATCTTTCCAGTGGGGAGGCTGATGCGTTATCTGAAGAAAGGGACGTTCAAGTACCGGATCAGCGTGGGCGCCCCTGTCTACATGGCGGCAGTCATTGAGTACCTGGCAGGTAATGAGGACACGCAAAGGAGGCTGCCTGCTCCCAGGTCCCCACCCTCCCCTGGGTCCCCCTCGCAGGCTGGGGAGGGATGCTCCAAATTGCCTTTTGGCTGGCTCAAGGCTACTGTGGGTGGTGACAGGGTTGCAACTGGCCTGCTTGGCTAAAATCAACTTCTGCAGACTTTAGGGGAGAGAAGAGGGTATAGGAAGGACAGGTGATCAGCATGGAAGGCGGAGAACCCACAATCAAGTAAGTGGCCCTCCTAGACCAGTCCTGCAAAAGATATGTCTTGCTTTAAGCGAATGCAATATATAAATATCTAAGCTCCTGAAGAAAATAAACTGCAGGGAGAATGGGGGATTTGATATTCATTTTGTAAAAGGGAGTCTTTTTACATCAAATTGCTCATTAAACATTAGTTTTCCTGGTATATTTAAACTGGGACTCAGGGTCCATAAATAACATTTATCGCATCATTAAAAGCATCTTTCAGGTGCTGGCATGAAGCCGATGTAATGTTCTAATTTTGCTCTCCTTCACTGAGGTGATTCTCGTCTAATAGGGGTGCACAGAAAATAGTTTCCCATATTTGTTGTTAAAGTTAATTTTTTTACTGAAAGATGAGATTTTGCTGTGTGTGTTCTTTATCTTAGTAACTTTCTCTTTAGCTTTTTTGTTGTTGTTCTCTTATGTCATAGTTAAATAGAAACCAAACTTTACAATATCAGGGGTGCTTTTCAGAAGTATTTACAAATAAAATATATAAATATATATGTACAATAAGTATGATTTAGTCCCTTGTTGGGTAATAGCCACGAGCAACAATGTCTCTGACTTTGCCCAAGGTTAACAAATTCCCTAGACACCAAGGTTAAGTTCCTTGGAAATTCTGCCAGGTTAAAAAGCAAACCTCCCCAGATGGTCTAACACTGGGGAGGCAAGCCTCACTGCATGAAATCCTCTGGGCTGTGGCAGGGCTGGTCCTCTCTTCTGTCCCCAGATTCCTCTTTTCTGCTGGTTTTTCCTCTTTAGATGCTCAGTCCTGCCCTGCCCTCTTAGTCCCCATCGCCCACCAACCAACATTTATTGGTGAAAGGTTTTCCTTGATCCACGGATCCAAGGAGGAAATGTCCTCCCCCGAGAGCTTCCACCAGGCAGACCTCTGCATCATGAGCCTTCCTTCCTCTTATGAAATGAAAGCCTTCCTCCTGAGCTAAAAGTCCTTCCCTCCTTTAGGAGGTTGGGGAGAGCTGGAGGGCTCTGAAAAGCAGTTCTTTTCCAAGTGGGGTCACGCAGGGATCTTGTTGACAAGGGCAGGGTGGCACCTGAGACTCCATTCCTCAAACTCCCAGGTGATAATGATGCTGCTGGTCCAGGGACCACATGTTGAATAGCAAGATTGTAGCCAGCCTTTTAACCTCAAGCCAAAAGATGTGGGGAATGCTTGTTTCAAATGCAAGTTCCCGCCAGGCACAGTGGCTCACACCTGTAATCCCAGCACTTTGGGAAGCTGAGGCGGGTGGATCACCTGAGGTCAGGAGTTCGAGACCAGCCTGGCCAATATGGTGACACCCCATCTCTACTAAAAATACAAAAATTAGCCAGGCGTGATGGCAGCTACTGGGATTACAGGCCGGTAATCCCAGCTACTTGGGAGGCTGAGGCAGGAGAATCACTTGAACCCAGGAGTTGGAGGTTGCAGTGAGCTGAGATCACACCACTGCACTCCAGCCTAGGTGACAGAGCGAGACTCCGTCTCAAAAAATAAAGGCCGGGCACAGTGGCTCACGCCTGTAATCCCAGCACTTGGGAGGCCGAGGCGGGCAGATCACGAGGTCAGGAGATCGAGACCATCCTAGCTAACACGGTGAAACCCCATCTCTACTAAAAAATAATAATAATACAAAAATAAAAATAAAAAATAAAATGCAAGTTCCTAGATATACTCTCAAAGGGTCTGATTCACTGGATCTGGAGTGAGGCCAAGGAATCTGATGGGAAAACCTCCCAGCTGAGACAGGGAGAGAACAGACTTTGAGAAGAGTTTATGAGGCTTTAAAACAACCTGTTAGGTGTGTGTCACCCACTGGGACTGGAAGACACTGAGTTAACTGCAAGATCCCACAGCTTCCAGATGGGGAACTAGGACTCCCTCACGCCCTCGACCTCAAGCCACGCAGTTTTGCTGCCCTACACTACCCCAATATTTGTGTGATGAAAATAACTAAGTACTTCCTGTGCCTCCGTTTGGCAAAAGTCTAATCCGTGCATATACAAAATTTGGCCTTTGGAATCCCCAGCATCTCTGTTAGTCTTTGGTTCAGATGTGTGAGATAAACGAAGCTTACCTCTTCCTGTTCGTTCATCCATTCAAAGAGCATTTGTTGAGCATCTCCACGTCAGCACACACAGTAAGTCCTTAGGCAGAGTTCCCGCAATAGAATTGGGCCATTTATACAGTGGGTTGAACATGGAGAGGATGAGCACCTGCAAGGGTGCCATTGCCAAAGTCCTCCTGCCCCCGGCCAGTCCCAGTGTCCAGACCATCCTGGGCCACGTGGAGGAGGAGAAGGTGACATTGGTCTCCTGAGGCCCAGGCCTGTCCTCTGTGTCCTTTCCCTCCCTTCTTTGTGCCCTTTCTCTCCCCCAAAGGCAGGCAGGCACTGAGTGCAGGCTCAGATGTCGGTTCCAATCGGGATGACTCATTGACCAGCTCTGTTACCTTAACCTCTCTGAGCTCCAGGTGTTTCCAGAACTAACTCTTTTAACCTCATTCAATGAGCTAATATGTGTAAAACACCTGGCGTATAGGATGCACTCAATAAATGCTAATTCTTCTCCTCCCCCCTCTATTAAGAGCTGACAAAATCATTCAGGACAAAGTATAAATGACTAATTCCATTAAGGTGTTGTATTTTCAGGCTGAATTTGCATTTTAATGAGACAAGGTGTTTTAATCCAAGGGAATGAATCATATTAGTGGAATTGCAAGCTACTGTTGAGTAAATGACATGGGGGATTTTAGTCTGTTTTTTGGTTTGTTTGTTTTTTAAAGAGGTATCCATTGATTCTGTTTAGGGAAGGGGGGTCAAAGTGTGGAAGCCTCCTGTCACCCTTGAAATGACTTCCACATTCATGAAACAAATCTAGACTGAGTGCCTCATTTGAATCAGGTCTTGAAGATACAGCAGAAAACCAGCTAACTTGGTCCTTCCCATTGCTGGACTTAGAGCCTAGTGAGGAGGACAAGAAGGAAACGCCTCACAATAAGATCAGGTGCTGTCGGGCAGGGAATGAGAGGAACTTCGGGAACTGCGGGTTGGGGGAAGGGCTGCCTAATCTAACAGAAGTGTTGTTAAGACCTAAACCAGGTTGTCAACCCTGCATTTTCTCGTATCGATTGATTTCAAATCCTGATGCCTGGGTCCCACCCCCGAGACTCTGGGGTATTTTCTGTGCATCAGGATTCTTAAAAGCTCCCCCAAATGATTCTGATGGGCAGCCAGGTGGGGAAGGGAGTCAGCCAGATTCAGACTGGGGGGGCGGGTGAACTAGGGGAAGATAGTAAGGGAGGTGGGGAGTAAGGGAGAAGACTCCAAGTTTAAAAGAGTGTGTGGCCCTTTCTAATGTGCCGAGAGCAGAGCTTGGAAATGGGAGGAGTGAGAGATGAAATGGGGGCAGGGCAGCAGGCGCTAGACTGTGACGGCCCTTGAAGGCCACGTTGAGGGTTCGCGCGCGCGCGCGCACACACACACACACACACACACACACACACACACACACACGGCAGAGGAGGCATCAAAGAGAGGTGGCAGCATCTGCAAGGCATCACTCTGGCTTTAGGTAGAGATCAGTTGTCAAGGAGCAAGATCAGATTCCAGGAGACCAGTGGAGTTGTTTTAGTGTCACTTTGTGAAGAACTGACAGTGGCCAGGACCAAGGGTGCACAGTGGGGATGGTGAGAAGAAATGGAAAATCTGGGAGCTTTCTGGAGGGCGGAGTCAGCTCCACTCCATAATGGATTGGATCCACAGGGAGGGGCATCAAGGATGATATGAATCTTGTAGGTATGGACTAGCTACTTTCTCTCAGGCCACACTGCCATGGGGTGAGAAGTAGATTGAGGTGTGGACTTGGAGACAAAAGGAGTAGGGAATGGGTAAAAGAAGTCTGACCAGCTGGACGTGGTGGCTCACGCCTGTAATCCCAACACTTTGGGATGCAGAAGCGGGCAGATCACCTGAGGTCAGGAGTTCGAGACCAGCCTGACCAACATGGAGAAACCCCATCTCTAATAAAAATACAAAATTAGCCGGACGTGATGGTGCATGCCTGTTATCCCAGCTACTCGTGAGGCTGAGGCAGGAGAATCACTTGAACCCAGGAGGCGGAGGTTGTGGTGAGCCGAGATCGCGTCATTGCACTCCAGCCTGGGCATCAAGAGCAAAACTCCATCTCAAAAAAAAAAAAAAGAGTCTTGCCGAGAGGAAGGAGAAGAGAGAGCAAAGCAGCTAGTGGATGGAGAATGGTGCCTGTACCTGAAGTAGGGAGCAATGGATGAGAACCAGGCTGCAGCAGGAGGGGCTCAGTTTGGGACCTGTTGAGCTTTGGTGTCTATAAGATGTCCAAGAGGGCTGGGCAGAGTGGCTCATGCCTGTAATCCGAACACTTTGGGAGGCCAAAGTAGGAGGACCACTTGAGTCCAGGAGTTCCAGACCAGCTTGGGCAAGATGGTGAGACCTCGTCTCTACAAGAAATTAAAAAATTAACCAGGTGTGTGCTGGGCACGGTGGCTCAAACCTGTAATTCCAGCACTTTGGGAGATCAAGGCGAGTGGATCACCTGAGGTCAGGAGTTCAAGACTAGCCTGACCAACATGATGAAACCCCATCTCTACTAAAAATACAAAAATAAGCCGGGCATGGTGGTGCATGCCTGTAATCATCCCAGCTACTTGGGAAGCTGAGGCAGAAGAATCACTTTAACCCGGGAGGTGGAGGTTGCAGTGAGCCAAGATCACACCATTGCACTCCAGCCTGGGGAACAACAGTGAAACTCCATCTCAAAAAAAAAAAAAAAAAAAAAAAAAAAACCTAACTGGGTGTGGTGGCATGTTCTGAATAGTCCCAGTTGCTAGGGAGGCTGATGTGGGAGGATTCCTTGAGCCCAGGAATTTGAGGCAGCAGTGAGCTATGATTCTACCACTGCACTCCTCAGCCTGGGTGACCAAGCAAGGCCCTGTCTCTCAAAAAAAAAAAAAAAAAAAAAAAAGATGTCCAGAAGAGCAGAGTGGATAGAAATGCTGGATCCAGCCAGGCCTGAACCTAGATGCTGGTTCTGCCACGTATCAGCTATGAACCCTCAGGATCATTGCTTTACCATTCATGATGTTACTGTGAGGATTACATAAAATAATGCATGAAAAGTGCTTAGCACCGCTCGGCACACATGAGCAACTCCATCCATGTGGCTATTGCTCTTATTGAGTGAAGACCCCCTAGGTGTGTCGGGAGCTCAGGAGGGAGCTGTGAGCAGGAGGTTCACATCGGTGTGTTAAGGCAGTGGAAGTGAGGGAGGTCACCCAGAGAGAGCACAGGACCCAGCATGAGTGACACCAGTGTGCCCAGTGGGCCAGGGAGAGGGGGAAAGGATGGCAAAGGAGGCTGAGGAAAGCCAGAGGGTAAGGAGGAAAGATGTGAGCGTGTGACGCGTCAGAGGCCAAGGGAAGGAAGGGAAGGCCAGGAGCCCCTAAGGGTCACGCTGATAAAAATCAGACAAGGACAACAGATCTAGCCACCTCAGGGTCATGGTGACCTTGGCAAGGACGGCATGGGAGGTCAGAACCAAACCACAGTGAGTTGAGAAGTGGGAGGTATGGACTGGGAGACAGAGGGGGTGGGGACTCTTCACACTCAAAGTAGTTATTAGAGCTGCCACCAGATCTTATGAATGAATGAAATGTAAAATGGTGCAGCCTATAGTAAAAATAATTTAATTGTACATTTTTAAATAGCTAAAAGAGTATAATTGGATGGTTTGTAACACCAAGGATAAATGCTTGAGAAGGAAACCCCATTTTCCATGATGTAATTATTACACATTTAATGCCTGTATCAAAATATCTATGTACCCCATACATATATACACCTACCATGTACTCACAAAGATTAAAAATAAAAATGTATTTTTAAAAAAGCGTGCAGCCACTGTGGATAACAGTTTGATGGTTCCTAATAAAGTTAAACATAGAATTACCAATACAACCAAGCAATTCCACTCCTAGCCATATACCTAAGAGAACTGAAAGCAGGGACTCGGCCGGGCGCAGTGGCTCACGCCTGTAATCCCTGCACTTTGGGAGGCCGAGGCGGGCGGATCACCTGAGATCGGGAGTTCGAGACCAGCCTGACCAACATGGAGAAACCCCGTCTCTACTAAAAATACAAAATTAGCCGGGTGTGGTGGTGCATGCCTGTAATCCAGCTGCCGGGGAGGCTGAGGCAGAAGAATCGCTTGAACCCGGGAGGCGGAGGTTGCGGTGAGCCGAGATTGCGCCATTGCACTCCAGCCTGGGCAACAAGAGTGAAACTGTGTCAAAAAAAAAAAAAAGAAAAAAGAAAAGAAAGAAAGAAAGAGAGAAAGGACGCAAACAGATATTTGTGCAACCATGTTCTTAGCAGCATTTTTCACAGCAGCCGAAAGGTGGAAGCAACCAAGTGTCGATCAACAGACGAATGGATAAGCAGAATGTGGTATATTCATACAATGGGCTGTTATTCAGCCGTAAGATTTCAAAAAGGAATAAAATTCTGGTACATGCTACAACCTGGATGAATCTTGAAAACATTATGCATGTGAAGGATGGCAGACACAATAGGGCAATATCATATTGTTCCATTTATATGAGATACCCAGAGTAGGTGATACCTAGAAGAGGTGAATTCATACAGACAGAAAGTAGAATAGAGGTTACCAGGGGCTGGGGAGAGGGAGGGAGAAAAGATGAGTTATTGTTTAATGGGTACAGAGTTTCCATTTGGGATGATGAAAAAGTTCTGGAAATGGATAGTTATGGTTGTGCAACATTGTGAATATACTTAATGCCATTGAATTGTATCCTTTAAAATGGTTAAATGGTAGATGTATGTTATGTATGTTTTCCTTTTTTTTTTTTTTAATCAAGCACCTTGTTCTGAGAAGAGTTGTTGGGCCTCACCAGACCACCAAAGGGATTCCCAGCACCAACAGGGTATAGCCCCCCTGCAGGAGGGGGAGAGCTGGAAACACAGAGACAAGGAGCCTGGTGGGAAAGCTGAGCCCCCGGGGTCTCCAGAGCTGGCTGGAGGCCTTGGTCCCAGGTGGGGAGGCACCTCCTCCAGCTCCCAGAACAAGGGCTGCTGGGGACTGATGCAGACACTGCAGTATGCCCCTAGAGACAAGCAGCCCCCAGATACCTTCTTCCCACACACAGGCACAGCCTCTCTAAGTGACCCTCATTACACAACTCTTAAGTGACAGTATTCCACTCTTCTCTCCCACCCAAATCTCTGTGGCAAGCAGTGCTCTTCACCCCCACATGAACTGGATTCTCCTGCTGATGTCCTGGGGGCCAATGAGCCACCATCAGTAGGCTTCCCCTGGCCAGTCTACTGCTCCTGTCAGGTTTATGTCTGTGGTTTTTGAAGGCCCTCTCTTCCACACACTGCCTCTGGAAGGCAACCTGGGGCCACAGGCATGGCCAGGAAGAGAAGGCTGGGGACAACACAGTCAAAAAAGGAGGGCACAAATTCTCAGCCACACTGGGTGAGAGACAGCAGCCTGCCTCACCTGATTCTATGGACTGACTGGCTAGCCCCAGGTTCACATGTGATCATGATGCCAGAGCCACAGTGTCTCTAGCCCCAACCTGGTGAAGGAGGGTGCACAGTTCCGCAAAGAGTGCATGCTCAGCTGCTCATCTAGAATGCCCCATTGACCTGAACAAGCTTGCCTCCCAGAACGGTTATCACGTTCCTACTTCAGTTTCTTGATCTGTGGAATTGTGATAATGTTGGCCCAGTTCACATCTCCAATGTAAGTGAGGAAAAATGGACTGAAAAAACAAGCCCCAAATTCTGCAGTAGCGTTTTGTATGTGCTGACAGTAGATATTGATAGTAGATATTGAGAAGGAATTGTTTATAATCATTTTGATGATGAGAAAATGTTCTGTCATATAATACATTTTCAACTGACCAGAACAAGTAGGTCTTAAAATAGGGCTGAATTTCAGGACATCCCATGAAATCACTGTGTAACATAGACACTTGTCATTTACATGTCATTTCCAGATTATTGGGTCTCACCACTTAACACCAAAAATTTTCTTATCTAATGATCCTTATTTATTGCATTTGTGTTTTTAAAAGATTACTTTGACCACCAGCACATGTGGCCGTGCAGGTTGTACACGGCACAAGAACACACATTTAAGGGAATATCATTCAAATCCTAGACTACAAAGATTTGTGTATTTATTATGAGAATTTCCAGCAGATGGTAGTAAAGAGTTTTGTTCTAACAAAATCCAGAAAGTAAAGCATCTTGCTGGGCATGGTGGCTCACCTTTGTAATCCCAGCTACTCGAGAGGCTCAGGCGGGAGAATCACTTGAACCCAGGTTAAAACTGCGAGCCCAGGTTAAAACTGCAGTGAGCCTTGAGAGCACCACTGCACTCCAGCCTTGGTAACAGAGCAAGACTCCGTCTCTAAATATAAAAAAGTGTCTTGAGGCAGGATTGTCTTTTCTTTCTTTTTTTTAGAGGCAGGGTAAGTTTTTGTTGCCCAGGCTGGAGTGCAGTGGTGTGATCACGGCTCACTACAGCCTAGACCTCCTGAGCTCAAGCAATCCTCCTGCCTTAGCCCCCTAAGTAGGTGGAACTACAGGCACATACCACCAAGCCTGCCTAATTTTTGTATTTTTTGTAAAGACGGGGTTTCGCCGTGTTGCCCAGGCTGGTCTTGAATTCCTGAGCTCAAGTGCTCTGCCTGCCTCTGCCTCTGCCTCCCAAAGTGCTGGGACCACACCCGGCTAGGAGCATCTTTTTCTAATTTGCACAAAGGTACCTATTGGGTCACCAGTGGCCTTGCTGGCATGGATCTGGAGAACAACAAAACTAGGGACGGGGAAACCATCTAGACACTCAATACAATTATCTGGGCTGGAAGAGAAGAGAGCTTTAACTCAGGCAATGGCAACAAGAAGGCCAAAAGTATGTGAGATTGATGAGGCTGGATGGACCCCATGTGGTGACTGGAAGGAGATGGGGAGTGGGAGAGGGAAGGATAGGGAATCACTCCTAGATCTCTGGTAGGAGCCATGTGTGGATGGAGATACCAGTTCTAAGGGCGAAGAGAAACGCAGGTTTGGGGAAATGATTTTGATTTGGGGACTGATTTTGCTTTACCTGTGAAGCCCCCAGGTGAGGCTATCTGGGTGATATCATGGGAGGGCTGGAGGTGCAGATTCAGTAGTACAGACGGGTGGGTAGAAGCTGGAGCCATGAGTCCAGTGGGGTTTTACCCAGAAGATTGCATGGCCCTAGCAGAGCAGAAGGCACAGACAGAACCCCAGGGACACTGCCAAGCAGTGGGCAAGTGGACAAGGAAGAAAGGGCCTGGCAAGGAGACAGAGTCTTGCTCACTCCACCTCACCTGTCCCAACCCTATAATTAATGTGCTATTTCCCATCTTCTGTGGGCTGGAATATCCACTGTTGGTTTAAATTGTATACAAAATGAAGGGACATAGACTCTTCCAAAATAATGTGTATGAGCTTTACAGCATCCCTTTTGGCTAAAGAAATTCTTTTTACTGCTAGATACTCAGCTGTATTCCAGATGGTTACTATTGCTAGAAGTGTGACTTGTGAGAAGTGAGGGATTTGCCATAGAAGTCCCCACCACTTAACAGAATTATGATCTTCCCACAACATTTGCAGTAGAGTAAATTTAGTGCTGTATAAATCCAGTTTTCCTATTGATTGCCAATATAAGGATTTGGCAGGATTAATAAAATCCCCAAGATCAATAAAGTCACTCAAGAATGTAACAAACTTTTATAGTTCATGGGACTATATTTGCCATAATAACATTTGAAACTATTAATGATGATTAATGTTTTTCTTGTTTCATTTGCTTTGAATTTTTTTTTTTTTAGAGGCAGGGTCTCCTCTGTCACCCAGGCTGGAGTGCAGTGGCACTATCACAGCTCACTGCAGCCTTGGAACTCCTGAGCTCAAATGATCCTCCCACCCCAGCCTCCCAAAGTGCTGGGGTTATAGGCATGAGCCCTGTGCCTGGCTAATGATTAATGTTATTACAAATATTTAAATGGTGAAGTCCATGTCTCAAGGATGTCCAGACTAAACATCCAAAAGAGATAAGAACTATTTGATGTAGATTTTCTGTGATGTATTATCTTTTTCTCTCTAAGGAAAAAAAAAAAAAAAAGTCCCACCACTGCTTTTGCACTAGAACACATAATCAAGATTTTCTTTCTTATAGATTGTTTCAAAAGAGTTTTTTAAGAGCCCAGTTGCATGATCCCCAAGCATCATCTGCATTCCCTGAATTGTGCTGCATGCTGAGTCTCTGCCTTCAGTCTCGTCCTATGCTACGTTTGATTCCGGCAGATTATTTTGTCTGTGAATGTCTGTGCATCTGTCTGTCAAGCTGAAAATAACCTGACCTTCATGGGCTTCCTGAAGACTCCAAATATGTAGTGCTTCCCATGGCCCTGCCTCTTATTGCTGACAGTTAATTTGATGAACTTGGGGAGGGCGCTTAATTTCTCCCTCTAAATGCAGGTAACAGGAGAGAGGAAAGTAATGATCCAGGATGCTAAATTCAATTCAGTTGCTCAGAAGCTTAAAATTGGGAGGCTCATTAACCCCCAGACCCATCTAGAAAAAGGGATGAGTGGAGTGCTTCTTCCTCCCATGTGTACCCCAGAAATGAGAGTCCCTTGAGATGAGCAGGGGCAGCACACTTCCCTTCACTGTGCACAATGGAGAGCTGCACATTTTAACCCAGAGCCATAAAGCAAGCCTGCCGGGAACAGCGGCTCACGCCTGGAAATCCCAACACTTTGGGAAGCTGAGGTAGGAGGACCACTTAAGCCCAGGAGTTTGAGACCAGCCTGGACAACAAAGTAAAACCCTGTCTCTACAAAAAAATTAAAAATTAGCCTGGCATGGTGGCACAAGCCTGTGGTCCCAGCTACTGAGGCGGCTGATGGGGGAGGATCACTTGAGTCCAGGAGGTTAAGGCTGCAGTGAGCCATCACTGCACTCCAGCCTGGGTGACAGAGGTGAGATCCTGTCTCCAAAAATAAAGTCTATTTGAAAGCCTTATAATTCCATTTTCTTTTCTTTCTTCTTTTTTTTTTTTTTTTAAACAGAATCTCACTATGTCACCCAGGCTGGAGTGCGGTGGCCCAGTCTCGGCTCACTGCAGCCTCCACTCCCAGGTTCAAGTGATTCTCCTGCCTCAGCCTCCCAAGTAGCTGGGATTATAGGCGCACGCCACCAAGCCTGGCTAATTTTTGTATTTTTAGTAGAGACGGGGTTTCACCATGTTGGCCAGTCTGGTCTCGAACTCCTGACCTCAAGGGATCCACCCATCTCTGCCTCCCAAATTGCAGGGATTACAGGCATCAGCCACCATGCCTGGCCACTCCATTTCCTTTTAATGGGCATCCTTTTGAAGAGAAAGCAAGGATTGGGCAACAGCCTGAAAGCACAAGCCTGCTTATCTAATACAGCATTAATTTCATTTTTCCAGTATAATCCATGGGTTCACAGACAGCATTAATTTCAAATACCCTATCCCACTGTCCCGACACGCATGCTCACACTCCTCAAATTTTAGTGCCCCAATCTTTGATTCAGAAAACACGGTCACTGCATAAATGAATTGTTGGCAAACACAATATTCATTGCTTAATAATCTGGAAAAGATGTGAGAATGAATTTGCGGTGATTCAGCACTTTTCTTTATGGAAATGCCTATGAATATTTAACTGTAATGTTTATTTTATTCTAATTTTTTGTTAATCACATGTGCTTAGTTAATACAGCATACTTATGTCAAGTTTTTGTGATTGCCGTAGATTTTATGAATGATGGCAATTTCATGTGCTCTTTTATTTGAAATTAGATTGATTGCAAAGACTCATACAAAGTCATCTGTTAATTTTAGGGCTTAGTATTTGTGCCATTGTATCAGCATATCCTCCCAGCACATACCCACATGCACACGCACACATATGCCCGCCTGCACACTCACACACACACAGTACATTCACGCACACACACGCACACATATGCCCGCCTGCACACTCACACACACACAGTACATTCACGCACACACACACGCACATATGCCCGCCTGCACACTCACACACACACAGTACATTCACGCACACGCACACATGCACACTTTCCCCCCTCATTATCAGTGAGACAACAACACATTGGCACATTCCTTCTAGCTTTCTAAGGGAAGGAATTTTTCTTTAAAGGCTCATTCATACTTTGGAAGGCAAATTTGATTTAGCAGAACATCCTTCTAAAATTGAGGAAGAAAGAAAAATAACGAAATAAAACAGAAGAGGAAGGGGGAAAGCATATAGATAGTAGAAACCAATTCTACAGATTTCTTTTTTTACCCCAAGGTTTTAATAGCATGGGAAATAGCTTTAGGAAAATTTCTTCTTATCAATGTTTTCACATTGGCCAAGTGGCGTGTTTGTTAAAGTCAGCCATGCTAAAGTTTTGGGAAGTATGTGGAAGACCCCCAGGCTCTATGTGCTTTCCTACGCAGGTCTCCTGGCATTCCCTTTAGGAATTCACTTTTCGGGTTAACCATTTCCTCATCCCAGAGTGTAAGTCAGTCCTTCCATCCACTTTTCTTTTAGGACAGGGAGGACCTAGGGCATTGAGCAAAGAGGAAAAGGAGAGTCAACCAGGCGCAGTGGCTCAGGCCTGTAATCCCAGCACTTTGGGAGGCCCAGGCGGGTGGATCACCTGAGGTCAGGAGTTCGAGTCCAGCCTGGCCAACATGGTGAAACCTCATCTCTACTAAAAATACAAAAATTAGCCAGGTGTGGTGGTGTGCGCCTGTAATCCCAGCTACTCAGGAGGCTGAGGCAGGAGAATTGCTTGAACCCAGGAGGCGGAGGTTGCAGTGAGCCAAGATCATGCCACTGCACTCCAGCCTGGGCAACAGAACGAGCAAGACTCCGTCTCAACAAAAAAGAAAAAGACAGTCTAAGAGAAGTCCAAGTGGGCACCCAGAACAGACTTTACCTACATCACTATTCTCTTCAGAGATGGCCCTGTGCCCCACAGACTGAGAGGAATTTAGGTTCTATAGCAGGATTCTGTATTGGTCAGGATTCACTTCTATAGACAGTGGCTTCAACAAGAGAGTTTATTTCACTCTCATACAAAAGAAGTCTAGAAAAGACAGTCTAGATTGGTAGAGACTCAGTTTCCTTCTGTGCTCTTGCTCTAGCATGCACAACTTCTTCTTCTTGGTCAAAGATGGCTGCCCAAATTCCAGCCATCGTGTCCTCAGCCCACCATTAGAAAGGAAAGAAGGGCACAGCCCCTTCATTGATGGACACTTCCCAGAAGGACCAGAAAACACAATGGCTTGCCTTCTTTGGCCAAATATTGGTCACAGAACCACACTTATCAAGGGAAATATAGTTTTCCTGCAGTTATGGGCTTGGCAAAAAAAATCAGAAGTCCTGTACCAAGGAAGAAGAGGAAGAGGGAGAACTGATGCTGAGGGACAACCAGGAGGCTTTGCCACAGGATCGGATAACATCTTGCTAAAATAGCTTACTTCTCTGTGACCTGACTTATTTTTTCTTTTTTTAAATTTTTTAATTTTTTTAAATTTTTTTTTTAGAGACAGGGTCTCACTCTGTTGCCCAGGCTGGGGTGCAGTGGCACAATCATAGCTCACTGCAGCCTTGAACTCCTGGCTGGGCTCAAGCGATCCTCCTGCCTCGGCCTCCTGAGTAGCTGGGACTAACTTGAGTTCTCTTACGCTTCCTGGATTTCTTTCCAGGCCGAGACATAGAAATCACAAATGAATGAATGTGATCAAACTTGAAGGCCATTTCTAAAGAAAAGCTTTAGCTCAGACCCCATTCTGTGATTGCCTGTTAATGCCTCCTTGTGATTTCAGCGGAAATTCTAGAATTGGCCGGCAATGCCGCGAGGGACAACAAGAAGGCCCGGATAGCCCCGAGACACATCTTGCTGGCAGTTGCCAATGACGAGGAGCTCAACCAGGTATGTCTGAAGCCTTGAGGGAAGCCGTAGAATGGGTTTGCCAAACATGCTAATGTGTGGGCCTGGCTGGCCATGAGTCACTCCTGCTACAGTTCCCAATTACATTTATACAAAAAAAACTCAGGCCATATAAAAGAACAAATTCTGCTAGCTCTTATCATTCAGATTCAAAATAAAATTGCCTCTGGCATAGATCTCATTATATATTCTAGGTCTTATCAGACCTTTCTTTTCTCTTTGAAGACAAGTTCTGTGTGTTGCTGAGGAAGGTGTGGCACAAATGTTATTCTCTTCACTTTCTTCACCCAAACTTAGTTGACAGTTTTTTCTGATGAAGGCAGAAGACTCTTTATATTTTAGAACTGACTGTTTATATTCTGAAACTGACTCCAAAGTCAAGCGAATACCCCCTTTTCACCTACAGTATATGTAAGGTGGTAGGTAAATAGTATAAGAATTTTTATTTCTGTTTCTTTTCATTTATCTTTATTTTCTAATCTCACTCTTCTCAAACTGTAGTGAAGAAGCCATTTTTATGGCCAATCCATCATGGACTGATAATTTCCAGAAATGTAATAAAAATCACTAGAAAAATTAAAAAGCAAACTACAAGCCATAATTTTTTGTTATCAGATTCAACAGATATACAATAACTGTCAGTTTGCTGTGAAAGTTTCTAGATGCTTGCTATACTTCTGTTGTCACTGACGGGTAACTACCAGTTCATGGGTGAGCCATGGTCGCAGACCATGCTTGGGGTAGTGTTGGTTTCGAATCTGCAGAATATATTAGTGGAGTAGTACGTGTCTGTTCTTTGCAGATAAATTAACTTATATTGATTGGGAGGAGCATGGCCAGACATACTTTACTGATGGAATGTATGTGCAAGCTTGTGGAGACCACTGGTTCATCATTAACTGGGTCTAGTCTTTGCAATGACCTTTGAACATCATTTTCTCAAGCTGCGCTCCCCACATGGGAAGCTTTTTATCCTGTGTTGTGTCTGGAATTCCAGAGCCCTGGGCAACATCCCTGGTTTCAACTTCTGTGTCCCTTCTATTTTGCTTTACTTCGTTTTGCTTTCTGTACAACATCACAGGATGCCTTGTTAACCTACGGAGAAATGCTCTACAACTGAAAGTGGGAAAAGCCAATTAAATGGTGTATTACGCAGTTTCTTTAGGAAAGCGGAGGCCACATTTAACAGTTAGAACCGTATTAAGTCCAGGCCAGGCACAGTGGCCCACGCCTGTAATCCCAGCACTTTGGGAGGCCAAGGCAGGTGGATCACCTGAGGTCAGCCGTTCGAGACCAGCCTGGCCAACGTGGTGAAACCCTGTCTCTACTAAAAATACAAAAATTAGCCGGGGTGGTGGCAGGTGCCTGTAATCCCAGCTGCTCAGGAGGCTGAGGTAAGAGAATTGCTTGAACCTGGAGGCGGAGGCTGCAGTGAGCCAAGATCGCGCCACTGCACTCCAGCCTGGGTGACAGAGTAAGATTCTGTATCAAAAAAAAAAAAAAAAAAGAACTGTATGAAATTGGGAACTAGCAGGCTGTTTGCTACATGAGCGCATGCATTTCTCTCTTCAGCTGCTAAAAGGAGTGACCATCGCCAGTGGAGGCGTCCTGCCCAGAATTCACCCCGAACTGCTGGCCAAAAAGCGAGGGACCAAAGGCAAGTCGGAAACGATCCTCTCCCCACCCCCAGAGAAAAGAGGCAGGAAGGCCACGTCAGGCAAGAAGGGGGGGAAGAAATCCAAGGCTGCCAAACCACGGACGTCCAAAAAGGTAGGCCGAGGCTGCGTGTCCTGGGCCAGGCACTCCCACTGCAATGGTCTGAATGTCTGTGTTCCCCCACAATTCATATGTTGAAACCTAACCCCAGAGGCATAGGATTACAAGGTGTGGGCTTTGAGAGATAACTAGATCATGAGGGCGAGTCCTCACGAATGGGAACAGTCCCCTTATAAAAGAGGCCTGAGGGAGGCAGAGGGACCCTTCTGCCATGTGAGGACACAGCTAGAAAGCGTCATCTACCAGGAAGTGAGCCCTTGCCAGACACAGAACCTGCCTGCGCCAAGGACTTCCTGCCTCCGGAACTATGAGAAACAAGTTTCTGGGCCAGGCACAGTGGCTCATGCCTGTAATCCCAACACTTTGGGAGGCCGAGGCAGGAGGATGGCTTGAGCCTAGGAGTTAGAGGCTGCAGTGAGCCATGATGGCACCACTGCACTCGAGCCTCGGTGACAGCGCAAGACCCTGTCTCTTAAACAAACAAAAAAAAAAGAAAGTGGTTTCTGTTGTTTGTGAGCCAGCCAGTCTATAGCATTTTGTTAGAGCAGCCCAGGCAGACACTAAGACGCTCACAGAACAGGAGGGAAGTTTAAAGATGAGACAATGACTTCGTAGCAGACACCTCTGAAGGACCGAGGACTCTTGCAGCTTGGTGCCGGAAGAAAATGACAAGAATGTACAGGTAAAAGAATAAAGGGCCTTTGAGGTTAGAGCTGAAATGGGTCTTCTCTAGGTTTCCAAACCCTAAGCAGGGATGGTTTTCAGATCCCTTTTACTACCCCCAGCAAAATCTGAAGTGAGCGATGATAGCCAGGAACCTGCATTTTATTTCTCTGCAGAGCTCTGTGTTGCCTTCCAAACAGCCTCTAGTCTCCTGCAGGCATTCCCTGAGTTCCGCCAGTGGAATTTCAGGTGTTTGGCATATACTTGATATACTAGGTGTTTGGGTTAGCTTGATATACTAGGTAGCTTAGCTCAGAGATGCCACTGATAGAATAATGTTTTCCTATGTTGCCCAGTACAGTAACCACTGGTCACATGTGGCTTTTTTTTTTTAAGAGACAGGGGTCTCACTCTGTCACCCAGGCTGGAGTACAGTAATGCAGTGGCGAGATCATAGCTCACTGTAGCCTCAAACTCCTGGGCTCAAGCGACCCTCCTGCCTCAGCCTCCCAAAGCATTGGAATTATAAGTGTGAGCTAAGGCACACAAGCCAAGGCTATTTGGATTTGAATTAAAACTAAATCAAATTTAAAATTCAGCTCCTTGATTGTACCAGCCACATTTCAAGCACTCAGCAACATTATTGAGGATCAAGATGAATATTTCCACGATCACAGAAAGTTCTATTGGACAACCCTACTGTAGAAGTTGTGGATGTTTCATTCCACACTGCCTCTGTGCCCCGAGAAATCCTGGGGAGAAAGAAGGCTAAGCAATGGGCTATCAACGGCCCCACCCAGCTCCGATGCTTGTCGTCGTGAGCTGCAGGCATTGAAATGAGCAAGGACAATGTGCTGGTGCACAGGGGTAGGTGAGGACTGCAGGTATGTGTGAGCCCTTTAACACACTTTCTATTTTGCTATTTTGCGGTACCCTTTTCTTTCCTTATATTGCTGACTTTTGCTCCCCTCCTTCAAGAAACAGCAGAACACATCACCTAACCACTTCCTTTCATATTCAACTTGGTGGCAGCCGTGAGAAGAGCTTAATAAAGGCACCTCAGGCTTTTTCTGGATTGGTTCTCATCTTGCCTTTTGATTTTTACCGACAGTCCAAACCAAAGGACAGCGATAAAGAAGGAACTTCAAATTCCACCTCTGAAGATGGGCCAGGGGATGGATTCACCATTCTGTCTTCTAAGAGCCTTGTTCTGGGACAGAAGGTAACAAAGAGAATTGCCTTGTGCTATATTAAAACACCACTGTATTTTTATAACCTACTGTTTACAAGCAATGATGCCTCCTTTCCTCCCCTGATAATGATTTTCACTGCAGTCTTGAATTATTCATTTTTAAACTAAAGAGCTGTGGCAGTGTCAGCATTGTGAGAGTGAGAATTGTTCTTTTTTGCTGAGAATTGTTAACGCTAACATTGGTCAGACAAGGGTGAGCATGGAAGCTCTTTCTGGTCAGTAGATAGGATGGCATTACTGGTTTTGCTGGGAATTCCCCACACCCCAGTTATTTCTACATCTGCCAAAAAAAAAATCCATAGCTAACTTTCTCAGACAGCTTCTGAGAGGCCCATCTTACATGGTTCAATGTAATTTATCAAAGAAAGAAAATAGAAATATATGTTTCCCAAATATCCTTGGTATTAGAAATGAATTATTTGCCAATAATTCAGTCTGCCTGCCTTCCTAGGCTTTAGAAAGTAAACAAACAGGGCTATGCATTTGAACAGTCTTCAGCAACACAACAGCAGCCCAACCAGACATGCAAATAATTCATTCCTACAAGTGTAAAGTTTACTGAGCAGACAATTTATCTACCAAGTCAACTGGGGCTGAAATAAGACACCCAAGGAAAGAGTCAGTTAATCATATCTCTGGTAGCTGAATGTTTCCATCTTGACAACACAGTAAGCCTCCATTCAAAGAATTGGGAAGAGTATGTTCTAAGAAGAGCATCGGTGTGGCTGGTTGCTAATTCGTCACTGATGAAAGCAGGGAAACAAAGAGGTGGAATTTATGTCCCCTCTCTGGCCTGTTCACTGTTACATGACGATTAGCTTTCTCTCACTTAGCTAAGGCAACATAAAGGTCTTGCTCACATGGGCCAACAATAGAGAATGCCCTCCATTCCACTCTACTGTGAACACATAGGATAGCAATTCCCAATGGTAGCCCCAAGACTGTGGTCTCCAAAGGGCAAGGGAGCCAGACACCCCCAGGTCAGAATCCCAGAGCCCATTACTTCTCTCCAGCAAGGTTATTGGCTTCAGAGCCCTGCCCCACAGATTTTGTGTTCTTCTAGGGAGAATGCAGGATGCTGAGGGGAGAAGAGAGAGCAAGCCCTGGGCTTCCTTGCAGGAGCTTCTCAGAAGATGCATCACTGAAAACTAAGGCCACCAGGGTTGGGAACCAAAGGCATGAGCTGTAAGGGAAAGAAAGAAAGGAGAGGGGGCCAGGCGCGGTGGCTCACGCCTGTAATCCCAGCACTTTGGGAGGCAGAGGCGGGTGGATCAAGAGGTCGGGAGATCAAGATCATCCTGGCTAACACGATGAAACTCCGTCTCTACTAAAAATACAAAAAATTAGCTGGGCATGGTGGCGGGCGCCTGTAGTCCCAGCTACTCAGGAGGCTGAGGCAGGAGAATGGCGTGAACCTGGGAGGCAGAGCTTGCAGTGAGCCGAGATCACGCCACTGCACTCCAGCCTGGGAGACAGAGTGAGACTCCGTCTCAAAAAAAAAAAAAAAAAGAGAGGGGAGGCCCTGTTCCTGTTCCAGGGAAGAAGAAATGGATTTGTTGCATGCTGCCAGCCCCAGAGTGGAAAGCAAATCCACTGAGCTCAAAGAGCTTATTGCAAGCCAAACACCTGGGAAACTGGAGGTTGTCACTCTCTATGCAGCCCCTATGTTGACATTGGGTATGAATAATTAAAGAGAATTAATGAATGCAAGTAAAATATGAGATTTTTCAACAGAATTTTATCTTTTCCACATTCACCACCTTTTCTTCCTAATGCAGCTGTCCTTAACCCAGAGTGACATCAGCCATATTGGCTCCATGAGAGTGGAGGGCATTGTCCACCCAACCACAGCCGAAATTGACCTCAAAGAAGATATAGGTAAGGTCCTGAGACTTCAGTAGAAGTGCCATAGAATAGGCCACTGTTCAGGCAAGTTCTTGTGAAGCTGATCATTGTCAACTGGCTGTCCCTCCGCTGGGGTCCCATGTCAAGCTCTGTCTTTATGTGTAGTTGAACAGTTTCACTAGAGAGAAGCTAACTTTGTTTTAATTCTGCATATATTTTTGAAATTTTTATTGGGGTATTGTGTAAAAGCAAATCATTAGCATAGAGCTTGATGAATTTTTCTCAAAGTGAACCCCACTTTGCAACCAGCACCAAGATCCTGAAGCAGACCCTTACCAGCACCCCAGAAGTCTCCCTCAGCCCCACTCCCAGTCAGTATTTCCTCCAAGGGTAACCACTGTCCTTTCTTATCAAAGCAGAGATGGGTTTCATCTGTCTTGAATTTTGTAAAAATGAAATCTTGTCCTCTTCTGGGTCCGACTCCTTTTGCTCAACTTAGTATTGTGAAATCTATCCATGTCGTTGAGTATGCTTGTATTCATTCATTTTCCTTGCTCTGTAGTATTACACTCTATAAATATATGACAGTTTATTGATCTATTCTACCACTGATGACATTTGGGGTAGTTTCCAGTTTGAGCTATAGTGAATAGTGCTACTATAAATATTGTTGTACATGTTTACATATATCGTAAGCTTAAATATTGAGAGTGCTATTGATAAAAGGGAAATGGACATCTAGAAAAAAATTAGATTGTCCATTAAGCTATGAGCATTGAGTTATTTTTGCCTGTGGTTTGCCACCTGTCCCACGAGTGGCAGAGGGAGCTGTTAATAGCCAGGGTGGAGGAGCTTGGGAGGGTAAGCTGTTATGGGCGCTGGAAATAACAGCATGCTAACAGTCCCCATCCCATCCATTTTTACCAAGCAGAACTGCCTTAAACTCTCCACGGAAAGGGTAAAGTGAGCAAAGAAGGGGCTTTGTCTCTAGGGTACAGGGCTTGCCTGTGAGGGAGGCAATTTGAGGTAGATGCTAGTAGTTCAGCCCTGGCTGGTAGCACCAGGGGCCCCAGGCAGCTGGACTCACTCAGGGCTTCCTCCTGGCATCAGAGGCCACTTGCTGTGCTGAAAAGGAGATAGGACAGCCCTGGGAAAAGTCAGCATTACAGAGAAACAGGTCTCCTTCCACTCTCCATGGAAGGACGCCCTCTAGTAGCCTTCATCTGGAGCTCTTTTAATAGGTGTCCTGCCTCTCACTGACACATTGCAGTGTTCATACTTTACACATTTCTATAGTAATGAAATTTTTATGTAAGAAAAATAATATGCTTCTTTTTTTTAATTGGCATGGTGGCAGAGTAGAAAGAGCACTGGTCTGGGAGCAAAAATTCACGCTCAGATCCCAGCAGTGGATTCTAAGGCCAACCGCTTCAGGGTCTTGGGAGGAGAAATGGGCTAAAGGCAGTCAGGTGGTTAAGAGGGCAGGTTCCAGGTCGGCCTGCCTGGACTGTCCCAGCTTTTCTGAATTGCTTCCTAGCTGACCTTTGGCAGGTTTCTAAACCTCCCTGAACCTCCGTTTCCTCCTCTGTAAGGGAGGATAGCAATAGTACCTGTCCCATAGGGGTGCTGTGATGGGGCTTAGCACAGTGCTGGGCTCCTAGGCAGTTAGTAATTGACAGTGGTTTTATTGCTGCTGTGTTAGGAGGAGTCCCTCCCATTACGATTCCATTTTCCACCACCATCACCCAAACTAATCATCCCAGCAGCCAAGGCCCTGTCTTACTCTTTTCAAAACATTATGTTATTATGGGAAAAGTCAAGCATACACAAAAAATAACAGAAAAGTATAATGAAACCCTATGCAATCAGATGCAATAATCACCACCCATGGCCACCTTTGTTTCAGCTCTTACCCCCTCCACATACTTCCAGACATCATTTTATCTATGAATATTTCACAATGACTTGTAACAGATAAGGGCTGTTTACTAACAACACAGCCACAATACCATTATTGTACCCTTAAAAAGATAGCAATATCAACAAATTACCAGTGTTCCAATTCCAGTTACATCATAAATGTCAAGTTTCTTAAACATTTGTTTAAGCCAGGCACAGTGGCACACTCCTGTAGTCCCAGCTACTTGGGAAGCTGAGGCAGGAGGATCGCTTGAGCCCAGGAGTTTGAGACCAGCCTGGACAATATAAGTGGGACCCTCATCTCTTATAAAAAAGGGGGGCCCGAGTACGGTGGCTCACACCTGTAATCCCAGCACTTTGGGAGGCTGAGGTGGGCGGACCACTTGAGCTCAGAAGTTCCAGACCAACCTGGGCACATGGCAAAACCCCATCTCTACAAAAAATACAAAAATTAGCCAGGCTTGGTGGCATATGCCTGTGCTCCCAGCTAAGGTGGGAGGCTGGGGTGGGAGGATCACTTAAGCCCAGGAGTTCTAGGCTGCAGTGAACTGTGATCATACCACTACACTCCAGCCTGGGCCACAGAGTGCACAGAGTGAGACCATGTCAAGAAATTAAGAAAGGAAAGAAAGAAAAAGAGAGAGAGAGAGGGAGGGAGGGAGGGAAAGAAAAAGAGAGAAAGAGAGAGGCAGAGGGAGAGAGAGAGAGAAAGGAAGGAAGGGAAGGTAGAGAAGGAAGGAGGGAGGGAAGGAGGGGGAGGGGGAGAGAGAAAGGAAGAAAGGAAAGAAAGAAAATTTGTTTATTTGATTTCGGATCCAAATCAGTCCACGCACTGCAGTTGGTTGATGAGTCTCTTATACCATAGGTTCCTCCTTCATCTCTTTCTTATTTCTTTGCAATTCATTTGTTGAGGAAGCTGGGCCATTTGTCCTATAGGGTTTCATGCAGTCCGGATTTTGTTGATTATATCCTCCTGGCATCATAAAACATGTTTCTTTGCTTTTTTATAACTTGGTGGTTGGATCTAGAGGTTTCATGAGGTGTAGGTTCGAAAACTTTGCCAAGACTCCTTGGTCAGTGGCGAGTGCTCGTGCCCGAGGAGGCGCGTCGTGCCTGGTTGTCTGTATTGGTGTGATGCTGGTGGCCATTGATGCCTCTTCTCTAGATTCCGCCATTCGTTAGGAGTTGCAAAGCTGTGGTATTCTCATTCTAGCATTGCTCCTTTCCTTCTTGGGAATGCTTCTGTAGAGAGAAACTACCTCTCTCCAGGATGCTTTTTTCTTAAAAGGCTTCAGTGAGGAGGGTGGATTCCCCTTGCCTTCTGCACATTCCCATTTGGCCCTTGACCTGAATGCAGAGGGCGCCAGTGTAGACCTAGTCCTCTGCTTCTCAACATGAACTGGCTACCAGCTTCAGTTACCCGGCCTTCTCCAGGCTTCTGGACCCAATAGATCAACAGTGTCCAGGAATCTGGGGGCCAGAAAGGAGTCTCAGGGGTACTGGGTATAATGCACAATCACCATTTCTCAGTTGCATCATGGAAACCCAAGAACATTAACAAAGAAAACCCCTCTGCACGCCCTCCCCCAGTGGACAGTGACCACTGGAATAGACACTTGTCCTAAACCAGCTGCACAGTGTACTGTGGCTGTCCACATATACTTGAGGCTCGAGTGTGGAGTGGGGAAGCATCAGCACCCAGGCCCTGGGAAAGACCATGAACTGAACCATAATAATAATGATGATTCATAAAGAGATTGCTGAGACTTGCTGCAGACATCCAGATCACCAAGTTCATTCGAAGATGAAAACATCTGAAAAATGCCTCCTCTGCTGCCCCAAAGCTGCCGTCATCCCAGTCTGGACAAAACACCCATGTCATCTCAGAGACATGAGAGCTGGATGCGCTGGTGCACACCGACAGGGTTCCTGTGGGGTCAGAGGTGGTGTCCTGTCATCTCCCAGGGGTTCCACTTGGCCTGTGTAGAAGTAAGAGCTGAGGTAGGAAAAAAAAGAAAGAGTGGGGCATTCCCCTAACATCAAAGGCTCAGGGCATCTCCCGGCAGGAAAGTCCTTAGAGATTAGCCTCTCTGCATTTCTCCATTGCAAACTGAGCACCGGGTTGGGGGAACAACATGCCAGGCTGCCCTGGGCCTCTGTCTGTCCTTTGACTCAAGCACGTACAGTACGTTGATGGCACTGTGATGGGACCAGGACTTCAGAGCTCTCCACATGAGTACTAAACCTGTGGGACACAACACTAGAATCACAGTTTTTTGTTGTTTTGTTTTTAAATCATCTACAAGACTCAAGCCATGAGACCGCTTTATGGCCAAATCACCCCTTAAAATATCCTTGGTAAAAGCTTGCCAATCTAAGTCTGCTAGACTGAGGCCCAGAGTCCCCTGCCTCCCCTGACCACTGGCAAACCAGGATAACAATTGGGAAGTTCAATTCCTAGTTTCTAACAGTGCTTTTGTTTTCTCCTGGCCTACTACAAATATGTCAAACAGTGTAATTAGATTGAAAGAACAACCACAGTGGCTTCCCATTGCTCTCCTTTGCAGGTAAAGCCTTGGAAAAGGCTGGGGGAAAAGAGTTCTTGGAAACGGTAAAGGAGCTTCGCAAATCCCAAGGCCCTTTGGAAGTCGCCGAAGGTAAGTGTGGAACTAGGCTCCTGTCACCAGCATGGCCTCACCCTCCTCTCTGGAGTCTCCAGCCTCACGTGCCTCATGCCTATTCAGCTTATGAGTCAAAGTATGCCATAACTAATCAGAAAGCTGTTTTAGCATCTCAGGTAATTTGGGCAGGCCCATAGAGATCCTTTCAGATGTCCTGGGGACTCCAATATGTTTGAATAATTCAAGTCAGTTTGCATCAGATCCCCCAAAATGGTCTAGAGCCATTGGGTGAACTTTGCATGTGTGTGATAAAATACACACACCATAGGACTTACCACTGGAACTATGTTTTGTTCTTTTTTTTTTTTTTTTTGAGAAAGAGTCTCACTCTGTCGCCCAGGCTGGAGTGTAGTGGCATGATCTCAGCTCACTGCAACCTCTGCCTCCCAAGTTCAAACGATTCTTGTGCCTTAGCCTCCCGAGTTGCTGGAATTACAGGCGCATGCCACCATGCCTGGCTAGTGTTTGTATTTTTAGTAGAGATGGGGTTTTGCCATGTTGGCCAGGCTGGTCTCAAAGTCCTAACCTCAAGTGATCCACCCGCCTTGGCCTCCCAAAGTGCTGGGATTACAGACATGAGCCACCACACCCGGCCACTGGAACTATTTTAAAGCGTATAATTCAGTGGCATTAAGTACTTTTACAGTGTCGTGCAGCCATCACCACCACCTAGTCCAGAGCTTTGATATCACCTCACACAGAAACCCTGTTGGGTTGATCGGACTCAACACCAGGTCATGGGGGTGACAAAGTCCAGCGGAGTCAAAGGAATGAGAAAAGATAGTTTGAGAGAGAAAGTGGGTCCAGGGGGCTGTCACTAATGTGTGGCGGTTGTGAAGGCCCCGAGCTCTGGAAGCCCAGGCTATTTATTGGTGATCAAACAAAGAAACAGGTGATGAGGATGTGGGGGTCGAAAGGGCAAGCGCATGATCTACAGCTGTGACAGTTTAGCATTTCCTTTGAAGCATTTGGAACATATTCTGCTACTTGAGATAATGGAGAGCAGGTTCTTTTAACTCAAGATACAATCGATCCTGGGAGAGCAAGGAGCAAGAAGCCAGCAAGTCTAGACACATTCAGAGCCACGAGCCCTGGATTCTATCCAAGCCACGAGGGGTTTTATGCCCTGGGCTTAGATTATGGTGTGTCAGGGTGGCCTTCCACCCTTTGGCACAGAGCTTGGTGTTCCAAAGGCCACAAGGCGTTTTCGAATCTGGACCCCGGACATGTTCCAAGACTCTTTTACATTACGTCAGACATGCAAGCCCTGCCTCAGCTTCTCTCAACACTTAGCTTTTCCCCCAACAAACCCCCTAACCATTAAGCAGTCATGCCCAGTGCCCCCCTCAGGCCCTGGCAAGCACTAATCTACTTTCTGTCTCTACGGATTTGCCTATTCTGGACATTTCATATAAATGGGATCATGCAATATATGACTTTTCTGTCTGGCTTCTCTCACTTAACATTTTTTTCAAAGTTCATCCATACTGTAGCATGGGTCAGTACTTATTCCTTTTCATGGCTGAATAATATTCCATTTTGTTTAACCGTTCATTTACTGATGGACATTTGGGCTGTTTCCGCCTTTGGTGATTGTGAATAGAGCTGCAGTGAACATCTGTGCACAAGTTTTTTTTAAACATCTCTTGTCCAGGATATTGGGCAACTTTTTGACAGGTGGATTCAACCTCAGATCCATGTTCCCACCCACATGACTCCCAATCAGTTCACTCCTTGTACCCTCAGTCAGTGCCAAGTGCCGCAGGGCTTCAGAGGAAAATAAAACCCACCGCTGCCCTCAGATGCATAATTGGGGCACAGAGCAGGAGCCACGACCTCAGCGTAGGGGAGCGTGGGAGGACTGCAGTGAGGCTGTGAGACCCCTTGGGGGTGGGACACAGAGGGCAATAGGAGCACTGCATGCAAGAAGACGCTTGTCTTGCATGAGCAGGGAGTCTTGGGTCAGCACGTGGGAGGAGAGAAACAGCAGCCAAGATGAGTCTGGGCCTGTGGGCTGTGCGAAGGGGTCTGGATCTGACCCTACATGGACATGAGGGCACTTGGAAGTTTAAGCAGGGGGCTGTCCAGATTAGACTTGATTGTTATAAAAGTAGGGCCCAGGTACTGTGGCTCATGCGTGTAATCCCAGCACTTTGGGAGGCTGAGGCAGGCGGATCACGAGGACAGGAGTTCAAGACCGGTTTGACCAACATGGTGAAACCCCGTCTCTACTAAAAATACAAAAATTAGCCAGGCATGGTGGCGCATGCCTGTAATCCCAAGCTACTCAGAGGCTGAAGCAGGAGAATCACTTGAACCTGGGAAGTGGAGGTTGCAGTGAGCCAAGATCGTGCCACTGCACTCCAGCCTGGGCAACAGAGAAAGATTCTGTCTCAAAAAAAAAAGAAAAAAGAAGAAAAGAAAAAAGTAATGGGGGCTTCTAGTCCAGAAAGAACAAGAGCCCACACTTTAAATCTCCACCCACTACTCCCCACAGGCAAAGCAGTAATAGATGCAGTGTCTCTTTAAAAACCCTAAGAGCCACACTCAAATATAAGATAAGCCTCCATGTAGACAGAGACAGGAGGGCTGCAGCAGCACCTGCAGGATGCTGCCGCCCCAGGCCTCGGCTCCAGGTCTATAAGATGCAGAGTCGCTTCACTTTGTATCAGAGTATAAAGAGGGCCAGAGCCAGACTCACTGCCCAAAGCAAGGGGCTGCATGAGACTCTCGCGGCCTTTACAAGAAGCCAAAGCTCTCGCCACCACCCAGGGCTACAACTTCTATAAAAATCTGTCTTTCTAGGGTAGCAGAAGGGAGAAGAGAGCCCCTCACCCAAGCCCAGGGCCACATTGCCCACCGACTCAATGTTTGGCTCTACCACATCCCCGATATAACCATGAGACCAAGCCCCAACTCAGTCATCTAAGACGGCATCAGGACTGGGGGCCTGGGTGTGGGGAAGGTTCCCCAGAAACTGCCTGATAGGGTGCAAAGGAGAGGAAAAATAGCTGCTCTGCACAGAATGAGAAGCTCCAACACACTTCTTTTTTAAATTATTTTTTAAATAGAGATGGGTTCTTGCTGTGTTGCCCAGGCTGATCTTGAACTGCTGGGCTTAAGTGATCCTCCTGCCTCAGCCTCCCAAAATGCTAGGATTACAGGTGGGAGCCACCGTGCCCAGCACCAACACACTTCTAAACAGAGTTCCAAAGGCAGAAATAGAAAGTAGAAAAGCATTATTTAAGGAGATCGTAGCTGAGAATTTTCTAGGATGAAGCATGAGCCCTTAAGCTGAAAATATCAAGCAAAATACATGAAAATAAATCCAAAACCTGGAGTGTTGTGGTAAAGCCTTAGAAATTGAAAAATCAAAAGAAACCTTCAAAGTAACCCGAGAGGAGAGGCAGATCATTTGTAAAGAAATGATGGCTCTTCTACTGACAGCAGACTTCTCATCAGCAAAAAAAAAGATGTGTGGAAACAGGAAAGAAATACCTTCAAAGCACTGAAGGGAAAAAAAAAACTGTCAACCAAGAATTCCACATTTTGCTACGTTGTCATTCAAGAATGAGGACAAAAGATGTACAATTTCAGACGTGCAGAAGTTGAGAGGCAGCAATCCAGACACTAGCTGGAAAGAATACAAAAGTCTGCACCAAGGAAATAGACATGAACCTGGAAGGAAGGAGAGGGCTACAGGACACAATTTTGAGCTAAGACATTGGTGCAAATATGTTAGGTGTAAGAAGCCATGGCCTGGGGCCAGTGAGTGTTAGCACCCTGGGAAAAATGGAGAAGGGGAGATGGTTCGCCACTGTCTAACACCACACTGCATTTCATTTAAAAACACCATCAGTTGTTAAGATATACTCTTATTGTATGTAACATTAAGAAAAAATAAATTTCCAAAATAAAGTGTCTAATAGGAGGCCCCACATAAAGCTGGGGCACATTAGTATAACAGCAAGCAAGACATGAACCCACCACGCAGAAAGGAGGAGCAAATATCTTGACCTTGGCATCCAGTGGACAGAGAGGAAAAAAAAAAAAAAAGCCTCACTAAAGAATTTGGCCAGGCATGGTGGCTCACGCCTGTAATCGAAGCACTTTGAGAGGCAGAGGCGGGTGGCTCACCTGAGGTCGGGAGTTTGAGACCAGCCTGACCAACATGGAGAAACCCTGTCTAGTAAAAATACAAAAATTAGCTGGGCGTGGTGGTGGGTGCCTGTAATCCCAGCTACTTGGGAGGCTGAGGCAGGAGAATCACTTGAACCCAGAAGGCAGAGGTTGCAGTGAGCCGAGATCACGCTATTGCACTCCAGCCTGGGTGGCAAGAGTGAAACTCTGTGTCTAAAAAACAGAAAAAGAATTTGAACCGCAAGCCAGTGCTCCTGAAGATTTGCAGCCAGATCCAGTGCAGCTCAAAACCTGAGGCAGAGAAGAGAGTGAGACATAGCCTTAGTTTGGTAGTGTCCCCAGGTGACATAGAAGGAAATGTAATTTCTTTCTGGAAGAACTCAGCTCCAGGCTGACAGCAGTTCTAAGATGCTTCCTGATTTCAACAATATTAAAATATTTAAACAAAAAAAAAGTGCATCTTAACATGGTTAAAACAGACCAACTGCAGTGCAGGCCCACCCTGTGGCAGGGGGTCGGGGAGGGTGGATCAAGAAAATATTTCAGGTGCAGAGTCAGTGAGAGGCAGCGATGCTGCATGTTCAGGGAGGCAGAAGCTGGAGCTAAGGTAAGTCCAGGGTTTCCAGGGCTGAGCAAACTGATGAAAAGTCAGGACTTTCATTCATTTGTTGAATATTGGAGCACCTGCCTGCCAGTGACTGTGGCAGGAGCCAGGCAGCAGCAAGGAATACAAAAGTGCTTCAGTGAAGATGTCAGCTGGGGCAGAACCAGTTCACGTTAAGCATCTACGGTGTGTGCTGTCGGGCGCAGGCATCAGGATGTGGATGTGATTGTAGGCCCTGAACACTCCTGAATTTTACAACCAGGCGGGGACCCCAGGGTAACACAGTACATCACTTAGCACAGCTGGCTGCTGAATTGCATGGCAGAGGCCCGGAGAGAATGGGCGAGGGAGTCAGGGACAAAGGAGGATAGCCAAGTGTGGAGACAGAGGTGCAGCCAGACCCATGTGTGCAGGGGACTGAGCCCACTGGCTGGAGGACGACTGGGCATCCAGAAAGAGCAAGAAATGGATAGACTCCAAGGGGAGAGGGGCCGACCATGAAGGGAGCCTGGGAGGACTGCAGTAAGGCCAGGGGGCAATCAGGAGCAGTTGCAGATTCTGAGTTTAAATGTGGAGTTTAAGGACCTTGGCTCCAGCAACCGTGTGGAGGATGGTTTGGCAGACAGAGGGCTGGGGCCCGAAGACCATCAAGAAAGCTGTATTGGATGAGGGTGGGGGTGGAGTGGGGGTGAAAATGAAGCACATGGGCCTGAAATGAGACAAGGCAGAGGAAACTGATGGTGTCTGCAGTGACAAAGAGGGAAAAAGGGGAATCGGGTTTCAGGAGTGAATGGCCATTTTACTGGGCACGTGTTAGCCCTGGGGCCCCAGAAAGGTCATGAGGTGCAGGTCCCTGTTGAAAGCTAAGGAGGAAAATGGCTTGCAGATGGCTGCTTAGGAGGTGGGGCTGCAGCAGAGAGAAGAGCACTGGGCCCAGACACGCAGGAAGAAGAGAGGCCATTGTGGGAAACTGAGGTGCTGTTAAAAGAAAACCCACAGTGTCACGGAAACCAGGCATCAGCAGTAGCAGCCTCTCAGCAGGACAAGGGGCCAACCTAGAGTCCCCTTTTGCTGTGGTGACTCCCAAGAACTGTGATGGCTCACCTGGGGGAAGGTTCTAGAAGCTCCCAGCAGCAGCACTGCCACCCTCAGAATGCAGGTCTTCACCAGGCAACATCACATTAGGTAAGAGAATGCCCCTAGTCATTATGTGGATAGGTGCTTATACCAAATACCAGGGTCACAGCCCTTGCAATAACTTGACCCTCATCCTTGACAACTCTGGAGAACATTACAAAGCATTATGGCTACAAGCTGTGTTATTCATTTCCAGTTGCCATGAACATACTTTGTTTTGGACTGAAATGTCATCGTGCACTACCCTGAAAGTCATTTTTTACTTGATTGGATGTTTGACATTGCCAATAGGAACATATTCCTTTTATTTAAAAATGACTTTTGGCTGGGTGCAGTATAATCCTAGCACTTTGGGAGGCCGAGGTGGGTGGATCACTTGAGGTCAGGAGTTCAAGACCAACCTGGCCAACATGGTGAAACCCCATCTCTACTAAAAATACAAAAAATTAGCCGGGCATGGTGGCGGGTGCCTGTAATCCCAGCCACTTGGGAAGCTGAGGCAGGAGAATCGAATCGCTTGAACCCGAGAGGCAGAGGTTGCAGTGAGCTGTGATCGAGCCACTGCACTCCAGCCTGGGCAACAGAGGGGCATCCTGTCTCAAAAAAAAAAAAAAAAAAAAGACTTTACATTAGAGGAATACCATTCTGCTAGTAACATGATTATACTTTTAAAATATATGAAATAAATCAGCCATGACTGTAACAAGCCAAACTCTGTCCGGCATACAATAGCAGCCAGGTGCTCGGGAAGATGGCACCATGCAGGCAAGGCCCATCTCCAGGGTCCTTGGTTCTCAGCAGAGCAGCCTCCAGTTTTAGGGGCATCATTGTTCAGTCCAAAGAGGGACACTCTGCTTCTGGTGCACAAATATACGTGGTCGTAGAGTCAGCACGCATGGCGGGCCCCTACCCAGGGCCTCGGTGTATTGTGTGGCCTGGGTCCTGCACTCAGGCGTTCACGTGTGATGACACTGAGCCCCGTCTAGGCACTGGAAGGCAGGGAGCCTACAGCCTCCCCTGATGGACGAAGGGGTCCCTTGGATTTGGCTTCTACCCATGTGAGGAAGTGCAGTCAGCACTTCCCTGACACTGTGGACATTGCCAGGAAATACTTATATAAACTAGGTGGGCATCATAGATTTCCAGTCAGTCTTTCACCTCAACCCCACACACAGCTCTGGAATACGGCGGACACACGTTTCTGTTACAAGTGCTGCCCCTAGTGGCCACGGACCCTTGCTACGCCGATTCCTGGGTTCCTGGAGGGGCACAGGGCGCAGACGGGCAGCGTGGGGGCAAGCATGGCTCATGGCTGAAGCTGCAGCTGCCTCAGGCAGATCCGAGGGAACTGCTCCCCTGGGGAGTCCCACAGGGACTTCCCTCGAGCTTAGCAGCCACGGGGCTTTATCAACTCTGTCACCAATGGGAACCACATTTAGGGGAGTAAACAGTAAAACAAAGGAGTATGACAGAAATTGTGAGACAAGGCTGGCCTAATTCAGTTTCACAGCCCGCTTTTGAAACCCCACTCTCTGCAGGGCATGTGGAGATCATCAAATGGCAGTCCCTGTCAAGGAACTACACAATCAAGTTCAGTGGTTCTCAACTCATAGAAGGTCCTAAAATCACATAAGCATAAGCCCCTGCACCAGACCTACTGAGTCAGGACCTCTGGGTGGTCAGTACCCTGACTCTGTGGGGCCCAGGCACAGCTATTTTTTAAAAGCCACAGTAGGCCAGGTGTGATGGCTCACGCCTGTAATCCCAGCACTTTGGGTGCCTGAGGCAAGAGGATCACTTGAGCCCTGGAGTTCAAGACCAGTCTGGGCAACATAGCAAAACCTCATCTCTATAAAAAAATTTTAAAAATTAGCACATGCCTGTAATCCCAGCTACTCGAGAGGCTGAGGCACTAGAATCACTTGAACCCAGGAGGTGGAGGTTGCAGCGAGCTGAGATCGCACCACTGCACTCCAGCCTGGGCGACAGAAAAAGACTCTGTCTCAAAAAAAAACTAAAAATAAAAAAATAAAAATAAAAGCCACTGTATTCATTTCCTGTGGCTACTGTAACAAATTACCACAAAGTTCGTGGCTTCAGACAACACAAATTTGTCTTCTTACAGTTCTGGAGGCCAGAAGTCCACAATGAGTTTTAAGAGTCTAAGATCCAGGTGTTGGCAGGGCTGGTTCCTTCTGGAGGCTCAGGGAAGGATCCCTTCCTTGCCTTTTCCAGCTTCTAAGCTGCAACATTCCTTGGCTCCTGGCTGCATCGTTCCAATCTCTGTCTCCTTCATCCCACGGCCTTCTCCTGCCTTTGACCTTCTTGCCTCCCTCTTATCAGGTCCCAGGCTCACCCAGACAGTCCAGGATCATCTCCCCATCTCAAGAGCCTTCACTTAATCACATCTGCAAAGTCCTTTTTGCCATGTACGGGAACACCCACAGGTTTCAGGGAGGAGGACGTGGATGTTTTGGGATGCCATTACTTTACCTGCCACAGCCACCAGAGAGGATCTGATGTGTCCCTTTAACTAGGAACCATTGTGAGGAGGTAGCCCAACCCAGGGACTACTTGGCAGACCATATGAAAATGGCGCATCAGAGCAGCATTAAACGCTTCTACCCAAAGCTTGTGCTAACTGTGCAAAGCAATACAGCCCAGCTCTTGCTCTCGTTAAACATAGTCCACATCAGGAGCACAGGATGCTGCCCAGCCAACGTCTCTATCACTGCCTTATCTCCAGATCTAACAGGTACCTGATGAGGTTAGGCTATAACCTAGGAAACCTTAGGAAATAACCCGCGGCATTTTCTCTCCTATGTCCCAGCCGCCGTCAGCCAATCCAGTGGACTCGCAGCCAAATTTGTCATCCACTGTCACATCCCTCAGTGGGGCTCCGACAAATGTGAAGAACAGCTTGAAGAGACCATCAAAAACTGCCTGTCAGCGGCGGAGGACAAGAAGCTAAAGTCCGTCGCGTTCCCGCCTTTCCCCAGCGGCAGGTAAGATGCAGTTCCCCTGAGTTGATTCCTCCGGCTTTTTCCCTGGAAATCAGCTGCTCCCCCACTTACATCTGATCTGGGTGTTGCCAAGGGCTGCCAGCACAGCCAAGTATGCTGACCAGATGACAGGGCAGGAAACCCGGTTTTCATCCTTCAGAAACCATGGGGAAGCGAGCCCACTGGCTCCTAGGCAGCAGGTCTTCCCCGGCTGGGGCCAGCCCCAGTGCCTCCTTGATGTTAAAGCCCCAGGAGGAAGGCTAGCCCAGGGGAGGAGCGGGAGGCAGAGGCCAGCTGGTGTGTTATTTTTTGAGAGCCTTCCAGGTTCAAAGTCCATATTCCCACCAGCTGTCCATGTCCAGGACACATGATCAGAAAACGCCAGGCTCGAAGGCCTTGCTACTCAAAGTGTGGTCCATAGGCAGCAGTGACCGATGTCAGAATGCAGAATCTCAGGCCCCCCATCTCCGACCTCTGGCTCCAGAATCCCCAGAGAATTCCGTTGCTGCTCTGGGAGACTGCAGAGCCAGGAGTTCGAGGCTTTGATGAATACACCCAGAGAAGTGAAAATCTGTCCCCGAGTGATTGCTGAAAAGGAGACTGGGCAATGACTGGATTGTCACAGATCCCAGCTGGGCATTGTTTCAGATACATAATGAGGATATCTGCTGTCACATAAAACATATCCTTTCCCTTCATGCCCCTAGCCAATCTATTGCTTTAATTTTGAACACCCTCTCACCTTGAGAGCTGTCCTTTATAATATAGCTATGGTTTATAGCTGTGTCCTGGGAAGCCCAAGAGGAAAATAATGAGACCTAGGTTCCTGCTGTAATCACACATCAACCTAGGCAAGCAGCATTGAGTCTCAGCATTCCAGGCCCAGAGATGCTGTGAGATGCATTCTTTCGTCGGTGGAACCACGGCAGTGCTGTTCTGTGCTGGAATACATGCGATTGGGAAGAATTCCTATTAACAGGCCCCTCCTGGACCTGCTCCAGGGGTCTCTGTGGCTGACCCCTAACGACCATTCTGGCTGTGTCCCTGGAAGCTGGTGCTGTGGCCCAGCCTGGTGGATGGCACTATCAGTAGCTCCCTGGAACCTGGGGCCTTTAACAAACTTTCATTAACCCCGCCATGCCCGGAGTCACAATGCTGAAATTACATGGGCCTGTGCCTATGAAATATTAAGTGCATAAAAAAGGACTTACGAAGACAGGTTTGGAGCATACATTTTTGCCCTTTACTAAGCAATTGGGTTAGTATATAAACCAGTTTGGAGGGAGCTAATAAAACTTCTGTTTGCTTGTTTGAAGACCAGGTATTTTTAATGCTGAATGGCTAGCATTTTTAAAGCCAAGCTTGACTTGGTCAGGTGACATAGAATCAAATATAGGGAGCTGGCACGGTGGCTCACGCCTGTAAATCCAAAAGCTTTAGGAGGCTGAGGCAGGAGGATCATTTGAGGCCAGGAGTTCGAGACCAGCCTGGGCAACATAACAAGACCCATCTCTACAAAAAATTTAAAAAAAAAAATTTTTTTATAGGCACACGCCTTTAGTCCCAGCTACTGAGGAGGCTGAGGCAGAAGACAGATAGCTTGAGCCCAGAGGTTTGAAGCTGCAGTGAGCTATGATCACACCACTGCACTCTAGCCTGAGTGATGGAGCAAGACTTTGCCTCTGAAAAAAAAACTAATTTAAAAAAAGTATAATAAAAAATAAAATACAGGGCACTCTTCACTTGGCCAGCCCTGTGACCTTGACTAAAATCATTGTGCTTGGCAGGGCACGGTGGCTCACACCTGTAATCCCAGCACTTTGGGAGGCCGAGGCAGGCGGATCACCTGAGGTCAGGAGTTCAAGACCAGCCTAGCCAACATGGTGAAACCCCGTCTCTACTAAAAATACAAAAATTAGCCAGGCATGATGGTGCGCACTTGTAGTCCCAGCTGCTTGGGATGCTGAGGCAGGAGAATCGCTTGAACCCGGGAGGTGGAGGTTGCAGTGAGCTGAGATCGCGCCACTGCACTCCAGCCTGGGCAACAGAGAGAGACTCCATCCCAAAACAAATAAATTAATTTAATCAAATTAAATCATTGTGCCTCTCCGAGTCAGTGTGACACCTATAAAGTGGGGGCAACATGCCCCACCTGCCACCCCCAGGCTGTCCCTTTGGCTAGGGTCAAAGGAGATCATGCATGGACTAGCCCTGCACACAGCAAGGCCCCACCCAGTAAAAACAAAGGCACTTCATGCTCCCATGGGTCCCAGGGACCAAAATGACATCGGCTCTTCTTTTGCTTTGGCACAGAAACTGCTTTCCCAAACAGACTGCGGCCCAGGTGACCCTCAAAGCCATCTCAGCCCACTTTGATGACTCGAGCGCGTCCTCGCTGAAGAACGTGTACTTCCTGCTCTTCGACAGCGAGAGCATCGGCATCTACGTGCAGGAGATGGCCAAGCTCGACGCCAAGTAGCCGCCGCACTTTCCAGCAGGGATCGGAGGACGACCCGAGTCCCAAGAGTGGGGTTTTGCTTTTTAAAAGGAGAGAGGAGGGGTGATGGCAGGGGAGTGGAGGGTGGCCGGGCAGGTCCTGCCGGCGCAGGGAGCCCTCTGCCCTTCACACTCTCCTCCAAAAGAGCCTCCATCTGTAAGGAAGCAGGTCTCCGCGAGGGGTTTCTTTCCATGTGTTTTCCTCCTGTTGTTTTAGAACTTTTTTAAAAAAACAGACCTCGTTTTAGATTTATAGCATTGACTTTTACACACATTCACACAAGAAAAAAATCCTTTCAAAATTCTTAAATCTTCTGTTCCTCCTTTTTCCAAGGGAAGAGGGCAAAAAGTGGCCTGGGCTCTGTTGGTGTGCGTGTTCCGTGGCGGAGAGAAGAAAATGGGAAAGACATCTCACTGGTGCTTTTCTCTTTTGTTTTAGTGCCCCCCGCCCCCATCCCTATAATATCTGTAACTACTCCTAAAAAGGTTTTGATTCAGGCTTTTTTTTGGTTTCATTTTGTTTTTTTAAGAAAAAGAAAATGAAAGGAAAAAAATAAAAGATCCAGTGTCTTTCTTACAACATATTCTTTTATTGCAACATTTTCCTCAGTTTGGAAAACTGTGTCCCCACACGTAGGTCCTTCTAGAATATTGTAAGTCAATAGAAGAAGGCCTGTCGCTCACACACTGGGATTCCCACCTCGCTGGACCCCAGGTCAGATAGCACCAGGGCCTGTGTTTCTTAGGCCGAAGGTCCTGCCTCCAGGAAGGTGGGCTTCCCTTCGTGGTCCATAAAGAAAGACAGATACTTGGATGCAACCACCAGGGGAACAGCCATCCTCCAATAGAGGCACACGACTCACTTAGGCCTGGGCGACAGCCCCAACGGGATGGCCTGAGAACCCCAGAGAGGCTGGTGTCCCAAGGACTCTGCCCGAGTACCCAGAGGCCACCATCAAAAGGGAGCAGGGAGGGGCAGGGTGGGGAGGTGGGGCCTGAATTTCTTCAGATGAACTCATCAACCACTTCTGCTATGCAGATTTAACCCAGGCAGTCCAAGAGGGGCTCCTCTGGATTGGAAGATCTCTCCCAAATAGAGGAATCATTTATACACTGTAACATAGTCGGTGGCAGACATTAGTGCCCAGCTGGGCCTCCAGACAAGTGACCCTGGGGTTGGCCAGGAAACCAGAAGCACAAAACCACAAAGTCCCTCAAGGGCCCTCTCCCCATTCCCAGCATCAGCTGGAGTTTTGTCACTTACAAATCTGCCCATAAGTAACCTAGAAATATGCTGGGGGTCACCCGCAGAAACCCCCTCTGCTCGCTAATGGGTAAGCAGATGGCACCCCGCAAAGAGTCACATTATCTGCCCTTCCTTAAACACCTCCAATGGCTGGCAGGCCAGGCTGCAGTCTCAACCCCTGCTAGCCGTGTAAAAATGCACTCTGTCAGGGTGGGGTAACCAGAAGAGCACATTTATCTAGCTCTTTCTTCTTAAATGAAACCTGTGGTATGGAGTAGGATCTAAAAGTGGAAATGTGCTGGCCGCAGTGGCTCACGCCTGGAATCCCAGCACTTCGAGAGGCCAAGACGAATGGATCACCTGAGGTCAGGTGTTCGAGACCAGCCTGGCCAACACAGTGAAACCCCGTCTCTATTTAAAAAATACAAAAATTAGCCAGGCATGGTGGCACGTGCCTGTAGTCCCAGCTACTTGGGAGGCTAAGGCAAGAGAATCACGTGAACCCAGAAGGCGTAGGTTGCAGTGAGCTGAGATCGTGCCACTGCACTCCAGCCTGGGTGACAGGGCGAGACTGTCTCAAAAATAAATAAACAAACAAACAAATAAAGTGGAAATGTAGGAAGGCCATGAGGCTTAAGGAGCACAGGGATTATGCACCTGTTAGCAAATTGAAAACAAGGCTCCTGTGAAGTCCCTGGTTGTTGCAGAATGTATGGGCTCCCCGACCGTGTGATGGCAGAGATTTGGGGTGCTGGGCCTCTCTCCACCTCAGGTCCCTCCTTTGTTCTCAATGTGCAGCTCTCCTTCCTGCCCTCACAGACAGACACTGGCCACCAGAGCCCAGCAATCTGCCCTGCTCTGAGAGCTCTAAATGGCACGCGTCATGACCACAAGCACGTACACACACATGCACATCCCAGAGGAGGCAGGTGCAGAGGAAGGGCTGGCTGTGGCCTCCCCAGCACCATGCAGCCAGCACACATGAGCCGCTCACCCAGTACCACAGCAAGCACACCTTCCAAACCCAGAAAGTATCCTCTAAGGGGGGTATTTGTTTAATACCTCTCTCTCTCCCATTTTTGTTTTATACAAGTTGCATTTCTAGCCACCACATCATTGGCATCTTATTCCAGAAGAATAGCATTAGTTCTAGCACTTGCCAGGCGGGTGCCATGCGCCAAGCAGTCCGTACGCCCACCTGCTGCGGTAGTTCTCCCGCCTGGCCTCTCCATCAAGGTGGAGACTGCCTCATGGTTTTCCAGCTCGTAGAGACGAACAGGTCCCGGCTCTTGGTCAGCCGAACCATGAGCCGGCCCACATAGAAGCCACTGATTTGGCCCACACCGTCATTTCTCCCCATGGACAGGAGGAACGTCAGTGCACCTGCAAGCAGAGACACAGAAACAACCAGAACCTCACTGAACCGCCTGGGGCTGCACCTCCCAGAGTGCCGATCCTTCCCGAGGCCTTCAGACTCAGGGCCGGAAATGTGAAATCGCTTTAGGAAGGTGGGTGAGACCCTGATTTTTTTTTGTTTGTTTTTTTGAGACAGAGTTTTGCTCTTGTTGCCCAGGCTGGAGTGCAATGGTGTGATCTTGGCTCGCTGCAACCTCCACCTCCTGGGTTCAAGCCATTCTCCTGCCTCAACCTCCCGAGTAGCTGGGATTACAGGCATGCACCACCACACCTGGCTAATTTTGTATTTTTAGTAGAGACGGGGTTTCTCCATGTTGGTCAGGCTGGTCTCGAACTCCCGACCTCAGGTGATCTGCCCGCCTCGGCCTCCCAAAGTGCTGGGGTTACAGGTGTGAGCCACCGCGCCCAGCCTATTTTTAAAGAGCTCTAAGGGGATGTTTCCATCACCAGCTTGGAGAGTTTGTTCTAGTGGCCAGGTATGGGATAGCCCAAAAAGGCTTCCCCATGTTTAACCCCAAACTCTATTAAAACTGCAAAGCACATGGGGCCTCTCTTACCCGGCTTGTAGGCCTGGAGAGGCCGCTGCTTCACAGAGTTGACGATGTTGGCCACGGCGATGTTGGCGTGGAGGCCGGCAAGATAGGCCATCTTGGGCGTCCTCACGTCGGCACAGTCACCAATGGCGTAGACGTTGCTGTGGCCCTCCACCTGGAGGTGCTCGTTCACTCTCAGAGCACCACTGCTGGCTAGTCTGCTCTCTGCCAGAAGAAATGACACCGAAACCAAGACACTGAGCTGCTGTGTTAAGTGGCCACCAGGAGGAGGAGAGGGCGAGCTCTAGACACTGGTCAATAGGTGCTGGTCAGGTCACCCTCCTGAGGCATGACCACCCCCTGGAGGTGCCTGCTCTAGAGGCCACCCTCCCACCTAATGTATTCCCCCCTGAAGTCTCTACCTCACAACTCTTCCTGCAGAGGCAAGGTTGCTGATGCCAGAGTGGAAATGGGTCAAAATACCAACAAGCCTCCTTTTAGAAATGTACATAACTCTCAACAAGTTACAATGATCAGCTGAGTCTTGAATTGACTTTTGAATGTAAGTGAGATTTTAAAAATAAATGCAGGCCAGGTGTGGTGGCTCATGCCTGTAATCCCAACTCTTTGGGAGGCCGAGGCGGCCAGATCACTTGAGGCCAGGAGCTCAAGACCAGTCTGACCAATATGGTGAAACCCATCTCTACTAAAAATAGAAAAATTAGCCGGGCTTAGTGGCATACAGCCGTAATCCCAGCTATTCGGGAGGCTGAGGCACAAGAGTCGCTTGAACCCAGGAGGTGGAGGTTGCAGTGAGCCAAGATCACGCCACTGCACTCCAGCCTGGATGACAGAGCAAGACTCTGTCTCAAAAAATAAAAATAAAAAACAAAACTGAAGCATTAAAAATAAATGCAGAGCTTTAATAAATGGCAAACTGCTTTTTTAAAGGGACTTTTAAAAACTTGTATTTGAAAATACAACATTAGGACAATTTGGTATTAAATTCTGGGATCTCTGTCCATTATAAGCCCTCAATCCCACTGCTACACACAGCCTGGACTGGCTTCCTTTTCCTGGGATTGGATCATTACTTCCTGCTGGACACAAGGCAGGAGCTCCTTGTCAGGGAAGGGCATTTGGGAGTAAATGACAGGGAATTGAGGACACAAAGCAACCACCAGGCCTGGCCACTGAGTCTCCTGCTCACAAATGGAGGCTTAAACACACATCAGTCCACCTCTGCCACCTCCAGCCAGCTAAATACGCAAATACTGAGCTTTAAGAAACGAGGCCATGTTACCAACCCCACTCCCCAGTCAATCCAAGCTCAAGAGACCAAATGTTTTGATCTGGGTTTGGGGGCGGCAGCACGCCTGCCAAGAGAGGAAGGCCTGACCCTGAATTTCCTCTGTCCTCAGGTGAGGGGGAAAGAAACACCACCAACCTTTGTCATCTCTCTGACGCCTGTTCCCATCTCTTACCACTAGGGGGCGGCCCTAATTTCAGAAGATTCTGGTCACCTTGGCCACCTGGGGCCGAGCCATGGTCACAGCTGAGGAGAGCTCAGCAAGGGTGGACCCTCACTGAATTTAAAGTCTGAGCTGTTGGGAAGAAAGGGGGAAGGCAGCAAGGTGTGGACTCCTGGGGGCAAGCACTGCAGGGCATTCAGAGGGTACTGGAGAGCAAGGAGGCACAGGGGAAGCCCGGCTGGGCACCTGCTCACCAAACGCTTTGCGGTAGGCGGAGCTGTTGATCTTGATGCCGGTGCAGAGAATCACCAGGTTGGTGGCCACCTCTGTGCCTTTGTCCGTCTGCACTTTGATGTACTCTCGATACTCATTGAGAGGCAGCTCCTCCAGATTGCTCACCCGCTCACCTAGAAGGGGGTTCATGACCAGGAGGCTGGTGGGGACAGGGACCCCATCAAGCCTGGACCCCAGGCCAAGGCTAACCCTGGGGAGGGCCTGGACCTCTGGGGCCCAACTGGGCAATGGCTGCACCCTGTCTTCCCACCATGCCCCTCCCTCAGTCCACTCTATGCCCCACAAAGCTGATCTGGACATCTGGCCCCGAGGGGTCCCTCTGGAGAAAAGTTCCAAGAAGCCCCTGGAGGGAAGCGAGGCTGTTTCCCAAGAAGTTCTCAGAAAAGCTGTTTAATGGAAGATCTCAGACGCGCCTCTTATGAGTGCCAGCCGTGCCATCCTAACTAGGCAGGACGAGCGCTCCAAGTGCACCACGACAAAGGGGAAAGCCAGAGAAAGAGAAGCCAGCTCGCTACACTCACTGCCTAAAGTGACAGTGACGGCAGCACTCCACAGCCAGTTACCAAAAGGAGGCTGAGGCAGCCATGCGGGCCCTTCACAGGACAGGTGCCTCACCCTCCCGCAAACAGTGAGGGGGCTGGGGCCCCATGCAGTGAAGTGTAGGGGCCACAGCGCTGGAAGAGAACCTCACTTTCCAGCATTTGCTGGGTGGGTCTCGTCCCCTGCTCTACAAGAAGGCCACACTCCTCACCACTCTCAAAACATAAACCAATAAACCTATTCCCTCAACCACAGAGACATCCTATTTGGGGCAAATCCTTCAGATGCACTCAAGAAAAATCATTCAGCAGACAGGCATCCCACCATCTGCACTGCATCCAAAGCAATAACCAGGACATGGAAATCCCGTAAGTACCAGGCCCTCTTCCCTGCCCAGGGACGGGCACAACTTCCAGCTGGACAAGGCTCAGATGGGCTTTGATGTTCACGGCCTCTTCTGAGCGCTTCATGCTCCACCCCAGGACACAGTGGAAAAGAGAGAGCCTGGGGTGGACCATAGCCACCCTCCTGCTGGAAGCAGTCACCAAGCCTCCAAGCCACATCTCACCAGGCCAGGGCAGGGCAGGGAGGGAGGTGAGGGTGCACGTACTCAGCAGCAGCTGCACGCCCTTCCGGAGGAGGATCTCCTTCACTTCCTGCCGGACGGAGGGCAGGAGCTCCTTGTCAGCCAGGGCCACTTGGGAGTGAATGAGAGTGACCTGAGGACAAAACGACCACAGGGCCTGAGAAGGAGCCCCCAAGTCTTCAAACACAATCATTGCACGAACGTCCACCTCCACTCATACCTCCAGGTTACAGATGAGGAAACTGAAGCTCCAGAGAAGTAATCTGTCCAATGCCAGGACCAATTAGTGGTGAGCTGGGCTTAAGCCCACATGTTCTAGACTAGGACTCTTTCAGTACCCTCCTGCCACACCCAGGCCAGAGGACTACCAATATGCCAACATGTCACAACCTACACCTCACCTAGGGCCACCTGGAAAATTATCTTCAAGCATCCTTGGGCACTTATAATTATACAAGCCATGGGCATTCCAACAGTCAATCAGACTGATGTCAACATTAAAGCTTGTTTAAAATTAGTGCTTCCAGGCATGTCTACTTGCTGTCTGGGACAACACAGGGAAGCGTCCCGGGCACCTCATGTTGCAATCATGTTCAAAGCCTGGGCTTTGGTATCAAATTGCCTGGGTTGAAATCCCATCTCTGATACTCACTTGGACACCTCCCAAAGGCTCATTAACATGGGCACAATAGCCCCACTCATAGGAATTTTGTAATGATGAGCAAAAAAATACGTACAAAGCATGTAACTCAGCACATATTAAGTCCTTAATAAAGGGTGGCTGCTACTACCCTTACTGTCTACAAATCCTAAACATGTGGATATTTTACTGAGTTACTTGAACTTTTTTACTACTTCAGACTGGTCTGACCCCTGTGAAATAAGAAGAAAAGTATATATTGGTCTCTGCCCCCAGTTCCTGATGCAGAGCTCTTAAAACCCTTGTAAATTGGGGTACTAAGAATCATTTGTTCTAATATTTGGTCCTCATTGCCGGTTCTTGATACAGAGCTCCTGAGATCTTTGTAATGTCCTGAGTGATGGGAGGGTCTGACATAGAGCTCCTAACTCCTTGGATGTTCCCGGGTGATGGGAGCATCTTTTGTTCTAATGAAGCTACTCCTGATGGGCTCCTGGATGATCGCTGGTCACCAGAGAGACCAAGCCAGCTTAGAAGTCTGGAACTTTCAGCTCCAGTGACGAGAGGGGGCTGGAGATTGAGGTCATAATCAACCTTGCCTACCTGATGAAGCCTCCATAAAAATCCCTAAAGTACAGGGTTCAGAGAGCTTCCAGGTTGGTGAACATGTCCACATGCCAGGACAGTGATGCACCCCAACTCCATGGGGACAGAAGCCCCTGTGCTCAGGACCCTTCTAGACCACGCCCTATGTGCCCCTTCATCTGAATGTTCATTTTTATCCTTTAAAACATCCTTCGTCATAAATCAGCAACAGCAAGTAAACTGTCTCCCTGGCTTCCATCAGCTGCTCTAGCAAATTATTTAACCCAAGGAGAGAGTCATGAGAATCTCTATCTTGTAGCCAAGTGGGACAGAAGCGTGGGTAAGCTGGGGACCTATGGACTTGCAACTGGTGTTTGAAGTCGGGGCAGGATCGTGGGACTGAGCCCTTGACCTGTGGGGTCTGCGCTAACGCCAGGTAGTGTCAGAATTGAATTGAACCGTAGGACACCCAGCTGGTGTCAGAGAATTGGTCAGTGGGGGAAAAACCCACACATCTTATCCCAGAAGTGTGGAGTGAGTAGGGAGAAAAACAGTTTGGTTTTTCCCTATAGAACCCTCATACATCAAAATGAATGAATGTAACTAGATCAATCACTCATCATAATTTCCAACAATTTGTCAGAGAACAGCCATATAATTAAGTTATCCTCTATTGATTTTTCTTTTCAAAACCAACCTGCCTTTCCCTGAGGAAGAAAGATCCATTCAGAGGCCCCACATGGCTCTCAGAAGCCGATCTGGCTTCAACCGCAAGCAAGCTCTCGCCTAGAGGACCTGTAAGGACGTTTCTCACTCAGCCCTTGCCAAGCCTGGACAGGGTGCCAGGATTTCCTCTTTCTCGCTAGGTTGCCCGGTAGGATCTCTGTCTTTTGAGCATGAGAAAGCAACAGGGCAGGCTGATGTCCCCTCCCCGTTCCCACCCATGGGCAGAAGGCAGTGCTGTTCAGTCATTGCCCAGCGTGGGCAGAAAGGGCTCTGCTGCAGGCTCCCCACCACCATGGGGCTGCTCAGAGCAGGGGCTACCATATCAGGCAGAGACCAAAGCAACAACTGAAGGTGTCTTTGTCCAAGCTGGTTGCCAGCAAGAGGTAATCAAATACTGGTTGCCAGCAAGAGGTAATCAAATATACATTTGTATCACAAAGGCCTGAATTCTGAAGGTGACACAGAAGTTCCGCTTTTGCAAGGTATTGCCCCTGGGCTTGATCCTCCAAGTTGGAGCAGAGGGCAGGACCTTTCCTTGAGAAAGGACACACCCTGAGCAGCTCCGTAAGGTCAGGTGCAGCAGGATCCCAGCTCTGCAGGAAAAATCCCCTATAGAATCACACCTTGGCACAAAACAGAAATACACACTCCCAGTTTATGTGAATAGAGCTCCAGACTTCTCTGCCCTGAGCAAATTCCTGATGTTCCTAAGATAATGCAGAAAAAAGCCAACCACTTAGAGCTCCAAGGCAAGGCAGCCTGGCTCACCTCTTTCTCAGGATATTCTGTTTTAATCTCTGCTGCCATCTCCACTCCAGCCGAGCCTCCTCCCACCACCACGATGAACCGTGAGCGCTGGACCTGGAGAAGAGGACATGTGAAACAGGGACATATGAAACACACCTACACATCCACCTCTGTCTGCTGGTTCAGCCTGTGGTGTGGCTCCCTGGGCCAAAGGAGGGCAGAGAACCCTTTCCACATTTTGAGTCCAAACGTGCTTCCTCCCACCCACCTCGCAGAATTGCTGTGGAAGATTGTGGATCTAAGCCTGCTCTACAAAACAGAGCCTTATGAAAACAGGAGTGGAAGGGACCCGTGAAAAGCCCCAGGAGAGGAAAGTCAGAGACATACCAAGGGCAACATGAGCAGGTTTAGGGTGCTCACATCCTGGCTCCAGCAGCAAGTTCAAGGTCTCTTCCCAGGAAAGTCTCTTCCTAGTGACTCTCCAACTCTATGGCTACAGCCAGCAGCTCTGAGTAACCCCGTGGCCTCCCAGCTGCAGGCCTAGGCATCCCCAAGGCTGTCCTTCCATCTGCCCACACTGCCCCATGCCTTCAGTGCACAGCTCACCTGCCTCACCATGTCCTCATAGGCCTGGATAGCGGCCTGCTGGCTGGAAACCTCATTAAACTTGCCCGGGAAGGGCCCAGTGCTGCCCGTGGCCAGGATAAGATGAGAGAAGGGCAGGGCCTGAGAGAAACCAAAAAAAAAAAAAAAAAAAAAAAAAAAAAGATGAGGGTAGGGCAGGGCAGGGCAGGCCTAGGCCTCTGCATCCTACTCCCGGCCTGCCAGCCGGGACAAACCAGGCAAAGAGGCCCCTCTAGGCACCCGAGGCAGCCCCCATGGGAGGGGGTGAAACCACCACACTGGTTAGCCCAAAGGATGGCACTAGAACCTGGGGAAAGACCTAAGGAAGTAGAGTTTACCTCCGCGTGGAGAATGTGGGGGCAACTGGAGCCACCCAGCATGGCAGTGGGAGGGGTGCCTGGAAGCAGGAGGCAGGGCTGCAGGATAGGACACTGCCCACGGGAGTTAGCTCAGAACCTCCCGGGTGTTTTAGAAGAACCCTCCTCCTGCCTCCGCCAGGAAGAAAAGAAAGGGAAAGAAAGAAAGACTGATCAGTAGTGGCATCACATCTGTGAACAGCCACTGCACTGAGCAACATACCAAGACCCCATATTAATTTAATTTTTAAATTAAAAATAAATAATAAAATAATTTAATTTTTATTAAATATTTTATTAAAAAATAATTTAATTTTTTTAAATTAAAAATAAAAAAAATTTTAGGCCGGGCACAGTGGCTCACACCTGTAATCCCAGCACTTTGGGAGACCAAGGCGGGCGGATCACCTGAGGTCAGGAGTTTGAAACCAACCTGATCAACATGGCAAAATCCCATCTCTACTAAAAATACAAAAATTAGCTGGGCGTGGTGCCATGCGCCTGTAATCCCAACTACTCAGGAGGCTGGGGCAGGAGGATCGCTTGAACCTGGGAGGCAGAGGTTGTGGTGACCCGAGACCATGCCATTGCACTCCAGCCTGGGCAACAAGAGCGAAACTCCATCTCAAAAACAATTAAAAAAATTTTTTTTTAATTAAAAAAATTGTAAACAAAGAAAAGGAAATCTTGTTTGGAGCCTAAATATATAAAGTTGACAAAAACAGAGCTGCTCCAATGGGAGGGGCTGGAGGGCCTGGACTCCACTCAGCCCCTACTTTCCCCTGAACCTCCAAGATGCCCTCATGGAATCTTCCAGGGCTCTGAAACGCATGGCTGGAGACTGCAGGACCAGGGGACACTCAGTAATCTTTCCAACCAGGAAACTATCTGGCCCCATTAATTCAAGAAGGGCTGGGTCACACGAAATCACAACTCATCAAGGAAAGGAATTGTGTTTCCTTTTGTCAACGCCCCCTTAGCTTCAAACACCAAATGGGGCTGGGCTGGACATGACACTCATCCAGAGCTGGTGGCAGCTTATCGATGGAGCTGAAGTCATGGCAGGTGTGTTCCAGGCTCCATGATGCACATGTGAGGTGGGGGAACACACAAATGAGTGAAGGGAAACCTCTGCCCCAGTGACGTCCCGATCCGGGGGATGTGGGACCATGCGTGTGCCTTTTTGTTCTAGACAGAGCCGAGGGCTGGCCAGGCCTGGGAGTTGTCTGGGACGCTGGCTTTTAGAGCATGGGCTCTGGGCTAAAATTGCATGGGTTCAAATCCTAGTTCAGTCTCTTACCAGCTGTGGGATCTTAAGCAAGCCATTTAACCCTTTAGCTTCTCTGTAAAATGAAGTTATACCACCTTCGCCATAGAGGCACGGTAAACATTCATGAGACTTACGTAAAGGCTACAAACAGGGCCTGGCATGCAGGAATTACACAAGAAATATCTGCCACCATATTCTTGTGGTTGCTGTGGTCAAGCCTTTGTTTATGAGGAATCCGCTATCTGCCCAGCACCAGGCAGGGCTTGGGGCTCACAGACAGCATTCTCTTTTTTTTATTTTTATTTTTTGAGATGGAGTCTCTGTCTGTCACCCAGACTGGAGTGCAGTGGTGCAATCTCAGCTTACTGGAACTTCCACCTCCGAATTCAAGCAATTCTCCAGCCTCCTGAGTAGCTGAGATTACATGCGCCCACCACCACACCCAGCTAATTTTTGTATTTTCAGTAGAGACAGGGTTTTGCCATGTTGGGCAGGCTGGTCTCAAACTCCTGACCTCAGGTGATCCGCCCGCCTTGGCCTCCCACAGTGCTGAGATTACAGGTGTGAGCCACCGCCCCCAGCCTAGCTCTCTCTTGACCCTGGAGGATCCCGCCCAGGCCCTGCAGAGGGCCCTTGAGCCAGCTGGCAGCCGGGCTGGCCCTCACTCACCTCGCCACCCTGCAGCAGCACCATCTGGTTCTTCAGGTCTATCCCCACTACTAGCCCCTGCCGGAAGTTGTCCTTGAAAGTCACCGAGTAAGAAATGAATGTCTTTTTGGCGAACCCTGGGGAAGGGACACAGAAGAGGTCATAGGGCAGAGCCAGGCTGCCCACGGGAAGCCAGAGTGACTCAGAACCTTTCACGAGCTGCAAACCAACAGGGGTGCCCTTGACCAAAGCGTCGGGCCATTAGGTATGCCTGGGGTACCCCTACTTCCTAAAATGCCAATCTGGGCCTCAGACCGTCAGAAAAGCTCAAGCTTTTACTTCTAGGGTCTCATTGTGGTGGCTACTTAAGACCAAAGACCTTGAGCTTCTCCAGAACTTGTCTGACAGTGGAATGCAGGCACTTGGCCCTAAATGGAGAAAACCACCCCCAGCCCTAAAATCAAGCCCCAGAGCAGAGACAAGACCCCCCTCACAGAGACAGCCCCAGACGGGAGCACATTACCTGTCTCCACGGAGGCTCGGAGAGCAGCCACATTGTGGTGGAAGGAGTCCTTCATGTCCACCAGCATGAAGGGGACGTTCAGGGCCTGCAGCTGGCTGGCTGCTGCGATCCCGCCAAAGCCCCCACCCACAATCACCACGTGCAGAGCTCCCGATTCCACCGAGACCTGGGACCCCATCTCAAATCAGGCACTGCTGGGAAGAAAGAGGAGAGCATATCAGAGTCAGGGAGGCTGGGAGGGCTGGGAGGACCCACAGTGAGAGAGGCCTCGATCATGAATTGACCTTTTTAGATGAGGTAAATCTTTGATTAATGAAACTCCAATTTTATAAAATTTGAATTAAATTCAGAAGGAACAAGGGGGTATCCCACTTCCAGCCCATTCCCCAAACACCAAGTTCCCTTCTCCAGAGGCATCCACTGTTACGTAACAAGTTTGGATGACTCCTTCCAGAGATAGTTTATGCAACTATAATCACGATTATTTTTTGCACCCATTAAACAAAGTGTTCTGCACATTTGTTTTTTACTTGATATATTCCATCAAAGACTTTTGGGAGAGATTGCAGTGGGGCAGGAGGAAAAAAAAGACTTTTGAAGAGGGGAATAATGTTCACTCAACAACATATATGAATTGAACTCCTGCTTTTTGACATGCTCTGTGTTGTGTATCCTGTGGTCAGACAGGCAGATATGGTCCCTGCCCTTATAAGGGCAGACCTTACAAAGTCAAAGAACCAGGTGGGCAATGTCAATGATGTGAGAAGCTGGGAAAAGGTGCAATAACAAGAAACAGTGGGCACACCTGTGGGGAACCAGCAAGCATAGGCCACATCTAAAGGAACAACAAAAAACATTCTTTAAGCACTGCACTAAACAAACACCGCAACCAGATTCAGCCCAGCTCACAGGTCACCAACTTAAGGTCCAGGTCTAAGGAGGTCAATTAGCAGGTTACGACAAGAATCCTGCAAAATTCTGCTTCTAGGGTTTGAATATGTCTCCCAAAAAGGAACAGTGTTAAGAGGTGGGGCCTAATCGGAGGTGTTTGGGTCATACGGTCTCCACCCTCATGAATGGATTAATACCAATTATAAAAGGGCTTTGAGGCTGCAAGTTCAAGCTCTTCCTCTCTCTCGCTCTCTCTTTTGCCTTCCACCATGGGATGACTCAGCATGAAGGCCCTCACCAGACACTGGGCCCTTGATCTTGGACTTCCCAGCCTCCAGAACCATGAGCCAATACATTTCTGTTCATTATAATTACCTAGTCTGTAGTATTCTGCTGTAGCAGCAGAAAACAGACTAAGACAAATGTGGTGTGAACTAAGACTGTGATCATGGAGTAGGAAGGAGGGGCCACAACCATATGCTACAATGCCTGGCTAATTTTTTAATTACTTGTAGAGATGGGGCTGGGTGTAGCAGCTCACGCCTGTAATCCCAGCACTTTGGGAGGCTGAGGAAGGAGGATCTTTTGAGCCCAGGAGTTCCAGACCAGCCTGGGTAACATAGAGAGACTCTGTCTCTACAAAAAAAAAAAAAAAAAAAAAAAAAAAAAAAAAAGCCAGGCGTGGTGATGGGCACCTATAGGCCCCGCTAATTGGGAGGCCGAGGTGGGAGGATCACTTGAGCCAGGGAGGTCAAGGCTGCAGTGAGCCGTAACTATGCCACTGCACACCAGCCTGGGCCACAGAGTGAGACCCCATCTCAAAAAAATAAAACAATAAAAATAATAAATATTGGTAGAGATGGGGGTCTCCTTTTGTTGCCCAGGCTGGTCTCAAACTCCTGGGCTCAAGTGATCCTCCCACCTCAACCTCCCAAAGTGCTGGGATTACAGGCATGAACCACTGCACCCAGTCCCCATTTCTTTGTATGACCTCAAGATGGTATATAAGCTTCTGTACCTCTTTTGGGGGTCGGGTCTTCCTTCTGAAGGCTCCTGTGTATACACACATTAAATAAATTTATATTTTTATATTTGTATAAAGTTGCCTTTTATCCAACTCAACAGCCTTGGGCCCTACAGCAGCAAAGTTGCCTGGGCTCCCCAAGCCAGCCTGGAAGGCTGGTAAACAGGGTTACCTGTGCATCCCAGAGTCTGCCCCAGACAGAGGAGGGCCCAGGGGCTGGCCTGGGGCTGCACCAGAGGCCTTGCCTCCAGCCCAGCAGAACCCCAAATTAGGATGCTTGCAGTGTGGGCCTCAGGCAGGCAGAGGGCTGCTGGTGTGGGAGGAGCCGCACAGCCCATTGAGGGGCACTCTTGACTGCAGCTGAGACCCTGAGAGGTGACAAGCAATCAACCCTCCTCCTGGCCTGTGCTGAGCCCTAAAGAGAGGCAGAAATAAGCCAGGCTGCTGGGGGGAGATGCTGAGAAAAAGAAACAAAACTCACACTATACAGAAAGCAGCCCCAGAGGCTCAACAGCTGCTGTGGGCTTCAGGAAGGGGGACTGGAGCGGGTGTCAGCGAAGGAGGAAGTAGACTCTGAGGTCAACCTTGAAGGATAGACATCAAGCCACTGAACAGCCTCATAAGGAAGTGTGTTCCAGCTCATCTGGGACCCTCAGGCCGCTGGAAGGCCACTGCACTGCCCTGATCATCTTTGCGGGTCTGGGGCACAACCCCTTCCCTCTCTAGGCCTCAATTTACCCCCTATAATGGGAGGGGACTATAAGGCCCAACCAGCTATAATATCCTGAGCTGTCCTCGTACACACTGGTTTCCAAGACATGGTGGTGGTTCCCCAAGACGGTCCCCAAATCATCCCACACTTATGGGGCAGCTTTTGGTTAGAACTCCGGGCACTGTTCCCATTGGTGTTCAAATGCCCACTGCCTAACTTCTCCCCTGGGGGCGGACAGTAGAGCGGACGGAGGGCACTGACACAATGGATTGGAGGGAATTTAAAGTTGTTTCTCGTGGGTCAAATGGTCCCCAAAGCATTGAGGCTTGAACATACCCATTTCACAGATGAGGAGGCTGAGCCCTCGTAGAGATTAGGACCCAAGACAACCCCCCGGCAGGCAGGGCCACCCTGGCTCCTCTAAGCCCTCAGAAGGGTTGTCTAGAGCTAATCCCAAGCGTACCTCAGGCTGAATCTGCCAACTGGGCCAGAAGGGAATGTCTCCTAGGGACCAGGACCCAGGAGGGCCCACAGGCCCAGCCAGAGGTAGCAGTGCACACCAGGAGCTGCGCAGGGCCTGAGAATGTAGGCAGTGATGAGGCAGGCCGTGGGTGGCGTGTGTTTCACCAGCCCCTGGCAGCGTGCAACCCTCTGTGCTGGGTCTTACCCTTGGGGCTGTCAGCCAGGGATGAGGTCAAGAAAACACCCAGAAAGCCCCACTTCCAAGTTAGCTGGGCATGGCCCCTGAGAGGGGCTACGCAGCTGGCCGGGGATAGGGACAGGGGAGTCCACTGTGCGTCAGGTCACACTGGAGCACCCAGGGACACTCAAAAAGGACAGCCTAGAGCCCTGAAAAAGAGCTGAGATCAGGGGGCCTTCCTAGCAGAGGAAACAACTTGGGCCAGAGGCCCAGTGGCAGGAAGGGAGGAGGCAGGTAGAGTTCAGGGCACCTGTGGCAGAAGGTGGAGAGGCTTAGAGGACAGGTGACAGGGGCCGACAGACAGACAGCCTGCCATGCCAGGGCAGCTTTGACAATCAGGTGGACATACAAGCCTGCTCCGGGCCCTTCATGGGGTTTCCTCCAGGGAAAGAAAGTCTAGTGACCCCAGAGTGGACCTCAGGGGCAATGAGTTGACCAAAGGAGCCAAGCCCTTGACCCCCAGGCCCCTAGTATCATCAACCTGCTTCCCCGAAAGGGCAAACTCTTGCCTCACCCAAGGAAGGCAAATTGCTTATCTGGGGTTCCCTGTGAAGGGCCTGGGGCCTGAGGGGACACCCAGACCAGAGCAGGGCCAGGGAGGGGAGGCACTTTTCCTCTTCAGGCTGCCTGAGGCCTCTCCTGCAATCTGCTCTCTCTCTCTTCTCTCTCCTCTACTGACCCCTGCCACGCTTACTTGTGGAATAGGGAGGCCAGTGACTCTCCAGCAGATTTCACCCTGCCTCTTTGGCAGCCCCTTGCCCAATACTCTTGGACATGCCGACTCTCTTTGGCTCTGCCAGTGTCGGTTCTTGCCTGGCCCCAGAAAACAGTGAACTCCCCTCTGCTTGGCCATGATCTACTTGGCCAGACACCTAAAGCAAGGGCTTAAGCCATGGAGCTGCATTTCCAGCCACACACCCTGTAGGAGATGAAAATGCACGTATGGAATTAGTGGATGCCCAGTTGTATGTTCTAACATAGCAGTAGTGCTGTGCAAACCTCCACCTGTGTGACACTCCATCAATCAATGGAAACTGCCACCAATGAGAGGCTACAGGATAAAATATTATAAACCCATACAATGCAGTACTGTGTAGCCAGTTGTTTTTAAAGGGTGAGTGATGTTTTGTTTTGTTTTTGAGATGGAGTCTCACTCTATTGCACAGGCTGGAGTACAGTGGCTCAATTTCAGCTCACTGACTGCAACATCTGCCTCCTGAGTTCAAGCAATTCTCCTGCCTCAGCCTCCCAGGTAGCTGGAACTACAGGCATGTGCCATCATGCCCGGCTAATTGTTTTTTGTATTTTTAGTAGAGTCAGGGTTTCGCCGTGTCGGCCAGGCTGGTCTCGAACTCCTGACCTCAAGTGATCGGCCTGCCTCGACCTCCCAAAGTGCTGGGATTATAGGTGCGAGCCACTGTGCCCAGCCTGTGAATGACGTTTTTATACAAAAAGTCTGTCCATGAAAAAGTCAGGCAAGGGCTGGGTGTGGTGGCTCCTGCCTATAATCCTAGCACTTCAGGAGGCAAAGGCAGGAGGACTGCTTGAGCCCAGGAGTTTGAGGCTGCAGTGAGTAACTTTACCTTTGCTCCCTCCCACAACACACACACACAAAGACACACATACACAATCTGATTTACACAAAACATGTTTTCAAGGTTCATCCAAGTTGTAGCATGGATCAGTGCTTCATACCACTGCACTTCGGCCTGGGCAACAATGTGAGACCCTGTCTCAAAAGTAAAAAAAAGAAAAGAAAAAGTCAGGCAATATTTATTTATTTATTTACTTATTTTTAATTTTCTTAGGGACAGGGTCTTGCTCTATCACCCAGGCCAGAATGCAGTGGCATGATCATAACTCATTATAACCTTGAACTCCTGAGCTGGCTAATTTTTTTTTTTTTTTTTGTAGAGATGAGGGTCTCACTATGTTGCCTAGGCTGATCTTGAACTCCTAGCCCCTCAAGGGATCCTCCTGCCTTAGCCTCCCGAAGCACTGGAATTACAGGGGTAAGCCACTGTGATTTCGAGCTGTAGAAAAGATTCAATGAGATCATTTACGTAAAGCATTTTAGCATGGTGCCTGGCACAGAGTAGCAATGAATACACAGCAGCCACGTTTTATATATATATATATAAAATATATGTTGCAGATTAGTTTGCCCAGTCCCAAAAAGTCAGGCCACAGAACCACATGAAAGATCTAATCCCATTTATGGCCAATAAGACACATCCACCTCGGTATGTATACACATATACAGGTAATGATTACAGCAGTTAGCATCTGTTGCACTTTTGCCCATATCTTCGATTTAAGGTATGAGTTTTTTCTCCTTATTTTGGAAAAAAGTTCAACAACTTGCCCAAGTTCAATTCTCAACACATCAAACCTGCTGTCTGAACCAAAGTGCTAATAGTGGTCATAGATAATGTTTTCATTTTCTTCCTTAAGCTTTTGTATTGTTTGAATTTTTTTCAAACAAGCATATGTCATTTTTGCAGAAATAATGTCTTTAATAATAGGACAGACCGCTTACCATCTAATTTTTTAATCAAAATAGAATTCACATATACAATTTACCACTTAAGATGTAAGTTCACAGTGAGCTATGATTGCACCACTGCACTCCAGCCTAGATGAGACCCCATCTTTTAAAAAAAAAAAATGAGATGTAGGCTGACTCACACCTCTAATCCCAACACTTTGGGAGGCCAATGCAGGCAGATTGCTTGAGCTCCGGAGTTCCAGACCAGCCTGGGCAATATGGTGAAACCCCATCTCTACAAAAAATACAAAAATTAGCCAGGCATGGTGGCACATGCCTGTGGTCCCTGATATCAGGAGGCTGAGGTGGGAGGATCGCTTGAGCCTAGGAGGTCGAGGTTGCAGTGAGGCATGATCATGCCACTGCACTCTAGCCTGGGCGCCAGAGCAAGACTCTGTCTCAAAAAAAAATTTTTTTTAATTTAAATTTCAAAAAAAGATGTAAGTTCAGTGGGTTTTAGTGTATTCACCAGGTTGTGCAACCATCACAACTATCTAATTCCAGAACACTTCCATCACCCCCAAAATAAATCCTGTACCCCACCTACCCTAGCCCTGGGTAGCTACTAATGTTCTTTCTGTCTCTATAGATTTGTCTGTTCTAGACAATTCATGTAGATGGAATTATACACTATGTGGCTTTTTGTTTGCGACGTCTTCCACTGATCATCATGTTTTCAAGGTTCATCCGAGTTGTAGCATGTTATCAGTGCTTCATTCCTTTTCCTGGCTGAAAAACAGTCCATTACTGGTGTATGAATAGACCACATTTTGTTTATCCACTCATCAGCTGACGGGCACTTGGGTTGTTTCCACCTTTTGACTATGTGAATAACGCCACTATGAACATTTGTGTACAGGTTTTTGTGTGAACCAGTCTTCAGTCCTCTTTAGTATATATTTAGGTATGGAATTGCTGGGTCATATGGTAACTTGAAGTTTAACTTTTTGAGGAACTGCTAAATCCACCATCTGATTTTGAACTGAACACCAAAGCCCCAGTGGGAATCACAGAGAATCTTAACTATGTCTGTCTAGGTTCAAGAATGTTAGCTTAAAAGAAGGCCTAAGAGAGCGGAACAAACCCTGATTGTCCAGGAACCCCTCAGTAACTTTACCTTTGCTCCCTGCCACAACACACATACACACAGACACACACACACACAATCTGATTTACACAAAAATTTGCTCAGTCAATCCTGTTTTCTCTGCCAAGAGCATCCACCCTGATCTCAAGGGTATTATTCCACAATAAGCAGCCCATAGGACTACTGAAAAACCAGGAAGTTACATTTATGCCAAAGCTGTTCAGAGGTTGTGCCTCAGAAGACACACAGCAGGAACCGTGTGGGCTCTGATCAAAGCAAGAATGTCATCCCAGAGTTGCTCCAGTATTGCTTCACAAATATTACAAATAAAACACGATGCTTTTTGAGTCGTCATGGCTCACACAAAGGGTAGGTTTCAACATCAGCCTCTGGAGAGCCACATTCCCAGAGTGGCCGTCCCGGATAAGAAGGCCACTACAGCACGACTCACAGCACCATGGAGGTTTCCTCCACCTGCGGGACACAGCAGGATGGAGACGGTTGGGCGGCCTCCCTTCCTGGGACACTCCATGGCCAGCCCCTCAGGGACTACTTGAAGAACAGAACCCCCAAAAGACCAGTTTCTGAAAAGGGACTCAAAGTCTAAGGGAGGCAGCCTCCTTTTATCCCCAGGGGAGGGCAGCTCTGGGGCAGACAGGTTCATCTGGATGTCATATTCACTCCCGCACAGAAAACCTAGGCCAAGCAATTTGTCCATCCTCCTCAGAGCCAGTTTTGTGGTCCCCATGGTCTGCCCACCACCTGTACCTGGACGCTGGCTTCATTTGGCCACCAGACAAAAGTCAGGCTGGCCCTGGAGTCCACCGGCCTGCCCAGCCCATCACTTCTGGGCTAGGTAGTGCTAAGCCTGCCCAGCCCACCCTGGCTGGGGCTCAGTGCCCTCTTCTTGGTGACACACTGTGCTCCTTGGAGAACTCCTCTCTAGGTGCTGGGGTGAGGGCAGGTGTGATCTGAGATCCCGGGGCTCTCTGGCAGGTGCATGCACGCACACTGGAACCTGATACAGGCTTTTGAACACAGGTGCACAGTCCAGAAACCTGCAAGTCCCATCCCAAACTATATCTGACTCTCTGCCCTATGCCTGTCCTCCTACAGGATCATCAGCCCCCAAGAGACCTCACCACTCCCCATCCTCACCTTAAATTCCAGGGTCAAAAAGACTCTCCTTGTAGGGAAAGGTAGGGTGTGTTGATCAGGTGGTGTTGGAAGGAGAGCCCCAATATAGGCCACTAATTCAGTTCCAGGTGGACTGCACGCGTCCCATCAGAGTTAGTTTACTCACCGCTGGTCTTTGTCCCTGCAGCACCCAGGGCTTCGGGAAGGGAGAAGCAGACTTCCTAGTGCTGCACCCCCCAGCTCCCCCGAGCCTATGGGCACTGGGTTGACTCCAGTTTCTTTCCTCTTAGAGACTGAGGTTTCTCCCTTTCCTCTCACACCTGCTTCTGTCCGGACCGGCCGCTTCTACCCAGCGGACCCTCGGACGGTCCTCGCAAGATCCGGGTTACACCCGCCCCGTGTTCCCTCTTCCCCGGTTCGCCCTTCCCGGCCTAAGCCCATCTTCCTTAGGAAAACTTAGCAGGGATTTAGGGGCCAAACCAGGAGGGTGGAGTTTTCTTTGCCCTCGGCCAGGAGCACATCTCCCTGTTGCGTTTTTTGGGGGAGACAGAGAGGGGCGGGCCTGAGTCGAGTATCCCTCTCCTCGCAGCGCCACAACTGCGCGCACCGACCTCCCCACGCCAGACGCGGCGTGAGCCAGGCCTCTAATCCGCTCGCCCCTCTTCCGGGTCCCGGTCCCGCCCGGGGCGCCCGGGGTCTCGAGAGCCCGCCTGGCGGCGCGATCTCACCTGTCGGCCGCGCCCGCGCGCTCTCGCTCCGGCTCCCGCTCCCGCTCCCGCTCCCGCTTGGTCGTCTTCCCGAGTTACTGACCCGAGGCGCTCCCGGGCGGGGCGTGACTCAGCACTCGTGCTGGTCCCCGACCCCGCGGCAACGCCCCGGCCAGGCCCCGGAAACGGTCCTGGCACGCTGGGGCTGGTCTCCGAACGGCCCGCCGGACTAACCTTGACCCTGAGCGAACGGCCTTGAACTTTGAAACAAATGCTCCCATGGCCAGATGTCGCCTCTCCGGCTCCTGCCAGCACCCGCGCCCCAGTCCTGCCGAGCCATTCAGACTTGGTTTAAAGTGTCCTTTCAGCATACTTTAAAGCAAAAAAGAGAGAGAGAGAGAGAGAGAGAGAGAGAGAGAGAGAGAGAGAGAGAGAGAGAGAGAGAAGGAAGGAAGGAAAACAAGCATCCCCCTGTTCCTCTGATTTTCTCGAGGACACCTTTAAAGCCACTGGAACCTTGGAGAGTGGGGTTCCCCTCACACGTTGGGCGCACTGCCAACATCCTTCCTTCAGACATACACATAATAATTCCGCAAACCCTGTTGAGCTCCTACATTTGCCAGGCACTGTGCTAGGCGTTGGAGGGATAACTTGGAGAGAAAACTGACAAGGTTCCTGCTTTCACGGAGGCGACAGTCTGGGAAAAGACAGATATTAAACACACCACCAAAAAATACATGTATAGAGAAAACAAAAACCATGTATCACCAACTGCAGTAAGAAAGATTGGGCATGGCCAGGCACGGTGGCTCATGCCTACAGTCCCAGCACTTAGGGAGGCCAAGGCGGGAGGATCGTTTGAGCCCAGGAGTTGGAGACCAGCCTGGGCAACATAGCGAGACCTACAAAAATTAGCCGGGCTTGTTGGTGCACACCTGTAGTCCCAGCTTCTCGGGAAGCTGAGGTGGGAGGATTGCTTGAGCCCAGGAGTTTGAGGCTACAGTGAACCATGATCATTCCACTGCACTCCAGCCTAGGTGACTGTGAGATTCTGTCTCAAAAAAAAAATAATAATAATAATAATAATAAATGAAATGAAATGAAAAAATAAAAAAGAAAGACTGAGGGCAAAGGAAGGGTGCAAATACTTCTCTCCAAGGATGAGAAAGAGGTAGATTTAGGTAAAGAGGAAGGAAGTGTGGTCTGGATGTGCAAAGACCCACAGGCAGGACAATGACCTGGAAGGCAGTGTATTGCCAGCTCAAATCAGACCAAGCTAACTCAGCGAAAGATAAGCCATCTCCATCTACTTACTGCAAATATTAGCACCTACTTTAAGAGTTGTGGATAAGGGCCAGGCACGGTGGCTCACGTCTGTAATCCGAGCACTTTGGGAGGCCGAGGTGGGTGGATCACCTGAGGTCAGGAGTTCGAGACCAGCCTGGCAAACATGGTAAAACACTGTCTCTACAAAAAATTAGCCTGGCATGGTGGCACATGCCTGTAGTCCCAACTACTCAGGAGGCTGAGGCAGGAGATTCACTTGAACCAGGAAGGCAGAGGTTGCAGTGAGCGGAGGTCATGCCATTGCACTCCAGCCTGGGCAACAAGAGCGAAACTCCATCTCTAAAAAAAGAAAAAAAGAGTTGTGGAAAGGCCTCAATGAGATCATTTTTATAAAGTGTTTTAACATGGTGCCTGGCACACAGTAGCAATGAATACACAGCAGCCATTTATTATAGATATTTTATATTGCAGATTATTTTGCCCAAGGCAACCAGAATGATTTATTTTTGATGAAAAATCCTACTCATCGTCTTAGAAAAACAATAAGCTAATATTTATTGATCACGAACTAAGTGCTTTGAATGACTTCTCAAGTTTTTTTGTTTGTTTTTGTTTTTTTCACAAAGGTCCTGCAAGGTAAGTTTTATTAATCTCCATTTTGCAGATAAGGAAATTTAGGCTCCTAGAGGCTAAAGAATTTAGGCAAGGTCCCTCAGCTAGTAAAGCAAGGGGGTGGGCCTACAATGGAGGTCTGAACCATGACCCCTTTTTGGGGGGTAGGGGGACGAATCTGGCTCTGTCGCTTAGGCTGGAGTGCAGTGGCATGCTCTCGGCTCACTGAAGCCTCCACCTTCCAGGCTCAAGCGATTCTCATGCCTCAGCCTCCCAAGCAGCTGGAATTACAGGCACCTGCCACCACACCCGGCTATAGTAGAAACGGGGTTTCACCATGTTGGCCAGGCTAGTCTCAAACTCCTGGCCTCAAGTGATCTGCCCACCTCGGCCTCCCAAAGTGCTGGGATTACAGGTGTGAGCCACTGAGCCCAGCCTGAACCATGACCTTAAAGCCAGGAAACCCCTCAGCAAGCATCATCCCTAAGGAGCCAGAGGGCACTGCTCAGGCAAAGCAGAATCTCAGTTGTGGGGAATTTACTGGGCATGTACCCAGTAAGATGTGACACAGAGAGGTGAACAGAGAGGCTACAGCCTGCCCACTGCACGGAATCAGCCCTGAGGCTTGGGATGGTCATGGAAGGCTTTGTGTAGAAGGTAGGCGTGCAAGGATGAAGGGGATGCCAGCTGGCAGGATGCAAGGAAAGGACTCCAGAAAGAGCAGGACAAAGATAAAGCTGGAAGAGAGGCGAGAGAGGTGTGAGGTGGCCCAACACTGGGCTCAGGTGTGCCAGGGCTGGTGTGGCCCATCTCTAAGGACCTGTCCCAAACCATGAAAAACTTTTTTTTTTTCCTTAAGACCTGCTACAAAGCAACAAACCATGAAAATCAAGGAATTTTTCTGATTATCACTCAATACTTTCTTGGCAACCAGAAGACACCTCCATCCAGGAGAGGGGACATGGTCTCATGCAACCCCTCCAGGTAGCTCACTGCACACCACTCCTCTGGTCCCACTCAGCAGTGCCCATAGCTTTGGAACTGAAAATCAGGGCTCGCTGCCTAAAAAAGGGGTTTTGTCTCTGAAATTCCAAGTGCCAGAGGTAGCAGGAAAGTGCGGTGGTTAGGATCCTGAAAAAGTGGCAAGTTCATTCCATGGAACTTTGACGGTTAGTGGGGAGAGCAGGCAGATTGTCTAACATGACGGAATCTAAGAGGAGGAAGCGTTGCTGGCTCTCTGCTGTAATGAGCTCAGCCAGGCCTGTGGGTACTTCCTTACAGACAACAGGTGGCTTTTCTGCTGGCTCCCAGGGCTGGAGGAGCTCCAAGGTACTGGGTCATCTCAGGAGCCCAGAGAAACAGAGGCAGTATGCCCACTCGAAGAACAGGCAACTCTTAGATCTGAAGAGCCTGGTAAATGTTCTCCTTTTCCATACGTAGTTCCAACGAAATTTGTAAGCTTCAAAGAAGAGAGGAATATCCTCGTTTCTTCCTCTCTCCCCCAACACATGATTTGGTATAGTGTTCCCAGCTAGGGAGAGGCTATATTAATGAAGGTAAGTTCTGCTGCAATGACCAATAGATTCCAAATGTAATGGCTCAAATACAACAGAAGTGCACTTCTTGCTAGGGCATGAGTTCCAGGCCAGTGGACTGGTTTATGAGGCTGTCTCCCTTCACACAGGCATCCAGGGACCAGGCTAACAGGACATGGCAAGTGAGTGCCACTCATGGTCCCAAATTAGATCTTTGTTTTTCTTTTTTAGAAACAGGGTCTCCCTCTGTCACCCAGGCTGGAGTGCAGTGGCATGATCATAGCTCACTGCAGCCTCGAACTCCCATGCTCAAGCCATCCTCCTGCCTCAGCCTCCCAAGTAGCTGGGACCACAGGTGTGCACCACCATACCTGGCTAATTTGTGTGTGTGTGTGTGTGTGTGTGTGTGTGTGTGTGTGTGTTTGAAGAAACAGGGTCTTGCTATGTTGCCTAGGCTGGTCTCAAACTCCTGGGTTCAAGCCTCCCAAAGTGCTGGGATTACATGCGTGAGATACAGCACCTGGTCTCAAATTAGGGAGCTCATCAGTTCTACCTCCTGTGTTGTCACTTGATCTCACCACCACCAGTCCTGCCTCAGCCATCTTCTCTCTCACCAAGCCACTGTAACTGGTCCCTGGGCCTGTCTTGCACTTTTCCAATTTTCTCTCCACAAGGAAGCTGTGCCACACTTCCTTGTCCCAGCTCCTGCCACTCTCAGCCTGGAACACTCTGTTTCCAGTCCACTTGGTAAACTCTGAACTCTCTTTTCATGGTTCAGAGCCTGAATCACCTTGAAGCCTTACCTAACCCACCCCTTCTGGGCCCCCAGACATACTCTTCCCTGGACAGAGCTTCCCTGCTTATTGCACTAATGGGCTGACACATCAGTCTCCCCAGAGTAGCCTGTGGGTGCCTTGATGCCTGTATTAGTCCGTTTTCACGCTGCTGATAAAGACATACCTGAGACTGGGATGAAAAAGAGAATTAATGGACTTACAGTTCCACATGGCTAGGGAGGCCTCCCAATCATGGCGGAAGGCAAGGAGGAGCAGATCACGTCTTACATGGATGGCGGCAAGCAAAGAAAGAGAGGGCTGGTGCAGGGAAACTCCCACTTTTAAAACCATCAGATCAGTGAGACTTATTACGGTCACAAGAACAGCACAGGAAAGACCCAGCCCCACGATTCAATTACCTCCCAACAAGTTCCTCCCATGACACGTGGGAATTGTGGGAGTTACAATTCAAGATAAAATTTGGGTGGGGACACACCCAAACCATATCAGTACCCACACGTGCAAGAATAAACCCTCCTCCCCGCCCACCGCAACTCCCTCTCACAGCAAAGTCAGACCTCAGATCTAGGATTCTGCTACCATTAACTTACTGTAGAACTTCTCTTAAACTAGCCATGACCTCTGGACCCATTCCTAATCTGTAAAGGGAGGAACAACCATCCCAGGAGTGTTCTGTGATTGCCCCGTGTTTTAGGAAAAACTCTCCTCAAATCGTGTTTTCCCTCTACTCTCATGCCATCACAATCATCAACACAGAAGACTTCAGTGACCAAATGTGTGTGGGGTTTCCCCACCAAAAGCAGTGGACATCAGCCGGGTGTCCTCTAATTCAGTTCCAACACTATCTACCCAGAGACATTGTCAGACCCCACAGGTTGAGGGTTCAGTCTCCAAGACTGCCCCCCTCAACCACACCAGGCACAAGTCTAGGCCTCCAGAACTTCTGACCAACTGGCTTCAAGTTGAGTTCCCACGACCTCCTTTTTGGGTTCAATTAATTTGCTAGAGTGGATCACAGAGCTCAGAGACACACTTACTTATGTTTACCGGTTTATTATAAAGGATATCGCAAAGGATACAGATGAAGAGATGCACATAGAGCAAGGAATGAGGGAAGGGGAAGGAGTGCAGAGCTTCCGTGCCCTCCCTGGGCACGCCACACTCCAGGAAGTGCCAGGTGTTCAGCTATCCAGAAGCTCTCTGAACCCTGTCCTCTTGGGTTTTTATGGAAGGTTCATGACATCAACATTCCTTCCCCTAGGATTGAGACCCTCTCATGGGAAGGTCTTTAGGACCCACTGTGAAAAAGGTGGGCGAACATTAGTGAAAGGATACCCAGAGGTCAGAGGCCTGTCCCAAGCCCTAACATACCCAGTATTCTAACAAAGACTGGAACAAGGACTATGAGAGTTACGAGTCAGGAATGCTGGATGAAAACCAATATATATCATAACACCACACCCAGCATTGGCACTCAGCACACAGGTGTTAGAAACAAGTTACTCCTAAGCACTCTTCCTGCGTGGCCTCCGCCCACAGCCGCCCCTCACAGGGCTTTCAGCCTGCCAGTAGAAATCACTCGAGGGCCCACACATGCAAGGCCCTGGGCACACGGCACAGTCCTGACTCAAAGAGTTGGCCTCAGCTCCTGGGGGCTGCCCTGGCCTCATTCACCCTTGAACTCCCCAACTGCCACCCACCTTAGGCATTCTTTAAGCATCTGCTGCCAGGTCAAGACCACCACCTTCCGGGACCTGCAAGCCCCACCCAGCTCTGACTGGCACATGACCAGCTATGAGGGCCAGTCTGGCAGGACCGTATCCCGTGAGCTCACACCCTGCTGAGAAAACAGCACAGAAAGGGTGTATTTCTGGGTTGGGCACAGTGGCTCACACCTGTAATCCCAGCACTTTGGGAAGCTGAGGCAGGAGGACTGCTTGAAACCAGAAGGCTGAAGCCAGCACGGGCAACAAAGCAATACCCCATTTCTACAAAAATAAAAAATTAGCCAGGCGTGGTGGTGCGCGACTGTAGTCCCAGCTATTCAGGAGGCTGAGGCAGGAGGTCTCCTGGAGCCCAGGAGTTTGAGGCTGCAGTGAGCTGTGATCGCAACACTGCACTCCAGCCTGGGTGAGAGAGCAAGACCACAGCTCTAAAGAAAAAAAAAAAAAAAAAAGGAAAGGGTGTGTTTCTTTGCCTGGTACTTGCCTATTCCCAGTTCAACTCCTGAAAAAAAGAAACAATTTGATATATAAATACAGAGGTTTTTCAATAGATCATGTTTATTCCCAAGCCCCAACCAGACATGTTCTACCCCTCAAGATCCCTGAGACCCAGGCTGTGGGCTGGAAAATGAAGGCACAGTGTCAAGAGCGCCCCTGTTGGCATATGAAGACCCAGGAGTGCTGACCTTCAGGGATCTGCCTGCACTGCCCATGGGCCTGGCACAGCAGGAGGCACTCCTGTTTCTGTCCCTTCTGTCTCTGGTCTTCAGAGCAAGGTTTCTGCTGAGATGCTAAGGAAGCTGAGTCCTTTGTCAGCCCTGACTCTGACTGAGAGGCAGACAGGAGCCAAGGCCCCATTGAAGCTCCAGGATGACGATGGCCCTCAGGGGAACAGACGCAAAACCAGGCACGGGCCTGCCTTCCAGCTGGAATCTACCTGTCAGGCCCAGAACTTCTGTGCAGTTGGAGTGGGCTCCCCAGAAGGAAAAACAATACAGCTGAGTCTAGTGCTAGGGGACAGAGAACTGGGGGCTCAAGAAAGCACCCCAAAACGGGCTGCCAGGTTAAGGATCCATGGGGCTGAAGAGAAGTTTGCCCCAGAGCCCAAAGCCCAGTCTGCAGTCAGTGGGTGGAGATGAGAGGCAGCCTGGGCCCCTGCAGGGGCTGGGCCCTGAATCCTGAGGCCACCGTCACCTCAACATCACTTCCTACAGCAGAAAAAGGTCACTCTTCTTTCCAAAGGTGGTAACACAGCCTCAGAGCTTGCTCCGCGGGGCCTCTGCCAGGGGCCGCTGCAACCGCCACACCACCCTGACTGGCTCAGCAGCGCGGTCCAGCTCACGGAGGCCACCTAGGTCTTGGGTCTGGCTGTACTGCTGCAGGGCCGGCTGGAGCACCGTGATGGGAATGCTGAAGTTCAGGTGGGGGTAGGTGGCCCCCGTATTATTGTCCCGGGTGTTGCTGGTGATTATGCCTGTTGAGGAGTCAGAGAGCAAAAGAGGATGTGAGCCAGGGGGCAGAAAGGCTGGAGAAGGGAGGAGGACCATCTCCACCCTGGAGCCCCCAGGGCCTGGTAGGGCTGGATACCACCCCACGTGGTGACAGACGCTGAGCTTCTAGACATGAACACCTGCTGCCCACACCCTTTCCTGGCTTTACGTTTTCTCCTTAACACTCTCAAAATCTAACACACTAGATAGTTCACTTATTTCACTTGTTATCTTTCTCTCGACCTAGTGTCAGCTCCATAAGGGCAGGACTTTGAGGTTTTGTTCATGCAGTCTCCCCAGTACCTGAAACAGTGCCTTGTGCCAAGTAGGCGCGCAACAAAGGCTTGTTGAATGAATGAATGAATGAATGAATGAATGAATGAATGAATGAATGAATCAGACCCACAGACATATTTTGTTTGGCCTGCTCGGTGCATGGATGTGTGTGTAGTTTTTTAAAGATAATTTCAGACATACAGAAGTCTTGCCTAAATATTGCAGAATTCTATATACCCTTTGACCAGCTTTCCTTTATGTTCGTATCTAATGTCACCAAAAAATATTTATCAAAACCAAAACATATACCTTGGTAGAATACTGTTATTAAGTGAACTACAGAACTCATTGACATGAGTTGCACTAGTTTTTCCACTAATGTCCTTTTTCAGTTCCAATATCCAGTCTAGGACTCCATATTCCATTTAGTTGTCGCATCTCCCAAATCTCCTCCAATCTGGGTCAGTTCCTCAGTCTTTCCTTATCTTTCGTGGCCTTGACATTTTTAAAAGTGCAGGTTATTTTATTTATTTACAGTTTTTTTTTTTGTTCTTGTTTTTGTTTTTTTAGAGGCAAGGTCTCGCTCTGTCACCCATGCTAGAGTGCAGTGGTGGGATTATAGCTCACTGCAACCTCAACCTCCTGGGCTCAAGTGATTCTCCCGCCTCAGCCTCCCTAAAATATTTTGTAGAGATGGGGCCTCACTATGGTTGTCCAGCTTGGTCTTGAACTCCCAGACTCAAGCAATCCTCCCGCCCTGGCCTCCAAAAGTGCTAGAATTACAAGTGCGAGCCACCATACCTGGCTTTTTTTTTTTTTTTTTTAAATAAACACTGTTTATTTTTTTGAGATGGGTCTCGCTCTGTCACACAGGCTAAAGTGTAATGGTGACCATAGTTCACTGCAGCCTTGAACTCCTGGGCTCAAGTGATCTTCCCACTTCAGATTCCTGCAGAGCCAGGACTACAGGCACATACCACCATGTCTGGCTCAGGTCAGTGATTTTAGAGAATGACCCTCAATTGAGGCCTACCTAATGTTTTCTCATGACTATTGGGTTGGTGCAAAAATGAATGCGGTTTTTGTCATTACTTTTAATTGTTTTGCCATTACTTTTAATTGTTTAAGGTTACACATTATTGGGAAGAATACCATAAAAGCCATGTGTCCTTCCCAGTGTCTCAGCTATCTGATGTCTGTATGGAGTACTTCTGACGTTCACCTTGATCACTTGGCTGAGGTGGTATCTGCCAGGCCTCTCCAAGGTAGACTTAGTATTTTCCTTTCTTTTTTTTTAATTAAAAAAAATTTTTTTAAATAAAAATAGAGGCAGAGTCTCACTATGTTGCCCAGGCTGGTCTCGAACTCCCATTTCAAGTGATCCTCTTGCCTCAGCCTCCGGAAGTGTTGGGATTACTGGCACGAGCTACCACACCAGGCCTAGACTTATGGCTCTAAATATTACTTACGGCTCCAATATTTCCTCTTTGTAAGTACTAAATATTTAGAGGAAATATACTAAAGTTATGCAAATACAATTTTACTTGTATACTAGGATGGAACAGATAAGTAAACATATTGTAGACAACAAGAGCAAGGTTTTTCACTACAGGAGAAAGAAGAAACAAGGAGAGTTAGACTGGACTGGAGTTGGAGGTTTCTAGATGAACTCATGTTTTTTTCTTTTTGACAGCTAAACAGACTGTTTTTTAAAAACCTGAATGTTACCAAAATTTAAAAATTGATCGATTTAACGGCCACATGTATTTTTTTAAAAAAGCTTTACATGTCTTGTGAAAATATTAGAATACCAGCCAACGTTAGGCCCATCCTCCTTCATGGCCACAGTCTGCAGCAGCTGAGTCGAGTGCGCTTCAGTTTAGACCCCTCCCCTCCCCTCCCTGTTGTCTTCTCATTCATTTGCTTTATCTTTCCAGCCTCTGTTGGCTTTTGAGTCTGTGACGCTTTGACTAATCCAACTCCTCAATTTCACAGATCAAACCAGATTAGATTAGTAGCAGAGAAGGGACCAGAGCCCAGATCTCTTTCCTCCCAGTCCAGCATCCGTCCCTCTCCACCATCAGGAGAACAGCCTGCAAACCTTCGCTAGCTCACTCATAATGCCCACCATTTTCCCAGACAGAGGGTGCACTGGGGCTGGCCACAAGCACTCATGGGGTGGGACTGAGGTTCTGGCAAGTGGGAGGGCGGGAGGGGGCCAAAGAGCTGGTTACCAAGGAGGTTTCCTGAGTGGTTGGAGAAGAGGGGTCCCCCACTGGAGCCGCTGTGCACAGCACACGTGGTCTGCAGCATTACGGGCGTGCCATTCACCTGCACCACAGCCGAAAGGATGCCTGAGGTCACCGAGGGCCCGCAAGACTGGCCAAAGACGCCAAAGCCCACCACACTCACAGCCTCGCCTGCCAGGGAAGGAAGGAGGGTGAAGCTGGGGACACCTGTGTTACAGCAGGACTCACACTCCCTAACTCCCATCCCTACCCTCTCCAAACATTCCAAACCTCTCCACCCTTCAAGTTTCTGCTCAGATACTCCTGCCTCCAGAGAGCCTTCCCCATGTCCCCTGGCTGGAAGAGGCTGAGAACTCCACTGAGCTCCTAGCACTGTATCTGCATGACCACTTCTGAGCAACAGGCTGTTCCCTAGTCCTTGTTCCCTGGACAGGCGGGGCAGTGACTTTTAGGAGTTCCTAACACCTACCTACATGCTCAATAAATGTTTGTGGAATTCACACCCATCTCCTCCTGGAACTCCTAAGAAGTCTCTTCGTGAAAAGAAATGGTGATGATGGCTATAATGCAGCCATGACCTTCCTTTTCCAAGTGCAGGGTATGGGGGTAAGTGCTTTACAGGCAACGTCACACCCAGCCCTCACAACACCCAGAAATAGGATGCATTAGCCCCATTTCAAAGACGTGGAAAATGAGGCAGAGGATAGTTAACTAGCCTGTCCAAGGACATGGGACTAATAGGTGGCATAGGAAAGATGCCCATCCAGAGCCCCTGGACCCTTCATCACTGTATCACACTGCCTCCATGGAGTGCAACATCAGTACTTATGTGGCAGCATCACAAAGCCTTTTACCCAAATCGTGCCCCTGGAGCCTTGAAAGTGCCACATGCCTCTCTGACCAGCCTGAAGTGTTAAGGAACCCCAAAGGCCCAGCATCCTCACACTACATTGCTGCAGGCACTCGGGGAAAGGGCGTGCAGCATTATCCTTCCCAGGGCACTCCATGTGCCCCACCAGCACAAAAAGGGAGGCAGGCCTCCAAGGACCTTGACCAATGCTACCCTGACTTCATGAGAATGCCCAACACTGATTCTCCTTCCTGAGGCCCACCCTAGCTCAGAGGGGCCCTCCTTCAGGCTGCGCCCTTCGTCCTTTACCTTCATGGAAGTGCTCAGCGGGCACAGGGATGGGGACATCATCCAGGTCCTCCTCCAGGCTCACCACTGCTATGTCATAGGGACATGTCTCCTGAGTGGCAAATACCACACGGCCCCAGATGGCCACACTCCTGGGAGCAAGGGAAACAAATGACAGGCTAGCTTTCTGACTCCTCAGTACTTGGGAGAAATCAAGGAGCTGAGAGTGACAGTAAAAGTCAGAAGATCTGGGTATCAGCCCTGAATCGACCAGCAGGCAACTCTGGGCAAGTCATGTAACCATTCTGTGGTATCTCCAAAGGTGGTTGACAAACTGTGCTACTTCTCTAAAGCTTCCTGTACCTGAATAATCAACCTGACACTTAGTGAGCACTGTGGGCCAGGTTTGGTGTTAGTGTTTTGTGGACATCACTTTATTTAGTCTTCACGACCCTATAAACTAGGCACTGGCATTATCTCCATTTTAGGTGGTATAACTGAGGCCCAGAGACGCTCAGTAACATTCCCAACACCAAACAAAGTGGGAGGAGCCAAGGCAAACACAACACTTTCCTTCACTGCCTCGTTGATACCCACAACAATCCCGTCAGTTGGTGGGTCAGATATGACATGGTTTCACTCCTCTGGGTCCCTATTTACGTACACGCTAACACTTCTGTAGCACACGACGTGACAGGCTCCGTTCCACGACATTCAGCGTCAACTCCCGGGGAGGCAGCTTAGACAGGTTAAGTGACTTGCCCGGGATCAGACAGGGGCGTCCTACTACACACTCTGCAGGGGTAGCTTCCAACAGACCTGGCAGTCTCCTTAGGAGCAAGGGGCATGTGGGGGGAGTGGAAGGAATCTGGTGGGGGCCACACACCATAGGCAAACCTTCATCATCAGTCTTCCCTATAAAGTCATGGCTGTCCTATAGGCCACAGTGGGGACACCTATGGCAAAACTGGGCAGTGTTACCCACACCTGGCTAAGCTTGGGGATTCAGGAAGAGATTTGGAAAAGCCTGGGCTGCAAGGCTGGGCTGAACCATGTACAGCTGCGTGGGCCACCCCCCTACCTTCTGATTACGTAGAAACTCACGTTTCACTCAGACGGGAAGCTCTGGCTAAGCACTAAAAGATGGATAAAATTAACATACCCATCTCCTTACCCCAGGAGAGCACCATCCTGGGCCTCTGGGACCTTATCACTTTCAGAGGAGAAGCAGCAGGGTTAGGGAATCTCTGTTCAAAGGGCCAGAGAACCGAGGGGTATGGCGTGCAGGGCTATCAGACAGTGAAGCTGCCCAGAAGAAACTCAGCCTTTGAGGGGAGCTCAAAGATGCCCTGTTCCGGATTCAGGGTGTCCCACAGTACCCAAATCCAGAGCTGCTTCGAGCTTGACACCTTGCCCCAGATTCTCCCCACAGGGGTTCTGGGTATAAAGGATGAGGGGAGGGTTCCAGGTCTCTACCCACTACACGCCCAAAGCATCCGCGTGACACAAGAAAGGCCTGCACAATACTCAAGAGTATTAGGGCTGGACCCAGATCTGAGACCTGGAAAGGGATGAAGTGGCGTCAGCCCTGCGGGCTTACTTGGGGGTGGTGGAGCGCACCAGGACCCTGGCTGCTTCCCGAGGGGACACGTGCCGACAGGTCACTACAAGGCGGGGTGCCACAGCCACTCCGGAGCCCCATACGGTGCCGCACTCCACCAACACTGCCGCGGCTGCCCACAGGGGCCCGGAGTCTCGGAGGGGCAGACCCCACGGGACGCCCACCTCTGGCGGCAGAAGGGCGGCCAGGGCAGCGGTGCTGTGCGGCAGGCGGTGAAGCGCGTCGCGGGCGGCGCGGAAAAGGGGGGCGGCGGCGCAGAGCAGCGTGAAGCCCACCCATTCGCCGGCCTTCCAACAGAGCGGCGCCACCACCAGCGCCACCAGCGCCCCCGCGGGCCGCGCGGTGAACACGCCGCCGCCCTCGGTGCCGGGCAGGCAGCGTGCGTCGGTAAGCAGCAGTGGGCCGGCCACGTTGCTGAGCACCCCGCAGCTCAGCGTGTTGAGAAAGATGTCGGGGCAGAAGGCGCCGAAAGGGGAGCCGCAGACCAGCAATGGCGCACCCTTGGGCACGGCCCCGAGAGGCGACACCGCCATGGCTGGCCCGCGCTCCTCCTCCACCTCCTCCTGGCCTAGCCGCACGCCCAGCAGCGCAAACCAGCCCAGCGCTCTCAGTTGATCCGCCTCCTCGTCCTCCGACACTTCGTCATCCCGCGCCGCGCTCGAGAAGCGCCACTGTTCCGCTGCCTCGTCCCCGAAGAGGCGCGCGAAGTGGGCCCAGAAGGCCGGGCAGCTCAGCAGCAGCAGCAGCTCAGCAGGAAGCCGGGGCTGCAGGGGACGCCCGCGGGACGGGGCAGGTGGGCCGGGCTCGAGGCTCGCGCACTGGGGCGTGCACAGCCCTGGGCGGCCCCGCTCCGCGCCGCCCCCGGGACCCGCGGCCGTTGGGGCCCACTGCACGTGCAGGCGCAGGTCGTCCCTGCAACTGTCGCCAGGCAGGAAGACGGCGCCGGCCGCGGTCAGGACTTCGCTGCCAGCTCGCAGGAAGGGGACGAAGATGCCCCCGTGGCAAAGCACCAGGCCCGGGCTACGGCTCAGGATTACCCCGCTGCAGCTCCACGGGCCCGCCTCGGGCTGTCCGGCCCGGGAGGCGCTCACCATGCAGCCCGCCTGCTCGGCCGCCCTCATGGCAGACCCCCACTGCCTTCTCATGGCCTCTAGGCCGGACACTCGGGAGCTTCTCCGAGAAACAGCAAGCTAGCGAGCGAGGACCCCTACCCGGTCCGGCTGAAGCTGCCTAGCGCCACCCACAGCTGGAAGCGAGAGGCGCAAGCTCTGACTCACGTCTTCCTCATCGAGCCCGATTGGCTAAGCCCCAATTGACCCGACCCGATTGGCTGGGCTTGTACCGAGCTCTGATTGGCTTCCTATTCTGATTTTTTTTTTCCTTTCCCCGCCCTCGTTAGTTTGTCCAACCGGTGGGACATAATCTGCCCCATTCCCCCGGATGAGCCCCGGGGAGAGTAAGAGGAGTGCGGCGTCACGAGGAATCAGAGGAGAGGAGGGTGGGTCCCTTCAAGCCTAGTCTCGTTTGCTGGAATGTGGGAAAGGGAATAGAAATGAGCGCTGACGTGCCTAGATTTGCCCAGGCCACGACAGTACCTGTGAGCATCTGCCCAGGTCTAGGCGACCTTCAGCCTCTGACCCTTGGGATAATATGGACCAAGGAAATCCTTGGCCAATTCAGTGTTTTGAAAATTTAAAAGTAAACCCTATAGCAATCCACTAGGGGGCATGGAACTCTCAAGATTACTCCTAGGATTTTTTTTTGCTGCCAAAGCCCCAACACAAATCTCCGAGAAACTGGATTTGCTGTAAATTAAATTGCCCTTTAAATCGACTATGAACAGTAGCTGAAATCAAAAATTTTAATCATACAGGCCTATATTTTACAGTGTGCACATTTCACATAACATAACCACCAGCCAGGATTTATCTAGGCCAGGGTCCAAATACTTTCTGTAGAAGGCCAGAATGGAAACAGTTCCAGTTTGGGGGGACCATACAACTTGTCTCAAATAGTCAACTCTGCAGCTGTTGCATACAAAAGCTAAAGGAATGGCGGTGGCTGTGTCCCAATAAAAAGATACAGACATTGAAATTTTAATTTCATACAATTTTTTGTGTCCAAAAATAGCATTCTTTAAATATTTTTTCCAACCATTTAAATATGTAAAAACCTTTCTTTGCTCACAGGCCATACAAACACAGGCAGCAGGCCCGATTTGACCCACAAGGCATAGTTTACCATCTCTAGTGTACACTAACATAAACTGCTCTACTTTTCCAAAGAAGTACGCTTTAGGACAGAGGAGGATGAACGAGTATGTCGGGGAGTGGGGGGGCGCGGAGCTTCATGATACCCTCAATCAGTCACCACAAGCTAGACAGTTTACAAAGGTCTGCTTTATCACTGAATTGATAAAATACACATTATTTTTTATTTATTTATTTATTTTTTTGAGACGGAGTCTCGCTCTGTCGCCCAGGCTGGAGTGCAATGGTGCGATCTCCGCTCACTGCAAACTCCGCCTCCTGGGTTCACGCTATTCTCCTGCCTCAGCCTCCCCAGTCGCTGGGACTACAGGCGCCTGCCACCACGCCCAGCTAATTTTTTGTATTTTTAGTAGAGACGGGGTTTCACCGTGTTAGCCAGGATGGTCTCGATCTCCTGACCTTGTGATCCGCCCGCCTCGGCCTCCCAAAGTGCTGGGATTACAGGCGTGAGCCACCGTACCCGGCCATCATTAATTTTTATTAAGGTTACTGTATTGCTTACCATATACAATTGCTACTTAAATTCTCTAATCTTTCTGCCTGAATTCTTTAAATAAAGTTAACACTGCTTGGTATAACCCCAGCACAACACAGGATAATGCTCCCAGTACTCCCAGTGACACAAACCTGCTAGAGAAAGGAAAACGATTATCCATGATAGTATGAGGCAGGAATAAAATTAGGCCATCTTGCCATAGCAGGCGGTCTTCTTTTGGTTCTATGACACAGAAGGTGGCTTGATCACAGCACAATTTCTTTATCCCAACTTCCTAGCAATCAAAGAGTTTTTCTCTTGGTGGAGCACAGGGGCTCACACTTGGAATCCCAGCACGTTGGGAGGCTGAGGTAGGAGAATTTCCTGAGCCCAGGAGTTTGAGACCAGCCTGGGCAACATGATGAGACCTTAACTCTACAAAAATTTTGAAAACTAGCTGAGCACGGTGGTGCAACCCTGTGGTCCCAAGCTACTTGGGAGGCTGAGATGGGAGGATCACTTAAGCCCAGGAGGTCAAGGCTGCAGTGACCTATGTTCATACCACTGCACTCCAGCCTGGGCGACAGAGTGAGACCAACTCAAAAAACAAACAAACAAACAAACAAACAAACTTTCTCTCTCGAGTCCAGTGATTCTCCCTCAACGCTCAAGACTCCAGCATGAACTGTTAGGCATTGGGTTTTTCTGTGTTTACAGCAGACCATGGTAAAAAGAAGTCCCAAGTCACAGCCAGAACGCCAAAGTAAGATCTGTTGAGTGCTAGGCTCATGGACTGAGCCTAATCTTATTTTCCACTCTGCCTCAAACAAAACAACTCATTTGCCCATACAACCCATGGCATCCTTTCACAGTAACAAGGACAACAGGACACCTCCAGTACTTTTTATTTTTTTTGAGATGGGAGTCACCCAGGCTGGAGTGCAGTGGCGCGATCTCGGCTCACTGCAACCTCCGCTTCCCCGATTCAAGCGATTCTCCTGCTTCAGCCTCCTGAGTAGCTGGGATTAAAGGTGCGTCCCACCGTGCCTGGCTAATTTTTGTATTTTTAGTAGAGACGGAGCTCTGCCATGTTGGTCAGGCTGGCCTTGAACTCCTGACCTCATGACCCGCCCGCCTTGGCCTCCCAAAGCGCTAGGATTACAGACGTGAGCCACCGCGCCCGGCAATATCTCCAATACTTTAATACTTGGTTGAAAAGAACCCATTGCACTGTTTCCCACTGTTTGTCCCAGTACTTTAGTTTTATGATCTCATTTGGGTTTTTGTAAAAGCAGTCTTCCTACAAGCCTAGTAAAGGAAATTCTTTCTTTCTCATTTTGCCAAATGTAGCATTTAATTGATTTTTTTTTTTTTTTTTTTTTTGAGCTAGAGAGAGTCTTGCTCTGTCACCCAGGCAGGAGTACAGTGGCATGATCTCGGCTCACTTCAATCTCCACCTCCTAGTTCAAGCGATTCTCCGCCTCAGCCTCCAGAGTAGCTGGGAGCTACTCCATGTACCACAATGCCCAGCTAATTTTTTTGTATTTTAGTAGTGATGGGGTTTCACCCTGTTCCCCAGGCTGGTCTCAAACTCCTGAGCTCAGACAATCCACCCACCTCAGCCTCCCAAAGTGCTAGGATTACAGCGTGAGCCACCACACCTGGCCAATTCTAATTCTGTGTAAAATGAGTGAAACACAGCTAAACTAGAACTAGTCCTTGCTAGCATGTTAATATAGATTTTGCTCAAACATCTGCCATCCCCATCCTGTTGCAGAGATGACCAACAACCCTGGGTCCACAGCATGTTCCAAATCTCTCAAGTAGTACTAAATCTATTACTTCTAGTACCCCAGCCTTTTTCCCCCTCCTGGTGGCAAAATTCAAGTATCTCACACGCACCCTAAATGTCTCTTCCTCTATGCAGGGAACTTTTGGTTGCCTCCCCAAATAAACGGCATTGTTCAAACTCAGAGCTCAGAACAAACCAATGAAAAAAAAAAAAGGAAATAGCGTATTTGTTTTAACTTTTTATTAAAATGCTTAGGATACAGATTGACTTTCTTTCGTAAATGACTGTTTTACTTTTCCTGAAGTAGGACATATATGCACTCTGATAAAACAGAATGAGAAGTCATAATTCATGGGAATTCCTATACAAGGTGCTGATCCTGTGTTTGGAGCTGAGCTCCTCACAGCAGCTTCTTTCAGCTATCTTATAGGAATAGTGTTCCGTGGGGCAAGAAATACATTGGTTCTAACTGATTTTCAATCCCCTTTCTCCAGTGGAATAAACCACTTTCACAAAGAGCTGCCCTATGTATAACCCACAGATTTCTAGCTTGCAACAAAGTGACAAGGGACAAATAGGGGAAAAAAAAAATTAAGAAAACTAACACTGAAGTAATCATACTTCTCATGTCTCCGAACAGAGAAGTATGGGGGACCTTTAACCAAAGGAAATTAAAAATATGCAAGTTATATTACCTAGTTCATTCACTGTTAGCTAGATTTGTTCACTTAAGGCTTTAACCCCTTTCCAAACCAACAACTTTGTCTTAATCCAGCTATGTTTGCTAATAAACGAAATGCATGCACTTCCCACATATATACTTCACTGAGCCTCTGCATTCAGTACCTGGCAGTGAAAAAGTATGCTTTCCCCACAAGTCAGTACTGGAGAATAAGAATGAGAACTCCAACTAAAGAACAATGCCTCCCTCACCCCAGTAATGTTATCCACATTTTCCCTACCCTCACATTAGAATAAAGACATCCTCCCAACTTTTCATCTCCTATCTCCAATCTGTTCATAGGAGATATATCTTTTGATCTTTTATTATAAGGGTAGAATATAGATTAAGATCATCAAAATCCAATTTCACATGTGGCACTAGGAAAATGGAATGCTATAAAATTAATCCCCATCACCCAAGTAGGGATGCCGGTGCTTTTATACTGAGTCTTTACTGCCAATAAGTGATGCTGCCTCCAAAGGAACAGCTCTACAGAAAGTTTTTGGGTTAGTGTTTCCCTAGCTTATTTCTGCAATGGAGAAAGACAATTTCATACCAAAAAAAAAAAAAAAAAAAAAAAAACCTGGAAAAGCTACAGATGTTAACCTTTACTTTAAACACCAATAAAATAGGTGTCAAAGGAGAAAAAATGTAAAAAAAAGAGCTCCCAAACAGCCTGAGAGACCAAATTCTGCAAATGGAAATTTTAAAGCCCACTGAATACATTTTTCATGGATCCAAACAAATGCTACAATACTTTTAAGTCCTCAACTCACAGAATTAAGAGCCCTTAAGCTGTTAACTTTGTCCTGTCTTCCTATTCAGAAAAATGTCCCCCTAGAATCTGTGCAAAAGTAACTGATGCACCTGCAGTATGTGACACGAGAGATGTTCTCAACTCTTTTATGAGGTCAAAGTCACTTTTGATAACTGAAAACGAAAAAGGAAGGTGCTATAGAGAGAAATTAAATTTCACAAAAGTATAAAAGCAAAGACTGGCTAAAATCTGTAACTTCATGAGTAAGAATAACAACAATAACCCATTCTATAATTAACTCCTCCACAGTGAACAATCTGCTACACATTCCTTGATGAGGAATGAACCTAGCTTACCACAGTGGAAACCTGCCACAACTGCAAGGCCGGGGTTCTGCCCCTTTTCTAGTTCTCTGTGCACAAGGTTATGCCACCTACTCCAAGGCAGTCAGAGAGACAGGTGAGCTCAGGGGAGCTTCTCTCACCAACCTGCTAACTCAGCAGGAGTAAGTTTACCCAAATGAGCTCTGGCCTCCATATCTGTTCATAATTTTATGAAGTATCTAAATGTCATTCATTAGTTTAAAAAAAAAAAAGAATAGAAAACTCTGGACCAAGTAAATTGTGAACTCAAAAAGTTAGGAGGGATACCAATTACATTAACAACGCTTTCTTTAAAAAATAGAATCACTTTCTTTTGAATCAACCACAGTGGTGAGACGTGTTTTTCTTTTCAGGTGCCCCATGATGGCATACAGCTTTACCCGGCAAATCCTGCCAGCTTCCAAGTCCCAGGATACTGACCTGCACCAGCACGTGGGGCAGCATTACCTCCCAACAGTGTGGAGAAGAGCACATGTCACCACTGGGCAATGAGAGAGTTGACAGAGACTCTTGGCTTCTCAACGCCAGACATGGTTGGAGAGCTTTCCTTGTTCTATTAGAAAAGTTCATGAGGAAGCTGTGAATAGGATCAGTCCAGAGAAGTAAAACTCTTTTATTTTCACCGTCCAAACATCAGTCAATATACTGGGAGAGCCAGCGGAAACCCTCGCCGTAACCTTGCCTCTTGAGCACACTGCACATGAACACTTCCATGGGGCGAGCATTCAGCTCCTTCAGGGTCACATTCCCCTAAAGGAGGCAAAACCAAGAAAGGCCTGTTAGCATCTCTGTGGTGGAAAAGATTGAAAGGACGATCATTACAATCATTTTATCCATTCCTTAAAAGCAAACCTAAGTAGGTATTAATTACAGAAATGTGGTCAAGGCCATATAGATGACTTCCCCAGGCTTCGTGTTTTCAGGATAGAATAAGCAGCACAGTTCTATTCCCAGCCTTTCTCTCTCTGAAGAGCATTTGCTTTGAACACCCAATATTTATCTGTAAAGTTATGGCAGCAAACCAAGAAAAAAGCCACTGGGACTTATGGAACCAGCATGCCCTCTGATGCAGAAAAGAGGTCTGGGACTGTTTAAAAATAAGGACATTCTCATTAACAAAAGCATGCAGAAATAAACACTCATAACAGGTGGCACTGAAGAAATGAAGAATTCATGTGTATTTAATACTGATGCAAAAGAGGAGAAATTAAATGAAAGAAAGGAAGTATTTCTATAAAGAAACCGATAATCAAGAAGAGGTGAGACTAAGGAACCATGTAAAAAAGTCAGAAAGTTATCACAGAAAAGGAAGATATTTAAAAACTAAATATGCCAAAACCCCAAGCTAAAAAGAACAGTAAGATTCCTGCTTAACTTTATCTGATCTAGATTTTCTCTCTCTCAAGCCTGCTTTTCTACAAGAGTCCTCCTTCCAATTGAAGACAGTAAAAACTATTGATTTGGAAGACTCAAGTTCTTTTTCTGGTTTTATCACTGACTTGCTGTGTAGACCTGAACAAATCACTCTCTGTTTCTTCCTCTGCAAAATGCGGCCAACAGTCCTACCTCTCTCAGCAAGAAGCAATGAGGATAATCAAGTGCTTTGATTTCAATGCTTGGAAAGTGATTGAAATGATTATTTTTCTTCATAACCTGCAAACTCCAGTCCAAAAAAAAAATTATTTTCTGGCTAAAAAGGGCTATTTCAAAAGCAATTTCTCAGAATCAAATTTGAAAGATAATCATAAACTCTTAGAAGAGTAAATCTGCCTTTTCTACCATTTCCTTCTTCCTCAAATACCTGATGAATGAATCCCATTTAAAACGTTAAAAAGAACACACTCCTGCCTCTAGTGAGCTTACAAAATACTCACAGTAAAACTAATCCTAAGCCTGTTTAAGCCTTTAAAAGAAAAGGGTAATCTAGATAGCGAAACATCATGTTTTAAAAACTGTTAATGTCCTTTATATGTAACCCAAATATTTTTCTCTTACCTTTCCTGTGGTCTGTCCATAAAGCCCAAATATCTCACGGAGTTTTTCTTCACTGATTGCATCTGTTCTGTCAATTTTGTTACCCAAGATAAGGATTGGCACATTGGATATTGTTTCATCAGTCATTAAAGCCTAAAGATTGAAAAAAAAGAAAAAAAGAAAAAAAAGAATTAAGTGAGGAATCTACAAAAGCCCACCAGATAATGAAAATTCTGACTTCCACTAATCTTTTAAGGCATTAATGTAAAGTGAAAATCTGATCAACTTTATACCTGAGTGATTAAAGATTCACCTTGACATTACATAACACCCATGACATTAAGTAAAAATCTCCTAAGTGCCTCGAAACAGTTGCAACTTTATTCTATTTATTTACAAGGCAGCAGAACTGCCCCAATATTAACTTTTGAGCTAATCTGCTCAGCCACAAACTATCCTCAGGATGTCCCTCAGCAAAGTCCTATAAGAATGAATGCTCTGGCTACAGAGCCTCAAAGATGACTACAGGAATTCCCCAAGTATTCACCAAGTCCCATTGTGTGCGAAGAACTCTCTCAGGCATTGAGAGGAATAAAGTAGGAAGGGTAACTATCTCAGGCACTGAGGATACAAAAGGAAGCACATTCCTGTCCTCAAAAAAATCCTCACTCTATGTTCACATTATGTTTTTTTTCTTTTTTCTTAATCTCAGCTCACTGCAACCTGTGACTTCCAGGTTCAAGCGATTCTCCCACCTCAGCCTCCTGAGTAGCTGGGACTACAGGCATGTGCTACCACGCCTGGCTAATTTTTGTATTTTTTTAGTAGAGATGGAGTTTTACCATGTTGGCCAGGCTGGTCTCAAACTCCTGCCCCTCAAGTAATCTGCCAACCTCAGCATCCCAAAATGCTGGAATTACAGGCATGAGCCACCACGCCCAGCCACATTTATGTTAACAAAGCCAAGTAAGAACACAATATAGTGGATAAGTGTCACAATGAATGGGAACTGAATATTAACATTAAGACAAGTTCAGGGAAATAAAATGGCAATTTTGGGCTTGAGCAAAGTCTTAGAAAAGATCTGGAACCTAAACAGGGCTCTAAAGGAAGGGCAGGGTTTGGATAGGTGTAAAGGAGAAGTAAGAACATAAACAACGGCTTTGCATTAGGACAATAATTCAGGAAGCCACACAGTACTGCATGGCTGGATTCAAGCATTTAGATAGACATGCAGCGACAAAGTAAATGGATGAGAAGAGATGACTCACATTAGGGGCCAGTGTGAGAAGTGAGCTGCAATATATCCTAAAAGACCACAAATCCAGAAGTTAGTGAATAAAATCTTATTTTTCAGTATAATGAATTCACAAATAGTATCTATCTGTGGTGTTCATGTAAGAGATCATGATCTAGCTTAAGGTAGAGCATTCAATGAATACTGCAGGAGGCATTTTGAAGAAAGAATTGAAGAGACCAATGTCTAAATGATTAAAAAAAAAATTTAAAAAAGACAAATGAGTCAAAACTGCCACTGATTTCAAGCCTGGGAATCTAGTTGTCACCAATAGGAAAGCTAGCGGGGAAAGCAGAGTTAAAGAGATAAAGAGGAATGTACTTTGACCATCTGGAATTCCAGGAAATGTTACACAAAATTAGAATAAGAATGTCCTTCATTCATTAAGCAACAACAAAGTACCTAATGTGTCTAATGCTTTGCTAGGTGCAGGGGTTTTGCAAAGAAATAAGACACAGTCCCTATCATGTTAGTTCATAGTCTGATGAGAGAGAACTATAAAAAAATCAATAAAGACAACAGACATTGGTAAGGTGGGAGTCTAACACAGTCTCAGAGGTCAAGGGAGGCTTACCAGAAGCAGTCATATCTGAACTCTGAGGTCTCTTATAGAACATTTTAAAATTTGCCGACAAAGCGAGGGGTTGAGGAGAGGTACAGGTGAAAAAGCCAGGCAGTAGCTACTTGTGCATATTCAAGGATGGCTAAGTTGTTTGTTTGGAATATAGTTCAAGGTAGGCAGTAAAAAGAAACAGAGGGAGGATCATGAATGATCCTATGTGCTATGCAAAAGATTTATAGATTTTATCCTGAAAATGATAGAGAACTATCAAAGGATATTAAGTAGGGCAATTAAGTCTGAGAAAGTTCCTTCTAGCATTATGGTGCATATCAGGGTCATGGTAGGATTTATATTAATTCACAGATTTGTGGACTGCATGTCCAGGTAGGTGGTGGGTGGGAAAGACAAATAGTTCCATTCTAGGAAAACAGAATCAGTAGTAGGAGTTGTCGAGAGTAGGCAGGATTAGGTATGAGATTAGAGCTCAGGAGAGGTCTAGAGGAGAGAAATGCATTTGAGAGTCACTGACATGTAGGTGCCAAATGAAGGGAGTAGATGGGACCAGCCTAGGAGAAAGTACTCTGGAGAACACCAACATTTAAGGACTAACCAGAAGAACTAGTGCTTCTCAAAGAGACAGAAGTATCAGCCAGAGAGGTAGCTCCAAAATCAAGAGTGAAAAGAGGAGTTTAAACAAAGAGAATGGAGACCATGCATGGTGGCTCATGCCTGTAATCCCAGCACCTCATGAGGCCGAGGCAGAGGATCACCTGAAGCCAGGAGACTGAGACAAGCCTGGGCAACATAATGAGACCCTGTCTCTACAAAAACACTTTTTTAAAAAAAATTAGCTGGGTGTGGTGGTGTATGCCTGTAGTCCTAGCTACTTGGGAGGCTGAGGCAGGAATATCGCTTGAGCCCAGAAGTCTGGAGGTTACAGTGAGCCGTGATTGCACCATTGGACTCCAGCCTGGGCCACAGAGGAAGATTCTGTTTAAAAAAAAAAAAAAAAAGCAAGGTAAAGACTGCGTGGCAGGCAATTCTACATGAGGCTGGAGCTATAGATGTGAGAAACATACTTAGAAATAAATTCAAGACAGGTTCAAGTTGCCAGAAACAAGAATGCAAGGAGTTATAAATCAAAGAGAAAGAAGAGATATAGGGTAAAGGAGTAGGGATAACAAAGCCAATAGTATAGAAACCATCAAGCCATGAGAAAATGCAATGTTGACAAAGGAGAAAACTTGAAGTGAGTCCTTAATAGTATCAAAGGATGTATGCAACCAAAACTGAAGACTGAGAACAGACCATGAAGGTCTGGCAAGTCATTCAGTGGGAGGGTGGGTAGGCACAAGCTGAGAATGCAGATTCAAAAATGTAAAGAACTCTAATATCGCTTTTAGGCTTTCACTATGCCAACACTACTTATAAAGAATTACTGTTCATGGGCCAGGCGCGGTGGCTCATGCCTGTAATCCCAGCACTTTGGGAGGCCAAGGCGGGTGGATCATGAGGTCAGGAGATCAAGACCAACCTGACTAACATGGTGAAACTCCGTCGCTACTAAAAATACAAAAAACTAGCCGGGCGTGGTGGCACGTGCCTGTAGTCCCAGCTACTCGGGAGGCTGAAGCAGAAGAATCCCTCGAACCCAGGAGGTGGAGGTTGCAGTAAGCCAAGATTGCGCCACTGCACTCCAACCTGGGCAACAGAGCAAGACTCCGTCAAAAAAAAAAAAAAAAAAAAAAAAAAAACAGAATTACTGTTCATGACACGTGAAACAGAATACTATTAATTATGCTGGGACAACAGGCATAAATGAGGAGTATCCTGAGCAAACTTGGCCATATAATCACTGTATGATAGAAACAACAGTTAATTTATTTAAGTTTGAGCTGAGTTTCCTCAGGACATTGAAAAGCAATGTCTTAGATTTAAAACATTTTCCTCCTGCAACTAGGTCTTTTTGCCAAATGTTAACTGGAATGACTAATTATTGGCACTACTGAGCTATATTCCTTAAAAAAAAATAGAGGCCAAAAAAGAACAAAATATACATTAAAATACACATTAAAGGACAAAACATACATTAAGCTCAACTTTGGATTCCACGAGGCGAGAATGATCTGCACAGTCCACCAGAAAGACAATCCCATTAATTGCTGGGAGATAATTTTTCCAAACGCGACGTGCTAAAAAACAAAGTTTGTAGTTGCATGAGTAAAAAATATACATTGTGAAAATGAATAACCTAATGGTCTATAAAATGGACAAATCTTGGTCGGGTTTCAGTAAGATTAGACTCTATGGATTTCTCCAAGTTCTGGCCAGTATTAATTCAGAACAGAGGATGCAAACTGATGGTCCATGAGCTGAACCTGATTTTTGTAAATTTGAAAATCAGAGTTTCCGCTTTTTTTGAAAAACTGCAACATCTGGCAATCCCATGCCTACTTATCCACGTGACAATTATCAGCAGGAACTAAGCAGTGGCTGCCCCTTCAGATGATGTCTGAACACTTTTGCTTGACAAAATTTCCCTGCTGTCTTACAGTCAGCCAATTTTACTCACTTAAATGACTTGCCTTGCCCCTGGGGCCAAGTCTAGTTTGCAACCTCTGAGTTAAAACATCAGGATACAAATTACTTGTCCATGTAACTTTAGTCCCAGTTAGTTTCTAGCCAACTTGTGTGTAGGCGTCTTGACACATTCCTCTGCTCAGCCCTTAGGGAGACTAGGCCTGACAAGTGGTTCAAGGCCCCAGGCCAGTTATCTCAACCTACCATATTTAACCCAGCATGCCTTATAAATATTACTTGGTTTTTTGCTTGTGACATGAAACGATAAAGGCTGGGAAGCAGTGATTTAATTGTACTATCATTTCTAAGCCATTAATTTCTAGCCCTTGCAATAGAATGAATAACGAACCATCTCTACATCAGTTAATAATGGTTACCTTTAAAGAGTGGAGCTAGGAAAAAGAGGTTGAAGGAACTTTCCATTTTACTTTCCGTAGTTCTATACTGATTTTGTTACATCGAACTTGCTCTCCTTTTATAAGTTAAAATTTTTAAGTTATACAAAAAAAAAAAAAGGAAACCTCCAGATGTACAGTACTTTAGTAACTTTTATAAAATGGTGGCTAGGTTATTATGTAAAAGTGTTTTTGTTAAGTAGATTTTCCTCAGTCAAATAAACAAAACTAATTACATCAATACATTTCCCTTCTTACTTTTAACAAAACCTGAAACCTAAATTTATCACACCAAACAATCTACAATTCCCAGTTCAGGTATATAAAACCATCTGGCGTCTGGTCCTTCTACATTCTCCAGATGGTCTAGGTTCAGTCTTATCTTGCTCTGAATTTAAATTTGTAAGCAGTTACAAATCCTTTTGTGGAAGCAGCAGAAAGGACACCATATACCCATTCTTACCCAAATGAAAAAAATACAAGCTCCTTACAGAAAAAAAGGAAACAAAATCATTTCTAATCCCTCTATCAAAACACACCCCTTGTCAATATTTTGATATTTTCTTCCAGCCTCTTTTCTTTACTGGTATTTTATGTGATTATGATCATAATATACATGATTTTTCAGGGCATAAATATTAAATAAATTAATTAAAATGTAATTATATGTTAATGAAATCACTGACTATAAAATTATTAGGCTTAACAACTAGAAATGACCAATGTTATATTTTACTATACATTTTTTAAAAACTGTATTAGGCTGGGCACAGTGGCTCACGCCCATAATCCCAGCACTTTGGGAGGCTGAGGCAGGTGGATCACCTGAGCTCAGGAGTTGAAGACCAGCCTGGGCAACATGGCGGAAACCCAGTCTCTACAAAAAACAGGTGGGAGGATTGCTTGAGCCCAGGAAGTAGAGGTTGCAGTATGCCAAAATTGTGCCACTGCACTCCAGCCTGGGCAACAGAGCAAGACCCCATCTCAAAAAAAAGAAAAAAACGGTATTAGCTCAACCTAATGTTTCAAAACAAGACTTCTCCACTCAGTGTAATAACAAGTAAGTAAATCTGACAGAATCTCAATAGTTCCTTTTCCCTACTTTCCCAGAATATTTATTCTCACATCTTAAATGTTTTACTCCTATACCTACGGTCTTGTCAAATGTGAACTGAGTGCCCATCAGACAAAGATGACACTCTGTATGTCTCTAAACACCTGATAGGAATCTGGAAACCAAAGACATAGCCTGAGTAGGCAAAAAGCACTTCTGAGGAAAGCAAAAAGGTAGAAGGAAATGTTCCACCAACTGTCTGAAATGGATAGAATATACAAAATATCAACTTGTATCAGAGTAATCACACATAGTCACTGTATTACTTTTGCAACTTTTGACAAGTCTGAAATTACTTATAAATATTTAATTTCCTACATACTTTCACTCCATTGAATAAAGGATGCAAAAATGACTTCATAACTAGATATATGATACCGTATACCTGGTCAAGATGAAAAAAATGGTATAAAAGAGATTATCAGGACAACTGACCAAAAAAAAAAGGAAATACAGAGTGGATAAAAATAAAACTTCCTGGATTTGATAACTATTATGATTATATACAAGGAAATATCTTTGTTCTTAGAAAATGGCACTAAAGTATTAAAGAGTAAAGGGGCATGATATGCTCACCAACACTTCATTAAAAACAAGCATTAATATGTATTATATAAAGAAGAGGCACTAAAGTATTAAAGAGTAAAGGGGCATGATATGCTCACAAACAGTTCATAAAAAATAAGCATTAATATGTATTATGTAGGGAGGAGGAGACTAACAAATTTGAGCAAAAGGTATAGAAGAAAATATACTGGCTTAGGGCAAGCCTAGTTAAAATGATGAAATAATTACTCTTGTTGAAGCAATACATATATCTTTTAACATATTTTCCAGTTACAAGGTAAATTACATTAATAAGTAAAAATGTAGTAAAGATTAAAATGGCAAGATGCTGTCCTGCTTTGTAAAAATTTTCAGTCAAGATTTGAGTTGAGTTTGGCTATATCAGGCAAATACTTAAAAGTTCATGAATAGTTATACATTATGGCTAACTTTATCCCAGCTCAATAGGGTAATATTGAAGGGGACTTCTGTGTATTATTTAATGCAACTTTTGACAAGTTTGAAATTACTTAAAAAAATAAATGAATAAAACAACTTCACTAAAGTAATAAGATCCTAATTCTAAAATGTAAGTAATTTAAAAGGTAAAAATGACACACTGCTTTTAAAAGGAGCTGGGAGGCACAAAAAAAATAAGTCAATAAACATGCTTTCCACTGAGTCATCACTTACCTTGCTCGTGCCCACCAAGATCAAAAGTTGTAAAGGTCATTCCAGCAATTGTTAGCTCTTCTGATGCTGAAAAATTGTTTAAAAAGAAGAAAAAAACTTGTCAACTCAACAACCCCCAACTACTAGTACTATAAGCCAATATCAATGCTTTCATCTTGTAAAGAAAAAGATACAAGAAGTTGAGTGTGGTGGTACCCGCCTGTAGTTCCAGCTACTCAGGAGGCTGAGGGCAGGAGGATAATCTGAGCCCAGGATTTTTGAGACCAGCCCAGGCAACGCCCCACTCCCAACAAAGAAAAGGAATACAAGGGTGAAATGTTCTTAAACTATTCTAAAAGCCAAAGGTTTCTTTTCTTCCAAGCTATTTTCCACTTCTTAGAAGTAGGTATAGGAGAGGTGTCCCTTTACAGGACCAGTGACAACAGATAATGACAAAGTTCCAGAGGTTTAGATCTGAAAGTACATAACCTGAGTGTGTCTTACAGGGAACTTTCTCGTATGAGTTGGCTTTTGGGACTTCAGTTAATAAAAGAACTCCACCAACTAGGGATTCATCCTCCACGCCTAACACTGACCTTTAAAGATCAAAAGGTCACCTGATATTTTCAAACCTACTCGGATGTAGTGTTGGAACATGTTGGCCCAATCTGTCATCTTTGAGCATGTGAAGAAGAGTGGTTTTGCCTGCATTATCCAAACCTAAGAATACAAGTTTTCCAGATTTCTTGTACAGTCCTAAAAGAGAAAAAAATTGTTAACACATTTGCTCTCTACAGACCAAAGCCTATTTGTAGTTAAATTACTGAGGGAAAGGCACAAACTTTGAAACCTGTATTTCAAGGAAATGGCTTTACCTAGGAACTGGAGCACACTGCTGAAGCCATTGTAGATCCACTCAAAGATGAAAGACATTATTAATGCTTACTACCTGTATAAAATATGAAAGTAGCAAACATTAGCTTTCTGAATGACAGTACAATTGTGGAGAGGTTAACTCTTGTTCCCTAGCCATGATGCACATTTATAGTCTCTTGTTTTCGGGAATAAGAAAGCAGGCCAGGCATGGTGGCTCACACCTGGAATCCCAGCATTTGGGAAAGCCAAGGCAGGCGGATCACTTGAGCCCAGGAGTTCACAACTGGCCTGGGCAAGAAAGCTGGACTCAATCTCTACAAATAACTAAAAAAATAGCTGGACATAATGACACACACCAAGAGTCCCAGCTACTCAGGAGGGTGAGACAGAAGAATTACTTGAACCCAGGGGTTTGAGGCTGCAGTGAGGCATGACGGTGCCACTGCACTCACTTGGGCAACAGAGGGAGACTCTGATAAAAAAGACAGGACAGGACAGGAGAAAGGAAAGGGAAGGGAAAGGGAAAGGGAAAGGGAAAAGGAAAGGGAAAGGGAAAGGGAAAGGGAAAGGAAAGGAAAGGAAAAGAAAAGAAAAGAGAGGGGAGGGGAGGCGGGGCAGGGGAGGAGGGGGAGGGGAGGAGGGGAAGGGGAGGAGGGGATGGAAGGGGAGGGGAGGAAGCAAAGTAAAGAGAAACTAATATTCTTTCTTGACACAGATTTTGCAATCTGGAGGAGAGTCTAGAATCCTTATATGTGCAAAAATAACTTGTTTCCTAATAGTTTTTGATCTATGATACTCAGAGAACTAGGAGTTAAAAATATAAAGGCATACCTCATTTGATGATACTTTGTGGATCCTGAGGTTTTCTGGTTTTTTTACAAATTGAAGGTTGGAAGCAGCCCTGAGTTGAGTAAGTGTATCAGTACCATCTTCTAACAGCATGTGCTCCCTTCATGTCTCTATGTTACATTTTGGTAATTCTCACACAATATTTCAAACTTTTTCATTATTCTTATATCTGTCATCATGATCTATGATCAGTGATCTTTGGTATTACTAGTATAATTGTTTTGTTGTGCCACAAACCACAACCATAGAAGACAGCAAACTTGACTTCCTCCACAGTCCTGCCCCCACCCCAAGCCTCCCTATTCTCCAAGTGAAAGTAACAGGTCTCTCCCTTGAAAGCAAAAGTTAGAAATGATTAAGCTTAGTGACGAAGACACATCAAAACCTGAGATAAGCCAGAAGCTAGGCCTCTTGCACTCAACAGTTACCCAAATTGCAAATGCAAAGGAAAAGTTCTTGAAGAAAATTAAAAGTGCTACTCCAGCAAACCCATGAACGTCAAGAAAATGAAACAGCCTTATTGCTGATAAAAAATAATAATAAAATAAAAACACGAGGTAAAAAAGCAAGTGCTGATGTAGAAGCTGCAGCAAGATAACTGATGAAGGTGGGTGGCTACACTAAACAACACATTTTCAATGTAGGCAAAACAGCCTTCTATTTGAAAAGCCATCTAGGACTTTCATAGCTAGAGGGGAGATGTCATTGCTTGGCTTCAAAGCTTCAAGGGGCAAGCTGACTCTCTTGTTATGGGCTAATGCAAGGTGACTTTACGTTGAGGCCAATATTCATTTACCATTCTGAAAATCCTAGGACCCATACTCATTTACCATTCTGAAAATCCTAGGACCCATACTCATTTACCATTTTGAAAATCCTAGGGCCCTGAAGAATGACACTAAATCAGTCCAAGTGGAGCAAGTGAGCGAGCAGAGTGGTTGTGTGGTTGCGTCTCGGAAACCAGTAGCACTTGCAGCATGGCTGACCAACTGACTGAGGAGCAGATTGTAGAATTCAAAGAAGTTTTTTCACTATTTGACAAAGATGGTGATGGAACTATAACAACAAAGAAACTAGGAACTGTAATGAGGTCTCAGGCAGAATCCCACAGAAGCAGAGTTACAGGACATGATTAATGAAGTAGATGCTGATGGTAATGGCACAATTGACTTCCCTGAATTTCTGACAATGATGGCAAGAAAAATGAAAGACACAGACAGTGAAGAAGAAATTAGAGAAACATTCTGTGTGTTTGATAAGGATGGCAATGGCTATATTAGTGGTGTAGAACTTCACCATGTGATGACAAACCTTGGAGTGAAGTTAACAGATGAAGAAGTTGATTAAATGATCAGGGAAGCAGATCCTGATGGTGATGGTCAAGTAAACTATGAGTTTGTACAAATGATGACAGCATAATGAAGACCTTGTACAGAATGTGTTAAATTTCTTGCACAAAACTGTTTATTTGCCTTTTGTTTGTAACTTATCTGTAAAAGGCTTCTCCCTACTGTCAAAAAAAAATATGCATGTATGGTAATCAGGACTTCATTCCTCCATGTGTTCTTCCCTTACTGTCATTGCCCTGAAACCTTATTTTAGAAAACTGATGAAGTAACATGTTGCCTGTGGCTTACTCCGGATATATCTAAGCCCTTCTGCACATCTAAACTTAGGTGGAGTTGGTCAAATAAGGGAACATCCGGGTTATGCCTTTTTTTAAAGTAGTTTTCTTTAGGAACTGTCAGCATGGTGTTGAAGTATGGAGTTGTAACTCTGTGTGGACTACGGACAGCCAACAATATGTACTTAAAAGTTGCACTACTGCAGAATGGGTGTATTATCCAGGTACTCCCAGGTACCTCACACACTGTTTTTTCTGTACTGCTGGTCCTGTACCAGAAACATTTTCTTTTACTGTTACTTGCTTTTTAAACTTTGTTTAGCCACTTAAAGAAAATGTGCTTATGGCACAATTTGCCTCAAATCCATTCCAAGTTGTGTATTTGTTTTCCAATTAAAAAAATTACAATTAAAAAAAGAATTATACTAAATCTACTCTGCCTACCACACATCTGTTTACAGCATGGTTTACTAAGTATTTTAAGCCCACTGTGAAGACCTATTGCTCAGAAAAAAAGATTTGAAGATATTACTGCTCATTGACAACGCACCTGGTCACCCATGGGCTTTGATGGAGGTGCAGAAAGAAGTTAATGTTGTTTTAATGTCTACTAACAACATCCATTCTGCTTCCCATGGATCAAGGAGTATTTTCGATTTGCCAGTCTTTCATTTAAGAAATATATTTCCTTTGGGAGGCCGAGGCGGGCGGATCACGAGGTCAGGAGATCGAGACCATCCCGGCTAAAACGGTGAAACCCCGTCTCTACTAAAAATACAAAAAATTAGCCGGGCGTAGTGGCGGGCGCCTGTGGTCCCAGCTACTTGGGAGGCTGAGGCAGGAGAATGGCGTGAACCCGGGAGGCGGAGCTTGCAGTGAGCCGAGATCCCGCCACTGCACTCCAGCCTGGGCGACAGAGCGAGACTCCGTCTCAAAAAAAAAAAAAAAAAAAAAGAAATATATTTCACAAAGCCATCAATGCCATAGACTGATTTCTCTGCTGGATCTGGGCAAAGTAAACTGAAAACCTCCTGGAAAGGAGTCACCATTCTAGGTACCAGTAAGAACAGTTATGATTCACGGGAAGAGGTCAAAATATCAATATTAACAGGAGTTAGGAAGACAGTGATTCCAACCCTCGTGGAAAACTTTGAGGGGTTCGAGACTTTGGAGGAAGAAGTAACCTTAGATGTGGTAGAAACAGCAAGAGAACTAGAATTAGAAGTAGAGCCTGAAGATGTGACAACTGCTGTAATTTCATGATCAAACTAATGGATAAAGAGATGCTTCTTATGGATAAGCAAAAAAAGTGGTTTTTTTGAGATGGAATCTAGTCCTGGTGAAGATGCTATGAATACTGTTGAAATGACACCAACAATTTAGAAAATTACAAAAACTTACTTGAGTTTACATAAACTTACTTGAGCAGCAGCAGGGTTTAAGAGGACTGGTTCCAATTTTGAAATAAATTCTGCTTTGGGTAAAATGCTATCAAACAGCATTGCATGCTACAGAGAAATCTTTCTTGAAAACAAGCATTAACTGATGCAACAAACTTCCTTGTTGTCTTATTTTAAGAAACTGCCACAGCCATCCCAACCTTTAGCAATCATCAACCTGATCAGTCAACAGCTATCAACGTGGAGTAACATGGAGGTAAGATCCCCAACCAGCAAAGAGGTTATGACTCGCAGAAGGCTCCGATGCTTGTTAGCATTTTTTAGCCATAAAGTATTTTTTAAATAAGGTACGTATTTTCTAAGACGTAATGCTACTGTACACTTAACAGACTACAGTATAGTGTAAACGTAACTTTTATGTGCACTAGGAAACCAAAATATTCGTGTTACTTGCTTTACTGTACTTGTTTTATTTCAGTAGTCTGGAACTAAACTCACAGTATATCCGAGGTATGCCTACACTTTCTTTTACTGTGTGACTTACTCCTCCAGGCAGCGGTTCATTCACATTCCCTAGACATACGACTGCTGTCATCCAGTGAAGAACAACTCTAGGAAATCAGTCTTATCAATAATGTGAATCAGAATGCCACTTAGATGCACTAAATAGAAAATAAGAATGAAAAGCACATTGATTTGAATGAAAAACATATTAATCTATCCTGTAAACAACTCTAAAAAACAAAAGTCACCCAAAATTCTACTGGCCAGCACCACTTGCCCTGCTCCATTTACCAATGTTATCTCAATATTTAATCATTTTTGCAGACACGGGTCTCAATTTATAAAAAGAAATGACATCACTATTTTAGAGAACCATTAAGGGATAAGAAGAGAATCTTTTCATACATGAATAATCACACCCAAACTCATTTTACAAATAGATTTTCTTAAAATAAGAATACTTATTCAGGCCGGGCCCCCGTGGCTCACACCTGTAATCCCAGCATTTTGCAAGGCTGAGGTGGGGGATTCCTCCCTGACCTCAGGAGTTCAAGACCAGCCTGGGTAACATAGAGAGACCTGCATCTCTACAAAAAAAAAAAAAAAAAATTAAAATTAGTCAGGCATGGTGGCACGTGCTTGTAGTTCCAGCTACTTGGGAGGCTGAGGCAAGAGGATTGCTTGAGCCCAGGAATTTGAGGCTGCCGTGAGCTATGATTGTGTCACTGCACCCCAGCCTGGGTGGCAGAGCAAGACCCTGTCTCAAGAAACAAAAAAGCAAAAAAAGAATACTTTTCAGGATATAGCAGTAAGTTCCCAAGCCAGTAAATAACTTAACTGGTACTGATATTAACACTACTTTTTCTATTGTTTCTCATAGCTATCAAAAGCTACTAAAAGGTTTACATATATTGGTAATAAGCAAAATGACCTCTGAATGAAATTAAGAGGGTAGGATCTAGACACACTGGTGGGTCTTAAGGTTTCTCAGCATTGTCTGGCCATGCTGAATTTTTGCTTTAGTATCTCAGATGCGGTGCAGAAAAATGGAAGGTCCACACTTTTACTCCTCTCCATCAGCAGGAGCATCTGAACACAGGGCTTTATACTAGATATGACCAACTGCATTCAAAATTTTCATGAACAGTAACCAGTAAAAGCATTACCCACAAAAAAATCCCCTTACATTCAAAGAATGCCAGATGAAGAATAAAATGAACAGCTGGGCGCGGCAGCGCTTGCTTGTAATCCCAGCTATGCAGAAGGCTGAGGCAGGAGAAACGCTTGAACCTAGAAGGCAGAGGTTGCAGTGAGCGGAGATCGCTCCACTGCACTTCAGCCTGGGTGACAGAGCAGGACTCCATCTCAAAAAAAAAAAAAAAAGAGTAAATTGAAAAGTAGAGCTGGTATGTTTTTCATCCAATTACTGGGTTTTTATCAGGCCCATGGCCTAATCTGTAAATTTTAGGGCCTAATTAATATTTATTTTTCACGGCCCTTACCAAAGACAGCCAAATAAAGTTTGGCAGTTTGGGTGGATACATACTAGGCTCTTACGAAAAAATACTAAATGAGGTGATTTCTTTTTTGCCTTTTCAATAACAAATATATTTCAGCAGAAAGACTGCATTTATCACATTAACTAATAGTTTTCTCTGGAAATTGAGTCCGCACTTTAAGGAGTCCAACAACTTAAATATACTTAATAAAGCTCCTGTGCTGAAATTCCCATTTACTGTAAATAAGTAAAAGAACAATGTGCCCTTCCTCTGCAACTCCCTCAAACCAAACATCCTCCTATACTTTTCTCAATCTACTGCCTGGAGAAGCACAGCTCACCTTTAGAGCACACCCCTCATTAAGGTCATTCCCACTCAGATCATTTTGGAGGGAAGAATTAAAGCATCCAAGTAGCTAAATCCCGGCTGCTGCTGATTTGTATGCTCCAAGGGAGGAGATGGCTTAAAAGCAGGAGTGTCAAAGGAAAATAAAATGGAAAATTAAAGTAGTTCAATTGCCATGAAAAACTATTTAAAGTGTGGCATTTTCTCCTTTTCACCTTTGCAGAATTCATCTAGTTGAAAATACTTGGCTCATGCCTGTAATCCCAGCACTTTGGGAGGCCGAGGCAAGTGGATGACCTGAGGTCAGGAGTTCGAGATCAGCCTGGCCAACATGGTGAAACCCCATCTCTACTTAAAATACAAAAATTAGCTAGGCATGGTGGGCGCCTGTTATCCCAGCTACTCGGGAGGTTGAGGCAGGAGAATCACTTGAACCCGGGAGGCAGAGGTTGTAGTGAGCCGAGGTCATGACATTGCACTCCAGTCTGGACAACAAGAGCAAAAACTCCATCTCAAAAAAAAGAAAGAAAGAAAAATTTCTAAAGTGATGTAAACATTTTTTACAAGTCTGTAAAGTATTGACTGAAAACCAGTGTAGTACAAATGTATATAGAAGTGTTGGGTTGTAAAGGAGTGATGAGAGTGGAGGCTGACTGAAGAAACTCTTCAGGTGAGCTAAAAATAATAAAAACCCTTACTAGATCCAAAGAGTCGGGTTGCACTGCTACCCAAAGTTAAGAAAATGCCCCCGCCCCCCTTTTCTTAAGACAGACCAAGACTCTGTCTCCAAGGCTGAAGTGCAGTGTTGCCATCATGGCTCACTGCAGCCTCAACCTCCCAGGCTCAAGAGATCCTCCCACCTCAGCCTCCTCAGCAGCTGAAAATGGCCTTGGTGGCTCCTCTCTCCTTAAGATCTTAGGATTTGTACCAACTCATCAGTAGTTTTACAATCTGCACAGTACTTGTACATCTCATTTCATCCCCACACCAACCCTACCAGGCAAGGATCACTGGCCTCATTTAACAAGATAAAGATGAGGATACTCCTAGTTTTGCTGAGTCCTTTAAGACGGCTCAGTTGAAAAAGTAATAGTGCCAGGGCTTAAACCCTCATCTCTAACACCAAAGCCTAAGCTCTTCCTGTTAACAGTACATAAAATTCAAACCCAAACCACAAAATTGCTGGGGAAAAAAAAAAAAACTAAAACTTCTTTAACCCACCAACTACACAGAGGATGATCTTCCGAAGTTCTCTTCCTTACAACTCATCACATCTTTTGAATGGTATTTTAATAACTAGCATTCTATTTATTTTCTATTCTTGGTCCATTGTACCACCTTACGAGAAGTTAAGAGTAATCTAAAATTTAAGGTAGGTCTCTAAACTATCAACAAAACACTATTAATGTACCTAAAATGAAAACTTGCGAATTCCAGGGCTAAATGATTCAAACAAATGTTAATAGAAAAGGAGGGCACCAATCTGACCATTAGCCAATTTAAAAATTTACGCATTACTTGTTATACATAATCAGGGCAACTTTAAGACGCCATTCCAGGCAGATTTGGGGTAGTAGGCGGCTGGCTTTTAGCTAACTCTGCTTAGCTGCGGGGTAAATGTCAAAGGTCAGCCCCATGGCGAATCTCCCTAAGCCCCCTGTCGCAACCGAAGCCGATGGAATCAACAAGACAAAGATGCTCCTGACCCACTGGCTAGAATCGTGAAGAAAACGCTAATCCATGTCAAATGCACATAAGGAAATTTTTCCATGCAGAGACCAGACAGGGGAAAAGGGGAAGGGAGAAGGAGAAAATACAGGGTTCGACCCGGGCCATCGGAAGACAACCAAGCGCTGACTTGGGGGTAAGCCCTGGACTAGGGGCCTGTAGACCAGGTTCGAGCGCTCACACTCGCTAACTGCGGAGCCTTGGCCAGCCTCAGTCTCCGAGTCTACAAAACAAGGATAATCATAAAGGGCTCCCACCCGCCTCACCGAGGGCTGTGAGGCTCTTCCGAGACAGAGGACATGGAGCCATTTCGTAAACCGGAGCGCACGGTACAGACAAGAAACTGTTATCCGGCCCAGCAGCTGCGAGACCCCCGAGCGGAATGCAAGTGGACCCCAGGCAAAGAGGACAGCAGGGGACGGAGCAGATCTGGCCAAGTTGTCCCGTCCCCGCCCAGAATCAGCCCCGCGGCCCCACAGAACCGCCTGCGTGTCACTTCCCCCCCACCCAACCCCGCCAGGGCCAGCCTCCGCTCCGACCTCCCCGCCTTCCGTCCCAGCCCCTCGAGCCCCAACTCCCCTCCCCGACGCGACCCTCAGACTCACGGCCTGAGGGGCTCCTCCGGCAAAACAGCGGCTGGCTCGGACCCTCCCTCAGAGCACACTAACCAGCAGCACCCGGGACCGCCAGCTACTCGCCGGATGTACGTCACACCCCTCCCCGGGACTTCCGGGCGCGTAATGGGCCCCGCCCCCTCACAGCGTTACGCCTCTCTGCCCCGGTGCCGTCCCACCAGCGACTCGGGCCGCGGAGGGGCGGGCATAAGGCGTGACAAAGCGCGCTCGGGGTCTGGCCCCGCCTCGGCCCCGCCTGCTCCCGTCTGGCTAGCTGACCGCGCGAGACGTGGCAGCGCCGGAACCCTGGGTCCGGGGCTGGGTCCTGGAGTCCCTGAGCGGCCTGGTACACTCGGGATCGCGGCTTCCCATTCCAGACGCACCAGGAAAGTCAGAAGTGGGTACCGACGGTGACATAGGTCCTGGGAAAGATGAGTTGACCTTGGGGCCCTCCACTTGAGGTGGATCCCTCCAAGCTTTTGCTTTTTTTCTTCCTTGCTTTTTTTTTTTTTTTTTTTTTTTTTGAGGCGGAGTCTCACTTTGTCGCCCAGGCTGGAGTGCAGTGGCGCGATCTCGGCTCACTGCAACCTCCACCTCCCGGATTCAAGCGATTCTCATACCTCGGCCTCCCGAGTAGCTGGAACTACAGGCGCATGTCACCACACCTGGCTAATTTTTTTGTATTTTTACAGAGACAGGTTTCACCGTGTTGGCCAGGCTGGTCTCGAACTTCTGACCTCAAGTGATCCGCTGGCCTCGGCCTTCCAAAATGCTGGGATGAGAGGCGTGAGCCACCGCGCCCAGCTGCTTTTGCTTTGAGTCGCACTTCCTTGCCCTGGGGTGGCCTATGTTTTAGAAAAACAGAAAAACAGCTAATATTTATTGTGCACTTATGTTCCAGGCAGAGCACTGGGTACTTTGCACGCTTTGTCTAATTTCACCGTCATTGGAGTCCTGTGACTCCAGATGCTAGTATTATCCTTATTGACAAATGAGAGAGCAATGTTCAGAATAACCTACCATGCCCAAGTTCACACAGCTAAGTGGCAAAGCAACGTGTTCACCCCAGTATATTTCGCATGCATTTTCTCATTTAATTCTCAGGACAGTCCCACGAGATTGGTACTATTATTACTCTCATTTTACAAATAAAACAGTCTAATGGAAAGATGAATGACGTCTGTGGGTTCATGAAGATCTCAATTCTCCTTTAGTAAAATTTAAATTTAACATAATCCCAATAAAAGTACTAATAGGATTAATAGGTCGTGTGTGGTTTCGTTCTTTTTTTTTAATTACCCTATTTGTTCCTAAAATTCGTATAGAAAACCAAACAAAACTAGTCCAGAAACAGGCTTTCAAAATGAAGAACAAGGAGGTGGGAACTAACCCTGTTGGATATTAAAACATATTATAGAGCCTAAGTTATTAAAACTGGTGTGCGTGCACATGCACAAACACACACACACAAAAAACACAATGGAACAGAGCAAAGTACAGAAATGACTAAAGTACATGCAGAAATAAAACTAAAGTAGCACCTGGGACTCCAGCAATACTCAGGGAGCTGAGTGGGCAAGCTCACCACCCTCTACCCTCCGCTCATCCTGGGGTCTTAGATGTTGAATTTGAACCCTGTCCTGTCACAGAAAGGTGTCAGGCCACTTCTGAGGCTTCTCACCAGCTTTAGCTAAACCAGGGACAATGTGTCCATGGGGCTTGGAACCCCTTGTGCATCCTGGAGACACAGATGCAAGCCCAGTGCAAGCCAACACATTGGATTACTGGCTTTGTTGAGAGCCTGGCTGCACGAGGTGGAGGTGTCTGAACCACAGGATGGCTTGGGAGGCTGGGGAAGGAGGGAACATGCAGGCAGATTCTCAGAAAAGCCGCAAACTCTACTTACCTAAAGGCTTGAGCAAGTTGACGAATGCCCCAGACCACCATGTACCCACTGTAAAATGGGTGAAACAGGCATTGTTGTGCACATAGTTTTTCCAGAGTACTGTTTTCAATAAATGATTCTGTTATGTGTTGTTAAATAAATTAATAAATAATAAAAGGGGTTGAGACAATTGGGTAGTCAAAAAAACCTACAGGTTGAATCTCCAAAAGTTTATTACTCTAAACAAGTTTCAAGTGATGAAAAGATGTGTGTATTTTGAAATGACACTATAAAGGTACTAGAAAAACAGAAGAAAGCATGGATTCCTTATAATTTTGCAATGAGAAGACCTTTCTGGGTATGATTGAAAATCTAGACCGGGCGTGGTGACTCATGCCTGTAATCCCAGCGCTTTGGGAGGCTGAGACTGGCGAATCACAAGGTCAGGAGTTCGAGACCAGCCTGGCCAACATGGTAAAACCCCATCTCTACTACAAATACAAAAAATTAGCCAGGCGTAGTGGCAGGCGCCTGTAATCCCAGCTACTTGGGAGGCTGAGGCAGGCGAATCGCTTGAACCCCTGCGGCAGAGGTTGCAGTGAGCCGAGATCACACCACTGCACTCCAACCCCGGGCAACAGACTGAGACTCCATCTCAAAAAAAAAAAAAAAAAAGAAAGAAAAGAAAATGTAGATGCCATAAAAGAAAAGATTGACAAATTTAACTACATAAAAATTAAAAACTTATATGGCATAACAACAATCATGACACCATAAGCAAACTCAGACAAATGACAAGTTGAGAAAAATAATCACATCATAGGCAAGTAAGAAGTATGAAAAAGACTAACAACACAATAGGAAAATAGGCAACAGTTCAGAACAGATAATTCATAGGAAAGGAAATAAAAATGACTTTTCTTTTTTTTTTTTTTTTCTGAGACCTAGTCTCACTCTGTCACCCAGGCTGGAGTACAGTGGCGGTCTCGGCTCACTGCAACCTCTGCCTCCAGGATTCAAGCGATTCTCCTGCCTCAGCCTCCTGCATAGTTGGGATTACAGGCATGAGCCACCGAGCCCGGCTAATCTTTGTATTTTTAGTAGACATGGTCTTTGTATTTTTAGTAGAGATGAGGTCTCACCTTGTTGGCCAGGCTGGTCTCAAACTCCTAACCTCCAGTGATCCGCCCGCCTAGGCCTCCCAAAGTGCTGGGATTACAGGCATGAGCCACTGCGCCTGGCCCAAAAATGACTCAAGCATAATAAAATAGTAATAGAAATATAGATACTATAGAAAATATAAATATAGATATTATAGAATAATAGATATAGAAAATATATAAATCCATTTATTTGTCTATGTATCTCTGTATAGTTATATCTATACTGAAATAGAAATAGATTTTAAAAAATAAAAGATAAATTTGAAACTTACTGAGATACCATTTTCACCTGTCAGATTGGCAAAAGTTCACCAGTTTATTGGTGGGAAGGCTGTTTCAGATAGAGAAGTCAGACTGGGCATGGTGGCTTATGCCTGTAATCCCAACACTGGGAGACCGAGGCAGGAGGGTCGCTTGAGCCCAGGAGGTTGAGGGTACAGTGAGCCATGATTGCACTCCAGCCTAGGCAACAGAGCGAGACCTTGTCTCTAAATTAATTAATTAATTAACTAAATCAAATACAGAAGTCAAGAAAGGCCCCACCCAGGTGCTATTTGGATAAGAACATGAAGGACATTACATGGCTGTCAGGGTAGACTGTTCCAGGCTGACAGCAGAGGCCCTAAGGCAGGAGTGTGCCTGGCAGTTTCCAGGAACATCTGGGAGGCCAGTGTGACCAGGCAAGGTGAGCAACAGAAGGAGTGGTAGGAAATGGGGTGAGGTGTTTGTGGTCAGAACTGTGGAGGTTCTGGGGTTCTACCTAACTTGCAGGTTAACAGGTTAGCCTGACACAGTCTCAGATGCTGGCAGTCACAGGACTCCTGGATCAGAGACAAACTATGTTATTACTTCCGGCATAGCGAGCAGCATGAACTTCCTGTTTGTGTTACTTCCACTTGCCCCTTCCTCCCTCCTCCTTTCTGAGGACAATGGGGTGACACAGAGCAGTCTGAATGGACACTGCCCATTCGATGGTGTGCAACACAGCTGAGGAACCCAGAACTTAGGGAACCCAAATCTTTCATAATGGCTGCAAGCGGACCTGCCTGAACTCTGACCCAGTGGGAAATGGTATGACACTGGGCAGTATACAGACCTGTCCCCTGCACCAGAGGGACACTGTCTTCCAAGGCTGTTCATTATATAAATGTCCTTCAAAAGATAGTCCAAACAAAGGCAGCTGGCACCTCTGTTTGAAAGAAGTGCAAAAATCAAAGAGCTTCATGGAGAATTGTCTCTTAACAGGAGGCAAATCTTGAAAGCCTTGTAGGTGAGGACTTTAGCTTTTATTTTTGGTGACCTGAAGAACCAATGGAGGGTTTGAGGGGAGGCATCTTATGTAATTCTTCCCCCGACTGTATGCTTACTCCTTTACATATTCTCAGCATTAGATAGACAGGGTTATTCCCACCCTTGCCAGCATCTGCTTTCCCCCTTTTCTCTTTGAGTACCTCTTTCTCCCTTCTTTGCAGAGGCTTTTTAGGCTTTGGCTCTGGTGTGGAGGAGCAGTTTTAGTGATAACTTTGCAGATCTTCTCCGTGGTTTGTCCTTCACCTTGGCTTTAACTTCCTTAGCATCCCCTTCAGCCTTTTTCTTGGGCTTGATGCAGTGGAGGTGGGGAATACGCACTGCCTGCAAGGATGCAGCCAATACCAGCTTTGGTTTGTCCAGGAGTTGCTGTCACTTGTTCTTCATATTACTCTTTATTTTTCCTTTTTTTATCCTGCTTGATAAAAAATCTTTCTTATTTTTTAGAGGCAAATTCTTGCTATGTTTCCCAGGCTGGACTCAAACTCCTGGGGCTCAAATGATCGTCTTGCCTGGGCCTCCCCAAATGTTGAGATTATGGGCGTGAGCCACTATGCCCAGCTAGCTCTGGTTTTTGTTTTTGTTTTTTTTTTTCTCACTCTGTGCCTTAGGCTGGAGTGCAATGGCATGATCGTAGCTCACTGCAGCCTCAAACTCCTGGGCAAGGGATCCTGCTGCTTCAGCCTTTCAGGTAGCTAGGACTACAGACGTGTGCTAGAATGCCTAGCTGATTTTTAAAAAATATTTTGTACAGATAAGTTCTCTCTATATTGCCCAGGCTGGTCTCAAGCTCTTGACCTCAAGTGATCCTCCCGCCTCGGCCTCCCAAAGTGCTGGAATTACAGTCATGACACACTGCTCCCAGCCCTCTGCTCTGCTTTTTAATGTGTGTTAAATGCATTGGTTTGGTAAGCATAGACATTTAAACATATTTAAATGTAGACATTTAAAACATTTAAAGTATTCCATGACTTTCATGACCCTCTTTTGGCATATCTTCAATTTGACAAGTACTGGGCATCTTGAGAAATTCCATCCTTTCCTGATCTTGGAAAATCTCAGCCTGAGAAAGCCAGGATGCCGGCTGTGTCCTGCCTCCACAGCTCTCACATCAGACCCAAAGACCAGAAAAGTGGTCTTTAATTTCCTCACTCCCCAGAAACAGCACTGCTTTCTGGAATTCTCACCCACCTCCACTAAAATGGGGCATCCAAATGGAATCTTAAGATGGTTCGGGCCATGGCTGGTCACGGTGGCCACCATGCCCAGGCTTCAGCCACCACGCCCAGCTAATTTTTGTAATTTTAGTAGAGATGGGATTTCACTACGTTGGCCAGAATGGTCTCTATCTCTTGACTTTGTGATCTGCCCCCCTCGGCCTCCCAAAGCGCTTGGATTACAGGCGTGAGCCACTGCACCCAGCCTAGCTAGTCTTCTTTTTTTTTTTTTTTTTTTTTTAGATGGAGTCTTGATCTGTCCCCAGGCTGGAGTGCAGCGGCGTGATAGCAGCTCACTGCAACCTCCGCCTCCTTGGTTCAAGTGATTCTTCTGCTCAGCCTCCCAAGTAGCTGGGACTACAGGCATGTGCCACTACACCCAGCTAATTTTTTTGTAATTTTTTAATAGAGACGGGGTTTCACCATGTTGGCCAGGATGGTGTCGATCTGTTGACCTCATGATCGGGCTCCCAAAGTGCTGGGATTACAGGCATGAGCCACGGCGCCCAGCCCCATCTAGTCTTTTTAAAGCAGGATAGAGATGATAGAGGCTAACCTATGCTACACCTGCCTGGTGTCCAGGAGAAAAATAACCTGTAATAGTAATGGAATTCCACTGTACAGGCAGAGTTGGGGGAGATGACTGTGATCTCTTTTGGTGCTAGTGTTATGGATGATTCATATTTGTACCATGATGCAAACATATATTAAAAGTCTAGTCATCGGACACTTAAAATTGGTTAAGATGGTTAAAAAAATCTAGTCATCAGAAACATTACGGGTGAAAAGTACAGTTGATGCATCTGTTCACCTTACAGGGTGAACGTAACTCCTACAATGTACTACATTGATAATAGTGACACTAATTTAATCATAATTTCTAATTAAAAAGCATTAGTTGAGGTCTCCAGCCAATTCAAGAAGCACTGAGTTTTATTATGCAACAATAATAAAACTATCTTTCCTCAAACTGCAGAAATTCCAACTACCTCCATGCAAAAAAGGAGAAGAGAAAAAAAACCTGAATGAGGAAGCTTTATAAACTTGCCAATTATCATGTAACAGCTAGCTAGATTTAGTGGAATACTGAATTTGAGTAAACTCCAGTAATGTTCACGTTTTCCTTTGTGAATACTGAATTATGGTGATATATTGGTACATAACTATTTGCAAGGAAGAAATAGAAGAGACTATTTGCTTCTAGGAAGGAGTGAAAGAATTTGCAGTTTTAGGCCAGACACGGGGGCTCACACCTGTAATCCCAGCATTTTAGGAGACTGAAGTGAGAGGATCACTTGAAGCCAGGATTTTGAGACCAGCCTGGGCAACATAGTGGGACCCTACCTTTACAAAAAAAGTTGTGCATTTTTAGATTAATTAATTCATTCAATATTTATGAAACACATGTTATATGTGAGGACCTATGCTAGGCACTGGGAATAGGTAATGGGGAACAAAAGAGATGGGGTCCCTAAACTCATAGAGCTTACAGTCTAGCAGCACTTGGAGATCATCTCCTAGTTTTTAATTTATTTTTAATTTTTTTATGTGTATATTATGTATTTATTTTGTGACAGGGTCTCACTCTGTCACCCAGGCTGGTGCAGTGGCACAAACACAGCTCACTACCTTGATGTCCCAGGTTCAAGTGATCCTCTCACCTCAGTCTCGCAAGCAGCTGAGACCACAGGTACATGCCATCATGCCCTGGCTCAATGTTTTTTTAAGAGATAGGGTCTTGCTATGTTGCCCAGGCTAGTCTCATACTCCTAGGCTCAAGGTATCCTCCAGCCTTGGCCTCCCAAAGTGTTGAAATTATAGGTAAAGCCATCTCACCTAGCTGGCCCCCTAGTTTTAATGGCCCAACTGGAAGACTTTCTTACCCCTCAGAGGCTTTTGGACCCTGCTTTAAGAATCACCACACTGGGCCAGGTGCAGTGGCTCACGTCTGTAATCCCAGCACTTTGGGAGGTTGAGGCAGGCAGCTCACTTGAGCTCAGAAGTTCAAGACTAGCCTGGGCGACATGACAAAACCCAATCTTTACAAAAAACACAAAAATTAGCTGGGTGTGGTGGTGTGCACCTTGCAGTACCAGCTACTCGGGAAGCTAAGGTAGGAGGATGGCTTGAGCCCGGGAGGTGGAGGTTGCAGTGAGCTGGGATCACTCCACTGAACTCCAGCCTGGGCGACAGAGCCAGACCCCATCTCAAAATAAATACATAAATAAATAAATAAATAACTACACTGCTTTGTAGTCTCCTTTACTGCTCCTATGGTGCCACCCAATAAATAGCTGAGAAGATGAAGGTGTCCAAATGGCGTGTCATACCATGGCTACTCCAGTATTTATAGAGCAGTCATACACTCAAGAAATACACTTGAATATTTTCTGATAAGAAGAGTTTAAGGGTAAAAAGTGGATATGTTATCAAACAGCATTCCACATAACTAACATTCCTTAAAATTCTTCCGTACCCATTACAGAAATAAAACCATATTCCTTTCTAATTTTAAAAACTCTTGATGCCTCTTCAGGGCCTCTTTAAAGTCCAGGATCTCCTTAGCAGGGGAGCACAGAGCCTTTGTTAAGCATGAGGCTCCTGCTTCTTTTCTTGCCTGCCCTTCTTCTGTTCTCCAACTTGTACCCAATGTCCCAGCTTTCTAGAATACACTAGGGTTCTGGAACATATCACATGGAGTGGATTAAGCATTCGTGTTCAACAGTACATCCCTATTATCTTTATACCAGTTTAAAAGAATTAGGTATACTGACAAAGTAATAACATGAGATTTCAAAATGTATACAAAGTATAATCTTATGCCTCTTCAAAAAACACACACACAAAATTATACTTTTACATATGTTCAAATATGTGTATAAAGACATAGAGAAAAATCTAGAGAGATTTTTATCAAACTGATAACAGTGTTTATAAGAAGGGAGTGGGATTAACAGCAATCAAGATAGAATTTTTTTATCTGTATTTTTGAAATTTTTAAAAATGTATTTTAATCTTTTGTAGAGGTGAGTTCTCACTATATTGCACAGGATGGTCTCGAACTCCTGGGCTCAGGGGATCCTCCCATCTCGGCCTCCATAACTGCTGGGATTACAAGCATGAGCCACTATACCTGGCTGAAATTTTTTAACATACTAGTATTTGTGTAATTTAAAAAATAAACAGGCTGGGCACGGTGGCTCATGCCTGTAATCCCAGCACTTTGGGAGGCCGAGGCAGGTGGATCCTGAGGTCAAAAGATAGAGACCGTCCTGGCCAACATGGTGAAACCGCATCTCTACTAAAATACAAAAATCAGCTGGGCATGGTGGCACACGCCTATAGTCCCAGCTACTTGGGAGTCTGAGGCAGGAGAATCGCTTGAACCCAGGAGGCAGAGGTTGCGGTGAGCCAAGATTGCGTCACTGCACTCCAGCCTGATGACAGAGCAGGACTCTGTCTAAATAAATACATAAATAAAACAATAGTGAATACATGACACGATGCATTTGTCAAAAGCCATAGTCCATTATAGGACAAAGATTGAACTTTAACATATGCAAATTTTAAAAAATCCTTTAGAGATCAGGGGATCCTAGAAAAGATGCAGAATCTGAGAAAAAAAAACTATATTATAAATGTATGAACAACCTTACTGAAGCAGGTAGGCAGAAAAGGTGCTGAACTAAGTCACTTTGGAAATGACTGAAGTCTGTAAGACTAAAGGCAAAAGGAATACACATAAACACTATATTCCAGTTGATCAGGTTGTTTCCCACAGGGTTTGTAAAGGCCAACAATTTGGAAACCATTATAAAATTTGGAAACCCCTATGTATACTGGAATTTACCAATTAAGCAAATGGATGGTGGATGATGGGAGCAGGTGAAAACTCACTGTTGGAGTGTGAGGTTATAGATAAGCGAGGAGAGAAGAGGCTACAATGATCCATGTAGTAATGGATTGGAGTTGGAGATATCAGTATGAATTCATGCTTAGTGTGATATAGACAGAAATGTATTTATAGATATGTTTATATATATGTCAATATACACATATATATTTCCTTGCTATGTCAGCTGAGAAGGCATAGAAACAACAACAACTCAGTAGCAGTGAGCACCCTAGTGCCCAGATCTTGGTTTCTAATACCATTCTCCAAGGAAAGGAACCAGGGCTTCTTGGGAAAATGACTGATTCTAGGGCTGGGGCAGGGAATATACAAGATGAGCCTGGAACACCTTGTGCCAAAAAGTATAGAAGTATCCCCATATCCAAAAAACACCCAGAATGAGGGGATCAATGAGACAAGCAACTGAAAGAGCTCCCAGCGGCCAAAGCTGGCATAATTTAAGCAACAAAATAAATTTTAAAATAGCTTTGGATTAGAACCTAAAGTATAAGATAGATATCCATGAGTCCATATGGACATAAATAAATAATTGACTGAATAGATAGCTGGGCATGCTGGCTCACATGTGTAATCCCAGCATTTTGGGAGTCCAAGGTAGGAGGACTGCTTGAGGCCAGGAGTTTGAGAAAGCCTGGGCAACACAGCAAGATCCCATGACTACAAAAAACTTAAAAAATTAGCCAGGCATGATGGTGTGAACCTGTAGTCCTAGCTAGTCTGGAGGCTGAGTTGAGAGGATTGCTTGAGCCCAAGAGGTCCAGGCTGCAGTTAGCTATAATCAGGGCACTGCACTCCAGCCTAGGTGACAAAGCAAGACCCTGTCTCAAAAACAAAGAAACAATAAATAGATAAATGAAGAAGAACAGACATATCTTCCATGGAGAAGAATTCCAAATAATTAAGGTAAATAGTCTACCCTCAAGGAGGTGGAGTGTAACTCCCCATCATGTCTGGGCTACACACAGTGACATCCTTCTAAAGAGAACAGTGTGGAAAGGGGATGAGGGGGAGAATATAATTACAGCAGAGAAACATGACAATCACAATCTCAGCCAGGTGATGAAGTTTAACACCTCCAGTGATATGCCATGTTGATAGTACATGCCCTTCATATGATATGATGAGAATATCACTTTATTCGTATGATCTTCCTCCTCCCAACACATATCCCCAGTCTAATCATGAGAAAAATATCAGACAAATCTCAACTGAGAGATGTTCTATAAAATACCTGACCATACTCCTCAAAGATAGAGTCATCAAAAATGAGGAAAGCGGCCAGGTGCGCTGGCTCACGCCTGTAATCCCAGCACTTTGGGAGACCAAGGCGGGTGGATCGCCTGAGGTCAGGATTTCAAGACCAGCCCGGCCAACATAGTGAAACCCCCTCTCTACTAAATACAAAAAATTAGCCAGGCATGGTGGCACATGACTGTAATCCCAGCTACTTGGGAGGCTGAGGCAGGAGAATCGCTTGAACCCAGGAGCGGAGGTTGCAGTGAGCCAAAATTGTGCCATTGCACACTCTAGCCTGGGCAACAAGAGTGAAACTCTGTCTCAAAAAAAAAAAAAAGGAAAGTCTAAGAAATAGTAACCACTAAGAAGAAAATAGGAGATAGGACAACTAAATATAGTATGGTATCTCAGCCTGGCACAGTAGCTCATGCCTGTAATCCCAGCAGTTTGGGAGGCTGAGGCGGGCAGATCACCTGAGGTCAGGAGTTCGAGACCAACCTGACCAACATGGTGAAACTCCATCTCTACTAAAAATACAAAATTAGCCAGGTGTGGTGGCATACACCTATAATCCCAGCTACTTGGGAGGCTGAGGCAAAATAATCACTTGAACCCAGGAGGCGGAGGTTGCAGTGAGCCAAAGATTGTGCCATTGCACTACAGCCTGGGTGACACAGCAAGACTCCATCTCAAATAAATAAATAGAGTATGGTATCTCAACACATTAAAAGACATTAGGTAAAAAACTAAGGAAATCTGGGTCAGGTGCAGTGGCTCACGCCTGTAATTCCAGCACTTTGGGAGACCAAGGCGGGTGGATCACCTGAGGTCAGGAGTTCGAGACCAGCCTGACTAACATGGAGAAACCCCATCTCTACTAAAAAAATACAAAATTAGCCAGATGTGGTGGCACATGCCTATAATCCCAGCTACTCGGGAGGCTGAGACAGGAGAATCAATCGAACCTGGGAGGCGGAGGTTGCGGTGAGCCAAGACCGCGCCATTGCACTCCAGCCTGGGCAACAAGAGCAAAACTCGATCTCAGAAAAAAAAAGAAAAAAAAAAAAAAAACTTAAGGAAATCTGAAAAAAGTATGGGCCTTAATTAATAATGTTGACATACCTCAGGCTAGGAGTGGTGCTCACACCTGTAATCCTAACACTTTGGGACACCAAGACAGGAAGATCACTTGAGCCCAAGAGTTCACGATCAGCTTGGGCAACATAGTGAGACTCTATCTCTACAAAATAAAGCCAGTGTGATGGCTTGCACCTGTGGTCCCAGCTATTTGGGAGGCTGAGGTGGGAGGGCTGCTTGAGCCTGAGAGGTTGAGGCTGCAGTGAACCAAGATCGCACCATTGCACTCCAGCCTGGGCAACAGAACAAGACCTTGTCTCAAGAAAAATAATAAAAATTTTAAAAATTAAAAATATACATATTTTAAATGTATCAATATTGATTCATTAATTGTAACAAGTGTACCATAGTAACGTGAGATGTGAATAACAGGGAAATGGGGTGGGGCACACAGCAACTTTCTGTACTACTGTCTTCACAATTTTTCTGTAAATCTAAAAATGTTTTAAAATTAAATTTTTATTTAAACATAAATTAATAAAACTACTTCAGTCTCACCTCTCCCCCACAAAGAACCTTTGTTGGGGACAGCAACTGTCAAGGGGGAAGGATAGAGGCAGAGGAGCATAGGCAAGAAAAAAGAAAAAGATTGAAAGGGAGAGAGAATAATAGAGAAAGAGGAGTATGTGATTGTGTGTATACATTTATGTTAAATTACAACTATCTGTGGGGAGGTAAAAGATTATAACTTTTTTTGAAAAATGGGTTCTGGAATCAGACAACCTGCATTTGAGTCTCAGTTTTTCCACTAACTAGCTCTGTAAATTTCAATAACTTACTTAACCTTTCTTTGTATAAAATGGATAATAATAGTGTCTACTTCATTATAGTGCCTCCAGTCGTTAACACAGTTCCTGGTATGTGGTGGGTGCCTAATAAAATTTGTTCAGACCTGGTGCGGTGGTTTACACCTGTAATTCCAGCGTTTTGGGTGGCCAAGGCAGGAGGATCACTTGAGCCCAGGAGGTCAAGACTAGCCTGGGCAACACAGTGAGACCTTGTCTCTACAAAAAATAAAATTAGCTGCGAATGGTGGCACATGCCCATACTCCCAGCTACTTGGGAAGCTGAGGCTGGAGGATGGCTTAAGCCTCAGAGGTTTACGCTTCAGTGAGCCCTGATCACACCACTGCACTGTAGCCTAGGGGACAGAAGGAGATCCTGTCTCAGAGACAGAGAGAAAGAAGGAAGGAAGGAAGGAGGGAGGGAGGGAAGAAGGAAGGAAGGAAGGAAGGAAAGAAGGAAAGAAGGAAAGGAGAAAAGAGAAAGGGAGAAAAGAGAGAAAGGGAGAAGGAAGGAAAGAAGGAAGGAGAAAAGAAGAAGAAGGAGGAGGAGGAGGGGAGGAGGAGGAGGAGAAGGAGGAAGGAAGGAAGGAAGGAAAAAGAAATTTGTTTAATAATTGGCTGAGTGAATCAATGAATTAATATATAATTTATTTGGAGATTAAATAAGATTATATAATTTTAGTTTGCTAGCACAAACATTCAATAGATGTTGAGTATTACCATCCACATCCTCTTCAGCCTTTGGACTCCTTCCTGCCTCTGTACCTGTGAACAGGCTACCACTCTGCCTGGAGCACCTTCTACTTCTCCATCTTATTTGTCAAGACCCAGGTCAAGCAAGCCTCTATAGTCAGCCTTTCCCAGGTGGTCCTTCCCCACATTGCCTGCCTGCTTCCTTCCTATCACTGTAATACGTCTAATGTTCATACCTAATGACGAGGGGTGTGTAATGGCTTTGTTGATATATAATTCATATACCATAAAATTCACCCATTTAAGGTATACAATTCAGTGGTTTTTAGTACATATTCACAGAGTTGTGCAACCATCACCACAATTAATTTAGAATATTTTCAGCCGGGTACAGTGGCTCACATCTATAATCGCAGCACTTCGGGAGGCTGAGGCGGGAGGATCACTTGAGCTCCAGAGTTCAAGACCAGCTTGGGCAATATATAGTGAGACCCCATCGCTACAAAAAAATCAAACAATTAGCCAGGTGTGGTGGCTCACGCCTGTGGTCCCAGCTACTCAGAAGGCTGAGGCGGGAGGATGGCTTGAGACTAGGATGTCAAGGCTGCAGTGAGCTATGATCACACCACTGCATTCCAACCTTCTCTAAAAAAAAAAAAATTGAATATTTTCACCATTTCAGAAGGAAAACCTGTTAACAGTCACTCTACATCTTCTCTCACCTCAACCCAGCCTCTGGAAATCACGAGTCTACTTTTTGTCACTATAGATTTGCCTATTCTAGACTTTCACATAAATAGAATCATACACTGTTTGTCCTTTTGCGTCTGGCTTCTTTCACTTAGCATAATGCTTTTAAGGCTTGTCTGTGCTGCGGCATTATCCATGCTTCACTCCTTTTTATAACTGAATAATATTCTGTGGTATGTATACACCAAATTTTGTTCATCCATTCATTAACCGATGGATATTTGGGGTGTTTACACTTTTTGGCTATTATGGATAATACTCCTACGAATATTTGTGTACAAGTTTTTCTGTGAATGTATGTTCTCCTGGCTATATATCTAGGAGTGAAATTGCTGGGTCATATGGTAACTCTGTTTAACTTTAAAAATATATATATATATACACATATATATTTGTTTTTTCTTTTTAAGAGATAGGGTCTCTTTCTGTCACCCAGGCTGGAGTGCAGTAGTGCAATCACAGCTCGCTGTGACGTTGAACTCCTAAGCTCAAGTGAGACTCCAGCTTCAGCCTCCCAAGTAGCTAGGACTACCACCATGCTTCGCTAATTTTTTTTGAGATGGAATCATGCTCTGTTCCCCAGGCTGGAGTGCAGTGGTGTGATCTCTGCTCACTGCAACCTCTGCCTCCTTGGGTTCAAGCAATTCTCCTGCCTCAGCCTCCCAGGTAGCTGGGATTACAGGTGCCCACCACAACACCCAGCTAATTTTTGTATTTTTAGAAGAGATGGGATTTCACCATGTTGGCCAGCCTGGTTTCGAACTCCTGACCTCAGATCCGCCTGCCTCAGCCTCCCAAAGTGCCGGGTTTACAGGTGTGAGCCACCATGCCCGGCCCATGCCTGGCTAATTTTAAACATTTTTTGTAGAGATAGTATCTCGCTATGTTACCCAGGCTGGCCTCAAACTCCCAGACTTAGGCGATCCTCCCGCCTCAGTCTCCCAAACTACTGAGATTACAGGTGTTAGTCACTGTACCCCACCTATGTTCAACTTTTCGAGGAACTGACTAACTTTTCCAAAGTGGTTGCAGTATTTTACATTACCACCAGCAGTGTATGAGGGTTCCCGTTTCTCCACATCTACAATACGTGCTGTTTGTTTGTTTGTTTGTTTGTTTGAGACAGGGTCTTGTTCCGTTGTTTGTTTGTTTGTTTGTTTTTTGAGACAGGGTCTTGTTCTGTTGCCCAGGTTGGAGTGCAGGGCACAATCATGGCTCTTTACAGCTTTGTTCTTCTGGGCTTAAGCAATCCTCCTACGCCAGCCACCCAAGTAGCTGGGACTACAGGCAGGTGCCACCACGCCCAGCTAATTTTTACATTTTTTGTAGAGATGAGGTCTCATCATTTTGCCCAGGCTGGTCTCAAACTCGTGGGCTCAAGTGACCCCCCCAACCTTGGCCTCCCAAAGTGCTGGGATTACAGGTATGAGCCACCATGCCCATGATAGATTTTTACTACGAGTAGCACCTTACTAGTGAACCCCTTGAAGGCAAAGAGAGTGTAATTGTGGTATTCAGCCACCCCGGCTGTTATTAGCCCAGTGCCAGCATAGGGTCAACTTGCAACACATGCTCACCAGGTAGCAGAAAGCCCATCAGGTCCACATTCTGCTGCTAGTCAGGGGCTACTAGGAAGCAATATTCAGAGTACAGAGTAAGACACATGACTCAGAGAAATTCACAATATAGAGAAATGCAAGGTCCACAGGAAAAGTTTAGTCTTACCATGAAACCAAGAAAGCCTCTTCTTGGCGTTGTGCTCGCCACGTGCAGTCCACACCCCAGCCCCACCCAAAATCTTATTAGAAACGCACATTCTCAGGTGCCATTCCATATCTAGGAGATCAGAATCTCTGGGCAGGCGGCCTAGCAATTGGCTTTAACAGCCCTCCAGGTAATTCTGATGTTTGCTGGAGTTTGAGAAGCACAGTGTTACAGTATTCTTTTAAGGCTGAATTAGGCATTGTTAGGAGGAGGGGGAAAGTGGCTTTAATAAGCCAAGAGGTTTTAAAAATTTTTTATTATGTTCAAAATCCTGAGATTTGGGGCACTCTCATAAACAGGCGGGCAAGCCGGTAAGATCTTTCTGCAGGGCAATTTAACACATGTCCAGATCTTTGTCAATGTGCACACTTGTTGACCCTGCACTTCCACTTCTAGAAATTTATCCTCAGGAAAAAAGCCAGAGATATTCTCTGAGGTTTATTTATAATGACGTTCTCTTATTGCAGCATTATTTAAAATCAGAAGAAATTGGAAATAAACCAAAAGGTGAATCACTAGAGACTGAATACATGAACTGTTATCTTCATTACATAATTAATTGAGTCATTTTGTATAGTATTGAATAGCTTTATAAATGAAGAAGAGTTCACATTTAAGTTAAAATAAAAGGTTACAAAGGTGTAAATCAATTTCCCCATTTTTTAATTTTATTTTATTGTTTTATTTTATTGTATTTTATTTTGAGACGGAGTCTCACTCTGTCGCCCAGGCTGGAGTGCAGTGGCGCTATCTTGGCTCACTGCAAGCTCCACCTCCCGGGTTCATGCCATTCTCCTGCCTCAGCCTCCCGAGTAGCTGGGACTACAGGCGCCCGGCACCACGCCCGGCTAATTTTTTGTATTTTTAGTAGAGATGGGGTTTCACCGTGTTAGCCAGGATGGTCTCGATCTCCTGACCTCGTGATCTGCCCGCCTCAGCCTCTCAAAGTGCTGGGATTACAGGTGTGAGCCACCGCATCTGGCCGGCTATTTTTTTTTCTTTTTTTTTTTTTTATTATACTTTAAGTTTTAGGGTACATGTGCACAACGTGCAGGTTTGTTACATATGTATACATGTGCCATGTTGGTGTGCTGCACCCACTAACTCGTTATTTAACATTAGGTATATCTCCTAATGCTATCCCTCTCCCCATCCCCCCACCCCACAACAGGCCCCGGTGTGTGATGTTCCCCTTCCTGTGTCCATGTGTTCTCACTGTTCAATTCCCACCTATGAGTGAGAACATGCGGTGTTTGGTTTTTTGTCCTTGCGATAGTTTGCTGAGAATGCTGGTTTCCAGCTTCATCCATGTCCCTACAAAGGACATGAACTCATCATTTTTTATGGCTGCATAATATTCCATGGTACATATGTGCCATATTTTTATTTTATTTGAGACACAGTCTTGCTCTGTCGCCCAGGCTGGAATGCAGTGGTGTGATCTCGGCTCACTGCAACCTCAGCCTCCCGAGTAGCTGGGATTACAGGTGCATACTACCACGTCTGGCTCATTTTTGTATTTTTAGTAGAGACGGGGTTTCACCATGTTGGTCAGGTTAGTCTAGAACTCCTGACCTCAAGTGATCCGCCTGCCTCAGCCTCCCACAATTGCTGGGATTACAGGCGTGAGTCACTGTGCCTGGCCTGTTTTAGAAATATACATATATATACACACACAAAGACATGTGTCTCTATCTACAATTGATTCTTGCTATTTGCAATAGTTATGTTCTATAAAGTCACCCCAAACATTGAGTCTGCTTCCCTCTGCTGTTCCTTAGGAAAGAGAATTTGTTCAAAAAGAAGGGAGCCCAATTCTGCATACACTTTCCCCCTCAAATTCTTCCAGCAGATTTCTTTGTGGTTCCTACTGGCAGAGATTGCAGCCAGGCATGGTGGCTCAAGCCTGTAATCCCAGCACTTTGGAATGCCAAGGCAGGAAGATCCCTTGAGCCCAGGAGTTTGAGACCACCCTGAGCAATACAGACAGACCCCATCTCTACAAAAAATAAATGAATGAATTAGCCAGGCATGGTCGTGCATGCCTGTGGTCCAAGCTATGCAGGAGGCTGAAGTGGGAGGATCACTTGAGCATGGGAGGCTGAGGCTACAGTGAGCCATGATCACTCCACTGCACCCCAGCCTGGGTGATAGACCAAGACTGACTCAAAAAAAAAAAAAAAAAAAAAAAAACGCTACAGAAAGTAGAACAAGTCCTCGGGCACCCTCAGGGTCCTAGTCTGTAATTCTAGCACTTTGGGAGGCCAAGGTGGGCAGATCACCTGAAGTCAGGAGTTCGAGACCAGCCTGGCCAACATGGCGAAACCCCATCTCTACTAAAAATACAAAAAATTAGCCGGGCATGGTGGCACATGCCTGTAATCCCAGCTACTTGGGAGGTAGAGGCAGGAGAATCACTTGAAACCAGGAGGTGGAAGTTGCACTGAGCCGAGATTGCACCATTGCACTCCAGCCTGGGTGACAGAGCGAGACTCCATCTCAAAAAAAAAAAAGAGATTGCACACCTGTGACTGAGCACTAGACTAGGACCCTGAGGGTGCCCGAGGACTTGTTCTACTTTCTGTAATAATGACCTTAACTTTCTAACCCTGCACACTATCCCCATGGCAGGAACTGTGGAGTTAAAGCTACAGCAGGACACAGCATGACATTGTGAGGTCCCACCTTCCCCTGTCACATCCTCTGACAGAAGCTATGAACACATCCTGACATGGTGAAGGGTCATGACCAGTCTCTGTGGTCTGCAATTTCAGAATCATGCAAATATGGCTTTGAACTTTAATATCAGTTTCCCAATCACCCACCTTGTCCAGTTCAGTGGTAGAGAGGGTTTTTTTTCCCCCACTGCATCCTGCCCCACTGGACTATATCAAAATCGTGGGGATGTGACATCTTCCACATTAAAACATATGCACAAGGTGGGAGCCCACTACCTTGTTATCCAGAATAAGGAAACCGAGTCCCAGAGAAGTGAAAAGACCTGCCTGATGTCACAAAGGAGCCAGGGCCAGCATGTAGATCTTAGGACTTCCAGCACAGAGTTCTTCCCCAGAGTGTTCTCAACTTTAACTCCAGGAGTCTAGTGGCACAGTCATGACATGGAAGCCACCAATAGCAACTTGCCCTGAAATAGCACATTTTTCCTTCAAAATTCATGGAAAACTGGCATTTAAAATTGTAGCCTATGGCCAGGCACAGTGGCTCACGCCTGTAATCCCAGCATTTTAGAAGGCCAAGGCAGGTGGATCACCTGAGGTCAGGAGTTGGAGACCAGCCTGGCCAGCATAGTGAAACCCCATCTCTACCAAAAATACAAAAAGGTAGCCAGGCATGGTGGCAGGCACCTGTAGTCCCAGCTACTTGGGAGGCTGAGGCAGGAGAATTGCTTGAACTTGGGAGGCAGAGGTTGCAGTGAGTGGAGATCATGCCACTGCACTCCAGCCTGGGCAACAGAGCGAGACTCCATCTGAAAAAAATATTTTTTAATTTTTTTAAATAATAAAATTGTAGCCTATGAAGAACCTTGTCATTATTCACTCCCCAGTAAAATGGAAGCCCCAGGGCTTTGCATGGTGTCTACCCTGTGGCTTCAGTCTCCTTTGGCACACACTCTGTGTCCCTGTGGGGTGTAGAAATCCCAGTGTGGAAAGCCATGCACAGTGCCACGTGAAATGCCCACGCAGAACCTCTCTGTGGAATCAGGCAGTCACTAGGCTGCTGACTTTGTCACCTTGAGGAGCACAAAAAGGCAGTCCTGTTTGAAAAGCCATTCGAGAAGCAATCAGAAGGTTATTAACAGAGTTCCTGCTATGGGCAGTGCGGGACGTCAGGGGCATAAACATGACTGTGACATGGCCCCTGCTTGTGAGGAGCTGGCAGACTAGTCAGGGATATAAGTTCTGAAGTCACGATCCACTTTCATGAGGAGAGACAGAGAAGCAAGGAAATAGACTTGAATGTGCAGGAACGGGGCACAGCACCTCTGCCTGTCTCAACAGGGAAGGACAGGAGGACAGGCCCTAGGAAGAGGGCTCCGGTGCGTGGGGGCAGTGACAAGGAGCCACATGTCACATTTGAACATCCGCACTACGGTGACAAGTCTGCTTTAAGCCAGAGGAATGTTGGAGCTGGAACAGGCCTTCCAGAGTACTTGGGTCAACCTCTTCTTTTGCAGGTGTGGAACTCATGTGCTGAAGGTGATCCAGCTATTAAACCAGCATCACATGGCTTGCTGGGTGAACAACACAAAGAAGAAGAAGACTAACTCATCTCTGTGCAAGTGCCATGGGGCTAGGATCTGCATTTCCAGCCCCTAGCCTTGTGACAGACCCAAATAAGGAGCTCAGAGACCTCGGGTCACCACGCAACCTTCCCGGAGCCAAGTTCATCATAGTAACACTCAGCTCAGGGTTGCTAAGTGAATTCGACAGGTCCAAGTGGGTAAAGCCTATAGCACAGGGCCTGCATTTAGGAAGTGCTCATAATTGGGAGCTATTATTGTTGTTGCTTTTGCTGTGAGTAGATGTTTGCTGGATGATCTCACACTGATTATATTAAACCCCACTGAGAAATCTTTTGCTGATCTCTGGCATTTATTACAAGAGCAGCGGTTTCAAACATCAGAGTCCTGGTTGAAAAGTGGATTTTAGGCTGGGTGCAGTGGCTCATGCCTGTAATCCCAGAACTTTGGGAGCCTGAGGCGGGAGGATCACTTAAGGTCAGTAGTTTAAGACCAGCCTGGCCAACATGGTGAAACCCCATCTCTACTAAAAATACAAAAAATTAGCCAGGCGTGGTGGCGTGCGCATGTAGGCTCAGCTACTTGGGAGCCTGAGGTGGGAGAATCACTTGAACCTGGGAGGTGGAGGTTGCAGTGAGCTGATATCATGCCATTGCACTCCAGCCTGGGCGACAGAGTGAGATTGTCTAAAAAAAAAAGTGGATTTTAGGGCCCAGCACCTCCCAATTCTGATTCATTCGGCTTTTTTTTTTTTTTTAAACAGATAGCTCTGGTAGTTCAGGGACCACTTGGAGAAAGTCTGCCTTAGAGAGCTGGCAGCATTTATATCACTGGGTGTGCTGAACACCATTCATCAGTGTTCTCCTCCTACTTCATTGATTTTTTTTTTTAATAAAATAAGGCATACTGCATATGCTTTTAGAAAAATAATTCCAAGAGTACAGAAGCTTTTAAAGAAGAAGGAAACTCTCTGACCTTATCTATTCCTTGCTTACTCCACAGTTCCACTCCCCAGAGGTAATCATTGTTACTGTGGTTTTAGATTTCTTAACTGTGGTTTGGATTTGGATTTTCATTGTCTATGCTTATAGAAGCATATCTATTGATATACGTCTTTCCTCCAAATGCTCCCTTTGTAAAAAACACAAATAGGATCATATGATAGAGCAGGGATTGGAAAATGTTTTCTGTAAACAGACAAACAGTAAATACTTTTGGCTTTTGGGGCCATATGGTCACTGTCCTAACTACTGAACACTCCACTGTAGACGGAAGGCAGCCACAGACAATTTGCAAATGAAAAGATGTTGGCTATGTTCCAATAAAATTTTATTTACAAAACAGGCAGCAGGCTGGATTTGGCCCACAAGTCATAGTTTACCACTATAGAGTACTACAATTTTCTCTCCTCACTTATATATTTTGAACATCTTTTCCATATCAGTCCATGCAGTGATTTCACTCTTTAAGTGCTGTGGGTATGAGTAACAGATTCAGCCATTCCTCTGTGGGGCAGTTAAGTACTTTTCCAGATTTTGCTATTGCAAACAAAGCTGCTGTATACTATGTGTTTGGTTGACTGTTCTGCAGAATGAATTCCTAGAATTGCTGAGTCAAAGATTAAGTATGAATTTAAATTTTTGATAGATATTGCCAAATTGCTCTCAGACTTCAAGTTCAGATTGCCACATAACCTTGTGATTCTCATTGCTTAACCTTATTCCTGGCAAGTATTTCCTTAATTTAAAGGTTTTGTAATAATCAGGGAAAGATCTCAAAGATCGACAGAGGTAGCAATGAACTATATAGCAATTGATTCAAATTTATAACTCATAAAAACTTTTCCACCATGGCAATTTGCACAACATTCTTATTAATGCAAAAGTAAATTCCTTTCTGCCTTGAGACTCCCAGGAAGCAGTAGGAGCAGCTTTTTCTAAATGTAAAGAACGTCATGTGCAAAAGCACAAGTTAGGCCCTTGTAGAGCAAATATGCTTATCAGATTGAAAATAATTGCCATCAGAGCAGTAGCACGTGTAGGCCTGGGCTCAGTGGTGAGTGATTTGGGTTCTCATTCAGACCCTTTAAATAACCAGGCCAAGGCATCAAGTTTCCTTACCTGGGAAAAAAAAATGCATTGATCACACTAAGAGTTGCTGAGATCACAACTATAAACAACCAGGCTTCACCGAACGCCCACTATGACATGGACAGTGGGCAAGCTCCTTCACATATGTTCCTGCCAATCCTGTGACGCAGATGGGAAAACTAAAGCCCAGACATGTTAAGTACCCACTAATAATGATTGTGAAAGCAGACAAATAACATAAAGCTAGTAGGAAAATCCCTGGTCTCAAGGTCAGATGACCTGGGTCTAAGTCCTGCTTCAGCCACTTACTGACTTTGGATAAATTTAAGTGACTTTGGCTAAATTACTTAGGTTCTCTGCATCTTTTTCTTATAAAAAAAAAAAAAAAGAGGCTGGGTGTGGTAGCTCACATCTGTAAACCCTGTAAACCCAGCACTTCGAGAGGCTGAGCTGGGAAGATCACTTGAGTCCAGGAGTCTGAGGTTTGAGACCAGCCTGGGCAATATAGTAAGACCCCATCTCTACAAAACAATTTAAAATTTAGCCAGGCATGGTGGCACATGCCTGTAGTCCTAGCTATTCAGGAGGCTGAGGTGGGAGGATCGCTTGAGCCCAGGAGTTCAAGGCTGCAATGAGCTATGATTATACCACTGCACTCCAGCCTGGGCAACAGAGCAAAACCCTAACTAATAAATAAATAAGAAGAGCTTATTTCTCTCTGTGTTAAATGAGGTGTGTCAAAATACCTGGCACTCTCACAGTTATTTCCTTTACTCCATGGTAAGACTGGACTTCCTTACCACCTTGAGGTCAGGCATGGTCATTCGGCTTGCTCTAGCCAGTGAAATGTCTGTGATGTGCGTCACTTCTGGGCAGAAGCACCTAATCACCAGTGCAAGGCTCCACCACTTTCTTCCTCCGAGAGGCTGATCGACATGAGAAAGCACGTGTTAACACGGAGGCGTGATGCTAAGCTATCATAGGGGAACAGCTGCCCACAAGCAGAGCCTACTTTATGTGAGTGAGGAATCAACTTTTGTTTCCTTAAGCCATTGAGATTTGGGGGGATTGCTGTGCATAACCAAGCCCATCCTACTGTCAGGGTGACCTCATCTGTCTTGCTCAACACTATATCCCCAGTGTCTAAAACAGTGCCTGGCAAACTCAAATCTCAAGAAGTGTTCCTAAGAGGGCTGTTCCAGGAATTAAGATTTCTTTTGGCTTTAGTACCCAGATGACTTTTATCTAGCATGGATGATGAAAAAGAGAACTTTCCAAACACCCAAAGCTTCTCTTTGAGAGTTACGTGTTGTGTCCCACAAAAATTCATATTGAAGTCCTAATCCCCAGCACCTCAGAATGTGAGGTGTTTGTGACCCTCTTTTTTTTTTTTTTGAAACGGAGTCTCGCTGTTGTCACCCAGGCTGGAGTGCAATGGCGATATCTCAGCTCACTGCAAACTCCACCTCCCAGGTGCAAGCGATTCTCTTGCCTCAGTCTCCCGAGTAGCTGGGATTACGGGCGCCAGCCACATGCCCGGCTAATCTTTTTGTATTTTTAGTAGAAACAGGGTTTCACCATGTTGGTCAGGGTGGTCTCGAACTCCTGACCTCAGGTGATCTGCCCGTCTCAGCCTCCCAAAGTGCTGGGATGACAGGCATGAACCACCGCACCCAGCCTATGACCCTCTTTTGGAAAACGAATTTCTTGTCTTTAAGGATGCTGAATATAGGTCCCCAATCTCTTCTGCCTTGTAGGGTTTCTGCTGAAAAGTTCAGTTAGCCTGTTGAGGTTCCCTTTGTAGGCAACCTTCCCCTTCTCTCTAGCTGCCTTTAATATTTTTTCTTTCATGTCAACCTTGGAGAATCTGAGAACTTGGAGAATCTGAGGACTATGTGTTTTGGGGATGGTCTTGTATAGTATCTCACAAGGATTCTTTGCATTTCCTGAGTTTGAATGTTGGCCTCTCTAGGGAGGTTGGGGAAATTTTTGTAGACGATATCCTCAAATGTTTTCCAAGTTGCTTCCTTTCTCACCCTCTCTTTCAGGGATGCCAATGAGTCATAGATTTGGTCTCTTTACAAAATCTCATATTTCTCAGAGGTTGTGTTCATTCCTTTTTTTTTTTTTTTTTTTTTTTTTTTGAGATGGAGTCTCGCTCTGTTGCCCAGGCTGGAGTGCAGTGGTGTGATCTCGGCTCACTGCAACCTCCGCCTCCCGGGTTCAAGCAATTCTCCTGCTTCAGCCTCCTGAGTAGCTGGGACTACAGGCGCACACCACCACATCCAGCTAATTTTTGTATTTTTAGTAGAGATGGGGTTTCACCATGTTGGCCAGGATGGTCTTGATCTCTTGACCTCGTGATCTGCCCACCTCAGCCTCCCAAAGTGCTGGGATTACAGGTGTGAGCCACCGTGCCCCGCTGTTCATTCGTTTTTATTTTTTTCATTTTTGTCTGACTGAGTGAATTTGGAGAACCAGTCTTCAGGCTCTGAGATTCTTTCCTCAGCTTGGTCTATTCTGCTATTAATACTTGCAATTGTATTATGAAATTTTTTAAAAAAATCTTTATTTCCATAGGTTATTGGGGAAAAGGTGGTGTTTGGTTACATGAATAAGTTCTTAAGTGGTGATTTGTGAGATTTTGGTGCACCCATTGCCCGAGCAGTGTACACTGCACCCAATTTGTTGTCTTTTATCCCTCAACCCCCTCCCACTCTTTACTCCCTGAGTTCCCAAAGCCTGTTGTGTCATTCTTATGCTTTTGCATCCTCATAGCTTAGCTCCCACTTACGAGTGAGAACATACAATGTTTGGTTTGGAAAACAAATTTCTTACTCCAACAAAAATAAATCACTTATATACTACACATTACAATGACTGAGGCATTGTTTAAAAATAGAAGCACTTATAAAAGGAATAAGAATGTGACCCTTGTTTGGAAACAGTGTCATTGCAGATGTAATTAGTTAAGATAAGCTCACACCTGTAATCCCAGCACTTTGGGAGGCCGAGGTGGGTGGATCACCTGAGCCCAGGAGTTCAAGACCAGCCTGGCCAATATGATGAAACCCCGTATCTACTAAAAATTAAAAAATTAGCAGGGCATGGTGGTGGGTGCCTGTAATCCCAGCTACTTGGGAGGCTGAGACAGGAGAATCGCTTGAATCCGGGAGGCGGAGGTTGCAGTGAGCCGAGCTTGCACCACTGCACACCAGCCTGGGCCACAGAGTAAGACGCTGTCTCAAAAAATAAATAAATAAATAAAATTTTAAAAATAAAATATAATAAAATAGATAAGGTCATGCTGGAATAGGATGGACCCCTAATCCAGTATTTCTGGTGTCCTTATAAAAAAGGGAAATTTAGACACAAACAGGCACACAGTGAAATACCATGTGAAGACTGGAGTTCTGCTGCCACAATCCAGGAACCACCAGAAGGTACGAGAGGCCTGGAACAGACCCTTCCCCAGTCCCTTCAGAGGGAATACGGCCCTGTCAGCACCTTGCTCTCTGACTTCTAGCCTTCAGAACTATGAGACAATACATTTCTGTTGTTTAATGCATTGTTTGCCACTTTGTTATGGCAGCACTAGCAAACAAATACACAAGTATTATACATTTCCTTGCTTTTAACAGAGGAGTGACAGCTTTCTGCAGAGGATCTTGCACAGAACTATTGCTAATATTTCCTCCTGTACTATTCCATCCTCTTTCCTTTTCATAATATGGGTAATTCCTATCTAGGAGGCCAATACATGTGAGGTCTCTCACACTGTATAATCGTCATTAGAAAACTGACTTCTTACCCCTACAAAATTGAATCATTTTATAAATCACATATTACAATGACTGAGACATCATTTAAAAATAGAAGCACTTACAAAAGGAATAAGAAAAACATTATTTAAATCCAGGCCAGGCATGGTGGCTCATGCCTGTAATCCCAGCGCTTTGGGAGGCCAAGGCTGGCAGATCACTCAAGGTCAGGAGTTCGAGACCAGCCTGGCCAACATGGTGAAACCCCATCTATACTAAAAATGCAAAAATTAGCCGGGCGTGGTGGCAGGCACCTGTAATCCCAGCTACTCAGGAAGCTGAGGCAGGAGAATTGCTTGAACCTGGGAGGCAGAGGTTGCAGTGAGCCAAGATTGTAACACTGCACTCCAGCCTGGGTGACAGAATGAAACTCCATCTCAAAAAAAAAAAAAAAAAAAAAAAATCCAAATGTGGCGTGGGCGCGGTGGCTCACACAGTTTGGGAGGCTTAGGCAGGCAGATGGCTTAAGGCTAGGAGTTCAAGACCAGCCTGGGCCACATGGTGAAACCCCACTTCTATGCAAAATAGCTGGGGGTGGTGGCACGTGTCTGTAGTCCCAGCTTTTCAGGAGGCTGAAGCAGGAGAATTGATTGAGCTGAGGAGGTTGAGGCTGCAGTGAGCTGCAGTCATGCCACTGTACCCCAGGCCAGGTAACACAGTGAGTCTCAAAAAAAAAAAAAATTTGAATGTTGGTGACAAGATGCATAGATCTGTTTTTCCCTGCTTCTCCATGCTAAGCACACTATAAACCCTGAAAATGGTAAGAGAGACGACCAAAGAACTCTGAAAGGTGGTAAGAGGGCAAACTGGTTTGGGACCCTAGGATCAGAGGCGCAGCACACAGCAAGGCACATGCATCCTGTCACCCAGCCTCCTGACTTAGCAAAAGGCTCATTTCTCCCCTGATCAAACGGGGTTTGTTCTGGTGAGGCTGACACCACTGGCAAGGGAGATCAACTGGGAGCCCAGCCAGAATCAGGCAACCAGGGGAGGGACTCTCCTCCCTGCAAGCCCTGAGACACCTTTTCCACCAAGAGCTACAGAGGCAGGTAGGTGGGCAGGCTGAGCTGAAGGAAAGACCGAGCTATAGCAAGTGGCCTAAAGCTTCAGGAAGCTTAATTTCTGTGGCCCAAGACTCTCTCCCCAATTCAGACACTAGGGCAGCAGGGGTGGGGGACCAGTTGGGGGACGCCCCCTTCCACCACTGAAAGACAACAATGAGCCCCTTCAGGCAGCACCAGCAGGAACAAACAGGAGCCCAGTAGCACTGGATAAACCATGCAGACCAAGATAACCCTGCAAAGCTGCTGAAAATTAAACCGCCACTGGAACCACAGACCACAACTGTAGACCAAGACCCATGTGCGAAAGCTAAACAGAGTGCTGCCTGCTAAAATGAAAGATTTAAATAGGACCTACAGTCTCCCAACCTAATAGACAAAATGTCTCCAATATTATTGACGACCACCCATCATACTAAGAGCCAAGAAAATCACAATTCATATGAGAAAGGGCAATCAACAGATGCCAGCACTGAGGTGAATCCTGATAGGGATTTTAAAGCAACTGTCTTAAAAGTGCACTGTCAATTCGAAATTTGGTAGAAACAAATTAAAAAATAGAAAATCCCCGGCCAGGCATGGTGGCTCACACCTGTAATCCCAGCATTTTGGGAGGCCAAGGCGGGCAGATCACTTGAGGTTGGGAGTTCGAGACCAGCCTAACCAACGTGGAGAAACCCCGTCTCTACTAAAAATACAACATTAGCTGGGCATGGTGGCGCAAGCCTGTAATCCCAGCTACTCGAGAGGCTGAGGCAGGAGAATCACTTGAACACTGGAGGTGGAAGTTGCAGTGAGCTGATATCGCACCACTGCACTCCAGCCTGGGCAACAAGAGCAAAACTCCGTCTCTAAATAAATAAATAGAAAATCCCCCAAAATGGAAGTTAGGTGACAGAGGATAGAATCAATGAACATAAGGACATAACAGAACTCAGCCAGGTGAAAAAGAAAAAGAACAGAAGCTTCTGACCCAAGGGACAATAACAAAAGATCTAACATTCATATCAGAGTCCCAGAAATAGAGAAGAAAGTAGGACAGAAAGAGTATTTGAAGCCGGGTGTGGTGGCTCATGACTGTAATCCCAGCACTTTGGGAGGCCTAGTCGGGCTGATCACCTGAGGTCAGGAGTTCAAGACCAGCCTGGCCAACATGGCGAAACCCCATCTCTACTAAAAATACAAAGATGAGCCAGATGTGGTAGTACATGTCTGTAATCCCAGCTACTCAGGAGGCTGAGGTGGGAGGATCACTTGAACCCAGAGGACCAGGCTGCAGTGAGCCGAGATTGTGCCATTGCACTCCAGCCTGGATGACAGAGTGAGACTCTGTCTCAAAACAAAAAAAAAACAGTATTTGAAGAAGTGGCTAAAAATCCCTCAAATTTGGTGAAAGATACAAACCTACAGATCCAAGATGATGAGCAAATCTCACAGGATAAAGTACTAACACATCCATAATTACCTAAAAAGCCCCTGAAGGGCTGCCCTGGCCAAGGAACCTCAAATCTTCAGTTTCTCAGAGATCACAGCTGGGGTCATAAGCTTATAGTTGGGATCTTCCTTATAGGTTGTCATAGGTAGCTTTGTCAAACAAGACTAGGTTATTGAGCTTGTCCCGAACTTTGCCTTTGGACTACTTCTTTTCAGCCTTGGCCCCAGATCTGTTCACTGGGTCTTTTTCTTGGTTGACTTTCTGGCATCTTTCTTCTTCTTGTGGTCTTTGGGAGGCATTGCAAAGCTCAGAGTGCAGTGGCGACCTCTGCAGCTTTACTGAGATGTTGGACTAAAAGGAAGCACTGCTCAGGAAAAGGCCAGAAGTCTCCCGCCGCTGTGAGTACTTCTAGGGCAAAGGAGGCAGTGTGGATTAAAAAATAAAAATAAAAATAAAGACATCTTTATGCTGCTTATAAGAAACTCACTTCAAATTCAACATAAATAGGTTGAAAGTAAAAGAATAGAACAAAATATACCATACAAACATTAGTTATTTTTTAAAAATGCAGGAGTAGCTATATTAATATCTGATAAAGTAGACTTCAGAGCAAAGAAAATTACTAGTGACAAACAGGGACATATGTAATAACAGAAAGTTCAATCCACCAGAATATATAGGATCCTAAAATGTACTCACCAAACAACAGAGCCTCAAAATACATTAAACAAAAACTGATAGAGCTAAAAGTTCAAAGGCCTCTATGGTTATAATCAGGGAATTCAAAACCTCCATTTCAGTAATTGATAGAACTACTAGAGAGAAAATCAGCAAGGGTATAGAAGATCAGAACAATACATAAACCAACAGGATCTCACTGACATAAACAGAACACTCCACCCAACAATAACAAAACACACGCACCCATGAAACACTCTGGACAGACCATCAAACAACCTCAATAAAAGAATCAAAATGACAGCATGTTCTCTGACCACAATGGAGCCAAACTAGAAATTAGTAACAGAAACACATTAGGAGATGTCTAAACACATGACTAGAATTGATCTATAGATTTAATGCAATGCCTACTAAAATCCCAGTACGATTTTTTACAGGCATAGACAATAGACATAGCCAAAACTTATTCTAAAATACATATGAAGATGCACAGGCCCTAGTTATACAATCTTGACAAAGAAGAATAAAGTGGGAAGAATCTATTTGATTTTAAGGCTTACCATGTAACTATAGTCATCAAGAGAGTGTGGTATCGGCAGACGGTCAGACATACAGATCAATGGAATGTAACAGAGGACCCAGAAATAGGCCCACACAGATATGCTCAATGGATATTTGACAAGCGTGCAAAACAATTCAATGGAAGAATAAGCTTTCAAAAAAATGGCGTTGGAGCAACCGGACATCCATAGGAAAAAATGAACCCATACCTAAACCATAAACCTTATATAAAAATAAACACAAAATGAATCATAGGCTTAAATGTAAGCTATAAAACTTTTAGAGAAAAACACAGGAGAAAATATTGTGATCTAGGGCTAGGAAAAGTTCTAACTTGATACCTAAAGAATGACCATAAAAGGAAAATGTGGTAAGTTGGTCTTTTTAAAAATTAAAAGATTTTGCTCTGTGAAAGAGTATGTGAAAAAAATGAAAGAACAAGTTGCCAACTGGGAAAAAAATGTTTGCAAACCAAATATCTGAACTCTGAAGGACTCCAAAACTTAACATTAAAAATGAAACTAAACAATTTTAAAATGAGTAAATGACATGAACAGACATTTCACCAAACAGGATATACAGGTGGCAAACAAGCACATGAAAAGATGTTTAACATCATTAGCTATTAGAGAAATGCAAATTAAAACTACCATGAGATACTACTACACACCCAACAGAATGGCTAAAATAAAATATAGTAGGCCAGGCAGGGCAGCTCACACTTGTAATTCCAGCAGCACTTTGGAAGGCCGAGGCGGGCGGGTCACTTGAGCCCAGGAGTTCGAGACCAGCCTGGGCAACATGGTGAAACCTCATCTCTACAAAAATTAGCTGGGCATTATGGCACACAACTGTATTCCCAGCTACTTGGGAAACTGAGGCAGGAGGATTGCTTGAGCCTGGGAGGTGGAGGTTGCAGTAAGCCAAGATTGTGCCACTGCATTCCAGCCTGGGTGACAGTGAGACCCTGTCTCAAAAAAAAAAAAAAAAAGGCAAACCAAATGCTGGCAAGGATGTGGAAAAATTGAATCACTCCAACATTGCTGTTGGGAATGTAAAATGTGACCATAACTCTAGAAAATTTGGTACCTTCTAATAAAACATGCATCTATCATGTGACTCAGCAATTACACTGCTAGAGATCTGAGAGAAATGAAAATGTTTTATGTTGACGTGAAAACATGTACAAATATGTTCATTGCAGCTGTATCTGTAATAGCCAAACACTGGATCAGCCCAGATGTCCTTCAACAGGTAAAACAAAACATATCATGGAAAGTACTCAGCAATAAAAAGGAATGAATAAAAAGAATGAAACATTGATATATGTGGCAACTTGAAGGAATACCGGGGAATTACACTGAGTGAAAAGCCAATCCTGAAAGGTTACATACTGTATGATTCCATTTATATAATATTCTTGAAATGACAAAATCATAGAAAAATGGAGGACAGATTAGTGGTTGCCAGGGGTTACGGATGGTGGTGTGCAGAAGACAGGGGGGAGGTGGGTGTGATTATAAAAGGGCAACACGAGAGATCTTGTGGTGTTGAAACTGTTCAATATCTTATAGGATACATAAACTTACCTAGGTGATTACACTATAGAATTATAAATTATATAGAATACATCATACAAATATTCATTAATACAGTGAAACTAGGAAGTCTGAATATGATTGGTGGATTTGGAGTCTGTATATGATTGGTGGATTATATCAAAGTCAATGTCCTGGTTGTTATACTATAGTTTTACAAAATCTTACTTTTAGGAGAAACAGGGTAAGGTATACAGAATTATTTGAATTATCTCTGAATTACTTTTTTAGAACTACATGTGAATCTATATTCATCTCAATAAAATTTTCATTAAAAAAATCTGAATGGGCTGGGCACAGTGGCTCACACCTCTAATCCCAGCACTTTGGGAGGCTGAGGTGGGTGGATCACTTGAGGACAGGAGTTCGAGAGCAGCCCGGCCAACGTGGTGAACCCCGTCTCTACTAAAAATACCAGAATTAGTCAGGCATTGTGGTGCATGCCTGTACTCCCAGCTACTTGGGAGGCTGAGGCAGGAGAATCACTTGAACCCAGGAGGCAGAGGTTGAAGTGGGCCGAGATCACACCACTGCACTCCAGCCTGGGCGACAGTGAGACCCTGTTTCAAAAAAAAAAAAAAGAATCTGAATGCATACTACATGCCATTACATGAATAATGTCTGTTTCACAGATGAAGGAACTGAAGTTGAGTGGTTGGTAAACTGACTTAAGATTACAGAGCTAGTAAGAAGATGGGCTGGCATTCAAACTGGTTTGTTCAGCTGATAACTTAGAATATAATATAAATGACTTAAGCGTCCAATTAGTTGACTGAAGAAGTAAAAAAATAACTATTAATATATAACTTCAAAGGGTGAGCAACATTGTGCTTTCTGCTAATATGATATAAATTTAAAAACTTTTGCTTTAGAATGGTATGCTAGGACTTATGTACTAGAGCATAGTATCAAGAGTACTATAAATATAAGCGATTTCTTCGTCTAATAATTATAAATTTGAATTATAAGACTATCAACAGAAAACAAACACCAAAAAATACCCATACCTACTTAATGTTGGCTTCAGATTAAAATAAAAATATCCTAAGCCAAGTTTCAGCAAAATAATTTTATTTCCTAACATATGGTAACATATACATCCAATATGTGCTCCCCTTGCACATCTATTCACAAGTGACTTCCAAATGACAACTGCTTTGATATTTAAGCATGTGCTAAAAGTTATCTTAGTTGAGATATGAAAAATGCTTTAGATGGATAACATTCTGAGTATATTGGATTAGTCACAGCAGAATTTACTTTAGTTAGATGAGTTCTACAAATTTAAAGCTTTGAAAAGCTACTACTTTTACTTCTAATACATCCAGATGAACACGATGTAGCAATATCAGCTTGTATTCCAGAGAAATCTCATTAGTTTTTCTGGTGATGGAACCACTTATCCACTGTATTCAGAGAAAAGAAAAACAAATTAGAATTCCTGTTGAGAATCAAAAATACACCTAACATATAACAAAGACTAATATACTTGCTTTAATGAATCCTACTATGAATTACCTGAAAATTAACAGGCATACATACAAAATTTCTCTACAGCAAATGCAGGTGTTTTCTTTTGGGCTTCCTTACACTTCATGCTAATTGCATAGTGTGATTTTCAAACTTTTTTTTTTAATTTCGAGACAGGGTCTCACTCTCTTGCCCAGATTGCAGTGCAGTGGCAGCAATCATGGCTCACTGCAACCTCCATCTTCCAGGTTCAAGCAATTCTCGTGCCTCAGTCTCCCCAGCAGCTGGTATTACAGACGTGTGCCACCACATCTAGCAAATTTTTGTATTTTTTTTTTGTAGAGACATGGTTTCTCCATGTTGGCCAGGCTGGTCTCGAACTCCTGGGCTCAAGTGATCCGCCCGCCTCAGCCTCCCAAAGTGCTGGGATGACAGGTGTGAGCCACCACACCCAGCCTTCAAACTTGTTTTTTTAAGTGGCAGAATCATTTTCTTACCAGAAAAATCTTACAGAGAATTCTGACATCTAAGGAGGAGAGAACTGTTTTCTGGGTGAAGCAGCCTGTGGCCAGGTGGGAATGTGGAGATCAGCCCACTCAGGGTCCCCTCCAGTGTCCAGCGGGCACCTCCATGGAACTCAGAGGGGCACAATGGGTCATGGTTTGGAAACCACTGTGATACAGTGTGGCACTAAAGGTGGTATGTAGCAGCTCATCTTCCTTCCCACGTACACTACAGAATTCTAAAAATGCTTCTCTTCTCACCCTTCTTCCCTCTCTTCCTGTGTATGTTAAAAATATGTACGTGGCTGCGTGCAGTGGCTCACGCCTGTAATCCTAGCACTTTGGGAGGACAAGGTAGGTGGATCGCCAGCCTGGGTGACATGGCGAAACCCGGCCTGATTAGTGTTCAAGACCAGCCTGGTTCGAGACCTGGTTTGAGACCAGCTTGGGCAACATGGTGAAACTCTATCTCTACAAATTATAAAAAAATTAGACAGGTATGGTGGCACATGTCTGCAGTCCCAGCTATTTGGGAGGCTGAGATGGGAGAATCACTTTAACTTGGGGGGGTTACGGGTACAATGAGCTGTGATTGTGCCCCTGCACTCCAGCCTGGGTGACAGAGTGACAGCCTGGGTGACTCTGTGTCAAAAAACAAAAAACAAGCCAGGTACAGAAAGACAAATACCACATGATCTCATTTATATGTGCAATATAAAAAAGGTAAATTCATAGAGGTAGAGAGTAGAATGGTGGTTGCCAGGAGCTGAAGGATGGGGAAAGGGCAGGCGATGGTCAAAGGGTACCAAGTTTTAGTTAGACAAAAGGAATAAGCTTTAGTGATCTATTGCACAGGATGGTGACTGTAACATCTATTTCAAAATTGCTAAGAGTAGATTTCAAATGTTTTTACCACACAACAAATAATGATTAAGTATGTGAGGTAATGATTTCGTAATTAGCCAGATTTAATCATTCCACATTGTAAACATATATCAAAACATCACACTGTACCCATAAATATATTTAATTATCATTTGTCAACTAAAAATAAAAGTAACATAATTTTTCCATAACTGTGTAATGTTTAATGAAATTTTACTGGAATAGAAATCTTACCGTCTGTTGGTACTGTGCAGGCAGATTCACAGGGTGGTGGTAACTAAAATATAAAATATTAAAATCTATTAGTCTAATCTCATTTTTTAAAAAGCTAAAAAGGTATACTGACAAAAATTTAAGAGAATCTGAAGACTATCCCAAATTTTAGGATCTAAACGTAATTTATAATATATAGGAACAATAGAAGGTTTGCTCTACTGCTGAGATGCTAACAAATTCAAGCCTCTTGGACAGTGCAGTGGCTCATGCCCATAATCCCAACACTTCGGGAGGCTGAAGTGGGTGGATCACAAGGTCAGGAGTTCAAGACCAGCCTGGCCAAGATGGTGAAACCCCGTCTCTACTAAAAATAAAAGCTGGGCATGGTGGCGGGCACCTGTAATCCCAGCTGCTCGGGAGGCTGAGGCAGAGAACCGCTTGAACCTGGGAGGCGGAGGTTGCAGTAAGCTGAGATTGCGCCACTGCACTCCAGTCTGGGCAACAGAGCGAGACTTGTCTCAAAAAAAAAAAAAAAAATTCAAGCCTCTTGACTTTTTATGACATGCAGAATAATAAGAATGTTTTTTGAAATAATAAAAACTGATTTATGCATATATAACAATTTTATATATACACACATATTTATAAAATATGGGCAGTGTTCTCACTGAAAAATTATAATAGTTAACCACTGGCTTTTCCCTTATAATTTTTCTTATTTATCTCAACTTTGTCGGGATTCATACATAAATAAAGATAAAACTAAATGTACTGGTTTCATCATTAAATTGTCCTTTTTTCCTTGTTCTACCCCATTTACAAGGCAGTAAAAAAGTCAGACCTCATTTTCTTTTGTTTTCCTTATTTAATATTATAAATGAAAATAATTTAAGATGATCTCGTTCAATTTTTTGGTTAATCCAAACCAAATAATTAAAAATAGTACAAAAACAAAATTATTGCTTTGACGGGTGCTTTTACTACCTCACATGAAAGCCTTTCTTAGATTATGAATCATTCCTGCAATGGTACCTAAAACTTGATACCTTCCTCAGTCCTTGCTAGAACCAAGTCAAGTAAATTCCCATTGATTCTTTTGCGGAAATGGCTTATGATGGGTCATAGGCACACAGGTTACTTGGTACATTCTGGAACCATTCTGATTTTTACAAATCTTACTACCATGCTATCTGTCCAACTTATGATTGATTAGAATCACTCCCTCAGCTTCTCCCTCAGTCAAATGGCCACTTGCATGTGTTCATGGTTTCTAATTTCAAGACTCCACACAGTAACATGCATACAAAAGGCACTCAAGTATTTGTCGAAACAAGTACTTCCTCTCCCCATTTAGCATCATAGTTTTTAGCAACCAGGCTTGTTTTTTTTTTAAGGAAACTTTTACATACAGCATCCACAATGGCTCTGGCAGCATCAGGATCACACTTGAAGGGGCTCTCAGACAAAGTTGTATTCATGCTATTAAATAAAACAAAAGTAGTCATAAGACAAAATAACAAAAATTATCTCTTAAGAGTTAAAAAATGAGTTGAAAGTGGTTGACCAGGTGATATTCAAGTTTAGTTTAGTCGAAAGCTTTTTCACCTACATTTAACATTCTAATTATGTATTTTGGCAAGGCATAGCTATTCTTGTGATCAATTTTATTCAAATATCTTAACAAGTTCGGATTTAAGAAACTGAGATTGGGCTAGGTGTGGTGGCTCATGCCTGTAATTCCAGCACTTTGGGAGGCTGAGGCAGGCGGATCATGAGGTCAAGAGATCGAGACCATCCTGGCCAACACGGTGAAACCCCATCTCTACTAAAAATACAAAAATTAGCCGGGCATGGTGGCGCATGCCTGTAGTCCCAGCTACTCGGGAGGCTGAGGCAGGAGAATCGCTTGAATCTGGAAGGCGGAGATTTCAGTCAGCTGAGATCGCGCCACTGCACTCCAGCCTGGTGACAGAGCAAGACTGCGTTGCAATAAGGAGGAGAGGAGAGGAGAGGAGGGGAGGGGAGGGGAGGGGAGGGGAGGGGAGGAGAGGACGAAAGAAACTGAGATTGAATGCTTTGTAATTCTCACTGAAATAGCTAAGAAATGTGAATTGAGAAACATATCTTTCTTAATTGGAAAAAATAATGAAACAAAAAAAAACCCAGTTCCTGTAGTGTTGGTGAGACATCTGAAACAGACACTTCTGGCAGGAGTCCTGGTTCAATCTTTCTGAAAAATATTTCTGTAAAATGTATCCAAAACCTTTTAAAAAGCTCATAGGTCTTGATAGAGAAATTCCACCTCTAAGAACCCAATCCAATACTGAAACGGTAATTTACAAAGGTGTTTACCATATACTATTTCACTATTAATAGTGGTGAAAAATTGGAAGTAACCAAAATGTCCAATAATAAGAAATGATTAAAAATAGTTTATCCTTCTTTGCAGGGATTTAAAAATAAAAAGGTTTATCCATAAAACATATTATACAGAGATGGAATATTATATTATTAAAATATGATATTTCTAGACTAGGCATGGTGGCTCGCATCTGTAGTCTAAGCACTTTTGGAGGCTGAGGTGTGAGAGGATCACTTAAAGCCAGGGGGTCAAGATCAGCCTGGACAACACAGCAAGACACTGTCTCTACAACAAATTTAAAAATCATCTGGGAGTGGTGATGCGTGCCTGTAGTACCCAGCTACTTGGCAGGCTGAGACAGAAGGATCACTTCTTTGAGGTTACAGTGAGCTATTATAGTAACACTGCACTTCAGCCTGGGCGAGAGACCCTGTCTCTAAAAAAAAAATTATATCTTTTATGACATGAGGAAATGCTTATTACATAGTGTTAAATTTTAAAAATCGTAAGACAAGTCGTGTATATAATACAATCCTAATATGTTTTTTGGGTTTTTTTAGCCCACTTTAGTCTAAAATATGGATCATGTTTTAAAAATACATTTTATTTTTGTTTATCCGTAGTTCAAGTTTTCCTATATATTAGTCATTATAGTACTAATATAATATGTGCCCAATTAGAAATATTCCATCAAGGCCGGGTGTGGTGGCTCACGCCTGTAATCCCACCACTTTGGGAGGCCGAGGCGGGCAGATCATGAGTCAGAGGTTCGAGACCAGCCTGGTTAACACGGCAAAACCCCGTCTCTACTAAAAATACAAAAATTAGCCGGGCGTGGTGGCATGCGCCTGTAATCCCAGCTACTCAGGAGGCTGAGGCAGGAGAATCTCTTGAATCCGGGAAGCGGAGGTTGCAATGAGCCGAGATCATGCCATTGCACTCCAGCCTGGGCAACAAGAGCAAGACTCTGTCTCAGAAAACAACAACAACAAAGAAATACACCATCAAAATGAAAAATGAATCATCTTTGCTGACCTGTTATTTAACATACATTAAGACCATTTTCATAGAAATCGTAAGATACGAAAAAATAGAGAAGTTAACTTAAAAGCCAAATCTTTTTCCTTTTTTTTTTCTTTTGAGACAGGGTCTTGCTCAGGTGCCCCAGTTGGAGTGCAGTGGGGCAATCACAGCTCACTGCAGCCTTGATCTCCAAGGCTCAAGTGATCTTCCCACCTCAGCCTTGCTACAGGCAAGCGCCACCATGCCTGGCTAATTTTTTTTTAATTTTTAGTAGAGATGAGGTCTCACTATGTTGCCCCCACCAGTCTCCAATTCCTGAGTTCAAGTGATCCTCCTGCCTCAGCCTCCTAAAGTGCTGGAATTACAGGAATGAGCCATATAGCACCCAGACAAATGCCAACTCTTAGGACTGTACATTTTTACACATATAACTCTTCTCCATTTTTCTTCTGTTTGTTGGAAGGACAATGTTTTCATTTTATAGGACATTATCCTGACACAGAATAGAAGATTTCTGGGAGAATTATTTTTGTACATTGGCTGTTTCTCGTACTCTTTTTTTTTTTTTTTTGAGACCGAGTCTCGCTCTGTCGCCCAGGCTGGAGTACAGTGGTACGATCACGGCTCACTGCAGCTTCAACCTCCCCAGGCTCAGGTGATCCTCCCAACTCAGCCTCCCAGGTAGCTAGGACTACAGGTATGTACCACCATGCCCAGCTAATTTTTGTACTTTTTGTAGAGACAGGGTTTTTCCATGTTGTCCAGGCTGGTCTTCAACTCCTGGGCTCAAGCAATCCATCCACCTTGGCTTCCCAAAGTGCTGGAATGACAGGTGTGAGCCACCGCACCCAGCCTTGTATCTCTTTTCTAAGTGAAAGTAACAGTACAGTGTCTTATGATTATTAAAACCTTTTCTGCAAGCTGGTCTGCTTTGTGTGTTAAACATGCAAAGTGTTTACACTTACCAACTGATTCCTTTTCCATTCGTTTTCTTAGTCACTAATGCTTTCCAATGGTCATGAGTGCTTTTAATAATATCAATGGCAAAGTCCTATAATTTGAAGAGGTTTGCATTACAATGATAAAAAGGTATTATTTTCCTATTATCAACATTTCCCCAAAGCCTGATACTTTGTCTCTTCTGAATCATTTCCTTATTCTAAAAATGGAAGAGAATATTAAAGTGAATAAATAAACACCAAGACTGTGTTATGTTTCCAGACTTCTGTTTTGTGAATCTTTAGATGGTAACAATATGGTTAAATTATGAGTCTCAATACAAATGAGCCTAAAGCTACAGTTCTGAATGACATATTACCTTATCTTTAAATTCTGCATTAAACGCAAACTCATTTTCTGGTTTTCCATCAGGAACCTTATACCTTCTAAACCAGTCCACAGTAGCTTCTAAGTAGCCAGGTTTCAGCCGTTTGACATCATTGATATCTAAGAAGAGAAGAAGCATAAGATGACAGTGAGAATGATTTTTTTAAAAAGAAAGAAGAGAATAAGCAGATTTCAAGATGCACAAATAATTATACACTCAACAAAAATTCCAAGTACTTATTTTGAAAGAGCTGTGGAATGACTTATCACGGAAGTTCAAGATAACATTGGAGCGAAGCCCCTTGTTGAGAAGAGAAGCCATACACATATACATTGAAAGAAAATCATCTAGTATCTCTGAATAGCTCTGACACTAAGTACAGAGAACAATCAGTACAATAGTAATCTCTGTTAGGTAAGGGCAAACAGCTGGTGGCTACATAATGAAACAACCAGTTTGGCAAATGTAGATAATTCCTATGAGAAGTGTACAAGATACTGAAAAAGACAGAGGTTATCTTTTTTTTTTTTTCAGAGACAAGGTCTCGCTCTGTCACCCACGCTGGAATGCAGTGGCCCGAACAAGGCTCACTGCAGCCTTGACCTCCACAGTTCAGCGATCCTCTCACCTCAGCCTCCTGAGTAGCTGGGACTATAAGCATGCACACGCCCAGCTAATTTTTAAATTTTTTGTAGAAATGGGGTCTCGTCATGTTGCCCAGGCTGGTCTCAAACTCCTGGGCTCAAGCAATCCTCCTGCCTTGGCTTCCCAAAGCACTGGGATTACAGGCTTGAGGTACTATCCCTGGTCCAGAGGCAGAGGCTATGTCAGAGGATCACAACACTATTACATACTAAAAGATAAGAAAAATAGATTAGATTGATATCCATTGATGGGTTACGTATTAAATGTGACTAGACTTTGCTGGATAGTACAGGCACTGTACATAACAATACTTTAGTTCTGGCTGACAGAAAAGTGCACTGCTTTAAAAATTTTAAGTTTCTGTATAGCCATCAACAATGGCTAGCCTCAATGTTATCAAACTGCACTTCAAATAACAAACTCCTGCTCAATGCAAGCAAACAGAGATACACATCCTAAAAAGTCAGTTAGGAAAAGTATTATGAGGAAGAGAAATACATTCAACAATAACAAAAGCTTATTTATATTTGTATAAGATAACATTGCTTCACTCCAATTTATTTTTTTTTTTTGAGAAGGAGTCTCGCTCTGTCTCCCAGGCTGGAGTGCAGTGGCGCAATCTCGGCTCACTGCAAGCTCTGCCTCCCGGGTTCACGCCATTCTCCTGCCTCAGCCTCCTGAGTAACTGGGACTACAGGTGCCCACCACCATGCCTGGCTAATTTTTTTGTATTTTTAGTAGAGATGGGGTTTCGTGTTAGCTAGGACGGTCTCGATCTCCTGACCTCATGATTCGCCTGCCTCGGCCTCCCAAAGTGCTGGGATTACAGGCGTGAGCCACCGCGCCCGGCCGCTTCAATCCAATTTATAATCTGCATAAAGAATAGCATGCATTCTATTATCATAATATCACTAAAAGTATGGAAACTTTACAGAATGCACTGGGAAATGTTTAAGCACTAGTAAATTTCAAAGAACTTATAATTTACATGAAATGTGTCACCTGATATAGAAATAATTTGGAAATCCAGAAATCCAACATGCAAATGTTGATGTTTTCCAATAACAGAAACTAATTCTCCAATTATTCAGACACCAACTGAGTGCTCAGTAATTCACTGTGATTCTGATACTATCTACCTGGAGTTAGCATCAGATCTCAAAGGTTAGGGGCTCAGTCTCACAAGACTGCCCCACTTCAGATGCCTCCTGTACTTTTGACTATCAGCTATAAATTAGGGGTTTCTACAATCCTCTCCCCAGGTCCCCTAATTTGCTAAAATGGTTCACAGAACTCAGGAAAACACTGAAGTTTAAATTTCGTTATATAAATACAACTCAGGGACAGCAAATGGAAGAGATGCACAGGGGCAAGCTATAGGATGGACAATAGACACTGCCTTAGGTTGACATTAGGGAAAGCTGCATACTACTTGCGCCATGGGACCAGCCACCCCGAGAAAGTTTTCAGGGTTCTAATAACCTGAACTGCAGGAAAATAAAGCCTTAGTAAATGAGTGCTGACAGAGTGATGGGCTTGGCTTCACTAATTGTGGCCACAGCATGCCAAGTTCTCTTGCATAAGAAGCACGTTGGAAATGCACACACGGACCAACAGAACAGAGCCGTACTACCAAGTAGTGAACAGATGGTGTGAATGCACTCTCACCTTTCAAAATTGAAACGAAACATTAAAGGATTGGCATTCTTCCAGTCCTTCTTCAATGAATTAACACAGATGCAAATATACATCACATCATTTTGAGGGAACATGCTCTCAAGGTGACTCTTATCACTGCTGACATTGACCTCCATCACCTGGCTGAGGCAGTGTTTGTCAAGTTTCTCTGCTCTAAAGTCATCCTCTCCTCTCCCTTACCCACACTGTACTCTTTGGAAGGAAGTCACCAGGCACAACTCACAATTAAGGACCTCCTTGAGAATGGAGTATCTGCATAAATTATTTGGAATTCTTCTGCTTTGAGATTTGTCTATTCTTCCTCATTTGTCTATTTATTCAATCATTTATTTGTCAGTATAGACTCATGGAGATTTATTTTATGTTCCAGGTTATATTACAATACTACTTTATTTTCTTGCTCAAAGTGTTCTAGCTTTGGCAACTCCTATGTATGTACCCAATAATAAAAACATAAGTCCACACAAAAACTTGTACAGGAATGTTCATGGCAGCATTACACAGCCAAAACAACCCAAATGTCCATCAACTGATGAATGGATAAACAAAATGTAGTATATCCACACAATGGAATAATATTCAACCATAAAAAGGAGTACTGACAGATGCCACAATATGCAATATGGATAAACCTAGAAAACATTATACTAAGTGAAAGAAACCAGAAACAGCAACAACAAAGATCCATATATTGTACCAGTCCATGTATATGAGATACCTAGAATAGGTAGAATAGGCAAAGCTATAAAGACAAAAAGCAGATTAGTGGCTGCCAGGGCCTGGAGAGGAGGAGGGAATAGGGAATGACTTGAACTAGTGGTGATGGCTGCACAACCTTGTGAATGAATGAAATGCCACTGAATTTCACACTTTAATTAAAATGGTGAATTTTATGTTATGTAAAATTTACCACCAAAAAAAAAAAAAAAGGGAATGAAGTGCTGATACATACTACAATACGGATGAATCCTGAAGACACTTACTTCGCTAAGTGAAATAAACCAGACACAGAGGCCACCTATATGATGCCATTTACATGAAATAACAGCATAGGCAAATCCATAGGCACAAAGTAGATCTGCAGTCATCAGGGACTGAGGGAAGGGGGACAGGGAGTGATTGCCCATGGATACAGGATTTCCTCTGGGCTGATGAAATGTTCTGCAATTAGAGAGTGGTGATGGTTGTACAACTTAGTGAATATACTAAAAACCACTGAATTGTACATTTTACAATGGTGACTCTTTGATATGTGAATATCTCAATTAAATGTTTTAAAATAAATAAACATACCAACTGAGTGCTGGTATGTGGGGAAGGAAAGGACCAAAAAAACAGTAAGAACCTACCAGATTTTTTCTTTCCTGGAATGAAGGAGAAAGTTTACTTAGTTAATTACAAGTGCAGTCATAGAAATAATGCTTGTCCAGTGCTTTGTTCCTCCATCCTTTAACAGTTTGAAGGTAAGGGCTTACAATTCTGTCATTATAGGTTAAGTATGGTGGTGCTTATGAATTAATTAGAAAGACTTCAGACTTTTCAAATTTTCTTACCATTATAATTGGCTGCATCAGGATCATCCACATTAATGGCAATGACTTTCCAGTCGGTTTCCCCTTCGTCAATCATAGCCAATATGCCTAGAACTTTCACGCCAATTATTTCACCTCTTGCACATACCTGAGAGTCAATAGCCAAAGTCAGGACAACATTACAGAACCACACTCTAGAAGACAGTTTTACTTGGCTAACAGGAAATAAGAAAGAGGCCAAGTTCTTGAGAATTTACCTGAAGATTGTTCCTTTAAGCAAATTTTAAAAACCTAAATGAGTAAATGTTTCATCAGTCCTATTAAAGTTGAAAACAGGACTTATAGGTCCTATTTTCTTCTAGGTCATAGGGAAACCAGTACATAGCTCAGGGTAATCAATGTTTTTTGCACTGTCATTGATTATACTGAAGAATAAGTCCTCCATAGTCTCAAATACGTATCTTAATATGCTTTACCTTTTATTTTATAAAAGTCATGAGTTAAGCAAGTCATACGATGACTCAAAAACTTTATGACTTAAAAAACAAAATGATAACTTTGTTTTTAGTTGTTTACTATTTCTCTGCACCTGAGAGAGACATAAAGAAATAACTATAATCAGAATCTTAGAACAACCCTACTTGATGGAGGAGTTACTACCATGGATCTCCAACTCATGAGGTTATTTGGTTCGGGTCAATTTACTGATCATTCTAAATTGTTAGGCAAGATTTGCCATGTTTTGAGAGGGAATTTCCCTCCTGGTACCTTTCACCTATTGACTAATTATCCATCTTCTAAAGCAATGCAGAACATGTCCAGTTCTTCTAGATATATGTTCAATCATACATACATAGACACATTTTTTTCCAGACTAGATTTAAATGTAAAAATTATAATATACAAATGCTTAAAATGCAAGAAGCCTTTAATACCAAAGAGACATCATTATTTCACTAATATTCATGCATTTTATTCACAGTATTTTTTAAAGTATGAAATTTGGTATACTTCATTAATATCTCAACACTAAAGAAAAAAATGTCACATTTCATTACCTTGCTTCCAATTTCACACACATCAATTGGGTCATTGTCACCACAACAGCCAGTATGTTTATCATTGTGCCCTGGGTCTTCCCAAGTCTAAAAATATAAGACAGTGTATATCATTCCTATACATACTGACAAAATGGATCATGTTGAGAATAACAGATAACATCCTATGACTCTTCAGCTACTTTTTTCTCATTGTTTTAGTTCTTTATTCGCATTTAAGAATCTTAACTACACACAAGAGTTTCAATTAAATGCTGTAGCTCCTACTACACATCTAATGCTAAACTAAATTTAAGCTTTAAAACAGATAATGATCCTATTTAAAACAAGCAAAAGCCAACTACTCAATAACTGAGACAATAGGGAAACACAAATATAGACCCAAACGTTTACTTTAAAGATGTGTGGTTTTAGGCTGGGTATGATGGCTCATGCCTGTAATTCCAGCACTTTGGGAGGCTGAGGAGAGTGGATCACCTGAGGTCAGGAGTTTGAGACCAGCCTAGCCAACATGGTGAAACACTGTATCTACTAAAAATACAAAAATGAGCCAGGCGTGGTGGTGCATGCCTGTAATCCCAGCTACTTGGGAGGCTGAGGCAGGAGAATCGCTTGAACCCAGGAAGCAGAGGTTGCAGTGAGCCTAGATCATGCCACTGCACTCCAGCCTGGGCAACAGAGCAAGGCTCAATCTCAAAAAAACAAAACAAAACAAACAAAAAAAGAAAACAAAACAAACAAAAATGTGTGGTTTTTTTCTTTTTCTTTTTTGTAGAGACAGGGTCTCACTATGTTGCCCAGGCTGGTCTCAAACTCCTGGGCTCAAGTGATCCTCCCACCTTGGCCTCCCAAAGTATGGGATTATAAGCATAAGCCACTGTACCTGGTCTTAGATTTTCTTTATAATAAATTCCCAAAACAGAAGTAGATAGGCAATAATAGTAAAATGGAAAGGTTGTTTTTCTTCTTCCTTTTTTTTCTTTTTTTCTTTTTTTGCGACAGAGTCTTGCTCTGTCGCCCAGACTGGATGGAGTGCAGTGGCGCAATCTTGGCTCACTGCAACCTCTGCCTCCCATGTTCAAGCAATTCTCCTGTCTCAGCCTCCTGAGTTGCTGGGATTACAGGTGTATGCCACCATGCCTAGCTAATTTTTGTATTTTTAGTAGAGATGGGGTTTCACCATGTTGGCCAGACTGGTCTCGAACTCCTGACCTCAGGTGATCCTCCCACCTTGCCCTCCCAAAGTGCTGGGATTACAGGCATGAGCCACCACACCCAGCCAAAAGGTTATGTTCTGATGTTAAAAGTATCATCACTGACCAGGAGCCCGGACTGAAAAGTTTAATCAGAATTTTCTGGAGCTTTACATGACTGGTTTTCTTTCCTTCCTAAATTGTAAGCCAGAGTCCTTGCAGAACATCTCACAAAAGAACTGAAAGCCTGTGCTAGCCAGGATGTTAGGTTTAAAATGTAGCTGTTGCATTGGTTCTTTTTTCCTCCAACTAGAACACGTTACTCAGATTTGTTTGTCTACTCAGCTGGAGTAAAGGCAAAAAGATAAATGAGAAGGGGGATAAAGGAAGACCACATCTAACAAATCCAACATTAAGAAAGCAAAATCCAACCCACAGAAGAGTAAGTATTTCAGCAATGTTCTCCTACAAGGATGATATATCAAGGCTAAATACTATTAATAAATCAATTGAGGCCGGGCGTGGTGGCTCATGCCTGTAATCCCAGCACTTTGCAAGGCCGAGGCAGGCAGATCACAAGGTCAGGAGTTTGAGACCAGCCTGGCCAATACAGTGAAACCCTGTCTCTAATAAAAATACAAAAAATTAGCTGGGCGTGGTGGTAGGCGCCTGTAATCCCAGCTACACAAGAGGCTGAGACAAGAGAATCACTCGAACCTGAGAGGCAGAAGATGCAGTGAGCCAAGACTGCGCCACCGCACTCCAGCCCGGGCGACAGTGCAAGACTCCGTCTCAAAAAAAAAAAAAAAATTTCAATTAAAGTATAAGGTGAAACACTGTAATTAAGACAAACAAATGACTTTGTGCTTACCTAACAAGCTAGATGGGTCAGACCTATGTTCTACTATCTTATGGGTTGTTTCATAGTACGTTCCATTTAACAGACTTCATTGTTAATAAAAACAAACCATTTATCAACAGCAAAAAAATTAAACTGAATATTTAGTTAGTGTCTCAGCATTAAATTTTAAGTGCCACAGCACTGGCCTAGCCAAAATAGAATTAAATAGATGTCATTTACTCATTATAGATAAGATCCTAGTGATTCTTCAAATATCAAATAAGAACCTACTACATACTGACATTGTGCTGGGAATAAATTGGTAAACAACCCTTCTCAAAAGGTTGACTATTAGGCCAGACATGGTGGCTCACACCTGTAATCCCAGCACTTTGGGAGGCCAAGGCAGGCGGATCACAGGTCAGGAGATCGAGACCATCTGGCTAACACAGTGAACCCCGTCTCCACTAAACTGCAAAAAATTAGGTGGTGGACACCTGTAGTCCCAGCTACTTGGGAGGCTGAGGCAGGAGAATGGCGTGAACCTGGGAGACGGAGCTTTTGCAGTGAGCCGAGATCACGCCACTGCACTCCAGCCCGGGTGACAAAGCAAGACTCCATCTCAAAAAAAAATTTTTTTAATTAAAAAAAAAAAAGGTTGACTACTTAAGAAAACATGATCCTCTCATTACTTTACCACAAAGAGCTTGACCTGAAGAAGAGGGAATCAAAACTCTAAACATAAAGTCAGCAGCTATGACAGCTTGTTGTGTGCAGGTATTAAGTGCTTTATTTTTTGAAATAACCATACCACCTACATACTGTGAATAGCTCAGGGAGGCGATATGGACGTCTCAAGGAGAAAGAAAGGGAGGCAAGTTAGGTAAGCTAGGAATTGGCCATCTTGGGATTTGAACTCTGGTCTGTCTGGTGCCAAAAATCAGTGCTTTTGACTACTACCATACACTCTTTCTTGACTGAACAGACTTGCAACTCAGTCTGTAGAGAATTTATATAGCTTATAACCAGTCCAAAAAAGAAGAAATATTTCAGGAAAGAATAAACGTTCAAATCTGAATTTAAACATTGTAAATATTTAGTTTATCTTGAAAATAAGTTATTTAAGGAAGCATTCTGAGTTAATTATCCCTTCTTATGTTTTCAAAATCTACCATAGAAAAAACTCTCCACAGGTATTCAAACCTTTTTTACTAATAGCAGTAAATTAATATTTAGTAAGCTAAAAAGTACATTGTCAGCAGTTGCATGAAGACATACCTGAGGGATGGCACCATAGTTCCAGATATATCCTTTATACGGGAACAAATTCGCAACATAGCGAAGTTTTCCTTTTTTCACATCTTGTTTAATAGGGTTTAAAGGGTCCTTTGTAGCAATCTGAAATAAGAAAATTTCAAATCTTTGCATATTTGGATGTGAAATACTATTCAAATAAGGATCTGAGGAAATGAATTATGGTACCTATGTTCCCTAATTCCACTTTAATGATATATTTTATCCCTAACACTTTTATAATTGAACTAAGGTGTTTCCATAATCGGCCATTAAGTGAAAGGTTATGTGAGGTATAAAGGAACTATCAAGAAGGGAAAAAGAACATTTACTAATTCTAGAAAGCAAAGACTAAAATTAGCTGGAATAAATTCTAATGTTTGAGTAATAAAAATACCACAATTTTTATTAAAAGGGCAAAATAAATATTATCCAATTTTAGTTTTCCTTCACAGAATTTAAAATTATTCAAATACTTGGGTATTTATTACACAAAAAAAGTGATTACTGTTAAGAGTTTGTGATATAAAATATGTTATAAATATCCATAACAAAAAGGCAATGATGGTAGGTATCATCAGAAAGAAACTAACACCATGCAACTGAAATTCCAATGAGAGTATCTGTGGCTGGGGTGACTAAGGAGGGGTCAGTGAAGGGCTTACAGAGAGTAAGAGGAGAAAAAGTAATTCTAGGCTTTGGGAACATTGGAAGCAAAGATGTTGGGAAGAAAAGTTTGGGGCATATTTGTAAACAGTTGAGTTTAGCTGGAGCCCAAAGGGAAGACTAGTAGGCAATGGGAGATACAACTAGAAAATAGACTGGGACCAGACAGAGAAAAACCTTGACGTTCAGATGGTTCATCCTTGATCAAGTCAGTGTGACTAGATCAAAACCAATATCCTAAGTCTGACTCAAATGTAAGGTGAAATATTACCTCCATTTTTGCATTAGACCAGCGTGGTACTTCAACTACCATGTGAAACACATCCTGAAAAAACAAAGAGAAAGTGAGATGGTCACAGGAGCCAATTTGTTCTCTGAGGGAGCATGCACTATTTCTTCCAAAGTCAAACTGTTCATTGTATCAGATCTTTGAAGTCAATTGGATTTTCAACAAAATGCATCAAAAAAAGAGAATGATGGATGAAGAAATAATGCAATTATAGGAAAATATTCATTATAGAATCAAGGTGGTCAGTATATGATTGCTTACGGTATAGTTCTTCTTAATTTTTATTTACTTCTAAATTTTTTATAGAGGCAAGGTCTTACTGTGTTGCCCAGGCTGGTCTCAAACTCCTGGCCTCAAGTGATCCTCCTGCCTCCACCTCCCAAAGTGCTAGGATTACAGGTGTGAGCCATCTTGCCCAGCCAACTTACTATATAAATCTTTTAACTTTTCTGTATGCTTTAAGTGTTTCAGAATAAAAGCTGACAGTGGAAAGAATGTTCCTAGGAAGGAAACAGTTCTTAAATAAACGTAACAGAACCTGTATCTCTGAAGAAGACCATCTTCAAAACACTCTCCAAAGGCCAGTGTTATTTCCTTCAGAGACACTGCAATTACTCAAAATGTTTTTGGAGCTTCTATTTCAGAGACAGTTTATAAGACAAACCCCAAGTCAGACTAATTACTTGATCATACTTTAGTTTATAAGACGAACCCCACATCAGCCTAATTACTTGGTCATACTTTAGTTTTAGCATCAAACAAAACTCATCAGCTTCATTATCCACATTATTCTCCCAATTCGGCTGTTTTTAGAAATAAAGCCCCCCTGAAAAGGACTTTGACCTTGAAGATAAGAGAATATGCTTTAAAAATATTTTAATCAATGATAGTTCTACTGTAATTGGCTTATAGCCTTAAACTGACTACTATAAAATAGATGATATATTCAGGGAGTAAATTCCCAGATGTGCAGTTTAAAAACACAATGAAAAAACAAACCATACTTTGCCAACCCATTTTGCACACTGGAGTTAAATATGCCATAGGTTATTTAATTAAACTTGAGCTTTAATTATTCAGAATACTATTTTTTTTCACGGAATAGAACTTTAACTGCAGTTTTTCAGTTTTTAGCCTCTACAAAGGGCACAGATGAAGCTAAATCTGCAATTACTGTTTTCTGTCACCCAGGCTGGAGTGCAGTGGCACAATCTTGGCTCACTGCAACCTCTGCCTCCTGAGTTCAAGTGATTCTACTGTCTCAGCCTCCTGAGTAGCTGGGATAACACAGGGGCGTGCCACTACACCTGGCTAATTTTTGTATTTTTAGTAGAGATGGAGTTTCGCCATGTTGGCCAGGCTGGTCTCAAACTCCTGACCTCAGGTGATCCACCCGCCTCAGCCTCCCAAAGTGCTGGGATTACAGGTGTAAGCCACCGCACCTGGCCTGCAATTATGCTTATAAAAAGTACTTTTTTTTTTTTTTTTTGAGACAAGGTCTCACTCTGCCACCTAGGCTGGAGTGCAGTGGTATGAGCTTGACTCACTGAAGCCTCAACCACCCTGGCTCAAGCAATCTTCCCATCTCAGCCTCCTGAGTAGCTGGAGCTACAGATGCATGCCACCACATCCAGCTAATTGTGTGTGTGTGTATATGTATATATGTGTGTGTGTGTGCGTGTATGTGCATATATATATAATTTTTATATATATTATATAATTTTATATATATAAATTATATATGTATTATATATAATTTTTATGTATAATATATATATAATTATATATATAATATATATAATTATATATTATATATAATTTATATATATATTATATATAATTTATATATATATAATATATATAATTTATATATATATTATATATAATTTATATATATATAATATATATAATTTATATATATATAATATATATAATTTATATATATAATATATATAATTTATATATATATAATATATATAATTTATATATATATAATATATATAATTTATATATATATAATATATATAATTTTTATATATATTATATATATAATTTTTATATATATTATATATATAATTCTTATATATATAATATATACTTTATATATACTATATATATAATTTATATATAATATATATAATTTTTATATATACTATATATATAATTTATATATAATATATATAATTTTTATATATATACTATATATATAATTTATATATATAACATATATATAATTTATATATATAATATATATATAAATTATATATATATATAATTTATATATATATATATATATTTTTTTTTTTTTTTTTTTGTAGAGATGGAGCTTTGCCATGTTACCCCAGACTGGTAAAGTACATTTTAAGAACTTAACTTAAAATGAAAATCACTTGGTTACACCACTCTTTAGAATTACTTCTTTGCTACTTTCCATCAAAAAACGGGAACTGATAAGCCACAAGGGAATAAGTCAAAGGTTTCAAGTCAATAATTACCTGCTGCTACCAAGCAGAAAAACTACACTGATTTTGATTCAAAAGTGTAGAACTTCTGTCATTTTAAGTTCCTGCTGAAACCATGGGAGACTAAAGCATCCATAGGTTTCTGCTCCAAGCCTCCTGATACCTCACTTACCCAATACAACATAAAAACCAAAAGAATGGAGATATTACTTAAATCTAGGACTGAAGAAACTGCTCTATCCCTGTTTCCCTCTAAAATAACCAGATGGTTTAGAAAATGTAACACTAATTATTAATCCTGGGTAGAAAACCTCAGAACCAATCTTTGACTAAATTTCACCTTGTCCACTAGGTTTTCAAGTATTTTGTCCACTTCTCAGGTGTAAAAACGAGAGATCTGTAGGTCTGTGAAAAGAACAAGTCAGGGCTTTCGGTTTCCAGCAGCAGTACCCTAAAGATTCACAAGATGGAGCTGTTACGACATGAAAGATCAACTGAAGAGCTCGCCAAGATTAGCTGTTAATTTCGTTAAAACACCACCAAATGAATACATTGCTTCAAGAAAGATATAGCAGATAGAGCTAAAATAACTAATTCAAAGTTTAGAAACTATATTGAACACTTTAATAGCAGTAAATGACAAATATGTATAGATCCTCAAAACAGTATTACCTAATAACATAAATCTACATAATTAATGGGAAGGAAAAAAATAACAAGGAAGAAAACATCCTTCAGAAAATGGTAAGAGAATTCTGCTGCGAACAAAAGCTTGAAGGTCTGGTGCTTTTTAGAAATTAGCTGGGTGAGGCCGGGGGGTGGTGGCTCACACCTGTAATCATAGCACTTTGGGAGGCCGAGGTGGGCGGATTATGAGGTCAGGAGATCGAGACCATCCTGGCTAACACAGTGAAAAACCGTGTCTACTAAAAATACAAAAAAATTAGCTGGGCGTGGTGGCAGGTGCCTGTAGTCCCAGCTACTCGGGAGGCTGAGGCAGGAGAATGGCGTGAACCTGGGAGGCGGAGGTTGCAGTGAACTGAGATCACACCACTGCACTCCAGCCTGGGCCACAGAGCAAGACTCCGTCTCAAAAAAAAAAAAAAAAAAAAAAAAGAAATTAGCTGGGCGAAAAACAACAAGGAGTACCTGCAAAAGCCAGAGTCAATTCATTGATTTTTTTCAACAAATATTTGTTGTGAACCACCAGGATGTGCCAGGCACTTTTCTAGGCTCCGAAGACTAGCAATGAACAAAATAAAAGTTCTTTTAACTCCCAAAGAGTTGGATTTCCAAATCAGGTACTTCCTGCTGGTAGCATTGGTGGTTCAGGGGTAGAATTCTCGCCTGCTAAATCAGGTACTTCCAGTTTGTAGGCCTCAGGCTACAGCTTGGGGTGAGTGACTCATCTGTAAAATCAATGTTTAGCACACTTTTTTTTTATTATTATACTTTAAGTTTTAGGGTATATGTGCACAAAGTGCAGGTTTGTTACATATGTATACATGTGCCATGTTGCATGTTGGTGTGCTGCACCCATTAACTCATCATTTAGCATTAGGTATATCTCCTAATACTATCCTTTCCCCCTCCCCCCACCCCACAACAGGCCCCGGTGTGTGATGTTCCCCTTCCTGTGTCCACGTGTTCTCATTGTTCAATTCCCACCTATGAGTGAGAAATGCGGTGTTTGGTTTTTTGTCCTTGCAACAGTTTGCTGAGAATGATGGTTTCCAGCTTCATCCATGTCCCTACAAAGGACATGAACTCATCATTTTTTATGCATGGAATACTAGCACACTTTCAAATGCATGTAGATGCTGTAGTAATACTTGTCTCAGCCAGGCGTGGCGACTAACGTCTATAATCCTAGCACTTTGGGAGGCAGAGGCAGGAGGACCGCTTGAGGCCAAGAGTTCAAGACCAACCTGACCAACATAGCAAGACCCTGTCTCTTAAAAAACATTTTTTTAAAGAGAGAGAGAGAGAGAGACGGGGTCTCACTCTGTCATCCAGACTGGAGTACAGTGACGCAATCATAGCTCACTGCAGCCTCCAACTCCTGGTCTCAAGCAATCCTCCTGCCTCAGCCTCCTAAGTAGCTGGGCCTACAGGTGTGCACCACCACACCTGGCTAATTGTTTTTTAATTATGTTTTTGGAGATGAAGTCACACTATGTTGAGCAGGCTGGTCTCTAATTCCTAGCCTCAAGTGATCCTCCTGCCTATGCATCCCTAGTAGCTGGGACTACAGGTGCAAGCCATCCTGCCCAGCTCTGTACTTGTAAGGAGGGGGTGTTCCACATACTTTAGCAGGAATTACTACTAAAGAACAACCTTCTTCTAGACATCTGGCTACAATTCAAAGAGTTGCTACTAGGTGAACAACAGTGATATTTAGGATTTTTCAGGGCAACTGATATGAGAAATTCAATGAATTTTATAGCAACAGAGTTGCTATAAAAACTATTACTGTTTTTATGCATTCTAATGATTCCAATATTCACGCACTTAAAAAATACTGATTTTAAGAAATTTCGTACTACCCAGTTACAAATTCATTCCTTCTTCTTTAATCCCAACTGGTTTCAGCTTTTACTTAGCTGGATCTTGGATTTACTATCTTGTTACTCCCACTGTTAGGACTTCCCAGAACTCCATCCTCCAATCCTACCATGCTTTGGAGTCTCAGTCATTGCTCTGGCATCAGAGCTCTCAGCTCTCTGTTAACAGTTTCAGAAAAGAAGGAAGTTAAGTCTCCCTAGAGGGATGATTTTGATAAACTCAATAATTACCTTGCTGATAAACCAGTGGGGGATAAGGGAAAAGGCAAACTATAACTTTAGCTCTTGTTCCCAAAGTCAGAAATATAACTGTCTATTTCAGGCCAGGTATGGTGGCTCGTGCCTGTAAACCTAGCACTTTGGGAGGCTGAGGCAAGAGGATTGCTTAGACTAGGAGTTCAAGACCAGCCTGAGCAACATAGACAGACCCTGTCTCTACAAAAAAAAAAAAAAAAAAAAGTCTATTTCCCTTCCCAGATTTACAATCATTTTATCAAGTAGTCAAGATGTTACAACAAAACATTAAAGATGTCCAGATTCTAAGGAAACTGGAAACTCAACAACTCTACATTATGTCACTCCATTAATCAAAAATATTTAAAATAAAAATGTTTCAGGAATAGAAGAAATATCTCCTATATCTTGGTTAGGTGTGTAACTTCACTAATTAAACAGGAATATTAATCACAGTAGTATGGTGAGGCCCCGTCTCATCTCCAAACTGGTTAGGGTCTTATGGACCAAGTCAGTAGTCTGACAAGTTGTTTACTAATAAATAGGCTACGGCCATTTGGTAGGCTGTTATTACTAATGCAGTTAAGTACATATATAGGGAACATGCTCTTAATTTAATTACAGCACGTCTTTAAATCCTAGCAGTTAAGTTCAATGTGTCTTTATTGAGACTTATTTCTTATTTATTTATTTTATTTTATTTTTTGAGACAGAGTTTCGCTCTTGTTACCCAGGCTGGAGCACAATGGTGCAATCTCGGCTCACTGCAACCTCCGTCTCCCGGGTTCAAGCAATTCTCCTGCCTCAGCCTCCCGAGTAGCTGGGATTACAGGCATGCACCACCATGCCCAGCTAATTTTTGTATTTTTAGTAGAGACAGGGTTTCTCCATGTTGGTCAGGCTGGTCTCGAGCTCCCGACCTCAGGTGATCCGCCCACCTTGGCCCCCCAAAGTGTTGGGATTACAGGCATGAGCCACCGCGCCCAGCATTGAGATTTATTTCTAACCCTGGATTTGGTAAATTCGATGAACTATACTACAGAATTATACCAAGTGGCTGACATTAGCATTTTCAAGTTGACTCATTGTGTGTTTCTCTAGATAACTTCAGAAATCTAGTAAATACCAGGCTTAGAAAGAAACACAAAAATCACCCTGTGGTCCCACCACTCTTATTTATTTATTTATTTATTTAGAGACAGAGTCTCACCTGTCACCCAGGCTGAAGTGCAGTGGCATGATCTCAGCTCACTGCAACCTCCGTCTCCGGGGCTCAAGTGATCCTCCTACCTCTGCCTCCTGGACCACAGGCACCTGCCACCACACCCAGCTAATTTTTTTTTTTCTATTTTTGGTAAAGACCGGGTTTCACCATGTTGCTGAGGCTGGTCATGAACTCCTGAGCTCAAGCAATTCGTCCACCTAGGCTGCCCAGAGTGCTAGAATTACGGGCATAAGCCACGGCACCCAGCCCACCCCCCATTTTTTAATCTTTATTGTTTTGCAATAAAATTTGGAGAAAAAACAGTAGAGGTAGAGAGAATTTTCTTCTAAATTTATCTAGAGCATAAACATAAAGCAAGAAACTAATCCAAACCAAGCTTTAACTTTTTTTTTTTTTTTGGAACTTATAGACTAGTTTTGGAGTATAAAATCCCTATCAGAAGAGCTCACGTAGTTAAAAGAAAATGTTCCATCCCCATAAAGATGCTTTCGAAAAGGTATACCAGATTTCACCATTTCCAAGAATACTTTATCTTATTCACTGCTCACCAAATGACAATGGCTCTTAATTCTAAGTTTTGGCTGTAAAGTTGGTTATATGATTCTAGAAGGATATACTCTAAGTTGTTAAAAGTATATGGATACCTGAAGTATTTCATCGAAAGTGACAGAAGTCTATTTGAGAAGCTATCAGAAAGAAATACGATGACCGAAGTTCACACTGTTGTGCCCCTTATTCACTTAGAATTGTGACTTAGCAAAGAAAGACATGACTTACACCAACCCAAAAAACATTTGTTCAACAAATTGTGTTAAGATTCCAAGGGAGATCATTAACTTATTAAAGTAAAGAAATTAAAACACATACACACAAAACTTTTAGTAATACTCATTTGTTTTCCAGTTACATAGATTTTCTACTCATTGCAGCTCAAACAAATGCCTGTATTTGCTACTACACACTACCATATGTACCTGTGTAGAGCAATAACTTAATTTGTCATGTCATAATTAAGAATAAGCTGCTGGCTGGGTGTGGGAGCGCACACCTGTAATCCCAGCACTTTGGGAGCTGAGGTGGGTGGACTGTTTGAGCTCAGGAGTTCGAGACCAGCGAAAGCCTGTCTCTACCAATACAAAAAAATTAGCCAGGTACGGTGGTGTGTGCCTGTAGTCCCAGCTACTCAGGAGACTGAGGTGGGAGGATTGCTCGAGCCCAGGAGATGGAGCCTGCAGTGAGCCAAGATCACAGCACTGCATGGGTGACAGAGTGAGACCCTGTCTTAAAAAAAAAAAGAAAAAGAAAGAAAAAGCTGCTATTTTTGCTATTTTTTCTTTTCAGATAAGCTTTATGATGACTAAATTTTGAAAACAGATATTCTAAGCATAATCTGTTTATTTTCCTGTCTTTACAAAATCAAGCAAAAGGGTCTGCATTTCCAGTTGTCAAACTTTTCTGTTTTGCAATGACTAATAATTTTGAGCGTGGAAACTTCCCCAAGAAAAATGCATTTATGCCAAATTGCAGATAATATTCTGTTAAGTTTCTGAAGCATCAATCTATTTGATTAGAGGCTTGACTTTCTTTCAGAAGGGGAAAAAAGAAACACATATTCCATATTTATATATGCTTCTATACGCTCCCAACAATCACCTGAAAAAAATAGAACCCTACATTGTCAGAACTAGAATTTAACATGAAAGTTTAAGATATGGAATAGAAAAATATCTGATTTCTAAAACTAAAAAATCAGGTCATGATATTTGAGCACTTTAAGATTTAGAGAAAGCTTTTATCTACCCAGTGTTTCATACTGTTTATACCATGTTTTGGAAAATTTCTGGTATCTCAGAAGTTTTATGTTAGAAGATACTCTGAGCTATAGGTGCTTTTATATTTGATCCTAAAATTGACCCAGAGCAAAGGACATCCCTACAATTTAAAAATATCCAGTGAGCCCTTGCCTTTACCTTCTCTACCCACTGGATTCGGAAATAATCAAAGCAGGGTACGCGAGTCACAAGATTTTCCAGAACTGGCTGGACTGATTACCTAATGGCATATGCCAAACTGAATATCCACATTAAAAGGTCCTGATATGGGTTGGACACAGTGGCTCACGCCTGCAACCCCAGCACTTCTGGAGGCTGAGGTGGGCAGATCGCTTGAAACCAGGAGTTCGAGACCAGCCTGGGCAACATAGGGAAACCCTGTCTCTACAAAAAAATAGAAAAATTAGCTGGGCGTGGTGGTGTATGCCTGTGGTTCCAGCTATTCAGGAGGCTGGAGCAGGAGGATCACTTGTGCCTGAGAGGTTGAAGCTGCAGTAAGCCAAGATCATGCCACTGCACACCAGCCTGAGTGACAAAGTGAAACCCTATCTCAAAAAAAAAAAAAAAAAAAAAAAAAGTCTGATATGGATATGAGCCCTTGGGCATTTTTCCTTAGTCTGATATCAATATGAGCCCTTGGACATTTTTCCTTAGTGGAGCTGACTGAGCTGTGTTAAAGGTACATGCTCACTAGATCATGACATTCCCTCATTATAATCCCTCGGATGACTGACCATATTAGGAATAAAGTCCAAGGCCAAGCCCGTGAGAATGTATTCATGTAAACTTAATCACAATAGATTTTTTATACAAAAGAAAGAAAATCACACTCTAATGAATCAAGTTAATCAGATTTTTTTTTTAAGGCTATAATCCAAAATGATGTCTACCACACCTTTATTTGTGTTTTAAACAAGTAACTTCCTTTAAAACAAAACAAAAGAATTCCTTCCAGCCTCTCAGGCAGGAAGGCTTCTGCCCAAGGTCCACTGAGGTCTAGACTACTGGTAAAATCCAGAGTCATAAGAACTTGTGCTTTTGAGCTGGGACAGGGCGTGCCAAGGGCAGAGTCTTCCTTTGAGTAATCCACTTTATAGACACAACCAGTCCCTTATAAGGCTTCAGTGTCTGAGAGTAATCTAAGTGAACACACTTAACAGGACACCAAAATGTAGCCTGTTTCCTATTTTGGAGTAACCTGAAGCAGCAATAAGAGTAGGTACCAAAACATCTATGATCATTCTGGTCCTTGGTAGGAATACAGTCACTTAGAACACTGGGAAAATAGCTCTATGTCAAGAAAATGTTTTCCTACCTGTAGCATACCTGTATGCCAGGGTATTATCAATAAACTTAGGGTCATCATTTTATACCTCTTCATTGCTCAAAATGGTCTGAGATGCTACAGTATGATATACATGCTATTATACAACAAGCAGATAATTCAAGCCAACCCAATGGGGCCAATTGAAGAGGGAAGGATTCTGCAGTTTATATCAACTCCCAGGAAATCAGATGTAACAAATTCGAGTTTCTGAATAAATACCACTCTGACACTCCCACAGGAAAAACACATGCCAATTAGAAGTCCCTCCTGTATTTGTGGCACATAATTGGCCTAGGGCTGTTTGCTCCATTGCCTCTAATTGGAGTCTTACCCAGGAAGGCTCCTGGGAAGCAATGTAAAAATTGGAATTTCAGGCAGTACAGAACTGCAGCAAACTTCCTGGTAGAAGTGCAATGAATGTGTCTATTTCTATCTAATAGTCAGGCCCAGAAAAACAGTAAGACAGCACACACAAGAACAAAATTACTATTATTCTAGACGTGCACTGCAAAGTGATGTTCGTGTTGTATATTGACATCTAGCTAAAGAAAGTCAATAACCTATGTAACTCTTACAACTCAAAAACCTTTGTACTCAATGTGAATCAAACTTCCTTACTGAAGGAAAAAAACTGAAAGGTAGAAAAAGAATAAGATATTTGTCCTTGTGTTAAGTTGCTAAATACAGTACAAACTGCTTCCATTGGAAAGGAGAGTAAGAAAAGATGTGTTTTTTAAAATGACTGTTTAAAGTTGTTCTTATAACACATGTTCTTTGTAAAAAGATTAGACAATATAAAAAGACAAAAATGAAAATAAAACCAAGAGTCACTGGCAGTCCCACGAATCATAACTATTTTGATATATATTTTATTGTTATTTATTTTCCTAAGACAGGTTCTTGCTATGTTGCCCAGTCTGGTCTCAAACTCCTGGACTCAAGTGATCCTCCCAGCACAGCCTCCCAAGTGGGATTACAATTGCCCCACACTCAGCTATTCTGGTGTATACAGTTGTAGACTTCTTTTTCCCCTAGAAAAGTAAAGACTTTTACAATTTGTGGTAAGCCTACCAATCTGTATTAAAGTTAGGTTTCTTCTCACTGGTGTATACAGGAACAGCTATGTCCTTTTAGAAGTCTGTGTGCCTACCTGTATTAACTCTATCTTAACTGTGCAAATCTTAACGGTACTAGCCCGTTACTAAATTTTCCTATACTCATTGAATAATCTAGTTTACTTTTACTGTTTCATAAAGATCCCACAGCCAAAATTCTGTGCTGGCTACCTGGTTTATTTTAGAACCAGTAATGAAGTATTACGACTTTAGTTCCAAATACACATACAAAAAGGACCAATGTAATTTTTTCTTTTTTTTTTCCAAGACAGATTAAATACTTTTGCTTTTACTCCTCCTCTCCTTCCCCAAATTATATTTGCTCCTTTAACTAAATAATCTAGTTTTAAGACTAACTTCTTATTTAGTCAATGGACCTTTTTTTTTGAGACAGGGTCTCACTCTGTCACCCAGCTGGAGTACAGTAGTGCCATCTCGGCTCACTGCAACCTCTGCCTCCCAGGCACAAGCGATCCTCTCACCTCAGCCTTCCAAGTAGCTGAGACTACAGACACATGCCACCATGCCCGGCTAATTTTTGTATTTTTTGTAGAGACAGGGTTTCACCATGTTGCCCAGGCTGTTCTTGAACTTCTGGACTCAAGCCCTCCACCCGCCTCAGCCTCCCAAAGTGCTGGGATTACAGGCGTGAGCCACCACGCCCAGCCTAATCAACAGACCTTTAGCTCACAGCACAACGAGGCATTTTAAGCACTTGTTGAGAGACATATAAGAAAATTCATATGTAGAACTAGCTGATCTGAGTAAAGAGACTGTGTCCAAAAACAAGGATGCCTTACCTTATCTGCATAAATTGGAATATCATGAAATGGAGATATATATTGTCCTTTCTCATTTTCTGCAAAATAAATTAGAAAAAGTTATTACTATAATTAATTGTATTGCTAAATGCCCACAGTACACATTTTTTTTTTCTGAGATAAGGTCCCTTACTCTGTCACCCAGGATGGTGTGCAATGGTGTGATCTTGGCTCACTGCCACTTCTGTTTCCCTCTTGAAGGCTCAAGTGATCCTCCAGCCTCAGCCTCCTGAGCCGCTGGAACTACAGGCATGAGCCACTACGTCTGGCTAATTTTTGTGTCTTTTGTAGGGAGGTGGTGTTGCCATGTTCCCCAGGCTGGTCTCCAACTCCTGAGCTCAAAGCAGTCTGCCCACCTCAGCCTCCCAAAGGGCTGGAATTACAGGGGTGAGCCACCGCACCCTGCACCCGACCAGTACACATTTTTAAACCAAGATATTATTCTTACACTAGAAAAACTGTTTGTATACTTCACTTCTCCTGACTGTACTCCCAGGCTAGGCTGGGTTTACATCCTATGCACTCTGTAGGCATCTAATAAGTACTAATCTCTATAGTGAGAGCAGAGACTACTGAGGACACAAAAGGCGATTAAATTGTTTTGGACTGATCTTACATCAGTTAAGTTTACAGAACCATTATGAAGTACTTGGGAGGAAGGGAGGGGACCACTTTACTAAACAATGTTGCTAAAAGTGGTGTTCCCAGAGACAGCCAGCCATCTTAGATTATGACTTTCTTTAAGGATAATCAAGTTGCAACAAACATCTTCACAAATAATTTCTATTATATTCTAGATATATATTACTAATATATTCTAGAGGCCTAACTATAGCCAAAAAGTAATTTTAAAACTTCTTCAGTATTCTTTAGGAAACCTACTGTCCACATCGCATCCCTTCAAGTTTAAAAATCAAAGTGGAGGCCAGGCACGGTGGCTCACGCCTGTAATCCCAGCACTTTGGAAGGCCAAAGCAGGTGGATCACTGGAGGTAAGGAGTTCAAGACCAGCCTGGCCAACATGGTGAAACCCCGTCTCTACTAAAAATACAAAAATTAGTCAGGCATGGTGGCAAGTGCCTGTAATCCCAGCTACTTGGGAGGCTGAGGCAGGAGAATCACTTGAACCCGGGAGGCTGAAGTTGCAATGAGCCAAGATCATGCCACTGCACTCCAGCCTGGGCAACAGAGCGAGACTTTGTTTCAAAAAACAAACAATAAAACATAAAAGTCCCTTTAGGGCCAATTGTGACTTTGCAGTCTGTCCAGCCCTTTATCAGTTTTAAAGAAATTGACAAATGTAATATTATAAAGCTTAAAAAAGTTTATTTCTATTAAGGAAGGATAAAGCACTTAAAATTGGATAACTATGTAGTGGGTTCTAATTATTAGTATTTCTTAAGTTCCAGAGAGTTCCACTTGATAAAAACAGTTACTTCAGCTAGTGCCAAATTCTAGGAGTAGCTTTGGTCTCCCATAACGGCCACCAAATATTAATTGCAAATAAATAACCTAAGTAAAAGCAGTGTGTTTGTTCTGCATATATAGCTTGAAGATCCACCCCTCACCTTCAAACCAGACAGTCACCTCTGTAAGCCTTTCCTACAGAGAAATTCTGGAGCCAACACTATTTCCAGAAAAACAGTCCCATGAATTATTAGTCAAAAGTTACTGGACTGTCCTTGCTGCTTAATTGCAAAATTAAATAAAATGGAGAGTGGGGGGTAGTTCTCACCCTTCCTGGATTTTACCTGATAGTTAACCTTTGGCTAGATGTGTAAGCTTTACAGTTCGCTTTCCTTTTCCTCCCGCACCAGGCTACTTTTTGTTCCTTCAATGCCTATTCATTCGTCTCCTCTACTCCCCGCTTCCCCTTCCTTCATACACCAACTCAGAGTTCGAGGCACCTGCCCATTTCCTTCCAAATAAAACTGTAAAGAGGTTACAATAGAAGCGCCTGTGGTGACACATTTACGAACGCCTCCGTTATCGCCCATAATCTACTCCTAGTAGCTGGGGGTGGGGGGAGTAAGAGGATAAAGAAAAACCCCAAGTAGCTTTCCTCCACCTACAAGGCCAAAAAAACGTGGTGCCCTAAGGAGCGTGGAGGGCGCCAGCATGCAGCCTCCCGGTTTCCCCGTGCAGCCCTAGGTGCAGGACCCGGGGTAGGTACCCCCTAGACGCCGAATCCTGCAAAGGTAAAAACTTGGCACTTTCTCAGTCTTGTTTCCAGACTGACGTCATCTGTTTGATTTGAGGGAAACAGCTTTCTGTTTCATAAGGAGCATTCCCAGCATCGGCGCTGAGGGAAAACAGGCGGCGCAGAGGCAGGAGCACGACCGGGCCGCGGAGGACCGGTCCAGCGCCTTCACAGACGGCTCCCGATCCGGGCCTCAGTTTTCCCGTCTGTAAAACGAGGGGGTGGACTTGGCTCCGCTCAGCGCCGATAATCTGAGCTACGGCGGCGGAATTAAGGTCTTTAGGAAGTCACTGCCCCCCCCGGCCCGGAGTCGCCTTTTCTCCAAACTGAGCAATCCTCTTACGGGAATTATGTTACTTCCAAGCACCTTTCTAGGGTGGGTCGGTGATTTCCTTTTCCCAACAGACCCTGTCAGAGCCAGACACCTGCAAAACTAGCTGGGCCCAGGTTCGGGTACCCCGAGGCGTGACAAAGGGACCATCTCCGTTCAGCGGGGAGGGATGGCCGGAGGCGACCCTCGCCGCCCCGACCGGCGGCGGCAAGTATGCAATGTGAGGCCGGCCAGGCCCCACAACGCGCCCGAGGAGACGGGCCCGCGTCGGAGACCTGGGGCCGAGCGCGGGCCGCACCCTCCCGGGGAGGCAAGGCCCGGGAATGAATGGGCGGACGGGCGCGGAGGGGCCACGGGCCGCAGACACTCACTGAGGAAGACTCGGTACTCCAGGGAGAAGGGCGCGGCGCGCTCCTCGGTGCTGAAGCCGCTCATAGTGCCGGAGTCCTGCCGCCGCCGCTGCCACAGAGCCACCAGCCCGCACGCGGCGCCGACTGACAAGGAGAGAGCCCCACGCCTGCGCACTGCGAGCACTGGACCGGCGGGCGGGGCGGGGAGCGCCTTTAACGCGGCTCTGCTAGTGTTCCCACCCCCGCCGGGCCAACCCCGTGCGCAGGCGCACTCCGCCAGGCCCGGGTGTCCGCACTCCCCAGCCCCGCCCCTCGGGCCCAGCCTCCGCGATGGCAGCTAGGGCTCAGAGGCTGGGCCACGTGGCTGCCGCCGGCGCTGGTTCTGTTCCTTCGGCTTTGGGCTCTGACCCGGGAGGGCAAATGCGCAGGCTCTAAGCTTGGACTAGCTAGGAGTTGACCGCCGACCACGCACACAGGGAACTCACCTTTGATTCTCACACACTCCTCCCCGCAGTCCTATTCCTTATCTCAAAAGGCGTTGATAAGTCACCTGCTTCCCCAGACAGGCTCTGCTTGCGGTCTTAAAGGTGAGCATTTTTCTGATCCGTCGTAACAAAGTTGAGCCATATTACTGACACCCCTAGTGGCTACTAGTAAGGTACTCGCTTCTCCACTTTCTATAATCTCTCTCACTCCGTTGCTTATCTGGGAAGTGAAGATAATAATATAACTATTTCATGAGTTACTGGGATGATTACCCGAGTTAATACACGTCAAATGCCTGAAGCAGAGCCTGTATCTTTGTAAACAATCTGGAAGTTGTTACTGTCACCCTCCCCAGTGGGGGAGGATTTACGCCCCCGCGCCCCCCGCCCCCTCCATCCCCCCTGCCACCCTACTTAACCCACCTGGGTCTCCAGGGGCTTCAGATGGAAGCACTGGGAAGGTCCAGGCGTGAGCTAGAGTCCCGTGAAGGAGTGTTCTCAGGGACAGGCTCTTCTGATCTTGATTTCCTGTTTATATTCCATCATATCAGGCCAGACCCCAAAAACTAAAGTCTGATTGAGGCAGTGGGAAAATATTTGCATCACTTACCTCCCCAGGAATACATGTAAAAGAAAAAAAGTATATCCACAATCCTAAATATAAATTAGCAAATTATTATTCACATTTCAAAGAATGCCTGGTTTTATTTATTTATTTATTTTAATTTCATGGCCAGGATTTCTTTAAATAACTTTTTCTAGAACATTAAAGATAATGTGCCTTAATGACATTTTGAATTAAACCCTTTTTTCCAAACAATGTCTATTGTAAAAAATGAATATTAAATGAAAACCTAGTAAGATCTCCAGTTAGTTATGGTGTCGCTCCCTTTGTCTCCATCCAACTCCCAAACCTCACTGACACCCATTAATTTTCAGAAGGCTGTGATTCACTGATTTTTTGAACATTTCACCACACTGTTTTACTGCTGTTAAAACAGAAGGGCAGGAAAAAAAATTAGCGAAGCAATAGTTTAGTCAATAATTAGGGTCAAGGCCAGGCGCGGTGACTTACGCCTTCAATCCCAGCACTTTGGGAGGCCGAGGTGGGCGGATTACCCGACGTCAGGAGTTGGAAACCAGCCTGGCCAACACAGTGAAACCCTGTCCCTAGTAAAAATACAAAAATTAGCTGGGCGTGGTTGCACGCGCCTGTAATCCCAGCTACTCGGGAGACTGAGGCAGGAGAACACTTGATCCCGAGAGGCGGAGGTTGCGGTGAGTTGAGATCACGCCAGTGCATTCCAGCCTGGGTGACAGAGCGAGACTCTGTTTCAGAAAAAAAAGTAGGATCAAGTTCAAAGAATATTTTAAGGGGATGCTCTTTTGATTGAACTGCTCTATCACTTTTCTGCCTTTGAGCAGATGGAACCAATTTTCTTGGAAAAACCCAGACTCTCATCTGTGACTGACTTAAGAAGACAGCAGTGATGCAATAATAATGTTCTACATACACTTTCCCTTTGCCTCCTGCCAGCTCAGAGCAAGATAATAAAGTCTCACTGACCTCCAGACTTGCACACTGGCTCTTGTTTCATCGAATGTATTCAGAGAGCCAGTCATTATCAGGTCTGGTAAAACACCCAGCCCTGGTGAATTGTAACTTTCCTTTGCAGGCAAGTGTAGTGAGCCCATAGGCCCAAAAGGACCTTGGTCTACCATGTCTCCCTAGGGCCTAGCACAGTACACAGCCTAGAGTAGATGTTTAGTGAATCTTTGCTGGACGGATAGGTAGAGGAATTAATGTAAAGGTGGAAAATACCTTCTTAAGTACATTAGTTTGACAAAGAAGGAGTCCATCTCTTCTCAAATATTATCTTTCTCACTCAGTGACCAAATCTAGTGGCACTTTTCAGTCCATATCCTGTCCCCTTTGCTGTGGGTGACCCTGTTGGGTGTCTCTAATTTCCTTCTTTGGCTTGCGACTACATTCTCTTCTTTTTTTTTTTTTTCTTTTTTGAGACAGAGTCTCACTCTGTCACCCAGGCTGGAGTACAGTGGTGTGATTTCGGCTCACTGCAACCTCCACCTCCCAGGTTCAAGTGATTCTTGTACCTCAGCCTCCTGAGTAGCTGGGATCACAGGCATGCACCACCATGCCTGGCTAATTTTAGTATTTTTAGTAGAGATGTGTTTTCATCATGTTGGCCAGGCTAGCCTCGAACTCCTGGCCTCAAATGATCTGCCCACCTCAGCCTCCCAGAGTGTTGGGATTACAGGCGTGAGACACGGTGCCAGGCCACGACTACATTCTCTTCTCGTGTTCTTCCTACTTCTTTTTTTTTTTTTTTTGAGATGGGGTCTCGCTCTGTCGCCCAGGCTGGAGTGCGGTGGTGCGATCTCGGCTCACTGCAACCTCCGCCTCTCGGGTTCAAGCAATTCTCCCGCCTCAGCCTCCAGAGTAGCTGGGATTACAGGCGCCTGCCACCACGCCCAGCTAATTTTTTGTACCTTTAGTAGAGACCGGGTTTCACCATGTTGGCCAAACTGGTCTCGAAGCCCTGACCTCGTGATCTGCCTGCCTCGGCCTCCCAAAGTGCTGGGATTACAGGCATGAGCCACCACGCCCGGCCCATTCCTACTTCTTTGCTACTCATTTCTCATTCTCCTTCTCAGCCTTCATTTCATCATCTTAATCATCATTGTCTTTCTTATTTCTCATGTTCTCTCTCTCTCTCTAGAGCAATACTCTTTGTCTAGATTATCTCATGTATATCTCTGGCGTCAGCTACCACCTAGAGGTCCTATAACATGAAAACTTTCAAATCTATAACTAACTCTTATTTAACACTTACTGTGGTCATGCTCTGTGATAGGTGGGTAGGGATGTAGCCCTACTAGGCCTTATAGTCAGAACTTATAGTCTAGAAGAAAGACAGACTTCAACAAATAATTATAATAAATTTGGGTGAGTAGAATGATATAGGAAGTACAGGGCATTACATTATGGGAGCAGAAAACCTCTTCAAGGAAGTGACCTGTAACCTGCAATCTGAATGATGACATGGAATTAATAAGGCAAAGGGGACAAGGCAAAAGCCAGAAAACGGTTAGGTGAGACTAGGCCGGGCGCGGTGGCTCATGCCTGTAATCCCAACACTTTGGGAGGCCAAGGCCGGCGGATCACGAGCTCAGGAGTTCGAGACCAGCCTGACCAACATGGTGAAACCCGTCTCTATTTAAAAATATACAAAAATAAGCTGGATGTGGTGGCACGCACCTGTAATCCCAGCTACTCAGGAGGCTGAGGCAGGAGAATCTCTTGAACCCAGAAGGCAGAGGTTGCAGTGAGCTGAGATCACACCACTGCACTCCAGCCTGGCAACAAAGCAAGACTCCGTCTCAAAAAAAAAAAAAAAAAAAAAAGAAAGCGGTGAGACTAGAGAAATAGTCAGGGCCAAAAGCTAGAAAGCCTTGGAAGGCACGATATGAGGATTGAACTTTCTCCTAAGAGCAATGGGAAACTTAAGAAGGGTTTTTAATGGGAAAATAACATGATCAGAATTGCATTAAGAAAAGGTACTATCAGCAGCTTAGAACTTGGATTGAGGTTTAGTAAGACTAGAGGCAGGGAGACCAATGCAGTCCACTGCAGGGCCCCAGATGAAAGGTGATGGTGGTTTCCTGAACTTGGGCGGCAAAAGAGAAGGCTGATTACAGAGCTGTGTTCAAGGTAGAATCAATGGAATTATTGATTGAATAGTGTGGAAGAGGAGAGAGGTGGAGATCTGAGGATGAGTCCCAGGTTTCTGGCTACAAGAACTGGTTGAGTTGAATGGTATGTCATTTACTGAGAGAGAGTGGGTGAGATGGAGGGTATTAATACCAAACACTCCTAGCTCCCTGCCCAATGGCCATATTACCTTCTCTTTTCTAACAGAATCCTGATTTTGTTCAAGAGACTGGATGTGGTGGTTCATGCCTGTAATCCCAGCACTTTAGGAGGCTGAGGAGGACGGATCACCTGAGGTCAGGAGTTCAAGACTAACCTGGCCAACATGGTGAAACCCCGTCTCTACTAAAAATACAAAAATCAGCTGGGCGTGTTGGCACGTGTCTGTAATCCCAGCTACTCAGGAGGGTGAGACAGGAGAATCGCTTAAACCCAGGAGGCAGAGGTTGCAGTGAGCCAAGATCACGCCATTGCACTTCAGCCTGAGCAACAAGAGCAAAACCTCTGTCTCAAAAAATAAATTAAATAAAATAAAAAGAAGCCACTCTCCTGCGCACACCTTTGCCTCAGGGCAGCCAGCCCTTCCTTCATCTTCATGAAATGAAGTTTTTTTTGTTTGTTTGTTTTAGTATTTATTGATCATTCTTGGGTGTTTCTCAGAGAGGGGGATGTGGCAGGGTCATAGGATAATAGTGGAGAGAAGGACAGCCGATAAACACATGAACAAAGGTCTCTAGTTTTCCTAGGCAGAGGTCCCTGCGGCCTTCCGCAGTGTTTGTGTCCCTGGGTACTTGAGATTAGGGAGTGGTGATGACTCTTAACGAGCATGCTGCCTTCAAATATCTGTTTAACAAAGCACATCTAGCACCACCCTTAATCCATTTAACCCTGAGTTGACACAGCACACGTTTCAGAGAGCACAGGGTTGGGGGTAAGGTTATAGATTAACAGCATCCCAAGGCAGAAGAATTTTTCTTAGTACAGAACAAAATGGAGTCTCCTATGTCTACTTCTTTCTACACAGACACAGTAACAATCTGATCTCTCTTTCTTTTCCCCACATTTCCCCCTTTGCTTTTCGACAAAACCGCCATCATCATCATGGCCTGTTCTCGATGGTCGCTGTCTCTTCGGAGCTGTTGGGTACACCTGCAGAAAGGCTGTCACTTCACACTTGGAAGATTGCACAGCGGCCATGCAGAGGCGCTCCTCACCTCCCAGACGGGGCGGCCGGGCAGAGGTGCTCCTCACCTCCCAGACGGGGCAGCCGGGCAGAGGCGCTCCTCACCTCCCAGATGAAGGGCGGCCGGGCAGAGGCGCTCCTCACCTCCCAGACGGGGCGGCCGGGCAGAGGCGTTCCCCATTTCCCAGATGGGGTGGCGGCCGGGCAGAGGCACTCCTCACATCCCAGACGGGGCGGCCGGGCAGAGACGCTCCCCACTTCCCAGACGGGGCAGCCGGGCAGAGACACTCCTCACTTCCCAGATGGGGCGGCTGCCGGGCAGAGGCACTCCTCACTTCCCAGACAGGGCGGCCAGGCAGAGGTGCTCCTCACATTCCAGACGATGGGCAGCCGGGCAGAGGCGCTCCTCAGTTCCCAGACGGGGCGGCCAGGCAGAGGCGCCCCTCACCTCCCAGATGGGGCAGCCGGGCAGAGGCACTCCCCATTTCCCAGATGGGGTGGCAGCTGGGCAGAGGCGCTCCTCACATCCCAGACGGGGCAGCCGGGCAGAGACGCTCCCCACTTCCCAGATGGGGCAGCTGGGCAGAGACACTCCTCACTTCCCAGATGGGGCGGCCAATCAGAGGCGCTCCTCACCTCCCAGACGGGGTGGCCGGGCAGAGGCGCTCCCCATTTCCCAGATGGGGTGGCGGCTGGGCAGAGGCGCTCCTCACATCCCAGATGATGGGCGGCCGGGCAGAGGCACTCCTCACTTCCCAGACGGGGCGGCCGGGCAGAGGCACTCCCCACTTCCCAGACGGGGCAGCTGCCGGGCAGAGGCGCTCCTCACTTCTCAGACGGGGCGGCCGGACAGAGGCGCTCCCCACTTCCCAGACGGGGTGGCTGCTGGGCAGAGGCGCGCCTCACTTCTCAGACGGGGCGGCCAGGCAGAGGTGCTCCTCACCTCCCAGATGGGGCGGCCGGGCAGAGGCGCTCTTCACATCACAGATTGGGGCGGCCGGGCAGAGGCGTTCCCCATTTCCCAGATGGGGTGGCGGCCGGGCAGAGGCACTCCTCACATCCCAGACGGGGCAGCCGGGCAGAGACGCTCCCCACTTCCCAGACGGGGCAGCCGGGCAGAGATGCTCCTCACCTCCCAGACGGGGCGGCCGCCAGGCAGAGGCACTCCTCACTTCCCAGACAGGGAGGCCAGGCAGAGGTGCTCCTCACATTCCAGACGATGGGCGGCCGGGCAGAGGCGCTCCCCATTTCCCAGATGGGGTGGTGGCCGGGCAGAGGCACTCCTCACATCCCAGACGGGGCGGCCGGGCAGAGGCGCTCCTCACTTCCCAGACGGGGCGGCCCGGCAGAGGCGCTCCCCACTTCCCAGACAGGGTGGCTGCCGGGCAGAGACGCTCCCCACTTCCCAGACGGGGTGGCTGTGCAGAGACGCTCCTCACTTCCCAGACGGGGCGGCTGCTGGGCAGAGGCGCTCCTCACTTCCCAGATGGGGCAGCTGCCGAGCAGAGGCGCTCCTCACTTCCCAGATGGGGCACCCAGGCAGAGGTGCTCCTCACATTCCAGACGATGGGCGGCTGGGCAGAGGCGCTCCCCATTTCCCAGATGGGGTGGTGGCTGGGCAGAGGCGCTCCTCACATCCCAGACAGGGCGGCCGGGCAGAGACACTTCCTAGACGGGGTGGCGGCCGGGCAGAGGCTGTAATCTTAGCACTTTGGGAGGCCAAGGCAGGCGGCTGGGAGGTGGAGGTTGTAGCGAGCCGAGATCACGCCACTGCACTCCAGCCTGGGCAACATTGAGCATTGAGTGAGCGAGACTCCGTCTGCAATCCCAGCACCTCAGAAGGCCGAGGCAGGCAGAACAGGAGCTGGAGGTCAGGAGCTGGAGACCAGCCCGGCCAACACGGTGAAACCCCGTCTCCACCAAAAATACAAAAACCAGTTAGGCCTGGCGGTGTGTGCCTGCAATCCCAGGCACTCGGCAGGCCGAGGCAGGAGAATCACGGGAGCCCGAGGCAGGGAGGTTGCAATGAGCCGAGATCACGGCAGTACAGTCCAGCCTCAGCAACAGAGGGAGACCGTGGAAAGAAAGAGAGAAGAGAGAAGAGAGGAGGGAGGGGGAGGGGGAGGGGAAGGGGGGAGAGGGAGAGGGAGAGAGTTGTTTGTTTGAGACGGAGTCTCCCTCTGTCACCAGGTTGGAGTGCAGTGGCGTGATCTCAGCTCACTGCAACCTCTGCCCTCCTGGGTTCAAGCGATTCTCCTGCCTCAGCCTCCCTAGTAGCTGGGATTACAGGCGCACGCCACCACGCCCGCTAATTTTTGTATTTTTAGTAGAGACAGGGTTTCACCATGTTGGCCAGGATGGTCTCAATCTCTTGACCTCATGACCTGCCCACCTCAGCCTCCCAAAGTGCCGGGATTACAGGCATGAGCCACTGCGCCCAGCCAAGGGATGAGTTTTAAATGAGCAAAGACAATCATGATTGCCAGTGATTTTTTTCAGTCATGTAAATGTGATACAGTACTGTCCCTCTAGCAGGGAAGGCTGCTAGAGGGTTTCTGGAACATTTTTCCTTTATCTTAGGAAGAGTATAGTTCTGGATGCTTGTTTGAAGTCACAGAGATTTGGGGGCTGTTCGTTACAGCAGCATAATCTAGCAAGAGCTGATTAATACAAATGGCTAACAGTGCTGCAGTTTTCTTATGAGATCTCCACCATGAGGAGAGTTTGCCTGGGAACCAAGCTGCCATGCAGAAATCAGCAAAACAGAAAGATGGAAATAACTTGTGTTCTTAAGATATTATTGGCCAGGCGCAGTGGTTCACGCCTGTAATCCCAGCACTCTGGGAAGCTGAGGCGGGTGGATCATGAGGTCAGGAGATCAAGACCATCCTGGCTAACACGGTGAAACCCCGTCTCTACTAAAAATCCAAAAAAGAAAAAAAAATTAGCCAGGCATGGTGGCAGGCGCCTGTAGTCCCAGCTACTCGGGAGGCTGAGGCAGGAGAATGGCATGAACCCAGGAGGCAGAGCTTGCAGTGAGCCGAGATCGTGCCACTGCACTCCAGCCTGGGCGGCAGAGCAAGACTCCATCTCAAAAAAAAAAAAAAAAAAAAGATATTTTTGAGCTACTGATTTAACTAACCCCGGAACTACTTTGCCTCTGAACTTCTTGTCTCATTAGATAATAAATTCCTTCCATTAAACCAGTTTAAATGGAAAGTTTCTATGACTCAAAACCAAAAATATCTTGGGTAAGACAGACTGGTAGCTTGAAAAAGGAGTGAAATTCTGACACATGCTACAACATGGATGTAACTTGAAGACATGAACTTTCGCCATGTTGGCCAGGCTGGTCTTGAACTCCTGGCCTCAAATGATCCACCCACCTCAGCCTCCCAAAGTGCTAGGATTACAGGTGTGAGCCACGGTGCCCAGCCAAGACTACATTCTCTTCTCATGTTCTTCCTACTTCTTTGCTACTCATTTCTCATTCTCCCTCTCAGCCTTCTTCATTTCATCGTCTTAATCATCGTCTTTCTTATTTCTCATGTTCTCTCTCGAGAGAGAGAGATACTGTCTGTCTAGGTTATCTCATGGATATCTTTAGTGTCAACTATCACCTAGAGGTCCTATAACATGAAAACTTTCAAATTTATATTGAAATCTGTTATTATGTTCAGTGAAATAAGCCAAACAAGAAAACGGCCAATAGTGTGTACCTCCACTTACATGAGGTACCTAGAATAGTGGAATTCATAGAGACAGAAAGAAGAGTGGTGGTTGTCAGGGCCTGGAAGGAAGGAGGAAAAAGTAGTTATTGTTTAATAGATGTGGAGTTTCAGTTTGCGGAGATGAAAAAATTCTGGAGGCTGGGTGCCATGGCTCACGCCTGTAATCCCAGTACTTTGGGAGGCCGAGGTGGGTGGATCACTTGAGGTCAGGAGTTCAAGACCAGCCTGGCCAACATGGCAAAACCCCATCCCTAATAAAAATACAAAAAATTAGCTGGGCCTGGTGGTATGCACCTGTAGTCCCAGCTACTCGGGAGGCTGAGGCAGGAGAATCACTTTAACCTGGGAGGCGGAGGTTGCAGTGAGCCGAGATCGTGCCACTGCACTCCAGTCTAGGCAACAGAGCGAGACTGTCTCAAAAAAGAGAGAGAGAGAGAGAGAGAGAGAAAGAAAAGAAAGAAAGAAAGAAAGAAAATAAGTAAGTTCTGGAGATGGATGGTGGTGATGGTTGTAAATATGAGTGTTCATGCCACTGAACTGTACATTTAAAAATGGTTAAGATGGTTAAAAAAACAATTATAAAAGCAAATATATCTTTTTTCCAAACAAAGTTTGAGACATCTGAGATTAAGTTACTCCAAACTTTGTACATAGGATGGTGTATCAACTAAAGTCAACCAGAGAAACAAAAGCTACTCAAAGTGTTTAAGACAGGAACTTTAAGGCAGGGAATTGGTCAACAGGTAATAGAAGAGTTGAGAAACCAAATAGAGATTGGCAATGGCAGGAAGCCACTATCATCTTTAGGCTGGAGAGATGGGAGGAAGAGGCACAGTCACCCAAAGGGAGGAGCGCAGGGTCTCTGGGTGGAGCTGGCAGCACAGTGGGCCTGTTCATCTGTACAGAGTTGCTGCTGGAGATGCTGCCTAGGGCAGAAAAGGAAGGGAGACACACCCCTTCCCTTCCTCAACCACTCCAATCTCCTGCCTGTGTCTCCATTGGCTGGGCCCCAGTGGAAGCCAGCTGTGTTAGTCAACTTTTACCTGTTTATGCTGCTGTAACAAACAATATAAGAAATCTCATTTGCTTATGCGAATGAACACATATTTCTTGTTCAGGTTACATGGTGGTGACAATGGGTCAGCTATGGTTCTGCCCCATCTGCCTTCGTGTTCAGCTCAGGCTGAAGAAGTATCCACCATCTTGGTCTTGCTGCAGAGGGAAAAAAGAAATGGCAAACTGTACAATGGCTCACAAGCTTTTGCTCAGAAATGGTATATGTCACTTTCACTCATTCTATGCACAAAGTCCTATGACTTTGGGCATGGACATATGAATACTTCTCCTCTAGGGGGAACTACAAATGCGTAACCATGTTTAAGACTGTATAATCCTCTTACAGGGAGAGAAGCAATTAACTGGGAACAATAATACCCTCTATTACAGCCCACCTTCTTAGTCATAAATGTTCATCTCTCCCTTTTCACAGGAAAAACATACTCACTCTCCCTAAAGAGTAACGCCCGAAAGTCTCAAACAATCATGGTATCAAGTTTAGTATCTCATGATAATTTCCACATTATGTCCAGATACTGCTCCTCTTCATCCAGAGATGTATGAACTCAAAAACAAGCAAATGTTACCTATCACCCCACATCTGTATCTTTTTATTGTTGTTGTTTTTAAGACAGGATCTCACTCTGTCACCTAGACTGGAGTTCAATGGCACAATCTCAGCTTATTGCAGCCTCAACTTCCCAGGCTCAAGTGATCCTCCCACCTCAGCCTCCCAAGTAGCTGGGACCACAGGTGCATGCCACTACACCCAGCTAATCTTTTATAGAGAAAAGGTTTCCCTACCCCACATCTATATCTGACATGCAATGGCCAAAGACAGAATAAGCACTGAGATTAACACTCCCATTCATAAACAGAAAGAACATCAGTGGTTCTTAGAATTCCACATCTTTCTGTGTCTAGGAAATGTTCTTTCATTTGGTCCCAGTTCAGCTACCTGGAAGTAGCCCCCGTTATCATTCTTCGGGGCTCTTGGCTTTACCCTCTGCATTATCCTTCTTGGCCATATCTATTATAGAAAATATCCACTCCATGAGGATTGAGTCGCTTTCTCAGCCTCCTTCCTGCCCACAGAAACTTCAGAGCCCAAAGGTTTTTCCCCAACAGTCATAGTCCCTTTTAAGCCAGGCTGGTGTGTCTTTGGCTTCACAATGCTCTTGAAAGCTTGGATAGTGCTTTACCTGTCTGATTCTAGTCAAAATTGTGTGTCAATCACCACACCTATAATTCTTTGCTTTCTGGGCATGATTACTAAGGTAACTTGAACAGGCTTCCATGGGAGAACCATGCCTTTGGTCTGTTTTCCCTGAGCCATTTTATCCAACAAAGGACTCACTAGGAGGTGTTGCTCAGCCCCTTGGTCTGTCCCAAGGCTAAGTTTTAAGTTGAGACTTAATCAGCTTCGTAAATCAAAGCATTTCTCAATATCTGCCTTTATTGGTTGGAGATGAACAACAGTTGCATCTATCAACCCTGGAACTTCTGGATTCTCTCTTTTTCCTTTCATCCCTGCTTACAAATCACCAAGTTCTTTTCTGAGTTCATCTGTTTATTGTGGAATCCTGTCAAACGCAGCTGAAAGCAACCAAGTCACACTAATAATAATCTGTTTCCCACCTCTCTAAAATCATAAGCTATTTAGTATATTGTTTGTCTTCCAGGTGGTCAAAGGCTACATTTTCTTTGCTGCCTACCACTGGGCCCCAAAGCCAACAATACACATTTTAGGACAGCATTCTGCTCTTGGTACCAATTGCTCTATTAGTTTTTCTAGAGAATATTGTGGTAACAAACAACCCCTTCCCCCAGTTCAAAAGTGAATTCACCATTTCTCCCTTGAGTCTTCTATCTCAGTTAATGAGGCAGTATCTGCCCAGTCAGCCAACCTGGAAGTTCCTCTGGGCTCTTCCTGGTTGACCTCTGCAGCAGCCACTGGTGGTACCCACCTAACACCTGTTCACTCTCTCTTCCTCCTTTCTAACAGTACTCTGCTCAGAGACATGCCTCCACCTACCACCCCTAACTCAGTGCCATCCCCAGCCCTGGACACGGATCCTGATCAGTCTAAGTTCATCACAGTTGTTTCATTCCTCATGCCCGTGACTGGTTTGGTCACGGGTATGTGACACAGTTCTGGCCGTAGCAATGTAAGGGGAGCTGTGAAAGAGGCTTCTGGGAAAGGATCTCTTGCATCTATGAGAGATACATAGGAGGAGGCCCACTCTTCTTCTGTTGGACATTGTCATAGAAATTTGCCAACCACTGCCTTACAAGCTGGAAGAGAGGTAGACTTAGGTAATATTGATAAATCTACAATGAAGATGCATAGTGGGAAAACTTTAACTCTTGATGGTGTCATTAAACTGCTGAATTAACAACCCTGGAGCTTCCCTTCCTCAGGTCTTGTAATGTGAGATAATAAATTGACTTTGTTGTGCTGTCCTGTTTAAACCAGTTTGATTCAGGGTATTCTGTTTCTTGCAGCTGAAAAACATTCTAATGGATACAACTTCTCAACAGCCTTTCACCCTTTCCCCAGACTAATTAAACTGGGGATTGACTCTAGGTCCAGGGTGGGCATTGATTTGTCCAAATCATTATAATCTCATCTTCATTAACTGTTCAGGAACCCCATCCCAGAACATGGGATTCAGAATGTGGCATTCCCCTGGCCTTAGGGATGGGTTCAGGAATAGGTACCTCACCTAATAATTTGAGCCATTGAGAGTTTGCCACTGCTTGCTCTTAGAGAAACTCATGATGATAGAGATTCCTGTCCCCTCCCCGCTTCTCTGAGTCGATGTAAACAAGGAAGCAAGGAGCTTTGATTGCTAGTGGCCACATTCTACACCCTGAGGGAAGCCAGACTGAGGATGAAGGTCACGTGGGGTAGATGGAAGAGCAGAGGAATGGAGATGACCTGGGTCCCTGAAGACATTGTTGAGCCCCTGGACCAACCAGTCCTCTGCACTTAGCTGTTATGTGAGCCATTATATTCTTTTTAGTTTAAGCCAGTTTGAGTCAAGTTTCTGTTACTGGCAACTAAAAGCATCATAGGTGATGACCCATCCTGCCACATCCTCCCAGGCCAGGCAACATTGAACTGATCTGTCAAACATCTCTTGAATTTGTTGTTTCTTCTCTATCCCTATTGCCTTAGCCAATCCCAGATTTCTCACCTGAATGCCTGTAAATACCTCCGGCCTTACTGGCCTCCAGCTCCCTTTCCCTTTAGTGTACTCTACATGCTGCCAACATTAGCTCTAGAAGATGAAGGTCTCCGTGCATCCCTTTCCTGCTTCAAACCCTCATCTCTAAGTGGTGGTCCCAAACTCAGTCTCTAAGACTTATTTCAGGCTTCTTATGGGAACCCTTTTCTGACACCCCTCTGGCTGTTCCCTAACTTTTTTGACCGACCATGGTACCTGATTGTAGGTTTTTCTGTTTTCTGTCTCTGCTCACTGGACTGTGGAGAGGTCCAATGTTCCCAGACTCAACAGACACTAAGTATGTTGAGTTCATGTTAACATGCTAGAATTAAGTTTCACCTAAACTGTCACAAATATTTATAAATGTGGAGTTAACAAAACAGGTAATTTGGTGTTGTGTTAAGAACACTGGTCTGCCATCCACAAAGCCTAAAATGTTGTTTTGCTGTCAACACTTAGGAGCTATGGGGCCCTCAGTAATATGCCTTCGCCTCCATGCAACTTAATTACCCATCCGCAAAATGGAAATACTGCAGTTATGTTAGTGGTCACATAGCCTACTCTCTACCTTTTTGGAAAGGATCGCTATTTTGCCTGAAAACTTCATTCACAGTGAGGAAGCAAAAGGGAACAACTACTAATGCAATGGAGCGTAAAAAGTAAACAACTCTTTCATAATGAGTTTATTTTCCATAATTTATAGCATAGGTAACAGAATCATTTTGCAAAGACACGGACTAGAGAAGAATAAAAGAGGCAATTATGATCATTAGAGGTGGCTTCGGAGGACCACGAGACAGCACTATGGACAAACAAAATGCACTACACAACATACTCCTCCTGGGGGGCAGTCAAAACACAGAAATGTAGATCGCTCAGTCACTGAAACGGATTGACTTGGCTGTTCTAACTTCCACACCGAAAGGAAGACAGGGTGGTGATGGGGGGAGAGTGATTACTCCTCAAACAGAGAGTGATTTAACACCACCACTGGCTATGTGACAGATAAACTAATTTGCCCAAATCACTAAGCTTGGGTTTTTCCACCCACATTAATTTGGTTGCTTGCACATGACAACAGCATCATTTATTGGTGACAGGATTCAAAGACCTGGGCATTGCAGCTAGCAGGAGAACACAAACAACTCAAGGCAGGACGCTACAGCCAGTTCAGCAGCTTTTGCTCCTTCAGTGACCACAGTGCAGGGGAGCCCGTGGCTGCTTTGAGGGCTTGATGTGGTATTGAGTCAAACTAAATTTAAACCTTTTACCTAAACTGCTGGTATTCCTTCTATCCCAAATCTTTGGAAGCCATTGAAAGTGATGCAAATGTGTCTCATGGCCAAAACAGCAGCCTGGAGCCTGTGGCTGGCTGGTTTTATTTTTAGGATTATGGGAGACCTCCATCAAGGCTCTTTCTTTTACTCTGAACCTCAGTTTCCCAGATGTAGGAAGGAGAGACCACAGCAGCTTGGGGAATGGCAAAAACCTGGACTTTGTGGTCAGATAGACTAAGGTTTGAGTCTCACCTTCAGGACCTCCTGGTTATATAACCTCCAGTAAGTTACTTTACTTCTCTGAGCCTTGCTTTTCCAATCTATTGTATGGGAATAATAATAAATACCTGCTTAGTTAATTACTTCATTCATTCAACAGACATTTATTGAGTGCCTCCTATGCACCAGGCAATATCCTACCTGAATCCACAAAGGTAAGTGAAATAGACATAGTTCCTGTCCTCATGGAGCTTATGGTCCACTGTGAGAAATAAATAACAGACACAAAGTACGTAGTACTATGCCTGGCGTTTTTTTTTTGTTTTTTGTTTTTTTTTTTTTTTTTTGAGATGGAGTCTCACTCTGTTGCCCAGGATAGAGTACAGTGGCGCTATCTTGGCTTACTGCAAACTCCGCCTCCCAGGTTCAAGCAATTCCCCTCCCTCAGCCTCCCAAGTAGCTGGGATTACAGGTGCCTGCCATCATGCTTGGCTAATTTTTGTATTTTTAATAGAGATGGGGTTTCACCATGTTAGCCAGGCTGGTCTCGAACTCCTGACCTCAAGTGATCGACCCACCTCGGCCTCCCAAAGTGCTGGGATTACAGGCATGAGCCCCCATGCCTGGCCTATGCCTGGCTTTTAATAGACACTGAATACATGTTTTGAGTTAACCAGAAATTTAATTATTGAAATTCAATAGCATTTTGATATCTACTAATTCCTTTTTCAGTTATCCCACTCCTCCCTTAGAACCTGTGTACATGATGCTCTCTCTGTCTGGGTTTGTTTCTTCCCCAGCTAGTCACATGGCTCCCTCTCTCACTTCATATCTGTACTCAAACATCACCTCTTCACAGAGGCCATTCCTAACCATCTGTTCAAATAGCCCTCCTACTTCTATCACACTATATCCTCTTACCTTGCTTTAGACCCATTCTTAATGGATTTAAAAATCATTGGTGGAGCATGGTGGCTCGCGCCTGTAATCCCAGCACTTTGGGAGGCCGAGGCGGGCAGATCATCTGAGGTCAGGAGTTCAAGACCAGCCTGGCCAACATGGTAAAATCCCATCTCTATTAAAAATACAAAAATTAGCTGGGTGTGGTGGCAGATGCCTGTAATCCCAGCTACTCAGGAGGCTGAGGCAGGAGAATCGCTTGAACCTAGGAGGCAAAGGTTGCAGTGAGCCAAAATCACGTCATTGCACTCCAGCCTGGGCAACAAAAGCAAGACTCTGTCTCAAAAAAAAAAAAATTATATTCACAAAAAAATCCCTTAGAGTTAGGGCAAGTTTTTGTGCTAAAGTCTCTACAATAAAATATTATTATTATTATTATTATTTGAGATGGAATCTCACTCTGTCACCTAGGCTGGAGTGCAGTGGCGCCATCTTGGCTCACTGAAACCTCTGCCTCCCAGGTTCAAGTGATTCTCCTGCCTCAGTCTCCCAAGTAGCTGGGATTACAGGCGCACATCACCACACCTGGCTAATTTTTGTGTTTTTGGTAGAGATGGGGTTTCATCACGTTGACCAGGCTGGTCTCGAACTCCTGACCTCAGGTGATCTGCCCACCTTGGCCTCCCAAAGTGCTGGGATTACAGGTGTGAGCCACCGCACCCAGCCAAAATCATGTTTTTAAAAGAAAGATTTGAAGATACTTTACAATAAAAGATATAAGAATGCAGTAAGCACACAAAAAGATGCCCAGCATCACTAGTCATCAGGGAAATTTTCTTTTCTTCTTTCTTTCTTTCTTTTTTTTTTTTTTTTTGAGACAGTCTTGCTCTGTCACCCAGGTTGGAGTGCAGTGGCGCAATTTTGGCTCACTGCATCCTCTGCCTCCTAGGTTCAAGTGATTCTCGTGTCTCAGCCTCCCAAGTAGCTGGGACTACAGGTGTGTGCCACCATGCCTGGCTAATTTTTGTGTTTTTAGTAGAGATGGGGTTTCCCCATATTGGCCAGGCTGGTCTTGAACTCCTGACCTCAGGTGATCTACGCACCTCAGCCTCCCAAAGTGCTGGGATTACAGACGTGAGCCACCACACCTGGCCTGGAAATTTTCAAAAGGCTAATACTGCTAAGTGTTGGCCAGGATGTAGAACAACTGGAACATTCATACACTGCTGATGGGAGTACAAAATGGTAGAGCGACTTTGGAAAGCACTTTGGCAGTTTCTTATACAGTTAAATTTTACACAGACCATGCAACCTACCAATCTCGATCCTAGGTATCTACCCAAGAAAAATGGAAAACATACATACACATACATATAAGGACTTGTACATGAATGTTAATGGCAACATTATTAATAATAGCCAAAAACTGGTGACAACCAAATGTCTATCAACTGATGAATGGATAAACAAAATGTGATCTATTCATACAGTGGAATAGTACTCAGCAATCAAAAGGAAAAACTACTGATACATGCTACAGCATGAATGAATCTTGCAAACATCATTTTAAGTGAAAGAAACCAGACTCGGCTGCAAACTGTCTGATTCCATCTACATGACATTCTGAAATCAGATCATCGTTTTCTGGAATCAGGAGCGTGGGAAAGGACTGACTATAAATTAGCACAAGGAAACATTTTAGGATGATGAAAATATCTTCAGTGTGGTAGGGACATAACTATATACAACTGTTAAAACTCGTCAAGCAGTACACTTAAGACGGGTGAATTTTTTCATATTCAAGTTCTGCCTCAATAAAGCTGTTCCAAGAATGTTAAATATATTGAGAGATATATGCACAGAAAAGGACGCTATACTTGTCTCTTGCGGTAGGATTTTGGGTGCTTTTCATTTTCTTGTCTTTGCTTATTGAAATCTTGTAAAATTTCCACAATGATTATGTAGAGCTTTTGTAGAGAGAGAGAAAAACAACAATAAAATGCCATGATCATAAATAATTGGGTTATTCAACAAGGAATGTATTGTTCATTCAACATTGTTCATTGTAATGAAGCCCATTTAGACCGCCTCCTTCTCATCTATCTTTCATCAGTGACACTTCTGAGGGGTGAGCTGAGGAAACGGGTGCAAAAAGGTACAGAGCTTAATAGCAATCCTTTGTCCATCCAGCTCTGGGCTTGGCTCTCGCCTTGCTTTTTGGATGAATACACAGTAGACTAATGATAGGGGGGCTCTCATCTTCCTTTGCCAACTTCGCCCTCCATTCCAATGCAGATCAGCTCATGAGTCCTCCAGGCCCCAAGAGAGACTCCTCAGCACAGGGCTGGGCAGACTGTGGTTTGTGGGGTGCAGGCCCGGCATCCGCCTCCAGCTCACATTGGTCTGTTGGGTGCTGCCTGGTCTTGGTAAAGTCAAGAGGCCATTCATCAGTGGAGAGCCACAATGAGGGTGACCACTCATGCCGCACATGGCAGGACAGGACACAGAGTCCCTCCAGGAGGCCCTCTGGGTGGGGATGCTCAGTGTCAACAGGCCTCTGGCCCTTTTCCCCCATCACGCATGCCGTTCATCTCCGAACTTGCCGCTTATGAAAGGGCAGTCACCTTAGGAAACCCAGCCAACCTGGAGGTGGAGGATGGCGTGTCAGGAATGGTCCACACCACTTGCCCGTGGGCGCCTAGGCTGCACAAGGCCCCGTCAGGGTCCAGGTGTCAGAACATAGGAATCCAGTGAGGATAATAAATCTATAATTATAAAATAGCTTCATAAAAACATCTTGTAGAGGAAACATACAATTTTCTAGCCACTCTAGTCAGGAAGTAAAGCCCAGCAGAAGCCCAGAGCAGCTGGGGTGGGCACAGGGAAGTGAGACACATCACAGCTGTCCTGGAAGCCTCTGTTTTGTCAGCCATAAAGGGTAAGTTGGGAGAGACCCTGGTTCCCAACCTGGGGTCTCTGTCCTCAGGATTCACACAGGCACTATTGTCAGGAACTACTTCTAGCATCTAAAAACTCCATACATTATTCACAGTAGCCAAAAGATAGAAACAACCTAAGTGTCCACTGATGGATGAATGAACAAAATGAGGACTATCTAGACAATGGGATATTATTCAGCTTTTAAAATGAAAGAAATTCTGACACATGCCACAACATGGATGAACCTTGAAGACATTGTGCTAAGTGAAAGAAGCCAGTCAAAAAGGATAGTATTGTATGATTCCTCTTGTATAGAAGTACCTAGAGTGGCCAAATTCACAGACAGAAAGTAGAATAGTAGTTACCAGGGGCTAGGAGGAGAGGGGATGCGGTGATATTGTTTATAGATACAGAGTTGCAGTTTGGGATAATAAAAAATTCTGAAAATAGATAGTGGTAATGGTTACACAACAATGTGAATATATTTAATTCCAGTCCTGTACACTTAAAAATGGCCAAAATGGTAAATTCTATATTATTTATATTTTACCACATCCACAAAGAAACGAACTCCCCACATACCCACAATGTCTCACTGCTTCATTAAAGCATTGTCATGCCTGTTATCACTCAGATCTGAATGGGCAGGTATAGCCTCTGATTGATTTTTTAGAAGAAACAAAAATAACAGCAAAATATGTTAATTGTAACCTTCAGCGAGAGCTGAAGGAGTTTTTTGGGCAGTTATAACCTTTCAAAGCATGACATCTTTTGGGGGAAGACAAAGGGGCTGTGATGGAAAGGTTGGCTTGAGTGAGTACTTTGGTATCCCTACCCGCCCCCAGCCTCAAATGCTGATCTTGTACTTGGGGAGGCTATGCTAAAGGAGAAACACACCCCAGAGGAGACACCAGGTGGTGTCTTCAGACAATTCCCACCCAGCCATAGGGATAGGCATTTTGGGTTTGAGACGGCCCTTTCTCTGGCTTACTTTTAGAGCCTGGAGTCAGACTTCTTCACAACAAATAGCCCAGAACCAGCTGGGAACTCTCTGGCCCATATGACACATGACACTGATACAGTACCAGAAATGCATGGCACCAGCTAATACCACTGAGGGGCAGGAGGGCATACTCTCTCTCAGACCCTCATCCATCACCCCCAGAACCAGGACAAGGTCATGATGGCTCTTGGCAGCCTGCTCAGCACCAGGGCAAGAACAACTCAGGCTGGACATTACGAGAGTAAACACAATAGATTTCTTTCCCAGACCAAGAGCTTGGGCACCAGGAGTGGGCATTCTGGTTCACTGTTAGGCAAAAAAGCCTTTGGGGAAATTACCAGCTCTCCCGTCATCCCCACCTTCCTTGAAAGGCAGCATGTGGGGTGGGAAGAACAATCAGAAGACAAATTTTAATCTAAATCCTGCCCCTCTGTGGCCCTGGAAACTTGGCCCCTTTGAGCTTCAGTCACTTTGTGAAATGACAATAACATTCAATCTCCTTCAACCTCATTACTATGGATTAAATGAGACGGTGTCTGGGGACATGCTTGGAGAATGTATTGTACAACTGCTTAGGAATTTTCTTCTGCCCCTAAACCTGGAACTTAGAGTGGAGCAAACAGTAAACAGTCACTGTGTGTCGGTTAAGGGAACAGAGCCTCAGAGCCCCGACCCCTGGAAACGTTTCTTTTTTGTTTACTAAATTTCTAGCAACACCGTGTTTTCTACAGAGGTGGGGGGAAATGTCCATTTAAGTGCAAGATGAAGGGGCCTGTGAAAGGACCCTCCAAGGCAATCCCATGTGCTCCCGTCTCCTGGAAAGAAGCCACATTTCTTCAAGTTGATGCAGGGGTGTTGGGGGAAAGCCAGAGTAAACAGGGCTCTCCTGGTACCTCCTTAGAGTACACAAGTCATTTGTGCTGGGGAAGAGTTTAGTGTGTGTCCTTCAGGAGTCTCCAAATGGCACTCCGGCTGCAGCTTCAGTTGACCAACTTCTCCCTCCCAGGAAGCAGGGAGGAGAGAGACCTTGGGCAAGGCTTTGTACCTGCAGCCCCAGTGAGCAGATGTGTTTCCCAATGTGGAAAATGCATACCGTGCTTCCCCTTCCTCGTTGTCTATGAGTACGTAAAAGGACACCTCCTGTGGCCCTGCAGCATTACAATGTCTGTGGCATTGTAAGTTCTTGCCTTGGTCTGGGAGTCCCTCCTCTGTTCTCTAAGCTCAGACCCAGAGGGCAAGACCTAGAGTGCCCTGCAACTGAGGCAGCCTCCCCAAGGCTCGTTCTGAAGCTGCCGTCCTCTGAGGACAATGGCTTCTTGGAACTTCTTGGAACAAACAAGACAAACCAACACATTAGAGCCGGCAGCGGGGGCACACCGTGTTCTTCTAGAAAAGGATCAAGGGGAGTGGCTTCAGTAACGGAACATGAGGGACTCCCTCACATGGACACAAAGCATCAAGGGACAGGCCGGCTTTGCTTTTCGCTTCTTCCTAGCTGCCTAATTAGGACTTACTCAGTTCACAGTGTTCTACCTTACCGGGCCCTCTTGGAGCCAGCTGGAGATGATAAAAACCACACAGGTATTGGAGTCAGATAGCTTCACATGCCATTTCCACCTGAGAAACTTGGGTGAGTCACATCTCTCCAGGCCTCAGTTTTTGCATCTGTAGAAGGAAGAGAAGACAACCTATCTCCAAAGCGTTGTGACAATTCAGTGAGATGATGTTTGTCAAGCCCACCACACAGGGCAAGTTGGTTCCTTCCCGTCCCCCGCATTTGCCTCTACTGAGGGTGAAGGCAGCAGAGAAGACATCACCAGCAGCTGCCCACCACTGCCTGGCTCTGGAGAGGGAGGGACCACGCATCCTCACCTAACCACACCAGGCCGCTATCGCCTGCATGTATCTCGTGTCCAATCGGGGCCCTGAGGCAGCGTCCCGCCCTCCCTGGACCCCCTCAGATATCCCAGGCTGGAATGGTGAGGGGCAGGTGGGAGCAGCCAGGCCCTTCCCTGGGCAAGCCGTGGTGAGCCACCCGCCCATTCCGCAGCGGGAGGCGGCCGGGCCTGGGGGCCCCACTGCTAGGGCCCGACTCAGAGGGCAGCCCGGAGTCGCTGGGCCGCACCACCACGAAGACCCGCCTGTGCAGAAGCCCGCCGGGCCGCTCGGAGTAGGCCTCCTTGTGGCTCCCCGACGGGCGCGGGCAGAGGCGGGCGCGGAAGGCGGCCTGGAAGCCGCGGCGGAAGTTCTCGTTGAAGTAGCCGTAGATGATGGGGTTGGCGCTGCTGTTGAAGAAGGCCAGCCAGTGCGCGAAGGGGAAGGCGTAGACGGTGACCAGGTGCAGCTGCGGCGCGCTGAGCTGCCCGTAGTCGATGAGCAGCAGCAGCGCCCAGAGCGGCAGCCAGGACAGCGTGAAGAACAGCGCCACCATGACCAGCATGTGCACCACGCGCGCTCTGCGCCGCGATGCTCGCGGGTCCGCAGCCTCCTCGCCCCCGGGGGCCGGGCCCGGGGCCTGGCAGAGCTTGCGCGCGATGCGGGCGTACATGACCACGATGAGCGCCAGCGGCGCCAGGTAGATGTGCGAGAAGAGCACAGTGGTGTAGACCCTGCGCATGCCCTTCTCGGGCCAGGCCTCCCAGCAGGAGTAGAGCGGGTAGGAGCGGTTGCGGGCGTCCACCATGAAGTGGTGCTCCTCACGGGTGACGGTCAGCGTGACGGCCGAGGGACACATGATGAGCAGCGCCAGGGCCCAGATGACGGCGATGGTGACGAGCGCCTTCCGCAGGGTCAGCTTCTCGCGGAAAGGGTGCACGATGCAGCGGAACCTGCCGCGGGGAGAGAGACAGGCGGGATCTGGGTGGGTCCTAGGGCCCCTGCGAGGGGACGGTGGGTGGGATGCGGGCACCTGACCTTCATCATCGCATCTAGGGCGGCGTCGAAGAACAGCTCAGACCTGAATTGGCTGAGTAGTCAAAGAACAAAGGCAGCTACAGGATTTATGAGAAGGGAGGAGGAAACCGCAGATCGTGTGGGAACAATGAATCCTGTGTGCACTTTTGCACTTTTCTCCTTTTTTTTTTTTTTTTCCTGAGACAGGGCCTCCTTCTGTCGCCCAGTCTGGAGTGCAGTGGCGCGATTACGGCTCCCTGCAGTCTCCACCTCCCGGGCTCAAGTGATCCTCTCCTCCCACCTCAGCCTCCTGAGTAGCTGGAACCACAGGAATGCGCTGCCACCTCGCCGGCTAATTTCTTTCAATTTTTGGAGAGATGAGGTCTCACTGTGTTGCCCAGGCTAGTCTCAAAGTCTTGGGCTCAAGCTATCCTCCGGCCTCGGCCTCCCGAATTTCTGGGATTATAGATATGAGCCTCCTTGCGGGGCCATTTGTGTACTTTTGGGGGTCAACTGATTAGCTGGCAGCTAGCAGAGCGATCAGAGTGCGCAGTCTGTCCTCGACAAGGACGATTAGGTGCGTCAAATAACACAGTTTCTGTTTATGGATTCTCCAGAAAACCTCAGGAGGTCAGATGTAGAGCCTACATGTCAGGCTGTCCCTATGTCATCTTGGCCATAGTATCAGTATCTCTACAATGCAAGGACAAGTCTGCACCATTTATTTCCTCATGAGGACAACTCAGCATCTGTTATTACACCCTTTATTATTTTTTAAAGGTGAGGCCTTTAAGATAGTTACTACACTGTTGATTTACAGACAAGGAAACTGGGACTCGAGTGTTAAGCAGTTGGCTCAAGTTCACATAGCAAGTTGCAAGGACCAGTCTTGAACCCAGATTTGTCTTGCTTCATATGCCATATAAACCAGTAGCTGTAAACCCTCCATGTGCATGAGACTCTCCTGAAGCATTTCAACAACAAAGACAAAACCCGTGCCTATTTTTTCAGGCCAAGGATTCCAACCTAATTAGTCTAGAAAGTGGTTTTAGCATTATTTGTTATGTGCTGTTTTTGTTTTTAAAGCTCCTGGGGTCAGGTGCCATGGTTCATGCTTATAATCCCAGCACTTTGGGAGGCCAAGGCAGGAGGATCACTTGAACCCAGGAGTTGGAGACCAGCCTGGGAAACATGGTGAAACCCCATCTCTACCAAAAAAATTAACCAGATGAGGGGATGCTTGCCTATTCTTCCAGCTACACAGGAGGCTGAGGCAGGATAATCACTTGAGTCCAGGAGTGTAGGGAAAAGAAAGAGAAATCAGACTGTTATTGTGTCTGTGTAGAAAGGGAAGACATAAGAGACTCCATTTTGAAAAAGACTTGTACTTTAAACAATTGCTTTGCTGAGATGTTGTTAATTTGTAGCTTTGCCCCAGCCACTTTGCCCCAGCCATTTTGACCCAACCTGGAGCTCACAAAAACATGTGTTGTATGAAATCAAGGTTTAAGGGATCTAGGGCTGTGCAGGACATGCCTTGTTAACAAAATGTTTACAAACAGTATACTTGGTAAAAGTCATCGCCATTCTCTAGTGTCAATAAACTAGGGGCACAATGCACTGCGGAAAGCCGCGGGGACCTCTGCCCTTGAAAGCAGGGTATTGTCCAAAGTTTCTCCCCATATGATAGTCTGAAATATGGCCTCATGGGATGAGAAAGACCTGACCGTCCCCCAGCCCAACACCTGTAAAGGGTCTGTGCTGAGGTGGATTAGTAAAAGAGGAAAGCCTCTTGCAGTTGAGATAGAGGAAGGCCACTGTCTCCTGCCTGCCCCTGGGAACTGAATGTCTCAGTATAAAACCCTATTGTACATTTGTTCAGTTCTGAGATGAGAGAAAAACCACCCTATGGTGGGAGGTGAGACATGTTTGCAGCAGTGCTGCCTTGTTATTCTTTACTCCACTGAGATGTTTGGGTGGAGAGAAACATAAATCTGGCTTACGTGCACGTCCAGTCACAGTACCTTCCCTTGAACTTAATTATGACATAGATTCTATTGCTCACAGGTTTGTTACTGACCTTCTCCTTATTATCACCCTGCCCTCCTACTACATTCCTTTCTGCTGAAATAATGAAAATAATAATAAATAAAAACTGAGGGAACTCAGAGACCGGTGCCGGCGCAGGTCCTTGGTATGCAGAGCACCGGTCACCTGGGCCCACTGTTGTTTCTCTATACTTTGTCTCTGCGTCTTATTTCTCTTTCTCAGTCTCTCATCCCACCCGACTTGAAATACCCACAGGTGTGGAGAGGCAGGCCACCCCTTCACAGGAGGTTGAGGCTGAGACTGCAGTGAGCCATGATCAGACCACTGCACTCCAGCCAAGGCAATAGAGCAAGACCTTGTCTCCAAAAAAAAAAAAAGCTCCTGGAGAAGTCTACTGTGCAACCAGAGTTGAAAACAGCTGCTGTAGGGGGAGGTAAAAACCTCCCCCTGCAGCATGGTTCAAAGACGATTGCTCAACTGCAAGCTCTGTGAGGGCAGATGCCTTGACTTTTCATCTCAGTATTCCTAGGTTGTGATTAGATAAATGCATGAATGACCAGAGGGGAAGTTACTCAAAATACTTTCTGAGCCTTAGTTTCCTCATCTGTAAAATGAAGCCCATAGTATGACCTACTCTGTTGGGTAGTTGTGAAGATTAAGTGAGATGACACTGACCACACTTCTTGAGACATTTCAAATGCTTAATAGTGAGGAAAAAGGAGGGGCTCCTATTCCCCAGAATGGCTTCTGTCATCTACTGATGCCAGAAAATAGAAACCTGAAGAATGTCCAGTCAATCTTACTTGTTTAATGGAGGGGAAAGCTTGCCCAGTGGGGGTCTTATGGTCACATGGCTGTTTGGAGTCAGAGCCTGCCCTGGAACATAGGTCTAGAGCTGACTCTCAGTCAAGTGTCCTTTCCACTTCGCTACACTGTGTCCTGCCCTCCTGCCAACCCAGTTTTTGGCCTGATAGCCTGACCTTTTACCTCTCCCACAGCCTGACTCAGGCCTTGTTATCTCAACCTATATGACTTTGACCTACTGGCTTCATACTTCACATACTCAAGAAAGCTCCAGAGAATAGTGGCTTATGTCAGCACTTTGGGAGGCTGAGGAGGGTGGATCACTTGAGGACAGGAGTTCGAGACCAGCCTGGCCAACATGGTGAAACCCTTCTCTACTAAAAAGACAAAAATTAGCCATGCATGGTGGTGCGCACCTGCAATCCCAGCTACTCCGGGGACTGAGGCACGAGAATGGCTTGAACCCGGGAGGCAGAGGTTGCAGTCAGCCAAGATCGCCATGGCACTCCAGCCTGGGTGACAGAGCAAGACTCTGTCTCCCCCCTCAAAAAAAAAAAAGAAAGAAAGAAAGAAAAAGAAATCTCCAGAGAATAAATAATTCTTAAAGCCTGTAGTGCTGGCTATGAATGCAATAGCAGTAAATGGGTGGAGGAGAATCTTGGGGTAATCTGGGCAGGCTTCCTGGATGAGGTGGGACTTGAAGAATACTGCAAACACCACTGGGAGAAGTTGTACACTCTCATTTCCTTCAACAATGATAACAAAACAAAGGTCGATGAAGGGAAGGGACTTCTCCTGATCACCCAGCTAGTTAGTGGCCTTGTGGAGAGTAGAACCCACTTCATTACTCCAGCTGCCTACTTCACTGAGTTACAAAAAACTGGGCTTGAGGTGGAGAGAGGATGTGAACACTAGATTCCACAAAGGGCAGGGTTAAGATATGCCTGTGCTGGGGAGAGAACAAGGAGGAGGGGATGGGTGTGCAGAAGAAACAACATACTATTAGCAACTGATATTTGGACTCTATGCCAAGAACTGTGCATAAGCTTTTACAAGCAGGAGCTCACTGAAGCCTCCCAACCATCCTGTAGGGTAGCTACCATTTTACAGATGAGACTACAAGGGCTCAGAGTAGTTAGGTGACCCACCCAACATGATACACCAAGGCAGGAGTGAGCAAATCTCCAGCTGATCTGCCTGCCCACCTTTCCCTGGGGTGAAGCACCCAGAGGGTGCCCTTCCCCTGCTAACAATGCTGTGGGGGAGGAGCACTCATGTAGTGCAATATGGAGGCCTCCTGGGTTCAGTGCTTTATTGATTGCAAGCCTCCTTCTCCCTGGCTCTGCTCCATACCTTTGGCCACATGATAGATTTATACTTACCAGGGAATCTGATGGAATATGAGGCTGAGAGACGAGAAGCGGTGAACGTGGGGATTGAGTACAGCCTGGGCTGCCGGGAACCAGCAAGGAGCCAGTGGGGACAGAATAAGGAGCAGGGAGAAACCCTTCCTCCCCAGCCATACCGTGACCCACCCATAAGCTGGCCCCCTTAGCTCTGGCTCACCTGGCTCAGACTTAGAGGTGGCAGGATTCCTGCTGCTCAGGAAATAAGGACTGCTCTTGAGCTCCTCACAGGCCCCAGGAATCCCAACAAAAGCCAACCAAGGCTACCTTCAGGCCTTCCAGAAGGGGGTGGTAGTGTCCTCATCAGGTTCCCCAAGTTTAGGGAGAGGGCAGCTGGGCCCAGGGCCCTTCTCCTTGTGGCTCAGGATTTAGCCCCACTTACCATGGTGCAGCCCCAGCCTTCCAGCCAACCCAGCATTAGAGGCAGTGGCTCCTCTTAATGCCAGGCCCTAGTTGGCTCAGGCATAATCCAGCCAGGAAACCTCTCACCTTTCCACAGCAATGGCCACCAGTGTGAAAACGGAAGCCGACACAGACATGCCCTGCACCAAGCCGCTCATCTTGCATGTGGCATTGTCGAAGGGCCACCCTGCAATGACAGAGGCCCCCACAGAGTGAGAGATGCCCACGCATCAAGAGCCAGAGACTGAAAGCCCTCCAAGCCAGGTCCCCTCTGAGCTTGGATCTTTCCTCCATGACCTGCTAGGTGTTATCTGGTCTCTGCTTGCAGACTTTCAGAAATGAGGAACCAACCAGCCCATAAAACCATGGACAGTTCTCACTACAGTCATCCCCTCGTTTATACAGTGCATTGGTTCTAGGACCCCCAAGTATTCCAAAATCCACACATAATCAAGTCCTGCAGTCAGCCTTGCAGAACCTGTGTATAGAAAAAGGCAGCCCTCTGTATGTACATGGTGATATGGTTTGGCTGTATCCCCACCCAAATCTCATCTTGAATTGTAGCTCCCATAATCCCCACGAGTCATGGGAAGGACCCATGGGAGGTAACTGAATCGTGGGAGTGGTTTCCTCCATGCTATTCTTGTGATGGTGAGTAAGTTCTCATCACGAGATCTGATGGTTTTATATGGGGCTTCTCCCTTCACTCCGTTCTCATTCTTCTCTCTCCTGCTGACTTGTGAAGAAGGATGTGCTTCCCCTTCCACCATGATTGTAAGTTTCCTGAGGCCTTCCCATCCCTGCAGAACTGTGAGTCAAACCTCTTTCCTCTATAAATTACCCAGTCTCAAGTATGTCCTTATAGCAGCATGAGAATGGCCTAATATACACGGGTTTTGCTGTATTTTTAATCTGCATTTAGTTGAAAAAAACCCTCATATAAATGGACCCATGCAGTTCAAACCCATGTTGTTCAAGGGTCAACAGTATTAGTGAGATTTTCTTTATGTTGACCAGTGATTTCTTTCCATGAGCTTTAGACCGTCCAGCCCTGCCTGGCTCTCTGCTCCCATAGCCCTGTCTTGGGTTCTAGGCCAGTGGTTCTCGACACTGGCTGCTCACGAGAATCATCTGGAGAGCTTTGCAAAGAACAAATGCTCAGACCCATGCCAGGCCAGTTACAATCAGAATCTCTAGTGACAGGACCCAGACATCAGTTGTTTTGTTTGTTTTGTTTTGTTTTGTTTGAGATAGGGTCTCGCTCTGTCACTGAGGCTGGAGTACAATGGTGTGATCATGGCTCACTGCAGCCTCAACTTCCTGGCTCAAACCATTCTCCTGCCTCAGCCTCCTGAGCAGCTGGAACCACAGGCATGTGGTTTGCAAAAAGCAAAGTATAAAGACTATCTGTACTATATTACCCTTCATGTGAGAAAAAAGAGATTAAGAAAATATATGGTTATTTTCTCATTGTACCAAAGAAATACAGAAAAGATAAATCAGAATAATGAGATTAGCTATCCATACAGAGAGAAGATAAGAACTGGGTAGAAATAATGGATGAATGGGATAGGTGAGATAATGAGAGTGATGCCTCTCTGAGTATATCTTTGTATGGTTCTGACTTTTTAGAATCATGGCAATGAATCACTTACTCAAGATAAATAATTAACATCTATCAGGATATGGTTGGGGAGGGGGGACCCAAAGTAAAATACAAACATTAACAAATAAGTCTAATTATATTACAAATGAATAATATTGTATTTAAATTGAATAATATTTACACTGAAGGGGTGAAGAAGGAACACACGAACTGGAGTAACTTTGCAAAACAGTATTTTGACTGTATACTATAACAGCAAAAAGAACTGTATACAAATTCTGTACTGTCATTACTAAACTTGTATATTCTTGACAAAACTGAATAAACTGGATTTAATTATGGGAAAATATCAGGCAAACCCAAATCACAGAAGTATGTTAGCAATAATGAAACTACCTTATGTGTATACTAAGATTGAACAAATAAGTAAATATGTTGTAGATAAATACAGCTAGATTTCTCACTGTCTGAAAATGAAGTTACCATTAAGGAAGAGGGTCAAGTTAAAATGAATCTGTGACAGTGGGTTAGAATCAGAGGTATCAGTCTGAACTCATGTTAATACACATACAGATGGACAGATATAGAAATAAAGATATGTGTGTTAAATATTTCTGTTAGTATACGTATATTTCCTAGCTCTGTCCCTTGAGAGCACCTAGAAGAAATGACACCCCAATACCCATGAGCACACCTAGAACCCAGATCTTGGCTTCTAAATACTATTCTCAGCCAGGTGTAGTAATCCCAGCACTTTGGGAGGAAGAAGCAGGAGGATCGCTTGAGCCCAGGAATTCAAGACCAGCCTGGGTAATATAGTGAGACTCTGACTCTACAAAAACAAAAATTAAAAATAAAATTAGCCATACATGGTGGCGCATTTCTGTAGTCCCAGCTACTGGGGAGGCTGAGGTGGGAAGATCTCTTGAGGCCAGGAGTTTGAGGTCACAGTGAGCTATGATCTCACCACCGCACTCCAGCCTTGGTGACAGAGCAAGACCGTGTCTTTTTAAAAAGCAACAACAACAACAACAAAAAAGCCCCTGTGGAACTATACACTTAAAAAGGCAGATTTTAATGTATGTTAAATTATATATTAACAAAAATATTTAAATGTAAAACATGCACACATTCACAGCATATTTTCTTTTTTCACCCAGGCTGGAGTGCAGTGGCGTGATCTCGCTCATTGCAAGCTCTGCCTCCTGGGTTCACGCCATTCTCCTGCCTCACCCTCCCGAGTAGCTGGGACTACAGGCACCCACGACCACGCCCGGCTAATTTTTTGTATTTTTTAGTAGAGATGGGGTTTCACCATTTTAGCCAGGATGGTCTCGATCTCCTGACCTTGTCATCCACCCGCCTTGGCCTCCCAAAGTGCTGGGATTACAGGCATGAGCCACCGCGCCCGGCCATTCACAGCACATTTTCTGAGAATGCATACAAAAGACAGAAATATAACAGAATGGCTGCCTATGGGTCAGAGAAGAGATGTAGAGTGGAATAGGTATATAGAAGGAAACAAATAAACAAAAGAAGAGCTTTGCAACAGAGTGAAATCACATAGTGCCATGAACTGTAAACTGAATGAATGATTCAACCTTCTGTATGTGAGTTAAAAAAAAAACAAAACCAACACAAAACAAAACAAAAAGAAAGAAAGGAAGAAAAAGCTGGGCATGGTGCCTCACTCCTGTAATCCCAGCACTTTGGGAGGCTGAGGCGGGCAGATGGCTTGAACCCAGGAGTTTGAGACAAGCCTGGGTAACATGACAAAACTCCATCTCTACAAAAAATAGAAAAATTAGCCATTGGTGGTGGCACATGCCTGTAGTCCCAGGACCTGGGCCCAGGCAGGTTGAGACTGCAGTAAGCCATGATCGTGCACTGCGCTCCAGCCTGGATGACAGAGTGAGACTGTCTCAAAAAAAAGAGGCCGGTGTGGTGGTTCATGCCTGTAATCCCAGCACTTTGGGAGGCCGAGGCAGGCAGGTCACTTGAGATCAAGAGTTCAAAACCAGACTGGCTAACATGGTGAAACCCCATCTCTACTAAAAATACAAAAATTAGCTGGGTGTGGTGGCAGAAGCCTGTAATCCTAGCCACTCGGGAGGCTGAGGCAGGAGAATCACTTCAACCTGGGAGGCGGAGGTTGCAGTGAGCCGAGATCCCAGCACTGCATTCCAGCCCGGGTGACAGTGAGACTCCAAAAAAAAAAAAAAAAAAAAAAAAGAAAGAAAAAATAGTGAAGCTGTGTGAAGTTTTATTTAATTGCAGAAGATTCTATTAGAAACAACATAAATACAAATCAAAATAAATTGTAGTACATCCATACAATGGAATTCTAAGCAGTTGGTGAAAATAGTGAGAAACTCTTTTATTTATTAATATGGGATAACAACATGTAAGTTTATTTTAATGAATCTTTTTTACAGCATACATGGTATATTTTTAAGTGGGGTGTGGTGGGAAGTAAAAGTACGGGACTGGCTGTTTGGAACCTTAGCATGTCCTCAATTTGCTTGCACTCGCATAAAATAGTGTTTGAAAGAGACACAAGAAACTGGCAACACTGGTTGCCTCCCAGGAGGGAGAAGAGCTGGGAGGCCAGAGGACAGGGGCGGAAGGGAGATTTTTCACTGGAGAATTTTGGTAGTTTTTGACTATTGAATCATCTGAATGTTTTATGTATTCAAACAATATTTTAAATATGAGTGTATGAAAAAGATGGGGAGACGCCACCTTAACCAGCTAGTGACCTCATTATATCACTGTTGACTGGTATGCATGTATTTATGTGTATGCATGTGTGCATCTCTGCACATGTGTGCCTGAGTACACGTGTGTGTGTCTATGTGTTGGAAAGGAGAGGAATGCAGTTTATGTTCAGCATTGGCAAAGGAAGCTGGGACTCAGCAGTGGGTAACGGTTCCACCAGACAGAGCTGGTACTGTGGAGGGGAGCTGACTCTGCACTGGCTCCACATCCTGGGTCCTAGAACCTACAGAAACGTGGGCTGTGGCTCCCTCTGCCCCGAGTCAGTGAAGTCACTCTGAATAGGGCTGTCCAGGCTCTGGATCCTGAGGACCAGTGAGCTGCTGGGAGCTCTGAGCTCAGAATCTGCAGGCTCAGACCTCTAGGGGTCTCCATATCTCTGAAAACCAGTCCCTCACCTGGAGTCTCAGGTTGGTGGAAACTTGATTCTAAAACAAGAAAGGCCAGTCGCATGAGAGAGTAGAGAGTAGATGGCACTGTTCTGACATCTGCAGGATGCACCGGCAGGAATTTAGAGGTCAAGTGGTCCACTGAGTGGCCGGCCAGTCCCTGCTTAGACACTCCAAGGGACAGAGAGCTCATTACTTACAGGCAGGACTCTCTTCTGTGCCCTGCTCAATTTCCAGCTCAAATGAGTGGAGTTTTCGTTCCCGATTCAGAGGAAACCTGCCTCCCTTCCACTTCTCCCCACTGGCTCTAATTCTGCCCATGCGAGCTCCGTGAGAGAGTGGGACTGAATGGTATAATACAATAATTAGAAGTATGGGTGTGAGAATGTTGACCTTGACACCTATTAGCTGTGTAACTACAGACCAGTTTCTTAACCACTCCGAGCATGTTTCCTCTTCCATAAAATGGGGAGGACCATAAACTCTACTTCACTGGATTGTTGTGAGGATGAATTAAGATAATGCATGAGAAGTAACATCATGCCAGGCACAAAGAAAACAGGAAATTCATTAAATCTCTTATTTCTAGTCTAACTCTTCAGCCCCAAGACTGTCTTGAGAGTTCGAGACCACGGCATGGCCAAGAGGCCAGCCCAGCAATGATATCTGTCTTCTAAGCTTTGATTTCCAGCCTTATCTGAGAAGTTGAAGTGGGGGGTAGGGGACACTCCTGCTGCCAACTGCCCGCACTCACCAGTGATGAGGTTGTCCACAAGGGTGGTGGGCATGCAGAAGATGCCCACCAGCAGGTCACTGACAGCCAGGTTGAGGATGAACATGTTGGTGACAGTATGCATGTGCCGGTTCTTGAGCACGATGAAACAGACCAGGGTGTTGCCCACCATGCAGAGCAGGAAGATGAGCGCATAGGCCACAATGAACATGGCCGCCACAGGGGAGGTGTGCTGATAGTAGGAGGAGAAGGTGAGGTTTGTAGCCGGGGTGGCCTCAGTGTTAGTCCCATTCTGACTTAGGGGCCAACTGCTGTTGGGAGGCTGGGAGGGCTCCCCTAGGACCAAAGGAATATATTGGTCAGGACCTTAGGCAAAGAAGAGATTACCGATTTCTCACCACTAATGAGACCCTCTGTGTGCCAAACCTTAACCATGCCCTGGTCCCCCAAGCATGTCCCCAGCTCCAGTTGCAACTTGATGCACTGATCCAAGACTTTCAGCCTACAACCACTCAAACCCTGGTCTTGTACTTCATGCCCTGTCTTGCCCATAACTCATTCTCCAATGTTGGTTTTTCTTTATTAACTCCCCCATCCCATTTAGGTTCCAACTTTCTTGGCCCTCCTGTGTGCCCCAGAGGCTAACCTCTAAGTTCTGCATTGCCCTGGTTCCCTTGTCTTCTGGCTTCTAGCTGGGTTCAGCCAATGCCAGGCCCTGAAGGAGATGGGAGGGCAGGAGCAGAGAGAGAGGTCAGGGTGTTTGTCTTCTGATTCCCTTCCTGCCTGGCCCAATTCTTTCAGCAGCTGTTTTTCCCTATAGCCACAGCCTGCTCCTATTGGGTGAGTCCCCTTTCATGGCTCTAGCCCTCACCTGACTACAGTAACACTCTTCCCTCTCCTTGCACTCAATGGTAACAGCTTCCTGTGGTTGTGAGTCCCTGGGTGCTTCACCGTTTCTGGCTGGTTCTCTTAACCCTCTCTTCTTCCATTAAACTCTGTTCAGTTAAACCCTTTCTGAGTGCACCATTTGTTTTCTGCTGGGACCCAATTATTATACCCTCAAACTCTTTGATGTCGTTCCCCTTCATCTCCTCCATGGAACTTTAGTTGAGAAAGGCAAGAAGGCAGTAGAGAAAGGGAGAATGAAGGGGAACTGTGAACCAGGGCTAAGGAGAAGAGGCACATCACATTCAGCAGAACATCCAAAGCAGGGGCTCCTGCTCAACCTTTGCCTCCTCCCATCCCATGATCAGCTGTTCTGCCTGCATAGCATTTAACATAACACTTCCACATCTATTATTTTATTTAGCTCTCCGAGCCATCCCATGATGTAAGTCATTAGGTATTAGCCTCATTTGTTTTCTTTTGTATTTTTTTTAAACCCTCATTGAATTACCCTAAGGTGTTAGCTTCATTTGAAATGGAGGTCAGAAAGGTTCCATGACTTGCTCAAGGTCCTCCAATGATGCTGCAGCACAGCTGGCCCTGCTCTGTGTGTCTGTGAATTAGGACCAGGCTTTGGTGTGTGTTTCCCCAGGCTTGCTTCGAAGGGAAGGCTCAGTGTCCAACCACAGCTCTTCTGGGAAGTCATTAGTTGGGGTGACTCATGATGTTGTGTCATAAACTTTCCTCCTGAGGCCTATTCCAGGGGATGAAGAGTCCCTGTGGAATCTTTCTGTCACACCGAGAACTCAGCCACTGGCCTGGAGGCTCAATGGAGGCTGGGGGCCTGGAGGTTAGAGACCCTCAGAGGAGCAGGGCCAGCGAGCTGGCATCATCAGGGCTGCAGGGACCAGCAGGGGGCACTGCGGTGAGTGTTGGGATGGGGCAGAGGGACTGCGGCGGGAGGCGGACAACCTGCAAACTTCCTGTGCCCGATGAGAGATGATACTCCCAGGTTTAGGCCTTCCAAGGACTTCCAACTGTACTCAAACATCTTTATTTTAATATGGTAAATGTCAAACATGTAGAAGAGAGAATATTGTAATAAACATATACAAGAGTATAAAGTTTAATGAGCTGTTATTAGAGGGATCATATAAAGAACCCCCATGTATACATCATCTGCTTTCAACAGTTATCAACTCGAGGCCTGGAGTTGTTTCATCCATATCCCCACTTCTCTTTGGATTATTTTGAAGTAAATACCAGACATTACTTCCTTTCATCCATAAATGTTTCAGTTTGTACCTTTAAAAAATAAGGACTCAAAAAAACAACATGAAAAAATGTGGTTTCCATCATTATCAAACCTAACAAAATTAACAATTATGTAATTATATCATTAAATAGCCAGCATCCAGCAAAATTTCCTGATTGTTTCATAATTTTTTAAATAGTTGGTTTGTTTGAGTGTGGATCGGAGCAAGATTTCTGTTTCTATTACCTATTATTATGTTGTGAACCACCCCAAAATTTAATGGTACAGCACTGTGGCTTGGCAATCTGAGTAGTTCTTCTCCTGGTCTCTCTTGGGACTCTCGTGCAGCTGCTGTAGTTATCTGCTGGCTCAGCTGGGGCTGGGAGGTCCAAGGTGTCCCTCACATGGCTGGTGATTAGTGCTGGCCATTGGCTGGGATGTCTCAGTTCTCCACTCAGCCTCTCATCCTCCAGGAAGCTAGTGTGGGCTTCTTCAGAGAACAGTGGTCTCAGGGTTCCAAGAGAGCAAGAAAAGAAGCTACAACTTCTTAAGTCCGAGACTCTGGAATTTTCACATCACGTCTGTCACATTTTATTGGCCCAAGTAAGTCACAAGGGATGCCCAGGTTCAAGTCAGTGGATAAATAGTTTCTCCTGTTGATAGGAAGAAAAGCAATATAGCATTGCAGAAGAGGTGTGGACATGGAAGTGTGATTCATTAAGGTCCATTATGATAAAGTCTACCACCATCCCCATATTGCATTTGGTAGACGTGATGCTGAAGTCTCTTTTAGTTCACAGGTCCCCAGTCTGTCTCTTTTCCCTTCTGCAGTATGTTTGTCATATGGACTGAGTGGTTGGTCTGTAGCACTTCTGCAGGCTGGATTTTTCTGATTGCTCCCTCATGATGTCATTTTACATGTTCTGCTCTCTGTTCCCTGTATTACCTGTACTTGGCAGTCAGATCTAGAGTCTTGATCAGATTTTGTCCAGTGGCCTTTCTCTTTGTGGTGCTGGCTCAATCAGGGGGCTCAGGTGATGTACCTCTGCCTCCTGGGCTCAAGCAATCCTCCCGCCTCGGCCTCCTGAGTAGCCGGGACTACAGCCGTGCGCCACCAAGCTGGGTTAATTTAAGGTTATTTTGTAGAGATGAGGTCTCACTACGTTGCCCAGGCTGGTCTTGAACTCTTAAGCTCAAGCAATCCTCCTGTCTTGGCCTCCCAAAGTGCTGAGATTACAGGCATGAGCCACTGTGCCATCAGCTTTTAACATAATATTTTCAGCAGACACTAAGGATTATTGCCTAGACTCCCCACTGCATTTTTTTTTTTTTTGAGACGGAGTCTTGATCTGTTGCCCAGACTGGAGTGCAATGGCTTCGATCTTGGCTCACTGCAACCTCTGCCTCCTGGGTTCAAGTGATTCTCCTGCCGTAGCCTCCTGAGTAGCTGGGATTACAGGTGCATGCCACCACACCCAGCTAATTTTGTATTTTTAATAGAGACAGTGTTTCACCATGTTGGCCAGGCTAGTCTCAAACTCCTGACCACAGGTGATCCACCTGCCTCAGCCTCCCAACCCTCATTGCATTTTAAATACAATCCACGCTCCTTACCAAGGCCTCCAAAACACTTCATGGTCTGATCCCTGTTGACATCTCTCTGACCTCACCCAGTGCCACTCTCCCCTTTGCCCATTATGCTCTGGTCACTTTGCCATCTGCTTAGCTCCTCACGCACTCCTGCTTCTTCCAACCCCAGGGCCTTTGCTCGTCCCTTCCTTTAGCTCTCAGCATAAATGTTGTCTTCCCATAGCATCTGGTTTATGTTCATCAATCTGTCAATAGTTTGTGTGTTTCTAGGTTGATTGTCTTTTTCCCCATGCTTGACAGCACCTGCAAAGCAAGGATCTTCCCTGTCTTGTTGGTGGCAGTGTCCTCAGCATCTTGTCAGTGCCTGCCCAAAGTAAATGGTTCAATAAACAGCTAATAATTATGGAATAAATAAATATCTGTAGGAAGGAAAAAAAGAAAGGAAGGTGGATCCTTATATCAGGTGAGAGGGTCCTGCTGCAGGCAGGCAGTGCTGATGTTGGAAGGCCTTCTCCAGGCCCCTCCAGAAAGAACCCCCATGAGAGGCATCACTCATCCCAGCACCTGTTGGGAGACTTGCTTACCCCTGCCGAGCCTCAAAATTAGCTCTGAATCATCTCCCATGACTGGGGGGATCTGTGGGTATGGATGGGCAGAGGAAACTGCCAGAACCTTTCAGGCTAGACTCCAGTCCATTTCCCCCACTATCCTTCACTTGGCCCTCAAGTAAGCTCATCTTCCGAAGTCTGTCCTGAGAAGTATCTGGGAGTGACCCTGCCCATTGCTAGAGCCTCAGCAGAGCCTGGGCATCATTTCTAGACAGGGCCCAGATTCCAGCACTGCACATGAATCCTTTCTGGAGGAGGAAAAACTCCTTCCCATTCCTGGCAATTCCACTGGACTGGAGGCAGGCAGGCCTCCCACCCCATCTGGGCTGCATGCTAGCAGCCAGAGACCTCATTGACACCTTGGATTTGTCCTTCCTGGGATCTGCCAGGTGCCCTTGTAATTACAGCCTGTGAAATTTTCATCCTTGAACCCGGTGAAGCCATTCCTCTACTGGAGGAGCTTCCCCATCTCAGGGTGTAATAATGGTTGTCTCCAGGGTACCCAAGAGAGATCAGGGTGTATAGTTCTCAAAGAGGGGTCCCGACCAGCAGTGTCAGCATCACCTGGAACTCATTGGAAACAGAAATTCTTGGGCCACAACCCTGGCCTTGGGAACCAGAAACCCTTGGGACTGGGGCCTAGCTATCTCTGTTTTACATTTTGAAGCATCCTTCAGATGATTCCAACGCACACTGTGGTTTGAGAACCACAGAATTAAAAGCCTTGAACTAAAGACACCTCGAGTGGATACACACAGTCTGGGAAGTCCCAGCCCTTCTTCCTGCCTCCTTACCTCTGTGCAAACTCAGCATTCTCATATTTAAAATAGAAACAGAGGCCAGGTGCCATGGCTCACCCCTGTAGTCACAGTACTTTGGGAGGCCAAGGTGGGAGGATCACTTGAGCTCAGGGGTTTGAGACCAGCCTGAGCAACAGAGTGAAACCCTGTTTCTACAAAAAATTAAAAAATTAGCCAGATGTGGTGGTGCGTGCCTGTAGTCCCAGCTACTCTGGAGGTTGAGGTGGGAGGATCGCTTGAGCCTGAGAAGTCAAGGCTGCAGTGAGCTATGATTACACCACTGCACTCTAGCCTGGCTGACAGATCAAGACTCTTTCTCAAATAAAAAATAAAAAATAATTAAAAAATAGAAAATAAAACAGAAAAACAGACATTTTCTGGGTGTGACCTAGGGTAGGTCATGTCATCTCCCTGGAAGCCAGACTCCTTATTGGTAAAATGGAGATAAATGAACACCTGCCAAAGAAGGGCTGTGCTGAGGCTTCGATGAGACGACATGTGAGAACTAAGAGCACATCGTACACATGGCACTCTGTGTGAGGCAGCAGCAGCGGGGCTGATAGTTCTGAGCCACACAATGGATGTGAGCATAATTTTTTATAATACAAACTGAAAGAAGTGCGAATGAGAAAAAAATCCCTGGCAGGGCGCGGTGGCTCACACCTGTAATCCCAGCACTTTGGGAGGCCAAAGCAAGCAGATCACCTGAGGTCAGGAGTTCAAGACCAGCCTGATCAACATGATGAAACCCCATCTCTACTAAAAATACAAAAATTAGCCAGGCGTGGTGGTGGGCCCCTGTAGTCCCAACTACTCAGGAGGCTGAGGCAGGAGAGTCGCCTGAACCCAGGAGGTGGAGGTTGCAATGAGCTGAGATCGTGCCACCGCATGCCAGCCTGGGCGACAGAGCGAGACTCTGCCTCAAAAAAGAGAAAGAAAGAAATAAAGAGAAAGGGAGAGAGAGAGAGAGAAAGAAAGAAAGAAGGGAGGGAGGGAGGAAAGAAAGAAAGAAAGAAAGGAAAGAAAGAAAGAAAGAAAGAAAGAAAGAAAGAAGAAAGAAGAAAGAAAATAATAGAAAGAAAACAATCCCTAAATGAATGAGCTTAACCCAGAATCAGTCTGGGTGTTTCCCTGAGTTCACAGGCCTCCCACTGATGGCTTCATCCTTGTTACCATTTGCTTGCTGATCCTGGGAACACGTGGGTGCCCCACCTCTTCCTGAGAGGCTGCCAGTGAACCCAGGCCTGGATGCAGAGACGCTGGACCCGCTGAAGAACACAACACAGGGCTGCCGAGTACATGCAGCATGAACAGGACTGATGGCTGTTAACTACACGAAACAAAAAGTTCAAGTTCATTTGTAATCTAAGCAATGCAATTTTGCTTTGATTGTTGGGTTAACCTTTTCATCAAACAGATTTTTGCTTGGATTGTTCGGTTAAACTTTTCGTCAAACAGATCGGCAATGACTGAATTATTCAATAAGGGCCAGAGCATGGATGTGCCCTGTAGGGAGGGGTGCAGGGTGAGGGGACAACAAATCAGCTCTTCGCAGTCGAGGCACATCTGTCCAGAGCCCTAGTGAGGGACCCGCCCCCAGATCCAGCCATTCCAGTTCTCACGGTTTACCCTAAGGAACAGAGTGAGGTCTCAGGATGAGAGGGAAAGTATTGACCATGGGACATGGTAATGGTTACAAAATAGTATGTACATGCATTATAAGTCTGTACTCTGTATAAAAAGTGTGCGTTTATGTGAACTGTAGGTGAACAGAAAAAATAACAATGTTTGTCCACAAGGGGTGGTGTTTCCTCAAGTGATTTTTATTTTCGGTTTTTCTAGCTTGCATTTAACCTTTCTAATCAGAAGGAAACTGATACGTGTGATAAAATACTGATGATGTCACTGGTTCTTGGCCCTGACTCATATCAAAATCACCTGGCTTTTAACAATACAGCTCCTGCCCCTTCCAACTGGATCAGAATCTCTACAGGGTGGTAGGGAAGGATGGATGATGGGCAGGGGATGGGGTTGTTCAGGCACTGGTATTTTTCAAAAAACTCCCCTGGTGATTTCCATGTGTAGCCGGATTTGAGAACCACTGAACCATACAGCCCCTGCCCTCCCGCCACTCACAGTCAAGTTTAGTGTGGCTTAACATTTTGGGGGTCATCAAATTCTTTAAGACTCTGATGCATTTTGGTTCCTTCACAGATGCTTTCCTAGGGCTTCCTTTTGTTATGCCAATCAATGGTTCCTGTCTGGAGGAATTTATGGTCTCCAAAAGCATTGGATCCGCTCCCAAAAAGAGCCCTGGATTTTGGCACACACTTTCAAGGCAGTGTTGGGCATCAGGTTTTGGGCTCACCCTGCATCCATGAGCCCTTCTTTCTCGAGTACTGATTTTTCCCCTGGGGAGTCAGCCTCCTCCTCACATGGAGCTTTTGAGGGACCGTCCATCAGGTGTCTGCACCAACCGCTGGCCAGAGGATGCCAATCAGACCTCTTCTGCTTTGGATTTGCCTCTGAGTCTTCATAACACAGCTTTTCCTTCCATTGGATGACCTCCCCACACCCTTCCAATGGATTCCCAGTGTTGGTTAGGTTGGCCAGCACTCGTTTCTGTTGCTTATAACCCTAGTGTCTTGGTGAATACAAGGGGATTCAAGTTAGTCATCCATGGACCTCCTGGGAGTCTGCAGAGTCCAGGTTCAGAATCCCAGGGTCAGAGAAAGTGTTAGAGATGGGCAGGGGTAGCACCATAGACCCCCAAGTTTCCTGTTCCCTAGATTAGATGTTTGTGCCCACCTCCCTCCCCAACACCATCCCACACGCTGTCTCTTAACAGGCCATGTAATCTTCCACGGAGACTGTGCTAATGCAGAGAGGAAAGGACACTGACCTGGGAATCAGAAAGCGTGGCCTTGAGAGCTGGCCCCATGGTGGTCACTGACTGCATATAACAGAGGTTGGGGGCTGGGCACAGTGGCTCATACCTATAATCCCAGCACTTTGGGAGATGGAAGGAGGCAGATCACAAGGTCAGGAGTTCGAGACCAGCCCGGCCAACATGGTGAAACCCTGTCTCTACTAAAAATACAAAAAATTAGCCGGGCGTGGTGGCACATGCCTGTAATCCCAGCCACTTGGGAGGCTGAGGCAGGAGAATTGCTTGAACCCGGGAGGTGGAGGTTGCAATGAGCTGAGATCGCACCACAGCACTCCAGCCTGGGCAACAGAGCGAGACTCCATCTTGAAAATAAAAAAGAGAGAGAGAGAGAGGTTGGGGGCTGGGAAACTTGGTTTGGAGGAGAAGCTTGGGAACTTGTCTTAGAGCTGCTTTAGTACAATTTTTAAAGGGAGGTATAGTTAGTTTGGGGTGGCTGGGAGACTGATGATAGTAGACCCTAAGCCCCCATGCCACCTCTTGGTATTCCAAAGAGAACTGGGGAGATCTACTTCATCCCTGTGTTCTCCTTGGCTTTCGAATGTGGATGACCTGGGCTTCCTGCCTCTCCCAACCTCATGGAGTTGTTAATACATTCAGAGAGACAGCAGAGTAAATTACAAAGGGCCTTGCAGAACTTCAGACTGCTTATTGACTGCATTAGCTATCTGCCAGGCAGCTGTGGGGAACCAGTAGGTCGCAGTGTGGTTTCAGTTCATTTGGGTTTGTTCCCAGGGAAGCAAGCCTTGGCAAAAGCTTTCTTAGTACTGCTTAGGAAAGTAAAAAGTGGATGTGGCAGAGGATCTAGGAGGAAGGAGGCCTCTTGAGAACTATAACCTCCTACTGTTCCTCTTGCAGGCTGAACCAAAGCCCCTCCATCCCAGGCACCCACCACAGCAACATGGATTCTGCAAGCCTGACCTCTTTTTGGTGAATGAGAGCAGGTTGCCCTTCCAAGAATCATTTGGATTGGCAAAGGCCAAAGAATTTGAGGGCTGAGTTGCTAATACAGCCATCAGGAGCCCCCAAGCGAGCCCCTCTTTATACTTCTCTTCTACTCTGAGGCCTTTTTATTTCTCCTTACTTCCTGCAGGAGGTCTCCGGTTTTACCCATCAAAAATTGTATTCAGAAAAGGTTCTGATACAAATCATTTACCTCATAGTGAAAACTGAACTGCCTTTATCACATACTGAGCCTGTACTCTCAGTCTATTTAAAAGAATTCCAGGCCTTAGAGAGTGGATGTGGAAGAGGCTTAAGGTGGGAGAGGAGGGGAAAGTAAAGGGGAGGCAGGGATTTCCCTCTCTCTTTCTCTTGGAAAGGCTAAACATATGCCCTGGAGCACCTTTCCGGGTTCAATGGCTGGCTGCTTCCTCAAGGTCTGCAGGTTCAGTTTACCTGCAGTGCTGGCCACATTTCACGTCCTGCTTCAGCTAAGTGTAGAGATTTTTTTTTTCTTTTAGTTAAACTAGAAATGTCTTAGGGGTAGAAAGCATGCCTTGTTCAGCTTGAAATGCTCCTCATTATCTGGCACAGGGCCTAGAACATAAATATGATTAATGTATGTTGATAAGTTAGGTACTAAAGGCTATGAATTCTCCTAGACACACTGCTTTAGCTGTATCCCATAGGTGCTATTAGATAGTATTTCCATTATTTTTGAAATTTGTTTTGTACAACATCAAGCTATCTCTGACAAGGAAAGGAGAATTATCTTCATTTCACAGGAAAATCAAAACTCAAAGACAAAAAGAGACTTGCTCTAAGAATACAGCATGCAGTAGTGGTAGACCTCCAGATTTTGCTGGGCTCTGGGATTCAGGGTGCATCAAATAAGCCAGGACGCCTGTTCTGAGTTTGAGCTCCTGCTTAGGCTCTGCCATCTCCATCCATTTTCTCATCCTCTTTGGGTATCATCAGGTCACATATAAAGACCTCTAGGGTCCATTAGCAGCAATTAGGGATCCTTGATTTGGAAGGAACTTTGCCTTCCTGAGGCTTCTGCTACAAAGCTGACACTTTATGAACAGTGCATGTATCACCTAAAACCTTGCCTAAAACCAGGCATACAGTGGCCAAAGGCAGAACCGGGGTCACTCTGTGCTCAACTGAGAAATAATAGAAGAGGACACCTAACCCCTTTGAGATCCATTACCTCCTAACGAGGCATCACTGCTTGGAGTCCTAGGTTACTTAACGTTCTCTCTCTCCCCATCCCTAGCAGAATCTTCTTTTAGGAAATATTCTGATAAACTTGTTCACATGGATGAGGAAATGACTCATAACAAAGCGCTGTGTCTCTTTTAGGCTTTTGCATTTCAAAAGGAGTCAGACATTAAATTAGAAAAAGGAAAGCTCTAATAATGCAATTTCAGTTATTAACGAGAGAGCTACAAAAAGCTTTTGAGCATGAGAGACCGAATTTAATTCTTTATGTTTGTATCTTTTTTTTTTTTTTTTTTTTGGAGATGAAGTCTCACTCTGTCACCCAAGCTGGAGTGCAGTGGCGCGATCTGGGTTCACTGCAACCTTCACCTCCCGGGTTCAAGCAATGCTCCTTCCTCAGCCTCTGAGTAGCCAGGATTACAGACGTCTACCACCAAGCCCAGCTAATTTTTGTATTTTTAGTAGAGACGGGGTTTCACCATGTTGGCCAGGCTGGTCTCAAACTCCTGACCTCAAGTGATCCGCCTGACTCAGCCTCCCAAAGTGCTGGGATTGTAGACTAATTCTTTATGTTTGTGTCTTAAGGGGATCTGATAGAAGTTAGCTGTGTTGTCAGTTCCACTCACTGTTGCTTCAGTTGCTTCATTTGTGAACTCAGAGTTGAGCAGCCGCTTACATAGACCGCCTGGCTCTAACAGCCCAGAGTTTTTACAGTAGAATGGGCCACTCAATGATTGTAGTAGAAATACTTATTGTAAGTATATCTCCTCAACTCATTGCTGGAAGCAGGACAGATTGTCATCAGACAGATCATGGTCCCAATGAGAACCAGGCCTACACCCATCTGGCCTCTGCCTCCCCAGCAGCAGCTGAGACCCTTCCCATTCTTCCCTCCCAGTAAGACAGGAAGGCGTGGAAGGTCTTCAGGACAAAGCTGGAAAGCTAGACTTCATGGAGGCTGCAGCCCCACAGTGTCCCCAGAATCTAGACCATTTGTGCAGACCTGCTGCAGTTCAAACCAGGGCAATCTGTGCCTCCTGGGCCTCAGTTTTATCATCTATTAAATGGGGGTCTTGTTGTCTCCCTGCTCAATTCCCAGGCTGGTGGGCAGCCCCAGGATGATGATATGCTTTGTGGAAAAGGACAGGGCACAGAGACTCTGGCAGGAGCATTTCCAAGGAGCATATGGAGAAGCAGCATCCATCTGGACCTCTAAGATCTACTGTGTCCTGTGCTGGAGGGACACCAGCTGGCATGCTCCTGTCCCCTCTTCTCTCCAGTGACCCCCTTCCGTACATGGCCACTTCCCCATAGCTGTGCCCACTTCCAGCCAGTGCGGGTGTATATCCTCCCAGCCTTTGGGCCTCTCTCAGCCACAGAGCTTCTGGGATGGGTAGGCAGCTGTGGAGGCCCCTGGGGGCTCCCAGAAAGGCTGGGGTTGGGCTGGGGTGGGGCTGGGGTTAGGCTGGGGAGCAGATCTGATTTGCTGCCCTTCTGCTGACTTGTCCCACAGCATAACATCACAGTTAAGGCCCAGAGGGGAAGGCAAATGAGGGTTACTGCCCGGCTAACCATAGCAACTCTGCAGGGGGCTTGGCAGACTGCAGTGTCTGTCTCTAGATGTTGGGGAAGACTTCTGGGCCCTCAGAGAACCCTCCAGGCCATTGTTTTAATCCAGCCACCCAATAATTATCTTTTCTGTCCCCTAGTCAGTCATGAGACCTGTCAGCCTCCACTTGCTCAAGCTGGATATGGGAACTGGTGAGGAGACAGATGCTGGGCCAGCCCTGAGTGATAGAAAGTTCTTCCTGAGGTTGAGTTGAGTTGTCTTACTGCAACCTTCCCTCACCAGTCCCAATTCTGCTCCCAGGAGCCAGAACAAGAGTGAGCCCCTGTCCCCAGAATCATCCCCCTCTCCCCACGTCCCAGGGTATCCAGCAAGAGGGACTCCAGACCTATCTCATAGTCAGTGTGTTTTGGGACCTCCCCTACCCACCCCCCACCCTGCCCCGTAACTTTCCTGAAGAATAAAAGCCAGATCTCCCCCATCTTGAATGTAAGCCATTAATTTTTTGAGACCTAAATTCAGGACTTTACATTTCACTTACATGTACCTTTCATTTTCTTGGTTTTAATCCAGCATTTTGGTATGTTGAGATAACCTTAAATCTTGACTTTATTGCCTTGTGGGTGTTACAGCTCCTAGCCACAGATTTCATAAGCATGCCTTTTATTTTCCCCCTAAATTATTAATTAATGTCATATCAGGGTTGGAGTTCTAGGGACCCCTAGGCTGCTATCAAACCTTTCATAAAGCCCCCATTGTTGGTCCTCCAGTATCCCTCCTACGTCTCTCAATCAATTCACGAGTTTTTTCTGAGAGATCTTGGCAGTGTCCTGATGAACTTTCGTATTCATCATTTTTCCTCTCAGAAACCCATTCTGGAAGAGGAAATCTGTAGGTTTAGCTTGATTTGTTCTTTTGTTTGTTTTGGAAATATTATTTAGTAAAACGTGCACACTGTGAATAGCTATGTAAAATTAACAGCTGGATAGAGTTACAAAAACATTTACCAGCCAGTTGTGTCTTATGAACAGTTGCTCCAAATGGTATTGACATGATTTTTATATTTTTTTAGATTTAAAATAAGTTTTAAGTTTTTTATTGCAAATTGACAATTTATAATTATATAAATTTTTGGGATAAAAAGCGATGGTATAATTTATGAATACAAGGTGGAGTAATTAAATCAAGCCAGTTAACATATCCATCAAATACTTAACATTTTTTGTGGTGAAAACATCTGAAATTTAGTTTTTGTTTTTGCTTTTTTTAAGTAAGATTCAATCTTTTTTTGTATGTGTGACCGAGTCTCGCTCTGTCACCCATGCTGGAGTGCAGAGATCTTGGCTCACTGCAACCTCCGCCTCCCAGGTTCAAACGATTCTTATGTTTCAGCCTCCCAAGTAGCTGGGATTACAGATGTGTACCACCACACCCGGCTAATTTTTGTATTTTCAGTAGGAATGGGGGTTCACCATGTTGGCTAGGCTGGTCCCAAACTCCTGACCTCAGGTGATCCGCCTGCCTCAGCCTCCCAAAGTGCTGGAATTAGAGGCGTGAGCCACTGCACCCAAACTCAATCTTTATTTATTTATTTATTTATTTTTAAGATGGAGTCTTGCTCTGTCGCCCAGGCCAGAGTGCAGTGGCACAATCTCAGCTCACTGCAACCTCCACCCCCTGGGCTTAAGCAATTCTCTTGCCTCAGCTTCCCGAGTAGCTGGGATTACAAGTGTGTGCCACCACACTCAGCTAATTTTTGTATTTTTTAATAGAGATGGGGTTTCACCATGTTGGCCAGGCTGGTCTCGAACTCATGACCTCAAATGATCTTCCCGCTTTGGCCTCCCAAAGTGCTCTGATTACAGGCATGAGCCACTGCACATGGCCCTCTTGGCAATTTTGAAATGTACAATACTCTATTATTAACTCTATGCACCATGCTGTGCAATAGAATTCAAAAAAAGAAAACCATTTCTTCTGTCTAACTGAAATTTTGTACTCTTTGACCACCATCACTCCATTCTCCCCCACCACAGAGCCACTCTACTCTCTGGTTCTATGAGTTCTATAGTTTTAGATTCAATATATAAGTGAGAACATGTGGTATTTGTCTTTCTGTGCTTGACTTATTTTACGTAGTATAATGTTCTCCAATATTGTCCATGATGTTTTAAATGACACAATTCTGTCTTTTTAAAGGCTGAATAGTATTCCATTGTGTTTACATACCCCATGTTCCTCATCCATTCATCGGTTTATATACACTTAGTTGATTCCATAGCCTGGCTATTGTGGATAGCGCTGCAATAAACACGGTGGTGCAAACATCTCTTCAAGTAACTCATTTCAGATTTTGGGGTAAGTACCCAGAAATGAACTTGCTGGATCATATGGTAATTCCGTTTTTAGCTTTTTGAGGAACCTCCATACTATTCTCCATAATGACTGTGCAAATTTATTACATTCCCACCAACACCACACAAGGGTTCTCTTTTCTCCACATCTCCAACAACACTTACTTATCTTTCGTCTTTTTGGTAAAAGCCATCCTGACAGGTATGAGATGATGTCTCATTGCGGTTTTAACTTGCATTTTCCTAATCATCAGTGATATTGGGCATTTTTTCATATACCTGTTAGCCATTTGTATGTCTTCTTTCGAGAAATGTCTATTCAGATTTCTTACCATGTTTTAATTGGGTTTTTTGTTTTCTTGCTGTTGAGTTGTTTGAGCTCCTGGATTTGTTCTTAGTGAGTACTAATATAGGCTCCTAATGAACAATACATTATTTTCTTTCTTTTTGAAAACGCTTTTTTGTTTTGTTGTGCTTATTATAAAAGAATTCTAGGCTGGGCGTAGTGGCTCACACCTGTAATCCCAGCACTTTGAAGGGCCGAGGCGGGCAGATCACGAGGTCAGGAGTTCAAGACCAGCCTGGCCAACATGGTGAAACCCTGTCTCTACTAAAAACACAAAAATTAGCCAGGCATGATGGCACATGCCTGTAATCCCAGCTACTCAGGAGGTTGAGGCAACAAAATTGCTTGAACCTGGGAGACAGAGGTGGCAGTGAGCCGAGAACACGCCACTGCACTCCAGCCTGGGCAACAGGGCGAGACTCCGTCTCAAACAACAACAACAACAACAACAAAGAATTCTGAGCACCGCAAAAGAGAGAGTAAACCTGACAGAACCCTCACATCCAGAGATAACCCCTATGTTTGTGATGCTCTCTGCCTGCCACATCCCATTGGCCCAAAGATTTCAGCTGGGGTGAATGGTTCCTCAAATTTTTAGCACCCCACCAGGTCTGCACCTGGGAGTCTCTCTGCTCTGCTTCCTCTGAAGTCACAAAAAGGGACAACCCAAAACTGCAGGAGTGGGGCAATACCAGACCAGTGGGGAGGTGAAGCAGCCAACGCCACCTCTTAGGTGGGGTAAACCTCGGGTTCACCCTGCACTTTTCTCAGAGTGTCCCCAGCAGGATAGAACCCCCCAGTTGCCCACAGCTAAAACCAGCTCATTAAGGCACCCATTTCTTGCCTTTTCTCCCTTCTTCATCTCACTCTCCTCATTCCCTCACTTCCACTGCCCGGCATCATCTCCCAAATAGACTCCCTATATCCAAGCTCTTGTCTTAGGGTCTGCTTTCAGAAGCAGGAGAATCAAACAAAGATGTTAGTGACTACCTCTTTGCGTATACACTTGTATATGTATATTTCCAATAATAAACCTATGTAATTTTGCATAAAGGGGATCACACTACACATGCATTCAAAAACCTGTTTTTTTTTCTAATTACTCACAGTGGGTAGTGAACATATTTCCATGTCAATAAAGAAAATCCTAAGCACAGTTTTTAATGTCTGCATAGTATGCCATTGCAGAAGTGTCTCATTTTTTATTTAATTTACATAATTTATGGCTATCTGGATGGTTTCCAATTTTGCACTGTGATGAACATGCTCAGGCACACATCTTTGCAAGTGTGCAGCTCAGAATTTGAAAAAATTCTGAGCTGAGGGAGTGCGTTGTTGTCTCCTAAGTGTACACTGTGTTTGGTCATTTCTTCTGGAATTTTAATAGAGGTCAAAACTAATCTTAGCAGTGTAGAGGCTTTTTAGATAAAAAATTTATATTTCCCTTTTTTGAAAATCAGGACATTTGCCCATCTTCAGTTTTCTGGCACTTCCTTCATTCTCTGTAGTTTCCTCAAAAGCAATGATTATATCTGTAAATACCTCTGGGTCGCTGGGATGTCATATGTCTGGGCTTCAATGAGTGAGCTCATTGTAGGTAACTTGATGTCTTCTTCCTATCGCTTGACTATCTTGGGTCTCTATTTCCTCCTTATCCTCTTTATTCCACAATTTGAAGTAAAATTGCCTGTATCTTGCTCTGCCTGCCCTCGAGCCTAAGCCAGAGCAGATTCCTTCTTGTTATTCTTAGACTTTGAAAGCTTTTTGCTCTTGTCTTTGCCAATTTCCCCCGACTTCTGTTCACTGGAGCTTCAGGGCTTTGCTAACGCCATTCTTACAGATCTGCCAATCTTCCAGATTCCTCTTGGGTTATTGATTCCTTCTTGCCTCTTTTGTGTGTGTGCTTTTCATACCCTGGCTCATTGGAAAACTACAAGTGCAGCCTCACAAGATTTTCTATAAAACTTGATTTTATTTTTTAACAGCAGTGTTTGCAATTACTAATTGGAATTTTGGGGTTTTATTACCTCTTGCCACAGCTGCCTCATACTGGCGTGTTGTACAACATATCTTATTTTATCCTCACAGACACTCTCTGAAGCCAGCTGAATGTTAAGTTCCCCCATTCGATAGATGGGTGACCAGTGGCACAGAAAGGTTTAGGCACTATCTCAAAGACACCCAGCAAGACAGTGGACGAGCCCTTGGTTTTCCAGTTTCTTAGCCTAAATATGGTTCCCCTTGTCCACAATGGCTGAGAGAGGGTTCTGGTAAAGTGGGAGCAAGCAGCCTTATGCCTTGGTCCGCTATCCCTTAAAATCCTGAAGGTAAGGTCCATAGTTCACTCTCCTTTCCTTAGGGAGAGAAATTCTCTCTACATGGAGGATATCACCTCTAGAATCCCATCTCCCCAACAACCCCACCCCTTCAAGCAGACAAAGTCGGTGACAATTCTTCTGAAGCTAATAGCCAAGCTGTCCTCACCTGGTCTCAAATGATTCTCTGCTCAGACAGCAGGGATTGTGTGCGTGCACACACACAACAGGGACTCTCTCTTTTTGTGTGTGTGTGTGTGTGTGTCTTGTACATGCACACACATATGTACAACACAAATACAGAGGCACCCCAGGTCTTTCTCTCTCTCTCTCACTCTCTCTCTCTCTCTCACACACACACACAAGCACAACATGAATACAGAGGCACCCCCAAGTGTTTCTCTGCCTGTCTCTGTCTCCCTCTCTCAGTGTCTGTCTCTATGTCTCTGTCTCTGTCTCTCTCTCTCTCTCTCTTTCACACACACAGGCACAACATGAATACAGAGCACCCCCAGGTCTTTCTCTCCATCTGTCTCTTTCTGTCTGTCTGTTTTTCTGTCTCACATACACACGCACACACACACACACCATGAACACATGGGCACCCCAGGTCTCTCTCCCTCACTCAGTGTCTCTGTCTCTGTCACACACAGAGTGTCACAACGTCTGGCTCTGGACAGCCATGGGTGATCAGCTGCCCGGCCCTCTCCTCTCCCTTCGCCCCATGCCCCGGAGTCGGTACCCTGCCCCACGGCTGGCCCCCAGCCCCAGGACCACTCACCCTCCATGATGCCCCCAGTTGCGGGCTCCGGCGGTCTCCGATGGCGGGAGGCAGCGGGCCCCTTCGGGCCAGCGGGCAGAGGGACGGTCTCCGGGCACTTGGTTGCGGGCTGCGCCCCTGCCTCCGCGCTCCGCAGGTCCGGTCGGTCCGGGCAGAGGTGAGCAGGGGGCGTGCGCTCCCAGGCCCCGGGCCCTGGCCGGTTTCCCTCCCCTCGGGCTGACTGGCTCCCGCGCAGCGCTGCTGCCCGCAGGGCTCAGCCGCCCGCCGCCCCTCGCCTCCCGACCAGGGGAAGGAGGGGGCTCGTGAGGCGCAGTCGTCATGGCACCCGCGCACCTGTGCCCGCCGAGCGAGGGCGCCCCGGGCCCGCCTCCCGCATGGCGCTCTCTCCACAGAGCCCGAGCGCCCCTCCGAAGTAGGGGACACACCCCTCCTCCCACTGCAGCCCTGGCAGCGGCGTCCCGTAATTCCCCACCTCTCTCCCGTGCCTCATATGCCAGCCTCTGTCCCCACTCCTCATCCTTGCCCACCCTAGCCTGGGGTCCAGCACTCTGGGCCTTCCTGAGAAGGGGATGAGAGGTAGCTGTGAAAACAGGAGGGCTTCGGGAGGGAGGCAGGGGGGAGCCCCACCAGCTCCCGGCTCTCCCAGGAGAATGGGGACAAGTTCTGCTAGGTGACCACGGCTTTGAAATTAACCAGTTCAGGCATTCACCGGGTGGTACCCTTGGAAAAGTTTCTTATAATAATACCTGTGCCTGAGTGTGTTTCTGCATTTGTAAAATGATTTTGAGGGGAGTAAATGTGATACCAAAGTTTCAGCCCAGCCCATAGTAGATGCTCAACAAATGGTTCCTTGAGCTGAATTGGAGAATACTCATCTCCAGCCCCTGTCAGGCACCCAGCAGGCACCACCATAAATTTTCGCCACATGAATAAAGATCCCAGGTTCTATCTGCACTCCTGTGTTTTTCTTGCAGCACTGTTTACAATAGCTAAGATTTGGAAGCAACCTAAGTGTCCATCAACAGATGAACGGATAAAGAAAATATGGTACATATATGTAAATGGAGTACTATTCAGCCATAAAAAAGAATGAGATCCAGTCATTTGCAACAACATGGATGGAACTGGAAATCATTATATTAAATGAAATAAGCCAGGCACAGGAAGCAAACGTCACATGTTCTTACTTATTTGTGAGATCTAAAAATCAAAACAGTTGAACTCATGGACATAGTAGAAGCATGTGGTTACCAGAAGCAGGGAAGGGTAGTGGGAGGATAGGGATGGTTAATGGGTACAAAAAAATAGCTAGAAAGAATGAATAAGACCTATTGTTTGACAGCACAATAGGGTGACTATAGTCCATAATAACTTAATTGTATATTTTTAAATAGCTTAAAAAGTATAATTGGATTGTTTGTAACTCAAAGGATTAGTGCCTGAAGGGATGGATACCCCATTCTCCATGATGTGCTTATTTCACATTACATGCCTGTATCAAAACACCTCATGTACCCCATAAATATATACACCTACTATGTACCCAACTATTTTTTTAAAAAAAGATCCCATGTTCTAGGCAGATGAAAGAAAGTGAATGGTCTATTCCTTCCTCTTTTAGGAGTCAGGAGTTTGCTCACTGGACACTGGGGAAACAGTTGGCATCAAGATTCTTCCTAGTCTCACTTCTTTCCCTAGTTCCTCCTCTGTCCAGAGCAGTGGGCAGAGTCTCACAGCTAGAAGGTCCTTAGGGGTCACTGAGTCTAACCCTGACCCAGAGCGGGCATCCTGACCCTAATCCCCAGCAAGAAGTATCCCCAGCAATGGGTACCTCTGCCATCATGTCCCTCTCTCTTCCCCTAGGGCAGCCCTTCAGAGGTCAAGTGGGAGGGAAGTTGCTCCTTCAACGCTGCTGTTCTACTGGAGAAACACAAGAATTTCACTGGGCTTTTTTCTTTCTGTGACTTGCCTCAGTCTCTTCATCTGTAAAATGGGCATAATAATGGCACCTATCTCCTATAGTTGTGAAGATTAAAGCAGTTACTATATACAAAGCATGTGAAACAGTGCTTTGCATATAGACAGTACGCAAGAAATATTATTCATCTTATCACTATCTTGAGTCCACCTCCCTGTAGAAGTGCTCACATTTCTTGAAGTCCCTCTGATAAAACCCAGAAGTATGTCAGGTCATATTAAGCCCCCTTGAGCAATGCAGAGTTTGAGGCACTGTGCTGTAAAGTCTGTATAGCCCAGCACTGCCATTTAGAGTTGGTGCGCTTTGGGAAATTTATATGTCTTTGTGCCTGAGTTTCCTCTCATCTACAAAATAGGGATAATAGTACCTACCATGTAGGGTTATGAGAATTAAATGAGTTAATATATGTAAAGCCCTGACAACATGTAGGTACTCAATAAATATGAGCTACAATTACAGGGGCAATAGAGTTTTTTTTTTTTTTTTTTTTTTTTGATAAGGTCTTACTCTGTCACCCAGGCTGGAGTGTAGTGGCACAATCTCAGCTCACTGCAACCTCTGCCTCCCAGGTTCAAGTGATTCTCCTGCCTCAGCCTCCCTAGGAGCTGGGATTACAGGCATCCACCACCGCAACCAGCGAATTTTTTCGTATTTTTAGTAGAGACGGGGTTTCACCATGTTGGCCAGGCTGGTCTTGAACTCCTGACCTCATGTGATCCACCTGCCATGGCCTCCCAAAGTGCTGGGATTACAGGCTTGAGCCACCATGCCCAGCCGGGGCACTAGACTTTGAATAATGCAGTCTCACTTTTTCGCTTTCTTCCCTTTCCTTCCTTCTTTCCTCAGCAGCCACATCATTCTAGCGCCTTGTGGTCAATTGCTCCACCATCTTTTTTATTTGAATAGTTCCAGATCATAGAGCCTTTTCTTCCTTTTCCCTCCTCTTCTACAGACATTTTTCTTCTACCATTAAAACCTTCCTATAGTGTCAAGTCCACGTGGTACCAGACAAAACAAATTTCGTGGATCTAGCCTTGGAGAGCAGGCAGGGCAGTGTGTCTGAGTGTGAATTCTATCTCTACTATTTGTTAGCTGTGTGACCCAGGGTAAGTCACTTAAGCCCTCTGATATGGTTTGGCTACGTCCCCATCCAAATCTTACCTTGAATTGTAGCTCCCATAATTGCCATGTGTTGTGGGAAGGACCGGGTGGAAGGTAACTGAATCATCGGGGTGGGTTTTTCCTGTGCTGTTCTTGTGATAGTGAATAAGTCTCACAAGATCTGATGGTTTTATAAAGGGCAGTTCCCCTGCACATGCTCTGTTGCCTGCCGCCATGTAATAGGTGACTTTGCTCCTCCTTCACCCTCTGCCATGATTGTGAGGCCTCCCCAGCCATGTGGAACTGTGAGTCCATTAAGCCTCTTTTTCTTTATAAATTACACAGTCTCCAGTATTTCTTCATAGCAATGTGAAAATGGATTAACACACCCTCTAACCTCATTTTCCTCATTTGTAAAATGGGATTTATACTACTTTTTCTAACGGCTGCTGTGTGGATTAAAACAGCATTAAATACAGTGCCCTTCCTCATCCCCAAAGTCATGGGTGGAGGCCGAACAGACAGATTGGGTAAAAGTTGCTCCATGCAGATAAAGAAAAGTGCCCCCTCTCTTTCTCCTCCTGTTGTGGACTGAACTATGTCTCCCCAAAATTGATATGTCAAATTCCTAACCCCACAATGTGACGGTATTTGGAGATAGGAAGTAAGTAATTATGGTTAAATCAGGTCATAAAAGTGAGGCCCTAACGACATAAGGTGGGTGTCTGTATAAGAAGAGAAAGAGACTGGGTGTGGTGGCTGACACCTGTAATCTCAGCACTTTGGGAGGCTAAAGCGGGTGGATCACTTGAGCCCAGGAGTTCAAGACTAGCCTGGGCAACGTGGCAAAACCCTGTCTCTATAAAACATATGAAAAAAATATATGTATATAGCCAGGCGTGGTGTTGTGTGCCTGTAGTTCCAGCTATTCAGGAGGCTGAGGTGGAAGGATCACTTGAGCTCAGGGGGCTCAGAGGCTGCAGTGAGCTGACATCACACCACTATACTCCAGCCTGGGTGACAGAGCAAGACCCTGTCTCAAGGGAAAAAAAAGAAAGAAGAAGAGAAGGAGACACCAGGAATCTACATGCATAGAGGAAAGGCCATATGAGGCCACAGCGAGCAGGTGGTCCTCTGCAAGCCAAGGACAGAGGCCTCAGGAGAAACCAAGCCTTTCAGCACCTTGATCTTCGACTCTAACCTCCAGAACTGTGAGAAAATGAATTTTTGTTGTTTAAGCCAGGAGTGTCCAAATTTTTGTTGTTGAAGCCCCAACCCCTGAGTCACAGCCTGTTAGGACCTGGGCCGCACAGGAGGAGGTGAGTGAGCATTACCGCCTGAGCTCCACCTCCTGTCAGATCAGCAGCAGCATTAGATTCTCCTGGGAGCGCAAATCCTGTTGTGAACTGCACATGCACAGGATCTAGGGTGCGCACTCCTTATGAGAGTCTAATGCCTGATCATCTGATGTGGAACAGTTTCATCCCCAAACCATCAGCCCCCACCCCCGAGTCCGTGGAAAAATCGTGTTCCACAAAACCAGTCCCTGGTGCCAAAAACGTTGGGTTTAAGTCTGTGGTATTTTGTTATGGCAGCCCTAGCAAACCAAGATACCTCCCTACCCCAAAGCAGCTCCCAGGAAACCTAAGGCAACATTATTCTCCATTGCAGATCATGCTTTTCTCCAAAGTTCACCTGACTGCAGGGCTGGGGCGCTTCTCTGCCCTGAACCTTGGATGCAGAGTCTTTCAGTCAAACAAGTCACCATTGCTCCTATCTTACAGATGAAGGAATCAAGGGAAATGCCTTGCCCAATACTACACAGCTAGAGTGGAAGAGAGAGGAGAGGAGGCCAAGAACACTCCCTTGGACTCCTTGGGCACTGGCCCTGCCTCCCTCAACTTTTTTGGCCCTTTGGGAGAGCATCTGAGAAAGCTAAGGGTGCACCCATCCAAGGTGTAGAAGCAATCCCTGTCCATCTCAAGGAGCCCCACCACCTCCTTGGCCTGCAGGGTTTCCAGCTGCATGCATTCTGCCCAAGAGCTTGACCTGCACCTTCATCCTCAGGGGAGCTACTCCCCATCCCACCCCACCTCCAATAGCTACAGCTGGGCACATGTGCTGTGGCTTAGGGAGCCTTTTTGCAGAAAGCCCCACCATCCTGGAAACTGATTTCCATCTGAAAAGCTAGATGCCAGGAGGTGGCAGGAAGAAAATGGAATTGAGAAGTTCTTTAAAAGGGGAAAGCCTCCTGTGCACACTGGAATCCATGTGGACACCTGCTTGGAGAAGCATCTAAAAGGAGCAGTGGAGGAGGAGGTGGAGGGTGATCTCAGAATCAGACTTTCTCGGGAGTAGTGAGGGCAGCCAAAGGAGACAATAGAAAGCCAGAAATCCAGATATTTATTTATTTATTTATTTAGAGACAGAGTCTCACTCTGTTGCCCAGGCTGGAGTGCAGTGGTACAATCTTGGCTCACTGCAACTTCTGCCTCCCAGGTGCAAGCGATCCTCCTGCCTCAGCCTCCCAAGTAGCTAGTATTACAGGTGCGTGTCACCACGCCTGGCTAATTTTTGTATTTTTAGTAGAGACAGGGTTTCACCATGTTGGCCAGGCTGGTCTTGAACTCCTGACCTCAAGTGATCTGCCTCCCTCGGCCTCCCAAAGCACTGGGATTATAGGTGTGAGCCATTGTGCCTGGCCTCCAGATATTTTTCATAAAAAATTTCAGCTCCCAATTAAAAAATGCTGGGCAACAAATTCACAATTATTTTTAAACATGGTACAGGCCAAACAATGTATCAATGGGTTGAATTTGGCTCTAAACCCTCTTGCAACTTCTTAACATCTCTAGAGACCAAGAATTCTCAATCCTGACTGCACATTAGAATTGTATAGGGGAGCTTTAAGAAAAATCACTGGCACTGAGCCTCTAACGCAGACTAATTGAAGCTCGCTTGATTCTGTGGAATCAGAGCAATTCAATTGTATTCATCTCTGTTTGGATAGGGTCTGCACATCAGTGATTTTTCAAAACTCTCCAAGTGACTCTGATGTTCAGGCAAGATAGAGAATCACTGCCGCAACCCTTCTCGGCTTCTTACCTGCCGCAAGGGTCCTGGTCTCATAGAGCTTGTGGTCAACTGCGGGAGACATGAATGAATGAGTGAGTGAATGAATGAATGATGACCTTGTCTGTGGTCCACACACCATACTCTCCCCAGTGATCTCCCCAAATCATGCCCCTCACCGTCCATTTCCATTCCCCTGCAGACTTCCAGGTACTTCCTGGTTAAACCCAATCTCTTCCACAGGCCACCCAAGATGCCCACGGCCCAGTCCTTGTCCATTTCCCCACCCTGCAATCCTACCGCTTCTCCCTCCCACCTGACCCGCTCCTCACTGAGCACCTTGCTGTTCCACTAACTGCTCCGCGCCTTGGCATGTGCTATGCCCTCTGCCTGGCTATCTTTTGGTGCTCCCTCTCCTGTCCCCCTCCTCACCTGCCCATCAGCCTGTCTCTTGTCCCATCCTCTCTGCTCCCACATCTAGAATAGCTCTTAGATCAGTGATTCCCAAACTGCTGCACTTTAGAATCTCCTGGGGAGACTTGAAGTCATCACACCCCATACCAATAAAATCAGAATGTCTCAGTGTGGGAACCAGATCAGTTTGTTAGTTTGTTTGTTTATTCCAGCCTGGGTGACAGAGCAAGACCCTGTCCCAGAACACCGTGGTGTGATCTTGGCTCATTGCAACCTCCGCCTCCTGGGCTCAAGCAATTCTCCTGCCTCAATCTTCCAGTTAGCGGGGATTACAGGCACATGTCACCACGCTCGGCTAATTTTTATATTTTTAGTAGAGACGGGGGGTTTCACCATTTTGCCCAGGCTAGTCTCGAACTCCTGACCTCAAGTGATCCACCTGCCACGGCCTCCCAAAGTGCTGGGATTATAGGCATGAGCCACCATGCCCGGTCCCAGATCAGGAGTTTCTAAAGATTCTCAGGTGACTCCAATGTGCAGCAAGATTTCAGAATTACTGCCTAGGACATTCCAGTCATATTTCTCTTCCCACGCCTGTTTCCCCGGCTAGTCTATGAACTTCCCACAGGCTGTGTGGTAAATAAGCAGAAATTTTTTTTTTTTTTTTGAGACAGAGTCTCACTCTGTCACCCAGGCTGGAGTTCAGTGATGCCATCTTGACTCACTGCAACCTCCACCTCCTGAGTTCAAGCGATTCTCCTGCCTCAGCCTCCTGAGTAGCTGGGACTACAGGCGTGTGCCACCACACCAGCTAATTTTTTGTTGTTGTTGTTTTGTATTTTTAGTAGAGACAGGGTTTCATCGTGTTAGCCAGGATGGTCTCGATCTCCTAACCTTGTGATCCGCCCACCTCAGCCTCCCAAAGTGCTGGGATTACAGGTGTAAGCCTGAAATTTTTTTCTCATGGTTATGGAAGCTGAGAGTCCCGGATCAAGGTTCCGGCTGACTTGGTTTCTGGTGAGGGTACTCTTCCTGACTTGCAGACACCCCTTCCCGCCATGTCCTCCCATGGCCCTTCCTTGGTGTGTGCACACAAGAGAGAGAGGAAGCTCCCTGGTGTCTCCTTTTATAAGGTCACTAATCCAAGGAGATCAGGTCCCCACCCCAGGACCTCACTTAACTTTCATTACTTCCTATGGGCCCTATCTCCAGTCACATTGTGGGGTTAGGGCTTCGACATAGGAATTTTGAGGGACACATTGAGTCCCTAATGCCCTCCAAGAGCAGAGACCCTTTCTCTTGCACAGCAGCAGGCCCCGTCCTAGCATCCTCCCTGGTCATAGGCCCTCAGTGGGTGTTGATGGAACCCACAAGGCCTGTGTTGGCCTCATACACACACTCCTCATCCTCTAAGCAGAGTCGGAGGCGTGTTCCGAGATGCCTGAGAGGGTTGGTAGGTACCCGGGAGAAGGGTTGGCATGAGGCTGAAGACAGCCCTGTGGGATACCTCCCCTGTGGTGGGGAAGCCAGGCACCTCCCATGGAGACAGTCTATCTCTCGCTGGCTGGAAATGCACACGGGCCTTTGGGGCAAGGAAGTCCATTGGTGTAGCTACCATTTTGAAAAGGCACAGAATCCACAGGAAAGGGGGGGTCTCCGTGTGGTGAAAATATGGCCCCTGGAGTCAGACCCCCAGCACATCCCCAGCATTTTCAGTGTGTTTGTTTATGGTGGTGTGAAAGGAGGGACTGTCCCCTTGAAAAGCAAGGCCAGGGGAGCTGCAGAGAGGCTGAGACCTAGGCAGCAGTGGGGTCCCTTCCTAGGAGCCAGGAGGCATCCCTCCATCTCCTTAACCAGCCTCGGAGGAGCAGTTGCTTCAAAAGGTTGTAAAATGCTTATTAATCAGCTCTCCCTAGGGAAGCAGGTCAGCATCATTATCTGCATTAATAAATGACAAGTGAGGTTTCCAATGGCTGATTCACTTCCACAGCACAGCCGGGGCAGCAGTGGCCACAGAGGAGATGCCAGGAGTGCCACGTAGAGGAGCTCCCAAACCCCAGCGCCCAGTGAGGGCCACAGAAAGAACCCAGAGCATGCAGCCAGGAAACCTGGGCATTCGTCTGGGTTCCACCAACTCCCTGCACATCCTTGGGTGGGTTGCTCCACTTGCTCTTGAACGCTGTGGAACATTCCCTCTAGAACTTGGGGTTCCCATCTACGAAGCAGAAGAGGTTTGGATCAGAACTTTTCCCCTCTGACAGCTCACCTTCTCCTCTGGAGAATCTGCATGCAGGGAGTCTTCCTAGGGTGGACTGGGATGCCCTGAGGAACTCCAGCTGTCTTAGGTTCTGCACCCTGGGTGCAATGAGAGCTTTTTGGGTGAGCACTACTAGGTCAAGAAGGATTCAGGCCACTATATCAGGAAAAACACATCTCTACAAGGTGGTGGGAAAGTGGTGAAGCCTCTTGGGAAGAGGTGGGCAGTTATCGGGGATAGCTGGGGCAGCCCTGGGGCCTCCTCCAGCTTAGATGGGGCCTTCTGTAAACCATTTCTTGGGCCCTGGACACCAATTCTACAAGACATGGACTCTGCTCTGGATTTGAGGCTGGGCATGGTGGCTTACACCTGTAATCCCAGTGCTTTGGAAGCTGAGGCAGGAGGATCTCTTCAGGCCAGGAGTTTGAGACCAGCCTGGACAACATAGCAAGACTCCATCTCTACGAAAAAATTTAAAAGTTAGCTGCGGATGGTGGCACGTGCCTGTAATCCCAGCTACTGAGGAGGCTGAAGCAGGAGGATCGCTTGGGCCCAGGAATTCAAGGATGCAGTGAGATTGTGCCACTATACTCTAGCCTGGGCAACACAATGAGACCCCGTCTCTTAAAAAAAAAAGGCTGGATTTGGATCTGAATTGAATCTGAATTGTGCCCCCAGCCACCAGCCTCGACTAATGTCGATCTTGGCCAGGCTGAACATCTCCTCTCCCCAGATTCTTCATCTATATAATTGAAATAATAGTAGCTGCCTCCTGTGTTGCTGTGGGGGTTAAACGAGGTGAGAAGTGGAGAGCACTTAGTGTGGTCACAGACACCTGGTGAGCTGCTGGTGATGCTTTTCACTTCCTCTACTCTTTTTTGACACCTCTGGTTTTTTCCTTTCACGTCAAGCTTTGGGTGGCTCTTGCCTTTCTCTAAGAGAAACACGGAGCAGCTGATAAATTTGGTCCCAGGAATGTTAACGCTCAAGATACCCTCCCAGGGGAATCTGTTACAAGGAAATATGACCCAAAATCTAGAAAAGAGACAAAGATGATAACTGCATTGTTCAACAGGCCTGCCTGTGAGAATGTACCACTGTAACTTTGTTAGTTACTATTAATTAAAGGCACAGACTCTGTGAGGTTACTTGTTAACTTATGGATTCCTGTCCGGCAGAAAAAAATAACCCCAAGTTGACTTTATCAGCTGGCAGGACATTCATGCCCACAAATCACATGGGAATCCTGTTAAAATGCAGATTCTGATTCAATAGGCCTGGGGAGAGACCTAGACAATACAGTTCTTTTCTTTTTTCTTTCTTTTTTTTTTTTGAGATGGAGTTTCGCTCCTGTTTCCTGGGCTGGAGTGCAATGGCGTAATCTTAGCTCACTGCACCTCCATCTCCCGGGTTCAAGCAATTCTCCTGCCTCAGCCTCCCAAGTAGCTGGGATTACAGGCTCACACCACCATGCTCGGCTAATTTTTGTATTTTTAGTAGAGACAGGGTTTCGCCATGTTGGCCAGGCTGGTCTCGAACTCCTGACCTCAAGTGATCCACCTGCCTCAGCCTCCCAAAGTGCTGGGATTACAGGCGTGAGCCACCGCGCCCGGCTGACACTACAGTTCTAACACACTCCCAAGTGCTGTTGATGCTGATCGTCTGAGGTCCACACTTTGAGTAGCGAGGGCCTGGTCCACTAGGAATTCCCTTCTGAATCCTGGCAGGGGTTAAAATAAGATCATATGGACAGGGCAATGCCTCATCAACAGCAGCAGTCTCATCCTGGTGGGCTTTCAGGCACAGTGGCAGGCTAAGGGACAGCACTGGGGACTGACTGTTCTCTCTTAGCTCATGTACACTGACTCCTGGCCACCCCACTTAGGAAAAGCCCCAGCCACAATACCATGGCTTGTGAGTGTCTGGAAAGACCAAAGTGAGGAAGACTTCCTGGTGTTTTTCAGTCCTTTGGAAGCAAACTCTGCTGGTGAGCACAGGTATTTAATATGGTACCTGAACTTGGGCTGGTAAGTGGATATCACACGGCAGTTCTCTCACAAGCAGAGGCCCCCAAGCATCAGTGCATATCAACCACCTGTCCATTCAGTCATTCAGTAAACATACATGTGTACCCACTATGAGCCAGGCATCACTCCAGGTGCTGGAGACACAGCAGAGACTAAGAAGGACAAAGATCCTTCCTTCATAGGAATTTTATTCTAGCGAGAGTAGACAGACAAGAAGCCATAGATATAAGTAAATTATAGCGTATATTGGAGAAGCACTATAGATAAAGGAAAAGGTGAGCAGGTTAAGGGAGATAAAAGTGACAGAAGTGCAACGGGGCAGGCTGCAGTAGGGTGGTTAGGGTAGACCTCGATTTGAGTAGACTTGAAGGAAATAAGGGAGTTGGCCATGGGAATATCTTGGTGGGTGTGTGAGGGCTGTGGGGAGCAAATGCGAAGGCCCTGAGAAGTGAACACATGTGGGGTGTTGGAGGACCAGCTGGAAGCCAGTGTGTCTGGAGTACGAAAGAGACCACAGAAGTAACAGAGGGCGGGTGATTCCAGAACTCGAAGACCATGGTAAGGCCTGGGCTTTTATACTGAAATAAGTGGAGAGCCATGGCAGGGCTCGGAGCAGATGAGAGAGTTGGGATTTAGAAGGATCCTCTGCGCGCTGTGTGAAGGATGAATAGGGACCTTTTAAGGTGCAGAGGTATGAGTCCTATTCCAGAGTCTGGTTTAATGGGGCTCATATAGGTCTGGTAATCTACATTTGAGAAAGCTCCCGTGATTGGTTCTCTTGGAAATAGTCCATAGATGCAGCACCAGCCCTAGCACAGCGCCAGGTGGCCCATTCACAGTTTTCTATGCAAATGGTGCCAGTTACTGAGACTGCATTGTGAGTGACACCCCCTGCAGTCATGCACTGGGGTAGTCCTGCAGAGTCCACCCTGGAGGGCACCCCAACTTAAGTGCTTCCCAGCTACAGGAAGCAGGGTTCCCAGGTGCTTCTGCTGGCATGAACTTGAATGTACACACATAGGGTAGCAAGGGCTCCAGTTGGCTCCCAGCCAACGCCTTGAGTACTTCATCATCCTCAAAGGCCTGAGACAGAGCCTTTGTAGATTCCTGAACTATGAAGATGGAGGGAGCGGGGAACTGTCAATCTTCTCATCCTCTGTGGGACTAAATCTCCCATTGGCCAGATGAGCTCCAGGTATGTGTGGCATGCAGATCTGCACGGCACTGAGAGAGGTGAGGTTCTTATCTGGGCACTAAAGGCTGTGCCCACACAGCCTTATGCCTAAGGGTGGGCACAAGCAGATGTGAGAGGAAACTCTCTGGAGTGTGAACTGGGCACCATGCTGATGCACTTACCTTTGTCACCTGTTCTTAACCCTATGGGATTAGGAAAGGTAGTGTTGGCACCCACTTTATAGATGAGGAAAGTAAAGCTTCAGAGAGGTCTTTTCACAGGAATGGGTTGGTAGAAGGACCGTGTCAGCTAAAGAAAGCAATCAACCACTTCAGTCCAAGCTGGCCTCCTGAGGGACCCGGGGCTCACAGCAAAAACCCGGAACTTGCAACCCAGTTTAAACCAACCCCAGCCCTGCTCCTTCCTAGTCACATGCTAAGCCTGTTTCTTCATCCATAGAGTGGGCACCAAGAGGGGTGATGTTAACAATAAATGAGAAACACACTGGGCCAGGCGTGGTGGCTCATGCCTGTAATCCGGCACTTTGGGAGGCTGAGGCGGGCGGATCACCTGAAGTCAGGAATTCCAGACCACCCTGGCCAACATGGCAAAACCCTGTATCTACTAAAAAAATACAAAATTAATCGGGCATGGTGGTGCGCGCCTGTAGTCCCAGCTACTCGGGAGGCTGAGACAGAAGAGTCACTTGAACCTGGGAGGTGGAGGTTGCAGTGAGCCAAGATCACACCACTGCACTCCAACCTGGGTGACAGAGCGAGACTCTGCGTCAAAAACAAAAAAACAAAAAACAAAAAAACCCAAACCACATACCAGTGCCTGCCTGGTGCTGATAAAACACTAGGAGCTCCAGGGGTGCTCCTGCTTGGACCTAACGCAGCTCGGCTATGTCCCTTTTCTCAGGCATGGATCGAGCCTGCCTGGCCTGGAGACACAGTCAGAGCACGGCCTGGCTGCTCATGGGCTGGAGAGGTTTTCCTGCCCAGTTGCCTGAGTCACGCTCTTCCCCCAGGCCCGCCCTTCCTGCCCTTCACATCTGGTTCAGGGCTCTGCCGAGGCCTTCTGGGGCAGGTGCCAATTATCGCTCAGGAACTGCTGCTTGCTTCCCAGGGCTGGCTTTCTGTGAAGGGACGGGCACATCTCATGTGAAGAACAGACCCAAAGCGGGGCTCTGGGGTACAACATGGTATTTGGGTGAGACTACAATTAGAATCCTGTAGCCCCACACAGCTTCCCGTCCACATTATTCCTCCATCTTTTCCAGCATAACAGTACTAGTCCTGGAAACTCTTGCCCAGGAAGAAAAAGTTGTAAATAACTTTACTGTTCGTTCCAGGAGCTTTCTGAAGGAATCATTTAAAGCAACAGCAAACTGATCAACTCTTAATCACATCAAAAGAGAGTTTACGCACCAAGACTCTTTGAACCCTTTGCCTCAAAATCCCCCTTTGCTGTGTCCACCGATCCTAAACTATGTCCTGATCTTTACCCAATCCTAATCGAGGCTTCCTTCTCTGCATTGAAAGTCCCACCTAAAACCAAACTCTGAAATCTCTCATCACTTCCTGACTGTCTTCCCAAGTCTGACACGCTAGGAAAACTGTCAAGTTCGAGCAGGAAAAGTAGAATCAGCTTCTCCTGATTAACAGGTGGATCTGGTGATGTTTTCGGTGAGGCATCCTTCAACAGAAAACTACGCAGGTGGGAGTCCTCTCTCTGACCTCTGACCTTTGGGGTGGGGGAGGCCAGCGGCCTGAGTCCAGGCTAATCCACAGGGGGCAGTTATAAGTGATCACAGGGCCTTCAGGAGCTGAGAAATAGTGACCATATGAGTTCTGGAAATGCCCTTAGGGGTCTCCTGGTTTAGCCCCTTAGTTTTACAGACAGGAAACAGGGCCTGGAGAGGAAAAGAGATTTATCCAAATCACAAAGCTAGCTAGGATTGTTATAGGGATTAAATGAGTTAATAGGTATAATGCACTAAGACACTGCCTGGTACCCACTAAGCTCTATGTGTGTTTGTTAAATAAAAATAATTGGGCCAGGCGCAGTGGCTCACACTTGTAATCCCAGCACTTTGGGAGGCCGAGGCGGGTGGATCACCTGAGGCCAGGAGTTCAAGACCAGCCTGGTCAACGTGGTGAAACCCGGTCTCTATTAAAAATACAAAAATTAGCCATGCATGGTGACGCATGCCTGTAATCCCAGCTACTAGGGGACTGAGGCAGGAGGACTGCTTGAACCTGGAAGGTGGAGGTTGCAGTGAGCTGAGATCGTGCCACTGCACTCCAGCCTGGGCAACAGAGTGAGACTCCGTCTCAAAAATAAAAAATAAAATAAAAGGAATAATGGATCGGCTGGGAGTGGGCTCATGCCTGTAATCCCAGCACTTTGGGAGGCCGGGGTAGGTGAATCACCTGAGGTCAGGAGTTCAAGACCAGCCTGACAAACATAGCGAAACTCCATTTCTACTAAAAATACAAAATTAGCCAGGCATGGTGGTGGGCGCCTATAATCCCAGCTACTTGGGAGGCTGAGGCAAGAGAATCTCTTGAACTGGGAGGTAGAGGTTGCAGTGAGCCGAGATCACGCCATTGCACTCCAGCCTGGGCAACAATAGTGAAACTCCGTCTCAAATAGTAATAATAATAATAATAATTAGAAACAATGGAGCATCTGGACTAAAACTCAAGGCAAACTTAAGCTGGCCTCTCAGACTTAAGAAAAGCAAAACCTGACTTTAACATTGAACCCAGAGCAGTAGTTCTCTAACTTCAGCAGGCATCGGAACCACATGGAGTGCTTGTTAAGAGTGCTGGGCCCCATCCCCGAGTTTCAGATTCTGCACATCTAGGGTGGAGTCAACTATTCGCATTTCTAACTAACTTCCTGGTGCTGCGGATGCTGCTGGCCCAGAGATCCCTCTTTGAGAACCATGGACTCAGAGGAACAAATTACTAAGGGAATAATTTCTGGCACTGGTAAGAGAGAAATGTGGAGATAGTGGGTCTCTTCATCCTTTCCCAGATACACAGTCTCCCCCTGATGTTTAGCCATCCTGCAGTAACGCAGCTGGGGGGCACGCACCAATTCTGCTTGGCTGCACCTGTGCCCACCTGTGAATAATCCACGTTTCATCCCGTTCTAGCCTTCTTTACCTCGTGCTTTCAACAAGAGGGCACCCCTCTTGCATGTGGGCTGGTTTGACGCCCAGGCTATAGGAGGTCTGTACAGTGAGAATGAATCAAACACCAACCAGGCAGATGAAACCAATGCATTCTTTATTGCAGACTGAAGCTTAGGGGCTCACTCACTGTGAGCTCTGATTTGGGGGCATCTGTGGCTGCCCACACTTTCCAAGACAGACAAGGGCAAACTCTCCAAGCAGAGGAGAAAACAACTTCCAGAAGCTGCCCCTTCAAAGGCCTGAGGTGAGGACCTGGGGCAGCAGGCAGCTTGGCATGCAGGGGTTAACCAGAAAGGCCGGGTCTGGAGGGCTGGGCACACCTAACCCTCATCTCCTGGTGACTGCAGGTCACACTCCCTTCTTCAGGAGTGCCATGCAGACTCTGGAACAATCTAACAGGCCAAGTGTCTCCCAGGGTGGGTTAGGGAGGAGGCTGAGCACAGGCTCAGATCCCTGGAAGTGGCAGGGAGAGAACTGAGAGAAACTTCACCCTCTGCTCGGAGGACATCCCCAGCCTAGGTCCTTGCTTCTCAAACTCTAAAGTGCTTATAGGAATCAGCTGGGGGTCTTGCTAAAATGCAGGGTCTGAGTCGGGAGGTATAGGGTGAGGCCTAGACTCTGCATTCCTAACAAGCTCCCAGGTGTCACTGCCGCTGCTGGTCCACAGACCACACTTTGAGTTGCAAGGCTCTGGTCATACATTGTGTTTGTGCACATCAGAGAAGGATGCCTCTTCTTCAACAAGGAGAAACCCCACTCCAGGGCACAAGGCAGGTGGGGCCAGCGCAGCCTGCACAGGACTTCAGCCCCCACTTGCCCCCAACACCCACAGATGAACTCGGTAGCTCTGGAGATCCTGTCTTGACCTCCTCATCCTGAAAACCCTTTGCCCAGAGTTTGACCAACCAGGCCTTGGGATACGAGCAGAATGAACAGAGTCTCTTGAGATACTGAGCGCTCAGTGATGGCCCAACAATGGCCCGACCTATCAGTTCCTTCCCAAGAGACAAGAGACCTGGGCAGGGACGAGGGAACTGGGAGCATTCTGAGCAGGGATTACTGCTCTGAGCAGTGGTCTGAGCTCTCAACATCTTAGCCTTAGGAGTAGTAAAGTGGCCACTCGTCCACGGCACACAGGATTTGGACGGCCTGGCTTTGCCTCAAGCTCTGGGGCCTCAGGTGTCTCTGGAGATGCAAACAAAGATGCAGATCAGGTGGGGTCTGGGGCACTGAGTTGGCTTGCTCCACAGATGAGGAGAAGGTGGGAGGTAGATACCTGAGGACCAAGCAGTCAAGGTTCTTCAAGCCACAGGCGTTCTCGGGAAGCAAGAGCCCCAGGCCCTCTCCTGGTAGGGGACCAACCATCCCCACTTGCTGGGTACTGTCCCAGTTTTAGCATTGAAAGTTCCATGTCCTGGGAAACCAGGACAGCTGGTCACCCTGTTGCCTGACCATACCCTAAGATGCCAGGTTGAGGGCCTCAGAAGAACCAGGTCATCAGGGCTTTGGGCGTTGGCCTGGGAGCTGGCTGGCTACAAATCCCGTGGTCCACATCGCCTTCTGCCCCCAGGAGGCCATGACAAGGCAGCCAGGCTGCTGCTGGACTGGACAGTGGTGAGGGTGGCCATCTAATCACTTTAGACAAGAGCTGCAGGTGTAACTGACTCTGCTGTTCTCTGGGCCACCTCTCCCGCAGCTCAGGAGTGATGCTAGAGGGACGGAGCACTCAGGACTTCCCACCCCGCCAATTTGTTAACTGTGGGGAATGACAGAGCTGACGTGACTTGCTCCCCATTCCCAGCCTGCTGGTCCTCGGGCTCCTACATGAATGTTCTTGCCCTGCAGCAGTGCCAGCCCATATTCCCACCACAGCTCTCCCAGGACTCCTAGTTCAGGTTCCCACCAGTCCAGGGACCACAGGACTGAAGACTGGGCCCTGCAGAGGGCCGCATCCAGGTCAGTTCTCAGGAAGCAATAAATAGATGGAGGTTGTCTTCTCTTCTCAGGGCAGCAACTGGCTCTCAGCACTAAAAACAAGGCCTCAAACCCGCAGGGGCTCAGAAAATACCTGGCAATGCCCACCTGTGCCTGCTGATCTGGAGGTAACTTGGAGGCACGTACTGCTTAAAAACCTCCAGGGAGCCCAAAGGAGGGAAAGGGTCCTGTTTTTTTCAAGTGACAAGGCTCAGAGAGGGCAGGAGATCTGCCTGAGTTTGCACAGCAGCTGTGAGTGCCGAGTCCAGGCTGCAGGCCCCACCTTGCCTCTTCCCTTGGGCATTCCAGAGCCCACTACTGCTGTAAGCTATCTATCCAGACCAGCTGCACCCCACCCACCACGTGCTGCTCGGCCCACCCGCCCCCAGCCCCCAGGCTTGGCCTCCCATGGGCCTCCCTCCCTTCCAGGGTTCCAGGCCTGTGGCCTCTGCCCCTTGCTGGGTGGGCATGAGGAGGGTGGCCTAAGGTAGGGGGGCTCTTGCGCCTTCCGGAGACATGAGCATGTCAAACTTGATGAGCGGCGGGGCGATCACGCGCACCTCGGCGTTGAGTGGGTTGAAGCGGAGGTTGATGCTGCGCAAGGCTGGCATGGCGGCCAGCTTCTCCACGGGCACATCTATTGGGGACAGAATGGACAGGTTAGAGTGGTGGAGGCCAACCAGACAGAAAAGAAGGACAATGGGCCATGAGGACTCTGAGCACCTGATGGTGAGGGGCAGCTCTCCATTGCCCACTGCACGTGGGCTCAGCTCCTGGTGCCCAGCCCTGTGCAAAGGGCCATCGGGCCCACCAGGATATAACAACCACATGGAGGAAAGCATCCTTAAAAATAAGAATCAACTGCTTCAAAAAGTTAAACGTAGGATTGCCATACAACCCAGCAATTTTACTCCTAGGTAGAACTGAAAGAATTAAAAACAGGCATTCAAACAAATAATTTTACACAAATGTTCATAGCAGCACTATTTATAATAGTCAAATGTCCACCAATAGATGAATGGATAAACAATATGATATATACTATGTTGTCCATATATATGTCCATATATATATGATATATGGAATACTATGTAGCCTTTTAAAGGAACGCAATTCCGATACAGGTTACAACATGAATGAACCTTGAAAACATTGTGCTAGGCCAGTCGTGGTGGCTCACGCCTGTAATCCCAGCACTTTGGGAGGGTGAGGCGGGTGGATCACGAGGTCAGGATTTCAAGACCTGCCTGGCCAAGCTGGTGAAACCCCATCTCTACTAAAAATACAAAAACATTAGCCGGGCATGGTGGTGGGTGCTTGTAATCCCAGCTACTTGGGAGGCTGTGGCAGAGAATTGCTTGAACCCACGAGGCGGAGGTTGCAGTGAGGGGAAATCGCACCACTGCACTCCAGCCTGGGCGACAAAGCAAAGCTCTGTCTCAAAAAAAAAAGAGAAAATATTGTGCTAAAGAAAGAAGGCAGGCACAAAAAGACAAATACCGTATGACTCCACTTATGTGAGGTACATAGAGTAGTTGAATTCATAGAAACAGAAAGTAGAACAGAGGTTCCCAGGGGCTAGGAGAAGGGGAAGTAGGGATTTATTGCTTAATAGCTACAGTTTCTGTTGGAGTGATGAAAATATTTTGGAAATAGATAGCGGTGATGGTTGCGCAACATGGTGAAAGTAATTAATGCCACTGAGCTACAGTATGCTTAAAAATGGTTAAAATCAGCCAGGCTATAGTCTCAGCTAGTCAGGAGGCTGAGGCAGGAGAATCTCTTGAGCCCAGGAGTTCAAAGTCAGGATGGGCAACATAGTGAGACCCCAGTCTCTATTTCTTTTTTTTTTTTTTTGAGACGGAGTTTCGCTCTGTCGCCCAGGCTGGAGTGCAGTGGCGCGATCTCGACTCACTGCAAGCTCCGCCTCCCAGGTTCACGCCATTCTCCTGCCTCAGCCTCCCGTGTAGCTGGGACTACAGGCGCGCGCCACCATGCCCAGCTAATTTTTTGTATTTTTAGTAGAGACGGGGTTTCACCGTGTTAGCCAGGATGGTCTCGATCTCCTGACCTCGTGATCCGCCCGTCTCGGCCTCCCAAAGTGCTGGGATTACAGGCGTGAGCCACTGCGCCCGGCCCTCTATTTCTTAAAAGAAAAAAAAAAGGTTAAAATGGCACATTTTGTTATATATATTTTATCACAATTAAAAAATAATGTAATATGCCAAAACCACCGAATTGCATATATTAAATGGGTGAATTGTATAGTATGTGTCAATAAAACTATTAAAAAACAAAGACTATTATGTGCATAAAGAATATTTTTGCCAAGAGAGAGGAAGTCGCATACAGTGGCCTATGGAAATTCTTCTTAACTATGGGAATGCCACTCTATCATGCCATCTGCTCCATCATACCCCTAAAGAGTCCCTAAAGAAGCAGACATGACTATCTTGGGTCTATCTAAGGGAGGTTAGTTACAGTTTGAATTTATCAGGACTCCTGATAATGTGCCCTACCTATATCACTGCTCCATAAGAGCTATCTGGGAAGTTCCAGACTATATTGGATCATCACTATGCTGGATCATCACTTAGAGATGGAATGTCCTCTGGAATCAAAACAAACATATCTCCTGTCCCAGCTCTAGTTTCCAAAATTTAACGTGTAGAATTTGGAAATCAAGTTTCAAGCTGTCATCCACCTAACTTACATAAGATACTAGGGCATTTTCCAACACTCATCAAAAATGCCACAGTGTAATAAATATAAAGATAGTAGTGATCTATAATTAATTCCAGGTCCAATATTCTCAGTTATAACTGAAGACGCAGCACAGCCTAGTGTCATAGACATGAAATTTAAGACAGCCCTAAGCTGATGCCCCAGCTTTACCACCTAAAAATTTGTATTACTTCCCGTACCTTGTTTTCCTAATCTTGAAAATGGACATAACTAATATTTCCTCAAACAGAATTAAATTGGGGAGCAACTGCTTAAAGGATATGGGGACTCCTTTGGGGTGACAGAAGTATTTTGGAATTAGATAGAGGTGATGATTGCACAACACTGTGAATGTCCTCAATGCCAATGAATTATACACTTTATGTGGTTAATTTAAGTGGTTAATTTTATGTTATGTGAATTTCGCCTCAGTTTTTTTTTTAAAGGACCAGAATAAGGCAGCAGCTATACTAACACTTGGTAACCTGTTATAGTTCCTCCCACCTAACCTTTAGGATCACTCAGACAACACTAGGACGCTTGCCCTCGACGCGTGCCCTGTGCAAGCTGAGGCTCTGGCTGCATCCGCTCTTCCCCGATCCAATTCCGTGAGCAGCCGGATCCCAGAAAACCTCCCACCCTAGCACAGGACGGGGCCAGACCTCATCCCATGCAGTCCGACACAACCTCAGGCCGATAGTGATGGCAAGAGCCAGCTCCTGTCCTCTCCTAGGCACAAAATATTGCCCACGGTTGGGGGCTTTTTGTTTTTGTGGTTGTTTTGTGTTTAATTTTAGAACACACTAATGGATATTATACACATATTTTACTTTAGGCAAATGGTACTGTGCTATATAGATATCAGGCCACTTCTTTATATATATATATATATATATATATATATATATATATTTTACTAAGCACCAATAACAATCTTTTTTAAATATTATTTTTAATTTTTAATTGTGGTAAAATACAAATAAATTTACCATACTAACCATTTTTAGGTGTACAGTTCAGCAGCATGGACACATTCACATTGTTTTACAACCAATCTCCAGAACTCGATCTTGCAAAACTGAAACTCTATACCCATTTAAACAAAAACTCCCCATCCCTCCCTCCTCCCAGCACCTGGCAACCACCATGAATTTGACTACTCTAGGTACCTCATATAAGTGGACTCATATAGTATTTGCCTTTTTGTGACGGGCTTATGCCACTGAGCATAATGTCCTCAAGGCTCATCCACATTATGGCACGTGGCATTGATAATGCAGGATTATTCAGCCTTAAAAAGGAAGAAATGCCAGCCACGGTGGCTCACACCGGTAATCCCAGCACTTTGGGAGGCGAAGGCAGGTGGATCACCTGAGGTCAGGAGTTCGAGACCAGCCTGACCAACACAGTGAAACCCTGTCTCTACTAAATACAAAAAATTAGCCGGGTGTGGTGGCACATGCCTGTAATCCCAGCTACTTGGGAGGCTGAGGCAGGAGAATCTCTTGAACCTGGGAGGTGGAGGTTGCAGTGAGCCGAGATCACACCACTGCACTCCAGCCTGGGCAACAAGAGCGAAACTCTATCTAAATAAATAAATAATAAAAAGGAAGAAACTTCAGACCCATGTCATAACGTGAATGAACCTTGAGGTTCACCTGTCCATGGTCACTTGGGTTGTTCCCATCGCTTGGCTATGATGAACAATGCTGCTAAGAACATGAGTGCGCCAATATCTCTTCGAGACCCTGCTTTCCATTCTTCTGGGTATATATGTGATGTATACCCAGATGTATGAGACCCCCACCCAGATAAAAATAGAAAACATTTCAAGAACCCCCAAAAGGGTTCCCTTGTGCCCCTTTCCAGTTTATACCCTCTGATCTTCTTCATCATTAATTTAGTCTATTCCTGAACTTCATATAAATGGAACCACATAGCATGGGCCACGTTTTTATTCAAATGTCTTTAGGACTTTCAGTTTCAGAAGTCTTAAATTTTTTTACTCAGAAAAGTTGAATATTATTGTCTTAAGTCTCTTCCCCCCTCCTTTTTTCCTTTGGAAATAATTTCAAATGTATAAAATGTTGCAAAACTAAAAATAAAAACTAGCAAAAATACCAGATGACCATTAGCTAGATTTGCCAATTTTTTTTTTTTTTTGAGATGGAGTCTCGCTCTGTCACCCAGGCTGGAGTGCAGTGGCGTGATCTCGGCTCACTGCAAGCTCCGCCTCCCGGGTTCACGCCATTCTCCTGCCTCAGCCTCCCAAGTAGCTGGGACTACAGGTGCCCGCCACCACGCCCGGCTAATTTTTTATATTTTTAGTAGAGACGGGATTTCACCGTGTTAGCCAGGATGGTCTCAATCTCCTGACCTTGTGATCTGCCCACCTCTGCCTCCCAAAGTGCTGGGATTCCAAGGCGTGAGCCACTGCGCCCGACCTAGATTCGCCAATTGTTATCATTTTATCCTATTTGCTCTATCATTTGTGCATGCATTTTCTGTCTCTCTCTCTCTCTCTCTCTCTCTCCCCCACCCCACACACACACACGCTTTTTTTCTGAATCATTTGAGTGTACCATACATACGTCATGGCCCTCAGTGTATATTTCCTAGGAATTGGGACATTCTCTTACATAACCACAGTGCAGTTAAGGGTTCCAGGTATTCACATTGATAGAATGTGTATCTAACCCATGGCCCACAGTTCAGTGTGGTCAGGTGCCCTAACATCCTGTACAGCACTTCCCCCTCTAGTACCAGAGCCAGTCTGGAATCAAGGATTGCATTTACTTCTAACTCTTTGGGCCCCTTTGTCTTTTATGACATTGATATTGGAGGAGTAGTGCACTGCCCCCTTCCCTTTTTAAAAGTTCCTCATTTTGTGTTTGTCTGGTGTTTCTTCACGATTCAACCGAGACTTCGCATCCTCAGCTGAAGACTGCACAGGTGCATGTCCTTCCTGGGGTATCACATCAGAGGCACACCAAATTCATTTCTATTGTTACTTTTGATCACTTGATCAATGTGTAACTTGCTTTCTCCACTATATAATTACTATTGTGTGTTTTTTTTCTCCCTTGCATCTAACAAGAAGTCTGTGGGGACACATCTTAAGAGCGTGCAAATATCCTAAATGTTGGTTCTCACCAACATTTAGCATTCATCACCCTTAGACTTAGCATCCACTAAAGATTCTTACCTGACCTGATCTTTATGATGGCTGCAAAATGATTTCCTAATGTCAACAGTCCTCAGTATTCTACTTCTCTTCCATGTATCTATTATCAATATAGACTCCTATGTTTCTAGTGATTTACAATTCATTATTGGACTTCATTATTCTGATGCTCAAATTGTCCAGATTTGACCACTGGGAGCCCCTTTGGCCTGGCTCCTGTATCTTTTGACATGGCTCCAGCACTTTTTGGATGCACTGCCTGAATTTCTAGGAAGACACGTCTTGAGCCTTCCCTGTTCCCAGCCCTGGAATCAGCCACTTCTCCAAGAAGTCCTGGTTCCTTTCAATGGGGAAGAGTATTAGTGCCCAATAGTAAGTGTGACTGACTAAGCCGTGTTTTACATTCCATCCACGAGGACTGTGTACATCGAATCCATCTGCTTTTGACTGCTGCTTAGTATACCATGCTGTGCACCCACCACACTGTACCTCTCTACTCTGCCAGCAATGACACCCAAGTGGCCTCTATCTGTCCTTAGGAGCCAATGTGGGAAAGTCTTTGGATATATGCCCAGGAGCAAGACTGATTGCTCTGTCAATGAATATGTGTATATACCTCCACTAACTGCTCTCTAGAATTCCTGTTGAATCTCCCAGGAGCTTCCTATCCTGCACCCCCAACAAAGGCTTTCAAAGAGGCTGCTGACCCGTCCTGAGAGAAAGAGCTTCCTGGAGATGTTCTCAAATTGCTTCTAGAATCTTCCAGGCCTCCTTGTTCTGCTGTGGGTCACAGCATAGAACAAATCTATCCCTTCTTGTCCATGACACTGCTGAAGCCTGGAGCTTAGAAAACACCACCACCTTATTTAGGCAAAGGCCCCCAGATCCTTCGCTTCACATGATAGTTGAGAGTGGGTGGGTAGTGGTTATTAAGATAAACAAGCTCTGGAGTCAGAAGGATACGCCCGGCTTTCCAGTGACTGTGGTGCCTCAGGCAGGATCCCTGCACCTGAGCTTTCTCATCTGTAAAATGGAGTCATACTGCTCACCTTGCAGGGAGGTCCCAGAAGTCGACAAGATGCCTGCATGCAGTACAACAGCACAGTGCTCCAGCAACATGTGTCCAGCTAGTGCAGGTTCCCTGCTCCCTGTCACTGGTCTGGGGCCTGCATCCGCTGAGCAGCAGCCCAGATGCCTGGGGATAAGCCCACAGAGTTTGGCCAGCAGAGTCTCAGCCTGAGTTCACCACCCAGATAACCCAGATGTCGGCTCACATAGAAAGGAACAAGGGTTGAGCCTCAGATGTCTCCTAAAAGCACTATGGCTCCCGGAGCCCCTCACCACCACTCATAGAAGGCCAAAGCCCCAGATTTGGCCTCCGCTGAGAGCACCAACAAGAAAGTTCCTGGACATACTGATATTCATAGGCCATTGACAAGAAGCTGTACAGATCATGGCAGAGAGACCACAGGAGGTAGGAGGGTCCTGAAAGTTGCGAAAACCCAGGCTCAGTGGGAGGAAGTAATTTTGCCTGGGGTCACCCAGCCAGTGGGTAGCAAGGCTGACACCGAGACGGAGAAGACTCTTGACCACAGAGAAGCGCTATGCAGGAGTCCCCGGGCCCCGTAAACTGGCAGCCAGGTTCCCTAACGGGAGGAGCTTGCCTACCCTTAGACTCTGGGGTGACCTGGCCTCTCAGTTCCCTGAAGGCAGGCTCTGCGTATGAGACCAGGGGCCCAGTCCACGGCCTTGAATGCTGGGGGACACAGGAATTGCTTACTCCAGGAGCTGTGTCCCCAATAAGAAGACTGGCTATAGGGCAGCCGGGGTTGGGGGGTGTGGCAGGGAGGGGCTGGTCATCACCTGCCTGGAGCAGGAACCATGTGACAGGCGAGCGAGCCAGCAAGGAGGGGTGGGAGAGGCCAGGAGTCCATGGCAAATGGAGGCTCAGACAGGAAAAGACGCAGAGACAGGCTGTTTTCAGAAGGCAGGGTTATAAGCAGACGTGACTCCTCGGAGAAGAGGAAAAGAAAGAACAAGTGCTAGGAGTGCCCACTCACCTCCTTCGCTTTCTCTGGAGCTCATGTGGGTACAAATGTCATACCACACAGCTGCCAGCAGCCTGGCCTCGCTCGTCCCAGCCTCTTGCTGGGTGTGGGGGCTAAAGAAAGGTGCTGCCTATGGTAGTTCTTGAGTCTCTTCTTTCAAGCAGGGCCCCCATTTTCCCTATTAATAATGGCTGGGAAGAAAAGGGCTAATTCCTTGGACTCTTGCACATCTTCATATTCAGGAGTTCTGTTGCAGCCATTCCCCAGCGGCACAGCCAGCAGCGTGGGCAGGGGTACAGATGCCATCCCCTCTGCCCCTGATCACCCAGAGTAAGAAAGACCCCTCGCACTTGGCTTTTATTTCATGGGGCATCAAACTCCATTGGACACAGGAGGAAATCAAGGCGCAAGGAGGTGTAGCACCTTTGTCTAAATGGGCCCAGCAAAGCAGGCTGCTTCTGGGAACTGATGTTTGAGGCCCTATGCTAGACAGTTCCTCACAATGACCCATTTCTCAGGTAAGAAAACTTGATTCTCAGTTTCTTGATGCCCAAGGTTGCCACGCCAGTAAGTGGTGGAGGCAGGACAGTTCCTGATCCCAGAGCCCATACACTTCAACACACAACGCAGAGGGGCAAGGCCAAGGCCAGAACCTGGTCTCCTTGCACTGGCCCCCGGCCCCCAGAAGATAACAATGACAGGCAAGTTTCACTGAGCGATTCAGTAAGGACTGAAGCCCGGGCTAAGAGATCACAACCTCAGTTGTCAAGATATTCCCACTTGAGAAATGGTGGCTCAGAGCTGCTGTCACCCCTTCTCCCCATCCGCTACTGAAGACCACTGATCCTTCCCCAGTTTCTCCAGAGGAGGCTGAACAGGAGCTTGCTAAGGACCCTCCCTACTCTGGACTCCCGTGTCTCCTCTGTCCCTCACCTGGGAAGGCCAGTGGCCCACACAGTGGCTAGTACTTCTGAGGATGGGGGGGTCCCCCTGTCATGCTGCTGCCACAGGCTTGCTGGGCATGGCAGGAAGACCCACTGCAGCCCAGCCCCGGAACACATCCCCACGACTCCAGGCCTAGTGGGAGCGGCACTGCCGGGGTCTCGGCTTGCTGTTTCCACGTCTGCCACAGAGCTGGCCTCTCCAGGGTCTGTGGCATTCTCTGAACCACCCTACTGAAGGCCAGTAATAGCTTTCACAGGCACAGAGCAGGGATTAGGTATAGCTCTTTCCCCTAATTTAACCGCAAAAGTCATTTGAGCAGCTTAGAGGAAGGAGCGATGGGACCATCAAACATGCCAAAGCTGGCAGAACCAACACATCAGAGCAGTCAAACTCGCAAGTGACAAGCCCAAGAAGGCAACTGGGAGTTTCTGGATAAAGCTGAAAGATCATTTATGCTCACAGCATCCTGACAAGAGAGGGAGATAGCTGGAGGCTGCAGAGGAGAATATGAAATGACCTGCATTTTGTGGATGGGGAAACTGAGGCTTGGAGAGGTTAAATAAATGTCCTGAGGCTAGACAGCCCAGTGGTCTCTGGACTTTGTTGTGGAGAGGAAAGGGACCTCCGCTTTGCCTTCAATACCATGGGCCATGCTCCCATCACCACTCACCACGTCCTGCTGCTCCTCAAATCCCAGCTCAAGGGCGGCTTCCTTTGCCACTCCCCTGCATCCCCCTCCAAACTCTCTGAACATTTTCTTTATACACACTCGTATCATGCACCATGCCCTGCAACCTGTGAATATGTCTGTTCACTCCTGTAAATGTGACACAAAGCACAGTGCTCACGGGTGCTCCATATCTGTTGGATGAATGAATGTCTAACCTTTTGAACTAGACCATGAGTCCCTTCAGGCTGAGACCACCCTGAGCTGGGCAAACAGCAGAATCGCCATCAATGCTGCTTAATCAACTCTGTGACTACAGCTACACTCAAGAGTTGGGGCCCATTCCCTGGCCTCACCCATTCTGTGCACATTTGCCAGTCAGGGCCAGGCCTCTGTGGACCAACGCTATGATAAGACACGTATCCTAGTCTTCCCCTTTGACACTAGTAATCTAATTTAGAAAATGCAAAGATATTGATGAACAAAAGTAAAATCATCACGTCCCATCACCTAGAATGAATCACTATTAATGTCTTGGTATATGGCCTTCCCCACTGTTTAATGTGTTTGTGTATGTGTGTATATACACTCACATACCTACGTATTTCCAAATGGCCTCCCAGATAGCATGCTATGACATGCTGTTCTTCATGATATGCTGTAAATATCTTTTCAGGTTACAAATTGGTGACTTTCTATGGCTGCATCATAATCCATGGGATGGATGTACCACTTTGACTCCTGTTCTTGTTGTTGGACATCCAGGTTGTTTTCAACATTCCATTTTTTTTTTTTTTTTTTTTTTTTGAGACAGAGTCTTGCTCTGTTGCCCAGGCTGGGGTGCAATGGCGCGATCTCAGCTCACTGCAACCTCCACCTCCTGGGTTCAAGTGATTCTCCTGCCTCAGCCTCCCTGGGATTACAGGTGCACACCACCACACCCAGCTAATTTTTGCATTTTTAGTAGAGATGGGATTTCACCATATTGGCCAGGCTGGTCTCGAACTCCTGACCTCAAGTGATCCACCTGCCTCGGCCTCCCAAAGTGCTGGGATTACAGGCATGAGCCACTGCACTCGGCCTCCAACATTCCACTATTCCAGATAATGAGAGGCTTTGAGTCTACAGGGCATTCTGGGGTTACTTCTATCTCTTTGAGCCTATGACTGTAGAATGTAGGATGTGAGGTTCTAGAATCCTTTTATGAAGCCAGAGGAATGTCCCTTTAACTTTCCCATGGCCCTCAAGTGTGTGGGCTTCTGTTGCAAGGCCTCATGTCTTAGGTGAGGACTAAAGTCAAGGACTCAGTGGCCTATGGCAAGGCAAAAACCTCAAGCAGAATTAAACTATGCACTGGCTGGCCCTCCTCCCACTGTAGACAGCCACCCTGGACTCCCACCTATGTCTGTGGGAAGTTTAGAGTAATCAATAATAGTAGAAGCAGAGTGGGCAGTGTTTACACAAAATTACTTCCCTGAGGTCAGCTTGCCCCCGTCTCACTAATTGTTAGCAATATTGACAGGTAAACTTGTTTTACATCAGTGGAACCGGCTGAGAAGCAGGATGATTACAAACGATGGCTCCAGAATGCTTTCCTGGTCCAGTGTGGTGCCCACAGTGGGACCCTGTGAGAAGGAGGGGTCAGGACCTGGGGAAGTGTCAAGGGAGGTGAGCACCTAGCATAGAGGTAACCAGAATTGCTAGCTGGCCTCTGATTCCAGCATTGCTAGAGAATCCAGGCCAGCCCTAGGCCCACATCTCAGCCTCAAGGCAGCTCTGGTGCCTGGACACAAAAACAACCAAGATCAAGGACGCCTTGCTGTGCTGCGCTAAGCTGCATACCCCCTCTCAAAATGCCACAAGAGACAAGCAAGCAGACTGTGGTAACCTGGCAGGGACAGGGGGTCATGCTGCAACAAGAAGGCTCCGGAGCCACACACACACATCTCTCAGACCACTCCACCACACCCTTCTGGGTGGAGTCAGGCGGGGACAGGGGCTGAGCCTTCCCTACTGCCACATGGTCCTGGACTGGGCATCCTGGCAGAGGTGGGGCAGAAGCAAATGGAAATAGAACAGCTCCAGCCCTCAGAGAGCCAGGAGCACACTGCACAGCCTTGACAATCCTGCAGGCTGAGTTCTAGCCTGCAGAAAAAGCTGGGTGGACTGGAGTTCTGAGTCTCCTGCTGACGATGGGCCATTTGGCAGGGTGAACAGGGCCAGGGACACAGACCCTAATTTTGGCACTGCCATTTAAAGCTGTGCACCCTCAGGCAAGCCCCTTCACATCTCTGAACCACAACCTTTCATCTTTAAGACCGTCCTTCCACCTCATGATCTGTGGGGTGGGACCATCGGTGCTCTCCAGGGAGGAGGGGGCTAGTGAGGTGCAGGAAGTATGGCGGGCACCCCCATCAATAGGATGGGAAGCACGGGATGTTTTAAGAATCTACCAATAAACCTAGAGACATTTTTCTGTCCTTAAGTATGAGCTGCAGGGAAAGAAAAGCAAAGGAGAAAAACCTTTGGCTTTCATTCCTCCTCTGTGCCCCAGGTTGGCCAGCAAGGGTGGGCTAATGGGCATTGAGGGGGCCACCCACCACAGCCTTTCCCTCCAAAGAGTCCCCTGCACGCATATCTGACATGCAATCAAAGCCAGATCATAACAATTCTTTGCAAAAATGACTCAGTCTTCTTACTGGCCACTCTGGAGACAGCCAAATAAGCAGCTGAAACGGCTGGGCCCATGCCTGACATTTATCCTCCCCGCCCTCTGCACCCTCCTCCTTCCTTCTGCACTCCGGCCACTGGAAGGCCTATGCCTTCCCACAGGCTGCTCTCAGGCCTCTCTTAGTTCCTCTGCTTTGGTTAAGGTGCTCTGGGAAGAGCCTCAGGAAAGAATGACAATTTTGCTGTCCCCTCTCATGTGCCTGTGTTCCCTGCCTCAGAATTGGTGGTGCACACCTGGGGCAGAAGGGTTCCTCAGAAGTTCTGGCCTAGCTCAGTGGTTCTATCTAGTTTGCACACTGGAATCATCTGGATAAAACTGCCTCTGCAAAAGTTATGACAGGCAGAGAAATCTGACATAGCTGACTCCATCTTGCTTCTAGCCTCACAAGCTGTCCTTGATGATTCTTGAGCATAAGCCAAGCTAACTATGGGAGGAATTTGTTTATACTTCAACCTTAAAACAAAGACAATACCAGCCCCTTCCCAAAACTAATTCCCTCCTTGCTCAGGGACCACCTTTGTAAAACTAACAAGTTAGCCACAAGGTTAGAATTATGCTTTGGAAGTCATGTAGCCAGGGATCACAAGATTCCTAACCTCCCCAACTGCTCCTACAGATAACATCACAACTGTAAAACGTATGATTGGTGTTTGAGGTATCTTTCAGGTATCTTTCAGACTCTGCATTCTGATAAACCAGCTGGCACCACCTGGACCGGTATATTAGTCCATTTTTAGGCTGCTGATAAAGACATACCAGAGGCTGGGTAACTTATAAAGAAAAAGAGGTTTAATGGACTCACAATCATGGCAGAAGGTGAAAGGCATGTCTTACATGGTAGCAGGCAAGACAGAATGAGAGCCAGGTGAAAGGGGAAACCCTTTATAAAACCATCAGATCTCGTGAGACTTATTCATTACCACGAGAAAGGTATGGGGGAAACCACCCCCATGATTCAATTATCTCCCACTGGGTCCCTCCCACAACACATGGGAATTATGGGAGCTACAATTCAAGATGAGATTTGGGTGGGGACACAGCCAAACCATATCAACCAGTAACCATACCAAGAAACTGGCTCAGCTGATCTTGTGACCCCCAACCCAGGAACTGACTCAGTGCAAGAAGACAGCTTCAACCCCCTATGACTTTATCCCCAACCCAACCAATCAGCATTCCCCATTCCCTAGCCTGACAAACTATCCTTGAAAAATTCTAACCTCTAAATTCTCAAGAAGGTTGACTTGAGAATTCTCTCCCATCCTCTGGCTTGGCTGGCCTTGTGATTATTAAACTCTTTCTTTGCTGCAAAACCTGCTGTTCTCAGTGAATTTGCTTTCCTGGGCAGCAGGCAAGAAGAAACCATTGGGCAACTACATTGAGAGCTTTAAAAAATCATGAAGCCCGAATCCCACCATCAGAGACTCTGATTTAATTGGCATAGGGTGTGGTCAGGACATGGAGTTTTAAAAGCCTGCCCAATGATTTGAATGCACAGATAGTTTGAGCATCGCTGGTCTTCTCGGTGAAGATTAATGAGAGAATCTGGTGAAAACTTTTGCACAGTACTTCCATTCTGGGTGCCACCCTCCCCTGACTTGCAGAGTTGACAGGAGCTAGCAGGAGCGGGGCTGACTGCCTACCTGGCCTAGGGAAACCTGCCTCATTACCTTATACTGTTCTTTCTACAAAGAGGTTTCCTTCCAACCAAAATTATGCACTTCAGCCATAATGTTCCTGTGGCTTTCTATCCCCCTAGAGCTATGGGCAAAAATCTCTCCCGTGCAAAGCACTGTCCTGAATAGCTAGGACTCTGCAGCAAGACTACTTGGGTTGGAATCCCGGCTCAGATGGAGTGACCTTGGCCAAGTTATTTAATCTCCCTGTGCCTCGGTTTCCTCACCTGAGGAGAATAACAGTATCTGCCTCATAAGGTTGTCATGAGGATTAAACAAGAGCATCCTTGAAAAGTGCTTAGAGAAGAGCTGGGTGTGCAGCAAATGGTCACTAGTGCACGGGACAATGCCAGGAGCTCCATGAGAGCAGGGAGTGTGTTTGTTCTATTTGTGTCTCCAGCTTGGTGCAGCTCAGCTCCAGCACAAAGTAAATCACTTAGTTAAAAACAGCAACTGGTGAATGAAGGAACATTTCCCAAATGCCCAAATTCAAAAGTGTCCCCAGAGGGTTGACAAGAATTGCATGCCACATTATGGACTGAAATAGAGTTATAATTAAGCATTAATTGGGCTGCACTTTGGCCCACTTCCTTGTTGCTGAAAGTCACACAGCACAAGATCCTGACCTTGTGTATCCCAGTTGTTCCTGTAGATAGGATTTCTGACTTTAGGGTCCAAAGACTGTTTACAAATTGATTCACAACCCCGTTATTCCTATAGACAGGATTGCTAACATTAGAATCATCAACTTTTGCTGTAGGATAGCTTAAGATGTTTTTCAGATCCCCAATTTCAGCAACCAGTTTGGAGACGCCCCCCCACAGAGGATCAGGGTCAGCATGAAAGCACAGCTGCTTCCTCTCCCTGTCCCATGACCTCACCCTGCTCTTTTCCACCCATCAGTGATCTCCACGCTTCAGCCCACTCCCAAACTGTTAAAAACTCTAATTCCAAATTCCTTGGGGTGATAGATTTGAGGTATCCTCTCATGTCTTCGTTCAGTGACCCTATGATTAAACCTCTTTCTCTGCTGCAACCCAGTGTCTCAGCGTACTGACTTGCCGAGTGCATCAGGCAACAAACCCATTATGGTTACATACCCATGTCCATATCCCCACAAGCCTTTTATTCCTTGGATAAGGCATCCTTGCAAAGCTGGGCTTGGAGATCAGGGCATCAGGCGGCTCTCCAGCACTCTGGACAGAGACAGGGACAGGTAGTAGTGGAGAGTGGCAGTAAATGGAGCCTGGAAGCCTTTTGTTGCGTTTTATTTTTTAATTTAATTTTATTTATTTTTTTCTTTTGAGACATAGTCTGGCTCTGTCACCCAGGCTGGAGTGCAGTGGTGCAATCTTGGCTAACTGCAACCTCCGCTTCCTGGGTTCAAGCAATTTTCCCGCCTCAGCCTCCCGAGTAGCTGGGACTACAGGTGCATGCCACCACACCTGGCTAATTTTTGTATTTTTAGTAGAGATGGGGTTTCACCACATCGGCCAGGCCAGACTCAAACTCCTGACCTCAAGTGATCCACCTACCTCAGCATACCAAAGTCCTGGGATTACAGGCGTGAGCCACCGCGCCCGGCCCTTTTCTTGTGTTTTAAACAAGGGTCAAAGAACTTCTTGCTGTTGGCCTGTGTGCTACCAGCAGAGCACCAACAGTATCCTGGACAGTTGGAGGTTTTGGTTCATCCAGGTTTCACCACACAGTGGTTGGCACAGAGAATGCCATTTGGGCAAAGACCAAGTGTGTGGCTTGCTACTTCCCTGCAGGTGGACACAAGTGGGGCAGGGGCTGCAAACAGGAGCTTCCTGCACCCTCGTGTCTGGGGGCCATGCCTAATTTGCATTAATTGCTGTTGACACCTGTTTGTTTAATCCCAACCTCTCCCTCGGTGCGGCTGCACAGCTGGCAAGCGCTCCTTGCACTGTTTGTCTAATGACCACCTCCTAAGTGCTTGCTAACACAATCGATGCCTGCACCTACTGCTCAATGCCTGGTGAGCACAACTCAGAGCTCTGCAGACACCAAGCAAGGGCATGCGGGGCAGAAGGCATGAAGCTGCTGGGCATGCAGGCAAGAAGCTACCACCTCGGAGGGCAAGTCATCCTGTCATGGGACTTGTGACACTCAGCGCATAGAGGTCAGGGCAAGGGTCAGACTCTGGAAAGCTGGCTGTGCTCAGGGGGCAATCCGAACTCCATGCCCAGGGAGGGAACAAATCAACATCCCTCCAGATGGGCTTGGAGCCCCAGATCCAGGGGCAGGAGAGAAGTGCCACAGGTTTGACATTGTCCTTCCAGATGTGCCAGCCCAGAGGGTCCCTGCCTCCCACTTGAATGTGGAAAGTGGTCAGGATTGAGCAGAGTTTGATTCAGAGGCTCTCTACCCTGCAGGGGAGCTGCCACAGGTCATCAGGAGAGAAGCAGAAGGAGGTGTAAGAGGGAGCCCTGGCTTCTGCTTCTGCTTCTGTTTTCACCATGGGAGTCTCCCTTTCTTTTTTCCCTCTCTCTTTTTTTTTTTAAATTGTTGTTGCTGTTGTTGAGACAAGGTCTCCCTCTGTCACCCAGACTGGAGTACAGTGGTGCAATCATAGTTCATTGCAGCCTTGAACTCCTGGGCTCAAGTACTCCTCTTGCTTCAGTCTCCTGAGTAGCTGGGACTACAGGTATGCACCACCATGCCTGGCTAATGTTTTTTTAAAAATTTTTTGTAGAGATGGGGGCCTCACTATGTTGCTCAGGCTGGTTTTGAACTCCCAGCCTCAAGCGATCCTCCTGCCTTGGCCTCATAAAGTGCTGGGATTACAGGCGTGAGCCCCCAGGTCCAGTCAGGCGTCTCCCTCTCTGTGTCATCCAGGCTGAAGACAGGCAGTCAGTCCCAGGGGACACTGAGAAGCCTTTTGTGACCATGGTTCAATCTGCCTCGTGAGCCCAGAGGAAGTTCTGAGGGCAGCTGGCACTGGCAGGTCAAGGCACCCTCCCTGGCAAGCTGGGAGGTCTGAAGCCTCCCACTATGCCACTGTCTGGCCTGGCAGGAGGCAGAGCTTTGGGTCCAGAAACATTTGTTTCGGCCAAGATTCCCTACTTCCTGCTGACCCCATTCTACTGAGGGTTGGTGGGTCTAACGGATGGGCAGCAGGCCAGATGTTGGCACAGTCCTTATTAAATGAGGACTTATTATACAAACAAATCACTGGGGGTTCTTGCTCAGGTGCAGATTCTGACTCAGGAGGTATGAAGTGAAACCTAAGGTTCTGCATTTCTAACAGCCTTCCGGAATGCCCATGCTGCCAGCCTATTGAAGCCACTTTGAGAATTGAGAGCCCAGGCAGAGCTTCTCAGGCTTCAGCATGAATGTGAATCAGAAAGCCGGGGGTCAGGGGCAGGTATTACGACAGACTGCTTCCCCCTCCCAAGAGTTTCTGATGTAGGTCTAGGGCAAGGCCAGGGAATGTGCATTTCTAACCCGTTCTCTAGCGATGCTGCTGCTGCTGGTCCTGGGACCACACTTTGAGAAATATCGGCTGGGATAGTAAGGTGAAACAGGACAAGGGCAGAATTAAGTAAATGCAGCCCAAAGCATCCTATATGACACAGATACTTTTCCTCTTAAAAGTGCCGCTAGCCAGGTACAGTGGCTCACGCCTGTAATCCCAGCAATTTGGGAGGCCGAGGCGGGCAGATCGCTTGAGCTTAGGAATTTGAGACCAGTCTGGGCAACATGGCAAAAACCCATCTCTACCAAAAATACAAAAATTAGCCGGGCATGGTGGTGTGCACCTGTGGTTCCAGGTACTTGAGAGGCTGAGGTGGGAGGATCACTTGAGCCTGGGAAGTTGAGGTTGCAGTGAGCCAAGATCATGCCACTGCACTCCAGCCTGTGTGAGAGATCGAGACCCCATCTCAAAGAAAAAAAAAAAAGTGTTGTTACTGTATTTAATCAATTATTTTTTGTTTGTTTTTGTTTTTTGTTTTTTGAGACAGGGTCTCACTCTGTGGCCCAGGCTGGAGTACAGTGGTGCAATCACAGCTCACTGCAACCTCAACCTCCCAGGCTCAATTGATCTACCACCTCAGCCTCCCGAGTAGCTGGAACTACAGGTTCACACTACCACACCCGGCTAATTTTTGTACTTTTTGTAGAGATGGGGTTTTGCCATGTTGTCCAGGCTGGCCTCAAACTCCTGGGCTCAAGCAATTCTCCCACCTCGGCCTGCCAAAGTGCTGGAATTACAGGCGTGAGCCACCATGCCCAACTTAAATTCTTAATGAAGACTTGTTTTCCTCTAATCTCTTGTGCTCTCTGGAGCAGTGGGTGTATAGGGAAAAAAAAAAAAAAAAAGAAAGAAACAGAGAACTGAAGGTTACAGAAAGTTAAATTCCAGCTTAACTGAAATAATAGTCTCCTACGGGGCAAAATGAAGTCTCTCTAATATGTGACGTTTGTCTTCACCCTCACATGTTCCAGGATTGAATTGCTAAGCAGCACCAAGTACCGGTGAGCACGTGGTGAGGCCCTACTGCCGCTGCATCCACCTTCAAGTCATGTGTGTTGGCTGCTGGGGTGAACAAGCTGACTGCTCCAACCCATCATGTCCCTATGTCATCACTCAGTCAGACTACATGCCTCCACCTCCTTAGAAACCCTCCCACAAGGACACGAGGACAGCCACCCTCCCACTGAGAGTCCTCTCTCTAGCTCTCCATGGCACATCTGCCCTCCCCTACACCTGTGACCAGGTGCTATCTAGCCATCTAGTGTTTGCTGACACTAATACCTGTAAGCAACTTGAGGTTGAGACTCGCATCTCATTCATCTCTGTAGCCCCTCCTTCTTCAGAAATGACATTTCCCAGGTGGGCTTATTTATAAATACTTTAAAACTTCCATACACCACTTTCTGATTTGAAAAATACAGGAACTATCTCATATCCCAGAAACTTATAAATGGCTCTTATCTGAACAAATATTATAAGCTACAAACCCTTTTCTCCCTCTTAGGAGTGCCTAGAGTAAACAACTGTGTCCTGGCAGGCCAGTCCCCAAGACCCCGGAAGCCTCTCATCTGGGTGGGAGACACCTGCTGCTGTGTGTCTGCCAGGGAGTCAGCTGGGAAAGGGAGAAGCCCCTTGACCCACTCTGCTTCCCTTTCACCTGAACCGGGCCCAGACCTTCAGACTCAGGGGATTTGGCCACAGGCAGAGAAAATGGTAAGACATGAGAAAGGACTTCCAGACTGAGAGCACGGGCCATGCGGGGCAGGTGAAGGGGAGGGATGAGAGGAGGAAGGCTGTATAATGTGGTTGGGGCATGAGCTAGGGAGGACGGGTGACTGAGTTGGCTGAGAACAGACCCCCAAATCTCTGCAGGACAACTCATAAGAGTGGCTTTCAATATTTTTTCGTCATGACTAAGAGTAAGAAATACCATTTTTCATCATGTCCCAGGAGATAGATAGATAGATAGATAGATAGATAGATAGATAGATAGATAGATAGATCTGTGCATGCACATAGTAAAACTGAAATTAAAAGTTACAACATAGTAATTACCATTTTATATGTGATGATGTACTCTGACATTTTCTATTTTACTGCATTAAAAAATTGCTGGTCTCAACCCACTGACTTGACTTAACAATTCACTAGCAGGTTCATAGTACGCAACTTGAAAAACTCTGCCCTATCATGTCTCACTTATTTCAGAGGAGCTTCGAGGCTTTGGAATTCCTGCTCTACATAATGCTCCCACCCAGCTGAGTACCTGCTGTATGCCACACACCACGCCCGATGCTGGTGGAGGTGGAGGGCAGAGAAGGGTCACACACATAGACTGGAGGGCCGTGTGCTCAAGGTGGCAACAAAAGCCATCCACGTGCCACACAGACCTGAAACGTGAGGGCATTTAGCTACCAGTGAGCACCAAGGTCAGGTACCACCTCCCAGTGGTTGGCATCAGAAAGCAGACAGAAGTATCCTTGTCCCTCTCAGCCTCTATGCCCTGTTGAGATCCCAGACCTCCCTCCTTCTCTTCCTGAGAATGGCTCAGAGGGTGGAGGAAGATCACGTGGCAGCTCTATTCGGAAACAAGAGGATGACTGAGTTGATCCTGGCAGCTGCCTGGATGCTGAGAGCCTCCCCGTCTTTCCAGCGCCAGGTTGGGGCCGCTTTGGGGAGGTCCCTTTAGGGTGGCTGTCCTTCTGATTCACTTGGGTCTTGTTTCAGAGCTGCCTGTTCTCCACTTACTAAAGCTTTAAAGGCCACTCATGCATCTCAAATTTATTTCCCATAAAAATCTTGTTTTATTTTTTCCACCACCCTCTAAGCATTCTGGAAGGAAAAAATAAGCCACTCTGAAGGCATCCTAAGTTTCTACAATTATCCCAGTGAGGTGCTGCAGGAGCTCAGCTACAAGTAGCGAAGAGTGCAGAACTATTTCCATAATGGAAGACTGTGCAGCCCTACCTTCGTCGCTGTCACTGCAGCCCCTCCTTCCTCCAGCAGGCCCTTTCATTCTCACCTCCCTCCAGCCTGGGGATGAAGGCTGTGACCTGGCTCTCCTGCTGGTTTGGGAGTTGAGAAGCCACTCAAGTAACTCGGATGGATCAGGGAGAGATAGAAAATAGAAGCAGAGAGACTCCAGCAAGGAAACAGTGGCTGCCTCCATATGCCCCCTCTCTCTAGCTCGGGGGCAGGGGAAGAACAACCAAGGCCTCCTGCAGTGGACAAGGCCCTGGGATCAGTCAAGCTCTTTCAGGAGCAGCTGGCCACTTGGGGTAAACCAGGAGCCCCTCCTGGACAGCAACAGCCCCTGGCATTTCCATATCACCAAGGCCTGGCCGAGGCCAGGCAGCAGGGGCTCTGTCCCAGGCTGAACTGATTGGGAAACACAGCCCAGTCACTGATGTCTCTCTTACCTGGCCAGATGTGTGATAGGCACTTGGCCATGAAGGCTTAGAGCTTCAGTTTCTACCTGTGTCAAGGGGAGACCATCACCCTGTGGATGTGGGACTGCACATGACCATTCTTGGTAAGAAGTAAGATGCTTCCACATGTTGAAATTATTACTGTCATTCTGCAGAAAAGCGAGATATGTCTATGCAAGAGGAGCCAAAACAGCCGATCTTTGCTCTGTGGCTGTGCCTGCTAAGAGATATTGTCAGCCTTTCAGAAGGGGAAGGACCAGGAGATCTGGGCCACCCTTGCTGCCCACTTCGGTGCAAGTCACTTCTTGGACTGCAGCCAACATAGACACCCAGTCGACCCGCTCCCTTATCTGGCAAAAGCCACCTTCTTATCTTGAACCACCTTCTGGGGGTGGGGGATAAGCTTCATCTGAAAGATGAGAGGGCGCTGAGATTCACAGAGCTGCTGTGAGCCTTCCAAGGCCACAGTTAGGATATGGGGAAGCCAAAGCTGGCGCTGGTGAGACCCACCTGTCTACCCGCTGCACACCCAGCTCTGTTCTTGCTCAGTTACTGCCCCATTTGGATGAGCAGCAGAAGGAAGTGGAGGCATCTTGAGGGGCCACAATGAACAGAGACGGGAGACGAAGGACCCAGGCAAGAAGGGCCTGGCCAGGAATGCAGGGGGCAAAGGGCTCAAAAGCAAGCCCCTGGGATTAGCAGGACAGCACGGGAGGGAGAGCCGCGCAGGCCAAGGCACTTCTGGGCAGGCTCCTTCTGCTCTGGGCAGGCTCCTTCTGCTTAGAGAATACTCAGAGGCCCCAGTGACCCAGGAGCCAATCCAGGTGCAAGCTGTTTGAGGACTCTGGTCTTGGGAGCATAAGACTGAACCACAGCCCACCCCCAGGGGCTTCCCAGAGGCCAGGCAAGAGACGTCTATCCTGGGCACAGGGCTGTTGTGGAATCACATATTCCTATCCTGGCACCGCGGCAGTCTCACTGTGCAACCCGATGCACTCTCATGATGTGTTTGGGCCTCGTTTGATTCATCTGTCCAAGGAAAGACTCAGAACCTCAAAGGTCAGCTGGTCCCACCTCCCACCCAGCCAGGGTCAGAGTCCTGCCTGTGGCACCGCTGACAGATGGGCACTCGCACCACAGGAGGCAGGCCATTCCCCATCAGATGGGCCCAAACTGCTAGGACTCATCTGATGGGGAATGGCCTGCCTCATGTTGCTTTTAATCAAATGGCATAATGGCTATAAAAGGGCTTAAGAAAATGAAAGCATGACTGAAGGGGGTTATTATGAACATCATTGGCATTAGAACAGCATTTCCACATCAGAGGCCATGTGAGAGAGGATGAACTGGGGCTGAGCCACTGAAGGAGGGTGCTGCGGAGGGGAGGGCACACAGAGACCCCACCCAGTGCCCAGGTTGTCTGGGCAGGTTAGACCACTAGCTGGAGTTGAGGCTCGGCTCTCTGAGGTCCTGATGAGACAGGAGACACATAATCGCTGCAAGAGGAAGGAGAGACCGCTTCCTGACCTCAGCAGAACCCAACCTCCTGGGGTTTGCTGTTTGCAGAAGGCACCTATCAGACCCCTGGTTCCCTGGTGGTGAGGGCCCTGGCAGGCTGGGCTGACAGGGAGCAGCGTGTTTGTTCTGGAAGGCATAGAGAGGCTGTGCTGAACATGGCTGTCTAGTGGGCCCTGCTCACTCCTGTGAAGAGGTCTCTGTGAAGCCAGGGGACTCAGGGAGGAAAAAGTACACAGAGGGCCAGAGCCGAAGGGTCTGAGACCGCCTAGGCTGGTAGGTGAGAACTGGAGAGGGAGAGCTTGTGGCCTACAGTGGCCTGGCTAGTTCAGAGCTGCACTGTGGTGAAAGCCAAGGCCGTCTACCTGCCAGGGAAAGCAAGTGTCCCACCCAGCACCCGGTAGGCAACAGGGCCTCAAAATGTCTACCTTCCCAGGCCCCATGTCCTTTGCTCAGGCATCTCAGACAGAAAGCCCAAGCTTCTCCTCCCACCTGTGAAGGTCGACTCCAGAGTCCTGTGGCCCATGAGCGCCTCGTGCAGCAGCCCAGGGCCAGGTGGGCCAGGCCCACTCACCTACGATCTCGTTCTCCTCCAGGTTGATGGTCTCCAGCGCCGGCAGGGCGGTAAGCTGCTCAGGGAAGTCCTGGAACTGGTTCCGGGACAGGTCAATGGCCTTGAGGTGCTGCAGGGCACTGACCTCGCTGGGGAGGCGGTGTAGGAAGTTCCCCTCCAGGTGGAGCTCTGCCACGTGCAGGGAAGGAGAGAGAACAGGATGAGGAGGGGGCCACCCCGAGACCACAGTGACTGCCCGCTGTGGCTCTCACCCTGCCTGGGCCAGGAAGGCACAGAGGAAGCCCTAGGCCACAGAGGGAGCCCCGCACAGGGCTGATTCCATGTTTATTTGTGCTAGAGGAGGGGTCACCCTCCTACCGCTGCCCGGGGCCTGCCACCTGTCACTCCAGCTGAGGCTGCCTGCTGCTGACTTTGGAATGGAAGGCTCTCCCAGCAGAAGCCTGGGCCTCAGCGAGGGGTCAGGAGGTGCTGGCTCCTCCCTCAGACAAAGCCTCAACTCCGGGCCCTGACGGGGCAGGTCAGGATGGGCGGCCTCTCCCCCTCGGGGCTCCCCACACTCCATTTAGGGGACACCACTCTCCATGGCCCTCCCTGCTCAAGGAGCCACCAGGGGCAGCCACATTCTTTCAGTGTCATGTGCCCCTTCTCCCCTGGCCAACCACAGCTGACCCAATGTGGGTGGGTTCCTGCTCCGAGAGCAGCTGCTCTGAAAGCTGGCCAGCGACCTGTGCAGGGACCTGTGTGGGAAGGCAGCTGGGCCGGGGGAGTCCCTCTGCTGGGAACCCGGCTGAGGCAGTACCAAGAGATGGGGCCAGATATAGTGTGGGCTGAAGCTGAATCTAGTGAGAGAAGCCGGGCGCCCACAGGGCCCTGTGCAGGGAGGAGAGCTGGGGGGCAGGAAGCAAGGGCAGCAGGTGGTGGAGGAGCACAGCCCAGGGCTGATGGGAGGAGGAACTGGAGTCCCCATGCTTGGGTACACACCAGCCGTGCCCCTACTTTCACTGTTCTTCCTTAGGACGTTATTTAATCCCCGCAGAAAGGACATCGTCTCACCTGTAGCAAGGAGCTAACATCATAATGCCTGTCTCTAGGGCTGTGAGAGGATTAAGTCTGTGAACACAGGTGAAGCAGCATGACAGGGAGAGGTAGAGGTGAGGCCCCAGGGGCTGTCCAGTCCCCATCCAGGTGTGGCCTTACAGTGAGTCTCTCCCCACCCTGTCTGACCCGAGGGAAACTGAGGCCCAGAAATGCTGAGTAACCTGAAGAATGTCCCCCAGTTCTTCTCCCAGGGCTGGCTTTGTGGGCATGGGGCCAGTGTATTCACATGAGGTCTCATGATCAGAAGGGCCCCGCACTTGGGGTGGAATGCCTTGTATGGCCATCTTGAAAGTCTTAATAATTTTATCCTTGAATCTGAGTTTTGTCAGTGGAGCTGGGTCATGGAGTCTGAGCTCACACATGATCCGATCTCCTACTGCCTTCCCAGGATAGCGGCCTGCTCTCCCGCCTGGCCTCCCCCTCCCATCCCTGTTCTGCAATGATACTGCACCCTCCACCTCGGCAGGGAGGGTCAGAATCAGGCTTGTGTTCCATGTGTCTCAGGGTGGAGCACGCAGGCAACAGCTCTCCCTCACCCTCACCCAGGGCCACTGGGGCTTAGCAGGAGTGAGCCTCTTACCCACCCCTGAGCTAGGCACTGAGCAGGTCCTGACGAACAGGTTTAAAGAGCCTTGGAGTTGCCTGCCTGCCAAGGCTGAGGGTGGTGGACTCTTAGGCAGGGAAGACCTGGCTCAGCTTCCTCAGATCACCCCAGGCCAGGGTGGAAGGCAGTCAGTCCAGCATCTGGTAAGGGCAGAAACCTAGCAGCTGTCAGGCCTGAGGGTGGTTGCGTGGGTGCCCTGCACTGTGGACGGGGCCCCCGGGCCCTCTGAGTCTGTCCTTCCTCCCTTCTGCCTTCCAACCTTTCTGAGTCTGGTTTGAGTTTGTCCTTCTGGCCTACTCCAGGCACCTCCCGAGAAAATAAGCCACAAAATATGAATTTCATGATTCTACACATGATTTTAATGCTCTCATAATTGCACTTAAAACTGGCATTCCACAACATAAAGATAAATGGTAAAATTCATGCTCAATTTTGATCTTTCCTTACTTAGAACAACATGAAATAGTAAATGAAAGGCACCATGACATGCTGAGAGAGGCTGTAAAAGAAAGGGAAAATCTTCCTATGTAACTTTTAGAAAAATGACCCCTAATTTCTGGAGTCATTTCTCTCTGTGCCCCACCAATTTTGCAGCTGGCCCTGCCCCTCCCTCAGTGCTCCATGCCTGCTCTTCCACAGCCCCACAATGCAGCTGCTCTGAGGTCCCCACAGCCCCTCCCAGGTATCCCTACAGTGAAAACTGACCCCTGCCCCCTTCCCAGCGCCTCTGTGTACACACACACACACACACACACACACACACACACACGCACGCGCCTGGGTACCAGCCCCACTGCAAATGCCCTGCTCCAGCACACTGGGGTTCTTGGGAGGAACTACATCTGATTCATCTTTGTCCCTACATCCAGCCTCTTGCAGGCACCTTGTGTCACTCAGAAAATATGTGATAAATAATGACTCTTCTCCCCTCAGGAGGCAGACAGTGCAGGGGGCCTGGACTGCCTTCCATTTTTCCATCTTCAGGGACGTCGGAACCCAAGGTTCCATCAACAGGTCCAGTGCTCGCTTCACGCAAACCCAGGCTTCCCCTGGCAGCCAGGTTCTTGAATAGCCACACCTTAAACCACAGAACGCTGCTATCCAGATCACCATTATAAGCCTCTGTCACCCAGGCTGGAGTGCAGTGGTGTGATCTCGGCTCACTGCAAGCTCCGCCTCCTGGGTTCACGCCATTCTCCTGTCTCAGCCTCCCAAGTAGCTGGGACTACAGGCACCCGCCACCACGCCTGGCTAATTTTTTTGTTGTTGTATTTTTAGTAGAGACGGGGTTTCACCATGTTAGCCAGGATGGTCTCGATCTCCTGACCTCATGATCCGCCCGCCTCAGCCTCCCAAAGTGCTGGGATTACAGGCGTGAGCCACCGCGCCCGGCAGACATGTTCAGAATTTTTTTAAATGGGCTTTTATCAAACCAACTCAGGCATGAGTCTAATTGTATTCCCACAGTGGCTGAGAAAAATAAGAAGCATCTACCCCTGGAGACATTTCCAAGAGCCTGTTGGGAGCTTGCCCCTGTCTGCAGTCTTGGGGGTCATGGCCGATGCGGCCGTGGAAGCTAATGTGGGGGCTGTGATGGTTAATTTTATTTATCAACTTGAGTAGGCTAAGGGATGCCCAGACAGCTGGTCAAACATGATTTCTGGATGTTCTGTGAGGTTTTCTGGAGGATATCAGCAGTTAAATCAGTGGACTGAGTAAAAAGATCTCAGCCAGGCTCAGTGGCTCACGCCTGTAATCCCAGCAGTTTGGGAGGCTGAGGCAGACGGATCACTTGAGATCAAGAGTTCGAGACCAGCCTGGCCAACATGGTGAAACCCCATCTCTATTAAAAATACAAAAATGAGTCAGGCAGGGTGGCACGTGCCTGTAATCCCAGCTTCTTGAGAGGCTGAGGCACAAGAATCCGAGGCACGAGAATCCCAGGAGGCAGAGGTTGCAGTAGCTGAGATCGCACCACTGCACTCCAGCCTGGGCTACAAAGTGAGACTCTATCTAAAAAAAAAAAAAAAGTAATAATGATAACTAACGCTTATTACTATGCTAATAGAGCACTACTACATTCGAGGCACTTGTTCTGGGGATTTACATGTAATCATCATTGTGATTTTTCTCTAACCCATTACCATCAATTTACAAAGAGGTGAAATAACTTGCCCAAGGTCACAGAAACCCCAACCTCTCCCCAAGGTATGTGACGTTCCTCTCCCAACCCCCAAACCAGGATGTGAACCCCAGCCAGCCGTGTCCAGAGCCTGACTCCTCATCTCGTCCATCACTGTCCTGTCTCATGGGCTCTGCATTTGTCCCCTCCCTAAGAGAAGCAGGCCACGCTGGCACCTCACTTCATCCAGTTTTACACGCCTAATCCCTTCAATACCTGTTCTCAGAATACATAACCATTAAATCCTTGCTTGTTCAGTGGCCAAAGAATGACAAGAGGAGAACCAGGAAGGACCTGGTTATGTTCCAACTCATCAGGTGTCCTTGGGCCCATCCTCTCTCCAGGTGGCCTCATGAGAAGGTCTTTCCTGCCTATTTATCGCAGGCTGTGATGATGAGCTAAGAGGGCTGTGAAAGGCAGGATGAGCTACACAAGTCACATATTTACTAAGCACCTACTATATGCTCAGCCTAATCACATATTTACTAAGCACCTACTATATGCTCAGCCTTGTAACTGAATGTAAAAAGGGTAATCTTTGTTTTTTGTTTTTTGGCGTTTTTTTTTTGAGATGGAGTTTTGCTCTTTCGCCCAGGCTGGAGTGCAGTGGTGTGATCTTGGCTCACTGCAACCTCCGCTCCCTGGGTTCAAGCAATTCTCCTGCCTCAGCCTCCCAAGAAGCTGGGATTATAGGCACCCACCACCACACCCAGCTAATTTCTGGATTTTTACGAGAGACAGGGTTTTGCCATGTTGGCCAGGCTAGTCTCGAACTCCTGACCACAGGTGATACACCCGCCTCGGCCTTCCAAAGTGCTAGGATTACAGGCATGAGCCACCATGCCCGGTCAGAAAAGGGTAATCTTTGAAAATTAAATACACTCAACAAGACCAGGCGCAGTGGCTCATGCCTGTAATCCCAGCACTTTGGGAGGCCAAAGTGGGTGGATCACTTGGGGCCAGGAGTTCAAGACCAGCCTGCACAACATGGTGAAACTCTGTCTCTACTAAAAATACAAAAATCAGCCAGGCATGGCAGTACACAGCTGTAATCCCAGCTACTTGGGAGGCTGAGGCAGGAGAATTACCTGAACCCGGGAGGCGGAGGTTGCAGTGAGCCAAGATCCTGCCACTGCACTCCAGCCTGGGCAACAGAGTGAGAGCGAGACTCTCTTAGAGATAGAAGACACATGACACTTGGTTCCTGGATTATGGAACCTTTGCAGAAACAAAATTCAAAGCCAACATGATAGCAGGAATCAAAAGGGAAAATAAGAGAGGGTCAGTGCAACTGTGACACATGGATTGCAGGAAGCCAGTCAGAGCCAATGATGCCAACACAGTCTCCACTTACTCAAAAAATATTACTCAGCACCTACCACAGGGCAGGCTCTGCTAGACAGCGGGAAATCGTGGCAATGAGACAGACTAGATCCCAACCTTAACAAGCTTACAGACAAGTGCAGGGAGAAATAGTAAACAAGAAAAGAAGGTTATTTCAGATCGCTAGGAAGGCATTTGAGGTCAGAGTGAAAAAAACCAGTTCGGCAAAAAGCCCAGGGAAAAGCTATCTTCTTCTTCTTGTTGTTTTATGGCAGTGGTTAGAACTTTAAGGATGAGAGTGGACATCCTTGCCTTGTTCCCAGCTTGGGGGAAAGGCTTTCATCATCAAGTCTGATGTTAGCTGTAGGATTTTTGAAGATGCTCTTTACCAAGTTGAGGTAGTTTCCCTGTATTTCTAGTGTACTGAGAGTTGGAGTTTGTCAAATGCTTTTTCTTTGTCAAATGATATGATTGTGTGATTCTTCTTTTGCCTTTTTTTTTTTTTTTTTCGAGATGGAGTCTGGCTCTGTCCCCCAGACTGGAGTGCAGTGGCACGATCTCGGCTCACTGCAACTTCTGCCTCCCGGGTTCAAGCGATTCTCCTGTCTCAGCCTCCCGAGTAGCTGGGATTACAGGTGCATGCCGCCACTATGCCCAGCTAATTTTTTGTATTTTACTAGAGACGGGGTTTCCCCATGTTGCCCAGGCTGGTCTCGAACTCCCGAGCTCAGGCAATCCACCAACCTCAGCCTCCCAAAGTGCTGGGATTACAGGCGTGAGCCACCTCGCCCAGCCTAGCCTTTTCATATAATAGATTACACTGATTGATTTCTAAAGTTGGACCCAGACTTGCATACCTGGAATAACTGATAAATCCCACTTACACATGTCATATATTCTTCTTATACATTGCCGAATTTGACTGGTAATATTTTGCTGAGAATCTTTCCATCTGTGTTCTTGGGAGATATTGGTCTGTATTTTCTTTTTCTTTCACATTTTTTATACTGTCTTTGTCTGCATTTGATATCAGAGTAATATCAACTTCATAGCATGGATTGGGAAGTATGCCCTTCCCTTCTATTTTCTGGAAGAGGCTGTGTAAAATTGATGTTAATTCTCATTTTAAAAGTTTGATAGAATTCTCCAATGCAATCACCTGGGCTTGGAGATTTCTTCTTTGGGATCTTTTTATTTATGAATTCCACTTATTTGATAGTCATAGGTCTCTTCAGGTTGTCTGTTTCATCTTGGCTGAGTTTTAGTGGTTTGTGGTTCTCAAGAACATGGTCCATTTCTTCTAAGTTGCCAAATTTATAAGAATAAAGTTGTTTATAATAAACCTGGTAGGTTTTGAGTGGGAACCAAACCATGGAGCTGCTTCTAGGCCCCCTCCCCAAGGGAGGGCAAAGACAGCAGGTTCCTGGGGATGGATGTCCCACCCCTGTCAGTCACCCACTTGTCCAACCCCTAGGGCTTTATGAATGTCAATGTATGTGCCAAATTCCACCAAAATTGTTAGAGTAAATCTCCAGGTAGCCAAATCTGAGCTCCATGGGAAGGAAGCATTCCACAGAAAGGCCTTGAATTAGACAGAATGGGGCATGCATCCTGATGGGGTGGGGAGGCACCGGCAAGAGAGCAAGTTCTTCCCAGCCATCCAGCTTCACTTCTCAGAAGCCACGGCCCAGCAGGGTCTCTGAGTTGCTTCTGCTCCCACTGTGGTTTCCACTGCTCTACCCAAGCTGCCTGCGTCACAAGCTCCACAAATCCTCTGTGCGGTAAGGTGAGGTATATATACACAACCAGTTAAAAACAGCCTCTTAGCATTAGCTGAGAAGCAGGTGACCACACCACCTGCTTCCATGGCAAAGAGCCTGACCGGGGACCCGGGGACCCTGAACTGAGGTCTCGCCCTACATCTTCCTGGAGGCAGGTCAGAAAAGCCACTTCTCCCTTCTGAGCCTCAGGGTCCCCATCCGTGAAGACGTGGACTTGGGGATCTCTCCAGTTCTGTTCTCACTGAAATTCCTTGTGGAGAGAGATTCCTATGACTGGACCATCATCCTGACTACTTGGCCAGAGACCTCTCTTGTCTACAACTAAGCCCCCCAGTGTCTTCACCATCACTGTATCAGAAGCATCACTCATCAAGAATCTTGCATGCACCAAACCCTACACAGGGCACCTTATAAGCAATATCTCCAACCTCACAAAATCACTATGGAGTAGATGTTTCCCCATTTCTCAGATAAGGAAACTGAGGCCACGAAGGCCAACTGGGGCCAGCAAGGCTGCTGATGCCTTGGCTTTCTTTTTATCTCTTATATGGCCCCAAACCAGGCATTTAAGGTTTTCTCTGTTGTTTCCAGTTCAGAGGAAGAATAAAAGTGTGGCCAAAGCCCCAGCCACGGGATCGGCCAGTGTGTTGGGCTTCCAGCCCAACACAGCCACAGCCACGTCTGGCTTTGCTTCTCACCTCTGGAGTCACAGCACCCAGGCCATCTGCCCAAGGTCTTACTGCCCCCTCTTCTGGACAGAGAGGGCTGAGATCTTCTGGTCCCAGAAGACTGCATTAGGGGTTCCAAAGATTCTTCCTGCACCAGGCCAGGGTTCAGAGTGGAACAACCAGGGCTCCCAGGATGGACCGGGGCTCTGGAAAAAGATCCCACTCCATTCCACTCCCAACGTTGTACCCAGCCTGAGAGCAGCCCCCATCATGACATTTCCTTATTGATTAAACCTACTGAACTGTGGTTTCCGGTGTCTGTTAAATGGACCTCTTCTTCCCCAAGTTCCTCTTATTACTTCCTGTACCATCCTTATCTTGGACAATTGCCAAGGCTGACTCAGAGGCCTTAGATTAACCCCAGCTGAGAGAGAAGCTTGCCAATTCCATTAGGGGACAGACAAGGCTGGCCTGCAGTAATTATACAACCCATGCTCGAAGGAATGTGCCAACTCCAAAAATACCTGCTCACCAAACCTCAATCAGCACCTCGGCTCTGAACCTGCGGCAATGAGCAATCACAGTCCCTGACTGCACGGACTCCCCAGCAGGGCAGAGTCAGACGGTCAGGTGGGCAGTGTCCTTCCACCAGCCCATGCTCAGTGCTGAGGAGGCTTCACACAGAGACAGCTGCTGCCCACAGGGGTCAGAGGGCATTTCCAGATGCCACACTCACTCCTTGGGGGTGGACAAGGGGAAGGGCAGAAAAAGCACTTTTAACAAGGTCTGGAACAGACTAAAATGAAGTACTAAACATTCTGCCTCCATAAAAAGACTAAGGCAGGCCAGGTGCAGTGGCTCACGCCTGTAATCCCAACACTTTGGGAGGCTGAGACAGGCGGATCACTTGAGTCTAGGAGTTCAAGACTAGCCTGGGCAACATGGCAAGACCCTGTCTCTACAAACAATACAAAAAATTAGCTAGGTTTGATGGTGTGTGCCGTAGTCCCAGCTAGTCGGGAGGCTAAGGTGGAAAGATCACTTGAGCCCAGGAGGCAGAGGTTGCAGTGAGCCGAGATTGCACCACTGCACTCCAGCCTGGGTGACAGAGGGAGACCTGTTTCAAAAGAAAAGACTAAGGTAGCTCTTTTTTCTTGCTGTGTGAACTTGGGCAAGTTACTTGTTACTTTATGCTCTGTTTGCTTACAACAGTACCTACCCTTGGTGGCATATTATAAATGCTACTATTATGAAGTATATTTATATTTACATAGGCATGGAATATCTCCAGTACTGCTAATGGTGGTTGTCTCTGGACACGGACTTGGATGTCTGGGGACAGGAGTAGAAGAGCAGACTTATTTTTCCCCACTATCCTTTCAATCCTCAAAATATCACATTGTGTGCATCTACTGCCTAATCAAAAATAAATAAGTAAATAGGATACGTTTTTCAAATGAAGACTTAGAGCTCTGCAGGTGTGGCAGAGACATAAACAGCAACAAGAGAGGTGCTTGGGAATGGGTAAGAAGAGCAGAGGCAGGTATGGAAACATCTGAATCGCAGAGCTGGGAGCAAAGGAGAGCTGCACTTAGAGCCTGGAAGAGGGAAGTGAAGGGAAACTGCAGTCTTCTGCCTTACAGGGTTGCAAGAAGTGTTAGCTTGGGCTCTGGAGGACAGAGGTACCAGAGGCTCAGAGCCACACGGTCCTGGTGTTCCAGGTGTACCCTCCTCCCCCAACACACTGTACAGAATTCTGGGCTGGGGGGTGCAAGGGGGCTGTTGAGGTCTGCTGGTTTCTAGGGGTGGTTAAGACCCAGGATGGAAGCGATGCTCTCCTGCTGGTGCAGCAGCAATCCATCTCCAGGCTGCCCCAACTCCCCTTCATAGGGAATTTAACTTATTTTTTGTAGCTCTGTAGGTTGGTTGGTCTCTGCTGGGCGGTTCTTCTGCTATATGTAGTAGAGCCTCAAAATGCCCTCTGACCTCAGTGATCCCATCTCTGGGATTCTACTAAGGATGCTGAAGCCCATGATGCTTGGGTTCCTTAACACTGCTAGGAAGGGCTGACCCACTGCCCAGAAGCAGCCATGCAGGGGTCACAAACAGTTTGGCCTTTGCTTCACTGAGGTCATCCAGGTAGCTCCAGGGGTGGGGCACCCTTGAGGACTGATGGCAAAAACTGATGCAGAAGGCCACAACCTTGTCACTGCCTTGGTACCAGGTAGGAACTCTTGATCATCTGCAATTGGGGTCTGCCCCTTGTGCATAACTCAGGGGAGATGGACTCTCCCAGACCCCACTATTCCAGTGGTGGGTTGCACTGAAAGAACCAGAAAATGTGTTTCTGGCCGGGTGCTGTGGCTCAGGCCTATTATCCCAACACTTTGGGAGGACATGATGGGTGGATCATCTGAGGCCAGGAGTTTGAGACCAGCCTGACCAACATGGTTAAATCCTGTCTCTACTAAAAATACAAAAATTAGCCAGGCGTGGTGGCAAGTGCCTGTAATCCCAGCTACTCGGGAGGCTGAGGCAGAAGAATCGCTTGAACTGGGGAGGTGGAGGTGGCAGTGAGCAGAGATAGTGCCACTGCACTCCACCCTGGGTGACACAGCGAGACTCCATCTTAAAAAAAAAAAAAAGAAAATGTGTTTCTGACAGAGTAGATCTGCCTGATCCCATGCTACAACCAAACCTAAGCATCCCATTGACCGCACAAAGCTTCCATGTCTGCCCTGCTGTCCCTGCACATTCCTGAGCCCCCTCTTCTTTTCTCTTTTGTCCACTAAGTAACATCAGCTATTAGAAAAAGTAAACCCAGTGGGCTGAAGTGAAGTAGGAAGCTGGGGAGGAACAGCACACTGTGACCCCAACACCCCAACAGCCTTTCTGAGGACGGTTCCCTTGCTCCCCGGGTTTGGAAATGTAATGTGCCCAGGGGACACTCCCCGTCTCCTCCCTTCCCAGAACTCCAGAAAATAGTAACTCCTGTGGGGCACTGACATACACTGTTCACTGGCACACCCCCTTCCCACCCCCAAATACCGCCTAAGACTCCTGACCACACGTGGACAGCAGCAGCTTTGATGGCATGGCCTGAGGAACAGAGGGACCCACCCCGTCCTCACCACCCTGGCCTGTTAGGATGAACTCAGTTGCTTTAACCTAGCTTCTCCATGCCCTCTGCCCACACCCACCCCCAGGCACCAGGCATGTAGGGCCCTTGGAGCAGGAAGACCACTCCCCAAAGTGTGCAGAGAGGAGCCAAGGCTGAGGCGTGGCCCCCTCTGGCACCAAGGCGGTTGCCAGAGGTAAAGATAAAGCCTGGTGCCTCCCTCCTGACTGTCCTAATTGCTGAGATAATGAGGAAAATTGCCCCATTTTCTCTGGCAGGCACCAGGAGCTGCTGCCTGGAGAGCCCTGTGGTGAGGGTAAGGGGCAGCCCAGTGAGCAGCCAGGAGCCCTCTGCAGACAGGCTCCCCCCAGGTGTCATGCACCCTGTGGGCTCACCCTGGGCACATCTCCGAGGTCACCCCTGGGAGGGCCTGGCTCTGAGGAGGAAACCACACTTCTTCCCGGAGTTTATGGCTGGCTGGCATCTCCCTGTCAGGGACAGTGTAAAGAACACACACTTGGGGAAACAGAAAGAGGCAAGAAGCCTGGTGCTGCTGAAAAATCAGAGAAAATGAGCCACGAGCCCCAGGGAACTTCTCAACTCCACATTGCTGGATGCTCCCCAACTACTCACAAGCCCTCTGGGGCCCAGTTCCACCAGGCTGTGTTACCTCCAGATGCAGGGTCTTGGGGTCAGCAAGTCTCCATGGAGGCCCCAGGCTGGCCGACTGGAGCAACCCACCTCCCAGTCCGCCCGCCCGCGCCCACACACAGCTGCTCCCGACCAACCAAAGCCGCTCCCCTGCCCTGCAGCAGCCCCAGCAGCCAGCTCCGGCTGCCCTGGCCCAGGCCCAGGCTCTTGAGATGAGGGAACTCATCGCTTTGGAGGGCAGAAGGAGCTCGCAACCTCCCTTATGACTTGGCTTCAAGGCCCTGCCTGTTCCGTGCCTTCCTGGCCTGGCCTCACACAGCTTCTCCCTGCTAGGATGCTTCTCTGCCTTTTCCACAGGGCCTATCCCCTCCCAACCTCCCAGAACTCTTCCCAAACATTCCCACCCAGGCAGATGACTCCTTCCAGCCAGTCCCTAACAACACACCATCCCTCCGCTCTGTAACACTCAGTCTTCTACCATTTTTCTAGTTATTTCCCAAACATAACTTTCACTGTCCCAAAGATGCTTTAGAAACTCCTTCTTATTTACCTGGTAAACTCCTACTTATCTGTCAAATCCACATTTTAAGCCATTTCCTCTGGAGGCTTTCTGATTCCCTAATTACTGAAAGCAAAACTGACTTCCAACACCTGGACACCCACAGACCGTGGACAAACGTCTGCTGCACCGCCCCTCACATTATGACATGGTGTCTGCTCATAAACCTGCCTCCCCTGCAAGATCAGCAAGATGAGGGGCTCCTCCGGGGCCACGTCCAGTTCTCAGTTTTCTTATCATTTCCAAATGACACGGCTGCTATCAGGACTAAATGACATGATACAGGGAGAATGCTCAGCATGGAGCCGGGAGAGCTGAGCACCTTGTGAATTTGGGCTCTGCTGTTATCACTCACCCGTGCATTCCCACAGCCACACCGAACCCAATGCTTGTGGGAATCTGCTGGATTGAGTTGACGGGCAGGGATGTGAGAGACTGAATATACAAACAGGCAATGACCAGGCCAAATATAAAAACAGAACTCCACTCACAACCCGCAGCAGCCTGCCCAGGAAACCAACCCATGATCTACAGTAACCAGCCAGGATGCCAGCCTGCCATATGTCAGATTTGTAGGAAGTCAGACTGCTATCTCTAGCAATCATTCAGGAAGCTAAACAACAATCCCTATAACAACTGGTCCCAAATGGCTGGGACTCAATTAACAACTAACAGCTTCCTGATTTTTGTCCCCACTTCCAATTAAGGACCAACAAAAGAAAGCCAATATGCCCTCCTTGTCAATCACAGAGGATGCTCCGCCTCTAGTTAGAACTCCCCCGTGCCAACAATCAGAGAGTACCTGAAGTCTTCCCTTTTTTCCACTCTACCACTCTGCTGCCTGCCTTTGAGTCTCTGCCAACACACAAGTGATGGTGGCTGACTCCTTCACTGTAGCAAGCTCCGAATACATAGCCTGTGCTTTTCTCATTTGGGTGGTCTTCGTTTATTGCCATAGGTGTGTCTCCTACACCTCTGGCCTGGCAGTCCCAGGACACACTCACTAAAAAGAGCTAAGACTTGAGGAAGAGGGGAAACAGGGATACAGGAGCAGAAGGGACAGAAGAGCCACAGCAGGACATGGGGACCCACTCTCTGCAGGGCCCACCTGCCATCAGACCAATTCCATGTGTGCCCTTGGCTTTCTCATGTCTTATTTTTTCCTTCCATAAAATGGATGAAGGACATCAAGGGGATGGAATCACCTAGAGATGACCCACCCCTGCCAGGGCCTTGGGCCTTGCAGAAGAGTCCCCAGGGCAGCCCCAGGAGACATTGTGGCAGGCAGGGAGGAAGCAGCTTGTTCTCTCCCCAGCACTAAGGCAGCCCACCTCTGCAAGCACCCAGAGGAGGACAGAGCAGGCCTGCTGAGCTCAGCCAGGCCTATTTAAGCCTCCTCTTCACACATAAAAGAAGAGGGCTTTTCTATTTGAAAGAGAAACCACAACAAAGGCTCAGGCCCAGAGCCATCTCTCAGGGTAGGGGGAGAGCCCAACAGGGTGCTCAGCTCCCACCCTCCCTGCTGCCACCGCATCCCTCAATCCGCTGCCTCTGTGAATTCAATTAGCAGGCACTTTGTGATTTGAGGCAGCGTGAGGGAGTCAGGAGCCACTGGCAGCAGAGAAGGAGTTCAAACAGCAACTTCAGCAGACTTCTAACCAGAAGGTGCTACGTAAATACATTTCCGCATCCCACAGATGCATGGGCTAAGTAGCATTTCTCTGGCACCTTTCCCCATGCCCTCTGGGGAGGGCCTACTTACTCATCCCACAAGGCTCTCCCCAGATGTCAAGCAGTTTCAAAGCTCTTGCATCCATACCCAGGCCCTTCCCATGCCACTCTCAGGAAGAATTCATTCCTCTTCCCAGCAGTCCCTTCCAGCATTTTGTCCATACCCGTATCACAGCACTGGGTGGTGAGGACAATGTGTCCTGCAACCCTGGTCTCCTCAGGGGGAGACCCTGGTGGATTGGCCTTTGTTTCTGGGCCTCCGGACCTAGGTCTGGGAGACGCAGGTGTTCAAGGGAAGGTCTAATGAAGTAAAAGCACAAGTGAACTCTCCTCTTACCCAAAGGGCCTGACTGTGCCCTTTCTGAGGGCCCGGACAGCCCCACCCTCCATTTTCAATCATTCTATCCTCCTCGGGAAAGCAAACATCCAATCCCAATTGGCTGAGTACAGCACTAGAGGACCCTGGGACAAACACAGGTGGCCTGGAAAGTTCCAGACCTGGAAATCCTGCTCTAGGAGCCTCTCCCTGTCCTCCAAGTCATAGGGATTTTAGCTTTTCAGGCACAAATGCAACAAACTCTGTGAGCTTCACTCAGAAACAGCTATGTAGACTAATCCCTCCTCCTTGTCCTTCTGTTTGCATGGTGGCCTTTCCAAGTCCTGCCTGTAGCTCCCTCCTGAGCCACTGTCCCTGCACTGTGTTTGCCACTTCATGCACCCTCTCCCTCCTGGCCTGCCCAATGCCCACACCTCCTCTAGGAAGCTTGCCTAGCCTAAAGTCAGCCCTATGAGATAGGCTTGCTCGGGTCCCTCATGCATCATCAGCATTTCATGTATTTCTTTCTCTAAACAGGATCTTAGACCCTTTTCATATCCCTATCACGTAGAGCATTCCTAGATCCTAGATGATATTCCCTTTCATGGGGAGACCACATTCTGTGGATCCATTTCCCAGTTGATAGACATTTGGGTTGTTTCCACTTTCCAGCTTTCAGGCTGTTATGAATAATGCTGCCATGAACATCCACGTGTAATGTGTTTTTGCATGGATGTATGGTTTTGTTTTTTTGGTTTTTGTTTGTTTGTTTGTTTTGTTTTTTTGAGACATAGTCTTGCTCTGTCACCCAGGCTGGAGTGCAGTGGCACGATCGCAGCTCACTGCAACCTCCACCTTCCGGGTTCAAGCGATTCTCCTGCATCAGCCTCCCAAGTAGTTGGGATTACAGGTGTGCGCCACCACACCCGGCTAATTTTTGTATTTTTAGTAGAGACAGAGTTTCGCCATGTTGGTCAGGCTGATCTTGAACTCCTGACCTCAGGGGATCCACCTGCCTCAGCCTCCCAAAGTGCTGGGATTACAGGCGTGAGCCACTGCACCTGGCAACGTGGACATATGTTTTTACACCTCTTGGGTATATACGTAGGAGGGGAGTGACTGGGTCATATGGTAACTCTGTGCTCTGTGTTTAACCATTTGAGGAACTGCTTGACCTGTCTACACAGCAGCTTCCCAGCTGCTGCTTGTATGAGGCTTGCCTTCAGTGTGACAGGACTAGGAAGAAAGTCTGTGTGAAATGCCTGTTTTCAAAGAAGTAGACTATTGTGAAGCACTCTTTAAACTGCATCTTCGCTGTTGAGTCTTTGATGATTCCAAAGGGACTTGTGGATTCTTCAAAGTCTCAAGGGCACTGCTATGAATGCTGGTCGTCTTTGTACCAGCAGACACAATTCTGGCTAGGAGGCTGTGGCAACAGAGATGGTGCTGTTACAAATCCTTAAGTTCAAGGTGCAAGGGAGAGACAGGTGTGAGTTAATGCCTGTGAGGAAGGCTCCTGGAAGACAGAGGGCAGGCTCTGAAGCCTGGTCTCCAGGGCAGGCAGGTGAGAGCGCAAGGAGGCTGGAAGGGGGGCATGGAGTTGGGGTCCATGTGAGTCTGGGATGAAGCAGGATCTGCCCCCCTAGGCTTCCTGTGCCCTCCGCAATTCTCCCACTCCACTCGTTCACAAACGTACAACAGGCGCCCATGCCACAGCTCTGTCACATGGGTCACTGAGCAGCAGTGACCTCTCGTAGAAGGATGGAGAGACTGCTCTCTGGAGAAGAGGGCAGGCACTGCAGCAGTCAGGCCACACTGCTTGTCCATCCAGAGGAACCATTTCTAGAGCATCTACGAGGCTCACCTGCTGGACTCCTGCCACCTTGATGGCAAGCACCTACAACCACATGCTCTGAATATGCCCAGCAGAGAAAATGCCAACATCGGCCAGGCATGGTGGCTCATACCTGTAATCCCAGCGCTTTGGGAGACTGAGGCGGGCAGATCACCTGAGGTCAGGAGTTTGAGACCAGCTTGGCCAACATGGTAAAACCCCACCTCTATTAAAAATATTAAAATGACCCAGGTGTGGTGGCACACACCTGTAATCCCAGCTACTTGGGAGGCTGAGGCAGGAGAATCGCTTGAACCTGGGAGGTGGAGGCTGCAGTGAGCCGAGATCACACCGCTGCACTCCAGCCTGGGCGATACAGCAAGATTCCATCTCAAAAAAAAAAAAAGAAAAGAAAATGCCAACATCCCTGGCATCTGTCACTCCTGAACTGAGAGAGCAACACAGGAGAACAACACTAGATTGGAAGGTGAGAAGGGGGCTCATTCAAGACTACTGGGAAATAACAACTCCCAGGGCCTCAGGACCCAAACACCCTGCTGGTCTGTTCAGAACAAGAGAATCACTCCAGGAACCACACCCTTGATCCTTGTTCAATCTGCTTCACAGCCAGCTAGAGGCAGAAGTGACCTAGAGAGTTCCAAGCTGCAGGGAGAACACAGGTCCATTTTCAAAGTCAACCCATGGGAATGATTTCATGGGTGTCGCTGACCAGGGACCAGCTCTGGTGGCACTCCCCAGACAGGGTCAGAGCCTGAACGATGAGAGCTGGCCATGCCCTCCTGGCTGGAGCTGACCAGGGCCTACCTCGGAGCTGACTGAATGTGGTCATGAACTTGCTGGTGAGGGACTTAAGCTCGTTGTTAGCCAGGGTGATGAGGTGGATCTGGCCAGAGACATTCCGCAGGACCTTGTAGATGCCAATGGGAAAGGAGACCAGCTTGCACTCGGCCAGGTCTGCAGCCAAAGAACAAAAACAAACCAGAGTTATCAGCCACAGCTGCCCGAGAACTTGTCCCAGACTCACACAGACCCCACCTCCATGCCCCCTTCCAGCCTCCTTGCCCTCCCACCTGTCTCCCCAGGACCAGGCTTCAGACCCTGCCCTCCCTCTTCCAGGAGCCCTCCTCATAGGCATTAACTCACACCTGTCCCTCCCTTGCACCCTGAACCTAAGGATTTGTGTTAGCACCATCTCTGTTACCACAGCCTACTAGCCAGAATCGTGTCTGCCGGCACAAAGATGACTGGCATTCATAGCAGTGCCTTTGAGATCCTGCAGAATCCACAAGTCCCTTTAGAATCATCAAAGACTCGACAGCGCAGATGCAGTCTAAAGACTGCTTTACAATAGTCTACTTCTTTGAAAACAGGCAATTCACACAGACTTTATGGTTTGATCTTCTTCCTAGTCCTGTCACGCTGAAGGCAAGCCTCGTACAAGCAGCAGTTGGGAAGCCACTGTGCAGAACAGTCAGGCACTTCCTCAAATGGTTAAACACAGAGCACAGAGTTACCATATGACCCAGTCACTCCACTCTTAGGTATATACCCAAGAGACAAAAACATACATCCATGCAAAAACACATTACATGTGGATGTTCATGGCAGCGTTATTCACAATGGCCCGAAAGCCAGAAAGTGGAAACAACCCAAATGTCCACCAACTGGGGACTGGATCAGCAAAATGTGGTCTCTCCATGAAAGGGAATATCATCCAGCAACAAAAAGAAATGAAGTGGCCAGGCGTGGTGGCTCACGCCTGTAATCCCAGCACTTTGGGAGGCCAAGGTGGGTGGATGGCTTGAAGCCAGGAGTTCGAGACCAGCCTGGCCAACATGGTGAAATCCTATCTCTACTAAAAACAAAAAAATTAGCCGGGCATGGTGGTATGTACCTGTAATCCCAGCTACTCACAAGGCTGAGGCACGAGAATCACTTGAGCCTGGGAGGTGGGAGTTACAGTGGGCCCAGGTCATACCACTGCACACCAGCCTGGGCAACAGAACAAGACTCCGTCTCCCCACCAAAAAAATTTTTAAAAAAGAAATGAAGTACCAATGTATGTTATAGCAGCTATAGCATGGCTGAACCCTGAAAATGTGATGCCAGGCAAAAGCCAGTTACAAAGGCCTGCATATTGTACAGTTTCATTATATGAAATGTCAAGAATAGGCAAATGCATACAGACGGAAAGTAGATTAGCCAAGGCTGCAGGGGATGGAGGGTGGGGGAGTTCTTTGTAGGGGTAATAAAAATGTTCTAAGATTGGGCGGGGCGCAGTGGCTCACGCCTGCAATCCCAGCACTTTGGGAGGCTGAGGTGGCCAGATCACTTGAGGCCAGGAGTTTGAGACCAGCCTGGCCAATATAGAGAAACCCCATCTCTACTAAAAATACAAAAAAAACAAAAAAATTAGCTGGGCATGGTGGCACATGCCTGCAATCCCAACTACTCGGGAGGCTGAGTCATGAGAATCGCTTCAACCTGGGAGGCAAAGGTTGCAGTGAGCTGAGATCACACCACTGCACTCCAACCTGGGCAACAGAGTGAGACTATCTCAAAAAAAAAAAAAAGTTCTAAGATTGGATTGTGGTGATAACTGCTCAACTCTGAACATAGTAAAACCACTGAATTGTACACTTTAAGTGGATGAATTGTGTGGCATGTGAATTATACATCAATAAAGCTGATATATATACATATATAATTGTATATATTATTATATATGTGAACAGCAGCAGATAGACCCTAAAAGCATAGGGGTTCAGAAATTAGTCTGTCCAGTTCATCAAGGTGTCACTCAAGTTCCCTGAGCCTCAGTTTCCTCATCCACAGAATGAAGGTACCACCAGCTGCCTAGCAGAGCTGTTGGGAAAAATTAAATGTAGTAAAATAATGACTAACAAAGCGCCTAGAAGATACTTAGCAGGAATGCTACAAATATTGTAGCAGTCCTCCCCTTCCACTTTACCTCCTCTTGCCACTCGATCTAAAGCCTCTCTATGCTTCCAGGCCAGCTTCCATCTCATCTCTTCCAGAAGTCTTCTGGGTCACCCCTTTTGCTGGTGTCCAGTCAGCCCCCAACCTCGAACCCCAGCAGCACTCATCGAGCGTGACAGCACCACCCCATTTATCTCTCAGAAACTCTCATCTTTTCCCCAAAGAGGCCAGGCTCTCCCAGGCTTCTAAGCCTTTGACGATTGCTCCAAAATAAACATGTGAAACTCAATATTTCTATATGCCAGCAATAAAATATGGTTTTAAAAGATTCTATTCCTAACAGCAACAATAATATGAAATACATGGAAATAATCACAATTGAAGCCTTTCTCCCTCATCTGCCTCACAGAATTTCCAAGACCCAGCTCAAATGTCACCTTCTCCATGAAGCTTTCTCTGACTGTCCTAAGCAGTTAGTTGCTCCACAAGCTGAGCCTCATATAATGCGAACAAGACCTCTTCACCCTGTGTTGTATTAATCCCTTTTTGTGCTATCTTCCCAGTGGACTGGGAAGACACCCAGAGCATAGTACCAGAAGTCCAGCAGACTCATGGGTAAGGCAGGGGTTCCAGTTGACCTCACAGATGTGGTTTTGGGGGGGAAAAGGGACAGGTGGGAAAAGGGCAAAAGTACAGATGACTGAGGGTCCACAGGGCTCCTCTGCCAGGCAGCCTATAAGGGGTGTTGTTAATGCCTCCTCTGGTCCAGGGCTGCACTTGGTAACCCAGCCCTGCGGCTGCCCAGTGTCAAGCACCAGCTCTTCTATCAGCAGGTGGGGTTGGCAGGAGAGACTGCTAAATCCTGCCAGGGAGGAACAAGCTCCCAAAAGTCAGGCTTTCAGAAGAGAGAAAGCAAGGGCTGAGCTGGAAGCAAACAGGCACTGTGGGCTCAGAGTTTGGGGCAACCTGGGGATTCTAAAAAGAGTAATCGTTCCAAACAACAAGCCCTCTAGTGCTCTGTGACCGATATATTAAGGGCTGGAAAGAAGTTTTGTTGGAGTTGTTGTGAATTACACCAGTCCCTTTGGGTAGGAGTAGGCAGATCTCATCATACATCCCAGGAGCAACATCAAAGTAATGGAAGAAGCTTTCCCTTTAAAACAAAGAGCAAAATAAGGATGTCTTTCATCACCAGTATCCCTAAATAGCATCATGAAAGTTCTTGCCAGGCCGGGCATGGTGTCTCATGTCTGTAAATCCAGTACATTGGGAGACCAAAGTGGAAGGATTGCTTGAGCCCAGGAGTTTGAGACTAGCCTGGGCAACATAGTGAGACCCTGTCTCTACAGAAAACATTTAAAAACTAGCTGGGCATGGTGGTGTGTGCCTGTAGTCGCAGATACTTGGGGGTTGAAGTGGGAAGAAGATCGCTTGAACCCAAGAGGTCAAGGCTGCAGTGAGCCTCTACACTTCACTGCACTCCAGCCTGAGTGACAGTGAGACCTTGTCTGAAAAAAAGAAAAGAAAATAAAAAAAAGAAAAGAAAAGAAAAGTCAAGTCAGGTCTGGCTAATTAAATAGAAAGCACAGACATTGAAAACAGACAAAATGATTCTTAGGTGCATATGAAATGACTGTATAACCTCAGAAACCCAAAACAGTCATGTGACAAACAACATAAATTAAAATGGTCTCAGCAAAGCGGCTAATCAAATAAGCATGCAAAAGGCAATGATATTCCTATGCACCAGCAAGAAAATACAGTTTTTAAAGATACTATTCCTAACAACAATATAAAATATAGAGAAATGAGCATAATGAAAAATGTATCTGACCAATATAAAAAAAAAGTAGAAAAGTTCACAAAGATATTTATTTTCGTTTTGTTTTGTTTATTGAGACAGGGTCTCGCTCTGTCACCCAGGCTGGAGTGCAGTGGCACGATCTCGGCTCACTGCAGCCTCGAACTCCTGGGCTTAAACGATCCTCCCACCTCAGCTTCCCGGGTAGCTGGGACTACAGGCACGTGCCATCAAACCCGGCTAATTTTTGTATTTTTTGTAGAGATGGAGTTTTGCCATGTTACTCAGGCTAGTCTTGAATTCCTGAGCCCAAGTGATCTGCCCACCTAGGCCTCCCGAAGTGCTAGGATTATAGTCACGAGCCACGGCACCCGGCCCACAAAGACATTTTTAAAAATAGTTTTGTATGTGAAGATATAACATGTCCATTGATGACAAGTCAAAATATTGAAACACCGGTTTTTTAAAGAAATTAATTTATATATTGTTGAATGTAACTACTACACAAATCCTCACAAGGTTTTTTATTTATTTTTAAGTTAACTAAATGGTTTTAAAGTTCAACTAGGGAAATCTATAAGCAAGACCCTCTTAAAAAGGTGAGGTTATAACCAATATTATAAGCCTAAAATAATTAAAACAGAGGGCAAAATGGAAAATAGATCATAGAAAGAAATTATGTAGTTCAAAAAATATAGTCCAGAAATAATGTCATAATAAATGCTAAAGGAAGCTTCACAAATAAACTGGAGAGGGAAGGATTAATCAACTGATGTCAGAATAACCCCTTAACAATTCTGAGAAAGACTCAATCTAAGAATCAAAATACATCCTAGATAGAATTACACGTTAAATATTTTTAAACCAAATTAAAAAAAGTAAACTTAATTGAACATTTATACAACCTCTTAAGTGAGGATGACTTCCCAAATCTAGGAGCATAACAGAATCACAAAGGAACAGATCAACAAAACTAACTGCATTAAAAAAATATAAAACACTTAGAAGCTTAAAAAGAGTAAAGCAAACAACAGGGATCTGTAAATAGGATGCATACAGAGTCATCTTTATTACTGAAACTACTCAATATAATTGAATAAAGAAAAAATTAAGACCACCTGAGAAGGAAAGGACGTAAGATATTTACAAAGGAAAAAACATAATTAGTAAACAAATATATAGCTCCTGATGTGTTTCCAAATTGCTTTCCAGAATATTTATGCCAATTTACATGTAACCTATCCAACAAATAATAGAATCATTAAAAAGAAAAGAAAGCCTTGCTAAGTTGATCAAGGGAAATGGTATCCTGCTTTAATTTGCAATATTTTCAATAATGAGACTGACTGTCTTTCATGGTTAATTAACTGTTTTTCAGCTAGGCATGGTGGCTCACACCTGTAATCCCCAAGGTTGGAGGATCACTTGAGGCCAGTTCACAACCAACCTGGGCAACACAGCAAGACCCGTCTCTACAAAAAATAAAATACGGCTGGATATGGTGGCTCACACTGTAATCCCATCATTTTGAGGGGCCGAGGCAGGGAGATCACTTGAGTTTGAGACCAGCCTGGCCAACATGATGAAACCCTATCTCTACTAAAAATACAAAATTTAGCCAGGTGTGGTGACGGGCGCTTGTAATCCCAGCTACTCAGGAGGCTGAGGCAGGAGAACTGCCTGAACCCGGGAGGCCAAGATTGTATCACTGCACTCCAGCCTAGGCGACAGAATGACAGAGAGACTCTGTCTCAAAAAAATAAATAAATAAAATAAATTTGCTTGACGTGGTGGTGCCTGTGTGTAGTTCCAGGTACTCGGGAGGATGAGGTGGGAGGATCACTTGGGTCCAGTTCAAGGCTGCAGTAAGCTATGATTGCATCACTGCACTCAAGCTGGGCAACAGAGCAAGACCCTATCTCTAATAAAATAAAGTAAATATTAATTAACCATTTGTTTCCCCTATGGAAAATCCTATCCATGTCTCACTATTTTTCTACTTGGAGCTCTGGCATTTTTTTCTCCCAAATGTTTGTAGAGCTCTTTAAATAGTATTATCAACCCAGGTGTGTTGATTGTTTCTCTTGTTGAATCATTCATGTTACAGAGCGTAGGGTTTTTTTCTGAAGCAGGACATAAAAACCATATGCACATTGTAATTCCAACTAGGTATAAAAGGATACATGCCTGGGAAAGACAATAGAAAGAAAAATAACCAGAATGCTAACAGTGGTTATTTCAAAGGATTTGAGCAATTTGTTACTAAATTATAGTCTTCATGGTTGTTTACTTTATACAAAGTAAGTAAAATACCATTCTATATTTATATAAAACCATTTGCCAAGTATCTGTATACAGTGATACTTTACTTTTAAAATAAAAAATTAATGTATCATAAAATTAGCTATTTTTCTGAGACAGGATCTCGCTCTGCCACCCAGGCTGGAGGGCAGTGGCGTGATCTCGGCTCACTGCTACCTTCACCTCCCAAGCTCAAGTGATTCTCCCACCTCAGCCTCCCAAGTAGCTGGGACTACAGGTGCATGCCACCATGCCCTGCTAATTTTTGTATTTTTAGTAGAGACAGTGTTTCACCATGCTGCCCAGGCTGGTCTTGAACTCCTGGCCTCAAGTGATCCACCTGCCTCATGTTCCCTAAGTGCTAAAGTTAACTTTTATTGGAAAAAATAACCTGGCAAATTCGCAGATAAATTGAGGGCAGCCAGCTCTTCGTCAGTGAGGGAAATAGGGAAAAGCAGATCCAAGAAACACAGGAACTCTGCATTGGGCTGGGGCAGAGCTGTGAATAGGAGCTTTCAGGGACCACCACTCCCCACAGTAGGGAGAGAAAGTGCTTACAACGGAGGAAGAAGCCATAAAGCCATGCAAGTTATTTCCAAGGGTACTCAAAGCAGCCTGTCTTTCCGGAGTAGATCAGCCCAGAAATGTCCAGCCCACAGTCCCATTCCGACCACCTGGGCCATCTACACACCATCCCAACCTCACACCACCCACCCTTCCAGTCTCTGATTTAGGCAACATACAAGTGCCGGGCACGGTGGCTCACGTGTGTAATTCCCAGCACTTTGGGAGGCCGAGGCGGGCAAATCACTTGAGGTCAGGAGTTCAAGACCAGCCTAGCCAACATGGTGAAACCCCATCTTTACTAAAAATACAAAAATCTGCCGGGTGTGGTGGCGCGTCCTATAATCCCAGCTACTTGGGGGGCTGAGGTGGGAGAATTGCTTGAGCCTGGGAGGAGGAGGTTACAGTGAGCCGAGATCACACCACTATACTCCAGCCTGGGCAACAGAGCGAGACTCCGTCTCAAAAAAAAAAAAAAACCCAAAAAACACACACACACAAAAAACAAGCAACATACAAGCCCTCTGCGGCTTCATCTGGCCAACTGACACACCGCAAGGCCACATTAGAGGATGCCGAGGGCCTGGAATGTCACCTCCGACACCTGCTTCTTTCTTTCACTCTCCACAAATAGCTATCGAGGCCCTCCTGTGTGCCAGGTACTGATCTGCACAGTATCCTGTGACTTACCTATGACTTTTTTGTGTCCCCAGGGATTCCATCTGTTTTCTCCATTATGTGACCCCTCCAGTACCCACCAGAGGCCAGGATGCATGAGAGGGGTGCACCACCAAGCTCCTACCCAGAACAGCCTGGCTGCCACCAACGTCAAAGGCAATCCAGGAGTTCCACAGAAGGGCCCTGCTGGGATGTGATGCAAACACCCCTCATCCCAGCCCCATCACCAGCCACTAACACAGCACATGGACTCTCACCCCTGCTGGGAGGAGAGGTCCATGATCTCCAGAACAGTTCTCCATGGTCCCGGGACAAGAAAATGGAGATCCAGGAGCAAATATCATCCTTACACAGTCATGTTCCCATCTGTACACAAGGAGCAATATGCTGTATGCCACACACGGGGGATGGGAATAATAACAACCATAAACAACACCACTTACTATTTCACATGTGCTATGTAAGTACGAACTATCCCCTCTGCACACAGGAGACTGTAATAAAGTGACTTGCCCCAGGTCATATAGCTAGAAGTGAGGACGGGGAGATTTGGATCCAGGTTAGGTGGATCAGGAAGCCAGGGGTCCCAACCACTCCACTCTACTGCCCCCTTGAGTCAAAAACATGCCTAGGTGCCTGGCTCTAGGCCAGGCCAGAGAAAGGGAGTATATGCTGAACTCCCCCATGGGAAACCGAGGTCTTGTCTACAAACTCCTGTAGGCCCTTCAAGTTCAGAGCCCTCAATGCCTCTGGGGAAAGGGGCCAACAGCCTTCTGCACGAGCCAGTCACCTTCTGTTCTCTGGAAATTCCTCTGCAGGTCTAATTCAGAGGTTGGGCACCATCTATACCCATTCTACCAGTTTGCAGAAGGAAAAAGCCCCATGAGCCCCAAGTTCAATGTTGGGCCCTGAGTTTATAGGAACAGACGGCACTGCTGCCAGAGAACACAGCCAAGATGTGACTGGGGGCCAGGTCCCACTAGGGAAGGGGGGCCCCACCCAGGGAAGAGAAGATCCAGGCTGCAGACAGGAGAGAGTGGTCCTCAAAGAGCTGTGGGATGTCATCGAGAAGGTCTCATTCTCTATGGGTCCTCAGCACAGACAGTATATAGTTCACCAAGGCATAAAGAAAAGGCTCCTGGGTGAGGACGTGAGGACCGCATCAAGCAGCATGGTCAGGCAGAGTCTCCACAGAGAGAATTCCTAAACCAGCAGAGGCCAAGCTGGTGATCTCAAAGGTCCCATTCAAGTTAATAAGCGCAGGGCTGGGCATGGTGGCTCATGCCTGTAATCCCAGCATTTTGGGAGGCTGAGGCAGGTGGATCACCTGAGGTCAGGAGTTCGAGACCAGCCTGGCCAACATGTTAAAACCCTGTCTCTAATAAAAATACAAAAAGTAGTCGGTCGTGGTGGTGCGTGCCTGTAATCCCAGCTACTCAGGAGGCTGAGGCAGGAGAATTGCTTGAACCGAGGAGGCAGAGGTTGCAGTGAGCAGAGATCGTGCCACTGCACTCCAGCCTGGGCAACAGAGCAAGACTCTGTCTCAATAAACAAATAAATAAATAAAATAAACACAGCTAACAGCACTGAGTATTTGCTATGTGCCAGACACAGTTCTAGGCACTTTTTCTATAGTAACTCATTTAATTCCTTTGACAACCTGAGTTACCCTCACAGCAGGAGAATGAGGCACATGTTGATAGGTAAATTGTCCATGGTCATTGTGGTACAGTGATGGGATCTGAATGCAAAGATTCAAAACCAAAGATTCAAGTAGGGTGACGAGTAGGGCAGTTTAAGCAGGACTTTCCTAATTTTAGCATTGAGAGTCTTGCATCCTGGGGAATCCCTCCTCAGTCACTGGCAGATTGGGATGTTTAGGGTCACCCTAGATTCAGGTGGATGGATGAGAGTTCTACAGACAAAAAGGAGAGAGGGAAGGGAACCCAGGAGTGAGCCACAGCATGAGCAAAGGACTGTCACCCCTCTGGGACTCCCTCCTTGAGCTCTGCCTTCTTCTACACTTTCTCAGAGCCTCGCCCATGCTGCATGAATGCTCAGAGAAGAAGGCTCCTGGCATTGGAATCATTTAGTGCTAAATGGCGGTCACAGACCCCGACAGGGGTCAGGAATGGCATGGTAGGTAAGGGGCAATGCCAGGCTCCTCCAGCACCATGTAGACAGCAGCTAGACTTTCCCTAGCAGCCCCAGCCACTGACACCTGGGCTGCAGCAGGGAACAGAAAGATCCTTGGGGGAGGCGGTAGCAGTACAATAAACACAAGCTGTGATGATCCTCCTAATTACAATTATTATTGCAAGAAGACCAAACTGCATGTCCCCAAACTTCTAATTAGAACAGTTTTTTGCATTAATAAAGAAGCCTTTTATTCAAATTGCTTGGGTCCTTTATTAAAGCTTATCTCGTTAATTCTAATGAATGCTTGATGAAAAGTAATCAGTGGGCAGAACCAGGGCAGAAGGAGCAAAATCCAAGAAGACAGAACACTCAGCTGGAATTCAGGAGCGCCTGATTGAGCTTGCATGGTGACTTAGAAATATAGAACTTTGACCCCTGCCAGCCCCTGCTGAGAAGTGGGCCTGGTGACAGGGCCCAAGAGTGGGAAATGGAGCAGGACTTCCCTGCCAACCAAGTCACAGGGCCCAGAGGCGAGGGTGTCAGGGACTCAGGCCAGTAGGCACATGGGCTTGTGACCTAGCCAAGAAGTAAGGCTCCCAAGGCTACTGGAGGAACTCTGTGGCCAGTGTGACCCACTCCCACTGAGAAGCTTTCTTCATGGAATCTCAGGGTTAGGAGACCGGGGGTCCTTTGGCCGACGTTTGCCAAACTTCTGAGTTAGAATCAACTGAAGGCTGGGCACAGTGGCTCATGCCTGTAATCCTAGCACTTTGGGAGACTGAGGCAGGATTGCTTGAACCAAGGAGTTTGAGACCAGCCTGGGCAACACAGTGAGACCCTGTCTCTAGAAAAATAAAAAATTAGCCAGTCATGGTGGTGCACACCTGTAGTCCCAGCTACTCAGGAGGCTGAGGTGGGAGGATTGCTTGAGCCTAGGAAGTCAGGGCTGCAGTGAGCCGAGATCGTGCCATGGCACTCCAGCCTAGGTGACAGAGTGAGACCCTGTCTCAGAAAGAAAAAAAAAAAAGAGACAATCATCTGAAGAGGCTGGTCCTTTCATCCTCCCCCAGATATTCTACCTTTCAGTGAATCTGGGATGGTGCCATGAAATTTGTTTTTAACAATATCCCCAGGTGATTCTTATCAATAGGCAAACTTGGGAAACACTGAGTAACACAGCCTCCAATCTGAGGCCTGAAATCTCTCCATGTCTCCATCTGAGGTCATAGAGTTCTCCTTGAACACTGGTGATGGGAGGGCTCCCTCCTCCTTCCATAGAATGAGTTTAATTGTTAGAGAGTTCTTTAACGAACTGTATTAATAACTGCCACCCTTCACCACTCACCAGTCCTGCTGCCCTCTCTTCTGCATGGCAATCCTTCACATAAATGATGACAAAGGACATTATAAACATTTTCTTTTTAATTATTGTAAAATACACATAACAAAAATTTAGCGAGCGATATGACCAAGTTTTACGGGAAAACTCCCGTGATTTTCAATCAAACATTGCATAAGTAGCCAAGGAGCAATGAATAGCAGCAACTAGAATCATGGAAGCCATGCATCTATAGGCATGAGGAATGGGAGGGATGTCTAACACGTCCAGTGTGAGTTGTGGAGGGAAATGTAATTGATCGATCCTAATCACTGACTCTTGGTCAACTTTACAGTTTCTGCAATACAAGCTTGTGATTTATGCTTACTCTCTAGTGGAAATCAGGATTGTTATGAAGACTTAAGGCTCAATATTTTTTAACACAATACTCATCTAGGATGTAACAGTGAAGCCGAGTAAACTACAACTGTTGAGCAAGTTCCAGCTTTTCTCAAGTTAGTTATATTATAGGGTGTACTTAGTAAGCATATTTAGGTGAAAGAAGTTGAATTATGTTAAATGTTGCCCTTTGCCACATTACACTGAACACTGGATGCATGTGGAAAGACATGCTTTGTTTTTTGTAAAACTCAAGGTAGGAGCTGTGTCTAGAAACATTTTGGCATGTTTGTTAATTCTAGTTTCACTTAATAACTTGTAAGGCATGTACGTTTAAGCTTTTTTTTTTTTTAAGTTAATGGGAAAAATCTGAAACGCAATACCAATACTTTAGAATTTTGGCCTTGGTGTTTGTATGAAATTCTGAGGCCTTGATTTAAATCTTTCATTGTAGTGTGACTTCCTTTTAGGTATATTGTGCTAAGTGAAACTTGTCAAATAAATCCTCCTTTTAAAAACTGCTAAAAAAAATGTAGCATTTTATCAGTGGCAAGGGATTAGCAGGCAGAGCACAGAGGATTCTCAGGCGGTGAAAGTGACATGTGGCAGACACATGTCATTATACATTAATCTGAGCCTAAGGCTGTACAACACCAGGAGTGAACCCTAATGTGAACCATGGACTTTGGGTAACAATGATGCACCAACGTAGGTTCACCAATTGTAGTAAATATGCCCCTCTGGTGGGGGATGTTGATCATGGAGAAGGCAATGCCTGTTTGTGGGCAGTGGGGAGTATATTGGAAAATCTCTATTCTTAACTCTTAATTTTGCTTGTGAACCTTGTGAACCTAACACTCCCCTTTAAAAATTAAATATTTTTTAAAATGTGCCATCTTAACCATTTTTAAATGTACAGTTCAGTAGCTTTAAGTATATTTACATTGTTGTGCAATCAACTAATCTCCAGGACTTTTGCATCTTGCGAAACGGAAACTCTTTACTTGTTAACCCCCTATTTTCCCATCCCCCAGCTGCTGGCAACCACAGAACATTATAAACTTTTTTCCAGGCAAAAACATCCCCAGAAACTTCAATCCTCATGGTTCTGGCTGCTCCCGTGAGAGGAGCAGGACCAACCTAGCTCAGACTCTGGCCTGGCCAGAACTTTCTCCTGCACCGGTGTTGAGTCTCTAACACATAACTGCAGCCACCACTGATTGACACCAGGTGTGTTCCAGAAGCTGTGCTGGGGCTTCAGACCTTTTATTCCCTCCATTCCTCACAACCACCCTATAAATAGGTCACTACTATGCTTACCCCTGGTTAACAGTTAAGGAAACTGAGTCATGGAGAAGTCAAACAAATTGTTCTAAGTCATATGACTTATTCAAGGTCAACCAGTTAATGAAATAATAAAAAACATTTACAAAGTGCCTGCTGCTTGCAATTAGTGATCTCAGCTTGTCATGCATTAACTCAGTTAACCCCCACAACATCACAACATCCCCATGAGACAGGCACTATTTTGTATTTTTTATTTTTTTGAGACAGAGTCTCACTCTGTCACCCAGGCTGGAGTGCAGTGGTGTAATCTCGGCTCACTGCAACCTCCGCCTCCTGGGTTCAAGTGAGTCTCCTGCCTCAGCCTCCTGAGTAGCTGGGACTACAGGCATGCACCACCACGCCCAACTAATTTTTGTATTTTTAGTAGAGAAGGGGTTTCACCATGTTGGCCAGGCTGGTCTCGAACTCCTGACCTCAGATGATCCATGAGATGGGCACTATTATTACTATTCCTGTTGTACAGAGGAGGAATCAAGACACAGAGCCAGGAGTCTTGGTTAGTAAGCTGCTGAGCTTAAGGGTTTGCTCCTAACCACCATGCTACACTGCCTCCCTAGAATATGTAACCCGCATTCAGGACAGCCTGCCATGCTGAAACAGATTGGGAGGTGGTGGGTTTCCAATGAGCAGATAGATCTTCCATGATTTACAATGGGTTCCCTGGGAACACTAGTATATTGCAGTTCCCATGGAACTATATAAAAGGGGACTTAGAGTTGAAAGAGCTGGTGAAAGAGTCATCAGGGTATCAACAGCCTGGATTTGTCACTTACTGTCTGTGGGACCTTGGGTCCTTATGCCCTTAGTTTTCAAATCTTGGTAAATTGCAACTGATCATCTCCAAGGCCCCTTGCAGCTGCCACTGTGGATTCTAGGACTTGGCCACAACCAGGAGCCACCTTGGGAGCTCTATAGACTCTTGATGCCTAAGTCTCTCTCCCAGAGAGTCTGATTTAATTAGTGGGGGCTGGGGCTTGGGAATGGAAGGGAGGGTAAAAGCTCCCTGGGTGACTCTAACGTGCAGCCAGGTGAACTCTGCACCATACCATCACCTCTCAAACTAAAGTGTGACACCTGGGGACACTGCCAACGTGCAGATTCTGATGCCACATGTCTAGGTGGGGCGTAAGAGTCTGCATTTCCACCCAGCAGGTCCAAGGACCACACTAAGTAGCAAGGGCTACTCCAGTGCAGTGGTTCTCCAAGGGCATCAGCATCACCCACAGCATTAGCATCACCCCAGAACTTGTCAGAAAGGCACATTCTCAGGCACCACCCCAGTCCCACAGAATCAGAAACTCTGGGGGTAAGGCCCAGGCATCTGTGTTTTAGCTGAAGCATCACTGGCCTAGAGGGGCCAGGCCTCCTCCTGATGTAGCTGCTTCCTGTATTGATGATGATAATGGGGTGGTAATGACAGTAACTGAGTGCTGGCTGCTCCTGCCTGCCTAAGGGCATGAGGTTTACACGCTCATGGAAATTTTTTGTGCCCTGGGTTCCTCCTGCTTCCCCTCTGAGCAGACTATTTCAGGACAGAGCAGCAGAGACAGAGTCTCTTCACTCTCTTCTCTCGCTTTGTTCATGCTTCTGGTACTCAGAGGCACACGTGACCCTCGGTGTGGAGGCCGCCCTGGGCTGTAACTCAGGAGGCCTAATTCTTATCCCAGCCCCTCCACTATCAGCCAGGGGGAGCTCAGAGACACTACTTCTTCATGGGCCTTGTCCCCTCATCTGTAAAATGAGGGTTTGGACTAGATGATTTGGGGTCTCAACCAGACCAGACATCCTCTGACTCCATGATTCTACTAAACAAAGGCTCTTCAGACAGCCCTCTGTCAAACAGGAGCCCCCCATGACTTGAGCTGCCAGTCTCTGAAATGTCACTCAATTTCCAAAGTAGGGACACACAGGATGCAGACAGCGAGCAAAACAACTGCTCATCAAGGGATCGTGCCGTGCATCACTGGGCACAATTAGGCATCACTTTAACAAAGCTGTTTGTTGTAGTGCTTACAGAGCTGGCTGGCTCTAAAAGGCTTAAGACAAAAAGCAGCCGGACTTGCTCCCTCTTGACAAATCCCCTCCCCCAGGGACAACCACTTTCAGGTCTTTGGGGGTGTTTTACTCCCGATCTCTAGAGCAATGTTTCTGAGCCTGTTTCCTGTCTCATGCCCCTTATAGAGAAAAGGGCATGGGAGGAAGAGCTCACCGAGGACCACATACGTCCAGAAAGTCCCACCGCAATAGCACACACAGCTACTGGGCCCGGGAGGGTTGTCGGGAAGAGAAGGGCAGAAAGGCACTTCGGGAAGGCGCGTCTTCTGAGACGTGGGGAAACCACTCAACTTGAAAGTGCCAGTGGGTTTAGGGGGATTTTTTTCTTTCACTTCCTATTTCATGGACTTGTATATTGTGCAAGAGTTTTACAAGCACTTAATGACTTCTTACAAATATCTCCAGTTTAAAGAAAGGAACATCCCCAACATGCAGTGACCCTTGGGGTATGTTTTTCCTCAAACGCCCAAAAACCTGGATCAGTGGAGATGGGTGTTGATGGGGACATAGGGAACAGAGCTAAAGTCCTGCCAGGGCAAAGCTCACGGGAGCTGCTGGGGAGAGCAGCCGCACGCTCAGAGGGCTGTGTGGACACCCCTCTGACAAACGCACACACGAATCCTGCATCTCAGAGGTGCCTTCTCACGTCCTGCTGCAGAAGCCCCTGCCTCTCTAGGAAATAATGTGCTACAGAGAGTTGGCCTCAGAGAAGAAAGCTGAGCATGAGGCCCTCCAGCCAGTGGCTATCATACTCAGTCAGAATAACTTCTAACCACACAAGAGACCTAGAAAGCAATATCTTCTTCTCAGAATCCAAATTGAATCCTTTCTTGGGCCAACTCTTTCTTGCTGTGGGACCTCAGGCAAGTTACTTAACTCCAATCTCAGTTTCTTCTTCAGTAAAGTGAGGACAAGAGCTCTTTCAAAAACCTGTATGCAATCTGGGCATGGTGGCTCACGCCCGTAACCCAAGCACTTTGGGAGGCCAAGGTGGGAGGATCACTTAAGTTCAAGAGTTCAAGACCATCCTGGGCAACACAGTAAAACCCTGGTTCTATAAAAAATACAAAAAGTAGCTGGGTGTGGTAGTGCATGCCTGTAGTCCCAGCTAGCTACTTGGGAGGCTGTGGTGGGAGGATCGCTTGAGCTTGGGAGGCAGAGGTTGCAGTGAGCCAAGATCATGCCACTGCACCCCAGCCTGGGCAACAGAGCCAGACCTTTTGAGACTTTGTCTCAAAAAAATAAAAACAAATAAATAAAGTTTTAAAACCTGTATGTAGTGCTGGGCAGAGTAGCTCACACCTGTAATCCCAGCACTTTGGGAGGCCGAGGCGGGCAGATCACGAGGTTAGGAGTTTGAGACCAGCCTGGCCAATATGGTGAAACCCCGTCTCTACTAAAAATACAAAAATTAGCAGGGTGTGGTGGCAGGTGCCTGTAGTCACAGCTACTCAGGAGGCTGAGGCAGAAGAATTGCTTGAACCCAGGAGGCGGAGGTTGCAGTGAGCCAAGATCGCGCCACTGCACTCCAGCCTGGGCAACAGAATGAGACTCCACCTCAAAACAAAACAAAACAAAAAACAAAGCAAAACAAAAAAAAACACCTGTATATAAATGTTCACAGCAGCATTTTCACAATAGTTGAAAAGTGGAGACAATCCAAATGTCCATCAGCTGATGAACAGATAAAGGACATGTCATATATCCATTCAATGGAATATTATTCAGCCATAAAAAGGAATGAAATCCTGACATGGGCTGCAACATGAATGAACCTTGAAAACATTTTGCTATGTGAAGGAAGCCAGTCACAAAAGGACAAATGTTGCATGATTCCATTTACATAAAATGTCCAGAAGAGGCAATCTATAGAGACAGAAAGTAGACTGGTAATGGCCTGGGGCTGGGCGGAGATCAGGAAATGGGAAAGGACTCCGCATGGTACAGGGTTTCTTTTTTGGGTGATGAAAATGGCTTAGAATTAGACAGCAGTGATGGTTATACAATCTTGTGAATATACAAATAAATACTGCATTGTATATTTTAAAATGTAAACGTTACAGTATTTGAATATACCTCAAAAAGAAATGAGGACAACAGGATCCAACGAACAGGTGGTTCTGAGCATGAAATAAAACGTCTGCAAGGCTCTTAGCACAGTGCCTGGCAGGTAGTTTGTGCTCAGTAAGTAAGAGATGCTGCTATGAGGATGCAAAAGTATTACTTTTATTTGAGAATCTGACAAAGATGTGCTTCAGCTCTGTCATCCCTGGAGGAGAGAAATGACCTCTGGATTGCATTTATTCTCACAAGCCCTGGACGAGGAGACAACCGCATGTGCTATCATGGGCTCTGGGACTTTCCAAAAAAAACCCTCCTTCCTGGCAAGCCAGTAAGGAGAAAAGAAGCCCATATTCAATTAAAATCAAAAGTAAATCCCACACAGAATACAATCAAATGACACACAGTCAACAATTTGAGACATTAAATTATTTTGATTTCACTGATGACTCATCACAAACGTATACATACAAAAGGGAATAGAAACAGCAGCCAGGATGACACTAACAGTATGGCCACTAATGGCTCTAAAGGGACCACAGCTGGTCCGAGTGGAGGAGGCCACGTGGCCAAGCCAGACCTTGGAGAGGCTTGGGCAGGCCCTGAGGTCTTCCTGCAAGGAAAGCATCAATCAGTCCCTTTTTGCAGAGAAGGAAACAAAAGCCCAGAGAAGTTAAGAACTTGCTCAAAGCCACACACTAAGTAGGCAAAGGGTAGAGTTTGACATCTTCTTGAGAACATCGCCCTACAGAGAAAGTCCAGAAACCCGGATCTGCTGCTGCCTTTAACCCAGTGTCTTTGGGCAAGTCACTTATGGGGCCTCAACCTCCCTATCTGTGAAACACAGAAATGAACACAGCCTATGTCTCTCCAAATGTGGGATGCACAAAACTACTCTCAAGGTTATCTTCGGGTGTGATGAGATGCCAAACAACGCAATCCACTTGGAGCAGGGCAGAGGGCGAGGGGGCAGCAGATGGAAGCTGCGAGAGCCACACCCGCTGAACCGACACAGCACCCTGGGGATAGAGGGCTGCAGTTACCAACTGACCAGATTTCTACAGCAACTTTCTCCTCCTCGGACAATCTTTCAGGGCTTGATATAGCAAGGAATCCACCCCTGTAAGCAATGGCTTCTCAGAACAGTTGTTTGTCCTCCTGATCTCACAGATGCATGACTGATGGGACCCAGGAAGCAGCAACAAATGTCGCCAACCAGTGCCTTGTGCACCACGTCTGCCCCAGACAGACACCACTGCCTGGCATGGCTGGCCTCAACCACCTGCCACTCCTCAAGCTCACCGACCATGCTGACTGGCTACCGCAGTCTAGAATGCCCCTCCCTCCCCTCTCTGCCCACCAGCCTAGCCCCACCTCCCCAGAAAGGGCACCCACCTCAAACCTCAGGACACTTGTCTTAGCGTGGGACCTGGACTGTTTTCTCCTGGCTGGTAGAGATCTGCAGCCTGCCTCCAGGACCCACAAGAGGTGAGCTTATGTAGGGGCACAGGCAGCCTCTGCGGACCACCCCTCGCACCCAGTACAGCGCTGGGCAAACGCTCTGAACATAGTTACACCCCTCACCATCGGGAAGCTTGGTCTCAGCATCCCACTTTGTAAAATGGGGGTACAAATTCGCTTTTAGGGAATGAAGAAAAGAATGAGCTAATATTTATCTAGGTGTTGAGTTCAAAGCAAGAAACACACTAGTCTGCAGCAAAGTAATTATTCTACTATGGTTTTACTGCAGCCTGAAAGAAACTAGCTCTGTGATCCTGGAATCTGCCTTGACAAAGGCTGTGGCTGTATCTACACAGAAGAATCCCTCTCCCTGCCCTCCAAACCCCAGCCCCGCCCTTCCATTCGAACACCTGAACACCACTTTCCATTACATCACTCTCCCATTCAAGAATCTCCATGCCAGGCCAGGCACAGTCGCTCATGCCTGCAATCCCAGCACTTTGGGAGGCAGAGATGGGAGGATCATTTTAGCCCAGGAGTTCAAGGCCAGCCTGGACAACATAGTGAGACTCCGTCTGTATAAAAAATAAAGTTAACTGGGTGTGGTGGCATGCACCTGTGGGCCCAGCTACTTGGGAGTCTCACTTGAGCCCAGGAGTTTGAGGCTGCAGTGAGCCAAGATCATGCCACCACACCTCAGCCTGGGTAACAGAGTGAGACCTTGTCTCAAAATTATACTCTCCATGCTAGTTTGGAGGTGCTGACCCCACTGTCCAAAGCCTAGCATCCACACAGAAGGATCCAGCTCCCACCTCCCTTTCTAGATATCCCTCTTGCACCTCTTCATCAAAGCTCTTGCCCTCTGGCCAAGCCAGGCTGCTTATTATTCCCTGCAACTCCCTTTATTTTTCCACCTCTACATTTTTGCTGGTACTGTTCCCATTAAGTAGAATGTTCTCCCTTAGCTTCAAAAGTTCTCGTCAACACTGTATTTCAAGGACTTGTTTAAATGCCTCCTCTCCACTAAGCCTCTGTTCATGTCCTCAACTAATGTAATTGCTCCTGCCCTTGAACCCCCGTTGTTCCACTGCATTTTTTTTCTTTTTCTTTTTTTTTTTTTTTGAGGTGGAGTCTCCCTCTGTTGCCCAGGCTGGAGTGCAGTGGCGTGATCTCGGCTCACTGCAACCTCTGCCTCCCAGGTTCAAACAATTCCCTGCCTCAGCCTCCCGAGTAGCTGGGATTACAGGTGCCCACCACCACACCCGGCTAATTTTTGTATTTTTAGTAGAGACGGGGTTTCACCATCTTGGCCAGGCTGGTCTTGAACTCCTGACCTCATGATCCACCCGCCTCAGCCTCCCAAAGTGCTGGGATTACAGGCGTAAGCCACTGCGCCCATCCGCATTTCTTTTATTTTTGTTTTTACTAGAGATGGGGTATTGCTATCTTGCCCATGCTGGTCTCAAATACCTGGCCTCAAGTGATCCCAGTCTGCCTCCCAAAGCATTGGGATTACAGGTGTGAGTCACCACACCTGGTTCCTCATTGCTTTCCTCCTCCTCCTCCTCCTCCCCATCTCCCTCCTCCTCCTCCCCCTCCTCCTCTTCTTCCTCCTTCTCTTGCTCTTCATTTCTTTTCTTTTGAGACAGGGTCTCACTCTATAGCCAAGGCTGGAGTGCAGTGGCATGATCATAGCTTACTGCAACCTAGACCTCTCAGGCTCAAGTGATCCTCCTGCTTCAGTTTCCTGAGTAGCTGGGACTACAGGCTCACGCCACCCTGCCCGGTTAATTTTTCTTTTAGTTTTTTTGTAGAGACAGTGGTCTCACTATATGGCCTAGGCTGGTCTTGAACTCCGGGGTTCAAGTGATCCTCCCGCCCTGGCCTCTCAAAGTGCGAGGATTACAGGTGTGAGCCACCACACTGGGCCCACTGCATTTCTGCCAGCTCTGTCAGGGTCCCTATCCCGTTGTGTCTCACATGAAAGTTGTCAACGTGTTTGTCTCACTCTTCCTAGCAGGGCAGAGAGCTCCCAGAGGGCAGAAATTAGGTCCCACTGAAATGGGTGGCATGTTAAAGAGGGTATGGGAACTGTCATAATGGCACACGCCTATAGTCGCAGCTACTCTCAGGAAGCTGAGGTGGGAGGACCACTTGAGCCTAGACGGTTGAGGCTGCAGTGAGCTATGATCATGCCACTGCACCCGACTGGAAGACAGAGTGAGACCCCATCTCTAAAAAAAAAAAAAAAAGAGAGAGAGAGAGAAAGAGAGAATGAAGGCACAGGAGGCCAACAGATTCAAGTTCAAATCTCAGCACAAGATTTTAAGATTTGCTGGCTGTGAGCGTCCACACAAACCACTGCAGCTCATGAGGCCTCAGTTTCTCCTTTGATAAGTGACATGAAATATCACCTCTCCAGAGCTGGGAAAATCAGATGCACTCACTCATCAGACAAATATTTCCTGAGTATCCACTATATGCCAGCACTGTCCGAGGATATGATGGTGAGCAAGAGAGAGTGAGTCTCTGCCCTCAGGGAGCTTACGCCCTAGTGTGGCGAGAAGGCAGTATATGAGGGAATGGCAAGCAGTGATAACTGCCCTCAAGAAAACAAAACGGTATAATGGGAGAGCAGGTAACTGAGGCAGGGGCAGGGGCAACCCTCACTAGGGTGATCAGGAAGGGCTTCTAGGAGGAAGTGACATTTAGCTGAGACAAGAATAAAAAGGATAAGATCTGAGAGGTACAGTGTTAAGAGAAGCAAACAAATAAAAAAGAATAAAAAAAGAGCAGGGCATACAAAGATTTGGGGAAAGGACGATCAAGGTGGAAATCACAGCAAGTGCACAACTTGAAGGCACACCTGCCGGGGCCCAGTCATTGGCTCCCTCCCCCACCCTCACCCTCCCATCCCATCCTCTGCAGAACGGTACACAGACACAGGACACAGTAAATACACATCTGCCGGAGTGAATGTGACAAAACCAGGAATCTCGAGGATGAACTGGAGCACGACAAAAATAAGCACCTTAGCCAAAAACAGTCAACTGAGATTGAGGCAGATGCCAGTTAAAAAGATCTTAAATTCAGGCCGGGCATGGTGGCTCACACCTGTAATCCCAACACTTTGGGAGGCCAAGGCAGGTGGATCACATGAGACCAGGAGTTCGAGACCAGCCTGGCCAACATGGTGAAACCCCGTCTCTACTAAAAATACAAAAATTTAGCCAATAGTGATACACGCCTGTAATCCCAGCTACTCAGGAGACTGAAGCACGAGAATCACTTGAACCCAGGAGGCGGAGGTTGCAGTGAGCTGAGATCGTGCCACTGCACTCTAGCCTGGGTGACAGAGCCAAGACTCTGTCTCAGAAAAAAAGAAGCATTTAGGCTGGGCCTTAAAGTATAAGAAGGGCCCAGACACGTGAAGAACAGGGAAGAGCATCCCAGGCAAAGGGAACAGTATGTGCAAAGGCCTGTGGCTAGAAAGGCTTAATAGTTCAAAGGACTGATAGTCTGGGCTGTAAAGATGAGGGAAGCCCCAAGCTACTCAAAGTGCAGTCAGAGAATTTTGCAAGTGTCAGGTCATCCACAGCTTTGTGGTATGATCTTGGGTTTTACTCATTGTGTAGAAGAAGCCGATGAGGGTTTAATACAGACAGAACTGCTAAAGGTCAGCGCTGGAGTCCCACATTTGACAGATGAGAACTGGGCCCTGCAATGGGGAGTTAGAGTGAGGACCAGAACCCCAGCTTCCTCATTTCTGGACCACAGCCTCCTGTAAAACAGAACTCTCATCTTTTCACCTCACCCAGCTTCACTTGGCGTGAGCCCTGTCCTGACAGAGCTGACTCCACCCAGTGCCAGGCTTGGCCCCTTACAGACATGACCTCCCAGAGCAGCGTGCCTCAAGGGGGGCAGTTTTGCCCCCAGGGGACATTTGGAAATGTCTGGAGACAAATTTGGCTGTTACAACTGGGGGTGGAGTGAGGGCAGGGGGTGCTACTAGTGTTATCAACTGAATGTATGTGTCACCCCAAAATTCATAGGTTAAAATCTAATCTCTAATGTGATGGCATTTGAGGTGGGGCCTTTGGGAGGTGATTAGGTCGTGAGGGTGGAGCCCCCATGGACAGGATTAGTGTCCTTATGAAAGAGACCCCCAGGCCAGTGCAGTGGTTCAAACCTGTAACACCTATAATCTCAAGATTTCGGGAGGCTGAGATGGGAGGATCACTTGAGCCCAGGAGTTCGAGACTAGTCTGGGCAAGATGGTGAGACTTATCTCTATTAAAAAAAAAAAAAATTTTAAATTAGCCAGGCATGGTGATGTGTGCCTGTAGTCCCAGCTACTCGAGAGGCTGAGTCAGGAGGATCATTTTAGCCTAAGAGTTTGAGCCACTGCACTCCAGCCTGGGCAAAGGGAGGGAAGGGTGGAGGGGAGGGAAGGGGAGGGGAGGGGAGAAGAAACCCCAGAACATTCTCTCAAGGAAGGAAGGAAGGAAAAAGAGAGAGGAAGGGAGGAAGGAAGAAACCCCAGAAAAGTCTCTCCCTGGCCCCCCACCCACGGAGGACATGGTGAGAAACATCTGTTAATGAACCAGGAAGCAGACCTGCACCAAACACTGAGCCTGCCAGTGCCTTGATCTTGGACTTCCCAGCCTCCAGAATTGTGAGAAATAAATCTCTGCTGTTCATATTTTGCTATGGAAGCCTGAATGAACTAAGGCATCTTGCCTCAAGTGGGTAGAGGCTAGGATGTTGCTAAACATCTTACCAAGCACAGGACAGCTCCCCAGAACAAAGAATTATCCAGCTCAAAAACCAAAGGTGTCAAGACAGAGAAGTGCCCACCCAGGGATACAAAGCCTTCCTTTCAAATAGGTGCAGAGCCCTCAAGGGAAGAAAGCCCTCCCCAGGGGGCACAGGAGAAGAGGGAGAAGGGTCTTTCTTAGCCTCCCAGGAGCCCCAATCCAGACAGAGCAAGTCTAGAGGTGGCATGCTAGGCAGAAGGCTCCAAGTCAACCCCCAACACAGCACACCACAGAGGAGGCAGAGTTGGGAAAGGTCTGTCTCCTTACAGAGGAGCTCAGTCCCCCTGGGAGAGCAGCACAGACCCTGCAGTGGGGACCTCCAGCCCCCTCTCCTCCCTGGTAAACTCCCACCTGCTTCCTGCGAGAGGCAGAGAGCCAAGGATGGCAGATCTGAGGCCTCAGCCCTTGTGGCAAACAAAGCCAGGCAGCCCCAGCCATCTGGGAGCTGCTGTGTGAGAACGCAGTCCCTCCCCCATGCTCTCAGAGCTGGACTGTGCCAGGCTGACCCTCAGGACTCGCCAGGCCAGGAAACATCACAGCAAAACACACTCCCCTCACCCCTACCAGATGCCGGCCTCAGCTCTGGGCCAGGAACTACAGGCCAACAAGCCCTGGTGAGGGCCAAGATCACCACCCCACCAGGCCAGAAAAGCAGCTCCCACTCCAGTCCCTGGCAGCCCCCTTTCAGTGTAAGAGTGTGCTAGAGCGATGTCTGCCTCCCCTCCAGACTGGGCACTCCCGGGCACATGCATTGCCCTCCAGGCAGGGCACACACAGCAGCTGCTCAAAGTGTGTTTTTTGAAAGAGGAGCCAGTGGCAATTTCTGAACGAAGAAAATGTTGTGATTCAGTGGGTATCTATTAAGTGTTTCCTGAGTACTCTTGTTCAGAAAAGGGGTTGCAACATCAGGTCCCTGCAGGGGTTGGACAGGAACATAAACACAAGAAGGGAGTGGAAGCCTTGGTCAGAACACCCAGCAACAGCTCACCCAGCAACAGCCTGGCCAGGTCCCTGGGCTCGGCTTCCGGTCCTTGGCTTGGCCTGTGACAGGGCGCCATCTGCTGGCTAGTACAGAAAGAAGCAAGCGCTCAGCCAAAGCGCAGGTGGGCCCGGGAGGGACGAAAGGTGGACACACCCCTCGCGCTAGCCTTGGTCTCCCTGTTTGATTCCACAGCTCCCAGCCTAGCTGCTCAGGTCCCTCCCCAGGAGCACATCACATCCATGTCCGTATTTATTCATCATCTCCCACATGCACATCCAGAACCCTGCCAGGCAATGCCCCTGCCCCACCCCGCAGCAGCCATCAGGACAGGAAGCTCCAAATTGCAAACAGTAAGCCAGTGATTCTCAAAATTCAAGGCAAAGAAGAATCAGACACAGTTCATGTTAAAATTCAGATCACCAGGTCCTCTCTGAGATTCAACTTTTTTTTTTTTTTTTTTTTTTTTGAGATGAAGTCTTGCTCTGCCGCCCAGGCTGGAGTGCAGTGGCACCATCTCAGCTCACTGCAACCTCCGCCTCCCAGGTTCAAGAGATTCTCCTGCCTCCGCCTCCCGAGTAGCTGGGATTACAGGCGTGTGCCACCAAGCCCAGCTAATTTTTGTATTTTTAGCAGAGACGGGGTTTCACCATGTTGGTCAGGCTGGTCTCGGACTCCTGACCTCGTGATCCACCCACCTCGGCCTCCCAAAGTTCTGGGATTACAGGCGCGAGCCACCGCGCCCGGCGAGATTCAACTTTTAAAGCTCTAGAATAGGGTCCGTGGATCTGCATGCTTAACCAATAACCAAATGATCCTGATAGGAGAAAATCTTCTTGACCTTGGGTTAGGCAAAGACTTCTCACATACAATACCAAAAGTATCATGTATAAAAGATAAAACGATAAATTAAATTTCATCAAAATTAAAAATGTGAGCCAGGCAGGTGGCATGCACTTGTAGTTCCAGCTACTCTGGAAGCTGAAATAGGAGGATCTCTTGAGCCCAGGAGTTCCAGGCTACAGTGTGCAATGATTGTGCCTGTGAACAGCACTGCACTCCAGCCTGGGCAACATACCAAGACCCCACCTCGAAAAAACAAAACTAAAAAGAAAGAAAACCCAATGTTTTTTAATGGGCAAAAGATTCGAATAGAGATTTAATCAAAAACGAATGGATAGGCCGGGTGTGGTGGCTCACGCCTGTAATCCCAGCATTTTGGGAGGCCGAGGCGGGCGGATCACGAGGTCAGGAGATCGAGACCATCCTGGCTAACACGGTGAAACCCCTCTCTACTAAAAATACAAAAAATTAGCTGGGCGAGGTGGCAGGCGCGTGTAGTCCCAGCTACTCAGGAGGCTGAGGCAGGAGAATGGCGTGAACACCGGGAGGTAGAGCCTGCAGTGAGCCGAGATTGTGCCACTGCACTCCAGCCTGGGTGACAGAGCAAGACTCCAGCTCAAAAAAAAAAAAAAAAACAACAACAAAAAACGAATGGATAGCCAACAAGCACATGAAAAGTTGTACAACGTCGGCCAGGAACGTGGCTCATGCCTGTAGTCCCAGCACTTTGGGAGGCTGAGGCAGGCAGATCACCTGAGGTCAGGAGTTCAAGACCAGCCTGGCCAACATAGTGAAACCCCGTCTCTACTAAAAATATAAAAATTAACCAGGCATGGTGGCAGGCGCCTGTAATCCCAGCTGCTCGGGAGGCTGAGGCAGGAGAATCACTTGAACCTGGGAGGCGGAGGTTTCAGTGAGCTGAGATTGTGCCACTGTACTCCAGCCTGGGTGACAAGAAGTGAAACTCTGTCTCAAAAAAAAAATAAAATAAAATAAAAATAAAAGATGTTCAATATCACTCATCATCAGAGAACTGTAAATTAAAACTACAATGATACACCTCTTAATACTATAAAAAAAGAAAAAATAAATCAAACTACAATGAGATACATTACACCCTAGAGAATGTATACAAGTAAAAAACATACCGAGTGTTGAAAAGGATGTGAAGCAATTGGAGCTCTCAATCTCTTTGGAAAAGAGTGTGGTAGTTTTTTATAGTCAAACATATACTTAATATATAGAGTTGGCTCTCTATACCTGTGGGTTTTGTACCCACAAATTCAACCAAACACAGAAAATATTTGAAAATAAATAAATAATACAAATTTTAAAAAGCAATACAACTATTTACATAGCATTTACATTGTATTATGTACTATAAGTAATCTAGAAATGATTTAAAGTATACAAAAGGATGTGTGTAGGTTAGATGCAAATACTATAGCACTTTATACAAAGGACTTGAGTATCCTTGAATATTGGTATCTGTGGGGCTCCCGGAACCAATCCCCTCAGATATGGAGGGACAACTGTACAACCCAGCAATCCTACTCCTATGTATTTATCTGAGAGAAATGAAAACTTTACTGACCAGATGCCGTGGTTTGTGCCCATAACCCCAGCACTTTGGGAGGCTGAGGCAGGAGGAATGCTTGAGCCCAGGAGTTTGAGACCAGCCTCGCCAACACAGGGAGACCCCATCTCTACAAAAAATACAAAAATTAGCCAGGTACAGTGGTGCACACATGTAGTCCTAGCTAGTCAGGAGGCTGAGGTGGGAGGACGCTTGAGCCCAGGGGGCGGAGGCTGCAGTGAGCCAAGATCATACCACTGCACTGCACTCTAGCCTGGGCAAAAGAGTGAGACCCGGTCTCAAAAAAAAAAAAAAAGAAAGAAAAGAAAAAGAAAAAGAAAAAGAAAACTTTGCTTCACAGCAAAACCTGTATGCAAATGTTTACAGGCTTTGTTCGTGATGTTAAAAAATGAAACAGTCCAAATGTCCTTCAGCAGATGAAAGGATAAACGGATCATGGAACACCCACACCATGTAAAGCTGTTCAGCAGTGAAAGGAACAAACTACTGATTCCCACCAAACATGGATGAATCGCAAACACGTGATGCTAAAGTGAAAGAAGCCAGGCTCAAGAGCTTATTTACTCTATCATTCCATTTCCATGATATCCTAGAAAAGGCAAAACCACAGCGATGGAAAAGAGATCAGTGACTCCCAGGTACCAGGGATGGGGAGGGTTTGGCTGCAGGGGAGCATGAGGTGATAAAAAGGTTCTGAGTCTTGTTGTGGTTGGTTATAAAAACATATGTTTGTCAGAACTCAACTATATACTAAAAAGGGTAAATTTTATATATATAAATTATAACAATAAAATACATAAGATCAAGGCATGGCAGAATCATCTGGGAGGCCTGCTAAAATCCACACTACCAGCCCCCGCCCTCACAGATTCTATTTTCACAGCTCTGGAGTATTGCCCATAAATCTGCCTATGTTATGTTATGTTATGTTATGTTATGTTATGTTATTTTTTGAGATGGAGTCTCGCTCTGTCACCCAGGCTGGAGTGCAGTAGCACAATCTTGGCTCACTGCAACCTCCACCTCCCAGGTTGAAGAGATTCTCCAGCTTCAGCCTCTCAAGTAGCTGAGACTACAGGCATGCATCACCATGCCTGGCTAATTTTTGCTTTTTTTTTTTTTTTTTTGAAACGGAGTCTCACTCTGTCGCCCAGGCTGAAGTGCAGTGGCACAATCTCAGCTTACTGCAAGATGCGCCTCCCGGGTTCAAATGATTCTCCTGCCTCAGCCTCCCAAGTAGCTGGGACTACAGGCGCCCACCACCACGCCCGGCTAATTTTTTGTATTTTTAGTACAGATGGGGTTTCACTGTGTTAGCCAGGATGGTCTTGATCTCCTGACCTCGTGATCCGCCTGCCTCGGCCTCCTAAAGTGCTGGGATTACAGGGGTGAGCCACCGCGCCCGGCCATTTTTGCATTTTTAGTAGAGACAGTTTTCACCATGTTGGCCAGGCTGGTGTTGAACTCCTGACCTCAAGTGATCTACCCACCACAAGGATTACAGGCATCAGCCACCGCGCCCAGCCTGAATCTGCATTTTTTTTCTGAAATGAACTGAGGTTTTATTTTTATTTATTTTTGGCGGCAGGGGGGACTGAGTCTTGCTCTGTCACCTAGGCTGGAGTGCAGTGGCATGATCTCAGCTCACTGTGCAACCTCCGCCTCCCAGATTCAAGCAATTCTCCTGCCTCAGCCTCCTGAGTAGCTGGGACTACAGGTGCATGCCACCACGCCTAGCTAAGTTTTTGTATTTTAGTAGAGATGGGGTTTCACCGTGTTGCCCAGGCTGGTCTCGAACTCCTGGCCTCAGGCAATCTGCCCGCCTCAGCGTCCCAAAGTTCTAGGATTACAGGTGTGAGCTACCGTGCCCGGCCTGAATCTGCATTTTTAACCAGTACTCCTACAATCCTGATGTTGGTTACCCAGGACCTACCCTTCAGAAAATCCTGCAGGAGTGAAGGAACTGACAGAGGGACATTTGCCCATGAAAGCAGTCCATGGGGGCTGTCCCCATTGTTTCTTTAACTCAAGACAGCCTAACAATGATGTAAATCTTAAATACAAAGGTAGATGTTCACCTCTGCTTTTTTTCCTCCTTTTCAAGGAACAGGGTGGGCTCACTGTGGTTCCAAGAAGACCTGGGAGGAGAGGCAGGTGTGTGGGTGGGAGAAGGCGGGAAGAGGGAGGTTCACATCATTGGCCTCGCTTAGTTCTCTCAGCCCTCCTCCTCATCCCCACCCCCATCCCTCGGGGCAGGCAGCAGGGTGGATGGGGAAAAGCAGGGCTGTGCCCTAGGCTGACCTATGAACTCTGCTCCCACTCCAAACAGCTGTGTCACCAGCAGGTCACCTACACTCAGCCTAGCTCCAGCAGCTATAAAACAGAGGAAAACTACTGCAAAAGCAAAGCAGGAGAGGAGGGAAGTTGAATACCCTTGTACAACAAAACACTTAAAAACATCAGATAAAATACTTGAACCTGGGAGGCAGAGATTGCCGTGAGCCGAGATGGTGTCACTGCACTCCAGCGCCTGGGTGACAGAGTAAGACGCTGTCTCAAAAAAAAAAAAAAAAAAAAAAAAAAAACCATACATACACACTGGATAAAAGATGTTTCTCACACCTTTCTTTCCTCATCTGTAAAATGGGAGTATTAACATCACCTTTGTCATAGGGTTGTCATGGGGAATTAAATGAGTTAAAACCAGCAAACTGTTTACCACGATGCCTGGCATTTAATAAGGGCAAGTCCAAAAGATCAAAAATAGAGAATCTGAATCCCAGCACTTTGGGAGACCGAAACAGGTGGATCACTTGAGGTCAGGAGTTCGAGACCAGCCTGGGCAACATGGCGAAACCCCATCTCTGCTAAATATACAAAAGTTAGCTGGGCATGGTGGCAGGTGCCCAGCTAATTTTTGGGGATAGCTGAGGCAGGAGAATCACTTGAACCTGAGAAGTGGAGGCTCTAATGAGCCAAATCTACTACTTGATAATAAAAAATAATAAAATAATAAAAATCTACTACCTGATAAGACAACAAGCAGTTTAGTCTTTGCCTGGGCACTGAATTGTTAAAAAACAAAAATCTCCACTAAGATTCTGAAATCACAGACCTGTTAATACTTAGGATTTGAATATTCACAGCCCTTAATTCATATACAGAAGCCCTCAGGGCTGAGACATTAACAGAAGACGTGCTTCTAGGCTGGTCACACTCAGGCACCTGACCAAAGCAATCACGACCCCTCCAGAGGACACAGCCCTGCGACCCAGGATTACACAGATGATAGTTCACCAGACAGGAGCACAGGGTCCAAA